>NC_000003.12:73760000-75010000 GCF_000001405.40 Homo sapiens | reverse complement strand
AAACACTCAGAGGACATATTGTAAAAAGGAACCTTCTGCCGTCTATGCCAGGAAACTATGGATTGCTTAGGCAACATGGCATTTCAAATTCTCCAAATTTTATTCATTTATTTTGAGACCAAGTTTCACTCTGTCACTCAGGCTGGAGTGCAGTGGCACAATCTAGGCTCACTGCAACCTTTGCCTCCCAGGTTCAAGTGATTCTCGTGCCTTAGCCTCCCAAGTAACTGAGATTACAGGTGCGTGCCACCATGCAAACTCTCCAGATCTTAACATTTCCTAGTTAATTGCGCTTTTGGTTCCTCTGCCCTATTGCTATTATGAAGGACTTATATTTTTAGATCACAGATTTTTTATACCTTTCAACTTAAAAAAATAAATACGTGTACTTTGAAGTTATGAATATGTTTAAAATAACATTTTAAAGTCATCAATTTCTATATAAAATGTAGAAAGTTATCAACATTTCTTATCTTTGGTCATTTCTAGAATTACCAGAAATGTAATTATGCAACTGCTAATAATTATAATCTCAGTTGTTTAGCTTTTATAAGGTAATAAATTTTATAAGGCAATAAATCTTATTAAATGTTCCCTAAGAGTATCAATTGATTCATGAACTTATAATAAATGCTTTTAATGATTCCCAGGCAAGATGGCCGAATAGGAACAGCTCCAGTCTGCAGCTCCTAGAGAGACCAAAGCAGAAGGCATGTGATTTCTGCATTTCCAACTGAGATACCTGGTTCATCTCATTGGGACTGGTAAGACAGTGGGTGCAGCCCATGGAGGGCCAGCAGAAGCAGGGTGGTGTGTTGCCTCACCCAGGAAGCCCAAGGGGTCAGAGAACTCCCTCCCCTAGCCAAGGGAAGCCATGAAGGACCCTGCTGTGAGGGACAGTGCTACCCGACCCAGATACTATGCTTTTCTTTTTCTTTCTTTCTTTTTTTTTTTTTTGAGACGAGTTTCGCTCTGTCACCCAGGCTGGAGTGCAGTGGTGAGATCTTGGCTTACTGCAAGCTCTGCCTCCCAGGTTCATACTGTTCTCTTGCCTCAGCCTCCCCAGTAGCTGGGACTAGAGGTGCCCGCCACCACACCTGGCTAATTTTTTTTTTTGTATTTTTAGTAGAGACAGGGTTTCACCATGTTAGCCAGGATGGTCTCGATCTCCTGATCTCGTGATCTGCCTGCCTCTGCCTCTGAAAGTGCTGGGATTACAGGCTTGAGCCACTGTGCCTGGCTACAACGCTTTTCTAACAGTCTTCACAACCCACTAACTAGCAGATTCCCTCGGGTGCCTACACCACAGGGGCCCTGAGTTTAAAGCACACAACTAGGTGGTCCTTGAGTCAGACACTGAGCTAGCTGCATGAGTTTTTTTTTCATACCGCATTGGTGCCTGGAACCCCAGTGAGACAGAACTTTTCACTTCCCTGGAAAGGGGGCTGAAGCCAGGGAGCCAAGTGGTCTTGCTCAGCGGATCCCACTCCCACGGAGCCCAGCAAGCTAAGATCCACTGGCTTGAAATTCTCACTGCCAGCACAGCTGTCTGAAGTGAACCTGGGAAGCTGGAGCTTGGTGGAGGGAGGGGTGTCTGCCATTACTGAGGCCTGAGTAGGTGGTCTTCCCCTCACAGTGTAAACAAAGCAACCAGGAAGTTTTGACAGGGTGGAGCCCACCGCAGCACCACAAAGCCCTTGTAGCCAGACTGCCTCTCTAAATTCCTCCTCTCTGGGCAGGCATCTCTGAAAGAGAGGGAGCAACCCCAGTCAGGGGCTTATAGATAAAACTCTGGTCTCCCTGGGACAGAGCACATGAGGGAAGGGGCGGCTGTGGGTACAGCTTCAGCAGACTTAAATGTTGCTGCCTTCTGGCTCTGAAGAGAGCAGTGGATCTCCCAGCACAGCCCTTGAGTTCTGCTAAGGGACAGATTGCCTCCTCAAGTGGGTCCCTGACTCCCATGCCTCCTGACTGGGAGACACTTCCCAGCAGGGGTTGACAGACACCCCATAGGCTGAAAATTCCAAAAACCAGAATGCCTCTTCTCCTCCAAAGGATCACAACTCCTCAACAGCAAGGGAACAAAACTGGACAAAGAGTGAGTTTAATGAGTTCACAGAAGTACGCTTCAGAAGGTGGGTAATAACAAACTCCTCTGAGCTAAAGAAGCATGTTCTAACCCAATGCAAGGAAGCTAAGAACCTGATAAAAGGTTAGAGGAATTGTTAACTAGAATAACCAGTTTAGTGAAGAACATAAAAGACCTGATGAAGCTGAAAAACACAGCACGAGAACTTTGTGAAGCATACACAAGTATCAATAGCTGAATTGATCAAGTGGAAGAAAGGATATCAGAGATTGAAGATCAATTTAATGAAATAAAGTGTGAAGACAAGATTAGAGGAAGAAGAATGAAAAGGAACAAACAAAACCTCCCATAAATATGGGACTATGTGAAAAGACCAAACCTACATTTGATTGGTGTACCTAAAAGTAATGGGGACAATGGAACCGAGTTAGAAAACACACTTCGGGATATTATCGAGCAGAACTTCCCCAACCAAGCAAGACAGGCCAACATTCAAATTCAGGAAATACAGAGAACACCACTAAGATACTCATTGAGAAGAGCAACCCCAAGACACATAATCATCAGATTCACCAAGGTTGAAATGAAGAAGAAAATGTTAAGGGCAGCCAGAGAGAAAGGTTGAGTTACCCACAAAGGGAAGCCCATCAGACTAACAGCAGATCTCTCTGCAGAAACCCTACAAGCCAGAAGAGAGTGGGGGCCAATATTCGACATTCTTAAAGAAAAGAATTTTCAACCCAGAATTTCATATCCAGCCCAAAACTAAGCTTCATAAGTGAAGGAGAAATAAAATCCTTTACAGACAAGCAAATGCTGAGGGATTTTGTCACCACCAGGCCTGCCTTACAAGACTGCTGAAGGAAGCACTAAATATGGAAAAGAAAAACTGGTACCAGCCACTGCAAAAACAAACCAAAATGTAAAGACCATTGACACTATGAAGAAACTGCATCAACTAATGGGCAAAATAACCAGCTGGCATCATAATGACAGGATCAAATTCACACATAACCATATTAACCTTAAATGTTATTGGGCTTAATGCCCCAATTAAAAGGCACAGACTGGCAAACTGGATGAACAATCAAGACCCATCGGTGTGCTGTATTCGAGAGACCCATCTCACATGCAAAGAAACAAATGGCTCAAAATAAAGGGATGGGGGAGGACTTACCAAGCAAATGGAAAGCAAAGAAAAAAAAAAACCAGGGGTTGCAGTCCTAGTCTCTGATGAAACAGACTTTAAAACAACAAAGAACAAAAAAAGACAAAGAAGGGCATTACTTGATGGTATAGCCATCAATGCAACAAGAAGAGCTAACTATCCTAAATATACATGCACCTAATGCAGGGGCACCCAGATTCATAAAGCATGTTCTTAGAGACCTACAAGGAGACTTAGACTCCCACACAATAATAGAGGGAGACTTTAAAGCCTCACTATCAATATTAGAACAATGAGACAGAAAATTAACAAGGATATTCAGGACTTGAACTCAGCTCTGGACCAAGTGGACCCAATAGACATCTGCAGAACTCTCCACCCCAGATCAACAGAATATACAGTCTTCTCTGCACCACATAGCACTTATTCTAAAATTGACCACATAATTGGAAGTAAAACACTCCTCAGCAAATGCAAAAGATGGGAAATCAAAACAAACACTTTCTCAGACCACAGTGCAATCAAATTAGAACTCAGGATTAAAAATCCCACTCAAAACCACACAACTACATGAAAACTGAGCAACCTGCTCCTGAATGACTACTGGGTAAATAACAAAATTAAGGCAGAAACAAATACGTTCTTTGAAACCCATGAGAACAAAGACAAAACGTACCAGAATCTCTAGGACACAGATAAAGCAGTGTTTAGAAGGAAACTGATAGCACTAAATGCCCACAGGAGAAATGGGAAAATCTGAAATCGACATCTTAACATCACAATTAAAAGAACTAGAGAAGCAAGAGCAAATAAATTCAAAAGCTAGCAGAAGACAAGAAATAACTAAGATCAGAGCAGAACTGAAGGATATCGAGTCATGAAAAACCCTTCAAAAAAACAGTGAATCCAGGAGATGATTTTTTGAAAAGATTAACAAAATAGATAGACCACTAGCCAGAATAATAAATAAGAAAAGAGAAGAATCAAATAGACACAATAAAAAATGATAAAGGGGAGATCACCACTGATCCCACAGAAATACAAACTATCATGAGAGAATACTATAAACACCTCTACACAAATAAACCTGAAGATCTAGAAGAAATGGATAAATTCCTGGACACATACACCCTCCCAAGACTTAACCAGGAAGAAATCAAATCCCTGAATAGACCAATAACAAGTTCTGAAATTGAGGCAGTAATTAATAGCCTACCAACCAAAAAAGCCCAGGACCAGGTGGATTCACAGCCAAATTCTTCCAGAGGTACAAAGATGAGCTGGTACATTCCTTCTGAAACTATTCCAAACAACAGAAAAAGAGGGACTCCTCCCTAACTCATTTTATGAGTTATTATATTTATGAGGCCAGCATCATTCTGATACCAAAACCTTGCAAAGACACAACAAAAAAGAAAATTTCAGGCCAATATCCCTGATGAACATTGATGCAAAAATCCTCAATAAAATACTGGCAAACCAAAACCAGCAGCACATTAAAAAGCTTATCCACCAAGATCAAGTTGGCTTCATCCCTGGGATGCAAGGCTGGTTCAACATACAAAAATCAATAAATGTAATCCATCACATAAGCAGAACCAATGACAAAAACCACATGGTTATCTCAGTAGATACAGAAAAGGCCTTTGATAAAATTCAACACCCCTTCATGCTAAAAAATTCTCAATAAACTAGGTATCAGTGGAACATATCTCAAAATAATAAGACCTATTTATGACAAACCCACAGCCAATATTACACCGAATGGGCAAAAGCTGGCAGAATTCCCTTTGAAAACTGGCACAAGACAAGGATGCCATCTCTCACCACTCCTATTCAACATAATATTGGAAGTTCTGGCCAGGGCAATCAGGCTAGAGAAAAAAATAAAGGGTATTCAAATAGGAAGAAAGGAAGTCAAAATATCTCTGTTTGCAGATGACATGATTGCATATTTAGAAAACCCCATTGTCTCAGCCCAAAATCTCCTTAAGCTGATAAGCAACTTCGGCAAAGTCTCAGGATACAAAATCAACGTGCAAAAATCACAAGCATTCCTATACACCAATAATAGACAACAGAAGAAAAGCATGAGCAAACTTCCATTCACAACTGCTACAAAGAGAATAAAATACCTAAGAATACCACTTAAAAGGGATGTGAAGGATCTCTTCAAGGAGAACTACAAACCACTGCTCAAGGAAATATGAGAGGACACAAACAAATGGAAAAACATTCCTAGCTCATGGATAAGAAGAATCAATATCGTGAAAATGGCCATAGTGCCCAAAGTAATTGATAGATTCAATGGTATTCCCATCAAGCTACCGTGAATTTCTTCACAGAATTAGAAAAAACTACTTTAAATTTCATATGGAACCAAAAAAGAGCCCATATAGCCAAGACAATCCTAAGCAGAAAGAACAAACCTGGAGGCATCATGCTACATGACTTCAAACTATACTACAAGGCTACAGTAACCAAAACAGCATGATACTGGTACCAAAATAGATATATAGACCAATGTAACGGAACAGAGGCCTCAGAAATAACACCACACCTCTACAACCATCTGATCTTTGACAAACCTGATAAAAACAAGCAGTGGGGAAATGATTCCCTATTTAATAAATGGTGTTGGGACAACTGGCTAGCCATATGCAGAAAACTGAAACTGGACCCCTTCTTTACACCTTATACAAAAATTAACTCAAGATGAGTAAATACTTAAATGTAAGACCTAAAACCATAAAAACCATTGAAGAAAATCTAGGCAATACCATTCAGGACAGAGGCATGGGCAAAGACTTCAAGACTAAAACACCAAAAGCCATTGCAACAAAAGCCAAAATTGACAAACAGGATCTAATTAAACTAAAGAGCTTCTGTACAGCAAAAGAAACTCTCACCAGAGTGAACAGGCAACCTACAGAATGGGAGAAAATGTTTGCAATCTATCCATCTGAAAAAGGGCTAATATCCAGAATCTACCAGGAACATAAACAAATTAAAAAAAAAATCAGAAAGTGGGCAAAGGATACAAACAGACACTTTTTAAAGGAAGACATTTATGCGGTCAACAAACATGAAAAAAAGCTCATCATCCTTGGTCATTAGAGAAACGCAAATCAAAACCACAATGAGATACCATCTCACGCCATTTAGAATGGTGATCATTAAAAAATCAGGAAACAACAGATGCTGGAGAGGATGTGGAGAAATAGAAACGCTTTTACACTGTTGGTGGGAGTGTAAATTAGTTCAACCATTGTGGAAGACAGTGTGGTGATTCCTCAAGGATCTAGAACTAGAAATACCATTTGACCCAGCAATCCCATTACTGGGTATATAACCAAAGGATTGTAAATCATTCTACTACAAAGACACATGCACCGGTATGTTTATTGCAGCACTATTCATAATAGTAAAGACTTGGAACCAACACATATGCCCATCAGTGTTATACTGGATAAAGAAAATGTGGCACATATATCCCATGGAATACGCCACAGTGATAAAAAAGAATGAGTTCATGTTCTTTGCAGGGACATGAATGAAACTGGAAACCATCTTTCTCAGCAAACTAACACAGGAACAGAAAACCAAACACTGCAAATTCTCACTCACAAGTGGGAGTTGAACAATGAAAGCATATGGGCACAGGGAGGGGAACATCACACACCAGGGCCTGTCAGGGGGTTGGGTGCTAGGGGAGGGATAGCATTAGGAGAAATATCTAATGTAGATGACAGGTTGATGTGTGTAGCAAACCACCATGGCATATGTATATCTATGTAACAAACCTGCATGTTCTGCATATGTATCTCAGAAGTATAAAAAATAAATACTTTTAAAATGCAAATTAAATAAATGGAAACACCTCAGTTAAATGCCACCAGGATGTTTATTATATACTTCCATAAGAGATCTGTATTCTTTCCTCATTTTAAAGCAGTGTGTTCATAAACATAGAATAAATAAGATGTTTATTACAGTGGGAGGGGATCCAGAGGTGTGGTGTGTAGGTATGGAGTGGAGAGGTTGCTAATTTAAATTCCAGCTTAAAATGATCAATTTTAAATTATTCCACTCAGAATATCTCTTTAGAAGTAAATCTTTGTTCAATCACTCTGAAAAGCTACTTGACAATATTTCAAAGATGTCCTGTCCTTTCACCGACCATTTCATTTCCAGGAAACTCTCTAAGGAAATACTCAGAAAGCCATTCAAAAACATAGGTGTAAAGATAGTCATTGAAGCTGTATTCTAAATGTGCAATAACATCTAAATCAGTTTTGTATTTTCATCTGATGAGGCATTATTCAGAAATGTTTAATGGTAATTTTAAAAGATAGTTACACAAATGCAATACATATATCATTTATGGCTTTGTTATAATAATTATATTTTGGGGAAAGATATAAAACCGTATTTTCAGCTTTATTTCAATTTTATAAAAATACACATCTATATAAAAATAGACCAAAAGGAATATATTAAATGTTAAGTGAGGTTATTTTGTATTATGATATAATAAATAATGATTGTTATTTTACTTCCTTTTGGTGGTTCTGTGACTGTTTTAAAAATTTTTTTAATTTACTAGAATCTACTAAATTTCTAATTTGGGGGAAATAAATATGCCACTTGAGAGACAGAGGGAAAGAAAGAAAGAGAAAGCAGAGAAGCAACCTTGTTAATTGAGCATGATAATGACTTCAGACTTTAATAAATAATATTCTAGTTGATGACAGAAACCCACAATAACTGAGTCTAAGAGAAGCTAACCCAATCACATATTAAGACTCTTTGTAGAGTTGTGCTCATGCAGGGCAAAAGAAAGCTGACAAATAAGAAACTATGACATAGCCAAGTTTTAAAATAAGCCCCAAAGCGCAGAGTTGGATATATTCTTCATAAGCTAGGTTGACAATAGCTGGGTATTTGAATTGTTTGTGTTTTCTTGCCACTGAAATCATTTTACAAAAGCGTCAAATTTATTTATTTAAAATATCTTTTACTCCACTTTTAGCACTTAATATATTTTTAACCTTTTATTTGTAGGGATTTTTTTGTTCTTGTTCCAAAATTAATAGAGTGGCTAGATTTCACAATGGGTGCCTATACAAAAGCCCCTGTAAATTCGATTTCCCAAGGCATAAATAAATGTCAGTAACTCTCATATGTCTAAAGAGGGAGCTATTGACTAAGAATGGCTGGAATATGTCAAATTGAATAAAGATATTTCTCAATTCACAGAGGAACTCTCATACCTGTTACTAATTGATTTTGATTCTATTGATACTTAATTGAAAAAAGTACATCACTTTATGAATCAATACCACCACTATGAATCTGAAATACTATTTTTCCATTGGCATCATTTTTCTAGCTGCAACAGTTTCTCATCCCTTCACTGTTCCTTACCCTTACTATAAATTGGTACCAAAAAAATCTTCCATTTTTGACAAGTATTATATTTGTATGGGTTCTATAACAAAGTACTATGGTATTTTCTACATTTCCACTATCCATCCTCTTTGCAATATTCATAAATTATAGTATTATATTATCATTATGCTTAGCCTTTAAAAGCTGAGCCAGAAACTAGACCTTGGGAAGATTTGTTTTCAAAATTAATCCATTATGTAATTTTGAATTACAATGGATGATAACATACTAAAGAAGAAACTTCATACTAAGTAAGTAGGTTGAGTAGTAACAATTTCTGAAGCATGCGTTATGCATAGTACATATGTACACCTATTGAAATAAAGATGGCCAACTTCAGGTACTGGTTATTCCAACCTGGTGATTTATAAGTAATATTTCTGACATATTCTCATAAAATATAATCAAGACAGTTTCTGGCACTTACAATCCTGAATGCTAAAAAGTTTTCAGAGAGTCATGCTGAGCACAACACAATGTGTATTTCTAAAACATTGCAGAAATATGGTGTCAATGAATTTGCAGGTGAAGCTCCTTTGAAAAGAACATCATACATTGACTGCCATCTTCCTCTTTCCATAGACAAAATAAAACATCTTGAGAAATCTACCCAGTTAATTTTTATTTTCCCAAAGAAGAGATTTTTCATGAAATGACTGTGACTGTGATTTGTGATATGGGTCACACCACTGCTTTCTTCCTATCTATGTCAGGATCGCTATGTGATATGATTTTGGTAACTGGCAGAATTAAGTGCAAAGCAATGTTTCCTTCCAGTTTGATTTTGATAAGCTCTCAAAATCTAAAACACTCTACTAGGATTTCAACTTAGCAGGATACTATTAATCAAATTTCTTAAAAAATAATTAATGAAAACATAGTAAAAGTACACTGACAATAAAACTTGAGCAGTTAAACATTCAAATGATAATGAATCATTTGCATTACTGAAAAAGACATAAATTAATCAGATACTTGAATATAGAAGGTAATAAAGTGACTCTACATTAAATGTAGAATTTATTTTAAAATTTATTTTTAATATGATTACATTTAACTAAAAATTTAATATTTAAATATTAAATATTTAAGAGGGCCGGGCGCGGTGGCTCACGCCTGTAATCCCAGCACTTTGGGAGGCCGAGGCGGGCGGATCACGAGGTCAGGAGATCGAGACCATCCCGGCTAAAACGGTGAAACCCCGTCTCTACTAAAAATACAAAAAATTAGCCGGGCGTAGTGGCGGGCGCCTGTAGTCCCAGCTACTTGGGAGGCTGAGGCAGGAGAATGGCGTGAACCCGGGAGGCGGAGCTTGCAGTGAGCCGAGATCCCGCCACTGCACTCCAGCCTGGGCGACAGAGCGAGACTCCGTCTCAAAAAAAAAAAAAAAAGAGAAAAACTGAGACTGTACCTTTACAATTGGTAATAATAGGTGTTGTTTATTGTTTTCTATGACATGGAGTGCATACTGATTTAGTTCTTACCTAGACACACTGTAAGGATTTACAAAAAAATCATTTTTTGAGTTGAATAGAAAATGAACCTGACCATTATTCTTTCACTTATATCAAATTATAGATCATTACCCATTAGCTGAAAATCATTGAGTTATCAAGAAAGACTAAGAAGATTAATTGCTTTGTGTTTGAGATAAAAATTTCCCCAAGGGAAACAGGTACCCAGGGTTTAGTAGCACATTTCTAATAGATCATATTTCATGGCTACATTTACTCACTAGGAAGTTGTGTATTAATATTATCTTAGGACCTAGGCCATATCTGTGATTTGGAATTTGTAGATATAACCAAAATGTCTATCAAATATGAAGGTAACACTTTTTTGACCCAACTGTAAGTTATAGGTTTTATTATATTAAAAAATTATTTAAGATGGTGAATTTGCATCAAGCCAATTAAGCTCTTTCACCTCATCAGCATTTGACTAGCAGACTGGGTTTTTGAGTCAATGATTCAAGACTTCAGTTGCAGGCTGGTCAAGAGATTTTTCTCCAAGTGATGCTAAATGGCCCCATGACAATTATGTTATGGCTTTGACCTCCTTGCTGTCAATAATTGACCTAACAGATTCAGACATTTTCTGCAGTCTATTAATGGGCCAACATGGATTTTCTTCTATGAAAAATAACTATCAATATCTTTTTTTTTTTTTTTTTTGAGACAGAGTCTCTCTCTGTCACCAGGCTGGAGTGCAGTGGCAAGATTCCGGCTCACTGCAACCTCCGACTCCCCAGTTCAAGTGATTCTCCTGCCACATCCTCCCAAGTAGCTAGGATTACAGGCATGTGCCACCACACCCAGCTAATTTTTGTATTTTTATTTCACCGTGTTGGCCAGGATGGTCTCGATCTCCTGACCTCGTCATCCACCTACCTCGGCCTCCCAAAGTGCTGGGATTACCGGCATGGACCACTGTGCCTGGCCTTCAATATCTTTTAAAAATACCTTTTTAAGACTTTTGAATAGTCAACACAATGAGTACTGCAAAGATTCTGATTTGTAGTTAAAAACATTTTAAACCAGACTATAGGTAAAAAAACTCCTTATATTACTGCAAATAATTCAAATGGAGGCAAAAATAAAAACAAAAAAACCTTAAATATTATCACCTTAATTGGAAATATGAGTTTCCCATAGTAGTGTTAGCTTTCTCACTGCAAACAATTGGCACTAGAGGTGAAGAGGAAATTAACATCACAATAGGTCAGTCATCACCCCTCATGGTTTGAAAATTTATTCATAATATTGATTGACACTAACATATTGTAATTGTCTCCTTTAATGCAAAGATGATGACCATGTAGGAATCAATGTGAGCAATGTCTCATTTTTAGAATGCCGATTTGATTCCAAATTACTGATTAGTTCTGCTCAGAGAACAGGGTCATTATGAACTATTAGAGAGCTCAGTTATTTGTAACAGACATTTTCAGGGTCAGAGTAAGTGAGTAAGAGCAATATTCCTGCACTATATAAAGCAGTTGTTGTAGTTTGGGAGTCTAGAAGGAAATTAAAATCTACAGAGGTGTCTTTTTGCATTTATATTTCATGGGAGAGCAGTCATCTCATTTTTAAAAAGGTAAAGCTTCATTCAGATTATTCATTTATTCAACAAACATTTATTGAGTAACCAGCACTAAACTGAAGGCTCAAAAATAAATAAAACTTGTTGTTCCCTTTCAATGTGCTGTGTTTCCAAATAATTTTTCTTTTGTAACCATTCATTTTGATAGTGGGACTTCCATACCATTTTTAAATATTGTTTGAAATTTTAAAATAAATGAAATAACTTGACTAAAACAAATAAAATAGCATTGAGAATTACAAAACACCTCCCAACCACTAGAAATGTCTGATATGAACTCTTTATTCCATCTCAGCCTGTCACAGACCCCTTTAACTAAAATTTCTTGGTATGGGATAAGAATCTGCATTTTTCAGATGTTACCAACTATACTGTTTGGGAACCTCTCATAGAGTGAAATGATAGTGTCTTACGAACAAAGAAAGAACACAGAAACGGCCGGGCGCAGTGGCTCACGCCTGTAATCCTAGCACTTTGGGAGGCCCAGGTGGGCGGATCTCAAGGTCAGGAATCGAGACCATCCTGGCTAACACGGTGAAACCCCGTCTCTACTAAAAATACAAAAATTAGCTGGGCGTGGTGGCAGGCACCTGTAGACCTGCTACTCGGGAGGCTGAGGCAGGAGAACGGCATGAACCCGGGAGGCGGAGGTTGCAGTGAGCCGAGATGGCGCCACTGCACTCCAGCATGGGCGACAGAGTGAGACTCCGTCTCAAAAAAAAAAAAAAAAAAAGAAAAAGAAAAGAACATAGAAACATTGAAAGAAAGATTGCTTTGAAAATGGCTTTCACTGTTGAAGACAATTTTAAAGATTGTACAAACTATGTGGAAATACTATCTTAGCACAAAAAAAAAGCAATTTAACAATGAGATTTTTATGGGTACCTGGACCCTAAATTTTATTTCCTGTTTCATAGAAATTCACACAAGTAGATATTTTATGCCCAATAATTTCTGATAACATTTTATTTTGTAATATTATCAAAACAAAATCTTTGATATTTGTCCAAATATTGCAAACTTAAATCATTTCAAAATTTTTCTTATTCTTAACCAAAAGCAATGAAGCTTTCCCCACCTCTTAACTCCTTCTCTCTTCTTCTCTCTTCTTTAGAACTTATTTTAAAGATCACAGTGTTCTTAGCCTTTATGTGTCTTTCAAAAACCTTAAAATGAAAGCAATATGATCTTGAAATCATAATAAATAAGTTTAATATATGTGTGTAAATGGGGTGTGTATATATTCTTTTAGGTGTTTCCTTAAATAAGAATTCAGATACTCTTTATAGTGGGAGTGGAAAGAATACCGATTTGGGAGTAAAAATTTTTTGCATCTCTAGACCAAGGTAATACCATTTAATATTCTAGGAAAAATATGGAATCAAATTATTTGTTAAACACTTTCAATACATCAAGTATTTTATTTTTCCCTAAATCCCATAAATAAAATGTCATTTTCATTTTCTACTGAAGAAAAGAAAGGCTTAGGGAAGCTAAGGAACCTGCCCAATATAAGTATCCTATCCTGGTTCAAGGCGATTTTATTTAACTTCAATGTCCACATTCTTTCTAAATTATCCTCTATTGTAACAAATGAGCAGAGAACTTTCACACCTGCAAAAGATGCATATCTTTCTTTGTTCATTGTCAGTTTAAGGCAAGAGCAAATCTTGGACTAGCTTCTCTTGACAAGTCATTTATGAGTGGTGGTTGACTAAACAGCAATGATGAAAAGATTCTGAGGTTGAAGTAGGACTTTCCAGGAGCTAGCTAGTTGGTGATACCTGTGTTCCTTTTAGGAGCAGCCACATGTGTACATGTTCATTGCCTCTGACTTAGATCCTACAAACAAGATGCAGCATCTGCTTCTTATTCTTAATTCCATAATGTAAGTCCAATGAGCAGAATATACTTTACAGTATTTGCAAACAATATAAGAATGTTTCACAAACATACAATTTGATGTTACTGTTTCCCCATGTGCTCAATTTGCTGTTATTGTTTCTCCATGTACTCACTTATTTATGCTTTTAATAGTTTAGCACAGTTTTTCAAAGACATATTTTTAAAATGCATGTACAGTGTAATAAATATGAAAAGGTGCATATAAAATATAACTAAATAGGAAATGACAGATCTAAAATTAAAATCAATATTTAATCAAATTAATTATTCCTGACAGATTACACTGAATTTACTATTTCTGTGTGCTTTCAGTATGAATAAAATGAGGCTCATAATTAAGATTTATCATTTATCATAAGTCACAAGAATCCTTAATTCATTCCAGCCTCCATAGTCCCATTAATATGAGCACTTATGAAATACCAGATAATTTCTGGTAATGATAGTGACTTAACTTCTACGGATATGAGGACTTAGGGGTTGACATTCTAAAAATCTATTTCTAAGTTTATGTAGAAAACTATAGACAGCAAAAGAGCAATAGGTCTCTAACACAAAACTGTCACTTCGATTACATGTCACACCTAAAGAACTTAGAATAAATTTCAGACATCTTACCATACCCTTCAGGGTCCTATACGACCCAGTCCTGCCTATTCCTCTGATCTTAGCACCACTCTCCCCTTCTCCACTTTGTCCCAGAAACCTTGAAGTTATCTCCCATCTCCTGAATCAGCAAAGCTTGTTCCAGTCTTAAGAGCTGTGCACTTCTTGTTTCCTCTGCCTGGAGCCTTTTCCCTCAAATTTTTGTAAGACCAGCCTATCTTGCTACCTACATCTCAGCTCAAATTATACATTCTCAAAGGGGTCTAACCTGACTTCCCCTTGCCTTCAATCGCTTTCAATCTCAATATCTTATTAATCTTAACCACTGTCTTAAAAAATATATAATTTTTGTCTGTCTTCCTCCATAAGAAAATGAGCTCCAGGAAGGCATGAATTTTGTCAATATTGTTTATGCCTATATCACCAGATATGAGACAAGTGTCTAGCCTACAGTATGGGCTTGGAAATATTATTGAAGGATTGAGTTAATAAGTAAAAGAAGAAATGACTGAATGTCAGTACTTTTACTATTTTATTCTATCACAGGATGGTCATATATTCTGAGAAAGCAGGGAATTAGACAATTTTCCCAAGACAAAACTAATCCTAAACTATATAGTGTTAGCTTTTAAATAATTTTATGATTTATTCTCTTTTCTGTAGCATCTCAGCTCTGTATTATTGATATCTCTTGTGGGAAGACAATTCTTATATTGGCTTGCATCTTCAGTTGGTTTGAACTAACTTCTAGAATATTCTCTTTGTAGTGCCACATTGCAATGGCCTCAATTAGGTGGACAAGCATGTGTATGATTACTAGAGTGAGGATTTGTATAGTAATTCCTGACAGGGTTTTTAATAATGCCAGTTAGATTGCCACAGTAAGAGATGACATTAATTCAAAAAGGAAATTTTGTTTTTTTTAAATGCAGTATGTTTTTATTCTGTCAGCACTAGGAGTATATCCAACTACATATAATAGCATTTTATATCAAATCTCCCCTGTGTTAATATGGAAGAAGTGGCTGAAGTGGCTGCAAAATAAAGCTTAGCCTAATAAACTGTCCAATTCTGAGGGTTTCAAATATACTACTGTTTTAGATTATGTATACTAGACTATGATTTTTGATAGACCTTGGACATATTTGGAAATCTGTAATTACCATAAAGCAATATGATATTTATCAAGTGCCTTTTAAACATGTTATGAGTATTCTTACTTGTATAAAAATTCACTCTGCCCTCTAAGAGTGTATTAGGTAGGATTAGATCGGCTTCAAGAGACCAAAAACTCAAAATAATTGAAATATCAATACAGTAGAAACGTATTCCATCTCAAATGAAATAAGTGTAGAAAGAGTCTGTTTAGGGTTGGTCAGTGCATCACACTGTCAAACACCAAGAGTCTTTCTGCATTTCTTCTCAGCCATCCTCAGCATGTGGTCTCCATATCATATTCTGAGGTGGCTGGTCTAGCACCAGCTCCAGGACCCAAATCCAGCCAAGAGAATGAAGAAAGGATCAAAGGATTACACACCTTCTCCTTTCTAAGAAGAATTCCCATTGACATGTCATTATCCAGACTTAATCACTTGCATGCATAGGGAAACCAGAATATAAGATTCTTATTTTTGATTACTGTGTGCTCAGCTAAAATTTAAAGATTGCAATTCTAATGAAGAAAGGGAGAAAGGCATTTGGGGACAAACTTCTGCTACAAAGAAGTTACCAAAGAAGGAGACAAGATGGAAAATCTAAAAGTTAAATGTCTAATGTTTAAATTATAAATTGGAGACTGGGTGCAGTTGCTCACACCTGTAATCCTAGCACTTTGGGAGGCCAAGATGGGTGGATCACCCGAGGTCAGGAGTTCAAGACCAGCCTGGCCAAAATGGTGAAATGCCGTCTCTACTAAAAATAGAAAAATCAGCCAGGCATGGTAGCGGGGGATTGTAATCCCAGATTCTAGGGAGGCTGAGGCAGGAGAATTGCTTGAACCTGAAAGGCGGAGGTTGCAGTGGGTCAAGATCACACGATTACACTCCAGACTGGGCGACAGAGCGAGACTCTGTCTCAAAAAAATTAAAATAAACAAAATAAATAAATAAATAATAAGTTGATAGTCATTATAGGGGGGTTAAGAAATTAGGGCTTTGCAGTTAGGCTGCTGGGATTAAAAGTCTGGTTCTGTCATGTATTTGCAATATGAACTTGGATAGGTATTTAAACTTTGCAAGACTCAGTTTCTCATGCATCAGTAGAGAATAATAGTAGAATTACAGTATTGGGATGACAAAATAAAATGAACATAAGGTCTTTAGTATAGAATCTGGCTCATATTGAGCACTCGATAAATATTATTCATGAAGAAGAAGATGATGATGGTGATATTGATGTTAATGGGTGATAGCAAATATAATGGTATTATTAGCAATATAAGAATGATCAAAACATGATTATTATGATTAGTGTCAGAGAATGCTTGGAAGGCTTCATAGATGGGGGAGTACTTGATACATGGATAGGCTGGATTTACAGAGCTAGAAAGGAAAGCAAATTCCAAGATGACCATATTAATGCATCATCAGCAAGTTCAACAACATCAACCTCCACACTGTTTGAATCCTCCATAATTTTATTGCAAATGGATTTAAAGCAATTGGAAGATGGAAGCTTACTGAACTTAAGTGTAAGCATTGTTTGATGATTGAGTTACTAACATGGACAATTATTCTATTGCTGAACATTTTCTGAGTTCCTTTATAGGAGAAAAAAATATTACATAAATTTGCTACAGTCCAGATAAGTGAACTCTTTAGGTAGCAACTTGAATGGAAAACCAATAGTCTTCTAATCTTCAAATAGTAAATCACTCTTACTTTCCTAATGGTAATTTCAATGTTACCAAAACAATCCCCCCAAAAACCAAAACATCTAGAAATCTTAAAAGTTTCCACCGATGGTAAACCAGAGAGTAAAAGTATTGTCATTGTACCTATTTTCCATCCAAAGTTTTTGGGTTTACACGTGTGTGTGTGTGTGTGTGTGTGTGTGTGTGTGTGTGTACCCAATCTCTTCTTCAAAATGTGAAGAGCTTTGGGCATACCTTCAATTGCTATAATTAATTTATTCTTGCCCAAAACACTAAGAGATTCACTTGAGCATGAATTCTGCATTTTTCCACCATTGGAAATCACTTGAAAAGTTCCCCCATTAGAAAGCCTAATTTAAAATTAATATGTATGCACTTTCTTTCATCTTTTAAATATGCAAAAATAAGCTGTTTCTCAGTGATGAAGAACTGAACAGTGGTTTGAAATGCCACTTATTTGAATTTCATAAGTCAATCTTTCCCTATATCTTTTTTTTTTCTTCCTTTGGCTGTCACTCAGAAAATTGCAGGCAAACAGTTGAAAACTAAGCAATATTCCCCACAAAGTCTGAGTCTTAAAGAGCTAGTGCGGTTGTGACTTTCAATCATCCAGTTTACTCAGCTTATGTGATGTAATTATTACTTTTAATAGCAAAAATTGCAATTACTTTTGAACCACCCTAATACTATTAATCTTTTTACCCCTTACCATGTGCCAGGCACGTTCCTAAGGACTTCACATTCTCTCTCTCAGTTAATCCTCACCAAAACTTGATGAGATGGTTGTTATTATAGTACCAATTTTAGAGCTCACATAACTGATCTGCAGAGCGGATCAGTTGGCCAATGTCATAGAAGTGACAAATGGACACAAGATTAGAACCCATTCTGTTTTTGTCTACATACCACATATTTAAGCCCTGAATTACTTCGCCTCTCCTCTCATGCATATACACATCTTATTTAAGGCTACTAGACAACAAAAAATTGCTGCTTTAGCATAAAATTATGTTATAAAACTTTATTTCCACAGTAACAATTGTTTGGTACTGCACCTGTGGCTCCATTTCTCAATTCTACAAACATTTGGCTGAAAGCATTGTACACAGTGTTGCTATAGAAAACATGCTGGTGAGCCCACATTTATGCTATAAAAGTCGGCTGCCTCCAGAGGAAATGACACAGCAACATGTTTCATTCTTGTAAAAAGAACCTACCCCAATGTCTACACAACTGTCTGAGATACAGTAAACTCATTTAAAGGCAGAAGAGGAAACTGTGCATGGAAAACTACTGGCTGCTTGATGTGTGTGTGTAGCTAGCTCGGTCTTTACAGGATGAATGATCCATCTGATAAAAAGCTATGAGAGCTACACAAGCACCCGGCGGAGTACATGCATAGCTTCTTAATAATTTCTTGTTGTTTGTTTTAACAAACACACATCATCATAGCCCATTTTGACAGCCAAATAATGCTACCACCAACTTGTCATGATAAAAAATAAACCTGATTGAATGCAAATGGGAAAACACATTTAAAATATGTTAAAGGAATAAACGTGTACCAGTTTAATCAACATGGCAAACAGATTTTCAGTCATCTCAAATATTTTAGAGAACGACAACGTGAAGGTAAATGAAAGGAACAGACATTTTTTCTGTCATAGGAAACAAAGAATTATATGTGCCTGTGAATATAAGCACACTGCTTATTTAGATCAAAGAACACACTAATTTTATCATTCAACTGCCAGTCCTATATGATTCTTCCATTTACCCAAGTGATCTGCATGAGATTTATTATAAAGTGGGGCTGATGGTTATATTCTAAAGGATCAGGTATTGTAGAATGAATACAGTCATCTTGCATATGTTTCATTAAATGCCAAACCTTCTGGAAAAGGAAGGCAAGGGACTTCCTCAAAGACCAATTGATCTGGGAAGGGGCTTAAAGTTGCCTCTCTAAATGTTTTCCAAATAGGTACTCAAGGTAATTTTTAAAACACAACATGATTGAATCATAACATCTCCCCACCACAGCCCGCACTCCCCTGCTTAGACTGGCAGTGGCTTCACTTTTTTCTTAGGATGAAAGCAATGCCTGCAAGTCCCTGTGTGTGCCTTCCGCCACCAAGCATTAGGTTCCAATTCATATGTCCCCTCCCACACCCCGTACTCCAAGCCTCCTGACCTTCTTTCGGGCACTAAGACAACAATATGGCTTCTCAGGATCATCCCAAAAGTCTCATGGTAGCTGTTTCCCCAGTGTCCCGGCTGAGAACAGCACCTGTAATTTGGTCCGCACCCATAACTAGTGTTAAATACAGGAATGAGTGAATGCATGCCCCTCCCTTTCCCTGGTATATTTTCTTCCCATCCATCCTTTTAACTTGTTGTACTTGTAAGTATCCTTCATATTTCAGCTTAAATTTTACATCCTCAGGGAAGCTTTCTCTTAGCCTAACCCACAACTTAAGTGGTACCACATCCCTCTCACCATAGCAATAATTATAACTGTAATTTTATATTTATTTGTTGGATAATTGGGTTAGTACCATTTCTCTACTAAACTTTTAGCTCTGTGAACTCCACAAGAATAGAAATCAAGCCTCTTTTTGTTCATTACTGTTTCCCAAGTGTCTACCATAGCACCTCACACATTTAGAAGCCCATAAATGTTTATTGAGTATATCTGTGAGTGAGTAGACTAGTGAAAGAATGAATGCTAAAAGAAAGACCCCAGAAAAAGTAGAGTCCTCACCATTTTTGTAAAATAACCCATCTATCATATTTCCTCTGTCAAATACAGGAAGCAGATAGGCAGAACTCTCAGTGACGAGCTAATGACATCAAACTTGGAAATGTATGACTTTAAAACTTCTAGTTTTAAATATTTTTAATTGTATTTACAATTTTTTGTAAATGTACAATGTACAATATTTTTAATTGTAAATATTTCTCTATCAACAGTTTTAAGCGAGGTATAGGTTTGCTACGTGATTTTATTTCTGTTACTTCAACTTTGGGCTAAGGAAAAAAATCTCATCCGTTTCCGGGGGGATTCATAGCCTCTGGGTCAAAGGTAATTGATTTAAAACTTATTGCGATTCCACAAAAACACAGCAAAAATAATTGCTGCACTTTATTTTCTCCTGAAAATGCTTTTATTTATTTTGTAGGGTTTCTGTGTCAGTTATTAATTAAAATTAGAGTGAGCTATTATAAGGGTTTACATGCTAAAGCAATGTTTTTATCTGAAACGGGACTTACCTTTTTATAGTCCTTATGATTCAACTCAAACAAAAACTTGTTGATACCACAACTTATCAAGAATGGATATTTGCTGATATTAACTACAGTGTGGTAGGACATATTCCCTATATTTAAAGGATTGTGGGGTTCACAGTCATTTGGGAGAAGGTAGAAAATAATTCAAGATCCTGTAAGTTTAAAAAAGAAAGACTATCAAGGGCACACTATTATTTTCCTTTATTTGCCGTTTCTTTGTTTGGTTTAAACTTTCACTCCCAACTTCTATTTCCACTGTCTTTAAAAAATTCCATTCATTTCAACTTTCAACTTATAACTTTTTTGTCAGATTTTTTTTCTGAAAATATACTGCCTTGGGAGTTTTCCCACTGGTTTAGAGAAAGGATTTTTGTTTGTTTGTTTGTTTTGTTTTGTTTGACGGAGTCTTGCTCTGTCACCAGGCTGGAGTCCAGTGGTGCGATCTGGGCTCACTGCAACCTCCGCCTCCCGGGTTCAAGAGATTCTCCTGCCTCAGCCTCCTCAGTAGCTGGGGTTACAAGTAAACGCCACCACGCCCAGCTAATTTTTATACTTTTAATAGAGACAGGGTTTCACCATGTTGGCCAGGATGGTCTCTAGCTCTTGACCTTGTGATCTGCCAGCCTCGGCCTCCCAAAGGAGAAAGGATTTTTAAAAGAAAACGTTCTGAATGTAATGGCCTTTCAACCAGTGAGATTTTTATTTATTATTTATTTATTTTTTGTTTATTTATTTATTTATGTAGACTGATATTTGGTTCTACAAAGAAGGAAAGAATGTTGTTTGTCTACAGAGCTTCCCTCTGAATCTTATTTGAAAAATGGAAAGTAGGGCAAAAGTCACCATATTACACCTGGCTGAAATAACTCCTGACATGTCATATAGGGATGAGTATTAATCTGGCATGATTCTTTTAACTAGAGGCTTTAATATTTTTTCTGGAATAAATGTTCAGCAAGAAGCACGGTCCCTGATAATCAGTGAGTTCTGTGTTGTCATGCAGAGTCAGGAAATGGATTATCCTTGTACAAGCATTAAGTGTAATTAAACAATTTTTCATTCAGTCAGTGCTTCAGTTCAGCACTGTACTAGCTGCTTTGGGAAAAAAACAGGTACAACATGGTAACAGTACTTATGTCTAATACCACTAAGGCACCCATGAAGAAAGGAAGTATGGGATATGGAAGTTCGACAGAGTGAGAGTCACAGTAATTATAAAAAAACTCCAGAGAGGAAGGAGCTTGGATATGATGCTGGGGAAATAAACAGGAAATAGTTTCGCTGGAAACATATTTCAAGGAAAGAGAACAATGTGAGAGTTCATAGAAAACAAGGTTCCACAGTCATACAATGATAATGCAATGAAAGTATCCTTACAGTTAAAATGATATGAAAAAACATTAAAGCTCGTCAGATAATTTAATAGTCAGCTACATCTTTATATATGCAAATGAAAGTCATCAGCTTTGAAGCATTAAACTAGATATCTGTTAGAATATTTTACAATTTTAATAATATATTTTAAAAGAATTTGATTTCTGTAAAGTCTATTGTTGACACACACACATATATTTATTTTTATGTTGGGGTTATTTTTAAACACACACTTTTTAGTGTGGGAATGCTTTATGTCTGTTCATAACTGTCTATATAAAACATATAAAACATTAATGCTTCAGCTGGAAGTAGTTACATAGAATGTTACCATTGATCCTAAACCAAAGAGAGTCTAGGTCACATCCATTCAGTGAAGAGCTAAAGCTAATCTTCTTAATGTTATAGCCTAGTCTATTTTTACCATTATATTACTGATTTGTTCTTATTTATTTAAAAATAAACATCTGCCAGGTGAAGTGCTCACGCCTGTAATCCCAGCACTTTGGGAGGCTGAGGCAGGCGGATCACGAGGTCAGGAGTTCAAGACCAGCCTGACCAACATGGTGAAACCCCGTCTCTACTGAAAATACAAAAATTAGCTGGGTGTGGTGGTGGGCGCCTGCAATCCCAGCTACTCAGGAGGCTGAGGCAGGAGAATCGCTTTAACCCGGGAGGCAGAGGTTGCAGTGAGCCAAGATCACATCACTGCACTCCATCCTGGGTGACAGAGTGAGATTCCATCTCAAAAAAAAAAAAAAAAAAAGTTAGGTGAGTGTGGTGGTGTGTGTCTGTTGTCCAGCTACTTGGGAGGCTGAGGTAGAGGATTGCATGGGCCTGGGAGTTCGAGGCTGCAGTAAGCTGAGATCATGTCACTGCACTCCAGCCTGAGTGACAGAGTGAGACCTTGTCTCAAAAAAAAAAAAAAAAAAAGAAGAAGAAAGAAAAAAATTTAGTGGTTTCTAAATTTAAACTTTTAAAATGCTATATTTTGAAATAATATTAAACTTACAGAAATGTTGCAAAGATAGCATGAAGAGATCCCATATACCTTTCATATGGCATCCCACAATGTTAAGGTCATCTGCTACCACAGTACATTCATCAAAATGAAGACATTAATATTGGCACGGTTCTATTCACAAAACTACAGATTTTATTTCTACCATCCTAGTTTTTCTATTAATGTCTTTTTTTTTTTTTTTTTTTTTCCTGTTCGAGGAGCCAATCCAGGCTATGGTGTTGCAATTAGTCATTACATCTCCTTGGTCTCCTCCAGTCTGTAACAGCGCCTCAGTCTTTCCTAGTTTTTTATGACTTTGACACTTTAAAATACTGCTTAAAACGGATTTTAGGGGAGAGCTGGAAAGATAGCTGAATACGAACATCTCCTGTCTGCAGGTCCCAGCGAGAACAATGCAGAAGGCGGGGGATTTCTGCATTTCCAACTGAGGCACCCAGTTCATCTCATTGGGACTGGTTAGGCAGTGGGTGCAGACACGAGCAGAAGCAGGGTGAGGTGTTGGCTCACCTGGGAAGTGCAAGGAGCCAGGAACCTCCCTTCCTCAGCCAAGGGAAGCCATGAGGGACGGTGCTATCTGACCCACATACTACGCTTTTCCTATGGTTTTTGCAATCCGCAGACCAGGAGATTCCCCGGATGTGTACACCACCAGGGCCCTGGGTTTCAAGCACAAAACTAGGTGGCTGTTTGGGCAGACATCGAGATAGCTGCGGGAGTTTTTTTGTTTGTTTGTTTTCTTTCATACCCCAGTACCACCTAGCAAGACAGAACCACTCACTCCCCTAGAAAGCGGCTGAAGCCAGGAAGTCAAGTGGTCTAGCTCAGTGGATCCCACCCCCACGGAGCCCAGCAAGCCAGGAACCACTGGCTTGAAATTCTCTCTGCCAGCACAGCAGTCTAAAGCCGACCTGGGATGCTGGAGCTTGTTTTGGGGGAGGGGCGTCCACCATTACTGAGGCTTGAGTAGGTGGTTTTCCCCTGACAGGGCTAAGGAGGAGGGGAAGTTCAGACTGGGCAGGACTCCATAGAGCAGCAAAGTGGCTGTGGCTAGACTGCCTCTCTAGATTCCTCCTCACTGGGCAGGGCATCCCTGAAAGAAAGGCATCAGCTCCAGTCAGGGGCTTATAGATAAAACTCCCATCTCACTCAGACAGAGCATCTCGGGGAAGGGCTGGCTGTGAGCACAGCTTCAGTGGACTTCAACAGACTTCAATGTTCCTGCTTGCCAGCTCTGAAGAGAGCAGTGGATCCTGACAAGCAGGATTCTCCCAGCACAGCACTCGAGCTCTGCTAAGGGACAGACTGCCTCCTCAAGTGAGTCCCTGACCCCCATGCCTCCTGACTGGGAGACACCTCCCAACAGGGTTCGACGGATACCTCATATAGGAGAGCTCTGGCTGGCAACAGGCCAGTGCCCCCCTGGGATGAAGCTGAGAGGTGACAGAGTGCTGGCAGTCCTCACAGCCCTTGCTTGCTCTCGGCGCCTCCTCTGCCTGGGCTGCCACTTTGGCGGTACTTGAGGAGCCCTTCAGCCCACCGCTGCACTGTGGGAGCCCCTTTCTGGGCTGGCCAAGGCCAGAGCCGGCTCCCTCAGCTTGCAGGGAGGTGTGGAGGGAGAGGCGCGAGCGGGAACCGGGGCTGCATGCTGCGCTTGCGGGCCAGCTGTAGTTCTGGGTGGGCGTGGGCTTGGGGGGCCCCATACTCGGAGCAGCTGGCGGGCCCTGCTGGCCCCGGGCAATGAGGGGCTTAGCACCTGGGCCAGCGGCTGCGGAGGGTGTACTGGGTCCCCCAGCAGTGCCAGCCCACGGGCGCTGCGCTAGATCTCTCACCGGGCCTTAGCTGCCTTCCTGCGGGGCAGGGCTCAGGACCTGCAGCCTGCCATGCCTAAGCCTCCCACCCCCTCCATGGGTTCCTGTGCAGGCGGAGCCTCCCCAATGAGCGCCGCCCCCTGCTCCATGGCACCCAGTCCCATTGACCACCCAAGAGCTGAGGAGTGCGGGCGCACGGCGCAGAACTGGCAGGCAGCTCCACCTGCAGCCCCGGTGTGGGATCCACTGGGTGAAGCCAGCTGGGCTCCTGAGTCTGGTGGGGACGTGGAGAACCTTTATGTCTAGCTCAGGGATTGTAAATACACCAAACAGCACCCTGTGTCTAGCTCAGGGTTTGTGAATGCACTAATCGACACTCTGTATCTAGCTACACTGGTGGGACCTTGGAGAACCTTTATGTCTAGCTCAGGGATTGTAAATACACCAATTGGCACTCTGTATCTAGCTCAAGGTTTGTAAACACACCAATCAGCACCCTGTGTCTAGCTCACGGTTTGTGAATGCACCAATGGACACTCTGTATCTAGCTACTCTGGTGGGGCCTTAGAGAATCTTTGTGTTGACACTCTGTATCTAGTTAATCTAGTGGGGATGTGGAGAACCTTTGTGTCTAGCTCAGGGATTGTAAACGCACCAATCAGCACCCTGTCAAAACAGACCACTAGGCTCTACCAATCAGCAGGATGTGGGTGGGGCCAAATAAGAGAATAAAAGCAGGCTGCCGGAGCCAGCAGTGGCAACCTGCTCGGTTCCCCTTACACACTGTGGAAGCTTTGTTCTTTCGCTCTTTGCAATAAATCTTGCTACTGCTCACTCTTTGGGTCCACACTGCCTTTATGAGCTATAACACTCACCGCGAAGGTCTGCAGCTTCACTCCTGAAGCCAGCAAGACCACGAGCCCACCGAAAGGAACGAACAACTCCAGACACGCCACCTTAAGAGCTGTAACACACACCGCGAAGGTCTGCAACTACACTCCTGAAGCCAGCGAGCCCACGAGCCCACCAGGAGGAACGAACAACTCCAGACGTGCTGCCTTAAGAGCCGTAACACTCACCACGAAGATCTGCAGCTTCACTCCTGAGCCAGTGAGACCACGAACCCACCAGAAGGAGGAAACTCCGAACACATCCGAACATCAGAAGGAACAAACTCCAGACACGCCACCTTAAGAGCTTAACACTCACCACGAGGGTCCGCGGCTTCATTCTTAAAGTGAGTGAGACCAAGAACTCACCAATTCCAGACACAAAGCTTCCAGAGGAAGAAGCAGGCAGGAATCTTTGTTGTTCTGCAGCCTCCACTGGTGATACCCAGGCAATCAGGGTCTGGAGTGGACTTCCAGTAAACTGCAACAGACCTGCAAAAGAGGGGACTGACTGCTAGAAGAAAAACTAACAGAAAGCAATACATCAACAAAAAGGACCCCCACACAAAAACCCAATGCAAAGGTCATCAGTCTTATAGGTCAAAGGTAGATAAATCCACAAAGATGAGGGAAAAACAGTGCAAAAAAGCTGAAAATTCCAAAAATCAGAATGCCTCTTCTCTTCCAAGTGATCACAACTACTCTCCAGCAAAAACATAAAACTTGATGGAGAATGAGTTTGATGAATTGACAGAAGTAGGCTTCAGAACGTGGGTAATAACAAACTCCTAGTTAAAGGAGCACGATCTAACCCAGTGCAAGGAAGCTAAGAACCTTGATAAAAGGTTACAGGAACTACTAACTAGAATAACCAGTATAGAGAATAACATAAATGACCTTATGGAGCTGAAAAACACAGCAGCAGAACTTCGTGAAGCATACACAAGTATCAATAGCTGAATCGATCAAGCAGAAGAAAGGATATCAGAGATTGAAGATCAACTTAATGAAATAAGGCGTGAAGACAAAATTCAAGAAAAAAAAGAATGAAAAGGAAAGAACAAAGCCTCCAAGAAATATGGGACTATGTGAAAAGACCAAACCTATGATTGATTGGTGTACCTGAAAGTGATGGGGAGAATGGAACCAAGTTCGGGATATTACCCAGGAGAATTTCCCCAACCTAGCAAGACAGGCCAACATTCAAATTCAGGAAATACAGGGAATACCACTAAGATACTCCTCAAGAAGAACAACTCTGAGACACATAATCACCAGATTCTCTAAGATTAAAATGAAGGAAAAAAAAACTTAAGGGCAGCCAGAGAGAAAGGTCAGGTTACCTACAAAAGGAAGCCCATCAGACTAACAGCAGATATCTCTGCAGAAGCCCTACAAGCCAGAAGACAGTGGGGGCCAATATTCAACATTCTTAAAGAAAATAATTTTCAACCCAGAATTTCATATCCAGCCAAATTAATCTTCATAAGTGAAGAAGAAATAAAATCCTTTACAGGCAAGCAAATGCTGAGGGATTTTGTTACCACCAGGTCTGCCTTACAAGAGCTCCTGAAGGAAGCACTAAATATGGAAAAGGAAAACTGGTCCCAGTCACTGCAAAAATACACCAAAATATAAAGACCAATGACACTATGAAGAACTTGCATCAACTAATGTGGAAAATAAACCAGCTAGCATCACGATGACAGGATTAAATTCACACATAACAATATTAACCTTAAATGTAAATTGGCTAAAAGACCCAATTAAAAGACACAGACTGGCAAATTGGATAAACAGTCAAGACCCATCGGTGTGCTGTATTCAGGAGACCCATCTCATGTGCAAAGACACAAGTGGGCTCAAAATAAAGGGATGGAGGAATATTTACCAAGCAAATAGAAAGGAAAAAAAGCAGGGGTTGCAATCCTAGTCTCTGATAAAACAGACTTTAAACCAACAAAGACCAAAAAAATGACAAAGACATTACGTAATGGTAAAAGGACCAATGCAACAAGAAGAGCTAACTATCCTAAATATATATGCACTCAATACAGGAGCACCCAGATTCATAAAAACAAGTTCTTAGAGGCCTACAAAGAGACTAACAGGGATAGCAATTGAGATGAGGATGAAGGTCGTGGACTAACTTAGTCAAATGGTTTGGTATTCAAGCAAGCAGCAATTATTTTACAAGAGGCTGAAAGAAGTGGTCTGAAAGTGGCAATGAGAAGCATAGAATACAAAAATATCCCTTTCAATCCCTGAGGTCCATCATGGGTAACAGACCAACAAGATGCTGTCACTTAACAGAGCTACAGAGTGGTGTCTTCTAGTGAGAGCCAGATTTCAGCCAAGGCAGGGACAAATAAGAACTCAGAAATGGTTAAGGAGAGAGTGGGGCTTGATGATGTTTCTATGAATCGAGTGGTGAAATATGGCCAAGGCAGCATAAAGATTAAGTGCTTGGGTAGGACTGGCTCCATAATTTGTGGAGCCCAGTGCAAAATGAAAATGCAAGACTCCTTTTCCAAAAATTATTAATGATTTTAAGACAGGAGCATTAACCTAAGTGGGGCACATTTTTAGATCTGGAACAGTATACACAACAGCACAAATTACAAGTGAGCTCTGGGTCTAGGCTGCCTGGACTCAGATCCAGAAGAGTCAACTTTCTCAATTCTCACATCTTTAAAAATGGAGATAATCTTAATATCTAACTCAAAGAGTTTTGGGAAAAAATAGATGGATTAATATGTATAAAGTATTTGATACCTACTAAGCACTCAATAAATTTTTTGAATTTTAATACTCTTGGCAATAGAATACATGTCAGCTAGAATTATTGCTCAGTACTATTACTTCATAAAGTTTGAAGTCGTCAGAGGAGTTAAATTTCAAAAGAAAATTAGTCCTCACTGATCAGTGACAGTCCAGGAGATCATGAGAATCTATTTAAATTTATTTATGTTATCCCTGTAGTTTTATACAATTGCTTCATCATAAATGAAGACTTGAAAGGTGCTGCCATATTCAATCTGTCCTCAAGTGAAAAGTTAAAATGTGGTTTGGTCTGTCCTGTGTCTTGTGTTTATGAGAATAATTGGGATTCTGCTGCTTTAACAAAAGTGAAAGTTTGGGTATTATGGGATGGTTTTGCCATTGATAGGGAGTGGATGGAAGAAGGTGACTTAACATTCAGCAAATTGGAAATCTGTGCTGCCCCTAAAAAGTGACCCACAAAAGTAAAGGAATGAACTGCAGACTGATCTGTGCTCCTTCCCAGATCCCCATGAAAATCTAGACTTTTCTTTTTTCGAGATTTAAAACTCCTTGACTACACAAGGGATACCACTGCTGGGAATTTTAACTGTGAATGAAGAGTTTTGTGTGGTCCTTAATTGGGAGAAGAACCTGTCAAAAATAAAATATTCTATATTCGAATAGTCTCTGAACCATTATGGGCCTAGCAACACTATATAAACTGTCACACAGCTGGTGGCAGGTGGGTTGATTTTTCTGCAACACTAAAAGCTGGCAGGAGTGTCTTTCAGAAAACTACTCCCTTGAAAATTTCTAGTTAAGGTATAAGAAGAGGTGAGGAGGGAATACGGGGAGACAGGAAAGGAATTAAATAGTTGGATAACTACTGTGAAATATTTGAACTATGACAGCTGATTTCTGTTTAATTTGAGTTTGGAACTAATCTGCTTTGAAATCGGAAGTTTTAGTAAGTTTGAATATTTCTTCACTAGGTTCAGGTTATAGATAATTTTGGGAAAACTAATGAGAAGAGTAGCAGGATAACCCACGAGGGGAAAGAAATAGAAGGAATAAGCCCTTTATGTTTTTATGGAGAGGATGTTTGACAACCTGTATGCACAGGATAGTGGCTGTTTTGTGTCTCATTTTTGTTTCCATATGTATAGAAAATCAATGACTCCCGTCCCATCACTTCCTGTTGTCATGCTAAGTTTTGGTCATGTAAACTGCCTATTGCTCCCCACATGTCTGCAGGTACTTCCAAGTAAAACAGGGAGAAAAACTTGAATGAAAAAATATTGGCTGCTGTTTTCAATTGCCCCTCCCTCTCCCTAGTTTCAAGGGTTCTTAAATGTGTTTTGTGCCATGGGCCTCTTTGGCAATCTGGAGAAACTTATGGGTCACTTCTCAGAATAGTGTTTCTAAATACATAAAATAAAATGCCTGGGATTCTAAGAGAAACCAATGATGATGAAATACAGTCCTGTCCTGAACCTGTGGATAAGAACCCCTGCCCTAGTTCTTGGGCCTTATTATGCAAATCATGCTAATCAGTGGAGGGAAAACCAGAATAGGGAATTTGAATTGTGTCAAGAGAAATTCCTACAAGGGATAAAAGTAAAAAGAAATACAGTAAAGGAAATGGAAAAGGAAAGACCCCTTGGGATGAAGTACATTTTGATGCTTTGTAGAGAAGGAGAACATGAAGAGATGCTTCAGGGAAAGCGGGAGGGGGTAAAATAAAACACAGAATAAAAGGAATGGCAGAAGTAGGTTTTAAACTATATACCCTTTGATGTTCTTTGAGAGACACAACTAGAAACTGAAATTACTTTCTTATTGTTACCGGAGTCTGTTTGTTTGAAGGTTGGGTCACATGAGGTTCAGAAATTTATTCTGGTTACACATGCCTTCTTGAACTTACTCTTCTTGTTTTGACAGTCTTAAATCCTCTCTACAATCTTCTCAAAATTTAGGATCCATATTCATCTTCCATGACCAATCTTAAATTCCACCTCTTCTGTGATACTTTTCTAATGCCGTTTTCTTCTCTAACAACCAGCCAATTGTCTCAGAAATGTCTCTCTTGCTTTACATTGTAGTTATTTGTGTTAATTTCCCTCACTTGATTATTCCTGCTACCTAGCATATTATGATAAATGAATGAATGAATGAGTGCATTTAATAATGCATGACGGGTACATGGCAAATGCCTACATTTGTAATAGGAGTGCTTGCAAAAAGAGGAGATGTATTTATATCTACCACAGACATGAACTGAGGAAGTTTTAGTTATCATATGCCACACTAAACTCTGCATATATAATTATCTGTCATCATCAAAACAACCCTGAAGAAGAAATTTTGTTAATTCCACATCAATAACAAAGAAACTAAGATTCCAAAAAGTATTAATAAGTGGAAATTTGGATTTGAATATATTTCTTTCTAATTTGAAAACCTATATATATTCCAGTATATGAAGCTGCCTCCCTTTTAAGAAAATGGACAGTTAACTTTCATTGTGATCTTATTAGAATTCTTATTGGTAGTTACTCTTATTAATAAGAAACATTAATATTTTAATAAATTGAAAGTCTCAGAAGAAATAAATCACATAATCATCTCATGCTCTCTGTAAAAAAAAACATTCTATCTACCATGATTTGCTGTATTTCAGTAAAGCTTCAGAAAAGCAATCTGTTACCTTGGACAAGTCTGATAGATTATCCAATTGGATCTCACTTAATCATGATTTTAAATTTAAGTTTTGCATCATCATCATAAAAAGAACATTAAGTTATCTGGCAGTATCGTAGCACCGAAAGTATATTTTCTTAATCAGTTACCGTTACTAATGTTTTATGACAGCCAGAGGATTTTGAAAATGAAGACCAAAATAAGCACTCCTCTGATTATGAAACTGCACTGTCACAGCCAATTTGTAAGGTCTATATTATGCGCCTTGTTTAGGGAAAGACATTAAATGAAGGTTCAGAGATGTTAGGCAACCCAGTCAAGGAAACACAGCTAGAAAGAGCTAGAATAAGATTTTGAACATGTGAACTACTCATTTACTACTGAAAAAGAATTTCAGGTTTCCTCAAGTGGCTTTGTCATTTAAATATTCAATAAATAACTAATATCTGTCTTCAGGTATCAGGGTGTAAAATCCTACACGTTATTGAAACACATGGAATTTGAAATTATTTAAATAGATGGTTAGGGGAGGGAGGAGTAAAGAAAGAAAAGTGTGAAATAATGATTTTCATAGGTCTTATAATTACTTTGGTAAATAATGTTAATTTCACAATAAATCTGTTTAAATAGTTTTAATTAGTTTATATAAATATATTAAGCCTTATTTTATTACAATAAAAATAATACATTCACAATGTAAACTAATTTTCCATTTCCATGTAAACTCACCACATGGTAAGTTGCAAATAGAAAAAAACTATTTTAGTAATCTCGCTTGCTTTTATATTTCTGAAATGGTATTTTTCTTGATATTCCAATTAAAGTATAAAATAAATACTTAATTTTTACAATAGTACAGTAAGCATCAATAATGATTTTGAAGAATAATTTCTGAGTATTCATTTTTAATTTTATAATGAATATTCTATTAATATGTGCATAATCTAGCTGAAACAACAAAGAAGTTATAAATTCTTTATTGATATTTCTGTTAAATCACACATGCCTATTAAACATCTCCTATGTACTAAGTATTACTTTAGGAAATGAAACTTATAAAACATCCCTGCTTAAGCTTTAAGTTAAAATATTTATTATCCCTAATTATCATTAATTTTTAAGGGGACATTTATGTCTATATATTTTACCTGGATTTTGAGTTATCAATATGGTTGATTTTCAATTAATGATATAAAAAGATAAGAATCACAATATTTTTAGAAATTTACCTTGTATCCTGGTCCTGAAAACTCAGTGTTCTAGATAGGAAAACGGTGTTTTAAAATTCTGAGATTTCTTTCAGTATGAAAACCAAACTAAAGTTCGTGGTAACAAGTAGCAGTCAACATAAGATTATCCAGACTTACATCTGGGGACAAAGTAGAGAATCATAATAAACTTGCAAAAAACTAATGAAATCTATATTCTGGTGAAATTAAAGTAATATTTCAGTTTGTGAGAGGATTATATTTGTAAGACACAATCCAATTAATTTGAAAAAAAAGTAATAGATATTTTATAATCAAACCAAAGTAAATGGGCCTGGAATAATAGTAAAATTGTTGTACATTTAATCCTAGAAAAAAAAGAGAAATCTTAATGCAAGTCCTGCAATCATGTCCTAATTCACAAGGAAAAGACCACTCTCACCCTCCAATCCAAATTTATAGGTCCATTAGAAAAGGGGATCACTAAAGGCAAAAATTATATAAAAGAATTCTAAAAGGAAGGAAAGATCTATCTTCTTCTCCCAATAGTAATGAGCTTAGTGCTCAGTAGAGACTGAGAACAGAGTCAGGTCTAGAAGATTGATCTAACAACACAGAATATTAGCTTCTTCTAAAACCCACATAATTACCCTAAAATCACCCAATCACTTGCAATATTAACTCTTCCATGGCTGAAACTAGAGCAATTTGAGCAACCAATTAAATAATTATAGTATAGTATTATAGCCCAAAGAATATTCACCAATCCATACTGATAAAAATAAACGATTGATCGAATAAGTGAATAAAAGGGGCAGAAGTCAGAATTCTTGGAATTCTTGCTTTTAGAAGAATTTTAATTAGTAAACAGAAAAGGAATGTAGGAAGCAGAAAATTGCCATTAGATCACTGGTATAGTTTGGATAACTGACCCTCCAAACCTCATGTTGAAATCTGATCTCTAATGTTGGATGTGGGGCCTAATGGGAGGTGTTTGGATCATGGGGGCAGATCCCTCATGAATGGCTTGATACCCTGATGATGATGAGGAAGTTTTCACTCTATTTGTTGCTCCTAGAACTGGTTCTTTTTTTAATTTTATTTTATTATACTTTAAGTTTTAGGGTACATGTGCACAATGTGTAGGTTTGTTACATATGTATACATGTGCCATGTCGGTGTGCTGCACCCATTAACTCGTCATTTAGCATTAGGTATATCTCCTAATGCCATCCCTCCCCCCGCCCCCCACCCCACAACAGTCCCCAGTGTGTGATGTTCCCCTTCCTGTGTCCATGTGTTCTCATTGTTCAGTTCCCACCTATGAGTGAGAGCATACGGTGTTTGATTTTTTGTCCTTGTGATAGTTTGCTGAGAATGATGGTTTCCAGTTTCATCCATGTCCCTACAAAGGACATGAACTCATCATTTTTTATGGCTGCATAGTATTCCATGGTGTATATGTGCCACATTTTCTTAATCCAGTCTATCCTTGTTGGACATTTGGGTTGGTTCCAAGTCTTTGCTATTGTGAATAATGCCGCTATGAACATACGTGTGCATGTGTCTTTATAGCAGCATGATTTATACTCCTTTGGGTATATACCCAGTAATGGGATGGCTGGGTCAAATGGTATTTCTAGTTCTAGATCCCTGAGGAATCGCCACACTGACTTCCACAATGGTTGAACTAGTTTACAGTCCCACCAACAGTGTCAAAGTGTTCCTATTTCTCCACATCCTCTCCAGCACCTGTTGTTTCCTGACGTTTTAATGATCGCCATTCTAACTGGTGTGAGATGGTATTTCATTGTGGTTTTGATTTGCATTTCTCTGATGGCCAGTGATGATGAGCATTTTTTCATGTGTTTTTTGGCTGCATAAATGTCTTCTTTTGAGAAGTGTCTGTTCATATCCTTTGCCCACTTTTTGATGGGGTGGTTTGTTTTTTTCTTGTAAATTTGTCTGAGTTCATTGTAGATTCTGGATATTAGCCCTTTGTCAGATGAGTAGGTTGCAAAAATTTTCTCCCATTCTGTAGGTTTCCTGTTCACTCTGATGGTAGTTTCTTTTGCTGTGCAGAAGCTCTTTAGTTTAATTAGATCCCATTTGTCAATTTTGGCTTTTGTTGCCATTGCTTTTGGTGTTTTAGACATGAAGTCCTGGCCCATGCCTATGTCCTGAATGGTATTGCCTAAGTTTTCTTCTAGGGTTAAGAGCCTGGCACTTCCTTCCCCTCTCCCTCTTGCTTTTCTCTTCCCCTGTGGTCTCCACACACCAGCTCCTCTTTGCCTTCAGCCATGAGTAAAGGCTGCCTGAGGCTCTCACCAGATGCACAATCTTCCAGCAAATAGAATTGTGAGCCAATAAATCCTCTGTTTCTTTATAAATTACCCAGCCTCAGATATTCCTCTATAGCAAAACTAACACACCAAGATGATTACAATAGTAATAATTGCTGCAAGCAAAGTCTACCAGTGAATATGAAAATTGCTGGGCAAAACCTCAAGGAGAATCAGGAAAATTTGTGGCCTTAAAATATACTCGATGTATGTATTCATTACTGTGGTTATTTTAACATATGCCCACAAATTCTTTGAAACACTTCCCTCCAGGAAGTGTAACGATACTTCAGACATGAACTGAGGAAGTTTTAGTTATCATATGCCACGCTAAACTCTTCATATAGGACTTACTTCTAAAAAGTAGAATATGGAAAGGGAAAAATGGTAACTTTATGGTTTAAAATCCTGGCTTAAAACCCTGTTGGAAATCATCTTAATGAAGTAATCCAGCTTAACATTAGCAGTAATAAAGAATAATGATATTATCTACCCTCTGCTATAATGCCATTGCATGGTGCATCATGGTACTCTTTCCAAAAGTTATGGAACTTCAGCTTAATTATGAGAAAGTGCCAGACAAACACAAATTGAGGGATATTCTACAAAATATTTAAGCAGTATTTTTTATTTCTAAATCCAGTTTATTTTTTTTTGCCTGATTTGTTCATTCTTTATTAATACAAATTTTCAGAGATAACTAAATAAGGAGCTACACCTGCACATGACCAGCACCTGAAGAGGAGGGATGGACAAGCACAGTGGTGCATTTGGAAACAGAAATTCAAGGAAATATTAAACAAAAGAAGACATGAAGTGGAAAAGTCATTACACTGTGGGAAAAAATGACACAGAACAACCAAAATAGACAACCTAATAACCTTACAGAGAAAGGACCATTTAATCATCCTGGCAAGATGATCAGGTTATTTCTAATGAAATTACATTAATCCATTTGGGGTAGGTCAGTTTAATCTCTCATCTTTCATTCCTTTACTAGAATGCCTACTTCATAGGATGTGAGGAAGGCATATAGCACCTCCTGTATTTAATAAATAATAGCTTCTCTTCTGCTAAGTGGAGAATGCAAAAGTGCTTGGAAGTAATTTCTTTCTCTTTTTTTCTCTTTTTTTTTTTACTTTAAGTTCTGGGATGCATGTGCAGAACGTGCAGGTTTGTTACATAGGCAAACATGTGACATGGTGGTTTGCTGCATCTATCAACCCATCATCTAGGTTTTAAGCTCTGCATGCATTAGGTGTTTCTTGTAATTTTCTTCCTCCCCTTGCCCCTCAGCCCCCTACAGGCCCCAGTGTGTGATGTTCCCTTCCTTGTGTCCACATGTTCTCATTGTTCAACTCCCACTTATAAGTGAGAATATGTGGTGTTTGGTTTTCTGTTTCTGTGTTAGTTTCCTAAGAAGGAAGGTTTGCAGCTTCATCCATGTCCCTGCAAAGGACATGAATTCATTCTTTGTTGTGGCTGCATAGTATTCCATGGTGCATATGTGCCACATTTTCTTTATCCAGTCTATCATTGATGGGCATTTGGGTTGGTTCCAAGCCTTTGCTGTTGTAAATAGTGCTGGAGTAAATATAGGTGTGCATGTGTCTTTATAGTAGAATGATTTATAATCCTTTGGGTATATACCCAGTAATGAGATTGCTGGGTCACATGGTATTTCTGATTCTAGATCCTTGAGGATCCTTGAGGTTGTAGAGTTGTGTTATTTCTGAGGCCTCTGTTCTGTTCCATTGGTCTATACACTTGTTTTGGTACCAGTACCTTGCTATTTTGGTTACTGTAGCCTTGTAGTATAGTTTGAGGTCAGGTATTGTGATGCCTCCAGCTTTGTTCTTTTTGCTTGGGATTGTCTTGGATATATGGGCTCTTTTTTGGTTCCACATGAAATTTAATGTAGTTTTTTTCTAATTCTGTGAAGAAATTCAATGGTAGCTTGATGGGAATAGCATTGAATCTATAAATTACTTTGGGCAGTATGGCCATTTTCACAATATTGGTTCTTCTTATCCATGAGCATGGAATTTTTTTTTCATTTGTTTGTGTCCTCTCATATTTCTTTGAGCAGTGGTTTGTAGCTCTCCTTGAAGAGGTCTTTCATGTCTCTTGTAAGTTGTATTCCTAGGTGTTTTATTTTCTTTGTAGCAATTGTGAATGAGAGTTCACTAATGATTTGGCTCTCTATTATTGGTGTATACGAATACTTGTGATTTTTGCATATTGATTTTGTATCCTGAGACTTTGCTATGTGGTGCTGAAGAGAATGTATATTCTGTTGACTTGGGGTGGAGAGTTCTGTGGATGTCTGTTAGGTCTGCTTGGTCCAGAGCTGAGTTCAAGTCCTGAATACCCTTGTTAATTTTCTGTCTCATTGATCTAATATTGACAATAGGGTGTTAAAGTCTCCATTCATTTGCCTGAACTTTGGAACTAGCCCAAAGCCTCATCAATACCCTAGTGTCTTCAACCTTCACACAGACAACCCATCTAATTACCTGATCTCCGAATTCCTTGACCTCTAAATCCTGATATTGTTATAGAGATACACTGAAAAAGCTATACCTGGGAACTTGCCATTACCAGAAACCGAGCTACCTCTTAAATCATAAATTCATATATGTTACATTTTTGCTACTGCCTCACTCCTTCCAGTTGAATTGTTGATTTACTCTTTCTTTTCTTTCTCTCTTTTTTTTTTTGCTTTTATCTTTTTTCTTATTATTATAATTTAAGTTCTGGGATACATGTGCAGAATGTGCAGGTTTGTTACATAGGTATACACATGCCATGGTGGTTTGCTGCCCCCATCAACTCATCATCTACATTAGGTATTTCTTCTAATGCTATCCCTCCTCTAGTCCCCCAGCCCCTGACAGACCCTGATGTGTGATGGTCCCATCCCTGTGTCCATGTGTTCTCATTGTTCAACTCCCACTTATGAGTGAGAACATGTGGTGTTTGGTTAATTCTTGACCATGTTGGGGCCTCCCACCCTTTCACCCTCTGATTTTTCCTTCTGCTTAGTCCTTTTTTTATTCTTGACATCTTTCCTTATTCACTTAAGATACCATGGGCTACTATTTTCAAATGCTTAAGTCCATACCCATATTCCATTGCATTTCTACCTTTTCATCATATCTGTCTGCTAAAACCTCACCCTAAATTAATCCTAACCAATCCATCCCTGGGTCTGCATTTTAAAAAGCCAAGCAATAATAGCATAGACCTATACTAGACAGCTTTGAATCATTACATACTCATAATCACTAATTTCCAAAAGGCTATCCATGCTGCCAGGCAATTCTCCAAGATTTTGCAGTGTATTTTCTCTTAGGTGGAGTTCCTTAACAACATTGCCTGAAACAAGGACTTTGAGTGAGTGATGTATGAGGGAGTGGTGGAAGTTGAATAGGCAAGAGCATGGGTTCCACTGAGTTCCAGCCTCAACGTCAGTCCACAGGAGCTGGAACATAGTGGCTCCACAGAATTGGTCCACTAGGCAAGGGCAACAATACCTATCATCCCCTCACACATCAGTGGTCCATCCTTGTGGGTGGGGAGGGAGCAATGTCCTAGGCATTTCTGGGCAAGGTGGCTACTTTCAGCCCAGTGTGATTCCTAGAGGAATGTAGCTGCGAGTTGTCCACAGCGAACCTTCACAACAGCTGGGTGATAGGATCCGGATGGGGCACCACATCACCAACTACATTCACCCTCTTAATTTCTACTGTGCTTATGTAAAAACTTTTCCATTTTCCTCCGACCCACTAAACTGCCACCTTCATACTAAACCCCACAACTATCTAAGTCATTTTCTTTGTTACATGCTCTCCTAGCTCGATGGTGTTTCTCAGCCTCAGAGATCTTATTTCATTGTGTGTGTTTGTATGTATAATATGTATCTTCTCAACCAAACTGCATACTCCGTGAGAGCAAAGACAAAAACTTTTTGGCCATGAATATTATACCTCTTGGGCTTAGAACAATGGTACATGTAAATCGCTTTAAGAATGAATGGGGCTGGGCATAATGGCTCATACCTGTAATCCCAGCACTTTGGGAGGCCGAGGAGAGAGGATCACTCGAGGACAAGGTTTCAATACTACTTTAAAGTTCATATGGAACCAAAAAAGAGCCTGCATTGCCAAGTCAATCCTAAGCCAAAAGAACAAAGCTGGAGGCATCACACTACCTGACTTCAAACTATACTACAAGGCTGCAGTAACCAAAACAGCATGGTACTGGTACCAAAACAGAGATATAGATCAATGGAACAGAACAGAGCCCTCAGAAATAACGCCGCATATCTACAACTATCTGATCTTTGACAAACCTGAGAAAAACCAGCAATGGGGAAAGGATTCCCTATTTAATAAATGGTGCTGGGAAAACTGGCTAGCCATATGTAGAAAGCTGAAACTGGATCCCTTCCTTACACCTTATACAAAAATCAATTCAAGATGGATTAAAGATTTAAACGTTAGACCTAAAACCATAAAAACCCTAGAAGAAAACATAGGCATTACCATTCAGGACGTAGGCATGGGCAAGGACTTCATGTCCAAAACACCAAAAGCAATGGCAACAAAAGACAAAATTGACAAATGGGATCTAATTAAACTAAAGAGCTTCTGCACAGCAAAAGAAACTACCATCAGAGTGAACAGGCAACCTACAAAATGGGAGAAAATTTTCGCAACCTACTCATCTGACAAAGGGCTAACATCCAGAATCTACAATGAACTCAAACAAATTTACAAGAAAAAAACAAACAACCCCATCAAAAAGTGGGTGAAGGACATGAACAGACACTTCTCAAAAGAAGACATTTATGCAGCCAAAAAACACATGAAAAAATGCTCATCATCACTGGCCATCAGAGAAATGCAAATCAAAACCACAATGAGATACCATCTCACACCAGTTAGAATGGCGATCATTAAAAAGTCAGGAAACAACAGGTGCTGGAGAAGATGTGGAGAAATAGGAACACTTTTATACTGTTGGTGGGACTGTAAACTAGTTCAACCATTGTGGAAGTCACTGTGGCAATTCCTCAGGGATCTAGAACTAGAAATACCATTTGACCCAGCCATCCCATTACTGGGTATATACCCAAAGGACTAGAAATCATGCTGCTATAAAGACACAAGCACACGTATGTTTATTGCGGCATTATTCACAATAGCAAAGACTTGGAACCAACCCAAATGTCCAACAATGATAGACTGGATTAAGAAAATGTGGCACATATACACCATGGAATACTATGCAGCCATAAAAAATGATGAGTTCATGTCCTTTGTAGGGACATGGATGAAATTGGAAACCATCATTCTCAGTAAACTATCGCAAGAACAAAAAACCAAACACCGCATATTCTCACTCATAGGTGGGAATTGAACAATGAGATCATATGGACACAGGAAGGGGAATTTCACACTCTGGGGACTGTTGTGGGGTGGGGGGAGGGCGGAGGGATAGCATTGAGAGATATACCTAATGCTAGATGATGAGTTAGTGGGTGCAGCGCACCAGCATGGCACATGTATACATATGTAAATAACCTGCACAATGTGCACATGTACCCTAAAACTTAAAGTATAATAAAAAAATAAATAATAAATAAAAATAAAAAATAAAAAAAAAATACCAGCCTGAGCAATACAGCAGGACCCATCTCTACAAAAAGTGTTTTCTAAAAAAGAATGAATCAGTTAATTAAAACAGCTATCACTTTATAGAAGCTACTATGTGCCAGGCCCTATTCTAAGTAATTTATGTGTATTAAATCCTCCATCTCCACAGCTGTGAGCTAGGTACTGTTATTATCTCATACCACAAACAAGAAGTTCAAGAAGTTGCTGAAGTTCACATGGCTAAGAAGGAGTTCTGCGTATGAATCCAAGCAATGTGACTTTATAGTCTTTGCTCTTATCTAGTCCGCTGTACTCTATTGTACTGCCTCTGAATGAATGGTGGAATGAATAAAGGACAGATGAAATAGAGGGAAAGAATACAGGGAAATGGAGGAAGGGAGAAGGGAAGATAGAATGCAGCAGACTGCAGACACACATGCTACGTGTGATGTAGTCAGAAGCTTTTGAGTATCTCACAGAAAATGGCTTTTTGTTAAACCAGTCTCCTTAATTGAGTGATGTCAACTATCACTCAATGTGTAGCCACACTTCCCTGCTTCTAATTTGTTGACTCATTGTAGCAAGTTGTAAAGACCCGATATATGGATTTCCAATCCCAAATATTCAGAAAATTCAATCATGCTAACCCCATTGCAAGTAACCCACAATGTTAGTATTTTTTTTTTTTTAGCAAATACAGTTATGATATTGGGCTCTCCGACAGACCAACTGTGTATATACATCAATAAAAAAACACTAAAAACACTGAAGGAAAAGTAGCAGTTTTACATAGTGAATGTATCAATTTAAACAAAACTGGATACATAAAGCATCTCAAGAAGGGAAGGGAATAGGATACTAATTGTGTGAGACAATTTGATCTCCTAGGAACCCAGATGGGAAATTCATAGTCACTGAGGTTTGGAAGGAAACTTAAAGGTCATTCTGTTCAAACCTCTCAGTGGCATCTGGCCCATTTAGCATACTTTATTATTTAAAAATTGTTTTTCTCCCCATAAAGTACCCAATTAATGACTTTATTGTTATTTTTAAGGTTAAGACAGCAAATTGAGGGCAGATGTATTTAGTATCTTCTGTCTGCTCTAAAACTAAACTGGATTAAAGGTTTGTTTCATCAGACACCCTGTTTGATAAATGATCCAACATGTCTAGTCATCATCAGAATGTAGGTTGAACCTCCATGTGTGTGAGAACATTTTTCCCAATTTATTATAATTCCTGTGATTTATGCACAACAGTGATGGAAATAGTCTTGTGTCGATTTCCAAGGCGCAATGTGGGAGGCACTGTGTGTGCACAAATCCCGTTATTTGTTAATAGGATTTGTCCACATACCCTCTGCCCAATCTGTCCAATGCTTTGAAATATTGCAGCTGCTTTTCATTTCCTAAAAAATCCGATTGGCAACAATGTCAACACCACAGCTCAACCTACAAACAGAAGCACAACTCCAAGTAAGAATACACAGTTGGCAAAAATAGTCATTAATGCCACCACTAAGGATGCCATCTGGGGAATTTCGTTACCACGCTAGGGCCAGCTCTAAAGTGAGATATTTCATATTCAACTGAATATGGCTTTTTAACATTGGTGTCCCCACATAATGGTTCCTAACTGGGGCAATTTTGGTACCCATAAACGTTTGGCAATGTCTGGAGACATTTTTAATTGTTATCACTAAGGGAGCCTGCCTATCAAGTGGGTGGAGACCAGGGATAATGATAAACATTTTATAATACACCAGAAAGCCCCCCAAACAAAGAATTACCCAGTACAAAATTTTGATCGTGCTGAGGTCACTGCCCTGCTTGCTCCAAGGCATATCAAACCAATCTAACGTAGCCATAAATGACAGTTGTCCTCCTTTATCACCGTTTAAGATACAGACTACAATGCCTGTTGGGGAACAAGTAGTTTAAATGCATGGGATCTAATTCGGTATTATATTTCTGTGTTTGTGACATTTATGGATACATCTCTTGCTAGGTATTTTAACCAGTATAAAAAGTAGCAAGAGTAAGGTGGAGAGCAAATGCAGATTCTTGGAAATGTTACTGTCACAGGGACTCTACTAGTACAACATTTCCAATCCCTATTCTCTAAAACATCAGTTCAGCAAGATGAATGGGAATCCCATGACTAAAGGATTACAAGTCAAATGTCCTGGTGAAATTTGGCTTGAACTAACTGAAATCTGTTTGTGTCCTGTGGGACTATGCTCAGCAACTTAAAATGCTCACAGTCATCATAGCTCTCCAAGAGATGACTATAGTAAAACAAATAAAACATTTTCAAACTTACTGGACCATAAATTGTTTTACTTCTGTAACGTGTTAATATTGCTTTAAATAAATGATCTACTACAACCAGCATGTTCATCGGTAAAGTATGGTGCAAAAGCTGGTGTTATATGCCCAGAATTATTCACCAAGTAGGACAAAGCAAGGACCACAACAAAGACCACTTATTGTTGTCTATTCTTTACTATGCAGTGCTTCTTTTTACAGCTATAGTTTTAAAATGATGACATAATTACATTGTTAAATCACGGTATATAGGGCTTGGAATAAAACATTACTTTGGATGGAGCATTTTAAAATCTAGTATCGTGTTTACTATTCACAATTCACATGGAATTATTTTTCCCTCTACTACTCCACTTGTTCCTCCTATTTATTATCATCTTCCCTATCATCATCACTACCACCGTATCTTGAATATAAAGTTAACCACTAGAATTTACCATGAGTCTAGGTCCTTTGTTAACCCAGTGTTGAAAACAATCTGTGGCATATTGGAGTCACTCCATGTATGTTCAGTTCATGGAAGCTCCATTTTGTAGATAAAGGATATGAAGCCTAATCTGAAGGTAGAAGTACACAATTTTTAAAAGCACCTACTATGCTAGTTATTTTTTCATATATTATTTCATGGAATTAGTGAGATGTAACAGCAACATCAAAAGATAAAACTAGCAAAATAGCAAAAATAATACATTTTTAGGAAAGTAACTAACAAAAACTACAGAATAAATGAAGGAAAATTGCAGTAATCTTTTTATTCTTGTTTTCTGCACTCTAAGACAGGGAGCTTGTGGATGCTGGCTGGTCTTGCTTAAGACTTCAGTGTACTGAATCACATTTATTTGGTATTATGCAAAAGGCCAGTGATATTGCTGGGTAAAATTTCTCAGTGGAGCTACAAGAAGAGACACAATGATGAGCAATGAACTTTTCACAACCAGCCCACCAAACTAGCCAGAATTAAACACATCAGTAGTTCCACTTCAATTTTATGTTTATTTTTTATGATTACGAAGTCTAGTCAACTTGATTTTAACTCATAACTCTCAAAAACAAAACTGGAAAGAACTCACTGGAAGAATGAAGCAATGAAAGATAATCTCTAATAACTAATTTTTTTGATTTATTTTTTACTTTGTTTGAGACAGAGTCCTGCTTTTGTTGCCCAGGCTGGAGTGTAGTGAGGCAATTTCAGCTCACTGAAACCTCCGTCTCCCGGGTTCAAGTGATTTTCCTGCTTCAGCATCCCAAGTAGCTGGGACAACAGGCATGCATCACTGCACCCAGCTAATTTTTGTGTTTTTAATAGAGACGGGGTTTCACCATGTTGGCCAGGCTGGTCTAGAATTCCTGGCCTCAAGTGATATGCCTGCCTCAGCCTCCCAAAGTGCTGGGATTACGGGTGTGAGGCAACATGCTCTGCCTCTAATAATTAATTACTAAACATGTTTCATTATCTAGTAGGTTAGCTTACTGAGGATCTTTGTCAGTTCTTCTCCAGCCACCTACTCATCTAGAGTCTGGCAATAGTAAAAATAAGCTGGCAATTTATCAGAGAATTACTTTATGGAAGAGCTTCTTATTAGTGAGGAATATTTAACATTAGGTAATGTTATTAACTTAAATATAGACAAACTTAAAAGGGCATTACAGCTGAAAGCAGATAAAATTAGCCTTGATTAGCTAAGTTCTAGATCTAGAAATAATGTTTTTAATGTCCGGCCATTGTCAAGTGTTTACAAAGATCTTAAATTACCTTGAAGCACATGGCAAAGCAAGCTGAAAGACTCCCACTAATACCTGAGTTCACTGACAAGTTCATTTGCCCATCATTTATTCAAACACCATTTTGTACCAATGACATAGAAAACACCAAGCTCAGTGCTACGGAGGGTAGAAGATACAGACTGTGCTCTTGAAGGGGTCATGTACTGATCAGGAGGATTAGAAACTTTTTAAAGGTAAATTCATATATCTGTGAACAAAACTGGAGAGTAAGGATGTTCATTGCTGCATTGTTTGTAAAAATAAGAATTTGGAGGAAACATAAATGTTTATTAAGAGAGAAATGGCTAAAGTAACATGAATTATTCACAATACGGAATAGCATAGCAGCAGTAAACAAATCAAAAACAGCCCCAGTAGCCAGAGTGTGAATGAATAAAGCAAACTGCTGAACCAGTATGACCATATAAATATTATACATTTATGGGCATGTAACACGTATAGAGATTTTTACGGAAAAGGCCTGGAAAGATGTAAATGAAATGAAAACAGTGGCTTCCACTGGGCAAAATACTGGAACTATGGAAATAATCATAACAATCTATAGTTTTACATATAATGTTCCAGTTTAAGATGATAATACATTAATATATTATTTATCAAATATGTGTACATATAGAGATGTAAATATAGATATATATTAACATGAATACCACAGAGAGGAACACATAAAAGGATAAAGAATTTTAAATAGATAAAATTGTTTCTTCTCAGGGGAATTACTCAACATTTTGCATAGGAGAAGCCATTCCTTATTAATTTGAAAAATCTTGAATAGGGCCAGGCGCGGTGGCTCACACCTGTGATCCTAGCACTTTGGGAGGCTGAGGCAGGTGGACCGCAAGGTCAGGAGTTCGAGAACAGCCTGACCAACATGGTGAAACCCCATCTCTACTAAAAATACAAAAATTAGCCAGGTGTGGTGGCGTGCGCCTGTAATCCCAGCTACTCAGGAGGCTGAAGCAGAAGAATTGCTTGAACCCAGGAGGTGGAGGTTGCAGTGAGCCGAGATCATGCCAGTGCACCACTCCAGACTGGGCTGCAGAACGAGATTCCGTCTCAAAAAAAAAAAAACCACAAAAATAGAAGAGGGAAATATATAATTAACTACAAAGATGCTGCAGCACACAAAAATTACAAAAATTAAAATTGTAGCCAAAATTTGGGGGGCAGGGAGAGATGAGTAAATGGACCACAGGTAAAACAGTTTCATTTTTCGGACAATGAAACTATGCCATATGCATCATAATGGCAGATAAATAACATGATGTATTTCAGAAAATTCTTAGAACTATACAACTTCGAATCTTAACATAACCTATGAACTTTTCATTATAATAATTTGTCAATATCGGTTCATCAGTTGTAACAAATGTTCCACACTAATGCAAAATATTAAAATAGGGAAAATTGCATGTATGTGAGAGGATAGGGAGTACATGGGAACTCTCTGTACTTTGTATTTGATTTTTCTGTAAACCTAAAACTTCTCTAAGAAATAAAACTTATTTGAATTTAAAAAATGCAATAACTGAAGAATGCGTAAAGACAATAAAACCATAAATAAAAGAATAATTGATGCTTTTGGAGAAAGTGTAAGCAGTGATTATATTATATCTATGATATCTATGACAGAAGTTAATCCATAGACAGCTCTGTCATGCTTGGCACACAAAAGTATTCAATGTTGTTAGTATTGTTGGATCTATCTATCTATTTATCTATCATCTGTCTTTTCTCTGTTTATAGATTTTTATTAAAAAAAGAGGAAATAGAGTTATGTGAGGAAGGCAAAGTGTGGAAAAATATTCTAAACAGAAAGAACAGCTAGCTCGATGACACAGACAGAAGGGAAAAAGCCCTTTCAGGGACTGGACTTGAATGTGGGGTGGCTGGCCTGCAGACACATGTCAAACCTACTGGAGAGGAAACCACAACCCGAAGCTAGGATTGAGCTTCAAGAACCTTGAATCCCTTGCCAAGGTATTTGGATATAGGTTGTGGGAATCATGGTGTTTTGAATGTGACCTACTTACTTCTGTGCTTTAGGGAGCTGGATGGGAATGAGAAGAGATTCAAGAGTGAGAGTGTAACAAGAGTGATGGTTTGGGAATTAAACTGAGTAGGTTCAAATTCTAGTTCTGACACTTCCTAGCTCTCTATGTAAACCCAGGGCACATGTCTTAACTGTTTTCAACCTCAGTTTCCTCATGAATAATAATAAATACAATGATAATAAGCTCTAACAGGTTTGTTGGTGGTATTAAACCAGAAAATATGTACTCAAATGCCTCATACGGAACCTTAGACATAGTAAGTGCTCTAGAAACAAGATTCTTTGTTACAGTGCTTATACAAGTGTTGTGTTAGAGACCTAAGTATACATAAGTGATAATGATAATGATGTTTTTGGGAAAATTAGCAGGACAATAGGGAAAGAGAAGGTATGATCATTGACCCATTCTGAGTTCCTGGAAGAATGGTGATATTAACGACATATATAGGAAGCAAAGGGAGGCAAGACATTTGAGCAAAGAGGAGTTTGACCACAGACATAAAGCTTCAAGATATTCATCCAAAACTCAAATGGAATTACAGAGTAGTAAGCAATGTCAGATAAAAAGACTTTGGAAGTTAGGAACAGGGAGTGATGTGTGAAATTGAGACATGTGAAACTGACTCACATAGAAATGGGTGGCGTAGGTGCAGGGAGAACAGGCAGGGTAATACCTATGAGGGAGGTAGAGGGCTGTGGAGGAGCAAAGTAGAAGCCACTCACAACCCGGAGCCAGCCGGAGCAGGAGGATAAGGAGGGGCTTCATGAAGGCCCTGAAGAGTTCTGTCTGGAGCACAGCATGTTTCCCCTGCCCTATGTCTTCATGCTTCATCTCATACAGGGCCTCTGCACACAAGCCTTAAAGGCACCACATGCAACCTCGCACAAGTAAATCATAATTAGGACTCATAGTTTTCTGAAAAATAATATTCTAACTATTCTTTAAATTTTAGGATTTCCTTTTAGTAAGGTTGAAAGAAAAATGAAAGACCATTGCATTATTTCTGAACTACTGCACCAAATCCATTATACAGAAATTTCCACACACATACACACACAGTACAGTTTCTAAATAAACATTTAAAAGTATTTTGCAGTGGAAATTTACCTTGTTTAAAATCCATTATTCTTATGACTAGGCTGGGTGCTGTTGCTCATGCCTGTAATCCCAGCACTTTGGGAGGCCAAGATAGGAGGATCGCTTGGCACTAGGAATTTGAGACCAGCCTGGTCTACATAGCTGACCCCATCTCTTAAAAAAAAAAAAAAAAAAAAAGAAAGAAAGAGAGAAAAGAAAAAAAATGATTACTTTTACGGCTAAAACTTTGTTTTTTGTGATATATTTTTAAAATAACATTAATCCCCAAAGTCAACACATTAGTTAGAAAATACTTTGTTTATTAGCAAGATGTTACTTTGTATTAGAGATAAAATGCCATATTAGAAAGATTTGGAAGACTTATAAGAAGGTTGGAATGAAATACTAGTCAAAATAATAAAATGATATGATTTTATATTTTGATAATTTCACCCTCTCTTTTTAACAAATTGATCTTTTTATGCTAATTGCTATTTTTTACACCATTCTTTCAATTACTAAATCAATGGACAACTACCTAAAATTATTTTTTCTAATCATTTTAAAACAATCACATAATTTTGCATTACTATTACTGCACCACGACTTTATTCAAAGCATAACATTTTACCACAGTTGTAAAAGGAACAGAATGAATTGCAAAGATAAAAATTCTATCCTGCTACCATCCAATTATCAGATGGCACATTGGTCTACTAATTATAAAAGTGACCCTGTTCATGGCCAGAGTGAGGGTTACCAAGGCACAAATATTAGTCTCTAGGAGCTTTAATATTAAGTGATTCACTTTTTTCACCAAAAACAATCTCACTGTTTCCTCATTAGACTCAAATTGTATCATATGGTTTTATTCAGTGACTAATTAATGCTATTTTCCAGAACAAATCTCCGACAGTGCTGAGAATAAGAGCCTAATTTAGAACACAAAAACAATGAATGAGGTGGTCATGACCAGTGACTTTTACTCAAAAGTCAATGCCAGCTAATTACAATGCCTGGAAAGTTGCACAAGGGATCAATGGCAACTTATTCTGTTCGGGTTCCTCTCATTAATAACCCAAATGTCCACCATATCACTGTTATTTTCCCAAGAAAAGGGTACAGAAATCAGCAAACAGATGAAAGCAATAAGGACCATAAAATGCTTACCAAAGTGCTGGGAAGAAAATAAGTCTTCACTAAATGCTAGCTAATGATAATGAGAGTACTATAGTACCAACTTTGCTAAGCACCCTGGTTAAAAATTCAGAGAATACACAACAGCAAATGTTAAAAGGATTCCAACATGTAATACCTCTGATTTATAAATATCTAAGTTTATCACAGAAAAATACTTAGTTCAATTCCTGGAAAATGATACATGTCTAATAATCATTTATTGAGTGACAGCATGAATGATACTCTTCAGAACATAAAATTCGGTAAGCTAGCCAAGGAAGGGGTAGGGAAAATGACACTGCAGGAACTGTCCCTTTCATAGTCCCTTGAGTAATAACCATTCTAAGGTGCTCTAATTCGGGAAAGATATATCCAAATAACTATCACAGAGATCAAGCAAACTCTGCACCTTACCAGACTTACAGCCTGACAAAATTCAGGGCAGCTTTCTAAAAGTAAAAAATAATAATTATTAAATAAAAACCGAGAGAAATGCAAAATCAGGACTTACTTTCGCTCGGTCTTTCCAGATAGAGAAAAGACACTTTCCCTTACTCTCTGTCCCCCAAGCCAAACTTGGGGAAGGAGGAGTGGGGTATTTTTTAAGTAATATCCAGACCTTCTGTATTAAATTCCTCTAACATATTAAATATTATTTAAATTCATAGAGCTATCCACAATTATATAATTTTAGAGTCTGTCTTGAAATAATTAAGGGTAAAACAAGATTCAAAATTACATCTTTAAAAAGATTATGTTTTTTGTCTTTCCTTCACTAGATTTGCAATGACTATTTAAAGTCATTTTAGGCTTCTCTCTATATAACTGTTTTAACTTTCTGTTTTTCAAGCATCGTTAACATTGAGTTTCCACAATATCCTAAGGGTAATTTTGTTCTAATTGCATTTTAAAAATATTACACATGTGCATGCTGAGTGGGACTTGTCGATAATGTCTCTGCCTATTAGGTAATTTTACCTTGAAGTTTGAAATAATTTGTTATTATATGTTGTTTAAATAATACCATGACAACATTATAGCCATTAATATGTCCAGCTATGTTTATTTATTCATGCATAATGTCTATCACGTATCACTTAATGTTACAATAAGCCAGTCACTAACTCAATGTAAAATCGTAGATCCAATTCTGCAGCTGCTGACCACCTTCACTTGAAAATGTCTTTGAAATTTCTACTCATTCAGCATTGTATGAGTAAAACCAACTTGAGATTATTTTCTCAGTTATATACAAAGTGATGTTAAATTTATTCAGAAATTATAGGACTTCAGCCTTAATGTATGTTATTAAGTTACATATACAAAACTTCATAGTTACCAAGGCCAACAATTTTTTAAAAACACTTTAGCAGTAGAACCTTCTCCTCCCTCTATTTATTTTAATTTTAAATCTTCCAGTTTTTTTAAATTAACAAATAAAAATTTTTATGTACTACTTCTGGTGTCAGACATGATGTTTTGACATATGTGTATGCTGTGGAATAGCTAAATCAAGCTAATTAACATATGCATCCACACATTTATGGTCAATTGATTTTTGACAAATATGCCAAGAACACACAATGGGGAAAGAAGAGTCTCCTCAATAAATAGTGTTGGTACAACTTGTTATCCACATGCAGAAGAATTAAATTAGAACCTTTTCTCACACCATTATACAAAAGTCAACTCAAAAGACATTAAAGACTTCATCATAAGACCAGAAACTGTAAAACTACTAGAACAAAACATGGGGAAAGCTTTTCGACATGGGTCTGGGCAATGATTTTTTTTTGGCTATGACCCCAGAAGCACAGCCAACAAATGCAAAAATAGACAAATGAAGATTACTTCAAACTAAAAAGCTCCTATGCAGTACAGGGAAAGAAAATCAACAAAATAGAGAAACAACTCACCGAATGGGAGAAAATATTTGCAAACCATATATCTGATAAAAAGTTAATATCCGAAATACACAAGGAAATCACACAACTCAATAGCAAGAAAACAAATAACACAATTAAGAAGTTAAACAGTTTTAAGATATAAAACAGATAAGACTGGTATTCTCGTTGGTTGTAGCCAATGAACAGAGCCCCCCTGCTATTCCTTCCTCTCTCTCTCCATTTTTTTGTTTTTGTTTTGGTTTTTTTGTTTTTTTTTTAGACACAATCTTCCTATGTTGCTCAGGCTTGTCTCTAATTCCCAGCCTCAAGTGATCCTCCTGCCTTGGCCTCATAAGTAGTTGAGATTAAAGGCATGAGCCACTGCACTCAGCTCTATCCATTTCTTTTGATTTCTACATCGGGCGCCCTAATAATCCTCTATGTGGAACTCAGGACCGCACAGAAAACAGCTAAAAGAACACATCTCTGACATTTCATTTGAACATATACCCACTAGTGGAATTGCTGGATCATACGGTAGTTCAATTTTCAATTTTTTGAGGAACAACCATGCTGTTTTCCATAATGGTTGTACTAACTTATATTCCCACCAACAGTGTATAAGAGTTTCCTTTTCTTTGCATCCTTGCCAGCATTTATTATTTTTTGTTTATTTGATAATAGCCATTCTATTTGTGGTGAGACGATGTCTCATTGTGGTTTTGATCTGCATTTCCTTGATGATTACTGATGTTGCACATTTTTTCATCTACCTGTTGGCCATTTATATGTCTTCTTTTGAGAAATACTAATTCAGATTTTTTTTTGCATTTTTTTATTAGGATGATTTTTTTTTTGCTATTCAGTTGTTTGAGTTTCTTATATATTCTGAATATTAACCCCTCGTGAAATGCATAGTTTGCATATATATATTCTCTCATTCTTTAGGTTGTATTTTTACACCATTGATTGTTGAAGAGATATCTGTGCGAAATGTATATCTTTGTGGAAGAGATATCTTAGTATGTCAAAGAGATAACTGCATTCCTATGTTTATTGCAGTAGTATTCACAATAACCAAGACATGAAATCAGCGTAAGTATCCATTAACAGATGAATGAACAAAGAAAATGTGGTATTTATACACAATAGAATACTATTCAACCATTAAAAAAGAATGAAATTCTGTCATTTGTGGCAACATGGATGAACCGCAGGGCATTATGTTAAGTGAAATAAACCAGACATAGAAGGACTAATACCACATAATCTCACTCATATGTGGAATCTAAGAAAGTTGATCTCACAGAAGTAGAGGAAGGAATAGTGGTTATCAGAGGTTAACCAGTGGGCTGGAAGTGGGGATTGGGAGAGATTCATCAACAGGTACAAAGTTACAGTTAGGAGAAATAACTTCTGGCTTTCTATTGCACAGGGGGTTAAAAATATTGTAGTGTATTTTCAAAATATTAACGCCTGGTGTGGTGGCTCACACCTGTAATCCCAGCACTTTGGTAGGCTAAGTTGGGTGGATCACCTGAGGTCAGGAGTTTGAGACCAGCCTGGCCAACGCGGTGAAACCCTGTCTCTACTAAAAATACAAAAATTAACAGGGAGTGGTGGTGGGTTTCTGTAATCCCAGATACTTGGGAGGCTGAGGTGGGAGAATCACTTGAACCAAGGAGGTGGAGGTTGCAGTGAGCCAAGATGACACCAATGCACTCCAGCCTGGGCAACAGAGTGAGACTCCGTCTCAAAAAAAAAATCCATCCATATCTATATCTATATTTTTATCTATATCTATATCTATCCGTAGCTAGAAGAGAAAATTTTTAAGGTTCTCACCACAAAGAAATCATAAATATATGTGATAGATATGCTAAATACCCTGATTTTTTATTTTTTATTATTTATTTTTTGAGACAGTCTTGCTCTGTCATCCAGTCTAGAGTTCAGTGGCGCCATCCCAGCTAACTGTAGCCTTGACCTCTCAGGCTCAAGTAATCTTCCATGCCTGACTAAATGTTAAATTTTTTTGTAGCAACAGGGTCTCACTGTGATGCCTAAGCTGGTCTCAGACTCCTGGCCTCAAGCGATCCTCCCACTTGGCCTCCCAATGTGCTGGAATTACGGGAATGAGCCTCTGTGCCCAAACAAATTTTTAATTTTTACACAATGTATACATGTATTCAAACGTTTCACTACATCCCATAAATATGCACAATTATTGTGTGTTATTTAAAAAACAAAAGTAAGAAAAAAAAAGAACACACCTTGTTCTAGCTTCTAATATCGTCGTTAACTACAAACTGCCAAGTGTTCTTTAATAGCCTTTATCGGAAATGACAGTAAAATGGACTCCTATATAAGTTGATTTATCAGAGCTTCTTTTCCAGAATACAACTGTAATTAATACAAGAGGGTATGTTTATGAAATAGGATCTAATTGTACTAATAAGAGTTTCCAAGAAATGATGCAGAATATAAGTTATATCCATGTGATACTGATTTCATCAATTCAGCTGATCATTTAAATATTTTCTCATTGTAGATTCACGCCACTTTTGAAAGTTTTTGAAAATCAAATGTATCAGGGTATTATTTTATATTTCTTAGTATCCTTCTGCCTTTTAAAAATAATATGATATTAGTATTGAGGAGGAAGGAAAGGCAGAAAACTGCATTATTTTCTGATCAATTTCTCTGTGGTAAGGAATTCCTCTCTCTCTCTCCTTTCCTCCCTACCTGTCTGCCCTCCTCCCCACATCCCTTGCTTTGGAAGAAGCACTGAGGTTAGGGGGAGTGTACATCTATTAACTACTCCTACCTCAGATTTTTCAAAAACAGTTCTCCCTACATATCGGTGCAATAAAACATACCCATCTAAAGCCTTTCCCACTTGTGCACACAGTATTCTATGTGTCTCTGGAACTTTATAAGTAATTCTATTTAAGATACTGGATATTTTCCATGGAAGCTCTTATTACACAAATTAATTATTTTTTCTAATGAGATTCAACTTTCATAAATTCTTTATTCTTCTATTTCAGATTATGAAAGACAAAAGCTTTCTTAAAATACCCTGGATCCAGGTCAATAATTCAAAAACAAATATTCTCTGAATTTCAGATAAATTCGGTATATTTTGAAGTTTTTTCAGTTTATTTTTTTGCTAAAATATGCTTATTTTCCTTTCAATTTCATTGTACCTTTGTCAAAAATCAAATGACTCTATTTGTATAAATTTATTACTGGGATTTGTGTTCTTTTCCATTGATTTATGTGTCCACCTTTTCAGCAATACCACAGTCATGATTACTGTAGTTTTACATTAAGTTCTAAAATTCATTTTACAACATACTTGGACTAAAGTCCTATCAATTCCAATTAGAGTTAAAATAATCCTTTGTATAACTGATGAAACATGTTAGACTTGGTTTTACTCACATAATTTTCTTTTTTTTTTTTATTATTTTTTTTTTTTTTATTATACTCTAAGTTTTAGGGTACATGTGCACATTGTGCAGGTTAGTTACATATGTATACATGTGCCATGCTGGTGCGCTGCACCCACTAACGTGTCATCTAGCATTAGGTATATCTCCCAATGCTATCCCTCCCCCCTCCCCCGACCCCACCACAGTCCCCAGAGTGTGATATTCCCCTTCCTGTGTCCATGTGATCTCATTGTTCAATTCCCACCTATGAGTGAGAATATGCAGTGTTTGGTTTTTTGTTCTTGCGATAGTTTACTGAGAATGATGGTTTCCAATTTCATCCATGTCCCTACAAAGGACATGAACTCATCATTTTTTATGGCTGCATAGTATTCCATGGTGTATATGTGCCACATTTTCTTAATCCAGTCTATCATTGTTGGACATTTGGGTTGGTTCCAAGTCTTTGCTATTGTGAATAGTGCCGCAATAAACATACGTGTGCATGTGTCTTTATAGCAGCTATGAAACCACTATGAGATATCATCTCACACCAGTTAGAATGGCAATCATTAAAAAGTCAGGAAACAACAGGTGCTGGAGAGGATGTGGAGAAATAGGAACACTTTTACACTGTTGGTGGGACTGTAAACTAGTTCAACCATTGTGGAAGTCAGTGTGGCGATTCCTCAGGGATCTAGAACTAGAAATACCATTTGACCCAGCCATCCCATTACTGGGTATATACCCAAAGGACTATAAATCATGCTACTCATATAATTTTCAAAATCATCTTGGCTATTCCAGTCTGGTAAATATCTGTGACAACAAAAATGTCTGCTGAGATTTTATTAGAATTGTATTGTATTTATAGATTGAACTGGGGAGAAATGACTTTAATGCTATTGAATTATCCAGTCCATGAACATGGTATACCTCCGCATTTATTTAGGCCTTTTTTGATTTATTTTATTAGTGTTTTGTGGTTTAACTGTACAGATATGGCACATATTATGTTAGAGGCATGCTTAACTATTTCATTTTTTGGTGCTCTTTTAGATGTTATTGATTTTTAAAGTTTATATTTTAGTAGTTCATTACTAATATATAGAAATACAATTGATATGAATATGTTGATTTGTTATCCACAAACTTGCTAAACTCATTGGTTGTGGGAGCTTTTTTGTAGATCTTTGGGATGCCTGACAAAGGCAATCACTTTATTTGTGATCAAGGACGATTTTATTTCTTCTTTTCTAAGTTGTATGTATGCCTTTCATTTGTTTATCTTGTAATGGCTACAGTGCAAATAAATGATTTTGCCACAGGCCCAGAAGGCATAGGCCCAGGGACCAGTGCCATCTCCTCCTCCTTGGTTCCAGGCAGACTGCTTCCCAGGGCCAAAACAAATACAGGAGGCCATGTTGCTCTAAAATGGCAGACTAGTCTCTGTCAGCAGGAAATTTGGGCAAGAAGTTTCCCCTAGGGTTGTGAGCATGGAAAATACTGGGTACAATAGCTTTACATATTTGATATAATTTAATCCTCACAGAAACTAAAAGAGGAAAAAAATTGAATAGAAATCATGAGACGAGGTAGCCTTGCCTTTGTCAGATCTTGGGGGAAAAATTCAGTCATTGATTACTATGTATGATTTTAGCTTTGGTCTTCTGACATGGTAAATTTATTCTGATAAGTTGATAATGTTTTCTTCTATTTTTAGTTTCCCCAGTTTTTACTATGAATGAATATCATTTTTTTCCATGTTTTTGGTATCTATTGGCATTATCATTTTTTTCTTAAGTTTGTTAATATGAGTTACACTGATTTTTTACTGTAGAGCTAGGTTACATTCCTGGGATAAAACCCACTTGGATGTGATGCATTATCCTTTTGATGTTTTGCTGGATTTGATTTGTTAATATTTTGTTAACAATCTTTACAGTTATATTCATGAGGGATATGGTCTCTAGTTTTCTTATAATAACGTTTTTTCCTAATTTTGATATTACGTAAATGCTAGTCTTATGAAAATGAACTGGGAAGTTTTTCCTTCCTCTGTTTTTTGAAAGGATTTTGAGGAATCAATAGCATTTATTCATGAAATGGTAGAATTGGCCATAAAAATTACCTGAGCTTTCATTACCTGTTTTGGAGCTTTATAATTAAAAATTCAATTTCAATCACATATAAACCACTATTAATACAATCTGTTCTTCTTAAGTGAGTTTTCACAGGTAGTGTCTTTTGAAAATTTGTTCATTTCATCTAAGTGGTCAAATTTATGGGCACAGAGTTTTTCATAGTATTCCCTTATTTTTCTTTTCATGTTTGTGGGGTCTTATAGTAATATGTCCTCGTTCTTTCATAACATTGATAATTGTTGTCTTCTGTCTGTGTTTTCCACATCAGTCTGACAAGACGCTTATCAATTTTATTCATCATTACAAAAATCAGTTTTTAGTTTTCGTTTTCATTGATTTTCTCTATTGTATTTTTTGTGTTTAATTTTACTGATTTTTGCTTTATTTTCTTCCTTCTGATTACTTTAGCTTTAACTTTCTCTTCCTTTTCTAATTTCTTGTGGTGGAACAGATTATTATTTTTTAATCTTTATTTTCTAAATTAAACTTTAAATGAGAGAAATCCCTCTCAATCCACTGCTTTAGCTACATCCTACACATATTGCTATATCTTTAAAATTTTTCATTGATCTCAAGTATTTTTAAATTTTCCTTTAGAATTTCTCTTTGAAATATGCTTCCTTCTTCATATTTTACCAGATATCTTTCTCTTATCAATTTCTGGTTTAATTCCACTATGGTACAAGACCATACTTGGTATGGTTTCTATTATTTTAATTTTTTTTTTATTTTTTATTTTTTATTTTTTTTGAGACGGAGTCTCTCTCTTTCGCACAGGCCGGACTGCAGTGGCCCTATCTCGGCTCACTGCAAGCTCCTCCCCCCGGGTTCACGCAATTCTCCTACCTCCGCTTCCGAGTAGCTGGGACTACAGGCCCCCGCCACCGCGCCCGGCTAATTTTTTGTATTTTTAGTAGAGACGGGGTTTCACTGTGTTAGCCAGGATGGTCTCGATCTCCTGACCTAGTGATCCGCCCGCCTCGGCCTCCCAAAGTGCTGGGATTAGAGGCGTGAGCCACCGCGCCTGGCCTATTTTAAATATTTTTGTAGTTAATTTTGTGGTTTAGTGTCTATCTTGGTTATATTTTCATATGCACTTCAGAAGACAGTGTATTCTGTTCCCTCTGCCCCACAATGACATCTCCGCGGACTCTTTTCAGTCTTTCCTATGTGAACCTGATGGGATTTCTTACAAGAAGGTTTGGATTCTGCCAATGTCTACAGCCCACGATGGTTCCCATAGTCCCCTGTCCTGCATTCTCATATTCAGCTTTCACCCATCTGTCAACTATTCTTCCTGACCTCTTCTTGTCAGTATCAGGTGGTGTTTACCTCCAGTGAGCAAGTGCACAAATCGATTTCCCTTATTTGTCCTTAAACTTTTGGGTCATTTGGGTGCTCTGCCAACTGACTTTTTAAAAGTCATGCATTTAAAGTTAGTCTGACTCTTTTTGTTTTGTTTTAAATGTGGGGAGTGATGCTCCTTCCAATACTTTGCATCCCATGACACAAAGTCTTGTAATTAAGTTGTCTGAAATAAAAAGTAAGTCCCTTACTGCCTACCCTTATAATGTAATTGGCTATTGAGTCTCTTTACAAAACAAATTCCACATGATTCCCAGTGATAATGAAGACATGAGATACTACCCATCTGTGTATAGCTGAAAATTTTATATTTGTGGATAGTGTTTACAAAATAAAACAAAATTATAATCCCAAGGGATGCAAAAATAATGGAATGTAGAAATTATATACTTCATTAATAACTAAAACCAGTCTATAATTTCTTATGTTTTTGGTAATTGCATAGCCAAAATTCTATTAAATGGATCAAAGAAACAATAAAATAAATGAACACAGCTTGTAATAAAATGTCATTGTTGAACCATAAAGAAATAAAGCTATGGATGCTGAATCTAAATAGAAAACAGAACAAAGAATTGCCTGCTTTCATCTACCATATGACATCTGGGAGCAGCAAGCCTCTTGGGAGAATCTCAAGTCACAGTTTAACAATAGTAACCCACAAAATTTGGCTTCATATTTCACATATTTAACTGTAAGGCATTATAACATGGTTATTAGAAGAGAACAGATTTTTGGAATCAGACAGATTGAACTCCAATTACTACTTTCTACTCCATCAGTTAACCAAAGGTGACTTCAAGGATACTAAGAGTTAGACTTCTCAAGAAAATTGACTTACAGTATTTCCTGATTGTGCATAGTTAGCATGAAAATTAACAGTCTAATTAGCTAAAACTACTAATGTACCCAGAGCAGAGAAACATCCATTGTAATCATGTGCTTGTAATTTATTTTGGTTAAATTTGGAGGTCCAACAGCATCTTTATTTGGCATGACATCCTTACTTAGTGAAAAAAAAACAAAAAAACAAAAAAACAGTGGCTTTATAAACCAGACACAATTGGGTTCTAATCTCAGCCATGCACTTATTAGAAGAGCAAACTTTTATAAATCACTGAACCACTATGACGTACAGTTTCTGTACTCACAAAATGAAAATTTAAAATATCTATCTCTCAGGACTATCACAAATAATGCATATAAATACCTAAATTTTTATTACATCTATCTTTGTCATTATTTTCTTCACTTCTAATATCATAGATCTTGCGGATATCAGGTTCAAGATTTAATTCCAAATCTAGTTGCAAATCCTTGCCTTTCCCAAGATAAGAAGTATTAGCACTCCATAATGAATTTCCATATTTAAACTCCATAATTAAGAGTAAGAGTACTCAAGAAAAAAGCTTTACAATTGTGATAACACAATAGTGCCCTGATAGTTTTTTAAAAGTGATTTCTAAACTCAATTTTACATAACAATTTTAGTTTCACAAAATGAGGTAAACAGGAATAAATTTGATTTCAGGTATATTGATGTTGCTATTATCAAATATGAAATGATTATATAGCCAACTAAATATTAATATTATGTGATATCCCATATTTAGCTCTTCTTTGTATTCTTTATACTACTTGAAACCTTTGATGATATTAATGATTATCTACTTATCTTTTATTGATTTTCTCTGATAATATCCTCATGAAAAGCTTAGGGATTTATTTCAAAAACTATATAGTGCATTTCTATAAGAACTGAAAAACAATTCATTTGAGTCTAAATTTGTACTAAGTTTAATAGTGAATCCCACATGAATCAATTACTCCTACTTTCATAAACAACGTAATGATTGTAAGGAATACTTATTAGAAAGACATTTTACTTGGATTGGTATGTTATTTTCTGCCATGACACTTTCTAATATAAGGCCAACTGACCAAAGCAAACCAAACCAAACAACTGTTGATGAATGACAAGGGCAAAAAAAACTTTAAATGTCTATTTTTTCGAAATCTCTGGCATCACATGGGAAAATTATAAAATACTACATGTTGATTTTATTACAAATACAGGAATCTGTAGAAAAATATCCTTGACTTATTACAGTTCCACATATCACCAAAACAAGTTGGCAACAAATACGCTCAGTAGATACTTCTTTGCCTTTGGTTTTCAGCATAGGCTTGAGCCAGTTCAATTTTATGTTTCCCATTCTGTTTTATAATAATCACAAAATATCTCCATTTCTAATTCCATCTGCCACTGGCCATTGGATGAGCTCCCGTTTCAGGCCTCTTGGTTCCCACAGGCAGGCTTTCTGTGTAGCCTACAGTTTAAATGTCAAAGGACTGTGGAGTAAGTGTTGGGGGAAAACTGACTGTGAATTACATGTGAATTCTGATCTCCAGCATTTATACAATGTTTCACTCTCCAGAGTATCTCTTGTTTTCCACCTTTACTGTATCTCAACTTCTCTATGTTTAGTTAGGTTTGTTTTTTCCATGCAGAATACTGTTACAACATAAACTCAATGAGTTGCAGATCTCTTAACTTTTTAGAAACAATTCTTTTATTTTAACAATGAGTAGAAGCATTTTCCATATTGTCACTCTAATTTTAGGATACCTACAGCATCTCACATAGGTTTCCTAAAGTAATTTACCTCGCGTATACTATAACATAACCATGAGAGATGATAGGTTAAGAAAAAAATATTAGTTTAAGCCAAACACATAGTTCTGATTCCAGTTCTAATCAACTTCACTTCAGCCAAGAAACTGGTCAATTACACATCTCAATACAAAAATTTGCAATCAGAAGCTTCCTTTCCATTGTTATTTAATAATTATTAGAGCAATGGCAAAGTTAGATTTTTTTAAACCAACATTTTTATGTGACAATATATGAAAATTAATATTTCATGAACATTTACTTAAATTTTTACATCAAAAAGGATTTCATCTGACTCTTGGCTGAACTATATATAGAAAACCAAGAAAAATGTCACAAAAAAGAAACAACAAAGAGTTAGGTAAAATTTGGAATTATATGCTATAATCTTAAATTATTAAATACTATCTTACAAAAAATCTCTTTATTAGTGACTTTTAGAGTTTAAGGTGTCACTCCTCCTATTGTTTCCACCAGCTAAACACAGTCTTGACCATTGCACCTAGACAATTGACAGTGTATTCATCTGTCCATCCTTCCACTCATCAATCTAACCATTCCCCTTTACCAATGATCAGCTTGCACAGTTCCTTAGCTAAAGCTGAGGGGGATTCAGATGTGACTAACACAGCACTGATAGATTTACCATCAAAATTTCTAAAGGGCTCTTCTTTACTGCCTAAGGGTATGGGCTTTGAGTTACAAAGATCTAAATCCAAATCCTATTTCTGCTGTGCACAAGCTATGTGTTATCTCTGCTTTGCTTAACCTCCCCTTGCCTAAGTTACCTTTTTGTAAAATGGAGATTATGAAATCTACATTTGAAGGTTGTAGGATGCATAAATGAGATTATCATGCAGCCTGTATGTTGCCCTTAGAAATAGTAACTATCATTACTATTCAGGAGGTGTGAAGAACAATCACAAGCAAGTGCTAAGGAAAACATTAAATATTATTGAAAGAAAGAAGTATTCAATAGAGTACAGTGACCTAAAAAGTAAGCAAGAGGCTTATTTTTTCTTAAAGGTAGTATCAAGTGCTTAAAAAAAAACAGAAAGATTAATATTTTTGTCCATTGGTTCTTCCAAACTATGAATCTGAGAAGGTATGACTAGATTGAGTTCTTTTATTTAATGCCACTCATACCTACAAGCAATGACATAAATAAGCCACACAAGTAGGAGATACCTATATAATATAAAGATATTCACCTGTGCTTTGCCACACACAGTGATATGGTTTGGATCTGTGTCCCCATCTGTATTAGTCAGGGTTCTCTAGAGGGACATAACTAATAAAGATATATATATATATATATATATATACACACACATATATATATATACACATATATATATACACACACATATATATATATATACATATATATATATATATGAAGGAGAGTTTATTAAGTATTAACTCACACAATCACAAGGTCCCACAATAGGCCATCTGCAAACTGAGGGGCAAGGAGACCCAGTCCAAGTCCTAAAACTGAAGAACATGGAGTCCAATGTTTAAGGTCAGGAAGGATCCAACACGGGAGAAAGATGTAATCTGGGAGGCTAGGCCAGTCTAGCCTTTTCACGTTTTTCTATCTGCTTTATATCCTAGCTGTGCTGGCAACTAATTAGATGGTGGCCACCCAGATTAAGGGTAGGTCTGCTTTTCCCCGCCCACTGACTCAAATGTTAATCTCCTTTGGCAACACCCTCACAGACACACCCAGGATCAATACTTTGCATCCTTTGATGCAATCAAGTTGACACTCAATATTAATCACCACAGCATCCAAACCTCCTGTGAAATTATAATCCCCGGTGTTGGAGATGGAGCCTGGCGGGAGGTGATTGGATGATGAGGATGGTTTCTCATGGTTTAACACCATCCACCTTGGTGCTGTCCTCACAATACTGAGTTCTCCTGTGAGATTTGGTTGTTAAAAAATGTGTTGCACTTCCCTGCCCTCTCTTTTGCTCCTACTCCCACCATGTGATCCAGTTCACTCCCCCTTTGTCTTCTGCCATGATTGGGAGCCTTCTGGAGACCTCCTCAGAAGCAGATGCTGCCATGCTTCCTGTACAGCTTGCAGAACCATGATGCAATTGAACCTCTTTCCTTGACAACTTATCCAGTCTCAGGTATTTCTTTATAGCAGTGCAAGAACAGACACACACAAACACACACACATACACAAACACACACACAATTTGGAAAATTGCAATATATTTTAATGTTAATTTAGAAAAGTTTGAGAACCTTCAAGTGAAGAACTGCTTTAAACCTTTAGCTAGTGTTCTTGTACCTGATGGAAATGAAATGTTCAATTACTTCCTTTACTTTCTGGGTAGCAAATAATGGCATTTATTTGTATAGGATCCTCATATTATATATAAAGGAACTACAAAATAACAGAACAAAACTGTAAAGGAAGTAGAGAAATCAGTTAGAATGAAATCTTAGAAGGCAACCAGCATGTCTCCTACCACAATGCATTCTATTAAAGTTGTACATTAAAACAAATGAAGATCAGTGGAGATATAGCCTTAAAGTTTATTATGTAATTTTCTTAAGCCATTGTTTAAAAGTGCAAAATCTCAGACTAAGGAAGACTTTTGGTTCAAGTGGTTTCTATTTGTAATGGAAAGTGTTTGTAGAATCTAGAGTCAAAGAAATCTGGGGATTCAAAGTACAGCTGGCCTGAGACAATGTGGATAAACGACTTTATCACTTTCAGTCCATGAGAGGTAAGATAGTGGGTTTGAGAAAAGCACAGGTTGATTGGGCTTGTATCCGACTCTACTATTTATTAGGTGCCTGGCCTGGGACACATAATTTAACCCTTCTGACTTAGAGTTTCCTAATACAATGTGAATAACTGCTAAATTTGTCAATATGTTAGCAACTGTAACAAATAAACCTCAATATTTCAACATCTTAATGCAATAGTTTATATTTCTTTCTCATGTAACCATCCAGCAGGTGATCCTGTGGACAGGCAGGCTCCTTGGATCTTGTGGTTCCACTAACACCCAGAGTCTCTGCATCCAGCCAGTGGGAGGAAAAAGAAGGAATGATGACAGTAGCCTCAATTCTTAAGAGCTTTGGCCCCGATGTGGTGCATGCCACTTCTCTAATTCTGTTTGTGACACACTGTCACATTGTCACATATCACACCTAGAAGCAAGGAGGCCAGGAAAAGGAGTCCTTGTCTGTGCATTCACTTCCCAGCCACAGTTTTCTACTATGGACTTGGGCACATGAACAGTGGCAGATGGCTAGCCATTTTTCAATTCTTGCATTTTATGGTTAATGAGAAGGTTGCAGAGCACACGTGTAGGGAACCCAGCACAACATTTGCCACACCGTGAGCAATCAACAAATGACACTTGCTAATTAGGGAGACTAACTCCTCCAAGTTTGCTTGAGATTTTCTTTTGCATTAGCATGGAAGATCCTATGTCCCAGTAATTCCTAGAATTCCAGGCAAACTAGGATGGTTTGTCTAGAACTGTCCTTGCCTTAAAACCGAAAGTCCATTATCCTGAGAACCTCCTCAGTTCCATACAAACTAGAGCACTTGGTCATCCTGCTACTAATGTTAATATTATTATCATCATCTTGAATAAAAGGGAACATTTTTACTTGTGTCCTCAGCAAGTGTGTGTGTGTGTGTGTGTGTGTGTGTGTGTGTGTGTATAAAGTAAAAATTGCTTTGCTGATTTGAATGAAATGCAATACAGAAAAAAATATGCTACAAAATTTTCTAACATTTTGAAAATGATTTACTGCAGATGACCCAAGGAGACATTTGAGATGTTTGTGAGAATGATAACTGTCTTGAAATGCACAAATGCAGGCATGTGCAGGTGTTTTAGATATATTTTGAGTGATTCTAGAAGGCTGAAATGAGACCTACGGGCGGAAGATATGACAGGTAGATGACAGCTCAATATAAAGGATTTTTTTTAAAAAAGGGTCTGTTTAGAAGACAGACTAATTCAGCAATCCCCAAGGCAGAATTGGAAAGCAAAACACATGCAGTATCCGCATCCCAAAAGACCTACAATATTATTTAATGTGCTTTACATGCAACATCATTCTGGCCCCTTATCCTTGTTCTCAGGCAAAATAGATACTGAGGAGACATTTTAGCAAAAGATATAGAGTGGACACACATTTTCCCCTTATATTTCCTGATCTCTGTGAGCTTTATATTTTAATCTAAAATCCCTGTTATTATCTATTTTTCTGTTTCTAATGTCACACAATGTTACTCTCTGGGAGCAGAGCCAATCCGAGAACTCCCTGCTGCTTAAACCAATCAATTGGTGTTTTTTTTTCATCTCTGTGCTTGCTCCAAGTTGGAAGAGCAACAGAATTATATGCTTGGGCTGAAAAATTAATACAAGTCAGAGCCCTTAGAATGGTAATCTTCTAAATCTATGGAATCTATAAAACTGACTTCCCAAAAGAGGCTGGTTAGAATATCATTTTACCAACAGACTCCTTTGATCTTTCCTTCCTAAAGACATTTTTCCCCATGTATTCCAAGGGAGAACATGATACAACTAAAGTAGATGTTCTCTTAAGACCCTGATTATGTGTCAAGCTCTGTGCAACTAGAATTCTCTCTTTCCTCTATACGTTTGGTACATGATTAACAAATACTAATGATCATTTTAAGTGGCCAGAGGGAGAGATGACCACAAGATTTGGAAAAGAGGGAATTAATCATATACTGAAAATGGATCTATTAGTAATCCTGTGTAATTGGGATGTAGAGGTCGTGCTTTTGAAATGATACTTTGTCTAAGCTTGGGCTGCTGTAATGAAATACCATAGCCTGGGTGGCTTAAAAAGCTGACTTTTATTTCTCACAGTTCTGAAGATGGGGAAGTTTGTGATCAAGGTACCAGGGAGAGCCCTTCTCTGGCTTGCAGACAGCTGCCCTGTGTCCTCACATGGCGGAGAGGCAGCACCAGCTCTAGTTTATCTTCCTCTTCTTATAAAATCAAGAATCCCATCATGGGGGCCTCACCTGCAGGACTGCATGTAAACCTAATTACCTTCCAAAGGTCCTATCTCCAAATATTATCGCATCGGACTTACAGCTCTAACATATGAATTTGGGGGGACACAAACATTCAGTCTATAATAGAACCCCTTACACAGGCCAACAGGGATGCATCTAACTTGACGCCATTGGTGAATTTTCATCAATTATCCAACATATCCATTTGGTGCATCTACTATGGGAAGGGCAATGTGCTTTCTATGCTAGGCTCACTCAAGCAGAAATCATGGAGAACTCTGTGTCAGAAGATAGTCCAGAGGCTTTTTTATTGAGAAAGACATCCTCCACATGTAGGATCTTATTATCCTCTATAAAAGTGTGTGATTTTTTTTTCCTTCTTGCTATTGCTATCTCATTGTGGTATTTTCCCATCAATGCATGAAATGCCCTCTCGTGTTCCCAAGAAGACAGTACTCAATACATTTTCTGATAAATGAATGAATGTTGGTTGGATAAATGATATAACCTATAAGGAAGAAAGATAAATTATTAGCATTCAAATTGAGCAAATGTGGGTAATTGTTCAAAAAATTATAGAGCCATTAAATTCTACTTGGCTCACAAAATATGAATTCCTCTTATGAGAGCAGAGTTTGTATTTTCTAATTTTCTCTTCGTCCTCTCTACTTTTCAGAGCACGAAGGCAGCACAGTATCATTTCTTCAGTACGTTCAATTTGCATATTGGTGAAAATTGGGAAAGACTGGATTGTACTAAATATTTGTAGGATAGAAATGAGGAATTCTTGCTGGGAAGGTACATGTTTTATTGGGGAAATAGGGTAGAACCCATGGAAACGTATGAAAGTTCTAACCCTTGCCATGGCACCTTAAACTCCCTGAGCCTCAAAATCTTTAACCATAAATGGAGTGATTATTACACCCAAATCATTTATATCCTTTTATATTTTGGTACTTTATTTTTATGTTTCCCCTTACCTTCAGGTAAACTCAGAGTCATATATTATTCATCTAGTCATACTCATATTAACAAAAGCTAAAAGAGCATTTACTTGTGTAGAATGAAAAGTCTAGTGAAGCACTGGCTTCAGGCACAGCTGTGTCCAGGAGCTCAAACAATGTTACGAAGATTACCTCTCTCTCATGACTCAATTTTTGGCTATATTTTTAGAGTGTACAACCAACAGATTTAGGCTCATCTTATCTTTCCAACCATCAGTTTTTTTTCTGACACACCACTTTTTTTTTACTCTAGTAACATCAAAACTTCTTGAATGTGTCACATTGGCTTGGTTTGAGGCACTTAAACAATCCCTATAGCTGATTGGCCAGACATGGTTTATTTGCTCAACTCTAGGGATTAAGAGTCAGGACAGGATAGATTTAGACACATTGGGACTAAGTGTGGCAAGAAATATTTTCGTAAAAATGAATAGAGAAGAAGTAATGAATTCTGGGCAGATATTCACTACACACACACACACACACACACACACACACACAATCTATGTGCTATTATAATCTGGCTGGCATATTTGAACGTAACTATATTTTAGAGGCAATTTTCAAAATTAACATCAGACAATCCCTTTGGATTATTACAGATCCATAGAGTTTCATTTTTAAACTACTATCATTAGTAACATAATGGTAAGGGCACTTGTCATAAAATATTTGGTCTACATAAACATAATATAAGATAACTAGACAAATTTAAAAAATGAAAGCAATGATAGCCAACATCCTGTGTAATTATGTTTCTCTTGCTGACTTTCACATTCTATTGAATTTTTCCTCTTGAAGATCTTTATGCTTCAAATATTAGATTAACACAGGTTTAATGCAATTTATTTTTATCCCAAGATTCTATGCATTTTCTCTTTTCAAATAAGAGCGTTTTAAAATACTGGATTTCTGCTAAATTATAAATTACAAATTCTAATAAATTATCAATTTAAAATTAGGTTTTACTAAATCTAAGTATGAATACTTTTTTAATCTTATGAAAAGTATGCTGAAAATATGATTATCAAAGAAATGCAATGAAGATTAAAAAGTATTAAATAATAAATCACTCCACAAAAGTTAAAATATGGGTTGATTTGTTTTATGACCCTCTACCTGGGGTCCCGCTACTTATTACATTCCCCTTATACTTACATGAACTTGAAGAAAATAATAATATATTTACAACTGACAGTGTTTTAAAATATGTTATTTCAAATAATAGTTTAAAGAAAATTAAACTTTAGTTAGAACCATGTGAAATCGCCTTCACTATAGACAAAATGCCACCAAATGTCAGGCATATGTTAATAGATATATAGTTACAACTATAGTTTGGTAACGTGATTGCCATATATATTTTAATGTTATGGTCAGTGATATGGAGACCTTCAGAGGATAATTATACACATTGAATTCACTATTCATCACAAGATACTTTGCTGCAGCCTAAACATCACTGTGAGAAAGTATATTTTCTGCTACATCTTTGAGGTATTTATTGTCAGTCATTGGTACTATTAGAAAATTGTCCGGGAGCTGTAGCTCATGCCTGTAATCCCAGCACTTTGGGAGGCCGAGGTGGGCGGATTACTTGAGGTCAGGAGTTTTGAGACCATCCTGGCCAACATGGGTGAAACCCTGTCTCTACTAAAAGGACAAAAATTAGCCGGGCATGATGGCTGAAGCCTGTAATCCCAGCTACTCGGGAGGCTGAGGCAGGAGAATCACTTGGACCCAGGAGGCCCAGGTTGCAGTGAGCGGAGATCGTGCCACTGCACTCCAGTCTGGGCGATAGAGCGAGACTCTGTCTCAAAAAAGAAAATGTAATAATTTGAGTTTTCTTTAAAGTATTCAAGAAAGGAAAGATAAGAAGCAGATGTCAAGTTATGCTTACCCTGTCTATTTCACTTCATTTTCATTTTACCCCTAAGTCAGGCCTTTCTTATTGGAAGAACTGAGACATTCATAATTGCAAGTATCCCGTTGTAATTCAACAGAGATATCCTCATTCCTTTTCTTTCTCTTACTCTTTCATTCTTTGTGCCTTATCACAATATCCAGATATCTCAGAACACAGTGCTTTGAATACTTTAACCCTGTTATTGACGTAGTGACATCACAATATAATGCCTGTGCATCCCAGAAAACAGAAATGGCCATCTTTTTCATCATTTGTACACAGTATCTGAAACACATGCATGTTAAATTAAATTACACACCTTAAAGAAAACTTTAACACAAAGGCAAGACAGAAACATTGCAAGCGTTTTAAAACATATTAAATTTAGTCACAAATGGAAAGTTTTGGATGCCTATGTTTCTGCTACCAGAAACATTTTTATAGGAATATGACTATATTTACCCACAAATAAAGGAAAACTTTATAAAATGTCGCTTACTAAAATTAGTTTGCTGTGAATCATCTTTCAGATAAATTCAGTCACAATTTAAATATCCTTGGTTTGAAATATATATAAAAAAGATATTACCTTTGTTTTTGAACTACTGGTATTTTGTTGTTGTTGTTGTTGTTACTTCTAACAGTAGTGAATGTATATGGTTAAAAATGTTCAACACTGCAGAGGGCTTATAATGAAAACAAATAGTCTCTCGTCATAGTTCTCCCCACCTACCATATTCTCCTTCAAATAAAATACAAACATTTTGGCTGTTTGGTTTTAGATTCTTCCTGCGGTTGCCTGCAAAACTCTAAACTGTATGCTTATATTGCTGTGTCTACATGTGCACGCAAGGTGTCATATAAAGTTTTCTGCTATGGTAGTTGAAAGTTTAGTTCACATATTCCAACACTATCTCTATCTCCCTTCTCAATTTATTTACACATCACTTTTTAGTTCCTGCCTGGAACTTTAAACAACATACTTAAAACTCAAATTTTGTGCTCCATCAGCCTACACAGAGTATGCCTTCACTTCAACATTTTGAAATATAACATAAGCATTCTCAGCCCAGTACCTAACCCGCCTCTGCTTACCACCTATGTTTCAGCTTTTATCTGTGTCTTTAGGTTTATGTTGTCTGGATTTAAATTTTATATTCCTTTCTGAGATGTGGTTATGTGTTCTGAATTTGGCCATAATTATTGATTCCAGAAGATGAAAACCATTAAAACTACTCATATCACTCTGTTTAGGAAAACATTTTTTATAGGAATATGACTATATTTACCCACAAATAAAGGAAAACTTCATAAAGTATCACTTCCTAAAATTAGTTTGCTGTGATTCATGTTTCAGATAAATTCAGTCACGATTTAAATTTCCTTAGTTTGAAACACATATGAAAAAAGAGATTACCTATGTTATCCATAACATAACCAGTTAGGACCCTGGGACTGCATTTCCTTCTCTGTTGCCATAATGTCCTATTTTTTGTTGGTGGTTACATTTTTATTATTGTTCTTGTTTAATAAACTCTTTTTTAGAGCAGGTTTACATTCAAAGAAAAATTGAGCAGATGGTACAGAGATTTCTCTTATACTCCCTACCCCCACAGATACATAGCCTTCCTTATTATCAACATCCCACATCAGAGTGGTACATTTGTGACAATTAATGAACATTTACACATCATTATCATCCAGGGACTACAACACACATTAGTGTTCATGCTTGCTGCTGTAGATTTTATGGGTTTGAAAAAATGTATAATGACACATGTATACCATTCTAATATCATACAAAATAGTTTCACTGCTCTAAAAATCCTCTGTGCTTCACCTATTTATCTCTGCCTCCCTCTGGCCCATGGCAACCACTGATCTTTTAGCTGCCTCCATAGTTTTGCCTCTTGCACAATGTCATGCATTTGGAATCCTATAGTATGTAGCCTTTTAATATGGGCTTCTTTTACTTAGTATATGTATTTATTTTCCTCCGTGTTTTTTTCCTGGCTTGGTAGTTCATTTCCACTTAGTGCTGAGTAATATTCCACTATCTGGATATACCACAGTTTAGTTACTCATACACCTATCGAAGGACATCTTGATTGCTATGTCCTAATTTTTAAATGTCTTAATGTCCTAAAGTTTAAATGACTTAAATAGAGTGAAGTTCAAAGTTATTCAACATTTTTTACACTCCACCAAATCCTGATCGTGTTCTCAAAGTTCACCAAGTTCTCCGTCTTACTATTTATTCTCCTTTTTCGCAGGGGCCTTTGTCTTGGAAGCCTTTATGCTTCTACTATAATCTTGATTACTTTTGAGCAGGGTTACAGCTTTCTTCATGAAAATCCCCCTTGTTGCTTTTCTGTGCTTTCTGGATTTCAAAGCTTCCTGGTTCTTGAGTTAACCTTTCATCTTACTGAAACACATCTACCAAAACTTCCACGAAAAAAAGTGTCTGTAATGTACTTTGAGTCCTTGCATACTGGAAATATCTTTTTTTGTCTTCACATTTGAATGACAGTTGGTTAGGTATAGAATTTAAGTTTGATAATAATATCCTCTTGATATTTTGAAGTAGTGGACCTAGTAACTTTTACAAGCACATAGTGCTGTTGATGGGAATCTCATCTTATTTGAAAGTTCACAATAACAGTGTGTTCAAGCAAAAGTCTTTATTCATTCACTATGTTTGTTTGTTTATAGAGGCAGAGTGCACCCAGGCTGGAGTGCAGTGGCATGATCATAGCGGTCACAGCTCCTGCAGCCTTGACTTCCTGGGCACAAGGGAACCTCCTGCCTCAGCCTTGCAAGTAGCTGGGACTATAGCTTCCCCATGGTCAACATCCTGCACCACCACATCCAGCTAATTTTTTTTTTTATTATTTCTAGAGACAAGGACTCACTATGTTGCCCAGGGTGGTCATGAACTTCTGGCAATCTTTCCCTCTTGGCCACGCAGAGTGCTGAGATTACAGGTGTGAGCCACCTTGCCTGCCCTTTCTTCAGTGTTATTAGGCATACCAATTTGTAATATCTTCTTGTTGAACACTTCTATTGTTTTCCTTACTTCTGCCTCCTCTGCTTATTCCATTCTCCCTCTGGAAACCTAAGTAATCAGATATGGTATTTCATTTTCTGGTCCAATCCTCTATTTTTCATTTTTCATTTTACATTTGTCTTTTGTTCTACTTCTTAGGAAATTTCTTCAATCTATATTATTTTTACATTCCAATCTATATTTTTTAATCATATTTTTAAATTCCAAGACTTTTCTTGTTAGCTGTTTCTATTTTATTCTTCTTGGCATTTTTTGGGTGAAATCTATATATTAATCTATCCCAGTAATAACCAGAGATGATTTTAATTCTTTGTTCATTTTATAGTCATTATGTGCCGTTTATTATCTCTGTTTAGCTCTTGGTTAGTTTTTTGTTGATTTCTTTGATTTTTTTTTTTTTTTGGTTGTTGGAATTGTGTGCTTCCTTAAAACCAAGGAAACTTAAATTATCTGTTTGTACATATCTGAGAATGAAGCAAAAAAAGAATGAAGGGGGAAAAAAAGGACAAGCTGGTTATTTAGTTAATAAGTGACCCTGTAGGGATAACAGAAACCATACAGGGAGTTGTATTACCTAGTAATTGAGACTAAGCTCTTGATTCAGAATGCTAGGGTTCAAATAGGAGATCCAGTAATTAACAGTTGTGTGATTTTGGACAATGTGTTTTCCCTCTCTGAGCCTTAGTTTCTTGATTTGCAAAATATAAGTAAAAATGATAATATTTATGCCATTATTGTGAATATTAATTTATATAAGATATGTAAGTGATATTAGTGACAAAAGACATGTAACTAAGACAGTGTCAGACCCGGTGAGAAAATATTCCGAATAAAATCCAAAGGTAGCCAGTCGCCTCTTAAAAGGAAAAAAATTAATTATTGCAATAAAAGTGACATTGACTTTCCAATATAATATTTTTCTAATCAACTGCTTATATATAAAATATTAAGCAAAAAGAAATAAATGTTATGGGTGTAAATTACTAAAATTATAATATTGACTTTTTTCTCAATTGGACCTTGGCATCACACCCATTAATTAAATCCAGAAACCCCTTTTTATTTTGTTTTTCTATTTTGATATTGTTATGAGATTAAAGTGTCAATACACATGCAAACAGTATTCTTTCCAAAATTTTAAGTCAGAAATAAACCAAGATGAAGAATATTCAGTAAGTGAGATCATACAATTAAAACAAAACAAAAACAGAAAACCTTGGGAAAATTGGATGCTTTTTTTGTTTGTTTTTTTTAGACAGAATCTCACTCTGTCACCCAGGCTGGAGCAGCGGCTTGATCTCGGCTCAACGCAACCTCCACCACCCGGGTTCAAGCAATTCTTCTGCCTCAGCCTCCCAAGTAGCTGGGATTACAGGCACCCGCCACCAAGTTTTGTATTTGTTTTTTGCTAATTTCTGTGTTTTTCAGTAGAGACAAGGTTTCACCATGTTGGCCAGGCTGGTCTCGAACTCCTGACCTCAGGTGATCCACCCGCCTCAGCCTCCCAAAGTGCTGGGATTACAGGCGTGAGCCACTGCACCCGGTCTGGATGCTCATTTTCTATACAATCACAAGCATCACTTGGTGATTATGAGAAACATGGTGTGGTGCAAAGAAGCTGGGAGCGCATACTCAGAGAACTTGGGCTTGTTTCCTTTCTCACTCCTGTTTCCAGTATCTATGTCACACTCAAAACCTGAGCTTCGCCTCATTTATAAATTATGTTCAAATGCTCCAACAACTTGACTATTCTAGAATCATTTATCCATAAATTAAAAGCTTGCTCTTGTAGCATCTTTAATTGAATATGCAAATTGAAAATCTATTTAAATATCTTAAAAATCTCATCCTGTGTGATTCTAAGTGAGATTTCTTAATATAACTTTATATTTTTAAAACCCATCCAATACTCTCTTCTTCGTCAAGTTCTCTAATATGAACTTTTAAAATCAGCCTTAGAGAGAAGTGGTAGATGCCTTTCTATATATCCTTCTAGGAAAGATTGGGAAGTTGCTCCTACAGTTTTTCTAATTAGTGTAGAAACAGTTTTATTAACCGAACAAAGCTACAGTAAGTTTAAGAGTATCCTTTTATTATCTTCACAGAAAAAGTGGCTTCCAGAGTTCTGTTCAATTCAGTCTCTTTAGAGTTAAATATGTTTTAAGGAATATTAACTACAATGATAGTCAAGTAAATAATGAATAACTAAACAGATTTGTCTTCCTGTCAGTCTCAGCCAGTTGAATATATTGAGCATGGTAAATTTAAGGAGTTTAAAAATAGTAAACTATGCTAATCAAAAAAACTAGTTTTAAGTGTTTATACATGGATAGAAACTTGTGTTTGACACGCCATTATTGAAAAAGGCAATTGTGCCACGTTACAGACAAAGGATTATTAATGAAGTTTTTGGATTTAGTCAGGGGCCAGTTAGATGAATGGATTGGAGCTGTTTCCTACAATGGAATGTTGACTTCGTGATTTTACATTTCTAGAAAGCCTCCTGTTCTGGTTCTATTGTTTGTTTCTTTCTATCCTCAGTTTCAATATCACTTTCTCCAGAATCTTCCTTGACCAGCTGTCACTTCCTTACCACTTTTATTTTCTTTGAAGCATTATAGTAATCAACTCTTATGTTATTTGTTTCCTCATTTATTTACTGTCTATCTCTTACCACACCACACCTATCCCAAAATTGACCACATAGTTGGAAGTAAAGCTCTCCTCAGCAAATGTAAAAAATCAGAAATTATAACAAACTGTCTCTCAGACCACAGTGCAATCAAACTAGAACTCAGGATTAAGAATCTCACTCAAAACCGCTCAACTACATGGAAACTGAACAACCTGCTCCTGAATGACTACTGGGTACATAACGAAATGAAGGCAGAAATAAAGATGTTCTTTGAAACCAACAAGAACAAAGACACAACATACCAGAGTCTCTGGGACACATTCAAAGCAGTGTGTAGAGGGAAATTTATAGCACTAAATGCCCACAAGAGAAAGCAGGAAAGATCCAAAATTGACACCCTAACATCACAATTAAAAGAACTAGAAAAGCAAGAGCAAACACATTCAAAAGCTAGCAGAAGGCAAGAAATAACTAAAATCAGAGCAGAACTGAAGGAAATAGAGACACAAAAAACCCTTCAAAAAATTAATAAATCCAGGAGCTGGTTTTTTGAAAGGATCAGCAAAATTGATAGACTTCTAGCAAGACTAATAAAGAAGAAAAGGGAGAAGAATCAAATAGACGCAATAAAAAATGATAAAGGAGATATCACCACCGATCCCACAGAAATACAAATTACTATCAGAGAATACTACAAACACCTCTATGCAAATAAACTAGAAAATCTAGAAGAAATGGATAAATTTCTCGACACATACACCCTCCCAAGACTAAACCAGGAAGAAGTTGAATCTCTGAATAGACCAATAACAGACTCTGAAATTGTGGCAATAATCAATAGCTTACCAACAAAAAAGAGTCCAGGACCAGATGGATTCACAGCCGAATTCCACTAGAGCTACAAGGAGGAACTGGTACCATTCCTTCTGAAACTATTCCAATCAACAGAAAAAGAGGGAATCCTCCCTAACTCATTTTATGAGGCCAGCATCATCCTGATACCAAAGCTGGGCAGAGACACAACCAAAAAAGAGAATTTTAGACCAATATCCTTGATGAACATTGATGCAAAAATCCTCAATAAAATACTGGCAAACTGAATCCAGCAGCACATGAAAAAGCTTATCCACCATGATCAAGTGGGCTTCACCCCTGGGATGCAAGGCTGGTTCAATATATGCAAATCAATAAATGTAATCCAGCATATAAACAGAACCAAAGACAAAAACCACATGATTATCTCAATAGATGCAGAAAAGGCCTTTGACAAATTCAACAACGCTTCATGCTAAAAACTCTCAATAAATTAGGTATTGATGGGACGTATCTCAAAATAATAAGAGCTATCTATGACAAACCCACAGCCAATATCATACTGAGTGGGCAAAAACTGGAAGCACTCCCTTTGAAAATTGGCACAAGACAGGGATGCCCTCCCTCACCACTCCTATTCAACATAGTGTTGGAAGTTCTGGCCAGGGCAATTAGGCAGGAGAAGGAAATAGAGGGTATTCAATTAGGAAAAGAGGAAGTCAAATTGTCCCTGTTTGCAGATGACATGATTGTATATTTAGAAAACCCCATCGTCTCAGCCCAAAATCTCCTTAAGCTAATAGGCAACTTCAGCAAAGTCTCAGGATACAAAATCAATGTGCAAAAATCACAAGCATTCTTATACACCAATAACAGACAAACAGAGAGCCAAATCATGAGTGAACTCCCATTCACAATTGCTTCAAAGAGAATAAAATACCTAGGAATCCAACTTATGAGGGACGTGAAGGACCTCTTCAAGGAGAACTACAAACCACTGCTCAATGATATAAAAGAGGATACAAACAAATGGAAGAACACTCCATGCCCATGGGTAGGAAGAATCAATATCGTGAAAATGGCCATACTGCCCAAGGTAATTTATAGATTCAATGTCATCCCCATCAAGCTACCAATGACTTTCTTCACAGAATTGGAAAAAACTACTTTAAAGTTCATATGGAACCAAAAAAGAGCCCACATCGCCAAGTCAATCCTAAGCCAAAAGAACAAAGCTGGAGGCATCACACTACCTGACTTCAAACTATACTACAAGGCTACAGTAACCAAAACAGAGATATAGATCAATGGAACAGAACAGAGCCCTCAGAAATAACGCCACATATCTACAATTATCTGATCTTTGACAAACCTGAGAAAAACAAGCAATGGGGAAAGGATTCCCTTTTTAATAAATGGTGCTGGGAAAACTGGCTAGCCATATGTAGAAAGCTGAAACTGGATCCCTTCCTTACACCTTATACAAAAATTAATTCAAGATGGATTAAAGACTTAAATGTTAGACCTAAAACCATAAAAACGCTAAAAGAAAACCTAGGCATTACCATTCAGGACATAGGCATGGGCAAGGACTTCATGTCTAAAACACCAAAAGCAATGGCAACAAAAGACAAAATTGACAAATGGGATCTAATTAAACTAAAGAGCTTCTGCACAGCAAAAGAAACTACCAGCAGAGTGAACAGGCAACCTACAAAATGGGAGAAAATTTTCGCAACCTACTCATCTGACAAAGGCCTAATATCCAGAATCTACAATGAACTCAAACAGATTTACAAGAAAAAAACAAACAACCCCATCAAAAAGTGGGCAAAGGATATGAACAGACACTTCTCAAAAGAAGACATTTATGCAGCCAAAAAACACATGAAAAAATGCTCACCATCACTGGCCATCAGAGAAATGCAAATCAAAACCACAATGAGATACCATCTCACACCAGTTAGAATGGCAATCATTCAAAAGTCAGGAAACAACAGGTGCTGGAGAGGATGTGGAGAAATAGGAACACTTTGACACTGTTGGTGGGACTGTAAACTAGTTCAACCCTTGTGGAAGTCAGTGTGGCGATTCCTCAGGGATCTAGAACTAGAAATAGAATTTGACCCAGCCATCCCATTACTGGGTATATACCCAGAGGACTATAAATCATGCTGCTATAAAGACACATGCACACATGTTTATTGCGGCACTATTCACAAGAGCAAAGACTTGGAACCACCCCAAATGTCCAACAAGGATAGACTGGATTAAGAAAATGTGGCACATATACACCATGGAATACTATGCAGCCATAAAAATGATGAGTTCATGTCCTTTGTAGGCACATGGATGAAACTGGAAATCATCATTCTCAGTAAACTGTCGAAAGAATAAAAAACCAAACACCGCATATTCTCACTCATATGTGGGAACTGAAAAATGAGAACACATGGACACAGGAAGGGGAACATCACACTCTGGGTACTGTTGTGGGGTGGGGGCATGGGGGAGGGATAGCTTTAGGAGATATACCTAATGCTAAATGATGAGTTAATGGGTGCAGCACACCAGCATGGCACATGTATACATATGTAAATAACCTGCATATTGTGCACATGTATCCTAAAAGTATAATAATAATAAAAAATAAAATAAATCTAATGCAAAAAAAAAGAATGCAAGTTCCATGAGTTAAGGGATTTAAGGGATTTTATCAATATTATTATTGTTATTATTATTATTATTATTTTCATGGAGTTTTGCTCTTGTTGCCCAGGCTGGAGTGCAATGGCGCAACCTCAGCTCACTGCAACCTATGCCTCCCGGCTTCAAGCAATTCTTCTGCTTCAGCCTCCCAAGTAGCTGGGATTACAGGCACCTGCCACCACGCCTGGCTTTTTTTTTTTTTTTTTTAGTAGAGACAGGATTTCACCATGTTGGCCAGGCTGGTCTCGAACTCCTGACCTCAGGTGATCCACCTGCCTTGGCCTCCGAAAGTGTTGGGATTACAGGCTTGAGCTGCTGTGCCTGACCCCAGTATTATTCTTAAGGTTATCCCCAGCATACAGCACAATGTCTAGCATTTTTATGAGCTTAATATATATTGTTACATAAAGAAAGCGCATGTCACAAATTTAACCTATTTAGGAAACTTTTTCCTTATCTTTTCAGATCTAAAGGAGTTTAGAAAATTCTATCAGCTTCTATATACAACTTCTGCTTTAATAGAGATTCTATTAATTCAGGAAAAGCTAACCCAGAATTTCAATAGCTTACTAGATAGAAGTTTATTTCTTGCTCATATAAAGTCCATAAGGATCTCCTGATTCATGGGCCGCTCTAGACCAAGCAGAGTTTTAGGAACTCAGGATTTTTCCATTTTGTGACTCTGCCATCTTCAAAACTTGGCCTCCAAGATCATCCCCGGGAAAGTGAAGAGCAAGAAGAGTAGGGGGTGCACAGTGCTGTCAAGAACTTCCTACTGGCCAGAATTCAGTCACATGTCTGGCAATAACTGTGAGAGAGACTGGGAAATGTAGCCTAGTTGTGTATCTGGGACAAAGAGGAAACTGATTGGGTGAAAGGTAACCAGTCTCTGCCACAGCGATTAAAAGGGCATGTATCTATTATCATTATTTTAAAACTTGGCTTTACTCATGTATGTCTATCACAGTGCCTGAAATACAGTTGGTCTGTAATAAATATTTATTGAGTAAATCATTTTGAGATAGATACATTACATTTACATTTTAAGGATGGCTTATTAACACATAATTGCATATCAAATATACCATGTTTCAGCTTATTTTTGTCTTACAGCATCAAGTAAAAATGTAATACTTTTCTTCAGATTAAAGAAAATGCAAACGTAGATCACAGTCTCTGATACCAATAATTCATCAATTCCACATATACTTGAAATCCAGTGAGTGTTACTTGGTTACGAATATTTGACAAAATTGGACCTTGCATAAGTAATATACTTTTACATGTTTGCTTAGATTTTGTAATTTAGCAGATTTTGACAGATGAGAAAGTAGACAATATCAAAGTCACATGATAAGAAAAATGATTTTTCTAGCTCCCTAAACTCTTATAATCTGTTAGCTTTCCCTGGTCTACTGTGTGAATTTTCAAAATTAGTTTACCCAGCTGTGTGATGCTGAAAAGTCACATAACCTTTCTGAGTTTTAGTTTCCTCACCTGTAAAACGGTGCTCATACCACCTCCTCAAATAAGCCACATTGCATGGAATCACTATGGAAATATTAACTCATACTGAAACTGAGGATAGAAAGAATCACTATGGAAATATGAGTTAATATTTCCATACTGGGAAATGGAGGTAGCTATTATCATTCTTGGTATGTTTGCTGGTGTCTCACCTCTTTTTAAATAGCATTACTCTCTCAATAAAGTCATATGGGAAAAACTTTAATTAGCCCAATCTCATTGTTCATATATGGAAAATGGAGACCATTAGGAAATCAAATGTTTTGAGTTCCAAGAAGCATATCTTATTGGGCTTATTTGCATAAAACCTTAAAAATCTCACCAAGGACAAGTAAACATTCTTAAACATGAAGATGTGAAAATAAAAAATGATTAGACTATTATGGAATCATCGTTATAAAAGATGTTATGCTAAGAGGTTCAAGAGGCAATAATGGACTAGAATCAAATTGAAATCAAGACTAATTCACTATGAAATCAGTTACAGTGACTATTATATATTTATTGAGATATTCGCAACAGGGAGAAACCATGAGATTTTCTAAATAGGACAGATTTTGAGGCAAGATCTTATTAGGTTTGAATCCTTACTATGCCACAAGTATTTATTAGTTATGAGCATATACCTGGTCTATTTGGACTTCAACTTTCTCATCTACCAATGTTGAGTAATAATCCTTACCATATACAGCTTAACATCTCGGAAAGATGATGTGCTTAAAGTAGGTATCACAATGCCCAGTATACGACAGATCTTACAAAACAGCAACATGGACATATGGCATCAGTAAAGTAAATCTTCAAATCTCACTCCACCAACACCACATTTCAGTCTCATCATTCACACTTGTTTCTTTTTGGCACTTGTTACTATTCAGTCTGGACTTCATGTGATCAGTTTTGTCTTGGTAGAAGAATTTAGCACCCTAATTTAACATTGTAACATTTTGTCAATTTCAATCCCAGGCTGTTATTAAATTTATCCAATCTCATCATGGAAACTGTCACCTAAAAACATGACATCAATTCTCAAACCTACTAATATCAAGGTGTTTTCACTAATAGTCAAGAATCCCCTCCCACCCCCAATAAACATACTGTTGTTGTTATTGGTTTAGGTTTATGTAACCATCTTTTGATTCTCAATGATTGTTTTTCCAAATCCAAACACTACTCTCCCAAGTACATCTTCTATACTGTAACAGTGTGACACAAGGTACTTCTTCAATGTCCCTGACCCTCTCAAAGAGAAATGATTTCAATTTATTTCTCTCCTTTTTTTGTTTGTTTTTGTTTGTGTGTGCACATGTGTCCACACATATGTTTCATGTTGATATTCTCGTGTGTGTATGTTACTGGGTATGCATTTGCCTATAAGTTTGTGTGGTAATTTTCCTGTGTGTTTATATGTGTTCTTACGTGTGTGTATGTGTGTATCCTTTTATCTTTCCTTCTTTCTCAACCAGCCCCTAAAGACAGCGTATTTGCTTTTCTCATCTTTCTGAGTATGTAGCATCATCATAGGGCAAATTTTATGGATGTTCAATAAATATTTGAATAAATGGTGATTTTTATATCCCTGAAACACATTCTTCTATGTGTTTTCTTATCACATAAGTCCCAATTCCTAATCACATTGGCAGAAAGCATGATCATACTGAAGTGAATATTTTAATATGCCTTATTTTAGATGGAATCAGTATAACTGGGTTTGGAATTCAATATGTCATTTACATATTTTGAACCTCATTAATCCAGGCCTGAAACAATGAAATGAATTTTTTCTAACTTGTGAATTAGAGCATGAATACAAGATCGAAATGTAGTTTTCAAAATAATGAAATGGGTTCATGATACACATTGTCAGCTTTTCTAAGGCAATAATACTTCATTCTTCATATACAAATGTGCTATACAACAATTTCTAAAAAAAAGTTCTTGCTTTATGACAATACCACTTTCTAATAGCATAATTAAGCATTCAGCATAGTATCGCCAACAAGATCCTTTAGTGCAAATAGAAATATTTGCAAATTGATCCAGTGGTAATTATCTGGATTCCATTTCTTACAAATGGTTGATCATTTTTTAAAAAAATTACTTTTAAAATCTTATTTTTAAAAAGTAACAGCTTTACTGAGATATAAATCACATACCATATAATTTTCTCATTTAAAATATACGCTTATTGGTTTTTAGTATATTTGTAAAGTGGTACAAACATCACTACAATTGAATTTTAAACACTCTCATTATCCCAAAAAGAAATTCTGTACCCATTACCTTGATCCATTCCTTGTCACTTCCACCCTCCAGTCCTAGGAAACTTCTATCTATCTTTATCTTAATAAACTTGCCTATTTTGGACCTTACATATTAATGAATAATAGAATATATGGTTTTTGTAACTGGCCTCTCTCACTTAACATACTGTTCTCAAGGTTCAACCGTGTTGTAGTATGCATCGATACTTCATTTCTTTTTTTTTTTTAATTTTACTTTAAGTTCTGGGATACATGTGCTGAACGTGCAGGTTTGTTACATAGGTATACATGTGCCATGGTGGTTTGCTGCACCTATCAACCTATCATCTAGGTTTTAAGCTCCATATGCATTAGGTATTTGTCCTAATGCTCTCCCTCCCCTTTCCCCCGACCCCCTGACAGGCCCTGGTGTGTGATGTTCCCCTCCCTGTGTCCATGTGTTCTCATTGTTCAGCTTCCACTTATGAGTGAGAACATGCGGTGTTTGGTTTTCCGTTCCTGTATTAGTTTACTGAGGATGATGGTTTCCAGCTTTATCCATGTCCCTGCGAAGGACATAAACTCATTCATTCATTTTTTTTTTGTGACTGCATAGTATTCCATGGTGTATATGTGCCACATTTTCTTTATCCAGTCTATTACTGATGGGCTTTTTATTTCTAAACAACATTCCATTGTATGACATACCATATTTTGGTTATCCATTGATTAGTCAGTGGACATTTGAGTTGTTTTTATGTTGTGGCTACTGTGCTTCTATGAACATTTATGTGCAATTTTTTGTGTTGATATGCTTTTAGTTCTCCTGTGTATATTCCTAGAAATGGAATTTCTGAGTCATATATAAAACCTGGATTCTCTATGTCTTTTCTCAGCAATTATATGAAGAATATTTTGGCTGGGCATGGTGACTCACGCCTGTAATCCCAGCACTTTGGGAGGCAGAGGTGCGTGGATCACCTGAGGTCAGGAGTTCCAGACCAGCCTGACCAACATGATGAAAACCCCATCTCTACAAAAAATACAAAATTAGCTGGGCATGGTGGTGCACGCCTAATCCCAGCTACTTGGGAGGCTGAGGCAGGAGGATCGTGTGAGCTACTGTGCCCAGCTAAAATTTTTTTAACTTGATGAACAATGATTGTACATATTAATGGGGTATGTAGTGATGTTTTCATCATGTAATTTATAGCAATCAGATCAGGGTAATTAACACATCCATCATCTCAAACATTTATCATTTCTTTTTCTTGGAAAGATTCAATATCTTCCTTCTCGATATGTGAAACTACATAATACATTATTGTTTATTACAGTCATCCTACAGTGATATAGACCACTAGAATTTATTCCTTCTACACAGCAGTAATTTCGTATCCTTTAACAAATTTCTCCCCATCAACCCTCTTCCCCCTACCCCTCCCAGCTTCTAGTATACTCTGTTCTATTTCTTAATTGGGTGTTTTGGGGTTGCTTCCTTTCAAGGAACTCAAATGTAATCACATTTCTTTCAGCAGGGTAAGGGTGGATAATTCAGAAGAGTTAGCCAAGTCATTGCTTAGAAGAGAAGTATTATTAATAAAATTTGAATTTCCACTAATGTGTAACATTTGATTTAAAAATTCTACATATCTGTTATAAATTATTCAATTAAACATTCCGAAGTAATGAATGCAATTGGAATATAAATCATATTGAATCCCAATTTCCCCAGGCTTATATTACAGAATGCTGTGATGTCAAAATTAACCAGTTTGCCATGGATAAGGCACAAATGGATCCTAGTTTAAGGATCAAAATTCGTATCTTCTGCCACTGCAGTGAAATTGACAGTGGTATCTCCAACCAACCCACTAACCACGGTGGCTGTGTAGTATCATCTTCATTATTACTTCCTATATTCCCCATCTGGAAAACCCCATAGTAAAGATGGAAGTTAAGAGAGGGATAAGGGTGCATGTGTTTCATTTTTTCCCTAGAATTTAAGGAATTCTGGAAAATATGCAATTCCTCGGCATAGCTATGAAATAACAGAAGAAAGAGAACCAAAATAAACCTTGACAGCCAGAGCGGCTCTCAGATTCCAGAAAGCACCACCTGAAAAGCTAAAGAAAGTTGGAACATTTAAATACAACTAAATTACTTTCTACTTTTCTAAGTTTTCACAGTGCAGTGGCCTCATTTCATCTGATTCTAGAGTTCTTATTTTTAGTGTACTCTGCATCATACTGGCTGCTTATTGGGCACAGGAAAAGATGCTGGCATCCAAGGGCAAATGGGGTTGTTCCAAGAAGGCTCGTTCAAAATGGTCAAGCTAATCTATCTCCTGTGAGCAGAATAGAGCACAGTTTACTTCTTGCTCAATCGTTTTATAATATGGGGTTGTATATTTAGAGTGGACTTATTTGTAATAATTTATCTCCTCGAATTTTATAATTGCGCTGGAGATAAGAGAGACAACACCATAAAATTGATAAAATATATAGTCAAAGAAAGGAGGGTAAGCTTTATTTCTTTCATAGACATATGCCAGTTCCTTTCTAATTAGGAAAGGAGATTGTAAGAGGCTTCATTCCTGCCTCTAATATTTAATTGAGGAAAACTCACAGGGAAGAAGTTAGCTTCTCGTCAGTGTGAACAGCCAACGTATACAGAGAGGAAGAACAGCACTGATATTTGACATCCTCCTCAAAGGACTTCAATACTAGCTCAGAGAATCCAGAGCTGAGCTAGATTGCCCTGAATGGTTCTATGAGTTCAAACTGCAAAATGGAAAGCATGTGGGCTTTACCCAGCCCCATAGCATGGTAAAGTCTTAATAGCTGGTAAGAGGAATATAGGGGAAGGTATACAGGAACATACTTAAATATCAAAGACTAAAAATAAGTTCATGTAGTTTTGCTAAAGATAAGTTTGTATCTCATCTATACTAATATTATTAAGAGAATATAACCAACAATTATTCTAGTGATTTTTAAAGAGCTTATTTGAAAACTGGTTCTTTGTCAAAAGGGTTATAAAAACGTTATTAGCAATAGTTCTAAAGCAAAATAGGTAATATAACACCAGCTTAAAACTTTCATATACTAGAAGGGTATCAAATGTATACTTTGGCCAAATTCCTTAGGGGTAAATATTAAAATCAATATTCAGATAAAGTAAGGCCAATTAACTCCTAGAATAGACTCCAAGAATAGAATGAACTAGAATAAACATGACTTCAAAAAAAAATCTGTTACTATTACTATTTTGTTATTTAAACTCTTCAGCATTTGGCTTTATATTGGAAAGGCCCTTTCATGTCATTATTTGGTGCTAGATTACTCTACAATTACCATAATGCGTAGTTGCAGTGCTAAGTAGTTGCCAGTTTACAAATTAGGACCATGCAGAAATAAGGCATTTTTGGTTGCTCTGCCACTAGGGATCTTGGTAATGCACCAATACTGATTATCTTCCTCAATACTAGCAATCTATTGTGGCAGAACCATCCTCAGGGCATCTTCTACACATCAACGTCATTGGGAAAGATGTAATCCCAGCTACTCTGAAGGCTGAGGCACGAAAATTGCTTGAACCAGAGAGGCGGAGGTTGCAGTGAGCTGAGATTGCGCCACTGCACTCCAGCCTCGGCGACAGAGTAAGACTCTGTCTCAAAAAAATAATAATACTGAATATAAATAAATAAATAAATAAAATATTATGGTGACAATTAAGTATTAAACTCTATAGAACAGGTGTTCTCAAAGCCTATCAGGATTTGAGATTTTTTAAAATATAAAAATTTCAGAGACCCCATTTCTTTATAATTATTCACAAACAGAAAAACCAGGTCAAGCATTAACTTTGCTCACCTGAGACTCACTGAGACACCCACAGTTAGTTTTTCAACCACTGCTAAGAAAGACACGCCTCCATCCAAAACTTAATACCTGAAATATTCATCTAAAAAGATTGATTGATCACTACAATGGGCCAGGCGCTATTCTAAGCACTGGGGATACCACAGGAAATAAAGAAAACACAATCCCTGCCCTTAGAAGCTTGCATTTTAGTATGGAGGGAGATACAACACACCAGTCATAGTGCTGTGGAGACAACAAAGTGGTGAGGATGGATGGGATGTTGACAAGCAAAACTCTTTCCCTAAATCAAATAACTATCAGCATTTCTCTATGGTTCTGGTGGAAGATTCCTTTCTAAGCTGTGATTATGTCTTGACTGTTATTCAAAGTGCCAAGCACATCTATTTTGGTCATTTTCTTGCCATAAAAATTGTGCAGGGCAAATCAAAATCTAATGTCTCTAATGCTTGAGACAATATTTTATTTTGAAAACATCACAACTCAGGACATAAGAACTATATGTTTTAACTAGATAACATGCTAATAATATTTGGGATGTATTAGTGTACAATATCTTTGGGAACATTCATTAAAATCTGGTTATCTACTTTACATAACTGTAATAATGCCTCCTAAGAACATTAAATTTTTTGAAATTACTTTACATATAACCTAAAATTTATGATCATTTAATTAAAGAATTATTTTATGTCACCAAATTAGTTATAATATATGGCAACATATGTGTAAAATCAAGAACAAGAAACATCTGGAATTTTATCCAATTATAGATAACAATAATAGCACATTTCTAAACAAAGATTTTGTATAATATTTCTACCAATCTGTGTCAAGGTCAAAACATCATTCACATAAGTGACTATGGACCACGGACTTCTCCAGAGTCCACTGCTTTCCATATATTAAGCAGCACAATTTAACTCAATTGTAACCATTAAAAACCTTCATTTTTTTTTAAAAAAAACAGTCTTTATTTATTTCAAATCCCTTTCAAGCCACAGATCAAAATACTTTGCTTTAGATGGAACTCCTACTTCAGAAATTTTCTACTTGTTCAATTTTTAGGTTAAAAATATTGCAAGTAATCATAATGATAATGTTTACCTTTTAAAGGTTATCTTTAAGTTCTATATTTTCAAATCACAGCCACTATTTTAAAATTATCTTAGAGTTGTTAGGAATGTATTGTGAAATGGCATATTTTAAGGTGGTACCAGAAAAGAACCTCAAATGAAATCATTATTCTAGGAATTGTATCTAACAGCAGATAGATGTTTTAGAACATGACTCTTCTCTTTCTTAACCCCATCTTTTGCTAAATTCTTTTTTACGTAGATAGTTTATTTTTATTTTATTTTTTTTTTTAGAGACTGGGTCTTGCTATATTGCCCAGGCTGGTCTCAAACTCCTGGTCTCAAGCAATCCTCCCACCTCAGCCTCCCAAAGTGCTGGGATTCAGGTGTGAACCACCCCACCAAGCCTGCTAAATTCTTTTATATTGCCATGCCAAGGCTTAAAGAAAGAATCCTAAAATATAAGAAGAAATCTGAATGGTAAACAGACAGAAATCACTATATCATTTAAAGCAAGCTTGTCCAGCCCATGGCCCTCGAGCCGCATGTGGCCCAGAACAGCTTTGAATGCAGCCCAAAACAAATTCATAAACTTTCTGAGAACATATGAGATTTATTTTGCGATTTTTTTAGCTTATCAGCTATCGTTAGTGTTACTGTATTTTATGTGTGGCCCAATACCATTCTTCTTTCAATCTGGCCCTGGGAAGCCAAAAGATTAGACACCCCAGAAAAGCAACCTCAGATGAAATTCATATCACATACAATGTAAAAGACAGCATAAAAACTCAGGGTTTGACTACAAAAGCTTGTTTATAAGCATCATTATAACTGCTGAATAACTTGCTGGTCTGTTCATACACTATGTGTCTGCGTTGCAAACATATGAATGCAAACCAATATATTACTTCTGCATGTGCTGGGTGCATAAATGAATATTACCTTTTGAGCAAGAATTGGACTGGTCATTAATGAATTATTGTGCAAACTAGAATTGAATTGGTTGATGCTATTATAATGATTATAATGATAATTATCATAAAAGAGCAGTTACAATTCACCGAATGCTAACTCTGGGTCAAGAACCTTGCTAAGCACTTGATGTGCATTGTCTCATGGTTTTAAAGCTCAAATAATAATATGGCAGTAGTTCAATTAGTTCTCACAATTTTATGAAATAAATTCTATTATCTCCATTTTACAGATAAGGATATTGAGGCTTAGAAATATTAAGTAACTTGTAGAAGTCATGGACTTTAGATTATATAGATAATGAAGCTAGTGACTGAATCCAAGTATATCTAAAACTAAAGTTTGCATTCTCACATCTGTGTATACTGCTTCCCACTAATTATTTTCCCCTTTACTGTTGAGTGACTTCTATCTGAAACTTGTGTCATTTTAGACCTTGATTTCCACCTTGTATCTGAAACATAATTATGGGTTACTTTCATTGCTTGCCAATTTGATTGTGTTACATTTGATCCTGCACTACATCCCAGCTTTGATGTGCTATGACCTAACAGTTTAATAAGACACTTGGGCATTCCTCTTCATGAAGTGCTGTTCCCATGATATTTTAGGCATGAAACTAAGGTTTGAAATTGTATGATCATTTGACTTTTCAAAGGGATGCATATCAGCTCCAACTCACACTGATTTTGGACATTTTTATATATTTTAAATAGTTGGATAGAAATTTAATCATCATATCCATATTTTTAAAATGAAAAATACAATAAGAGCCATGAAATGACCCTCATTTTTCATTTTTACTTATCTATATAGATTCTGATATCTGAAGATTAATGATTTTAAATAAGGCTATATAAAGCAATTAATATATATTGAACGTCATATTCCCCTTCAAGCTTAAAGAATCAAAGGATTTCATTTAGGTATTTTCTTTCCATTTAGAATTGCACTGCATTTCTACTTGGAAAGGAAAATCCACTGATTTTTTCCAAGACAGGTTTTTTGCCAAGACAAAGAAGTTGGATTTATTCCCCTGCTATATAATTACACTTCTACCTCAGTAGCTGAGTCCCTTGTTCAGAACTCATGTTTGTAAGGGGCAGAAATCCAAATCAAATTGGCTTAAGCACACAAAGGGAACTTGGCTCCCATTAATGAAAAGTTGTAAGTGATGCCTTGTTCTAGGCACTGTGGATTTAGAGACTCAAATGATGACTTTCTCTCAGTTTCTCTCTTTCCTCTTCCTGGATTTGTCCTTGGTTTTCTCTCCAGTCTTAACCCTAGACTCTGCATAGCAGTTGCCAGCATGACCAAACATATTTTATACACACTACTAATGGATCAAAACATTTTTTAAAACCTTTTCCCTGAAGCTCCCCCAAATTCTCCAGGGGCTCATTTACATGGCTTCAGTCACATGACTATATCTAACCTCAACATGTGGCCAACACTGTGGATTTAGGGACTCAAATGATGACTTTCTCTCAGTTTCTCTCTTTCCTCTTCCTGGATTTGTCCTTAATTTTCTCTCTTGTCTTAATCCTAGACTCTGCATAGCAGTTGCCAGCATGACCAAACATATTTTATACACACTACTAACGGATCAAAACATTTTTTAAAACCTTTTCCCTGAAGCTCCCCCAAATTCTCCAGGGGCTCATTTACATGGCTTCAGTCACATGACTATACCTAACCTCAACATGTGGCCAACATGTCCAAGCCTGAGTCATGTGGCCACCCAGACAGAGCAAGAGATTGGATCAGTCCCTCCCAAAGTTCAAGGAGTGAGAATAAAGAAAATGTGATCCTGCAGAGGACAACACGAAAGCTATTTCCAAAAAAGGTTAAAGTAAATTATGTCTATAATTACCAACAGTGTTATGGCTAACTCAGAGGCAGGGGCATCTATGACTAGGTCTCTGGTATGATAGAAACATTTGCAAAGTTTTCTTTTATGTGCATATGCATATATTCTTGGGGAGGTGATTCATAGAGTTCATCAGATCCGCAACTGAAGCATCAGTCCTAAAATGTGTCTGGATTTATATTTGGCAGAGTCTGTAGAAGCTCCTGTTAGATACAAGGCTGAGGAGGAGGATCACTAAGGATGGGTTCCAGAGATCTCTCTGAAAGCTGTTTCACTTTGTTTCGTTCCCATGAAACACTCTGGGAGATAAAGGGATTCACTCTAAGGGTTATAGCATGAAGCACAAGTTTACTGTTATCTGCTTAGTTACTCCACTTTATCTCATGCGTCCCAGAGAAGAAATGGGTTAGTTTCTATATTTTTTATCTCTCTATTATTAAAAAGCATTCTGCCACCTTAAAATTTTGACACTGTTAGGAACTATGAAAAGTTAGTTCAAATGACAGTCTCTCCAGGAATTTGCATGCTAAACAGACATTTCTTCACCCATAGCTGTTGCTACAAAGAGAAAGAAAACAAAAAATCCAGAACTACATGCTCATAAATAAATATAGACATCAAAATGGTTGCTTTGTATTGCAAGTGCTGATTTGGAGAGCTCGACCAGGTTAAGTGGAAATCTTGCCTTTCTTCTAGTTGTTTGTAGAAGTCTGAATAATCTTAATCATTATCTGTTCATATTAGCACCAAAGTAAGAAAAAAAAGTGACAGATAAGAAAGATAATTTTAGAATAACAACCACGGGGTCACATTGTTATCTTATGACCATATGTTTCACAAAGTTAACAAACATTATTGAAGCTATAGAATTTATAATATGCATAATGTAGTGTATTTCAGTATATAATCCAATCATTAAAACATGTTAAATATGCCATTGTGAGCATAAATCAGGTTCATGCAAAATACAGTTGATACCCATGTCATCTAAATGAAAGGTAACTGAAAGCATAACCACTTATGGGTGTCTTTAAGCAGAAAATAAAATCTTGCATTTATTTTTTATACCTTATTTGGCATCAAACTGATATCTCATTTCCATAAGAGAAAGTAGAATTCTTTTCTATTTTTTTTAGATGATGCTAGTATTTCTAGAGTATCACAATCTTATATTCAAGCTGACTTAAACGTATTCACAGATAAGTCAAGTTTGCAGCCTTAACTTTAGAGTCTATGAGGACAATGATACCCTTTACTTAGGGTAAAACTAAGTGCAAGAAGGAAAACTTGCCCAAGCAATGAGATATCAAAGAGGCAGCCAGAGGAAAGTTCCAAGTCTACAGTAAATTAAATTTACTGCAGTCTCAAATACCCGTAACATCTATTCAAAGATACCTTTAAAAAGTTTTTTGGTTAAAATAATTCAAGATGGTTTTAAGACTCAGATGTTGAAACCCAAAACTATAAAACCTTAGAAGAAAATATAGACAATACCATTCAGGACATAGGCATGGGCAAATATTTCATGATGAAAACACAAAAAGCAACTGCAACAAGAGCAACAATTGACAAATGGGATCTAATTAAAGTAACTAGCTTCTGCACAGCAAAAGAAACTATCATCAGCATTAACAGACAACCTACAGAATGGGAGAGAATTTGTGCAGTTGATCCATCTGGCAAAGGCCTAATATCCAGAGTCCACAAGGATCTTAAAGAAATTTACAAGAAGCAAACAAAACAACCCTATCAAAAAGTGGGCAAAGGACTTCAACAGACATTTCTCAAAAGAAGACATTCATGCAGCCAACAAACACGAAAAAAGCTCAACATCACTGATCATTAGAGAAACGCAAATCAAAACCACAATAAGATACCATCTCACGTCAGTCAGCATGGCGATTATTAAAAAGTCAAGAAACAACAGATGCTGGCGAGGTTGTGGAGAAAAAGGAAAGCTTTTACACTGTTGGTGAGAGTGTAAATTAGTTCAACCGTTGTAGAAGACAGTGTAGCGAATCCTCAAAGATCTAGAAGCAGAAACACCATTTGACACAGGAATCCCTCACTGAGTATATACTCAAAGGAATATAAATCATTCTATTAAAAAGATACATGCATACGTATGTTCACTGCAGCACTATAACAATAACAAAACATGGAATCAACCTAAATGCCCATAATAATAGACTGGATAAAGAAAATGTGGTACATGTACACCATGGACTACTATCCAGTCATAAAAACGAATGAGATCATGTCCTTTGCAGGGACAGGGATGGATCTAGAAGCTGTTATCCTCAGCAAACTAACACACAAACAGAAAACCAAATACTGCATGTTCTCACTTATGAGGGCGAGCTGAACAATGACAACACATGGACACGTGGCAGAAACAACACACACTGGACCCTGTCATGGGGCAGGAGGAGGGAGAGCATCAGGAAGAATAGCTAATGGATGTTGGACTTAATACCTAGGTGATGGATTGATCTGTGCAGCAAATCACCATGACACACATTTACCTAGGCAACAAACCTTCACCTTCTGCATGTGTACCCTGGAACTTAAAATAAAAGTTAATAGGGAGAAAAAGAATGTTTTTTTGTTTATTTTTACTTTTTATATAACACTCTCTACCAATAACAAGCATTATGTATATAATTAAATATAAGATAGGAGAAAGCCCTGGAAATCTTCTCTGAAACAGAATACTTTGTTTTCTGCACTGATGATACTTGTTGGCAGCAAAGCCTCGTGAGTCCTTGAGAGAACTTGCTCTCCCCCTTAGAAGGGCAGAGAAAACTTACCAAGTATCTGAAATAGAGCCAGATGGCAAGGAAGAAGGTCACTGGCAACAGCTGCTGTGCTTCTGGGTTGGGGTCTGAGGATACAGATAAACACATGACCCAAAGATAGGTGACTGAAATGTAACCGTAGTGGATGAGGCTTCCAATAATAATTGTGAGAGGGAAAAAAAAACTGGAATCATATGTCTCTGCCCAATGGCTATTTGAGGGTGCACGGAGGAGTAAGTGCAAATCACTAAGGGGTGTTTGTTTCTTTATTCGTTCTAAAACAGAAGGCTAATTTTTAGGTGAAGAATATCCAGAAAATACAGCATAAAAGAAAAAATATATGATTGATATATTTAATGCTACTGCATTAAAACAACACTACGAGCTATAGTATCTTTTCTTTCACTTTTCTGATATGTGGTTTGTCTTTAGCTCTTACAATAAAATGAATACAATTGTGTGAAAGTTTCCTACTTATTATAAAGATTTCTTCTGTCGTAGAAATACCTTGAAATCTTACTGCATGAGAAGGGAATACCCAACCATGCCTCGGAAGAGACATAGCTCTGCCCCAGTGAACAGGGCTGTGGATAAAGATGGGAAAGAGGCAGAAATATAGATACAGGTTGCTTAAGGAAAGGAAAAGAGATCGAAGGATAAATTTTAGGAATTTCTCTCATTCCTAAAATTGGAGCTTCAACTGTATTGGAGCTCCTTCCTGCAGCATGCTTCTGTAAAGGTATGCTGCTTTCCTTATTTTTAAATTAAAATTTATTCATCAAATATATGCAAAGTGTTTAAATATAAATAAGGAATAATATTTTCAGTTGTTTCCTCTGAAATTTATGTTCACATTCTTAATATACTTCTAATTCATGATTTATCAGTTTCTAACATATTTACTGATAATAATTATCATTCCTCATGTGATTTTATTATAAATTTGTATTACTATGACTAATTGTGTTCTGTGCAGAGACAAATACTATAATGTTCATCCTTTGTATTGATTTTAGTAGCTTCTCAGGTTAATAATTTTCTACTGGATCTTTCAAATGCCTATAAATAGTATTTTTTTTAAAGAGCTGTTGGAAATGCTAAAAATACATAACTTCAAATTATTTTTCTCCCTCCACAGGTCCATTTTTCTTCTGCTTAAATTTGAGGAATTTATTTCCCACTAAAATCTAAATTTTCAGGAAAAAATATACAAATATAATTGGAAATCCATATGCAATTGAGTGAATTTCGGAATATTTGAATCTTACCTGCGAAAATATATTCTATTCTCCCTCAATCCTACACACCCACCAACCCCAGCAATGAACATATAGATACCATCATATTCGTAGTTGAAATTGAGTTGTGGATCACAGTTTTTAAATACTTTTGCTGTGATTCATGTTTAATTATATTAAATCATCGTTTACAACATATTTTCTCTGACAGTTACCATGTTTTCAAACCACTTATCAATTTTTAATCACACATTTATTTGTCTAGGGCTAATGTCTGAGTTCTCAGCTGCTGAGGCTCCCTGCTTTTAATCGTTTGAACACATATGACAGATTCTCACTTATAATTTGCAGATCTTACCTATAGACTTTGATGACTTTTACAAAAACACATGTGCACACACCACACACACACACACAAATGCACACATATACATATAAGCTATATATACCCATGTAATCACAATCAAGATGTAGAAGGTTCCTTTTACCCCTGAAAATTCCTTCTCACTCCTTTGCAGTCAATCTTCATGAGCAAAATGGGGAGTTACATATTTAGAAACATTTATACATTATTTTAATTTATATACACAGATGCTAAACACATCACTGAACACTTTCTGCAGTATTTCAGCAAAAGCTAATTGAAATGATCACTCTTTTCTGAATGCATCTTTTCAAGGAAAAAATATTAATAACATTGGGCATTCGTATGCAATTGAGCAAATTTTGGTAGAATTTAATATAAAATGAAATTGGCTTTAAAAAACTTTTCCATTTTTGTTGAGAGTGAGAGTAGGTGAGAGGACAGTGGGAGCTCAGAAAACATTCATTATTGTTCAATATGCAAAGCAGCAGGGAAGGGAAATTAAAGCAGAGGAGTGGAGAAGAACAGCACCAATATCGTTAAAATCAGCAATACTCCTTCATGGGAGTGGAGGCACCCAAGGGGAATAGAATCTTAGAGTGTCCCATCTTCTTGATCTTACTGCAGTCTGTGAGTAAATATAAAGTGGCAATCCAAATATGCTGCCAGAAACTGGAGGAAAAATAGGCCAGTAACTGATGGAAATAGAGCCACCCTCCTGCATTGATAAAGGGGGCTGCTCTCAACATCACTGTGGCTTTAAGCCTATTTTACATAATAGTTTCTTCACTTACAGTGATAAATATCTTTAGTCCAAAGACAATGAGATTTTCCAAAGAGTGCCAAATAGTTTAATAAGCAAAAAAGAATAGAAATTGAATGAAAGAAGTAGCAATTTCTTGTCACCCAATACTAGGTAGGCGTCGCACACAATCCCACTTCTTCAGCAATGAATGTTTAAAATTGGCAACCACATCACAGGAAAACAACAAAGCAATCTGACAATTTGGCAAGCTCCTTCACCTAAAGATTTAGGAAAACACAGAACAAGTAGAGTAGGATATTTGGCCATTGCAGTTTCTGAGCAGAACTGTTATTATCTCCAAAGCTAGTAATTTCTCAGAAAACAAAAGAAGCAAACAAACAAAAAACCTATAGTGATGAACCTGTAAACACAAGATGGTTTTTGAACTGAAATACAAGGACCACCCTGCTTGACAGAAGGCAAATATGGGCTTCATAATACAACAACCAGTTCAAGCCCTTATTCCAAATCAATCTGAGGCAAAGGAGACTTAAAAATTCATTATTCATTTGTGAACAAACATGAAGTTATCATTTCCAGCTGGGACCAGAAGTTGAACAGTCAAATCAGAGAACCAGAGGAAGACAGATTTTGTGATTTGTACACCTTGTTTTGAAAGTGGGAAATAGGACTCTATTATGGAAGCATATTCAGTAAACATTGCAGTGTAGCCTCATCAGATTCCAGGTATTTAAAACTGATGATTAGAAAACAAAAAATACTATCTGTAACCAAAGTTATACCCAGGATCAATTATGTATGATTCTATACAAGTGTGACACCAAGAAGTAATACAGCTTTTCTGTTCAGTGGAACTAGATGGTTTTCTCTGCATCACTGTATTCCAAGCAGATGGTTTTCTCTGCATCATTGTATTCCCAATGTCTAGTACCAAGCCTGGTACAGAGTAGGTGATCAATTAGTTCTTTCTGAATAAATTGGTATTATGTAAATACATTTTGCCATATTGTTTTCCCTTATGTCCCAGACATGTTTTAAGGATTCAAAGGGAGAAAAAAGAAAAGCATGTTCTCCTTAGAAAAAGTCTGCTATAATAACAGAAGTAGAAAAAGAATGAGAAAATGTGTCCTAAAACATAACAGTCATACACTATGCATGGCTTCTATTTATTCTAGAGAGGGAACATGAATTCTTGTATTGTCTTCACAAATATTCACTGAATAATCTACATTGTGATAGTTTATTAAATTCCACTATATAAAAATGTGCAAGATATGGCCCCTGTTCTTGAGAAACCTACAGTCCAGCAGAAAAAAAATCAAATGTATAATTATAATTCAATTTAATATATTTTAAAATATATATCTAGACAAATATTTTTCTGGACTAGATACTCAGAAGTTAAATGCTGTATTAGAACCACCCAAAATATTGTGACAGCGTAGAGGACTGAGAATCTTAAATAGAAAATAGAAGGAAACCTTACATCTATACATATATACACATACACATATATACATCTATATATATACATCTATATACCTTAAATACATATATATACACCTTACATCTATATATATATACACACATATATACATATATAAACCTTACATCTAAGGAAACCTTACATCTATAGGTAGATAGATAGATAGATAGATAGATAGATAGATAGATAGATAGATACACACACACACATATACATATTATGTGTGTATACATACCTAATATTTACGTTTTTTAGTTTGAAATATAAAGAAAAAGAATAGAAAAAAATTGTTTGAATGTCACAAGTCTAAAATAGGTTCCTTTATGTTGATTATAAATAGTGAAAGAGACTTTACATCATCTTAGAGATACATCTTATTTCTGAAGACACATTTAGGGAAGCAAAGACTATAGTTACTCCAAATTAGCTGCAATAATATCATTAGCTGAGAAAGTAGATGTAATCAAGTTTTGTATACCAAACTAATATTTAAAATGTTCAAAGTTATGAGTGTGTCCAATGCAAAAAGAAAGCATAAATCAAGAATTGAATTAATTTTTTCTCACTCATTTGATTTCCTAGAAAAGGCCTCAATCTATAATGCAGGCATTTAGATTTCTTTCATCGTGCTCCAAAACAAATATTATTTTAAGTTTAATATGCAAATATAGATGTTCAGTAAAATTTGTTTTTTGTTTGTTTTTTTTTTTTCTTTTTGGAGACGGAGTCTCGCTCTGTCACCCAGGCTGGAGTGCAGTGGCACAAACTCGGCTCACTGCAACCTCCACCTCCCGGGTTCAAGCAATTCTCCTGCCTCAGCCTCCCGAGTAGCTGGGATTACAGGCGTACGCCACCATGCCCGGCTATTTTAGTAGAGGTGGGGTTTCACCATATTGGCCAGGCTGGTCTCGAGCTCCTGACCTCATGTGATCTGCCCACATCAGCCTCCCAAAGTGCTGGAATTACAGGCATGAGCCACTGCACTGGGCCCAAAATTTGTTTTTATATACTTAATTCTGTTTTTATTTTGAGTATGCTAGCCAGAGATCTGCCTAAGATTTTAAAAATATAGGGAAGATATTTTCACTTTAAAATAAATTTAAACACATGATAGTTCTTACTGGTCTGTTTTGCTTGTCAGACCACAGTTTTATTCACCACTACTTTATTGTTTCTGAATCAGTTTCTCACCAACATCTTCAATGAAAAAAAATACATATCATGAAATATTAAGAAATTTTATTTGGAAAAAATATATATATTTAACAAGTCTTTAAAACACTAGTTAGAATTTGTGTCACAATTTTTATGTCAAGAATTTCAAAAGTCTTCTATTTCCAGCCAGAAGATACTGAAAGATGCAATAACTATATTCTGAATATACTTCAAAGAATTAGTAGGGGCCGGGCGCGGTGGCTCACGCCTGTAATCCCAGCACTTTGGGAGGCCAAGGCGGGCGGATCACGAGGTCAGGAGATCGAGACCATCCCGGCTAAAACGGTGAAACCCCGTTTCTACTAAAAATACAAAAAAATTAGCCGGGCGTAGTGGCGGGCGCCTGTAGTCCCAGCTACTTGGGAGGCTGAGGCAGGAGAATGGCGTGAACCCGGGAGGCGGAGCTTGCAGTGAGCCGAGATCCCGCCACTGCACTCCAGCCCGGGCAACAGAGCGAGAATCCGTCTCAAAAAAAAAAAAAAAAAAAAAAAAAGAATTAGTAGGAATTTCATTTTATTTATAACGTAGTGAAAGAAATACTATGATATAGGAGAATCTGCTTTAAGCTACTGTCATCAACATAAATTCAAAAATTTGAATCTTTAGAGAATATATCTATAATATATTCCATTTTAAAATGCTTAAATATTTGGCCATATTTTGGAAAGAATGAGTATCCTACTAAAAATTGTGACTGTTTTATCTTTCTTGATCACTTTTTCTAAATTAAAAAATATTTCAAACATATGAAAGTGACATAGAATTTAAGGGAAACTTTGCCATAATTGCTGCAATTCTCTTTTTTATAAAATAAAACATTAAATATTGCATGAAAAGTTAAAGCCCAAGAAATCTAACTCACCAAAAATGACCACTTTTCTGAATCTGGTGTGTATACATCCAGATTGCTTTTTTTGTTATTATTTTGTATATTAGAATTCATTATAACAAGTTTACATTTTGTGATTCAGAACTTTAAATAGATAAAATCAAGTCATGCATGTCCTTTTGCAACTTTTAAGAATTCAGTATTGGGCTTTGAGATTTAAACGTTGTCACATGTTGACTTAGCTCATTTATTTTAACTACAGGTTTGCTCTTTCTCATATAAATGTGCGTAATGTGTTCATTCCTTTAGTGAGGGATACTTGGGTTGTTTGGTGGGGGGGGCTATTATTATTATTACAAGCAATTCTGTAATGAACATCTTTGTAAATAACTTAGTACCAAGAGTGCTATTTGATATATTTATCATTCAGAATGATTTGGACATTGCCCAGTTGGAAGAGATTCTCTACAACTCAGAATTAGCTAGCTATAGAAAAATGGCATTATAACAGGCTCAATATCAGTTCTGCATCATAGCCATAGACAAATATTTTTCTAGAGTAGACACCCAGAAGTAAAGTTGCATAATGAAAATATGTTTAAATTTCTAATTTTGAAATACTGCCAAGTTGTTATTTTAATTTCTATGTCCTTGGTAATTAGTGAGGTTAAGCATTTTTTCAACATGCTTATGGTCTAATTATATTGTTTCTTTAATGTGGTAATTCATAAGTTTCTTCCATTTTGTTCTTTATTGGTATTTCTTTATTGGTAAGATCTCTTCATATATTTTCAACATCAGTCTTCTACAGATAATTTTCTCCTAGATCACTATTTATTTTTAACTATGTAATGAGGCCTTTTGTTCTATAGAGATGGTGTTACATCTTTCTGTACCTTTTATTAAAATTAACTGACTTTTCCTGTTTAATTTGTTGTTTATTAATGCTCTTATCATGTAGCTTTTCCTACTATACATGTTGACTTTTTAACATATATAAACAAATTTTTTCTATTTCTTACAAACTTCTCTATTCATACCATCAAATATTATTTCCTCTCATAATCTTTGATTTATATTTTCCATAAAACTTGTCAATTTAGTCTTATCTAATTTTTTTCCTTGACAAATTCCTCTGTCTGTCTCTCTCTTTTTTTTTAATGCAGAATTGTTCCTGTATTTGTTCTATTTCCTCTGAATTTTAAATTTGTGTCTGGGGTTAGGTAATTCTGTGCTCAGTTGGCCATCTTGGCCAAATTTCCATAAGTTAAAAAAAATTTGAATATAAAAAGGCTAAATGCCAGAAATATTAACTATCTACATCTGTGACCTATCTGAATAGACTGACTTTAAGGATTAGAATAAACAAATGCAATTTTATTAGTCCAGGTCCTCAGTGAGGTAGATGCAAAGACAATTGTTATTAGTTCGTTTTCATGCTGCTGATAAAGACACACCCGAAACTGGGAACAAAAAGAGGTTTAATTGGACTTATAGCTCCACAAGGCTTGGGAGGCCTGAGAGTTATGGTGGGAGGCAAAAGGCACTTCTTACATGGTGGCGACAAGAGAAAAATGAGGAAGAAGCAAAAGTGGAAACCCCTGATAAACCCATCAGATGTCGTGAGACTTATTCACTATCACGAGAATAGCATGGGAAAGACTGGCCCCCATGATTCAATTACCTCCCCCTGGGTCCCTCCCACAACACGTGAGAATTCTAGGAGATAAAATTCAGATTGAGATTTGGGTGGGGACACAGCCAAACCATATCAACAATTAAATTTGCAAGGATTAAGGGAAACACCTAAGACAGAAAATATAGAAAGAGCAGAGAAAGGCTGAGAAAGCCAACAAACATGCAAGTCTGACTGTAAATTTTTAAAAAAGAAGGAAAGAAGTTCAATTGGATGCAGTCTCAAAAAAGATTTAGCAGGACTCTTGGCGAGTCCTTGAGTCAAGCCATCAGAGGATTCCTGCATCTCCCAAGAACAAGTTTGCCTTAGTGTCCTGTAATGTCAGCCATTCACTAGGAGCAGTTCATGTGACCTGAAGCCTCAGCAAAAACATAGGGATGGATTTTCCAGGTACTCAAGCCCCTAGTCAGTTAAAATCCCTGTAGTTGGAGATCCGAGTGGCATTTTCTTATAGCCACCAGGTTTATGTATATGTTTTCATCATTTCATTGAGAGTTATGTTATTCAAACTTCATGGAGTGCTGTTAACTATGTTTTCACTTAATTAGTATGTTACCTTCAGAATGGCAGGCATTGTATTTTTTACATATTTTGAACAGTACCTGCAGGAAACTGGTCACTCATTTTATTTTAAAAATATTTCTTATTATTAATTAATTAATTTATTTATTTTTTGAGACGGAGTCTCACTCTGTCGCCCAGGCTGGAGTGCAGTGGTGCAATCTCGGCTCACGGCAACCTCTGGCCTCCCGGGTTCAAGTGATTCTCCTGCCTCAGCCTCCTGAGTAGCTGGGACTACAGGCACATGCCACCACGCCTGGCTAATTTTTTGTATTTTTAGTAGAGGTAGGGTTTCACCATGCTAGCCAGGATGGTCTCAATCTCCTGACCTTGTGATCCACCCACCTTGGCCTCCCAAAGTGCTGGGATTACAGGCAGGAGCCACCGCACCTGTCCTAATTATTTTTTTTTAAAGACAGAGTCTTGCTTTGTCACCCTTGCTGGAGTTCAGTGGCACAATCATAGCTCACTGTAACCTCAAACTTCTGGGCTCAAGTGATCCTCTAACCTAAGCTTCCAGAGTATCTGGGACTACATATGTGCATCACCACACCTGGCTAATTTTTATTTTGTTTTTTTGTAGAGATGGGGTCTATGTTGCCCAGGCTGGTATTGAACTCCTGGCCTCAAGTGATTTTCCTGCCTCAGCCTCCAAAAGTATTGGGATTACAGACTTGAGCCACTGTGCCTGGCCTATAAATACTGATGATTATGAACTTAACGTAACAATCTCTTTATTTCTACCATTGAATATTGATAGTATAAAAGCACCAATTTTATTTGTTATTTATAAGTATTGGGAGGGCCAAAGGGTATTTTAAATTATCTCCATTACTGTGCTGAACAGATATAGCCTTTTCACCCAATTTAGTTCAATGGTAAGTGTATTAAAGACCAATAAATAAACACATTACGGATGGAAAACTGCATATTGGCCAATAAAACTCATGATCAGTAGCTTTTCTAACATTTCTAAACACTACTTTTATAATTGACATAGACGGTTCTGTGAACTTTTTCTTTAGATTTTTTTGGCAACCAAAATGTTTTTTTCTTTCTCTGCTTCATCATTTGTAGTTCTGTTTCTTTCCTCAGTACTCATATCACTAATTTATTCATGCACACTTAATTCATTTAGTTTTTCATTCTCAGCCAAGGGTACATTTTCTCTTACTTTTTTTGTTCTTTTCTGAAACTGCTATAATTTTAGGTTTTTAGTATTCTTATTTTCTGAAATAAATATGATATTCTAGATACAGTCTGCTCAGCAGTGGAATGAGGCAGACAATTACCTCTCCCCTTGCTTCATAACATGATGCCTTTTCAACCCCAAATAGCACGGCAATTTTTTGCTGGCAGCACAGACTGCAAATCCACATTTAATTTTCCATGCACAATCACTCTTCTCTTCACCCCCTCTCCTTTGGATGTCTAGACAATGGAGAGAAATCTAACATATTTTTATTGTTTTTCATTGAGTATATCCCACTTAACAAATGCCATTCTTCATACAGTTAGCAACATGTGTGTTGATTTTGTATTTGTTTTCTTTCCCTTAACTCTTGTTTATAATTTAAAATATCAATGTACTTAGGAAAATATTGTGGCTGAGTACATAGGAGGCTCTGCTATTATTTGATAAATGCATCTTGAATTAAAAATGTTAACAGGCCAGGCACAGTGGCTCATGCCTGTAATCCCAGCACTTTGGGAGGCCAAGGTGGGTGGATCACCTGAGGACACGAGTTCGAGACCAGCCTGGCCAACATGGTGAAACCCCATCTCTACTAAAAGTACAAAAAATTTAGCCAGGCGGGGCGGTAGACACCTATAATCCCAGCTACTCGGGAGGCTAAAGCAGGAGAATTGCTTGAACCTGGGAGGCAGGAGAATCAATTGAACCAGGGAGGTGGAGGTTGCAGTGAGCCGAGATTGCGCCATTGCACTCCAGCCTGGGCAACAAAAGCGAAACTCCATCTAAAAAAATAAAATTAACAAAAAGTGGATTTATTTTCATCTTGATCTTTCATAAAAATACCGAAATACAGTTTATGTGGCATACGCTATTCTGATTACTTAAGTATATTAATAGTTTTTAAAGTAATGTACACTCATTTAAAAATCAGAAAATATAAAAATACAGACATACAAACAAGAGAAAAACTAAAATGACTAGATGCTAAATATATAGGTGTATATATTGTGGACATATAGTATGCATAGATATAACAGCAGTCAAGTTAAAACACACACACACACATATATATAGGAATTATGCATACAGTTGACCCTTGAGCAATGGGGGGGTTAGGGGAACCAACCCCCTGCATAGTCAAAAATTCACTTATAACTTTTGACTCTACAAAACATTAACTACTAATAGCCTACTGTTGACTAGAAGCCTTACTGATAACATAAACAGTTGACTAACATATTTTGTATGATATATATATTGTATTCCATATTCTTATAATAAAGTAAGCTAGAGAAAAGAAAATATTAAGAAAATCATAAGGAAGATAAAATATATTTACTGTTCATCAAGTGGAAGTGGATCATCATAAACGTCTTCATTCTTGTCATCTTCACATTGGCTAGGCTAGGGAGGAGGAGGGCAGGAGGGGTTGGTCTTCCTGTCTCCAGGTGGCAGAGGCAGAAGAAAATCCATGCCTAAATGGCCCCAAGCAGCTGAAACCTGTGTTGTTCAAGGTCAACTGTAATTGCAATCATACTTTTAAGCATTATATATATTTTATATATATTTAAGCATTATATAAACAAACGTGTATATACACACACTTACATAAACATAATTGCAAAACTGCTAGTAATATTATTTCCTATAGATTTAACTGTATGGATCTCTGAGATGTGAACTCATATAACCTGAGCGTTCATGTCTATCTCCTGAATGGCCCTGTGAAAGGCTCACTAGCATTGCATTACACTGTTGTTTCATTTCAGACTATTAGTGTTAAGAATATTAACTTGATATAATTAAGGGTTTACACTTTTTGCCCAAGATCCTGAATATTTCTGCTTGATGTTCAAAAGGAGTGACACGTACAAAAAACTACAAAAGTACACCATCTTATGGCTGTCCTGGAAGTGTTAAGACAATGATCTTCTCACCAAGCTGAAGGGGAGCTTGACAGAGACCCCTTAAAATATCACTTAAAATGTGAGCCAAAAAGTTGAAAGAAAGCATTATGCTTCCAGAAAGCCTCAACCTAGAACACTGGGCATCTCAGCATTATTATATTCAAGTACTAAGTGGGACTTCAAATATCAACTAGCTAAACCATTCATTTGAACATGGAGGAAAGCAGGGATGGATTAGAGAGAGTTAAAGGCCTTAATCAAAATACATAACTGGTGTGGAGTTGAGAGTGTCAACACAAACCTCAATGAGTATTCTTTCTTCTTTCATTAGAGGTCAAAAACTGGAGCCTTCATTCCACAGGCAGACTGGCTAATTTGGCTGCTAATGTTTTCTTTTTCTGAAAAAAATTGAATTTTTGGTAAGATTTAAATATTAAAGGTAAATACCTGAAGAAAAATGAGATCTAGCAATTATAGATCCAAAATTCTAAAAATTGCTTTAAAATGAGTAGTGGCTACCAATTTTAGAAGAAACATACCCTTCGAGTGCTGTCCCCACCTGACCCACATGACTCAACGAGCAGTAGTGTTACCGGTCCAGTCATTGCAGACATTAGTGTTTGTCACCAAGTGGCTTCCCTGCTGTAGTACATTAAAGTGGAGATTTATCCTAAGAAGAAAAACAAGTTTCCTATTGCATGACTCAGAGCTTTCCTGGGACACTAGACTATCAAGTCATTCCTCAACTCTTTTCATGGTAGTAGGAGTCTTGTTCACTTCTGAAGTGTTTCAAGAGTGAAAACTATTACGGTGTTCTTTGGCTTCATGTTTCTTTAATACAACGTGGTTTTAATGAATGAAATCCAAATTATTCCTACTAAAGGACCTTTGGTGCTCTCCTAAATGATGTCCCCAATCATGGTCCCGAATATTCTAGAGTAGTCATGGAGGAACTTTCCTGCTCTGGCCCTATGGACATTTAACCTTTCCTTTCTGATTCCCAGTTTCCATTCTTTTTTGCTTTCCATTTGATTAAAAGTAAGAATCTAGCATCTTTGTATATGATTCCTTGTGCTTTTAGGTACTTAGTGCTTAAGCTACTAGTTTCTCAAAATTCCTTTACATAGCAGAGATCCAAATGTTCTCTCACCAGATGTGAGCAAGAAATAAAATGAATCATACTATGTTTCACTCCAGTGGAGACGCTGTAGTCCATTTCTTGGATTCTTCCCCCTTGAGAGTCTCTAAGGATTACCTACCAGAAGTCATTGATATTCTCCTCCATATTCTCCCATCTTGGAGGCAGAAATGCTAATCTCTTCCTGCTATGGTTTACTCTATGACATCATCCTGGCCAATGATTTGTAAACAGAATTTTCTGGGTAGGGCCTCTAAGAGACAAATGTCACAACTGCCACAATATCTAAAATGAAAAAGACTAGTCATAGCAAGTGTTGGCAAAGGTGTGGAGCAATGGGAACTCTCAGACACTATTAGTGGGATTTCAATTGGTAAAGTTTCTCTGGAAAGCATCTACTAATGTTTACCACATCCTCTGAGTTATGCAGGCACTGCTAGATATATTCCCCACAGAAATGAATACATGTGTTCACCTAAAAAGAACACAAACTCACTAGAATACTTATAGCAAAGTTCATAGTCTAATATAAGAAATAGCCCAAATGTTCATCAGCAGTGAAATGGGCAAATTAGGAATAACCGTAAAATGAAATACTTTATTACAATGAGAATGAACAAGCTACAATTACACCCAAGGATGACTATTACAACTGTAATCCTTAGTATAAGTCACCGACCAAAGAATACTCAGCGTATAATTCCATTTCTATAAAGCTCAAAACTAGGAAAAACTAATCTTTAGTGTTAGAAGTCAAGATAGTGGTAATCATTGTCTGGAGTGGCATGGGAAGCTTCTTGGAGGCCAGTATTGTTTTAATTCTTAATTGTTAACCTGGATGTTGATTACATGGGTGTGTTCAAACTGCTGACATTCACCTATCTGTGCACTTGTGATTGGACTGTGTAATACTTCAAATAAGTTATTTGAAAGAGAGGCAGAGAACTTGCCGGGCACAGCCCCCTTTGCCCTCTGGTCCTCATACCTTATTTCCAGCTGAAACACAGATATGGGTTATGCATGTGAAGCAGTCTTATTGAGACCCTGAGGGTAAAACCTGTAAATCTAAGATACCATAGTGAAAAGACAGAAAATGTCGCTCTTCATGATGACTTCACTGAATAGCTATGCCAACTCTCAATGCTTATTTCCAAACTTCTTGTTGCCTGAGACCAACTAACTGTTTACACATTCAGGACAACACTATGCTTTAAATATTACTTACATGCTGTTATATTTTTTCTTACCTGCTATCAAATGCAATTCCTAACTAATACATATTTTTGAGCCACTTCCCCTCAGTTTAGCAGTTCCAACATATGTAAGGTCAATCCAAACCACTAAATTTTACCATTTTTGGTAGCCCAAGAAATCTTCATGGTGGAACATGTTTACACTCAAATTTAAAATAGTACAGGATTTTTTTAGTTCATTATTATCAATGCTCTATTCACTGACAAAGATGTCTAATATCTTTGGTAAAAACACAATGTGCTCATGTTTGCTAAAAGAATATATATTTTATTTTGCATTTTCCTCACATATTTTATGTGTCTTTTTTTATTCTTTTCCACTTACCTCAAATGGCATTAATTACAATCAGTTGTTTCCTGCTGTTCCTCACACTAGTTCGTGGAGTCTTTGAGTGCAGGGATCTGGTTATAACCTCAGCATTTAGTATTGAGTTTTGTAAAGAAAAGATACATTCAATATATATATTCTAAATGTTACATGAGTACATTAAGAACAAATTTTAAAGTCACTGTGTATATATGGTGAACAGCAGACATATTGTCATTGTAGATATCATGTGTTAACCGTCCCTGTTTCTCTAGAGTTGACAACACTTTTCTCTAAAAGGACAGATTTTTTTGGCTTTGCAGGCCAAATGGCCTCAGCCACAGCTATCAACTCTGCTACTAAAGCAAAAAAGCAGTCATAGATAGATAATGTATGCACAGATAGATTTTAACTGTGTTCCAATAAAGGGTACTTAGAAAAACAAGCAATGATCCAGATTTGGCCAAGGGCCATAGTTCACCAATGCTGATGTGTGTAAGCTTATTGTAAGTAAAATCCCAAATTTCCACTCCTACCAATGAAGACAAAGGGATCAGAAACTTCTCTCCATTCTCTAAAATATATTGAAAAAGCAGAGGTTAGAGAATGTGGCCAATTCAGTCTATTTGGCTGCTCCCTTCTTTCCAGGACTTTGAATCTGGAGCAAGTAACACAAGGCAGGAAAGAAAGTCAGAAGCCATTCACTGTATCCACAGGGTGGTGTTGACAAGATTTTTCCTGATATTTTTGGCTTCTAACATTTCTGGAGCTCTGTTTTGTTTTTAATGATTGTAAACATTAAAGTGCAGATTTTATATGAAATGTAAATTATTAGATTCTTTTAAAACACTAGAAAAATCATACAGACCTTATACTAGCATTTAGACCTTATACGTGCATTTAGACTAGGCACGAATCTGCCACAGTCCCCATCACTCCCAGTTGTTTTCCCTGCTATGAGGCTAAGCATTAGTCATCGTTTTGTGTCACACATATGCTGTTGTTTTTCTTAACCTGGCCTTCACTCAGTTAGTTTCCCTGCCTAGTACATGTAAACATCTGAACGTTCAACTATGGATATAGGTCATCATAATATACTTTAATTTTTAGGATGAACCCCGTGTCTAAAACACTCTCCTCTAGAGTATTCAATAAGCATCATTATTAAACAATAATCCAGAAGCAAAGGTGAATTATTATTCTATACTCTGAGTATATGGAATCCATCCTCATTTTATATACTCTGAGTAGAAAAATAATGGCTTTCTTTAACTATAAAAAAATAGGCTGTCTTCTTAGTTTGGGGGTAAATGACTATACCCCCCCACCCACTTTGTACTTTCAAAAAAATTATGATGTCCAATCATATTCTCTAGTTTTTATTTGGATCCATGATTTCTAGACAAAAAGATTGGCAATTATACCTTTCTTCCTACAGAAGTATGAAAATATGTAAGTTGAGCTCATTATTAAGTAGACTGCTTCTTTCCTGTTTTTCATGTGTCTTTCATGAGGAGGGAGTTCCCTTCATGTATCATGAGTGGCCCTTCTCCTCCCTTTCAGGCACTCAGTCCTACAGAGGCTCATTTAATTTTCTGTGGATGTGTGCACCCAGACCCATCTGGTCTAGCAGCAGAATTTCCCTCTTAAGGTATGTTGTCTTTTCTGCTCTGAGAGTCCACAGGTTTACAAGTAAAAGCTTAGGGTGGTTAATTTAGGGTGGTCTGCTTCTTGGCAGATAATTCAGCTCAAATGAAAGGGCTGTATTTCTGTGTTGGAAATTTCATTTCTTGCAAATTTAATAACCATTTTCCCATATCAGTTTCATCAATAGTAAATGAGCCATTTGACCCCCATGTGTGTAATTCCTTTGTCTTATTTTTAAATATATTCAGAAGCCAGGCAGAGAAGGAGATGTTGCTGGGCAAGCTCCAGAACACCAACACGTATGAATAACAAACTATTATTCAAATTGTTACTTAGAGGCCAAGTTTTTAAAATGTTAGTCAATTTAATCAATACAACATCTAATACTAACCAAGTGATCAATACAAGTATCTGTCCGGGAAAGGTTATCTCCATGCATATCTAAGGATCTGTGTTTGTAGCTCCCTGATGATAGTGATTTATTGAGGGGAATCAGTTTTCTACTTAAAGGACCATTAGTCGTCTCAGAAAGCTTACAAAAACTGAACCATACTGTTTCATGCGTAAGTACCACTGCATCTACCATTTAAGGAGCTACATGTGATTTTAGGTCATTCAAGCAGGTACTAAAAGCCCTCAGTTTGAGAACGGCACAAATGTATCACTATGCTTCTTTAAATGGGGACAAGGGACAATCTGACAAAATGTCTTCTCAAAGCTGTTTTTAGCTGGCAGACCTCAAAGAGTTCTGGGACCCCCATCAGAAATTCATCCCTGCTTAGCTAACAGGCCTTTGATACTGCTTTTCTTGCTAGGGAAAATATTCTTTGCTCATTCATGGATTATATTTGTAAAAATTGATTTTTCACACTTCACCCTCTGGAACAAGATTTTGGTGATTTAATATGGGGACACTAAGAATTAGTAGTCACTATACAATTCATTCGTGGTCTCTAAAAATTGTAATTATCTGATACATTATATAGAATACATTTCAGCAACTACCAGACTATTATTAATAAGGGGAGTGGGTTGCCACAGATTGCAGTATATCTTTTTTTTTTTTTTTTGAGATGGAATCTCACTCTGTCACCCAGGTTGGAGTGCAGTGGCATGATTTTGACTCACTGCAACCTCCACCTCCTGGATTCAAGCGATTCTTCTGCCTCAGCCTCCCGAGTAGCTGGGACTACAGAAACGCACCACCACGCCTGGGTGATTTTTGTATTTTAAGTAGAGTTGGGGTTTCACCATATTGGCCAGACTGGTCTCAAACTCCTGATCTCGTGATCTGCCCATCTCAGCCTCCCAAAGTGCTGGGATTACAGGCGTGAGCCACCGCGCCCTGCCCTGTACAATTATATGTTTATTCTAGAAGCACAAGCCTATGTTTTAAGTATTACTTAAGAAAAAAAAAGAATGAGAAATAAAGTTACTTAACAGAAAAAGTAGCATGTATTTTTTACTTTATTGTTTAAAAGAAACTATTGAGAAAGTCATTCTGTTGCATACACTCTAAAAATACATACGATAAAATAGACTATAGTGGAACGGAGGAGGAACATGTAGCTCAATGGGCACTTTAAGATAATATCCATTTCTTTCTTTATATTCAAGTTGTATACTCAACATGTGAAAAATAATATAAATAAGTGATTTCTAGGAATTCTAGATGTATTAGCAATTTAAAAATTCAATTTGAAATAATGTCCTTAAATATATTTTTCAGCATTCTTTGAAACACACAATTGATGTTTGAGCAAAAATATAGTGCCCTATGAAGGCTATTGAATCTTGTCCTTTTCAATTTTTAAAATAGTCTAAGAATAGCTAATTCTCAATATCTTATTTTTCCCTATCCATAGGAAATCTCTCAGGTATATCTTATTTCAAAAAGGTGAATGCAGAACTCTAATGATACATTAAAATTGTTTGAGAGCATAAACTGGAAGCATGACACACCGTGAGTAGATTCTTATCTAGACTAATAGACGACTAATAGAAATCATTGCTACAGGTCTCTCAACCAAAATTATTCATTAATTCATTATTTTTCCAGAATTCCTTGCATGCAGATTTTTGTTAGTGGTTTAATGGAGAGGGAACATTGCGCAGGGAAAAAAAAATGGCCGCCTTGGAACTGCCACCCAGTGTAAATATTTACAAACCTGCCAACCTGGTGAGAGGTGACAGCCTGCTGGCAGTCCTCACAGCCTTCGCTCGCTCTCGGCGCCTCCTCTGCCTGGGCTCCCACTTTGGCGGCACTTGAGGAGCCCTTCAGCCCGCCGCTGCACTGTGGGATCCCTTTTCTGGGCTGGCCAAGGCCGAAGCCGGCTCCCTCAGCTTGCGGGGAGTTGTGGAGGGAGAGGCGCCAGCGAGAACCGGGGCTGCGCGCGGTGCTTACGGGCCAGCGCGAGTTCCGGGTGGGCGTGGGCTCGGCGGACCCCGCACTCGGAGCCGCCGGCGGGCCCCACCGGCCCAGGGCAGTGAGGGGCTTAGCACCTGGGCCAGCAGCTGCTGTGCTCAATCTCTCGCAGGGCCTTAGCTGCCTTCCCGCGGGGCAGGGCTCGGCACCTGCAGCCTGCCATGCCTGAGCCTCCCCCCACCTCCGTGGGCTCCTGTGCGGCCCTAGCCTCCCCAACGAGCGCCGCCCCCTGCTCCAGGGCGCCCAGTCCCATCGACCACCCAAGGGCTGAGGAGTGCGGGGCGCACGGCTCCTGACTGGCAGGCAGCTCCACCTGCAGCCCCCATGCAGGATCCACTGAGTGAAGCCAGCTGAGCTCCTGAGTCTGGTGGAGACGTGGAGAACCTTTATGTCTAGCTAAGGGATTGTAAATACACCAATCGGCACTCTGTATCTAGCTCAAGGTTTGTAAACACACCAATCAGCACCCTGTGTCTAGCTCAGGGTTTGTGAATGCACCAATGGACACTCTGTATCTAGCTACTGTGGTGAGGACTTGGAGAACCTTTGTGTCCAGACTCTGTATCTGCCTACTGTTGTGTGGAGGTGGAGAACCTCTTTGTCTAGCTCAGGGATTGTAAAGGCACCAATCAGTGCCCTGTCAAAACCAACCACTGGGATCTACCAATCAGCAGGATGTGGGTGGGGCCAGATAAGAGAATAAAAGCAGGCTGCCCCAACCAGCAGTGGCAACCCGCTCGGGTCCCCTTCTGCGCTGTGGACGCTTTGTTCTTTTGTTCTTTGCAATAAATCTTGCTGCTGCTCACTCTTTGGGTCCACACTGCCTTTATGAGCTGTAACACTCACCGCGAAGGTCTGCAGCTTCACTCCTGAAGCCAACGAGACCACGAACCCACCGGGAGGAACGAACAACTCCAGACGCGCCGCCTTAAGAGTTGTAACACTCACTGGGAAGGTCCGCAGCTTCACACTTAAGCCAGCGAGACCACGAACCCACCAGAAGGAAGAAACTCCGAACACATCCGAACATCAGAAGGAACAAACTCCGGACACGCCACCTTTAAGAACTGTAATACTCACCACGAGGGTCCGCGGCTTCATTTTTGAAGTCAGTGAGACCAAGAACCCACCAATTCTGGACACACTGGCATTGATTTTTATAGAGTGAATGCAAACAGGAAACCCAAAGCCTATCTTCTTCCTTTGTACAAAAATATTTGCAATAGAGACTTTCAGCAAGAAGCTGGCTAGTATATCCAAGTAAAATGAGATGTAAGCACAGTGTTTTACTGCGTTATATGGTAATCCTTCCACAAAAGTAAAAAGATCTACAATAGAAAAAATCGCAGTTTTTGAAAGTTTTCTTTAATTGTATGCCTTATGTCATTTTTATGTTTCCCACATTATAAACCAGTCTATATATATATTACAAAAATGTATACTTCATACTTATGAGTAAATACAGTCAGTTCTACAAATTCCATTTTACAGCAGCAATAAATGCCTGCATGATTTATGGAGTGTATATGAAGTAAGTAAACCCCAAAGAAGTCACTTAAAATCCCCTATTCAAACCTGTATTTTTAAAAGACTGCAGTTGCCTATTAATATTCTTATCTTAATTTTATTTATTTATTTATTTTTTTTTGCTGTAGGAAATTGAATCAGAAAGTAGATGGTCTTACGAGCTTTTTCTCCTTGGCCAAAACCAACATCATATACAACATACATACAAAAGTCAACTCGCGGTACCATCTGTAAGAAAAGAGCTTAGGGAGAAGTAAAAAGTTTTGATTTCCCAATGCCGTTATTGAGCTGCAGCTGTAGAAGTAACCCTGAGCCTTTGTAAAGCTACCCATCTTGCTTTTGTTTCCAGGTATTGGCATAGCCTACTATTCAAGGGAGGTGAACTTAGTATCATGAATGCAAAGTTGTATTTTATGGCTCTCTCTTGCCTTTCAGCAAGATTAAGAATCAACAAACTTCCATATATGCTAAGAGATATAGTAGACTGGCATAGCCACATGGTGCTTCATCACAGATTTTGCATACTTACTCTAAGAATTATCAACCAAACAATATGTGGGAGTTTGTTTTGTAATTTAATTTTAAAAGATATTGAACAGAGGGTTGCTCTACTTCTCCCTTATCCCTAGCCTTCAATCTGTTGCCATGTCTGGTATATTTTACCTCTAAAATAACTTCTCCCTGCTTCCACTGCTGCTATACTCGAAATGTTGAAATCACTCCCTATACTAGTTTGCTAGGGCTGCCATAACAAAGTACCATAGACGGGTCACTTCAACAATGAAAATTTATTTTCTAAGTTCTGGAGGCTAGAACTCCAACATCAAAGTGTCAGCAGATTTGGTTTCTTCTTCCTTCCTTGTCTTGCACCTGGCTGCCTTCTTGCTATGTCCTCACATGATCTTTCCTCTATGCCCGTGTGCCTTGGTGTACATTTTTGTGTGTCCAAATTTCCTCATCTTATAAAGACACTGATCAAATTGTATTAAGACCCACCCTAACAGCTTCATTTTAACTTAGTCACCTCTTTAAAGACCCTCTATCCAAATACAGTCACATCCTGAAGGACTGGAAATTAGGACTTCAATATGGGAACTGGGGAAACACAATTCAGCCCATAACACTCCCTACTTTTCTCTTTACTTCAAACCAGTTTTCCAATCACAGTTTTCTACTTTTGTCAAGTATGTCCTTAACCACATCATATGGTTTCCATCAATCAATCACTATTTCTGAAGAGACGTCCAAATTTATAGCCTGATTTTTGCCCTCTTATTTTCCAGCATATCTTTTCAGCCACAATACTGTTTTTACATTCTGATCTGCCAGACAACTAAAAGTATGGGTCGTCCCTCTGTCCAGGCAGAAACACCCTATCTCCTCTTTTTACCACTGTTCCAAACTCAAATGCAAAACTCTAATTTTTTAATCTTGGATAGTAGATATCTATTGACTTGAGAAACATCCATACCCCCATTTTTTTGTTAACAGTCTCCTGCTGTAATTCCACTCAAAATCCCTAGAGGGTGTTTGTGGAACTTCCCCACCCTCTTGTCTTAATCTATGCAGCTAAGGTGGGTTAACACCAACCATCTGATCTCACATGTACACATATAACCCAGAGCTGGCCAATGACTATATTTGAACTCCCAGGTAGGTATTGTTGAAAGAACACGCATTATCTAATGATTTCTGGGATTTCTTCTGGGACTCCAGGGAATAAGAAGCTTTTTAAGTTAGGGTTGTTAAATAAGTAAAAATAAACCTGAGGCTACTAGCACTTTGCCACCCAGCAGGATAAATAAAAACAAATTAAACTCCAGGAATAGCTTATTTAAACTTCAAAATCTCAGTGATTCAGAGCAATTTTAAGTGCTGCCAAAGGGAATATATTCTTTATAAAATTATGACTAACGGCAGACTTCTTATCAGAACCAGAGAGACAATAGAGTTATTTTATTAAGGAAAAATAACTGTCAGTTTAGGATTTTATATTGAGATAAAGCAGAAGTAGGGAATAAAGTTAAAAATTTGTCGTACATATGATAGCCAAGATAATTTACTACCTTTAAATCTAAAAGAAAGAGCTACTAAAGGATATGTTTTATCCAGAGGAAGTTAAAGGAAAGAATAGAAGACAAAATAGTGAGGAAAAAAAGACTCCAGTAAAATGTGTTCATAAATCTAATGAATGTAGAATTAAAATTATATATATTTATAAAGGTATGGTTGTGATGAGAAGGTCACTCTGAATTAAAGTGTGTTGGAGTGTTATTTTATGCAGAAAGATGACAGAGATAATATAACAATAATCATCATGTTTCTGAAAATGTGTTATTAACTATATATAGAAAAAATCATATATTGCTGATGTGACTGTAAACTGATACATCCACTTGGGAACATCATTTGGCGATATCTGCTAATGCTGAACATAGGCATATCCTATGATCTAGAAATTTCTCAGTATATACCTGACATAAATGCACACATTTTTCAAATCAAAGAAATGCATACTAATATTCATAGCAGAATTTTTAATATCCAGCAACTGGAAATAAGCCTAATCTTCATCCATAGTCAAACAGATACATGAATTGTGGCATATTTATACAATGGAATAATATATATCAATGATAATAAACTCAAAAACTTGCATGAATCTCACAGACATTACGTTAAGCAAACAAAGACAGACACTCAAGAGCACGTGCTAAAAGATTCTATGTATATGAAGTTCAAGGTTAGGTAAGCCTAATATATGGGGTTAGAAGTCAGGAAAATGTATCCTCGTGGGGATAGGTAGAAACTAGAAGGGAGCACAAAATAGCTTCTGGGGTTCTAGGAATGTTACACAGATATGCTTACTTTGTGAAATTTAACAGCTATTTTAATTATTGTAAATGTATGATACGAATCAGTGTGCTTTACATTAAAATAGCAAAAAAGTTATAAAAATAATTATTGAAATATGATAAAATCTGAAACTTCCAAGTCAGGTGAAGAATAAAAGGGTTTAGAAAACTTGATCAGTTCAATAGAAATCAGATAAATAAGCAAAGCAAAGAAAATATTTTGTAAAAGTTGATAATTGATTCACTTATAGAGAAAATATTTAGAGAACACTTCTTAGGTTCCTGGCACTGTTCTAAACTCTGAGATTATGGAATTGAATAAAACAGACAAAACTCCCTGCCATGGTGGAGTTTACATCCCAGTGAAGGGAAGACAAAGTAAGTAAATGAAAGATATAGTAAATTACATAGAGAAATTGCTATAAAGAAAAATATCAGAGGAAGGGGATAGAAAGTGCCAGCAGGAAGGAAAATCTATAATAGAGTGGCTAGGGAAAAGTTCACTGAGAAGATGGCATTATAAAAATACTTGAAGGGGCGAAGTTTGGAATTCTCTCCAAAAAATAGCTGGTAAAATAAACAGCAAATATTCTGAATTGGTACGTGGTGATCTGGGCAAGAAAAAAAGACAGAGAAGTCTATGTGGCTGAGCAGTGAGGAGGGAGAAAGTGAGGGAGAGTGAGAATGAAAACTGGATCATGCAGGGCCTTGTGAAGGGACTGGCTGAGAGAATTCATGCAGGCAGTAAGGTGGAAGATGACTCTAAGGCTTTTTTGTCTAAGGAAATGAGAAGTGGAGTTACCATGAACTGAGTATATAAGTAATAACAACAAATCTAAATGCGTTAAACTCATTTGTTAAAAGAAAGAGTTGATGGATTTACTCATTGAACACATAGCAATACAATATTATATGAATGTGTATATATTTCTTTTCCTTTTTTGTTTTGTTTTGTTTTGTTTGTTTCTTTTTTGTTTGTTTTTGAGTCGGGGTCTCACTGTATCACTCAGGCTGGATGGAGCGCAGTGGCGCAATCATGACTCACTCACTACAGCCTTTACTTCCCAGGCTCAAGTGATCCACTCACTACAGCCTTCCCAAGCAGCTGGGACCACAGGTGCTCGCCGTCATGCCCAGCAGATTTTTAAACATTTTTTGTACAGATGGAGTCTCGCCATGTTTCCTGGGCTGGTCTCAAAGCCCTGGGCTCAAGCAGTGCACCCACCTCAGACTCCCAAAGTGCTGGGATTACAGGTGTAAGCCATCATACCCAGCTTGAATGTGTTTACCTGTCTTCATTAAGATAATGTGTATTTAAGTACTTCGAGGTCTCGCCATGTTGCCTAGGCTGGTCTCAAAGCCCTGGGCTCAAGCAATGCACCCACCTCAGACTCCCAAAGTGCTGGGATTACAGGCGTAAGCCATCATGCCCAGCTTGAATGTGTATACCTGTCTTCAATGAGATAATGTGTGTTTAAGTACTTCTTTCCTTTAAATATCAAGTTTCTTGCGATTTTCTAGGAAGATCTCTTCAGGTAAAGAGATACTTTATGATGCTTTAATATGTGCAAAAATGTGGTATGTCAATTAGGAAAGAAGAAGAATCTAAAGGAAATTTTGGGGGCAAACTTAATTTTCTGCTCACTTTATATGATTTTTATATGCTTACAAGTCACACGGTACATAAATTCCAAGTTAGTAAGTCCTCAGTAAATGTTTAATAACAGTATTATTATTATTATGATGATTACTTGTAGGTATAGATGCTTAGTCTCCTTACATATGCTAAAATGGCAAGTTTTTGCCTTTATTATATATTGTACTGAAACCCAGTACTAGATTTCAAGTAGGCATCTCCAGATGTATACCAAGAGAAGACCCAATCACTTTAGATCGACTGAGTTGACGTGTAGAAAAAGATTTTGAAACAACGGAATTAAAAACCCTGAACTTATTCTTTTTCCTTTTTCAGGACTCAAGAGAAGATATTTTGCTCATTGCATTTTTCAGTTCACTGCCTTGAAACGGCCTTTCTTTTATGCCCCATTCGCCTCTCTCATTACCTTTCCCTTTCCCTAGGTAACCATTTTATTTGTGATTTGTGTCTCACATTTGCATGTTTTCTTATGAAGTCTGTACTATTGTTTTTTTTTCCCTCTGCATGTATATTTACATGAATGGGATTGTGCCATAGATTTCATTCTGTTTTGCATTTTCTCATTCACAACTCTTTATGAGGTCTTTCCATGTTTATGTGGCTATATACCCCATTTCTTTTAACTGTTGCTTAGGATATGTTGTAAATACAGTCAGGGTCCTAAAAGTGTCCTCTGTCCTTCCCATGTCTGTGCACACCTGTGAACTTCCAAATGTTTACACCCACATTTCATTGCCAGAGGACCTCCAGAGACCATAATGCTGCCCATATCATGCCCCAAAAGCTAAGGACTTTATGCCTCCTGAGAGAAGTCCTCAACCTATGATTGGCCATTGTATAACTTCAGCTCCATCTCCTCTCAACTGTATAGTGTGCTAAGCCAGCCTCCAGATGTTCCCCAGAGAAGGGAGCTCCAGTAGCTCGTTGTTGAATTGAGAATACGTTCTTCTTTTTTTTTTTTTTTTTTTTTTTGAGATGGAGTCTCACTCTGTTGCCCAGGCTGGAGTGCAGTGGCGTGATCTCGGCTCACTGCAACCTCCGCTCCTCCAGGTTTAAGCAGTGCTCTGCCTCAGCCTCCAGAGTAGCTCGGATTACAGGTGCGTGCCACCAAGCCCGGTTAATTTTTTGTATTTTTAGTAGAGATGGGGTTTCACCATCTTGGGCAGGCTGGTCTTGAACTCCTGACCTCGTGATCCACCTGCCTCGGTCTCCCAAAGTGCTGGGATTACAGGCGTGAGCCACTGCGCCAGACCGATAATACATTCTTAATTAGCTGCTGTCTTCCCTTTCGTTTGGCACTTCCCACCCTCCTACCTGTTACCTGTACATCCCAAATACAGTATCTTTGTCACATGGTCTGTTTCTAGGTTATCCCAAACTAAAAGAGTATTCCATTCACTTTATTATACTAACCAATTACCCTAGTGAGGGTCTGCAGCTTACTTTCTACTCACTACACTATAATAACCATCCTCCTACAAATCCCCTTATGGACCTATAAGGAAATGTCTCTGGGTTACTTACATAGTGCTAGAATTGTTGGGTCATATGGTTCGTATGGAATTTGACTACAGACTACCAGATTTCTCTCCAAAATTATGTATATGGTTTTCTAGATCCTTCCATCTTGGTCAGCCCTATCTCACCCATTTCATAAGTGTTAGAGGTTTATAGTTTCTTTTGTTTGAATTTCTCTACTTACTAATGAATTCATGATCTCTGCATAAGCTTTGGGCCTCCTGTTCTGTGCATTTCCTGCACAGCTTGTTTGCCTATTTTTCTAATTACATTCCATTTAGGATTTTCTTACATTTTAGAAATCCATTCCTTGTCAAATGTAGACATGGCAAGTATTGTCTCCCTATCTGCCATCTGTCAGCTTTGTGGATGGTAACGTGTTTTGAACAGAAATCTTTAATTTGGATTAATTTAATGAATCTATTATTCTTTCTGTAATATATATATTATATATATATAATATATAATATATATTATATATATACACATAATATATATAATATATATAATATATATATACATAATATATATATAATATATATAATATATATATACATAATATATATATATAATATATATATACATAATATATATATATATAATATATATATTGAATATGTTGTTTGAGTATACCCTTGCCACTCCTAGGTCATAAAGATACTCTCCCACATTGCCCTCTATAATCTTTAGAGTTTTACTCTTAACATTTATATATTTTCTTCTGAATGTTCCCTTTGCTTGTGACTTAAAAAAATTCCCAGTATTTGTCAACTTATATCTTCACAGATTATTAGTCAACTCCATGTTATTAAAGGATAAATGCAAAAACAAAATAAATGGGAATTAATAGAAGCAGTACAATTAGTTCTCAAAACTTGAATGAGAGAAATTTTTGAATTACTCTATTCTCTGAAGGCCACAGTTTTGAGCTTTAGTTATGCTGAAACTACTAACCAGTATTATGGTTTTCCTGGTTTTGATCACCGATGCTGGGTGAATTATTCCCTTGAGGAGTAATTTTTTCTTTGGCAAATTTCGGGATCCTGGATTGCGCATTCTAACTATTTTATCTCTATTGCCTCAAATGCAAATCAGATCTCCTTCCAATATTCCTCTGAGCCAAAGGAAACTATGTCGAAACGTAAAATTGAGCTTTGTTTGCTATTGCTGTCATTGGATCAGTCCATCAGACCGGCTGGACTATGGAACTGCCTCAGAGAGCACAGGATTCCCAACTGTGCCTACACTGCTGCATTTTGCTGGGACTCTTGAGTGTCCTCCATTCCTGAACCCATAGTTCCAATGACAGGAAAAACAGACACAGCTCACTTTGTCGTAAGTCCAAGAGAAATATTAAGAGGGGAAGGCCATGTACAATTCAGCTCAGCAAGTTTCCACCGAGTGCCTCTTCCCAAATTGTACTATCTCTTAGAATTCTTGTATTCTAGGTCTAGTTTATCACTTATAAACACGAGTTTCCAAACATTAAGAATAATCATCAATAGATGCATCAGAAATTCTAGACCCTAAGCTTCAGAAGAGAAATTCTCTGTCTTATCTTCTCTTAATATACTTTCCAATGTGATGATCTCATAGACTTCCAAGATGACTCAGGGTTAAGAGGTCAGTATAAGACTAAAATACTGTGTTAAAATTGCATATGTGTGTGTATGTGCATTCGTTTGTATCCAAATGTAGTAAAATATGTGTCAATGGATATATGCTTGTATGTGTATGTATAAAGTGTGTGATAGTACATATACGTAAGTATATATGTATTATACATATATATATACACAGACACACACACATATATACACACACATATACCACTCTATCCCTAAGACCTAAGACAGACTCTGAAAAACAGTAGAAAGTGAATAAATATTTAATGAGTGAATGAACAAATGAATGAAAGAGACTGAAGCTGAATGCCTTTGAGTGATCTCTACAAGTCATGTAGGTGATAAAAGTACATAAGAAACAATTGTAAAGTTTACTTTGGCAGGCTGTAGAGCTCTGTATTCCTAACTCAAGCCCTGACTCAGCTGGCAAGATATTGTAAATAAATCAACTTAAAATTTTCTCTTTTTTCCCACTTAGGGAACACAGTAGTAAACAAAAACATTTATCAAATACAGAGTCATAAATATCTAGGTGGCTATATTTTGCATTAATGAGTCAATCCAACCTTATCATTATAATGCCTGAATAAGTTCAATAGAAGGGTAGAATTTATAAAAAGGCAAAAAATAGAGAAAAAAGGTATTGTAAATATAGATGAACAGTGTGTCCTTTTATAATTATATTTCTCACCAGGGCCATGTGAAAGACAAAAATATACAGGAAATACAAATCTCCAAAGTGTTCCAAAGGATAGTACATTACTATCACTTCCAATTCATCCTTCCAGCAAGGAATTACAGTGGCACAACTGGCTTCCTTCTATGATGTTAATTACTTAATTTAATACTTTCTGTGAAATCTTCTTATTTCTTCTTCTTTGTAGATCATTTTGATTATACATAAATTGAAATTTAGAATTATTAAGGTGGGCATAGGCATTAATATGGTATTTAAGAAATGTAAAGAATTATTCATTCTTTTCTATCCCTATCATGATATGGTGATCATTAACTCAAAGTTTATCTCAATTAATTAAATTTATTAATACTACTGGCTTAAACTACTTTTGCATGTGGAATTTCAGAAGACTATAAAATTTGAAATATCAGAATACTCTAGAATAAAGTATTAAGGTTAGTAATGAGGTAGAATTTCAAATTTATGAAAAGATAAGAAAAAAATGTGTGTGTGCATGTGTGCGTGTGTGTGTGTATGCACGCATGTGTAGGTGTATAAGAAAATAAAAAAACTGAGTACAAATATAATTTCTGAAAAGAAATATAGAAGACTGATTACTTCTAGGTCTTGAAATTGTACCAAAAAATAAAAATCACATAACCTTTCTTTTAATTTTCTGGGGTTTTTTTCTATTTTTTATAATAAATATTTACCATGGAATTAAGATAATATTTCTAAAATAATATGTGTAATCTTTAGTTCCAATATCTTTTGAAACTCTCAACTATCTCATTACAAAAATCACTTCGCTGATTTTGGTTTTTTGTTCTGTGATCACTTAAAAGTGAAATGACCCAAAGACAAAACATGGTGATAGAACATAATGAAGAAGAAAATAAACTGGAAAATAACCTTTGGTATAATGACAATAGATCCAATGTTCCTATTATTGGAATACCAGAAACAGAGAAGAAAGAGATTGGGGCTGAAAGAGTGTTGGAAGAAATAATGACTGAAAACTTTCCAAATTTGGTGAATGACAAACCTACAGACCTAAGAAACTGTGAACCCAATAAGAATAAATCTAAAAAAAAATCTATGCCATGAAACACTTAATTAAACTTTTAAAAATTAAAGATAAAAAAAGGGTCTCAAAAGCAGCCTGAGAGAAATTACACATTACTTTTAAGGGGGCACTAAATTGAATAGACATTAGATTTCTCATCTGAAACCATGAAGGCCAGAAGTGGCACAATATTTTTGAAGTGTAGAAAGAAAATAATTGTCAACAGTGAATTCTATATCTGTTGAACCTTATCAAATCTAAAATATTAAGAGAATTTTTGGCTGGCATACCTATCTTTAAAGACTAGTTGTTAGAGAAAGTTTTTCAAGCAGGAAGAATTTTTTTTTAAAGGAATCTTGGAATGTCAGGAAGGAAGAAGGAACAACAGAATGGAATTATGAGTACATACAATACACCATTTTTTCTTATGAGTTTTATAAATCATATTTTAGATTAAAAACATTATAATGCCCTCTGATATCTAAGACAATGATATTTAGAAACTAGGAGAGTAAAAGAGCTAAATGGAACTGCAACAGAATAAAACTTTATTAGACACAGTTAAAGCAGTGTGAGAGGAAAATTTATAGCACTAAGTCCTTATATTGGAAATGAGTCAGAATCAAAGTTTCAAATCAACAACCTAAGTTCCAACCTCAGGAAATTAGGAAAAGTAGATTAAATAAACCTAAAGCAAGGAGAAGAAAGGTATAATAAAGATAAGAGCAGCAGAAATCAATGGAAGAAAAAATAAGAAACCAATAAAGAACATCAATGAAGCAAAAAGCTGGTTCTTCAAAAACGTGATAAAATTGAGAAACTTCTAGTGTGAGTTATTAAAATAAAAAAAGACAACCAACATCAGAAATGAAGTAGGGACTATCGCTATGGCACATGCAGACATTAAACAGATAGTAATGGATTGCTACAAATAACTTTGTGCTTATGTATTTGACAACTTAGGAGAAATGGGAGACAATTTCTCAAAACCACAAACTACCAAAACTCAAACAAATTTAAAATAAACAATTTGAATATCCCCATAAGTTTCAGTCAAATTGAATTATTAATTTAAGAGCTTCTCCCAAAAGAAATATCCAAGACCAGATTGTGTCACTGGAGAGTTCTACCAAATATTTAAAGAATCAACATGAATTTTACACAATGTCTTCCAGAAAACAGAAGAAGAGAGCATTTTCCAGCTTATTGTATAAGACCAACATTGTCCTAATATTACCCTTTTGCCAGATCAGACAGTGGCATGCCAAAAATCAAAAACCAAAACCAACCAACCAAACAAAAAAACCCCTACAGACCAATATCCAATACCTCCACTGAAGTTAGGCTCCAAAATTTTCAACAGTACATAAGAAAACTAAATCCAACAATATGTAAAATGAATTACGCAGGTTGACCAAATAGGATTTATTCCAGGTAGGCAGGCTATTCAATATTCAAAAATTACTCAATTAAGTCTACTATATCAACAAACTGAAGAAGAAAACATATTTTCATATAAATTGACTCAAAAATTCAATACCTGTTCATGATAACAACTCTCAGAGAAATAGGACTAAAAGGAAACCTACTCAAGTTTCTAAGTGGCATCCATGAAAAACCTATACCTAACATTATGATTAATTGTGAAAGACTGAATGTTTCTTCCCTAAGATTGAGGGAAAGATGTCTGCTCTTATCATTATTATTCAACATAATGCTGGAAGTTCCAGCAAGAGCAATAGGCAAGATAAATAAATGAAAGCATATAAATTGTAAACAAAAAATCTATCTCTGTTTACAAAAGACATAAAAATCCTGAGTAATCTACCAAAAAGGTAAAATAACAACAAAAACCCTTATGAAACTAAGTGAGTTCAGCAAGGTCACAAGACACAAGATTAATGCACAAACTTAATCTCATTTCTATATACCAACAATGACATGCAGAAAATAAAATTGAAACAATATCAGTTGCATCACTTCCAAAAAATAAAATACTTAGTTATAAGCTCAGAAAACATATATTGGATCTGTATGCCAAAAATTAAAAAATGCTAATGAAAGAAATTGAAGAAGATCTAAAAAAATAAAGAGACATACTATGTTCATGGATTGGCAGACTCAACATAATAATGATGTTAGGCCAGGTGTGGTGGCTCACACCTGTAATCCCAGCACTTTGGGAGGCTGAGGCAGGTAGATCACAAGGTCAAGAGATTGAGACCATCCTGGCCAATACGGTGAAACCCCATCTGTACTAAAAATACAAAAATTAGTTGGGTGTGGTGGCACATGCCTGTAATCCCAGTTACTCAGGAGGCTGAGATAGGAGAATCACTTGAACCTGGGAGGTGGAGGTTCCAGTGAGCCGAGATCGTCCCATTGCACTCCTGCCTGGGCCACAAAAGTGAAACTCCATCTAAAAAAAAAAAAAGATGTTAGTTTACCCCAGATTGATCTATTAATTTAATCCAACTTTGATCAAAATCCCAGCAAGGTTTTTGTACACATAAACAAGCTTATTCTAAAATTTTTATGGATGTCATTGGTCCTAGAATAGCTAAAACCATCTAGACAAAGAATATAGATTAATGCTTACTATATAGCCACAGTAATCAAAACAGTGTAGTATTAGCCAAAGGATAGGCACATAGGGAGCCGGGCTAGGTAGCTCATGCCTGTAAACCCAGCACTTTGGGAGGCTGAAGTGGGCAGATCATGAGGCCAAGAGATCAAGACCATCCTGGCCAACATGGTGAAACCCTGTCTCTACTAAAAATACAAAAATTAGCAAGGCATGGTGGTGCATGCCTGTAGTCTCAGCTACTCAGGGGGCTGAGGCAGAAGAATCGCTTGAACCTGGGAGGCAGAGGTTGCAGTTAGCCGAGATAGTGCCACTGCACTCCATCCTGGCAAAGGAGCGAGACTCCGTTACCCCCTGCGAAATAAAAAAAATTAAAAAATTTAAAAAAAAAGACAGGCACATAGGCAATGGTACAGCATAGAGGATGAGAAATAGACACCCCCAAAAAAAAGGCTTGGCTGATTTTTTACAAAGTGCAAAAATCAACACAGAGAAAGGTTAGCCACTTTAACAAATGGTGGTAGAACATAGAACAGTAAGACAAACAAGCAAAACACAAACACAAAAGAAATCCATACCAAAAAAACCCTTTGAGTTCAGTGACACAATTTATACAAAAATGAACTCAAAATGGGTCATAGACTTAAATGTGAAACAAAATCTGAAAACTTTTAGAAATAAAAACACAGGAGCAAACTTTGGGATCTGGAGCTAGGCAGACAGTTATTGGACTTGACAACAAAATCATGATCCACAGAAGGAAAACTTGACAAATCTGATTTTATCAAAAATAAAAACACTTGCTTTGTGAAAGTCCACGTGAGGAAAATGAAATTACAAGCTACAAGATAGAAATAAATATTTTAAAACCACATAGCTGACAAAGGAATAATATCTAGAATATATAAAGAACTCTGAAAACTCAACAATACATAAATATTTAATTAGAAAATGGACAAAAGGCATTATAGACCAAAGAGGATATAAAATGGCAAAAAAGCAGGCACATGGAAATATGTTAAATATTTATTGGTCATTAGAGAAATACAAATGAACACCATAATGAGATATCACCACACATCTATAAGCATTATTAAAATGAGAATTACAACACCAAATGCTGATGAGGAAATGGTGAAACTGGATCATTCATACATCGCTTTTAGGACTGTGAAATGGTACAGACACTCTGGAAAGCAGTTTAGCAGTTTCTTAAATATTTAAACATGCAACTACCATATGACCCAGAATTTTATTCCTGTACATCTATCCTAGAGAAATGAAAACGTATGTTCCCACAAAAATTTGTGCGTGAATGTTCATAGAAGTTTTATTGTAACAGCCCAAAACTGGTATCAACCCAGATGTGCTTCAGAGTTGAATGGCTAGGGTGGGCGCTGTGGCTCACGCCTGTAATCTCAGCTACTCAGGAGGCTGAGGCTGGAGAATAGCTTGAACACAGGAGGCAGAGGTTGCTGTGAGCAGAGATCGCGCTGCTGCATTCCAGCCTGGGCAACAGACTCCATCTCAAAAACAAAAAGAAACTAACAAAAAAGAGTTGAATGGTTAAACAAAATTGTAATACTACTCAGCAATAAAAAGAAATACACTATCGATATACAGAACTACTTGAATGAATCTTTAGGAAATCATGTTGAGCAAAAACAAAACTCCAAATTGTTGTATACTACATAATTCCACTTATATTAAATTTTTGAAATGACAAAATTTTAGAAATGGAGGACAGACTAGTGGCAGATAGTTAGAAAGGGAGGTGGAGAAATTGGGGAAGAAGGGGAATGGGTGTGGCTCAAAAAGAATAGGAGGGATCCTTGTGGCACTGGAACCCCTCAGTATTTTAACCAGGGTGATGATACACGAACTTATACGAGTAATAAAATTGTGTAGAACTTCACACACACATTAAAGAGTAAACTTAGGAAAACTGAATAAGATCAGTGGATTGACTGATGTCAATATCCTGGTTGTGATATCATACTATAGCTCTAAAAAAGTTACCACTGGGGAAATTAGGCAAAGTGTACAAGCCTTCTCTTTACATTACTAACTTTTACAACTGCATGTAAATCTATAATTATCTTGAGTTTTTTTCCTTCTTTTTTTAATGGAGAGAACATCCTCAAAGATTTTCCTTCATGAAAATGTTAGCTAAAACGAAAATCCACACTTAATGCCATGAAATTGTCCTAAAATAATACTGGGTGTTTGTGTCTTCTTTCTTCTTTCATCCATTTTTATGACATGATGTGACACAATGATTAAGATGAGGGGATTTGAAGTTAGGCACACTTAGGACAAACTCCTCGGACTTCCACCAACTAGCAGTGTGATCTTTGGCTAGTCATTTAATGTCTCTTAGATTCTGATTCTTCCTTAATCTATACAAATCTCAGGCTTTTGGTGCCTCCAGACTATAAAGACCAAGCCCAAACAATTTTAGAAGGTCTTGAAGCTTCTGGGAGAATTAAGCTGAGGGAATTCTGGGATGGCATTGAAAGAAGGGTTCCTTATCTGAATGTATCCCATTTATAGCACTTTATTTTTTGTAAGTGTTTATTTTCACATATATGATCCAGTGATGGTTTTGAAATATGTCCACAAATTCTTTGACATTCTTGCCTCCAAAAGGTGGAGTCTAACTCTCTCCTTTTGAGGATTAGGTGAAAGTGAGGTATGTGACTTACAAGGGTAGGTCATTGAAGACATTCTTGCTTCTGTCTCTTCGATCACTCCCACTGGGGAGACCAGCTGACGTGTCATGAGGATGCTTAAGCAGCCATATGGAGAGACCCACATGGCAAGGTTCTGAAAATTCCTGCCAACAGCCAACACAGAAGTGAACATGTGACTAGCCATGAGAGTGAATTCTCAAGCCCCAGTCAAACCTTCAAATGACTGCAGCCTTGGCTGACCTCTAGATGGCAACCTCATGGAAGACTCCAAGCCAGAACCATCTAGCTAAACTCCTGAATTCCTGAGCTGCAGAAACTAAGTTTATTTATGTTTGTTGTTTGAAGCTGCTAAGATTGGAGGTAATTGATTATGCAGCAACAGATTGAATTCATAATCTAATTTTATTCTTTACACAGTTCAGAAATATTAAATAATTTTTTCATGGTACAGAGTTAGTAAAAGATAGACCCAACCAAATTCTGATGTTCCAATTTCAAATAAAGTGTCATGGGACGTCTTCCAGCTTGTATGATCAATCTTCAATTTAAAATCCTGAATCACTGTTTTAAAGAGAGACAAGTTGCTGTCAGCCTTGGGTGTGGTGGCACCCAAGAATAACAGCAACAGCCCTTCAGAGCCAGACAGAAATAGCCCTTACCCTGGATCCTGTGTTTTAAATGGTTCTTTTTTGTTCCAGTCTCATTCTGCATGCAGAAGCAACCCATGGATGCACACAAAGCCCTTCATGGTGCAGGACAGAGCTTGAGAGAAAAAGAGATATTTTAAATTATCTTAATATCATACAATCCTTGCCACTCTTACCATTGGAAAGCCATGAAATAATTTGAATAGAATGTGTGAACAGCTAAAATGAGGATGATTTTATTATTCATGAAACTTTAATATAAATACTTTATAATATGAATCTAAACATGGCCTGCAGCCACCCATGTTTCATCATGGGACTTCAAGGAGTTTTCAAGGAATTCAAGGAGCATTTAAAATTTGAATGTGGCATTCTAAGTCATTATGAAGGAATATTTATTAAGCTAAGAGCACAGAACATTACACAGGAAATTTTATTAGCTTTACTTTATAACTTTTAAATATTTAGAACTATGGTATGTGGCCTTCTTATTAGTATATGGTATAAGGGGCTCTTGCTTTTAGCCCCTCAAGTGACAAGATTAGGAAGCAGGCAACTACTGTTTTTCCCTCCATACAGGGACCAAGGAACCAACCTGAAATACTATAACTATGATAACCCTTCAGAAAACCCTTCTAGGGTTCTAGTCTATAATTCTAGGTCCAACAGAGGAAAGAAGGATGTGATCTTTTGAGTTCAAGAGCCTGCAGATCCAGTTACAATAAAAATCTTAAGATTACTGTGTATTGGGGACCATGTTAGGTGCTTTTCATGAATGACATTATGTAGTCCTCACAACAACTGTGTTGGTGAGGTGCAATTAGCCTCATTATGCAGATGAGAAAGCCAAGACTCAGAGGTATGTTCCAGATCCTTTAGCGAGAAAGAGACAGATTACAATTCTGTCTCATCCCAAGGCCAGTGCACATGACTACCATTCTTCACAGCAGCAGATCTACTTTGGAGGAATTTAGGTGTCACATTTCCCTGAGTTCTGGAATAGAGGAAAATCTCCTTTGAAAAGACCACAAGTAGAGTAGTCTTGGGAGACATTTGCACAAGGGTTTATCCCAAAAATCTATTCTAACTCTTAAGGGTTTATCAACTTAGCATATTAGTCACTACTGAATTTTTATGTTGTTATAAAAAATGTTATTTCTAAAATAACATCAAACCGAAAAGAAAGGAAAAAGTCAGTGAATAAGGCTTTGGGATATCAGAAGAAAGACATGAACCAAAAGTTGAATTTATAGGTATTAGAGGAAGGAAATCTTAAAGGAAAACATAAGGAAACTCCATGGGGACTATGAGTCTACAACCTAGTCTGACAGTTTTATGTTGCACCATAATTTAATATAATGGAGAAATTCAGGCTCTAAACTATTCATGTTAAAGTTTCATGAATAATAAAATCATCTTCATTTTAGTTGGTCACATATTCTATTCAAATTATTTTATGGCCTTCCAATGGTAAGAGTGGCAAAGATTGTATAATGTTAAGATAATTTAAAAGCAACTGCGTACGTTGCTTAATCTTTAAATAATTCTTATTTAGTGAGAATTGAAAAGCACTGATGAGTAAATGAAGGATGAAAGACATTTATAAAGGTATGAAACATCACTCAGAAATGATCATATTCTAGTTAACAATTCACATAACAATTTCAGCTTTAAAAGGAGTTCGCTGTATTGTTTAGTGCAATATTTTGTCTATTTAGGCAGAAAATGATAGATTTAGCACTACAATATTAGCAGTGTTTAAAAGTCCCAGCATTTCCATCTTAGAAGTACTTGCCCCAATCTTCCAAGAAAAAGGCTTATATTAATTTGCCATTGAACAAATGACACAGTCCTATAAAAGAAAGCCAAAACTTTTCCTTCCTAGCTTTGCTTTTCAAGTAGAATAATATTGTGTCATATCACCTAGTATTATTACTTACATAAAATTTTCTTCCAGGATGAAAATACAAGAGTGAATGATAAGTTTCCTTCTGAGCTGGCATCCTTACCATGGAAGGTAAACCTCTAAAACACTGTAAAATCACAAACTGCCTAATATAATAAATTTCTTTTCCAGATAGCATTATCTTTCACTACTTATTTCTTCCATCTTTCATCCATAGAGTTTTACATTATTCTCACGTTGTATATAGTGAGACAGTCACAGGGCAAAACCTAAACAATCTTTGCCCTTGACAAATCCATTAACAAAAAAAAAAAAAGAAAGAAAGAAAGAAAGAAAGAAAGAAAGAAAGAGAAAGAAAGAAAGAAAGAAAGACCCTGGCTTTAAGCTGGTCGTTATTTGTTTTCTTGGATATAATGCACTTTTGAGTTTCAACCCACAACCAGGCTTACTTGACTTTACATTTTTTGTCCATTTTATACAGTATTGCTTTTAGACAGAAAGTATGTAAAAGAAACTCACAAGCTTAAAATTATATATACAAATCCTTCTGACTGTGCCAAACTATTCTGAGAAAATCTTTTTCTCTCAAAATCCCAAAGTACATTTTAAAAATTCTCATTTGCCCTTCATAACCTCCTCATCTGTCTGTCTAAAATGCCTTCTCTTTAAATAACTTAACAACACCTGCCTCCAACATTAATATACATATTACCAAACATAAATATATACATACTTACGCATATTCATATGCAACACATACACATGTACATTTGCAATTTATAAATGGCAAACTCACCTTCTCATTTACAAGTGCAACTCATTCTAAATTTATTTTCAGTTTATATCAACAAAGTTTTTTTAAATATAAACTCTTTTCAGTATGCCAAACTATCCTGAGAAAGTATTTTTCTCTCAAAATCCCAAAGTAAATTTAAAAATTCTCATTTGTCCTTAATAATTCCCTTGTCTGTCCAAAACCCTTCTATTTAAATAATTTAACATGTACTTCCAACATATACATACTACCAAACATAAATACTTACATATTATGCATATCCATATACTACACACACACATATATACATATGCAATTCATAACTGGCAAACTCACCTTCTCATTTCCAAGTGCACACAGCTCATTCCAAATTTATTTTCAGTTTACATCAACAAACGTTTGGGTTTTTTTTTTAATCTAAAGCCAAACAAAGCACAAGACAATAAATTTAGAATCTCCTGCTTATATTCCAAAAAATTATCCTGTGAAAGATGGCAATGAGGTTTTACTCCCCCAGAGAAAGAAACCAATCTCCAAAATAATGTCCTAGGAAAGAGCTTTTCCCTGAGATTTTCTTCTTTATTTTTTATAAAGGAAAAAATACAAATACAGAAGGCATTTGAGCAAATCAAATGGTAAGAGGCTTCTACATTAGCCACACTTTTTCTGTTCAGAAAAGAAAAACAGTTTTATCATATGCTGTAAATTCTGCAGAGTATTAAAAAGGGATTTAGTCACTCTCATTTTTTTTTCTAAATCTCTTTCCCACAACTAAGATTATTTTTAGTGAACATGAAAAGGGGAAAATAATTCTTGAAATCAAAATAACTGAATTTGTATGTTTAAGATAAATTCAAAGCCCTAACAATTTCCTCTAATATTAATTTACATTAGGAAACATCAGCCAATTAATCTCAAGTGAAATTTCAAACATCAGTTGTGGACAATGTTTTTCATGTTTGTGGATAGGTAATATGATGCAGATCTTCCAACAAATAGCTACCTTTAAGTCTTCCCTAAGATCATGAGAGAAAGAGATGATATTTCATTTCATTATCATAAAATCCTGAAAATATTCAGAAATGCTCTTTTTCTAACTCTCCACTACTACGGCTCTAGGATTAACAAGTTCTGGGCTTTGGAGTAAGACAATCTGAGTTCAAGATCCAGTTCTTGGCTGAGTGACAGAGAGCAAATTATTTAACACTCTAGACTTGCTTCCTTCTCTAGCAGACAGTCATTACAGGGTGTACAGCAGACTAAATGATATATGTAAAACACTTCATACCATTCATTTCTAGCTCACAGTACCTGTCAATAAATATCACTCAGGACTAGTGTTGCTGAGGTACTGACACTTCTTCCTATCAGATACACAAAGATTCCATTAAATGCCACCTAAAGGATGTACTTCTGGATAGGTCAAACAAGGACATTAATTGAAAAGGAAAAGGAAACATGTACACTTCCACCATGTTCGACTTGGGATTATTCTTGGCATTCACAACAACTGTGCAAAGTAGGCAATAATGCAACATTATTTTATACAAGAAAATAAAAGCAAAAATGGTCGCCCAGCTTAGTGAAAGGCAGAGCTTGGCCTCCATCTCCAAATCTCACGGGCTTTCATTTCCGTCAGGCTACAAACATATACATTTAACTTGAGAAGAAGGAAGAAAGAGCTATCAGTCCCTTCTTTTCACCTGATTCATAGGTGTGAAATAATTCTGTTCCAGGGTTTGTCTTCATAAATTTTGTGATGTGAGTGGCGCTTGACAAATCCCTCTGACAAACTCACAGGAAATTAGTGTCTTGAAGGGTCTCTTAGGTTCCTGTTAAATGTAAGTACTCCTTGAAGAAATTTTATTACACAACCTTCAGGGAGAGTTAAGTTTGACTGCTATCTGAGTGTGAGTGGCTGGCAGAACGGAAGGCAGAATTGGAAAATCAGGGATTAGAGATCAAACTGGAAATGGAAGAGAGGTCCCAGATGGAGGCAGTGAAGTATCACATGAGAAGACAATTCCTTCTGTTTCCAAAGGTTTTGCATCTGAGAGTTCAACCAACCATGGATCAAAAATATTTGAAATAAAACAATAAAAAATGACAGTTGACAATAAAAGTACAATTTAAAAAACAATACAGTATGACATCTATTTACATAGCATTCACATTGTATTAGACATTATAAGTAATCTAGCGATGATTTAAAGTAAAAGGGAGAATATGTATAGGTTATATGCAAATACTGTGCCATTTTTATATCAGGAACTTGAGCATCTGAGGATTTTGATATCCACAGGGATTTTGGAACCAATACCCATAAATACCAACGGATGATTGTATTGAGTATTTATTAGGCACAGATAAATAATATGTACTTGATAATCCATCTTTAACATGGCCATAGTAGCTTATTAGCTACTGCTTATTATTACTAACATCATGCTCTGTGGGAAAATTAGTAAAGACATTACACTGGCTTAGAGAGTAAGAATTCTGCCTTCTAGTCACAGTTCTGCCATTTAGTACCAATGTGGCATGGGGAAAATTACTTTACAGCTCTGCCTCAGTTTCCTCATTTGTAATAATTGTCTTTTTTCCTCACATGGTTGTTATGAAAAAAAGTGAGCTGGGCTACCCTCTTTGGGTCCCCTCCCTTTGTATGGGAGCTCTGTTTTCACTCTATTAAATCTTGCAACTGCACTCTGTTCTGGTCCGTGTTTGCTATGGCTCAAGCTGAGCTTTTCCTCACCATCCACCACTGCTGTTTGCTGCCCTTGCAGACCCGCTGCTGACTTCCATCCCTCCGGATCCGGCAGGGTGTCCGCTGTGCTCCTGATCCAGCGAAGGCACCCATTGCCACTACCGATTGGGCTACAGGCTTGCCATTGTTCCTGCATGGCTAAGTGCCCAGGTTGGTCCCAGTCGAGCCAAACACTAGTCACTGGGTTCCACGGTTCTCTTCCATGACCCACGGCTTCTAATAGAGCTGTAACACTCACCACATTGCCCAAGATTCCATTCATTGGAATCCGTGAGGCCAAGAACCCCAGGTCAGAGAATACGAGGCTTGCCGCCATCTTGGAAGCTGACTGCCACCATCTTGGGAGCTCTGGGAGCAAGGACCCCCTGGTAACATTTGGCGACCATGAAGGGACCTCCAAAGTGATGGGAAATGTTCCCCCCAAGGCAAAAATGCCCCTAAGATCTATTCTGGAGAATTGGGTCAAATCTGACCCTCAGATGTTACAAAACAAACAACTTATATTCTTCTGCAGCACTGCCTGGTCATGATATCCTCGTGGGGGATCTCCTTCCAAGGGGGAGAAACCTGGCCTCCTGAGGGAAGTATAAATTATAACACCATCTTACAGCTAGACCTCTTTTGTAGAAAAGAAGGCAAATAGAGTGAAGTGCCATATGTACAAATTTTCCTTTCATTAAGAGACAACTCACAGTTATGTAAAAAGTGTGATTTATGCCCTACAGGAAGCCCTCAGAGTTTACCTCCCTACCCGGGCATCCCCCCGACTCCTTCCCCAATTAATAAGGATGCCCCTTCAACCAAAATGGTCCAAAAGGAGATAGACAAAGGGGTAAACAATGAACCAAAGAGTGCCAATATTCCCTGATTATGCCACCTCCAAGTGGTGGGAGGAGGAGAATTCGGCCCAGCCAGAGTGCATGTACCTTTTTCTCTCTCAGACTTGAAGCAAATTAAAATAGACCTAGGTAAATTCTCATATAACCCTGATGGCTATATTGATGTTTTACAAGGGTTAGGGCAATCCTTTGATCTGACATGGAGAGATATAATGTTACTGCTAAATCAGACACTAACCCCAAATGAGAGAAGTGCCGCCATAACTGCAGCCCGAGAGTTTGGTGATCTCTAGTATCTCAGTCAGGTCAATTATAGGATAAAAACAGAGGAAAGAGAATGATTCCCCACAGGCAGCAGGCAGTTCTCAGTGTAGACTCTCACTGGGACACAGAATCAGAACATGGAGACTGGTGCCAAAGACATTTGCTAACTTGCGTGCTAGAAGTACTAAGGAAAACTAGGAAGAAGCCTATGAATTATTCAATGATGTCCACTATAACACAGGGAAAGGAAGAAAATACTACCGCCTTTCTGGAGAGACTAAGGGAGGCATTGAGAAAGCATACCTCTCTGTCACCTGACTCTATTGAAGGCCAACTAAACTTAAAGGATAAGTTTATCACTCAGTCAGCTGCAGACATTAGAAAAAAACTTCAAAAGTCTGCCTTAGGCCCAGAGCAAAACTTAGAAACCCCATTGAACTTGGCAACCTCGGTTTTTTTAATAGAGATAGGGAGGAGCAGGCAGAACAAGACAAATGGGATAAAAAAACAGAAGGCCACTGCTTTAGTCATGGCCCTCAGACAAGTGGACTTCGGAGGCTCTGGGAAAGGTAAAAGCTGGGCAAATCGAATGCCTAATAGGTCTTGCTTCCAGTGTGGTCTAAAAGGACACTTTAAAAAAGATTGTCCAAGTAGAAATGAGCCGCCCCCTCGTCCATGCCCCTTATGTCAAGGGAATTACTGGAAGGCCCACTGCCCAAGGGGATGAAGTTCCTCTGAGTCAGAAGCCACTAACCAGATGATCCAGCAGCAGGACTGAGGGTGCCTGGGGCAAGTGCCAGCCCATGCCATCACCCTCACAGAGCCCCAAGTATGCTTGACCATTGAGGGCCAGGAGGTTAACTGTCTCCTGGACCCTGGTGCAGCCTTCTCAATCTTACTCTCCTGTCCTGGACAACTGTCCTCCTGATCTGTCACTATCTAAGGGGTCCTAGGACAGCCAGTCACTAGTTGCTTCTCTTGTCTACTAAATTGTGACTGGGGAACTTTACTCTTTTCACATGCTTTTCTAATTATGCCTGAAAGCCCCACTCCCTTGTTAGGGAGAGATATTCTAGCAAAAACAGGGGCCATTATACACCTGAACATAGGAGAAGAAACACCCGTTTGTTGTCCCCTGCTTGAGGAAGGAATTAATCCTGAAGTCTGGACAACAGAAGGACAATATGGAAGAGCAAAGAATGCCTGTCTTCTTCCAATTAAACTAAAGGATTCTGCCTCCTTTCCCTACCAAAGGCAGTACCCGCTTAGACCTGAGGCCCAACAAGGACTCCAAAAGATTGCTAAGGACCTAAATGCCCAAGGCCTAGTAAGACCATGCAGTAGCCCCTGCAATACTCCAATTTTAGGAGTACAGAAACCCAATGGGCAGTGGAGGTTAGGCAAGATCTCAAGATTATCAATGAGGCTGTTGTTCCTCTATACCCAGCTGTACCTAACCCTTATACTCTGATTTCCCAAAAACCTGAGGAAGCAAAGTGGTTTATACTCCTGGACCTTAAGGATGCCTTTTTCTGCATCCCTGTACATCCTAACTCTCAATTCTTGTTTGCCTTTGAAGATCCTTCAAACCCAACATCTCAACTCACCTGGACTGTTTTACCCCAAGGGTTCAGGGATAGCCCCCATCTATTTGGCCAGGCATTAGCCCAAGACTTGAGCCAGTTCTTGTACCTGGACACTCTTGTCCTTTGGTACGTGGATGATTTACTTTTAGCCACCCATTCAGAAACCTTGTGCCATCAAGCCACCCAAGCGCTCTTAAATTTCCTTGCCACCTGTGGCTACAAGGTTTCCAAACCAAAAGCTCAGCTCTGCTCACAGTAGGTTAAATACTTAGGGCTAAAATTATCCAAAGGCATCAGGGCCCTCAGTGAGGAATGTATCCAGCCCATACTGGCTTATCCTCATCCCAAAACCCTAAAGCAACTAAGAGTGTTCCTTGGCATAACAGGCTTCTGCCAAATATGGATTCCCAGGTATGGCGAAATAGCCAAGCCATTATATACACTAATTAAGGAAACTCAGAAAGCCAATACCCATTTAGTAAGATGGACACCAGAAGCAGAAGCAGCTTTCCAGGCCCTAAAGAAATCCCTAACCCAAGCCCCAGTGTTAAGCTTGCCAACGGGGCAAGACTTTTCTTTATATGTCACAGAAAAACAGGAATAGCTCTAGGAGTCCTTACACAGGTCCAAGGGACAAGCTTGCAACCTGTGGCATACCTGAGTAAGGAAACTGATGTAGTGGCAAAGGGTTGGCCTCATTGTTTACAGGTAGGGGCAGCAGTAGCAGTCTTAGTTTCTGAAACAGTTAAAATAATACAGGGAAGAGATCTTACTGTGTGGACATCTCATGATGTGAACGGCATACTCACTGCTAAAGAAGACTTGTGGCTGTCAGACAACCATTTACTTAAATAGCAGGTTCTATTACTTGAAGTGCCAGTGCTGCGACTGCACATTTGTGCAACTCTTAACCCAGCCACATTTCTTCCAGACAATGAAGAAAAGATAGAACATAACTGTCAACAAGTAATTGCTCAAACCTATGCTGCTCGAGGGGACCTTCTAGAGGTTCCCTTGACTGATCCCGACCTCAACTTGTATACTGATGGAAGTTCCTTGGCAGAAAAAGGACTTTGAAAAGCGGGGTATGCAGTGATCAGTGATAATGGAATACTTGAAAGTAATCGCCTCACTCCAGGAACTAGTGCTCACCTGGCAGAACTAATAGCCCTCACTTGGGCACTAGAATTAGGAGAAGGAAAAAGGGTAAATATATATTCAGACTCTAAGTATGCTTACCTAGTCCTCCATGCCCATGCAGCAATATGGAGAGAGAGGGAATTCCTAACTTCTGAGGGAACACCTATCAACCATCAGGAAGCCATTAGGAGATTATTATTGGCTGTACAGAAACCTAAAGAGGTGGCAGTCTTACACTGCCAGGGTCATCAGAAAGAAGAGGAAAGGGAAATAGAAGGCAATCGCCAAGCGGATATTGAAGCAAAAAAAGCCGCAAGGCAGGACTCTCCATTAGAAATGCTTATAGAAGGACCCCTAGTATGGGGTAATCCCCTCTGGGAAACCAAGCCCCAATACTCAGCAGAAGAAATAGAATGGGAACCTCATGAAGACATAGTTTCCTCCCCTCAGGATGGCTAGCCACCAAAGAAGGAAAAATACTTTTGCTTGCAGCTAACCAATGGAAATTACTTAAAACCCTTCACCAAACCTTTCACTTAGGCATTGACAGCACCCATCAGATGACCAAACTATTATTTACTGGACCAGACCTTTTCAAAACTATCAAGCAGATAGTCAGGGCCTGTGAAGTGTGCCAAAGAAATAATCCCCTGCACTGTAGGCCATACATTTCAATCCCTCTATTTTTAATCTCCTTGATAACTTTGTCTCTTCCAGAATCAAAGCTGTAAAACTACAAATCGTTCTTCAAATGGAGCCCCAGATGCAGTCCATGACTAAGATCTACCGCAGACCCCTGGACCAGCCTGCTAGCCCATGCTCTGATGTTAATGACATCGAAGGCACCCCTCCCGAGGAAATCTGAACTGCACAACCCCTACTATGCCCCAATTCAGCAGGAAGCAGTTAGTGCAGACATCAGTCGACTTCCCCAACAGCACTTGGGTTTTCCTGTTGAGAGAGGGTACTGAGAGACAGGACTAGCTGGATTTCCTAGGCCAACTAAGAATCCCTAAGCCTAGCTGGGAAGGTGACCGCATCCACCTTTAAACACGGGGCTTGCAACTTAGAGCACGCCAACAAATCAGGTAGTAAAGACAGCTCGCTAAAATGCTAATTAGGCAAAAACAGGAGGTAAAGAAATAGCCAATCATCTATCACCTGACAGCACAGCGAGAGGGAAAATGATCAGAATATAAACCCAGGCATTTGAACCATCAACGGCTACCCTCTTTGGATCCCCTCCCTTTGTATGGGAGCTCTGTTTTCACACTATTAAATCTTGCAACTGCAAAAAAAAAAAAGAAAAAAAAACTGAGCTAGTATGTTAAAGCTTATGATAAAATAAAAATAATTCTGGATAGATGCAAATTATTATTATGTAATACTTGCCAAAACAAATATTTAGTGAACAAACCTTCATGCAGGGTATTGCTTTACCATAGAGCAACTAAGTTAAACCAAATATTAATCTTAGCAGGAATATCATGTAACAAAATCATTATTATTACCACTTATGCTGAATTCTTATGTAGAAATAAAATGTAGTGCTACTAAAATGGAATTCTGACTATTTTCACCAAAGTCACAAATTATTCAGCTTCTGAGCCTAACACACTTGTTAAGATGTATGTACCCCTAGTTTCCACTTCAGATCATGCTATCATCTGTGGATAAAAATTCACATTCATCTCACTTGATCTCTAAATTGATCTGAACTGGAATCCAGACCTCTGGCTAATGGAAACTTTGAAGGGATCCAGTTGGCAATCTCAGTATTTGCACACCCTTTCATATCCACAAAGGTTTTATCATTGCTGCTTGAGTTCTAACCTAAAAGAATAATTGGAAAGATACCTATTTTTAAATTCCCAAGGAAAAGTATAATTAACTGCTGCCCAATTGTGGCTGCCATAGCAGTCTGCAGGGCAGATATTTTACTGAGAGAGAGAGACTCCAGTGAATCCCTTGGCTCACACCAGTATATCTCATCTATCAAGAAAGTGAATACTTCTTCAAAGTATCTTAATCATGAAATCATAAAGTAATTTCCATCCAAGTCTTCCCTCTAGGCTCTCATCAGTCTATCATTTCTCCTATCCATTATATTGCCAAACTATATGACATACCTTCATTTTCCAAAGCCCTTTCCCTCACAAGTGAAATAAATAAAAGCATTCTAAAATTTGAACTTACTCACATTTATTTCCTTCTCATAATTTCTTTTATTTGTGTTGCCATTGTCTTTGTCCTTTGCAACCACTGCATTTCTTCATATCTGTCACCTTTCTTGGACTCTGCAGCCTTCTTTCCATAAACAATATCAAGGTTAAAAAAAAAAAAGTAAAGCTGAATTTCATGGTGTGTCAATGAGGATTTGAATCTTTTATTTACTACCATAATCACAAAACAGAATTGCTTCCTTCAAATTACACTCATAAATTATCAGCTATTATGCCTTAGTGTGTTGGTGCAAAGGTTGATGCTGAATAAACTTTTAGAGGGGCAGGAGAACTTGTAATTTATATGTCACATGTGGTCTCAACATACTTACTTGTCACTTGCTTGAGTAGCTACAGAGAAATGGAGTAAAGGAGTGCTAATATACCCACAGGGACACCAAAACTTCCCTCTTGCAAATGTGATGCATCCAGAAACATAGCCTGTGAGTTCCAAACCCATCTCGCTTCTTCCACCAGCTACTCAGTTTTTCATTTTCAGCTCCAAAGGACTCAGTTATTTCCCTTTAGGAAACAGAAAAATAAGACCAAATAATGAAGCATACATGTTTTTAGGCACAATAGATTATTTCTGTCCTCCAAAGGTAAGCCAGTAACATAAAACCCACACACACATGCACAGCATTTCATAAGCAATTGCATATTTATTCCTTTCCAGAGAAGCAATGTGAAATTAAATCACGGACAAAAGATCGTTTCAATCTATTTTCCTCACTAATCTCATCATTCAGCGTTTATGAAGACTATTAAGCCAAGGACTCATTATTCATCCTGCAGGTAAGCTGACCCTTAGGTGTGCAATTCTTTCAAAATAAGAATAATGTCTGCATTGTAAGTGAGAAAAAAATTAATACATACAGTCATTGATGCTAGCTCTGGCATTAAGTATTTCAGCAAAAAGTTAACCAAAGTCACGAGTAAAAAGACATGCCACAGAGTGGGAGAATGTATTTGCAACTCATAAATAAGGAAGTCCTCCAAGTAAATAAGAAAATTACAGACTGCCTAATTTTTAAAATGTACAGCATAATTAAATGGACCCTTCATGAAAAAAGAAAGCCAAATGGCCAATAAACAAACTAAAATCTGCTCACCTCACTGGCAACTTGGAAGATAAATATGAAAATTACAGTGTGATCATCAATATATAACCACTGGATCAACAAAAATTACACTGTCTGACAATGCCATATGTTCGTGAGCACATGGAACTGAGAACTCTCATATATTGTTGGTAGGGATGCAAACTACATTTTGAAAATGATTTAACATGATCCATTAAAGTTGAAGATATGTAAACCCTAAGACAGCACTAGATATATACCCTAGAGAAATTCCTATACATTTGTACCACAATACAGTACAAGGAAGTCGGTAGCAGCATTGTGCATGATGCCTCCAAACAAGAATAACCAAAATGTCCATCACAATACAGGAAACATATAAATTGTGCTGTGCTCATAGAATGGAACACTAAATAACAATGAAAAGAGATGAGCTATAGCTACACAAAACTATATGGATGAGTCCAGGAGTCTATATTACAAATATTTAATCATTGGTATGGCATTGGCTTGGAACAAACAGAAAATATGCCAGATATTGACAACTCGTATAGGTCTGCTGGAAGAATATCAACAAGCACTGGATAAATCTCTGAAATATTATGTTGCTAAACAATGGATTTCAAGAACAAACATAATTAAAGTTTATTTGCTTAGGGAAGCATAATGACTAGTAAAATTAAAAAGAAAAGCAAGGAAATAATTTCCATAAAAGGCAGGGCAGGTTTACTTAGAGTTGGGGGAGCGGGTTATTGGCAGGAGATAAGACGTAAGTACCACATTATGTACATGGTACAAGGGCTTCTAAGGAGCTCATCATCTTTTGTGTCTTTACTTAGTAAGTGGTGCTATAGTCATTCACTATTTAGCTATTGTCACACCTGTATGCGTATGTTTTACGTCATTTTTTATGTATATAAAATATTTTACAATAAAAACAAACAAATAAGCAAAGTGAAAGGGAAAAAAACAATGTTATATATACATGGGTGGATATTTTAGTCTAGCATTGGACAGAGACATTTATTGAACTTGTTATTGTCTTAGGTCGTCATTTGTTTTTTCAAGATTTCCAAAACTGCTACTCAATTCTTACAACTGTGATTGCTTCCACACTATTTAAGTATCATGACTACTTCAGAACTCATTGCTGATTCTTTCACGTGCACCTCTTTCTGATCCACTCAGGAGATTCTTAGTAACCAGTGTCCTAGCACAGGCCACAGTAATTCCTTCACTAATTCTTACCACACTCACCATATGCCCACAGGTGATCCAGCTGCAAAATCCATTTGGAAGGTCTACTTTCTTGGGCCAATTCTGGTACCTGCTGTCATAGCTTGGGTTTCTCCAGGGAGATACTAAGGTAGTTGCTTGCATGCAAATACAATATGGAGAGAATGATTCAGGTACCAGGAAAGAGAGACAGGAAGGAAGACCAGTACAATAATTCAATACTAGGGGTGGTTAATACTCAATACAGCAGGTCCCTTGTGGACAAAAAGCAGAGGTATTTAATCCACTAGCTCATGTCACCTGTTAATCAAGTGTAACCCAAAGAGATTAACTACTTCCCTTCTCCAGTTTGCACATGCTTGAGTGCTGGATAGCTTCCTGTGGGTACCTGGTACCACAGAGTCAGAGAAGCCCCAGGGCAGGAACTAAGAGTGTGGGATATGGATCTGAGTTGAGGCTCTCTTAGTTGCACTTTCACAAAGCTGATTGAAATTTGCAAGAAACTTGTTACCACAAAAGTGGCTGGGATAATTGACAGTGGTAAAGAAATGGTGTCTAGTATGCTGGTGTAAATCTGCTTATGAACTTCCTAGCATCTATTCATCCCGTTTTGTAACAGAATCTCCATTCTCTTGAGAATCCACCCATCCTCCACTTTCTCACCCTATGATTATTCTGGGGCTGAATCTATACCAAATTCCAGGGGTGAGCTTGTGAATCTGACTGGGCCATTCATAGCCGATGAGTCTTTATGGTGTACTTTTGTTGAATCTCTCTAGAAAGATGAGATTTTCTGTTATTAAAGCTAAGAAGATATATGCCTGGAGATACTGGGGATTACCAATGGAACTAGACTGCCTATGAGTAGAGGGGAAAAAACTGGAAAGCCAGGTACAGAGAACAAATCGGAAAGATTTTTAACAATATTACTTAAGTATCTGCATACACCTGAGCCTGAAGCCAATACACCTTAATTTTTTTAAAACATGAACCCCTAAATTCCTTCTTGAATTAAGCCTATTTGAGTATGTCGCTGAAAGCTGAAAGACACCTAACTTTTTAAGCATTTGGTGAAAGACGTTGATAATATCTATACCTTTACTCACATAGTGCTGTGTAAGAACCTTCAGTAGACTGTAACCTAGTAAGAAAGACATGGCCCTGATAACTTGAGTCCTAAGCGGGGCTCCTTTAGGGTCACTGAGACAATCAGGAGGAAAAAATCAGTTACAAACACATTTTTGCTAGAAAATTACATATTATGGAGTCCAAAATGAATAAAACAATGAAAGCTGTCTTGATTGCAGTTGATATTGTAATTGTCCAGATTTCATTCTGGTGTGCAACTAGATTGACAGAAGATACGATTTTTTGTAGGAACAAAAAGCAGAGGTGGAAAAATTGGCATTCTAGGTCTAAAAAAGTAACATAAAATCACAGAGCAGAATTGCAGGTATATAGAAATGAAAGTGGGTTTAAGTAAAGCTTCAATTTCAGAAGACAATGTGTAATATCCTATAGAAATTCAAAGCCTGTATGAAAGGAAATGTCTAATAGGTTGATGCCTAGAAGAGACATAACCATACAGTCAAGTCCTCCCAACTTAGTATTTGCTTTGGTAAAGTTGCCACTATAAAAAGTAAGATTGTATCTTGGGTCATTGCCTTGGGATTGAGTTGCTGATTGATTGATAAAGTCAGAAGTCCAATAATGGTACATAACTATGAGGTGGGTGGATCACCTGAGATCTGCCGTTCAAGACCAGCTAACCAACATGGTGAAATTCCATCTCTACTAAAAACACAAAAAGTTAGCTGGGCGTGGTAGTGCATGCGTAATCCCAACTACTTGGGAGGCTGAGGTAGGAGAATCACTTGAACCCGGGAGGCAGAGGCTGCAGTGAGCCGAGATCGTGCCATTGCATTCCAGCCTGGGCCAAAAAAGCAAAACTCCGTAAAAAAATAAAAATAAAAATATTAAAAAACCAGCAATATAGTTGAATGATTTGAATGTAAGATGGCAACAAAATCTGATAATCTACCACATCCATCTGGTGGTTAATTTTCCTGCCAGGGTTCTACTAGTCCAATTTTTGGGGTGAAGATTACCACTGTTTGGCTCTGTGGTCTCAATTTTATGAACTTCTAAGAATGAGCATCCCATCACCACAAAATCCTATAATTCATACTGTCTTTGAATGTGTTAATGCATCCCATCCTATGGCTTTAGTGGGTATTTATATATCTATTCTCTGATTGCTTTCTTTTCTAAAGAAAAATTTATTTCCCACTTCCAAGTTCCCAGCTACCCGGGATGACTAAGAGGGACTCATTTCCCAGTAATCTTCAAGGGCTACAACACAACTGAAGATATCTGGATTTCATTCAATAAGATTAGGTACCTTTTGAAAGACTAATCTAATATCTAAGATAATACATGGGCATGAAAATTGCATATCCTTCAAATTCAGCTTCCTCCTTTTTTTTCCTGTGTCAGTTCTTAGACATCCCCAAGAAAAGCCTACTGTGCCCAAGATTTTAAAAAAGAAAACTTTTCTGGTAAGAATGTGATTTGAAAGTTAACAAGCTGTGGATGATTTTTTGATGTTGTTTTTGTACAGTTATTATAGGCAACCAGTTTACATGTGTAAATTCTTGGTCTCTTTAACAATTCTTATCAGATTACATTGGGGGAATAAGACCATCTCAATAGGCAACTTTGGCTCATCAGGGAAAGAAGATATGTTAAAAAAAAAAGGTATTTTGAGGACTTGGATGACTGAAAACATAACATATGGCCTCATGTCGCTCCACAAGAATTTCCTTGACTAGCATTTATTATATGAACAGGAAAGTCAGTGCCTGCTAGAAAAAAAAATCCCCACACTTTAAGATTGCACTGGGAAGGCAAAGACAAGTGCATAATTACCTGAAAAGTGCCTTCTTATTTCTTTCTAAAGCACCATAATGCAGCAGAGATTCACATTCCTGTCTGTGGAACATGGAGCTGTTAATATACAATTTAGATGTCATAGCCCTATCTGGCTGAAAAGTCACTTTGATTTTGTATTCTCTTGATAGTTTTGATGTTCTGAAAATTATGATGGAATTGGCTGTAGGTAGCACTGTGAATTTAGTACATGGCATTAGTTAACAAGAGGATATTGTAAAAATAGATGTGACATTGACTGACTATGTTGATGAGATAAAAAGATGGATGGGCAGAGAGAGAGGTGTGATATATACATGCATGAATACATATTATATTTGTATGGGAACTTAAAAATTCACAACTTACATTTATACATTTATCCCATTTAAGTTTCATAATACACTCATGAGAAATTTTAACCAGATTTTAGAGATTGTTACATGACATTAACCACTGATATGGACTCAGAGATAGAACAAAGCAAAAAACCCTGTTTCTTCTTTTCTCTTTCCCTAATGTTTTTTCATTCCACTGGAAAAGAGGTTTTTGTTAATAAAGAAATTATGCTTTGACAAGAATTGGCCAGGATTTTAGATTTTTTTCATCCTTCTGTGAATTCTTCTTGCACTTATAGTCATAACTAATCAACTTAGAAATAAAAAATTTTTCATTCTTAGATTATTTTATAAAACTTTATAGATCTTGTACATATATCTTTTACAGCATTACTCATCTTGAATTACAATTTTCTACATGTAGTAGACTTCCAGTTGGCTACACAAACCCAATCCATACTTTCTTCTTCATTCATATTTGTTCAAGAATCATGTAGTCATGCACTTCAGTTGATGTTGGCTCCCTTTTCAACACCAGAAGGTAGATTTTGACTATTGAAAAACAAGTCAGTATCTCCATTGTCCTTGTTAATAATTGGTTTAGAAATGGTCATTGGGCACAATTCTGACTAAAGAAAAATGAAGTAGGCCTGTCATAAGATGTCTGAGCAATTTTTCTTAATTTAAAATAATTAAATTTAAAAACTTGAGAAAGTGATGACCCATGACTCTCCCTCTCTTTTCTGGCTTTTGAAGACTATTGTGTGAGGATGATATGCATGGAGGTGCTGCAGGCGTCTTGATGCTATGGAACACAGAAGCCTATGAAAAAAGATAGCACATTAAGTATGACAGAAAGAAAAGATAAAAAGCAATCTGAAGCATTGCTCTCACTTTTGATCTGTTGAATTTTCTTTTACTATGCATGAAGTGGAATCCAATTTTCTGTTTCTTGTCACCAAATGCATCGTATTGAATACATCATGTATATTTCTTTCTACCAAATTAAACTTTGACATACTTGATGACATAGACTTTATCTGAGTTATCTTCATAACTGCAGTGTCTGGTATGATGCCAGATATAGAGTGGGTTTCCAAATACTGCTTGCAGAATTAATGAATGAATGACTTTCAAAATTGTGGAAGAAAGAATAAACAATCATGCAAACACTGTCACTCTTTAACCAATTTTAGGCAAATAACTAACAATCAGAACTTTTGTTGTAGAAGATTTTCAGGGGGCAGAAATTCTGAGAGTATTCGTTCCATAAGATCAACAATACACTTTTTCTAGTGCACAGTAATTAAGGTATATTGAATTCATCTAGAAGTCACCGGAGGCCTTTGTCCTTAAGACAGGGTACCATTCATTTAAACAGCAATTTCTGTTGTGCTATTCTTTTCAAATGCCTATTAATATGGATCATCAGCTAACATTAGGGCATCACTTTGTTCTCTGGACTCTCACTTCTATAGGGAAGCTCCCAAAATGGGAATGACATCTAGAGCAGAGACTAAGATAAAATAAGTGAGTATACAGATGTTTTTTTTTTCAAAGCCCAAAAATGATGGATAAGTAAATGGAATTATTTGGAAGTTTCATCCTTAAGTTGAAAAGAGAATTTAAAACAAAAAGGAATTCAATTTTCCACATGGTCAGGGGGCACTGTCTCAGCTTGAGGGGACACCCCGCCAGAACTTCTTCTCTTTCTGTGACACTGAACATCATAATGGGGGCTGATTTTTCCCTTTAAACTTTTATTCCTTTGAGTTGTCAAAGCAGTTTTGTCAATCTGCTTGAATATATCCTTCATTATAATTTCATTTAAAATATATATAAAAATAAAATGTGTGTACTTGCCAGAAAAATTTAATTTGTTATAGTTTTTTTAATGAAAGAAATTTGTCTCCCACAGAAGGCATATTTTGCATGTATTTTATCCCTCAAATTATGCTTTTAATATTTCATTTATATTTTTCTTCCCAGCTTATCTTTTTCAGTTATTTTAAACTGGGATGTTAATCAAAAATGTGAATCAATTTCCTGCAATCCATTCACAGACTAAATCCTACAGTGACTTTAATGTGCATATTACTATAAGCAACAGAAACTAGCATTAACTATCTCAAGCCTAGATAGTTGATTGATAGATAGATGATAGATAAAAGATAGATGATAGATAGATAGATAGATAGATAGATAGATAGATAGATAGATACATACATACATACATACATAGCTGATAAATAAAACAGATAAATAGGTAAAAGCATTTATTGGAAGAATATGGGAATCAAGGGAAACCTAAATAGCCTGTCTCAGAAAGAACAAGAACCAAGGCACTCTAGTATTTAGGTAAGCAGAATTAATGCTCCATGACTTCAGGACATAATGCAAAGAATGAATTAATTCCAAATATGTTTTGTACGTGGGTCATGTCATTCAGGATTAAAAATTCAAGAGAGACAGTTTGGCCTTAAACTAGGGAGAGTCTGGCTGTTTCTGGTCCATTACCCTTCCAAGGCAGCCTGAAATATAGAAGGAGTAGTTCTCCAAAGCAAAAACTATGAAGCTATTACCAAAAAGCCTCAAAAAGGAACAAAGCATTGGTTGACCAGGCCTAATGATAATGAGATTTTTAATCTCATCACCAGACGTCCTGGGTTTGAATCTCAGCCTAGTTTATAACCTCATCTTGCCCTCATTTGTTAATACCTGCTTACTAGTCTTCTGACTTTTGACTTTTGCTTCCTACAGGATTACACTTCACTCTCTCTCTAATATTCTATACTCACTACTTGGGATAAATATTTTACTGAACCTGGCCCAACAATAGGAGTCCTCTCTTCCTGCATTGGAACATGGATTTCCTCAGCTAAATGACAAGGCCCAGGGAAAATGGTATTCATATACTCATCCTTTCATCAAATGTGACTTGGTTGCTTGGTTAGGGGTGATAGTAGATGGAGAGGAGGTGTAAAGGTGAGCCAAGCAAGAGAAACAACATTTCAGCTTTCATGGAAATCACACTTGAGAGGTGCAGATAGGCATTCAATGATTCGTGGAAATGATTGATAATTATAACTGTGAATAGTGGGTACAAGGTTCAAGGTACAGGTCCACAGACCTATTAGAGGGAGGATATGACCACATCTGCAAGGTCTCGGAGACTCCCTTGAAGAAGGGACAATTATACTGGGATCCAAGAAAAAATAATAGAAATTAAACAGGTAAAAGTTAGTGGCAAAGGAGAATATGCCAAGCAGAAGTGCAGGGTTTGCTAAAATCCTGAGGTGCAATGGAAACTAACCTGCTCAAGGTAAAGAAGAAAGCCAGGGAGGATGATGGGCAGTTACCATTGTGGGAGGTAGCCTGGGAATTGTGGGTTTCTTTTGGATTGATATAAAGTGATGTTGGAAAATTAGGCAGGTGCCAAACAATTCAAGGTTTTATAAGCCATGTTAAGGATTTGATCTTGGATATATCTAAAGAGTAATGAAAAGCCAGTGGAGTGTTTTTAGTATGATCAAATTTGCATTAAAAAAAAAAGCCTTCCATCCAGAGAGTGGAAAATGTTTTGGAGAAAGGCCAGAATGGGTGTGGGAGTTCCAAATATGAAGCTATGGCAGGAGTCCAGGCCGTGATGATGATCATCTGGTTTAGGATGATCAAAATGGAGATGTGGAAAGAGTACAGACTTGAAAAAAATTAGGAGTGAAAATTGTCAGGATTTGCATGATATGTTGGCTACGGTGAGGGAAGAAGAGAAGGAGGGAGAGGGATATGTCAATGTTTCCTCCTTGTTTCTAGCGTTTATAGCAATGTACATGATGTGATGTGATATTCACTGAGAGGGGATGCACTCAAGATTTGGTGGGATTTGGAAGGGGGTTGATAGTTTGGGATATGATAATTTTGAGATATCTTTGAGACATACACAGGAAGATATCAAGTGGGCAATTGGGTATGTGGTTCTGTAGCTTCGAAGAAAGATCTCAATGGGAGATATAAATGTGAGAGTCATCTGAAGACAGAGATGTAAATTCAACACAATCTAATCCATTTCCATAGTCAATCTCATTTGAAGATGTCTAAAGAATTTTCAGAGCCCTATTCTGTAACCTGAACATGACTTCTATAAAAGAGGCAGGGTAGTGTAATGGAAATATGGCAGTTTTTCCTGTTAGATGATTTGGGTTTAAGTCTCAAGGATATCTCTTAAATAATTTTGTAATTTTTAGCCAATAATTTTCTCACTCAGACATTCAGTTTCCTTCTCTGTAATATAGCAGTAGTAAAATCTCCCCCTGATTGCTGTTGCAAAGAATAATGTGATGATATCAATGATAAGGGTATATAAAAGTGCTTTGTAAATTGCTACAAACACCTGTCTTATTTTATTCCCAGACCCCTACAGCTATGCATATATGTTCAGTCTACTCAGTCCTTAACAAATGTCAATAAACAAGCACTGGTTTTTGAGGAGTCTCAGACTGAAGAGACATGCTAGACTATTACTGGTTAGCTGTTTGAGAGCTGTGTAAAAAAAAAAAATCCAACCTCAATTCACTTTAATCAGATTGGCTTCTGCATCATAACTTCATTCTTTCTAATTAATTATTATGGAAGATACAGAAAGAACTTTGCCAATGTGGAAATTCAGTGGTTATAACAAAATGTTTTATTTAGTTCTTGTCTTGAAAGGCCAAGCATTAAAATGGGCTATCAATGCTTTCTTTTAAAGACAAACTTCTGTTTTACTGTTTTTATCTCTAAATATAATAAGCACCATCTCTCCAACTGCAAGATGAGGAGATACTCTCCCTGGGGAAATGGGACATAGCCCTCATGAGTCTATGAAGCAGCTGCAAATTAAAACCATAGGAAACACCTTCAGGGGGCGTTGTATCAATGCCCTGAAAATGTCTGAAAGCCTGCTTTATGATTTGGGGAATATCATCAGAGATGCTAGGAGGATCAAAGAAGATAGAAGAAAACGTTACTGAACTTTTATTGATTTGTTACAGAACACCTAAGAAATTACTAGTCGTAAGTCACATTTTAATAGTGAAATGGATATCACAGCTCTGAAACCATCTTAATAAGCAGAATTAACAAAGAAAATTTCTATGCAAATACTTCTCATATGTCACGATATTCTTTTACTAAAGCCATATTAAACCTTATAAATTAAATTTAAATTTCTCCATAATGTAGCTAAGGTTATATTTCATTTCCATATAAACAATAACAACAAATCAAAGTATAGGAAGAATTAATGTTTTTATTTTATACTATTATTAACTTTTAATAAGCATACCAAAATGTACAATGATACTTTATTAGAATCCACTATCTAGTGAGGGTGAATTATTATAATTTATGTTAGGCTCAATTTCAGGTGGCATCTAATTAAGAGATATATGTACTGCTAAATTTTTTTTAAAGAAAACCGAAATGTTGATAATTTTCATTTACTTAGATGGTTAAAAATAAAGGTTACCTTAACCAAGAGATCAAAGTTAAAGTAAACAGAAATGAGGCATGTTGACTTCATGTACCTCCTAATATGATGAACCAGAAAGGACACAACAATCACTTCTAGGGTGCTCTGGCCAGTAATACCTCAACCAAATCATAACAATTCTCAAACAAGGCCAAATAGAGAAAAATTCTAAAAAATAATTGTCCAGTACTCTTGAAAGATAAAGTGACACAAAGACAAAGAAAAATTAAGAAATTCTTTTCATTGGAGGTGCCTAAGGAGACATGAAACTTATAGCAATATAAGATCCTTGATGGGATACAGGCCTAGAAAGAGGATATTAGTGGAACAACTGGAAAATTTTGAATAGAATGTGAAAATCAGTTAATAGTATGGCTAAATCATAATTATCTGATTTTGTTAAATTGTACTATGTCTATGTAAGACATTTGGAGAAGTAAAGTATACATGGGAAATCTACATATTACGTTTGCAACTTCTTTGTTTTCCTTTTGTACATCTAAATTTATTTCAAATTTAGAATTTTTTTTAAGTTATGCTTTTTGTAAGAAGTACAGCTTATATTTTATGGATATACAGTATAAAATTGTTAAAGAATATTAACTATTTTAGAAGTTGCTTTGTTTCATTAAATCGCTTTAGTAATTTATGGTCTGGCATAGTATTATATGATTTATTTATTGTAGTCTGATTTTTATTGTGAGTTCATTTCTCTGCTAGATTTTTATATGTTCCTATAAATTTTTTAAAATATCTGAAACATGGCATTGTTCTTTGTGGCAGTCATTCTAATATAATAGTTCAGATTAGATAATGAAGTTATCTTTTCTTAATAATAGGCATAGTTTTATTTTCACAGAAGAAAAAAGATATTTCAGAAACAATCACAAAAAACTCATGACCTATGCGTCTGAAGATATATAGTTATCATAAAAGAGCACAAGAAGCTATATGACTTGCTCTGTGTCACCCAGTTGTTAAAAAAATGACAGAGCTTCAAGGCAAATTTATGACCACAAAATCCAAATTTATCACATTTTCTAATATGTTACTGAGGCTACTTTAAAATATTTTCTTTAACAAAGCCCTCACTCCTGACCTTAAGAAATTTAGTGAAGCTCAATCATATGGCTGAATTAGTCCCACTCTAACAATTCACATTCTATTAATATTTTGTCAGATATCTCCATGTACTCCCTTGACTGACCTTTAGAGTAAAGGGAGGGTAGGCTTCAAAGGTTGGGATTCCACAGATCTTTTTTCATAACTCTGTTATGAAGTGATATATCAGGCTGGTTTTATACAAATCAGAGGAGATGGAAGAGCAAAAAAAAGAGGTAGTAGTGGCAGATGCCACCTCTACCCAGGGCCAGCATAGGGACTTCTGGAACTGTGCCACATGTGGTGTTCCCTCCACTCTCTCTCTTCGCTTTTCCTTCCTTCTTGTCCCCTATACCCAGTGGCCACCACAAACTCTAGCCTGGCATTTCCAAGACTTCTTATTGCAAAACTGTTGCTTTTTGAAGTGACTTACTTAATAAAGCCGTGGGACCATGATAATTCCAATGCATAACATAGAATCTAAGGTAACAACGGTGTTACTGGACATTCTCTGTCCTGTCTCTCTACATAGCCTCTGCCACCAAAGTTCCCTTGCATAATTCAATCGGCTACCCACATAGCTCAAGTCCAAAGTATTTCGTTATTCCTCAATGATTACCCAACCCCTGAGGCCCTCGTTCATCTCAACATACAATTTCAGTCACTAGATAGAAGATCATATTTCACCTTCAAAATAGCAAGAAGGGATCCTTTCTTTTAAGGCTGCTTCTGATTCATGATGTGAGTGGCAGCTGATCAGTTAAATATTGCTTTCTGCATCTGTAAAACAAGAATGTAAACGCCAGTATTTTCCAGTTGGATCAAGTGGCAACAACATCTTAGGATTTTCTGTTTCCAAGACTGAAGCTGCCCCTTGAGGTAAGTAGGATATGCAGAATGACAGCTGGTGATCCAGATGAAAACTGCAGATGATTCTGACCCTTCCTGGTGTATTTTTCAAAAATTCGATTGCTTTGGTTTCCTAGATTTATATGCAAACAGATTTTATGTCAACATTCAAAATTCTGACTTCTCTTAAAAATCAGGAAAAGTTTGGATGCACATTGCATACATCAGTACTCATGGGAGTTCAAGGTGGAGCTGCCACCTTTCTCCTGGGCATCTGATTTCCAGACCACATTCCTCGTTGTCGTCTTCCATCTGGACCATTTCACTGATTTTCATTGCCTGGCTGATTCATATAGCTAGTTAATTTTGTGACCCTGTTTTAGAAATATAGATTAACATCAGCTTATCAAAAACATTAAAAACCTCATTTAACATTAATTGATGAATACTGGGAGTAGTTTTTGTGAGAGAAAACTACACATTAACACAGAAATAGAGACATATGCACATGCAAATTTAAGCTGAATAATACATGATATAAAAATAAAATATGTTAATATATTCTGGAGCCATGTTACACTTGCCACCTTAAGTTGAACGTCATTTTCATTTTAAGTAAATGCATAATGTAAAAGTAATAAAAGACTCACATATTTAAAATTTGTTTGGGTGGAACGTTAATGAACTCCATAAAATGTAAAATAATACAAAAGGACCCTGAATATTTTGGAAGCTTTTTTTTTTCACAGAAAATATGTTTATTTATTCTCAAATTTGAAACAATTCTACTAATTAACATTTTTAATCTGAAAAGATTATTTAGACAGTTGCAGTAAAAAAAATGATAAAAATTATTAGGACTACAGATCTGTTATTGCATTCTGTGGACGTTCTCATAGTAAAATAGGTTAAAAAAAGATTAATTGCGTGCCTCCACTTCAAGAAAAATAGACTTGTGTGCGTTACTATGGCAACTACATACAATTCCAACTATTAACTTTCTTACTACTGGAAAAAAAATCAATAATGACATAAATTACTTAATATAACATATAGCTTTGGAAAATATTTATTTACCCAATATTATTACAAAAACTGCTTTACTATGAAAAATCAAAGGCAAATACTTTTTAAAAATGAATATGCCAAAGCTGAAGCAAGTGCTAGCAAACTAGCCACACTCTCCTCTACTAAGTGGCACCAACACATGTCTAGACTAATTATGTGTAAAATATAATCCACTCTGGCCAATCACGCCTGCCGTAATTGTGCATGTTATGCCCATAAAAACATACCACTAACCTTTGCAATATCCTTTAAAATTAAAACAGCAGTTACCTTTCTTTCAGTTCAACTAATAATATACTTATGGCCTGAATTCTCCAGAATTGTGTTAGCATACTAAAACCTAAATCAATGAGGTTGTTTTCCTGGAAAAGCTGTCAAATTAAATGTTATATATCTTTTGGGGTTTATCTAAACAATTTCTTGATCCACATTATACTGTAACAGATTTGGCTCTTGTGGCTTTTGGTTTTGTCTTGAAAATTTTTCTCTCATGGGCTCAAATGCTTTGTTTACAATTGTTTAAAATTCAGCTTTATTGTGACAGTTGTGGAAGAGAAGCAGGAAAGAAACACCCATTTCTAAGGAGTAAGGACATTCTCCTCTCTTAATCTATTCAGTTGTTATGACCTGATCACATAGGCTAAGGCCTCAGTGTCCCATATAGGGTTGTCGTTGTTTTAAAAGAAAATGGTATGATTGAAAAATACTTCCTACTTTTCATTCTAACCTTATTCACTTTATCAATCAGAAAGGTGTTGGGATATTTTTTGTATATATGTTTAAGAGAAAAAAAAAACTACAGTCTAAACACTGACTAATACTCTCTTCCCCTCTTCCCCCAAAGCAGAGAATTGAAAATGAAATACAGTTATATTATTTGGCTTTTCCCTTTTTTTCCCTCACTCTCTTTTTTCCCCTGTAGCTGAAGGACTGGAGTAAAAATAAAGCTGCATGATATCTAGTAGCCAGAAGGGTTCCTGGCTTTATCTTTCACACTGAAAATGGGTCTAATGTTTTAGAAGTAAAAAGAATGTGTTATACTTTCATCTCAATATTCTTGTCCCACTCATTAAATCATAGGATCAGAAATTTGGCTCGAGGTATCAAAAATTTTACTCTTATTGCAGCCTAAAACAAAGTACAAGACATAAAAGTAAAGCAGCAGAATGTTTTATAATTCTCTGAGTAATCAGGTCTGGAAGAGCCATGGTTATTTGTATTATTTTTTGATATAGATGTTGGTAACGTACAAAAACAATTCTTATTGGATTCCATTGTAGCCAGTTTGTTGGATAATCACATTTACTCGAATGCATCTGGCTTCCCTTCAAATATAAACGCTGCTAGAGTGGGCTATTAGAGATTGAAGAAACTGAACTCTGATGAATCGCGTTCAAAGCGTATCCTAGTTTTTCCATTCATCTCCATTGACTTCACAATCACCTGAATTTCTACCTTGCCCTTGTAATCCCCTAATCCCTTCATTATTCATCATCCTTTGTCTTACTATATCTTCAAAGGAAAAAATCAAAGTAATTCTGAACCAACCTGGACATATTTCAGAAATGGCTTCTGCTACATTAAATATCATTCCACAAACGAATAAGTCAACAATAACTGTATGTAATTTGGAGATTGAATTCTGAGTGGGTATGTACTTGTTTCCACGTCTTCATATTGGACTTTCACTTTATTGAATTTGTCCTCGTTAAATCAAGTCAGGCAGTGTTCAGCTGGACCTTTTTCTCACCATGCAATCCTGATCCACTAAGGGCAGCTTATAACAGACAACAATACTCAAAACAACAACAGCATCTTGCATTTATACCCTTTTTCAAGATATTCAAAACATTTTCTTAAACATAGTGTTTCTCCATTTCCCGACAGGATTTTGAATGCTTATGAGTGTACAGTCACTCTTGCAAACAGTGTAATATTGTGGGGTGTTGTTGTTGTTGTTGTTGTTGTTTGAGACGGAGTCTCGCTCTGTTGCCCAGGCTGGAGTGCAGTGGTGCGATCTTGGCTCACTGCAAGCTCCGCCTCCTGGGTTCACGCCATTCTCCTGCCACAGCCTCCCGAGTAGCTCGGACTTCAGGTGTCTGCCGCCAGGCCCGGCTAATTTTTTTGTATTTTTAGTAGAGACGGAGTTTCACCATGTTAGCCAGGACGGTCTCGATCTCCTGACCAGGTGATCCTCCCGCCTCGGTCTCCCAAAGTGCTGGGATTACAGGCGTGAGCCACCGCGACCGGCCGCAAGCAGCCTAATATTGTTTAGTGCATTCTTGCTGAAGTAGCACACCTCACTGCACGTGTTTTCCCACAGTGAGGAGTAGAGAATCTGATCATGCTTATTCAACAGGGTAACCTTATGTTAAATTTAGTTAGCATAGCATTTTCCACATGGGAATACTCTTTCTCTGAGTAGTTGGCTGATTTGCCTTGGGTAACATAGCTATTGCAAGACAAAGCTCACCCTTCATCTAAGCATTCTAAGTGATCTTCCTTTTAGGTCACTAGAATTCCCAGCATGCATTTAAAGAGTGGTTTTTCAAATGGGGCAAATCTTTCCATTTGTTTTGATCTATCTATTCTAGATAGATACAACCATCCTGATTTTTAAGGTAGCCTTCCAGAGATAATAAACTGCATTAAGATGGCCAAAGCCTATAAACTGACCTTATCTAGTGATATGTAAATATAAAATTCTTTTTAGTGTGATTTGTCTTTTAATTATCATTTTGTGCTCCAAAAGGGAATTAGGGTCCCATGATGTGTTCCATTCATGAACTGTGCATCTCTAAATTGGATATATAATCACTCTCAATGCAAATCACTTTATATTACAGTTTATCTAAAGCTGTGAATATGACAATCATCTTCCTGTTTTGGGTGGACTTGGAGAAAAGCCCGCCCAATATAGCTCTGAATGCTTAACCCTGTTATTCAGAATCATAAAAATTGAGACATCATGCCCAAATTATAATATGTAGAGGGTTTGGGTATTGTTTTGTTTTTGTTTTTTTCTTGGTCTCTGAGAATACTGGTTTTTTATTCCCCTTCTAGATGGAGATGGAAATCTCAACATTTTAAAAATATTAAACTCTTTTGTTCTAATAAACAAAATAAATGACAACAAAATATGTACATGTAATAGCTATTCTCTTAATTTACACTGAATATCTTTTCATTTAATCTCAATTAGTAAATGAGGGCCTTATTCAATGTTATTTAATAGCACTTGGATGATATTGGATACAATCTCTTCACTTTACAGCTAAGAGATAACATCTTCCATAGGAAAAAATTAACATGTTAAATTAACTCATAAAAATACATCCCTTAAAATTCATTTTTTTTTTTTTTTTGAAATGGAGTTTTGCTCTTGTTGCCCAGGCTGGAGTGCAATGGCGCGATCCTGGCTCACCACAACCTCTGCCTCCCAGGGGTTCAAGCAATTCTGCTGCCTCAGCCTCCGGAGTAGCTGGGGTTAAAGGCATGCACCACCACACCCGGCTAATTTTGTATTTTTAGTAGAGACAGAGTTTCTCCATGTTGGTCAGGCTGGTCTCGAACTCCTGACCTCAGGTGATCAGCCTGCCTTGGCCTCCCAAAGTACTGGAATTACAGGTATGAGCCACTGCACGCAGCACCCTTAAAACTGTTTCTAATTAGATACCCCTAACCACCTCTCTTATCCGTCATCTCTCTCTGTCCCTGCTTTCAATCTCTTACTCTCTCATTTTCTGTTACACACACACACACACACACACACACACACATTAGTTTAATATATTCTTTCTAGAAAAATCATCTTTCATAATAATCTTTCAAAACCTTCCAAAAATAATCTATGGTTTTAAAAGTAGTTATTGTTTTATGACTAGATTTTATAGGCAAGAATTTGACCAAATCAAGTATTATGACATAAAATGCCCTATTTCCCTCTGCAGCCCAATGTCAATAAGACGTTTTCTTTGTAAAATAGTTGCAAGAGAAACTCATCTGTAGCTAATTACCAGTTTTATTTCAGGCTTTGCCATGTAAAAGGAGAAAAACGAAGCTGAATTTTAGACCTTCAATAACTTGATATCAGATTTCTGAGAAATAATGGTATTAAAAATCATTCAAACCTAAAATCTTGAAAGTTGAACTTCTGACAACAATCCACTATGAAGTTCAAAAATTAAGGTGACCAACCTATATTTTTTTTGAAAAATTACTATTATAGAGAAATATTTAAATTGAGTTTCTTCTCTTACTCTTCCCACATTTTCTTTCCTTTTTCAAACCAGCAACCCATAAGCTAGTTTGGTTATCTGAAATACTTGTATTTTAAAAAGAAGCACTTGATACTATGCAGATTCTTTTTTCTTCAATTATCTTTTATTACACATTTATCAAGATTAATTTTCTTGCATCGATATTTGAACATTTTTGATAGCATTCAACATTTCAAAACATTACACTGAGAAAAATGCCGTAGTATGTTAGGTATCCAGAAACCTGTTTGAATCATGCAATATTAACAGATGAGAAAATGTAAAGGCAGCTATCTGAATATAACAACTTCCAGTTGTATAATGGCAATTCAATCTTATGTCAAAAATTAATTCGGTATTTCTTTAGAACAAGTCTGATGATCTGTTGCAAACTGAATATTTGCTTTTGGAAACCTCTTTTTTTTTTCTTTTAAGGAATTCAAAAGTCTTATGGAAATAAATCTAGGAATACTCCAATTCACAGGATAAGAAAGAAAAAATACCATGACATGAATATGCTTACTATTTTTGAAGCAGATGAATGGCCACAATTTATCAGTCTCTGAACTTGAACCTCAAGCTTCTAATTTCAGAGAGGACACTTGCATACTTCTGAGAATGCATCTTCATTGGAACTTTTAGTTTCTTCTTTTATTCCTTGGACCTCAGTTTCTCAATCTTAGCACTAATGAAATTCAGAACCAGATAAGTCTTTGTCATAGGGGCTGTCCTTTGCTTTGTAGGATGTTTAGTAGCCTCATTAGCTTCTAGATGCCATCAGCACCTCCCAGTCACACTTGTGACAACTAACAATATCTCCAGACTGCGAATGTTCCATGGCAAAGGAGTCAAATTTGTTTCTGGTTAAAAAAAAAAAAAAAAAAAAACCCTGAGCTAGAGGGTTTAAAATTAACAGCTTTTTAAAAAATTAAAAATAGTCCAGGTGTGGTGGCTCACGCCTGTAATCCCAGCACTTTGGGAGGCCAAGGCAGGCAAATCATGAGGTCAGGAGTTCGAGAACAGCCTGGCCAACATGGAAAAACCTCATCTCTACTAAAAATACAAAAAATTACCTGGGCATGGTGGCAGGAGCCTATAATCCCAGCTACTCGTGAAGCTGAGGCAGGAGAATCGATTGAACCTGAGAGGCAGAGGTTGCAGTGAGTCGAGATCACACTACTGCACTCCAGCCTGGACAACAGTGTGAGACTCCATCTCAAAATAAATAAATAATAAAACAAAACCTAGGACAGGTACAGTGGCTCACACCTATAGTCCCAACACTACTATGGAGGCTGAAGTGGTAGGATCACTTGAGGCCAGGAGTTTAAGACCAATCTGGGGAACATAACGAGACCCCATCTCTACAAAAATAAAAATGAAAATAAAAAAATAAAACCTAGTGTATGTGTCCCTCTCACACTGCTATAAAGAGACTACTTGAGACTGGATAATTTGTAAAGGAAAGAGGTTTAATTGACTCACAATTCCTCATGGCTGGGGAGGCCTCAGGAAACTCACAATCATGGCAGAAGGCAAGGGGAAGCAAGGCATGTTTTAGATGGTGGCAGGAGAGAGAGAGAGCGAAAGAGCAAGGAAGTGCCATACTTAAAACCATCAGCTCTCATGTGAATTCTCTCACTGTATTGAGAACAGCATGGGGAAAATTGCCCCCATGATCCAATCACCAGGTCCCTCCCTGGAGACGTGGGATTACAATTCGTGATGAGATTTGGGTGGGGATGCAGAGCCAAACCATATCATCTAGAAATTATATTTATAAAACATGCTTTAATTTGGCTTCTCCCAGCAGGAGATAATGATTTGAATGCAGATAGTTCATTTTGGAGGTGGACCCAAGAAGCACCAGTAGAGTACAGAGAAAATGAGACAGAGCAGGAAAGAAGCCAGCAGAGGTTAGTTAATGGATGATTGCTGGGGCTTGATCTTGTCAGGAACCTTGTGGGGGCTATGAAGAATGTGCCTCACTTTTGTCTCACCTGAGAGGTGAGGGATATGATGTAATCATTCACCAAATCCCTTCCCTCATTGCTGGCAATTTCTCTGGATGGATTTATTCCTTGGCGTTATATTCCTGGTTGATGAGGGAGTCATACATGTGACCGGAGAAAACCCTCAAGGAAAGTGACCGATGTTTGCCACAGGAAGCTTTTGGTGTCTGCAGCAGTGGTTCTTGAAGTATGGTTCCTAGACCAGCAGCATAAGCATCACTTGATAATTTATTAGAAATGCAATTCTCAAGCAGCACCTTTGACTTATAATGGGGACTTCAATGCTGAAGCCCAGCAATCCGTGTTTTAACAAGACCTCCAGGTGATTCTGATACACATTTGTGTGTGGATCATTGGCCTAGCATGCTGTTCTCCACCAGGGCCAATTTTGTTCTCAGGGAACCTTTGGCAATATCTGGAGACCTTGCTGGTTTCTTTAAATGGAGGGTGGTTGGGGGAAGGCTACCGTGCTACTAGTATCTAGTGGGTAGAGACCAGGGATGATGCTAAATATCCTGCAATATACAGGACAGTGCCCCCACAACAAATATCTATCCTGCCCAGTATGTCAACAGTGCCAAGGCTGAGAAACCCAGGTCTAGTGGAATGGGGCATGATGAAGGGATGTGGACAGGGCATCAACAGCATCACCCATATTATTACTTTCCTTTTTTCTGTTTTTGTTTAACTTTCTTCCAAGCACTGTTGTGTTTTTAACATTGCAAACATTACTAAACATCCAATTAATCAGTCTGGATTCCATGCACACACTACTCTTAACCCTTGCTTCTTTTCATTCTGGATAAAGCATCCATTTTCACTTCTCTTTGACAAGCGTCCTGGGAATGTTCTTTTCTCTTAAGTGAGACTACTGTGCTCTTCCAGAAATCCCCTATCTTTCTTTGCTGTATCCAGTTAAAATTGCTGTCACCAATGTCACCAATGTCTTCTGTCACATTTATTCATTCATGTGGAACCCTTTAGAAACGCAGGTTCCCTTAACCGTGAGCAGGAAGCTGTCTAATCATCAAGCCCCTGTAATGCTCAGAAGAGGTGTAAGGATTAACAGCTCTTCTCTGATTTTTGTTCCTCAGTTTCAGGTGAATAAAATTGTCATTGAAATACTCTGATATCACCCCACTTCATGATAAAACATCTAAAATACAATCTGAGTGATACACCTTGCAATTTCCATCAGAGTATCACATTCATTTAGAATGTACAGACCCACACATCATGGCAGTATTGCTGCTGTAAACAACTAATATTCAGCATTTATTCTGTTGCAAGCAGTGTGTGCTAATTACTTTGCAAATTAAGGTAAACAGAATCTTGGTCCATGACCTTTGCCCCTGGTGTTACCATCATATATTTGCTAAATATAATGATGGATACTAATTAGTCGACTTTAAAATAGTGATGGCATCCTGGATTATCCAGATGAGTCCAATATAATCACATGCGCTCTAACAAGTACAAATAAAACAAGACGTCAGGGACAATCTGTAAAGGGAAGTCGGAAGATTCTAAGTACAAGAGGGATTCAACATGCTATTACTGGCTTTGAAGAGGAACAGGACCGCAAGCCAGGAAATGAAGGTGGCCTTTAGGAGCTGAGAATGTCTTCTGGTTGAGAGCCAGCAAGGAAATGAAGACCACAGTCCAAACCCACAGGGAACCAAATTCAAGCGAAAACCCGAATGAGCCTGGAAACATCCTTCAGTGGAGAGAGTTATGCACTGGGGAGTTGTCAGCCCCCAGAACTTTTGGTTAGGAGCCTAGGTAGACCGACACCCAACACCTTCCATTTCAGCTTCATGATACCCTCAACAGAGTACCCAGTTGAGCCTATCTGAATTTATGGCCTACAGAACTGTGGAATAATGAAATAGTTGTTGAGTTAAGACACTAAGCTCACAGTAATTTGTTATGCAGCCATTGAAAGCTAATGCACAAATAGTATTTCATTTCCCTTTAGGCTCGAGGCAACACGATAAGCAGAGGTTTTCCTATTTCTGTAATTAAGAAAGCAGAGGCTTAGAAATACTAAATATCTTGATTAAGGTTCCAAAGTTAATAAGTCAGAAGGTTGGGGTCCGCAGAATTTAGATCTGTTTGTCACCAAAGACCACGGCCTTACCAACTATTCAATTCTGCCTTCAGAGGCAAGTGGTCAGAAGTCAAGAGCAGCTTGTTCTTATTTATTAGTTTATTTGGTGGTGTTTCATAATGGTTTTGAACAATTGACTCATTCACAGTAAATTTAGATAAATTTAGTTAGAAAAAAATAATTGGTAAATTTATATAGGCCTAAGAATAAATGACTTCTGTTAGGATTTTTGGTAGTAAATGCTACCTAAAAGTGATCTGGATGATATGGTTATAAGATAAACTTTACCACCCAGTTGGAATGAGTATAAACAGAACATTATAGTCCATTTTTTTTAAAAAAAGAATTCATTTCACTTAGGACAAGATAAGAAGAGCATCGATGCTGCAGTATACTTCATGGGGATAAGTTCTTCCTTTCATTCTTCCCTTACCGCTTTCAAATCTAACACTAGATTAACTTTTTTGAAAGCAACATACCCATTCAGTACAAAGTCAACATTAAAGATTCCCCTACAAAGACACTTTAAGAAGAGGAGTATTTGCCCTAGCATTATATAATGTTGGAAGATCTCTTTTTTTCCCCATGTTCTTATTTAAATCAGCAGTGATGCATAGCAAGTTGCATGAGGCCTTTTGTATAAATACAATTGCACTTAATTCAGTGAGAGAAACTGGAAAGTGAACAGATTAAGCAGCACACATTTTTATTTCACGTATAAAGCCTTGAAAAAAGGAAAGGTTACCAAAAGAGGTTAAAAAAATGGAGACAAATAAATAAAATATGTTCACGACAGGATAACAATCTGGGACCAGCTGCTGCTAAACAAACATTTATTATTACCATCCATCTGAGATTTAATAGAAAATAGAATTTCCAGAAAGACGCTGAACCAGAAATGCATATCTGATCATCAAATATGCAAAGCTCCCGGCTCCTAAGGATAATTGTTTTCCAGCAAAAGGCTTGAGCTTGTTTAAGGGACATATAAATAACTCAAAGCTTGTGTGGGGATAAAGGGAACAGAGCTCAAATCTGTACATAAGCAGACCAATGAATAAATTCTATATTATTTTGGCAGCAAAACCTGCCAGTAACTTCAGGTCTCCCTGGTTTGTCCTAAGTCTGAAGCTTTGGAGGTATTTTCCTGGTGAGCTGTATGGTTTTGAGATCTGACCCTTTCTAAGTATCTATACCAAACCTCCTTGATCTGAGTCACCTTTGTCTCCCACCTGGATTACTACAGTAGCCTGCAAGCTGCTTTCCTGCTTCCATCTTTGCCTCTCTATGATCTGACTGCAATATACCAGCCAGGGCAATCTGCTTAAAATCTAAATCAAATTTGGGCCATCCCTCCTCTAAAAACCCTCCATTGGATTCCCATTTCACCCAGAGTCAATGTCTAAGTCTGTAAGCACCACATGATCTGTCCAATCCCACAGCCTTTGCCTCCCTGACTTTAGTCTACTCTTCTCCAGCCTCTGAGGTCTGGCTCCCCAAACAAGTCAGGCAAGCTTACACATTAGGTTTTTTCACTTGCTGTTCCCAGGGCCTACAAACTTATCCTCCATACCTGCATGAGACTTTATTCAAAAGTTCGAATTTCTTAAAGCAACCTGCCATCACCCTTACATTGAAAAATGCCTTCTACCATCCCACCATACCTGATCTCCTTCTCCTGCTCTATTTCTCTGTTTTCCCGTACTATTCATCACCTTCTACCTACCACAGACTTCACTTAGGATGCTTATTGTTGATTGTCTGCTTTCTTTCACTAGAATTTAAGGTCCATAAGCAGAGGGTCTTTGCTGGTGTCTGGAAGAGTGCTGTCCAATAGAAATACAATGAGAGGCACATAAGTGATTTAAAGTTTTCTAGAAGTTTCATTAAAACAGTAAATGGCAAAAGGTAAAACTAATGTAAAAATATATTTATTATATGTAATAAGGTATTATAAATCTCAAAAATATTATCACTTCTATATGTGGCACTGGCCACACTTCAAGTACCAAATAGCTACATGTGGCTAATTGTTCTGGTATTGGTTAAACCAGCTCTGAAACAATCCTGACACATAGTAACTTCTGAATATGTTGGCCCAATTTGCTGACATTTAATTTGCTGACAAATGAATAAATGAGATTCCCGGAGTGTCGTTCTGAGGTAAGCTGTCCGGTGGAAATTAATCACCTGTTCTGTCCTCCTCTTGGCCCAAATTCTCAGTCTAACACACTCGGCAGTCTCTCTGTCTCTCTGTACCTCATCACTTGTCATATTTTGCTTAGTAAGTCACTGAAAGATGTTTCCCTTCTAAATCCCAAGTGTGAATAAATTGTCTACATTTTTAAAAGACCTGCAATTCATTCTTTCTTGGGGACTGCAGCCCTTCTGTGAATATGATAAAAGGAATAGACCCAACTCAAAGATAGATACACACACACACACACACACACACACACACACACACACACACATTTTACACATAATTTCAAGGGCTTCATGGAGCACTGATTACGAATCTTCATGATAGATTGAGATAGCAGGTAAGGTTTTTGGACTGTTACAGTTAAAATGACCCTTGAAGTTCAAATTCTTCTAACTTTCCAGGGCCTATAGCCCAAATAATTACAAACTGGTGGAACTCACGGCAACCTTTTGTAATCAATCTTTTCTATTCCTACTTTCCACCTTGCTACCTGGGATTATGTAAGCCCATATGAATTTCCTTCATTGTTTCCTAATTCTTCCTATTCTCTTAAACTTGACTTTGACTCCATTCTTCACTTTGCACATCCCTGCTTCTGTCTTTCAGATAATGGAACAATCTTTATAAATATGCATTCAAGAGTGTTTGCTCACTTCACAATAAATGGCTTTTCAAAATATATATAAAGTGGGACAGGTGGCTGTTCATCACAATTCGTCACTTCTTGTAACAATGAGCTCTGTATTTTCTGCTTAATCTTTCTAACAATGTATAAATTGGATTTGCATTTAACAAGAATACATATAGTGCCTGAGATCTGCTGATGACTGGCTATCTATTTAATAGATGTGGTACCTTAATGGGTACGTTATAATTGGCTCATAACCAATCAGAATCAGTGAGGTACCATGGAACATTTGCTAGGACATCTGGGAAAAAAATCACATTTTCCTGAAGGATTTAAAGCTGAGACAAAATAAATTTTGGAAGTACTAAAGTCATGCAAACACCACAAAAAAGGTGAAATTGAGAAACTGGGACCTGTAGTGGCATCACTTGAGACTTTTTCCTAAACTGAATGTGAGGCTATTCCTATCCCACTAGTATACCAGTTACATGAGAAAATTAATTCCATTATGACAATCCAGTTTTCATTCAGCTCTTTTGTTTCTAACAACCGAAGGGAAAATGACTAATACAGAACCCAAAATTCACTTCCAATCACGGGCCTTGGCTTCCAAAACCTCATGACTTCTTTCAAAAATGAAGCAATGGTATAAATTCTGTGACCATTTTGGGAAGATGTTACTACTTTTACTTTTTCTTCTTTCTTTTAACACAACGTACATGATTTTCTATGTGTGGAAAACTGTAGATCTATGGTTTTTCATTTGGTACGTTTCTAGATCTCTTTAACAGACAATGCAAATTCATTTGCTATTCTACCAGAGTAGTTATTACCGAAAAAGATACATCCTCTTCCAATTACTGTAGCTTCCATCCTTACCCTCATACAGACTATTCTCACCATAGCAGCCAGAGTAATTTTGTTTTGGAAAAATGACAGCAAAATGATATACCACTTCACACCCAATTGGATGACTATAATAAAAAAAAGAGAGACAATAATAGGTGCTGGCAAAGATGTGAAGAAACTGATAGTAGGGAAGTAAAATGATGCAGCCACTGTAGAAAGTGATTTGGTGATTCTTCAAAGAGTTAAGTATAGAATTAACGTATGACCCAGCAATTTCACTCTTAGGTGTACACACAAAATAATTGAAAACTGGTACTGAAACAACTACTGGTGCACAAATAGTACACATGAATATAATAGTACTATTGTGAACCTCAGTATTACTCACAATAGCTTAAAGGTGAAAACAGCTGATAAGTGGGTCAATGATGGCTGGATAAAAAATGTGGTGGATACATACCATGGAATGTTATTCACCATAACAGGAATGAAGCACTAATATGTAATACATGCCACAGTGTGAATGAACTTTGAAAACATTATGCCTAGTGAAAGAAGTCAGATTCAAAAGATGACATGCAGTGTGATTCTATGTATATTAATTAACAGAACAAATAAATCTACATAGACAAAAAGCAGATCTGTGTTTTCCAGGACCTGTGGGAGGGGAGATAGGAATGACTGCCTAATTGGTACAGAGTATTTTTGAGAAGTGATGAAAATAATTTTGAACTTGATACAAGTGATCATTGTACAACCTTGTGAATGTACTAAAGGCCACTGAATTGTTCACTTTTTAAAATGGTTAATTTTATATTATGTGGATTGCACCTTTTTTTCAAAAAGTGGGAAAAAATGGCAATTTAATTTGCTCATCTTGTCCAATCCTCCAATGTCTTCCCATTTCACTGAGGGTAAAGGACAAGGTCCTTATCATGCCCCACACAATCTGTCTCTATGTTACTTCTCTGGGGCCCTTGTGTTCTACTCTCCCCTTTTCTTTTTTCACACTGGTTTCTTAGTTGTTCCCTGGAAACTCAGGTCTGCTCTCTCCTACTCCCCCAGGGCCTGTGAACTGCTGTTTCCTCTTTCTGGAATGCTGTTCCTCCAGATGTTTGCATAACCCACTCATTCCCTTCCTTTGAGACTCTGCTCAGCTGTCACTTTTAAAGTGAGGCTTTCTCTGACCAAAATATTTAGGGTACATACCATTTTCCACGGCATTGCCTACTCATTGCTGCCTTTATTTTCCTGGACAACATTTCACCATCCAACACCCTATTTTTTTTATGTATTTAATTTATTTCCCTTTCCAGAATGGACACTCCTTGAGGACAGGGGTCTCTGTTCTGTTTCTGGTTGTCTCGCCAGTGCCTACACTGTTGTAGACACGCCAGTCATCCTACAAATGCTTACTGACCTCCTTCTACCTCTATGTTTTATTGATCAGAAGCACTATAGGGAGACTCTGATTCAAAACTGAGTTATGCGGGAAAGAAGGCAAAAGTGTTACTTGTGTGATTCCAACTCAGGCTAGGTGGTTGTGGAGATGGCAGCGGGGACAACCACTTCTTGGTAAGGGCTCACGCTTAGGCTACCTTGGGGGCCCAGTACTGAAATGGGTTTTGAGACTCATTCCTAGAAGCTCAAAATAGTTTGTTTTTGCAGCCTTCCCAATGATTCCATAAGTTATGTAAGCCCCTTAATGAATCCCTTGGCGCTTAAGACTAAATTCCATTGTCTTCAAATGAGACACTCGAATGATATATGATACAGGTAGAATAACATTATGAAGTTATTCTGTATTAAATTAATAAGCTCCCCTATTTCTCAACCAGAAAAACAACTAATATCTCATGAGTGCTTGCTTCTTAAAAAAATTACTTGATGCAGGGCATTTCTGCTCTAAGCACCCCTATGTTTTAAATGTATTACTTTAAAAATAAAGTCTGCTAAATTACCCCGAAAGTGAGTAATTTACTTGCTTGTGTTGGAGTATAGAAGAGTTATCCATGAGCAGTGCTATTTACTTATTCTAAATATTCTTTCTCTATATTTCTATACCAGTCAAGTATCGTTGCCTAACCTACAACCAGGGAATTTAAGTGGTGACGATGGATGATGATTCTTCACATCTGTGGGTCTGCTGGATGATGAGTGGCTGATCTAAGGAGAGATCCTCTGAGTGACTTTACAACATCTTGCACGTCTGGCTGAGCTTGACTCCTTACTCAAGTGTATTCCAAGCAAAGAGGCAACTATTTTTCTGGGAAAGATCTTTGCATTTAATTGCAGAGGAACCAGTGGTCATGTGCAAACCCCCTTAAGTCCTAGATTTGGCCACTGTCACTTTACCACATTCCACTGGCCAAAGTGAGTCTCACGGTGTAGCTAAAGGTCAAGAGGTAGAAAGTATACTCTTCTTGATTTTAGAAGAATTGCAGAGTTTCATGGCAATAAACAAGGATTCAGGACAGGCTAAAAAATTAGGCCCAATAACTCAATCTACTACCCCCATCTCTAGTTTGTTTAATAGGAGATTCGAAGCAATAAAAAAAAAATCAGACCCTAATTTTATCATTAGTTTTAATATTAATTCTAAATAATTGAGAGGATGAGTTTTATAGCTTTTGTTTTTAAATAAATTAATGATTATAATACACATTTAATTTGTATAAGCCCTTTACATGCCTAATATAAGGGAATGGATAGAAACTCCTGAACACCCGCCAGGAGTCCATTTCCCTTTTCCTTAATGAATGAATACCTCTCCCTGGCATGCAGGTCTAGTCAAATTTTAAGTCTTTCACTTTCAGGAAGGCACAGAAGATGACCATAAATTTATAAAATGTGACATTTTAATCAAGCCCCAAGCTGTTGGCTAATTACATTCCACTGCACTTAAAGGAAAAACGGGAGATGTCATGTTGGTGTAGAGATGAGCATAAAATTGTCCTTAGTACTTCACTGATCATTATGAATACCTTGGTATCAAATTACTCAGAAAAGAGAAAGTAGTAAATCCTCTAAAAGTCATATTTCCAATTTTCTTTTCAATTTCATTTTAGATTAAATTTGGACACAGGTTTATTCAAAAGCTGACATTTTCTTTCCCCACATCTTTCCTGTATAAAAATATGTATAATGGATCTACTGGTAGCATTAGAGACCATTAAGCTACGGAAGCATGAAATCAACTAGAAATTATTATTTTAATTCTATGCACTTGTGCATAACAGGATGATTTCTGTGCCAAATAAACCTTCATCAGGGCTCTACCTAGTATTCTACATACTAATGGGGCTTGAAGTTTAGAATACAGATGTGTGGGGATGCAGCCACAGAAATGCACTCAAAGTCAAAAGATTAGTTGTCTGTCCCCAGGGAATTGTCAGCTGGTGAACTAAAAACTGAAACAAAACATATGCCATTTGTCCACTGTTATTTGGCTTTTCTCCTTGGCAGTGTAACTGAGCTAATCTGACCCGGTTTTCTAAGCATATAATATGTGAAATACTCAAGAGGCACTCCTATTCTATCAAGAGATAATTTCTCTCACACAGACACACACACACAAATAACTAGTGATATATTCTATGTCCACAAAAAAGATAACTGATTAAAGGGACTACTTCCATTATTTCAGCTTAAGGAAGTGATAACTGAGTTTTTAAATCACTCCCTTCTACATTTTTTGCAGGAAGTAATCTCACTCTCCAATGAGCTATTTGCTGAAATGGATAACAATTTACAGTGAGAGGATGGTAAAGAGTAGCAAAGTTATTATCTATTTTGTTACTTTTGCGCCTGGGGAAAGAGGAGGGTAAGTGTGGATAACAAGGAAAATGGATAGGGAAGGAAAATCATTGTGGCACTTGCTACAAAACACCTATTAAAAGCAGGACATGTTTATCTTTGGTTTCATTTCACATTTGAAAATCAAAAACATTACAGAACTAGAAGGAGCTTCAGAAGATATCACCTCCATTCTTTAATTCTAAGGCAAAACTTCAAGGAAACAAGCAGTGGAGTGATTGAAACTCGAACTGCAATTGTGCCATTTTTTTCTCCTACAACATGTAAAGTATTTGTTTCAAGAAAAAGTAGCATTCTGTGTCATTTACATATGGAAAGATTCAGAAAATCTGCATTTCTGACATCCCTCATTCTATATCTAAAATCTGGTAATGACGAAGACGGATTAAGAATATAAGATTATGAGATAATTGTTATTTACTGTTTCCTTTTTCTTCTTCCTTTTCCTTTTTTTTTTTTTTTTTTTTTTTTTTGCTGAGGTAGGGACTCCACTTAACTCCTCCTTGTTAGGGCTATAAGGAAGGAAGGAAGGAAGGAAGAAAGGAATCTGTTTTCAAATATTGCAATCAATAATTATGATCATGAAAAATTATTGTCATTTCTTTTACCAAGATGTAACTTTTAGGATAGACAATATATGTTAAAAAAAAAAAAAAGAAAAAAAAACAAACAAGAATATGTGCTTTTTCCGGTTCAAGGTCCTTAAAATTTATATGAATTTTTGCCAAGGTATCTACCTCGCAAATTTTTTTCTGAATGAATTTATTTAGAGAAATAAAAGATTGTGGGCCGGGCTCAGTGGCTCACGTCTATAATCCCAGCACTTTGGGAGGGTGAGGTGGGAGCATCACATGGTCAAGAGATTAAGACCATCCTGGCCAACATGGTGAAATCCCGTATCTACTAAAAATACAAAAATTAGCTGGGCGTGGTAGTGCGCACCTGCAGTCTCAGCTACTTGGGAGACTGAGGCAGGAGAATCGCTTTAACCCAGGAGGCAGTGGTTGCAGTGAGCCGAGATCACTCCACTGCACTCCAGTCTGGCAACAGAGTGAGACTCAGTCTCAAAAAAAAAAAAAAAAAAAAAAAAAAAAAAGAAACGAAAAAAAAAAAAAAAAGATTGTGGTGGTATAATATTAGGTTCTCTAGAAAGAATGTTCCCTGAGCTTCTGCCTCATTTTTCAGCATTTCAAGTACCAATCCTCAGCAGAAGCACTAAGTTGAAATTATAATCCTATAAATTTTGTCAAATAACAACAAAGGGATATATGATCACCCTGTTAATGATAATATGCTCCACTGAGTTATCATCTGAATTGAAGTGAGTCAGGTGGGATGTGTTTCACTGAATCATAATGGTGTTTCTAAAAAATAACTTTTCCGAAGTTATAATACACAAGAACATGAAAGTAAACTTCCTGAGCTACAATTCAGGAATTAAATCACATAGTTACAGAATATCATTAGAAATCTTACAGCAAAAATAGGTTTTATTAATATCCTTGAATTCACTGATTAAACCTATTTCTTTTTTTCTGCAATTTATGTAAATTTTGTAGGTTTGTTCATTTTAAGATGAACTGTATCAAGCTGGGATTTTCAAACTTCTTTCAGTTTCATATTTCTGCCCAATTGTTGTTTTTAATGTGCTTATATTTTTCCAACCACTCAAACTTATTTATAATGCCATTCGTTATGTGTTAGAAGCTATCTAAATCATGCTTAGGATTTTTGTATGCCTGTCTAAAATGGAAAATGCATTCAGAGACACAGGAGAGATTTATTTATTTATTTATCTTACCAAGCTAAGAAAACCCAACAACCAATACTTTCTGATTCATCCTGGAAACTCAATTTGTCAGATATCAGGGTAGTTTTCTATTTCCATCTGCAAATAAATAATAGGAATCGCAGTCACTCCTTGCTGTAATGACTGCATCATCGACTTCATCAGTTATTTAAAAAGCTAGGGAGAAAACCAGCGACAGCTGTAAAAGGGCCTGGAATTGTTTGGAGGAGACCTTACATGCTATAGTTTCAGGATAAAAGTGGAATTATAAATGAACTTGGGAAACTTTGCAAGGTACTAACTGTAAGTCCCATGCTGTGCAGTCTGCCTGTGCAAAGGAAAATCCCCTTTGAAGAGATTAGCGGAGGTGGTTTGTATGTGATCACAGCAGCTGAGATGATGTGTGACTTTTGCCTAGCTTAAAGTGGATTAGCAAGACTTAAAAGATGGAAAATTGTTTTGTGTGAAGCTCACCATGCTTTTGGAAACATAAATGAAATCACAGTCCTATAAACTTAAATATGATTTCTATTAGTTCAATATGCAAAAATCCCCTTCTAAAAGATTAAACAGAAAAGGATTGTGGCTTGCCAATATTCACATCGGGTAATGACTGTTACACATTTGAAAATAATTTCTTAGAATTTATTTTTAATTCATCCACAAAGATGTCACTTTAAGTGTCTGAGCAACAATGTGGTAAAATAGACAGAACACTGGGTAAGAAATAGAAACAATGAAATTTGGTTCCCAAGTCAGCCACTGACTATCTGGGTCACTTTAGATAAAACACTTAACCTTTCTTAGAGTTTGTATTCTCATCTATAAAATGAAAGAATATACACCACACAGCCCTTATAATTTTGCAGAGTATATCCAATTACAGTGTGTATTTAAGGGAGCTTTAAAAGCAATGAAATACTAAGTTTTAGTTATTATTATTAACATCTTTGGTTGTAACTATTGATCCTTTTTACTAATATCACATAATAAACAAATCAATGTCTGATTTCTCTGAAAACCCTCTTTTTCCATAATAAAAAGAGAAGGAATAAAGATGAGTTACATAAGACAGATCATTGGGGTGATTGAATGTCGTTTTATTCCCTCTCTTCCGCCAGCAAAATATATCATACCATCTCACCAAATAATTTAGGTTGCTTTTGTAAGCCACCAGACCTCACTTCATTTTTCACAAATATGTGAAAGTAAAAGCTATACCACATGTTTAATAGTGACCCATGGAGTATATATCTCCTCACAAGAAACAGACAGTATTATAAAAAGGCAAGAGAGTCCACAAAGGGATATTTGTCTTGCTTAACTTTTGTATGGGCCACCAGTGTCCAGCATTTAGTGCTTTCTTCTCTGTCAATCTTTACGAAGAGGAAGACACTTTTCAACAAACTATCAATGTCATTAAGATTATAAATACGAGTCGACCATCTGTTTTTATGTCCTCTTTTTCTCCATTGACTTTTGGCAGGTGCTTAGAGAAAGAAATATTTCGGAGCCCTGACATTTCAGTGAAAAACAAAGAGGCCTATTGACCAATTTCTGGGGCACACTGTCTTTGGTAAAAGGTTAATCTTCTCAGCTTTTAGAATCTGGAAGTCCCAATAAACAGCACCTGGTCTGTTCTGCTATCATTTTACCAGCTGCAAAGCTCTAAAATAGGAGAATCTTCAATTTAAAACAAAATTTTAAAAAATGAAATGCATTGCAAAGGAAGTTTAATGAATAAAACAGAATATAGCAAATAATAGAGAAAATGGCACACCACTCAATCACTGACATTCTTCTAAAATTATAAACTTTTTGACCTGATACAAATTGCTACTTGATACATCTATACCAGTTACAGAGTAGAAAGTATTAAGAATTGATATATTTAAAATGGAGAAATGATTATCTTGAAGTATGGCATAAAATTTAAGTAGGAAAATAATACCCACCACATTTCTCCTTTTCATTCACTGTCTCATTTCATCATTTAATCCCAATAAATTTGTGCCCATATTTTCTGACAGAACAAATATTTGGGAGCTGAAACTTGACTCCCAGAAGTCTGAATCCAAAGCCTAATCAGAATCTCATGGACTATATTGTGGTGAAACACACATATTGAGCATTTTTAGCAGTCAAGAAATAGCTTCTGATTTTCATTAAAATTATAAACATATTTATGACATAGAAAATGCAAAAACATAGGGTCATAATTTTTAAAATCAGAATATTGGGATAAACAAATGGCCCATGGTATTTCTGAAATAGTATAGTACATTTTACTATTGGTCAAGCCTTTGTTGACTGTTTCTGTCCAGTTCTGGACTTAAAGTCAATCTAGAATTATTGGATAGCTATTAGAAATCCAACAACTTCAATGAGGAAAGTCATAATAATCTGAAAGATGAAGCTTTTGTAGTGGGTATTTGAACAAAGTCCAGCATTTCAAATGATACCTATTACTAGGCAAAACATCCACTGGGCTGATGTGAATCAGACCCAAGACCTTGTCAAGCTGATGAGAAAGCCACAATGTCTCCTTTTTAAAAGACTTGCACTTGACAGTATGGAAGCCTGTTGATTCTGACTACATGATTCCAACAATGACTTAGCAGAGTTGAAAAATAAAAAGAAAGAAACGAGGTGTGATGGTTAATACTGAGTGTCAACTTGATTGGATTGAAGGATACAAAGTATTGATCCTGGGTGTGTCTGTGAGGGTGCTGCCAAAGGAGATCAATATCTGAGTCAGTGGGCTGGGAAAGGCAGACACCCCCTTAGTCTTGGGGGGCATAATCTAATCAGCTACCAGTGCAGCTTGAATACAAGCAGGTAGCAAAATGTGAAAAGAGAGACTGGCCTAACTTCCCAGCCTACATTTTCCTCCTATGCTTGATGCTTCCTGTCCTTGAACATCAGACTCCAAGTTCTTCAGTTTTGGAACCTGAACTGGCTCTCCTTGCTCCTCAGCCTGCAGATGGCCTATTGTGGGACCTTGTGATCCTTGAGCGGATACTTAATAAGCTCATATATATATATATATAAAATTCCGTAATTCCATGAGTTCTTTCCCTCTAGAGAGCCCTGACTAATACACCAGGTAACAATGATATCCTCACAGTACTTGGTTCCAGCCATGCCTGACAGACCTATTCCTAGGATTTTGTGTTAGATTAGTCAAACAAATTTACTTTCACTTCTGGGATAGCATTCATTGTGAGAGGATTCTGAAGTTTTTTTAATCCTTGCAGATAAATTTTAAAATTTCCTGCTAGTAAGAAATTTCAAAAATAGAACAGATAAATGTAATAAATTGCCATTGTAAATGTCATAAAATAAATAAATTTGCTCTAGTGAGTAAATCTAAGATGATTTGCTATCATGTTACATTGTAACATGGTAGGAAAAGCTTAGCACACAATATATTGTCATGAGAACAGAAAGAAAAGAATATACAAAAATACTGTTTGAAAGAAAACCAATGGGTGACAGGAAGAAATAGATTAGCAGTGATTACGCTGATATTTTCCACATTGTAAGAATAAACACCTCTTCATCTTTGTAGTTTAAGAGAATAGAACACCGAAAAATACAAGAAGTAAATAATAGCTGCCAGAATATTAAAATGTCCAATCAAAATGATTTGTGCCAATTTAATATTCTACTAAAATATTCTAATATAATCAACCTTTAGGCTAGCTCCAGATGGAGAGAACAGAATTGATAACACTGTAAGATGCTTTCTGCTATGCTTTCAAGTATCTCACTCAGTAGCTATGAGATCTCAGAATAACATCATTGAGGCAGAGGCTGCTGGCCAGCAGATTTTAGAGTAAGATTATTGGATACAGGTTATATCCTAAGCCATTGTGGTCAGGATACATTGCAGACTAAATCTGACTCGGGGGAAAAAAGGAGTTTTTCATAAATAATAATAATAATAAGTTCCTAAATTAGAATTTCCTAAATATACTCACCCCAAATAGTACTCATCTCATATTGCTACATTCATCCACAGCATGCATTTTGGAATTTTACATTTGTCTTCTAGGTCTTATCCTGTCATTTGATATTCTATTGATGTACCATGGCAAACCTCAAAAACCCCAAACTCTTGAGAGCTGTATACCAGAAGAAAATAACAATTATCCTTTGTTCTTCCCACTCAGTTAAAACCATTATTTAACAACCAAAATGCAGACCAAATTTCTGAAATGACATTCAATAAACACCAATAATTGAATTCAATTAGTTGGAGAAAAAGAGAAATAATTAAAAACAAACAAACAAAAAAAGTCTCATCCAAATGGACATCCAAAGCCATCCTACCTTAAGAGAAAGGGTTTTTGCACTCTCAGAAATAACTTCTAATTATCAGCAATACCATATAATAATAAAAATAGCTTTTTATTGGGCTTGGATTACTACCGGGCACCATTTTTAACACTTTTGCATATGGTAACTCATTAAATCCTCACAATAACTCTTTGAGTTAAGTACCAATATTACTCCCAGTTTAGGAAAGAGGAAACCAATTTAAAGACAGGTTATGTAACTTGTCAATGGTCACAAGCTATACCCAGGGTTCGATAGCTATACAACTTGACCATTACCCCAAAGTACTGAGAAATACACATGCAGTGGCTATTTTGGGAACTGCTAATTGAATCCATGTGGTTAATTCTGGTCATTCCCTGTAGTACACAGCTTAACAAAACTGACTACCCTATTTGGGCTTATAACTGTTTCTAAAAAAAACAAAACCTAACCAAAATAACCAAAATAAAACTTAGAAGCTAATGTACCATACCATATATTGAATGCTATAAAGTTAATTAAAATTAATATTTGAAACATCATTTATAAGCAAAGATTTTTGTTTATTTTTTTCTCATTAGCACTAGCCCTATTGAGCTTCTGCATATATCTCATTGTTATTGAGAATTGCAGCCCATATCTATTTATGCAATCATTTTATCTGTTGAAATAAAAAGATACATTCTCCAAAAGAGTTCATATTCAAAGTAGATTGAATATGATGGTTATGCATTATAAAGCCCTATGATGTTTGAGCTGACCATAATTCTCCTAGTTAAATCCTACCATAATATCTATTGATCTATGTCTATCTATTTATCATCTATATAATTTACATTATAGTCATGTATCCCATAACAACATTTCATTCAAGAGCAGACTGAATATACAATGATAGTCCCATAAAAAAAAAATGGAGCTGAACAATTCCTATCCCCTGGTGACATCTTAGCCATCCTAACATCATAGTGCAGCACATTACTCATGTGTTTTTAGTGACACAGACATATGCAAACCTACTGCATTGCCAATGATATGAAAGTATGGCACATACAATTACGTACAGTACGTAATACTTGATAATGATGGTAAATGATGATGTTAGTGTTTACACATTTACTATACTGTACTTTTTATTGTTATTGAGAGTACATTCTTTCTGCTTATTAAAAAAAATAAAAGTTAACTGTAAAACAGTCTCAGCCAGGTCTTTCAAGGGGTATTCCAGAAGAAGGCATTGTCATAGGAGATGACAGCCCCATGCATGCTTTTGCCCCTGAGGACCTTCCAGTGGGACAAGAAGTGGAGGTGGAAGATGATAATATTGATGATTCTGACCCTGTGCAGGCCTAGGCTAATGTATGTGTTTGTGGCTTTGTTTTTGACAAAAAAATTAAAAAAAATTAAAAACAGAAAAAGGCTTATCAAATAAGGTTAAAGAAAATACTTTCATACAGCTTTACAATATTTGTGTTTTAAGCCAAGTGTTATCAAAAGAGTAAAGTTAAAAATATTCAAAAGTTTATAAAGTAAAAAAGTTACAGTAACCTAAGGTTAATTTATTAATGAACAAATAATTTTTAAATAAATTTGGTGTAGCCCAAGTATACTGTCTTTACAAAGTCTGTAGTAGTCTTCAGTAATGTCTTAGCTCTTCATGTTCACTCACCATTTACTCACTGCCTCACCCAGAGTATCTTCCAGTCCTGAAAACTCCATTCATAGTAAATGCCCTATGCAGGTGTACTATTTTTCATATTTTATACTGTATATTTACTGTACATTTTCTATATTCAGATACACAAATGCCTACCATTGTGTTACAATTGCCTACAGTATTCAGTACAGTAACATCCTATCTAGGGTTGTATCCTAGAAGTAATAGGCTATACCATATAGCCTAGGTGTGCAGTGGGCCATATCATATAGGTTTGTGTAAGGACACCCTACGATCACAAAAAGACAAAATCACCTAAAGATGCATTTCTCAGAACATATCCCCATTGTTAAGCAACATATTACTGTACATATACATATATTTTTAATGTATGCAAAGGAAAATTGAGTTCCAAACAAAAGATTCACCTCTTGAATGATGTATAAGAGAAAGCTGATAAATGATTTGTAAACGTCACTTTCAGTGTATTATGATTGAAACTGGTCCTTCCCTTTTGTAGGCATTGCATCATTCCCTACTGGCATATTTAACTAGCAGGTATAATAATTTTGTCCCAGGAATTTGTGCCTTTGTGTGAAAAATGTTTTCCCTCTTTCATTCAACCAGCATTCAAGTGCCTCCTGAGCATCTGGTCCTCACCTAGAGGCCGGTGATACAACTATGAACATGACATGAGCAAAGAGACAATCAAAACACAAATAGGAGATTAATCCCCACAAATAAAGATTGTGGTAAATATTACGAAGGTATTCTAGGTTGAAGAATGTCCGCCTAAAAATTCATGTCCATCCAGAACCTGGGATATGACCCTATTTAAAATTAGTTCCTTTGCATCTAATCAAGTTGCACTTAATTCAAACATCCTGAATTAGGTTGGGTCCCAAATCCAATGTGACTCTTGGCCTTATAAGAAAGGGGACATTCCAGCACAGAGACACTTAACACACAGTAAAGAACGTCGAGTAAAAACAGGTACGGATCTGAGTGACGTGTCTACCAGCCAATGAAAGTCAAGGATTGCTGACAACCACTGACCACCAGGAGCTAGGAAGAGATAAAGAAGCCTCCTCCCCCGGAGCTCTTAGAACATAACCTCGCCAACATCTTGATTTCAGACTGCTGGGCTCCAGAACTGTGAAAAAATGAATTTCTGTTGCATAAGCCACCTATGTGTGGTACTATTATGGCAGCTCTGGGACACTAATACAGATGAAGTACAACAGAAGAGAATTTAGCAGGGCAGTTAGCACAGGGTGGGCAGTCAGAGAAAGCACATCTGGGAGGTGACTTAAGGGTAGACCTCGAGTGTGAATCAGCATTGTGAGGAATACAGAGGGGAAAAGGGTTCTAGGCACGGGAAATAGCAAAAACAAAAGTACAGAGTCAAAAAAAAGCTCACACTTAAAAGAGAGAACTGAGGTCTGGAGGAGAGAGAGAAAGAGAAAGACCAAGAGATAGAGATGCATAGGAAGAAGTAGGAGAGGCAGATAAGGGACTAAGGATATCAACTCTACCCTAGCCTTGAGAGACATCCACCCCAGTGAGGAGCAAAACCACATTATTAATAGCTACAATTCATGGAATGTACACAGTTCAAAGAGAGGAAGCAATGATTTGCTTCTGTGCAATCAGTGAAAGATTTGCTGAAAAAGTGCCATTTGTACTGGGTTTTAAACATAAAAATAAAATTTGGATATTGTCTTAGGTCAGAGTCCCTAGAAGCAAAGCCTGAGATGGAGACTCTCAAACAAGAAATTCGTTGAGGGAGAAAGGGAAAGACTAAGTCGGGATGTGGTTTCAAGTGATGTCTAGCCTGTTTGATCCCAAAGGAAAGAGAGAATGCAAATTGCACAGTGAACTCTCTTGCCTTTGAGGCAAAGTAGCTGGGCTTTTGTATCCTCTGTACCGGTTAATCACTGGTCTGGGTGAATTGTTCAGGGGAGTTGATGATGGAGGAACCTCACTCCCCCAGGAAGCAGTTTCTATTGCTCAAGGATAACTCTATGAATGAGAATGCAAACAGGAGACTTTGGCAGGCACACCACGATGAGTGATCCCAGAGGGCTGGATAGGGCAAAAGGGCATCAGTTACAAATACAAAGATATGAGCTGGTCATAGAGATTAGAACTATTTCAGAACAAAAGAATCATAAGGGCCAAGCCTCTTCTATTCAAATCCACTCCAGCTGACTAATCTTATAAAACGAATAAGGAAGGACAGGCTAGACCCTGACTGGGGTCTCTGTAAGTAGTCTCCACTAACTTTCCTCATCTCTGCCTCATGGCTGTTACATTCAGCTTCTACTAAACGATAACAGGAGGAAGAAAAGAGCTTGTATAGCTTCCCTCCTTACTGTAAGGTCTCAAAATGAGGTAAGTTGATGACAAGAGTTTGTGTTATAATATTGAGAATAGATATTGGTTCAAACAGCATGGTGATTATTTCCAGGCAAAATACCTACAACAAGAAAAAGGCAATTTAATGTGCAGTCTTGTGCTAGGAACAGCAGAAGCATTTCATCTCATGTGCCAGCTTTGTTCAAATGTCCAAGTCACTGTGTTAAGAAAGAGTCTAAGGTTCAAGAGGACCCACAGACCCTCTAAAGGAAGTCCACAGACTCATGCAGGACCCAGGGGACCCCCCAAAACTGTGAGTACCCCAACTGCAGAAGTGGGAAAGGGAGACCGTCCTCTCCCGAACGCACACCCCCACTGGAGAAGCTGAAGTTCTGTTTCTGGGAGACGTTTCTGACTTTACCTGTAGCTGAGTCAATTTGGAGAGCCCAGCAAAATCCAGGGGTAGAGGTGTAGCAGGTCGAGCCACAGACAAAACCTCTCAGACACCGAGTTGTACAAGGAAGGGCTTTATTCAGCTGAGAGCATCGGCAAGCTACTGCCTTAAAATCTGAGCTCCCCGAATGCACGATTTATGTCCCTTTTAAGGGCTCACAACACTAAAGATTTCACATGAAAGGGTCTTGATAGATTTGAGCAGGCAGGCGGTACATGACAGGGGCTGCATGTACCGGTGGTCAGAGAGAAACAGAACAGGAAAGGGAGTTTCACAATGTTTTCTATACAATGTCTAGAATCTATGAATAACATCAGTTTCAGGCCTGGCACTGGGCTGCCTGTCTTTGGTTTTACTTCCTTGTTGTTTTTTCTTAAAACAGGTAATGAGTATAAAATAACATAAAACAATATAAGAGGGTCTCTCTCTTCCCTCATTCCCCCCTTTTGAGACTCTCACTTTTTATTAGTGGGAGTTTTCACTCTTATTTTTCTTACTTATGTCTTTTTGTTCAATAGATTAATAGTGATTCATATAGTACACTTGTGCTGAAGCATTTTGGTGAACTAAGGTAGCGATGAAGCTTTTTATCATTTGAAGAAGTACAGGTAGTAAACAAGGGAGCAGTAAGCAGGTTTTTATTATTATTATAACTCCTATTATAAGAGTTTTAAATCTTCCTAGTGCTGGGAACCACCTTCTAAACACGGCTTCAGGGTTGAATCCGTGCTACACTTGCACGGGTACATGTGCCAGTTTTGTTATATCTTTAACTGTGTCTTCAACTACTTGTCCTTGATCATCTATGTGTTAGACAACAATTAGTAAGGTTAAATTTTCCACAAACTCCTCCTTCAGCTGCTAACAAGTAGTCAAGAGCTAGTCTATTTTGATAGATAGCATTTCTCATCAGAGTTTCTTGCTGGGCAAGAACAGTCAAGGCTTGACCGGTTTTATCAGTAATAATTTTTAAAACAGCTTGTAACTGTATGATTCAGTTGAGCATGTAGACGGGGGTTCGATATCCCCATGAGCCATCTTGTGCCCAAGTGGCGAGTCCATAGTATTGTACGATTCTTTCAGGAGGCCATTTATTATTTTTCCAATCACCTATGGCTATGCTTTGTTTTTCCCGCGAAGCATAGACTTGGAAGCCTAGAAGTTCACCTGTTTTTATGAGCAGTAAGAAGAAAGATGGCTTAATGGTGGCAATTACACAGCTACCTGTCCACTGATCAGGCAGCTTAGCATAAGCTCTGTGTCCACATATCCAGTATAACCCGGTGGGGGCCATTCATTCCCGGTGGAATTCTGGGTTGGCCTAAACAGTCTGCAACTTTGGAAATTTACTGAATGGATTTCTTTCTGTGTAATTGGAACTTCACCATGTTACTGTTTTTGTGGTACCATTATACAGCTTTTGCCCAAGCCAATTAAGCCGCCCTATAGGATGAGTGAATCTTCCTTCTTTATCTATGCAATACTGCCCAATAGTTGAGACTTTTAGAACCTAAAAATTGTCAGGGTGGTTCTTTTGGGCTGGGAATTCATCAGGAACTGGGTCTGTAGGAACTAATTCTCAGGCTTCTTATGGCCATTGATCTCTTATTACAGTTTTTCCACAAACATAACATGGAGTGGCATTTAGAGACTGGGCTATATGCTCGGCTAATTGCAAAAACAAATTTCTGGTTTTTCCTGGAGTCTCTGGTACTGGCACATTTAGTTCATCATAGAAAGTCTGAAGTACTGGTTCTGGAGAGCATTTTTGAACTTCTCCTTTTATTAGGATGCTTACACTAGCATCTAGTCCTTTTCCATTAATGCCTAATGTTACATATATATTTTTTAATTTTACTTTGGGTCTGAGGGGTTTGTGATTATTAATTCTAAAGGGTTGCAGCTCCCACTCATGCAGGAGGGGCTGACTTTTCTTTATTTGGAGTCAAACAGGATTTTTTAAATCTTCTTTCCAAGTAGCCTAAATGACACAAGACCAGTATTGACACATCTCACATAAATATGATTTTTGAAAGATGTACTTATTTTCTGCTGTGTAACTTTTTTCTTAATCTAGAGAACCACATCTTATCCTATGCTGTTTGCTATTAATAGTGGCACAAGCATCAAATTTTAAGGTTACATTTTTGGGGACCCCTCTTTCTTCTGTTCTAGCTATTACCTTTCTTGTGTCACTTAGAAAAGGACCAGTCCTTAATTTTATTTTAAAAACTGTGATCATGGGAGGCTTAAAATGGGTCATAACACGCATCAGGTTGGTTATTTCCTGGGCTACATACCTTGGATAGAATAGCATTATACAAACAAGTTTCTTTTAGAGTCCTGGTACACTTATAATAGCCATAAAATAATAGGAATGTAGCAATCTTTTGTCCTACCTCAGTGACTTGATGTATATACTGGAAACAGTTCTCAGTCTGAGGAAGGTCAGTTGAAGTCCTTACTGTTCAAGTCTAAATTTTAAGGAAAATGAGTCCTGCAATGAGTTTCCTCATGCTTCGGCTACACATGGACCAGTCAGCTTCCGGGTGTGACTGGAGCAGGGCTTGTCGTCTTCTTCAGAGTCACTTTGCAGGGGTTGGCGAAGCTGCTCCTATCCACGTACAGCTCTCAGTCTACTGATGTTTAAGGATGGTCTCGGAGGTTGGGCCTACTAGAATAAACTGAGTCCAGCACCTCTAAACAGTTATGTTTAACTGGGCTCTCTGATACCAGGAGTAAGGTGGCAGGGTTAGGGTGTTGCAAACTTCAATGGTTATGCAGGGATTTTCACAGAGCAAGCTTTGGTATCTAGTTAGTCTAGCATTTATTAGCTAATGATGTCCTTTGGTATTTATTAAAATCACCACAGCATGGGGAGACTTTATGTTTAGGTTTTGCCTAAGAGTTAGCTTATGGCTTCTTGTGCTAACAGGGCAGTTGCTGCCAGGGCCCTTGGACATGGGGGCCAGCCTTTGGAAACCCTGTCTAGTTGTTTTGAGAGATAGGCCACTGGCCTTGGCCAGGGCCCTACAGTCTGGGTTAAAACTCCAACCGCTATTTTTTCTCTTTCTGACATATAGAGTGTAAAGAGTTTTGTCAGGTCAGGTAGCTTCAGGGCTGGGACCGACATGAGTTTTTCTTTTAAACTCATGAAAAGCTCATTGCTGTTGGTTGTAATAGATGTAGTTTATCTAATACATTTTTATTGACTGTCGTCTACTAAAATATTGACTTAAATCTTGTAACTATTTGATTTCAAGCTTTAAATTGATCTGGTATTCCTTGCAGGGTTCCAATTGCATCTAAATAGATGTGAGAGTTGAAAGACCTATAAGGGCCTTCTCTCACTTTATGATGTCTTTATTTATATATATATATTTACCTCTGGTTGATGAAATGCCAGGGTGAAAGGGATAGCCAAATGGGCTAAAGCACAATTGCCACTCTAGTTATTCAGCAGAGTGCCCAGTAAAGGTCCACCACAATACTACCACACATCTGCTCGGGGATGAACAAGAGCTGACTGATTGATAAGCTCTTGAAAATTTTTAAGCTCCCCGCATCCTTTCAGGTCTCCAAGGAATGCTGTCTCCTCCCTGCCATCAGAGACATGAAGTGAACTTAGTGTTGGGAGACGGAAACTGGATGGCCCTCAGGGGCTGACCCACAGGGACTTCAGGATATAGCAGAGAGAGCTTGGCATGACTTATTACTCCAGGCTGTAGAATCCTAGAAAAGAGCTACCATGCAGCCCACACCTGGTCGACTGGAGGACCACCTTAGTGGAAGGGGGACAATCAGGGCCTCTGGCCTGCCATGTGCACAAGCATAACAATTGCTTTTGTTTAACGTGCAGATGGAATATTTGATCCATTTCAACCAGGCATTTGCATCTTGGTATGCTCTCTTCATTGCCAAAGTTTGTTTTAAGTCTTTAACTTCTATGATCCTCTAGTAAAATGAATGTTTCCTTTAGCACCAATTTTTATTAGTTTTTAGACCAAAGAAAGCTAAACACCATTTTATGTTTAATAATGCTTCTTGTATGATTTTTATACCAGATAAGCTAAATTTTACCTTTATATTAGTGTTATTAATGTTAAACTTAATTTTAAGAAAACCTTGTAGACATATTTATCCAATTTTTCATGTTTGACCATAAGGTAAGATTTTATAGACTCTTTTTAACCTTTTATAATTTTTGTTAAAGAGCAGGTTGATGCTTTAAGAAAAAAAACCTGTTGCATTTTTACTTTAATGTCCAGTTCACAGAAAAACTGGGTGATACCTTTTTAACTTTAGCTAATATGTTTATACACAGAATTTTCTTTACAATTAACATTTTAAAACTTGCTTAAACTTTCAAAACAATAATTTTTTTAACCTTTTAATGTAGGTAAAAATCCACATTCTTATGCCTCCTTATAATCTTTTTACCAAAGGTATATTTTACTTTTTTTTATACACCTTGCACATAAACTTTCTTCAATAGTACTCAGGAGGCCTTATCACTTTTAAATTATACAACATTTTTTGCATAAAATTTTTTTATAACATTTTTTCTTTCACGACTTTCACGGACAATTTTTTTAACATGTCTCAATTTTTGACTTATTATAAACATTTTTTTCTTTAAACAACCAGTTAATTTATTTCGGGACAAGAATTTACCATATAACTTTTTTTATATGTAAATTCTGCCTCCCCCAACCTTTTTTTTTTTTAAAGCAAACATTCTTTATGTCTTTGGACTAGACTGTCTAAGGCCACAAGATTAGAAGTTATCATAATACATGTTACACTGTTAACTTTTAGCAAACTTCACATTTGTTGAAAACCTTGTAAGTTTGGGATTTCAATTATCCTTTGCTAATAATAAGATCTTGTTTCGTCTAAATTAACTTACAATTGGTATAGATGGCTTTTTTTTTTTTTTCTTCTCTCTGCTGGTCTTTCCTTGTCTCTGCCAGCCACTTATGCTGCTGTTCTCTTAACTACCGTGGGGGGAAAGGGGTCTAAAACCAGCTGTAACTGTCTATGTATGGAACCTGGTCTGGGTGCCTTGGCTTACAGGTTACCTTTTGCCATACCTTAGAAACCAAAGACCTATCTAGGCTTCCTTCTGATGGCTAACCTACCTCTAATGCTGGCCAGTCTATTTCACACAAACTTCTAAGTGTTCCTGGAGTCATAGTGACTCCATAGTCTCCATTAAATCCTTTCTTGAAATTCTTTAACATAGTTCCCATTGGGGTGTGCTTACTTTGCATCTGACCTATGTTTTTTCAAGACAAAACACCACGCTCACACCACACACACACCACAAAACAAAGAACAGGTAAAAGGGCACACACACACTTTTGCAGTTTACACCAAACCAAAATCAAAACCAAAATCAGAGTATCCAGAAATTCAAGCCAGGTCAAAAACCGAAATCAAAGTATCCAGCAACTCAAGTCAAGTCAAAACCAGAACAAAGGTGCCAATACAGGCACACCGTGGGTGATCAGGCCACGCTTCCACTCAGATGGAGTGGGGCATGTTCCAAAGACTAGTCTTACCAAGTTTCAGATGTCTGGACTCCAAGGGCCAGTTCCTTCCCAGTGTTCAGCCACTGTGTTAATCCTCCGTGGGGGCCTGCTATGCGCTGCTCTGACGAGGCATTCCACAGGGGCAATTTCCTACCCAAGCGCTCTTCGGACCACATCACTCAGGCTGGCCAGAGTCCCCCTCAGGGATGCTCCACAGGGCAGGCTTAAGCCACCTAAGGGGCTGCCTCGGCCGTCCGTCAGTCACCTCGCTTCCTGGTCAGGGAACCAAGAAATGTAGCAGGACGAGTCGCAGACAAAACCTCTCAGACACCTAGTTGTAGAAGGAAGGGCTTTATTCAGCTGGGAGCATTGGCAAGGTACTGCCTTAAAATCCAAGCTCCCCGAATGCACAATTTCTGTCCCTTTTAAGGGCTCATAACACTAAAGATTTCACATGAAAGGGTCGTGATTGATTTGAGCAAGCAGGCGGTACATGACAGGGGCTGCATGTACCGGTGGTCAGAGAGAAACAGAACAGGACAGGGAGTTTCACAATGTTCTTCTATACAATGTCTGGAATCTATGAATAACATCAGTTTCTAAGTTATGAGTTGATTTTTAACTACTGGGTTTAGGCCAGGCAGGCCCAGGCCTGGTTTCAGGCCTGGCGCCGGGCTGCCTGTCTTTGGTTTTACTTCCTCGTTGTTTTTTGTTAAAACAGGTACTGAGTATAAAACAATATAAAAGAATATATGAGGGTCTCTCTCTTCCCTCAGAGGAAGCAGCAGAAAGGCTCTGGGGGCTCGCTGGGTCCCCTAACAGCCCATTCCTGCCTGGCACCACAGGAATCCAACGGGAGAGGAGCAGGGGTAAAACTACACAGGGACAAGGAAATCTCTAGCTGAACTTTGAAACAATTTGAATGGGGTGAGAAACCTCCTGGCCAGAACTTGGGGCAGGGTGCAAATCCTGTGTGCAAACTCCACAGGTGGAGGAAGAACCAGGGCCTTTTTATTCTCAGCGGGGAGGCAGATAGCCAGGGGCAGTGTTTCAAGCCCGTATTGCCCTCCGCCTGGAAATGGTATGGGGGCTCTTACAGGGTACACAGTGGGATTGAGACCGGCAGGTCAGTTTGTGTGGGAGCTGGGTGAGGTCTGTGACTGCTGGCTTTCTCCCACTTTCCAGGCAACCTGTATGACTCATCAGAGGCAGGCAAAATCCTCCTAGGTACACAACTCCAGTGACCTGGGAATCTCACCCCCATTCCCCACAGCAGCCACAGGAAGACCTGCCCAAGGAGAGTCTGAGCTCAGACACAGCCAGCCCTGCCCCCCGCTGATAATCCTTCCCTACCCACCCTGGTTCCTGAAGACAAAGGCCATATAATCTTGGGAGTTCTAGGGTCCCACCCACCACCAATTCCTCCCCATAATACCATAGCTGATGCTCTCTGGAAAGCTCTACCTCCTGGCAGGAGGCCGAGCAGCACAAAAATAGAGCATTAAACCACCAAAGCTAAGAGCACTCACAGAGTGCAATGCACCCCTCCCACCCCCACCAGAACAAGCACTGGTATCCACAGCTGAGAGACCCATAGATGGTTCACATCACAGGACTCTGTGCAGACAACCCCCAGTAACAGCCAGAAGCCAGACAGACTCACTAGGTGGGTGGCTAGACCCAGAGGAGAGACAACAGTCCCTGCAGTTTAGCTCACATGAAGCCACATCCATAGGAAAAGGGTGAGTAATACATCAAGGGAACACCTCGTGGGACAAAAGAATCTGAACAACAACCTTCAGCCCCAGGCCTTCCCTTTGACAGGGGCTACTCCAGTGAGAAGGAACTGGAAAACCAACGCTCATGATATGGCAAAACAAGGCTCTTCAACACCACCAAAAAATCACACTAGTTCACCATGAATGGATCCTAACCAAGAAGAAACACCAAAAAGAATTCAGAAGGTTAGTTACTAAGATAATCAGGGAGTGAGAAGAGAAAGGCGAAACCCAATGCAAGAAAATCCAAAATATGATACAAGTAGTGAAGGGAGAAGTATTCAAGGAAATAGATAGCTTAAAGAAAAAAAATCAAAAAATCAGGAAACTTTGAACACACTTTTAGAAATAAGAAATTAGAAGTAGGAGATTCAGAGCTCGAAGACAAGGTCTTCAGATTAACCCAATCCAAGAAAAACAAATAAAAAAGAATAAGAAAATATAAACAAAGCCTCCAAGAAGTCTGGGATTATGTTAAATGACCAAACCTAAGAATAATCAGTGTTCCTGAGGAAGAAGAGAGTTCTAAAAGCTTGGAAAATATAATTGGGGGAATAAGCGAGGAAAACTTCACCACCTTTGCTAGAGATCTAGACATCCAAATACAAGAAGCACAGAGAACTCCTGGGAAATTAGATCATTTGCAGTCAAGAGGTCAAGACCAGCCTGGCCAACATGGTAAAACCTCGTCTTTACTAAAAATACAAAAATTAGCCAGGCATGGTGGTACACACCTGTAACTCCAGCTACTTGGGAGGCTGAGGCAGGAGAATTGCTTGAACTGGGGAGGTAGAGGTTGCAGTGAGCCAAGATCCCACCACTGCACTCCAGCCTAAGCAACAGAGCAAGACTCCATCTCAAAAAAAGAAAAAAAGAAAAGAAAATCTTCACCTAGGCACATTGTCATCAGGTTATCCAAAGTTAAGATGAAGGAAAGAATCTTAAGAGCTGTGAGACAGAAGCACTGGGTCACCTATAAAGGAAAATCTATCAGATTAACAGCAGATTTCTCAGCAGAAACCCTACAAGCTAGAAGGGATTGGGGCCCTATCTTTAGCCTCCTCAAACAAAACAATTATCAGCCAAGAATTTTGTATCCAGTGAAACTAGGCATCATACATGAAGAAAAGATAGAGTCTTTTTCAGACAAACAAATGCTGAGAGAATTTGCCATTAGCAAGCCACAACTACAAGAATTGTAAAAGGAGCTCTAAATCTTGAAACAAATCCTTGAAACACATCAAAACAGAACCTCTTTAAAGCATAAATCACAAGGGACCTATAAAACAAAAATCAAGTTAAAAAGAAAACAGAAAAAAAAAAAAGTACGCAGGCAACAAAGATCACAATGAATGCAATTGTACCTCACATTTCAATACTAACATTGAATGCAAATGATCTAAATGCTCCACTTAAAAGATAGAGAAACACAGAATGGATAAGAACTCACCAACCAACTATCTGCTGCCTTCAGGAGACTCACCTAGCAAATAAAGACTCACATAAAATTAAAGTAACAGGGTGCAAAAAGGCATTTCATGCAAATGGAGACCAAAAATGAGAAGGGTTAGCTATTCTTATATCAGACAAAGCAAACTTTAAAGCAACAGCAGTTAAATGAAACAAAGAGGGACATTATGTAATGATAAAAGGCCTTGTCCAACAATAAAATATCACAGTTCTAAACAAATATGCACCTATAACTGGAGCTCCCAAATTAATAAAACAATTACGAATAGACCTAAGAAATGAGATAGATAGAAACACAATAATAGTGGGGGACTTCAATACTCCACCGACAGCACTAGACAGATCATCAAGACAGAAAGCCTACAAAGAAACAATGGATTTAAACTGTACCTTGGAACAAATGGACTTAACAGATATATACAGAATGTTTCATCCAACAACCACAGAATACACATTCTATTCAACAGCGCATGGAACATTCTCCAGGATAGAGCACATGATAGGCCATAAAGGGAGCCTCAATAAATTTAAGAAAATTTAAATTATATCAAGCACTCTCTCAGACCACAGTCGAATAAAACTGGAAGTCAACTCCAAAAGGAACCTTAAGAACCATGCAAATACATGGAAATTAAATAACCTGCTCCTGAATGAGCATTCGGTCAAAAATAAAATCAAGATGGAAATTTTAAATGTTTCTAATTGAATGATAATAATGGCACAACCTATCAAAACCTGTGATACAGCAAAGGCAGTGCTAAGAGGAAAGTTCATAACCCTAAATGCCTACATCAAGAAGACTGAAAGAGCACGGACTGATACTCTAAGGTCACACCTCAAGGGACTAGAGAAAGAAGAACAAACCAAACCCAAACCCAGCAGAAGAAAGGAAATAACCAAGATCAGAGCAGAATTAAATGAATTTGAAAAAAAATACAAAAGATAAATGAAACAAAAAGCTGATTCTTCAAAAAGATAAATAAAATTAATAGACCTTTGGCAAGATTAACCAAGAAAAGAAGAGAAAATCCAAATAACCTCATTAAGAAACGAAACAGGATATGTTACAAATGACACCACAGAAATACTAAAGATCATTCAATGCTACTATGAACAACTTTATGCACATAAACTAGAAAACCTAGAAGAGACGGATAAATTCAACCAAATTCAACCATCCTAGCTAAAATCAGGAAGAATGAGATACCCAGAACAAACCAATAACAAGCAGCAAGATCGAAAGGGTAATTTAAAAATTACCAACAAAAAAAGTCCAGGACCAGACAGATTCACAGGAGAATTCTACCAGATATTCAAAGAAGAATTGGTACCAATCCTTTTATAACTATTCCACAAGATAAAGAAAGAACAAACCCTCCCTAATTCATTCTATGAAACCAGCATCACCCTAACACCAAAATCAGGAAAGGACATAACCAAAAAACAAAACTACAGATTGATATCCTTGAAGAACATAGGTGCTAAAATCCTTAATAAAATACTTGCTAACCAAATCCAACAACCTATGAAAAAGATAATCCACCATGATCAAGCGGGTTTCATACCAGGGATGAAGGGATTGTTTAACATATGCAAGTCAATAAATGTGATATACCACATAAACAGAATTAAAAACAAAAGTTACATGATCATCTCAACAGATGCAGAATAAGGATTCAACAAAATCCAGCATCCCTTTATGATGAAAACACTCAGCAAAATCGGCATAAAAGGGACATACCTTAATGTAATAAAAGCCATTTATGACAAACCCGCAGCCAACATAATACAGAATGGGGAAAGTTGAAAGCATTCCCTCTGAGAACTGGAACAAGACAAGGATGGTCACTCTCACCACTCCTCTTCAACATAGTACTGGAAGGAAGTCCTAGCCAGAGCAATCAGACAAGAGAAAGAAATAAAGGGCATCCAAATCAGTAAAGAGGAAGTCAAACTGTCACTGAAGATATGTTCGCTGAAGATATGAGTGTTTACCTCAAAAACCCTAAGGACTCCTCCAGAAAGCTCCTAGAACTGATAAAATAATTCAGCAATGTTTCTGGATACAAAGTTAATGTACACAAATCAGAAGCTATTCTATACACCAACAGCAACCAAGTGCAGAATCAAATCAAGAACTCAACCCCTTTTACAATAGCTGTGAAAAAATAAAAATAAAATATTTAGGAATATACCTAACCAAGGAGTCAAAAGACCTCTACAAGGAAAACTACAAAACACTTCCGAAAGAAATCATAGATGACATGAACAAATGGAAAAACATCCCATGCTCATGGAAGGGTAGAATCAACATTGTGAAAATGACCATACGGGCAAAAGCAATCTACAAATTCAATGCAATCCCCATCAAAATACCACCATTATTCTTCACAGAATCATAAAAAACAATTCTAAAATTCATATGGAACCTAAAAACGGCCTGCATAGCCAAAGCAAGTCTAAGCAAAAATAACAAATCTGGAGGCATCACACTACCTGATTTCAAACTATACTGTAAGGCCATAGTCACCAAAACAGCATGGTGCTGGTACAAAAATATGCACATAGACAAACAGAACAGAATAGAGAACCCAGAAATAAACCCAAATACTTACAGCCAACAGATCTTCCACAAAGCAAACAAAAACATAAAGTGGAGAAAGGACACTCTATTCAACAAACGGTGCTGGGATAATTGGCTAGCCACATGTAGGAGAATGAAACTGGATCCTCATCTCTCACCTTATACAAAAATCAACTCAAGATGGATTAAAAACTTAAACCTAAGACCTGAAACTATAAAAATTCTAGAAGATAACATTGGAACAACCCTTCTAGACATTGGCTTAGGCAAGGATTTCATGACCAAGAACCAAAAAGCAAATGCAATAAAAACAATGATAAATAGCTGGGACCTAATTAAACTAACGAGCTTTGGCACAGCAAAAGGAATAGTAAGCAGAGTAAACAGACAACCCCCAGAGTGGGAGAAAATCTTCACAATCTATACATCTGACAAAGACTAATATCCAGAATCTATAATTAAATCAGTAAGAAAAAAACAAACAAACAAACAATCCCATCAAAAAGTGGACAAAGGACATAAATAGACAATTCTCAAAAGAAGATATACAAATGGCCAACAAACATATGAAAAAATGCACAACATCACTAATGATCAGGAAAATGCAAATCAAAAGCACAATGCTATACCACCTCACTCCTGCAAGAATCGCCAAAATAAAAAAATAAAAAAACAGTAGAGGCTGGCATGGATGTGGTGATCAGGGAACATTTCTACACTGCTGGTGGGAATGTAAATTAGCACAGTCACTATGGAAGACAGTGTGGAGATTCCTTAAAGAACTAAAAGTAGAACTACCATTTGATCCAGCATTCCCACTACTGGGTATGTACCCAGAGGAAAAGAAGTCGTTATTTGAAAAAGATACTTGCACACTCATGGTTATAGCAGCACAATTCACAACTGCAAAATTGTGGAACCAACAAAAATGCCCATCAATCAACGAGTGGATAGAGAATATGTATACACACACACACACACGCACACACACACACACAATGGAATACTATGCAGCCATGAAAAGGAATGAATTAACAGATGCTATTAGAGACTTTTATTGTAAGTGAAGTAACTCAGGAATGGAAAACCAAACACCATATGTTCTCACTGATACGTGGGAGCTAAGCTATAAGGACACAAAGGCATAAGAATGATGCAATGGACTTTGGGGACTTTGGGGGAAGAGTGGGAGGGGGGTGAGGGATAGAAGACTACAAATATGATGCAGTGTATACTGCTCCAGGGATGGGTGCACCAAAATCTCACAAATCATCCCTAAAGAACTTACTCATGTAACCAAATACCACCTGTACCCCAATAACTTATGGAAAAATAAAAAAGAAACAAAGTAAAAATTAGATAAATAAAAAATGACTGCCGCTTAAAAAATAAAAAAAAGAAAGAAAGAAAAAGGCAATGCAGGGCACGCTGTTCCCTTGTTTTATGTCTGTCTTGAGACACAGATGATTTATTAGTCATCCCATCCTTAGGAACTGCAATACTTGTCCCACTTTTCTATCAACAAATCTTTGTAGCGTACTTTGTTCACTCAGCTCATGGTCATTGGCATTTATTTACCATCCAACAGACATCATCAATTCCAGGGTAAGTGAGCTGCAAAAAGCTAAACTTAATTTTACTGAAATATTTTGCCAAGGTGAGAATCTGAGTGAGTAACGTTGTTCCTGATATCCAACTGAGTCTGAAATATAATGGAAAGTTTTTATCTCCTAGATTTACCAGTGTAATCAAGGAAATATTAAAATAGTTTTAGGAGAATATAAATCACATATTATAATTTCATATATATATATATATATACACACACACACACATATACACAGAGAGAGAGAGACAGAGCGAGAGAGAGAGGTTTCTTTAAAATAATACCAGAGGGCTGGGGCGCAGTGGCCCACACCTGTAATCCCAGAGCTTTGGGAGGCCGAGGCAGGTGAATCACTTGAGGTTAAGAGTTTGAGACATGCTGGTCAACATGGTGAAACTCCGTCTCTAATAAAAAATACAAAAATTAACCAGGCATGGTGGTGTGCGTCTGTAATCCCAGCTACTTGGGAGGCTAAGACACAAGAATTGCTTGAACCCGGGGAGGCGGAGGTTGCAGTGAGCTGAGATCGCACCGCTGCACTCCAGTCTGGGCAACAGAGTGAGACCCTGTCTCAATAATAATAATAATAATAACACCAGAAAACCTGGGATCCAAGGAAATATATACAGGAAAGAATAGGAAAGAAAGGTAGGGCTAGTTCTTAGAGGTAATGACAGAAACATGTTGATTCTTAGCATGATTACCGGTTCTTTATTAAACGCAAGGGGACTTCTGGGTTTAGATCAACAGAAAACTGGAGGAAATCAGAATTGGGAGATTAGTTTCTGAAAGCCACATTAATTGTTATTGCCTTCAATGGCTCTAGGGCATTTTCTGTAACTACTTCAGCTCATGTGATTTTTGTTCCTTTTTCCATTTACTGGGAGGAAACTTTCAGCGCAATAGCCAACTACTATTATTTTTGCATTAATATCAGCAGTGATCATTGTGCTGCAACTGTTAGCAGTTTTCAACTTCTAATAAATAATTTATATATTTCTTAATACAAGCAGTTATGAAGTACTTTTACAGTTAAAATCTTACCAAATTATTTTTGTTTATTTTAGGATGTTCTCCAGGATAAGAAATATGATTGATTGTAATGTTAGTGGTAACAAATTTTTTTGCTATTGCTAACTCATCAAGTTTTATCAGCACCATGTCTTGTTATACTTGTACTTAGACATTTCAAAATCACTTGTGGCTTACATGAATATATTAAGATAATTTAAATTTTAAGATAGTTTGCCTTCATTGTAAAAAGTATTGAAGATTAATAATTTTATATATTTTATATATTTCTAACATTTCATTATAAAAGCTATTCGATGGGAGTGCACCAAAATTTATATGAGAACATTTGTAAACATAAAGTACTTGCTATGAAAACTTGGCTATTACTTTTATAACAGGCTATATACAAATATGGAAATTTGGTAAATTACATTCACTCACTCTTCAAATATATAGCTGTAAATTATTTTCTCATTTTGTTTATAAAATGTAGTGGCATTAGCTAGAGAAATGCTATTTCTCATTTTGAGAGAAATAGTGAGGTTATTTTATTGCTTTGCCCATATTCTTAAAGAACTTTTCAAGCCCTAGCTATTGTATTTTGACTGAATTTACTTGAACTGACTGTACTAAGAAATTACATTAGTTTAATTCCCTAAAATTCAAGTGTAGTCTAATTATATAAGCACTTGTAATGTAAATGCCTATCACTCAGGCAATATTGGAAAGCCTGTAGTAAGTATCATTATTCAAACTTTTTCATTTAAATTCTTATATATAAATTAATATAGAAATATTAAAGAGTTTATTTGGCATCTTTACGGAGAGGCAGAGTAACAGTTAAGATATGGGGGCTAGAGCTTTCGATTTCAGTTCAGATCCTTGCTCCGCCATTTATTAATTCTGTTACCTTCCTCACATTATTGAAGTTCTCTACTTTAGCACCTTCATTTACAAGAGAATGAAAATAATAGTACCTTGTATATATGGTTGTCATGGAGATTAAGTGAGATATTGCACGGAAGGCATTTGTTCTGGTATCTGTCACATAACGAATGCTCACTTAATGTTAGCTATTATTATAGAATTTAGCCAATGTCTAGCTATAGGACAAGAAAAGTATATCTCATTAGCTAACAGTCAGTAGAATGTACATAAGTCAATACATTTGAAATTTAAATGATCATTTTCTAATAAAGGCATTATAACAAATTGAAATGATTCAAAATTTAAATAATCTACTCTATCAGAAACAATAACTTTTTACTTTAAATATCACAGACATACAGAAAAATAGACAAATTCATGGGTGTTCAGTTCATTTTTTTTAACAAAGCAAATATCCCCATGTAGCCACAAAGTAGACCCAGAAATAGAATTTTACCAATACCTATTGTTGGTAAAATTACCCACCTCTCATCTTAGCCCCCTAAAATTAACCACTATTCTAACTCCTACTGTCATCAATCAGTTCTCCATACTTTTCAAATTTACGGAACTGGAAGCACACAGTATGCATTTTTTTTTTTTTTGTTTCTGGCTTCTCTTGCTCAACATTATGTTTGTGACATCCATCTACTTTGTTGTAATGTAGCAACACTTCATCCATTTTCATTGTGGGTGGTACTTCATTGCATGAATACTTCATGATTTATTTATTCATTGTGTTATTGATGCATATGGATTGCTTTCTGAATTTATCTATTGTGATAATGCTTGCTAGAACATTCTTAAACATATCTTCTATGGGACATACATTTGTACTTCTGTTGGGTTTTTACCTAAGCATGGAATTCCTGAGTCAGAAAGTCTTAGGGAATTTCTTAGTCAAACTGGATATGCTGTATTTAGCTTGAATAGATACTTCCACAAGGAATATATTCTCATAGAAGTGAGACTTAGTTGTTCTCCATTTCACAGATGGAAAAACAATGGTTTGTGTGGTAATGGATTTATGAAGTACCAGCCATAAATGTGGAGTGAAAGCAGAGTGAAAACTCACTATATGCCAGCTGCTGTGCTAGGCATTGGGGATAAAATGGCAAGAGGAAAGAGTCGTGACCTTGACTTTCAGAGAGCAAAAAATCTAGTACAGAAAACAAATATAAAATAAAAATCCAGCTGATGAGTTCATAATTATAGAAGAGCTGAGTGCTCTGAGAAAAAGAAACATGAACCAAGACAGCTACAAAAATATCATATGTTTTAAACTAGGAATTCAAAGAAGTCTTCCTTTAGGAAGTAAGTTGAAGCTGATATTCAAGGAATGAATAATAGTTGAGCAGGAAAAAGCAGGGCAGAGGGGCTTCCAAATATAAGAAAGAGCATGTGCACAGAAGCATGATGGCGACAAGAAGAATGGCTCCTATGGCAGGACCTGGAGGTGGGCAGTGGAAAATGAGCCTGCAAAGATAGGCAGCAATGAGGCCACACGTGGTCTTTAGTCATTCATTGTTAACAATTTGGGATTGTTTCCTAAGACTGTAAAGTCATAGAAATATTTTGATTTGGTGATGGGAAAAGGTACATAAAAGATCATGCTGACTGCTAAGTAGGGAATAAATTCGATAAAGGCCAGTGTGAATGCAGGGTACACAATACCAGAAGTTCTGAAAAGAGATGATACTGTTTTGGACAAAGGTGGTAATAGTAGGAATGATGTGAAGCTGGGTGATGACAGTGTTATGTAGTGAGTAAAATCAGCACTTGTAATGGATTGGATGAGGGTTATGTTAATAAAGAATGCATCAAAGATGACCCTAGGTTTCTGATTGGCTCAACTAGATAGTAAGTAACTGGTTAATTCTGGGAATAAAATTATTCTAGCTTCATGTAGCTAAATCTAATGCAGTGCTTTTTTTAAACTACATTTAAATCCTGGAATTAAATCCAAGAGCAAATTAAGCTGTTTTTTGTCACCTTTGGAAATGCTGATTCTCCTCCTGACACGGCCCCAGATGCTGCCAACTTTCTCTTATCCCTGGCATCCATCTCAAGTCTTCAGTCTTTTTAAGACTATATTCATTGTATATTTCAGCATAAAACACATTTTTTGGAGGTGTTTAAAGAAAACATCTGTTGTATGTGCATACGAAATAGATCAATGGTAATCACCCATTCACTATCTACTGATCAATTTGAATGCGATTGAGATATCATTATGAATTTCTTCTCATTTCATTTCCTATCATTACAGACACACTCTTTATGAATTTATTCTGGGTTTAGTTTGTTATCATAAACCTAATGAAAACATTTCATCCATGGAGCTGTCACAAAGATGTTGATGTATGTTTTGATTCAATATAACAGTAGGTAAGAGATGCTTAACTGAATATATCTTCATAAGCAAAAATGTCTCTAAATTACACACATACAATTTAGGATTCATTTAGTACACAACTTGTCATATTTAAGCTGTGAGTGACTCATACTTTATATTGCTCTAGTCAGAAACTGGATTTCGGATGACTAAAGAAAGTGTGTTTTTAAAAACTAGAATTTCTTGAGAAATGAAATGCTAAACATGTATCTTTATTTCCTACTATTTAACTCCATTTTTCCTTTTTAAACTAATTCTGCATATCACTACCAGGTTAATTTTCTTTAAATTACACTTTGCATCACATCATTGAATTACTTGAAGGAAAACAATCCCTCCCTGTTACACATCACATGAAACTGCTCCACATTTAAGGACTTCCATGAACTCATCTCACCCTAAAAACACCACTTCATTGCTTTCTACTTCCCAGGAGACTGGCTCAACCAAATCTCCTAAGTCCCCTTTCCACAATGCCTGAAGTTTTGTGCATGCTCCTTTTCACTCCCACCAGCTCCTGAAAAAGCCATCATCTCTCCAAATACCATGACTCAAAGCCAAGATTAAATCTTAACTCCTCCATTAAATCTCCCAACAATGATGGTTCATTTCTTGTTACCTTGATTATATATACAATTAATGTTAGTTGGCTTAAGTAATTAACTGGTTTTCAGAGTAACATTTTTATCACTAATAGACATTCTATTATCTACTGAAAGAGATCCTTCTGTATATATTTATATGTCTGTATCACAACGCTGTCTATAGAGGCTGTCAATAAAGAGATTGTCAATTGATTAATTGACTCATTGATTAGCACACTCTGAGATGCTTATTAAACCTGATTCAGTAATTTGACTACATTATTGTTTTCAAAGCTATAAGTACCCTAGGGAATAGAAAATATTTATGTTGTCTAATCTTTCCTTGTAATTTTGCCATGTAATTTTGCAGCAATTGGAGAGAAAGCCAAAAATGAAACCTAAAATGGAAGCCACTGAACCATTTGGAAATTCAAAGTCATTGAAAGAAAAGCTGTGACTAATCTCCAATGTACTGCAACTCCGAAGCAGCATATGGCTGAATGTTTTCTCATGAAGTTTGCTCATTGAACTCGGTAACTGAATATAAGCACCACAAATGCACATCAAGATGTCATCCAGTAATTATCGCTAACAATTTTAGGACCATGTTGAACTGTAACTTTTCAGAACTGAATATGAATTCAAAATGTGTATATGTGAATATATGTTATATGCATCTTAAAGAGCATTTATATATAATTCATGTTAAGATATTCATGAGATAGCTATCTGTATAAATATATTCATTTATTAGTTCAATAATTATCTATTGAGCACCTGCTACATGATAGCAACTGTGCCAGTTGCTGGAGGTTCAACAGTGAACAAGAAAGACATGAACCCTGGTATGACAGAGCTTACAGTTTAGATGTGCTGAAAGACTAATAGCAAAGGAATAAATACAAAAAGAATAAATAGGGATTGTCTCATTTATGGGAAATAAACAAGTGTCATTATAGAAAATGACAGGCAGAATCTGCTGAGAGTCATCTCTGAGGAAATGAAGTTTAACCTGATCCCTGAGGGATAAGAAGGAAGCTGGCCATGCAAAGAGACCAATTCATTATTTTCTTTATTAAATATGTTAGTAGTAGTTATGGCGAGACATGAAACAAATATTTAATTTTCTGAGATCATAACCTGCTCTTGAGGTTCCAAATCAAAACTTCCTCAGCCAGACGATTCTGTGTTGTAAGCAGTTGATGATTATTTGTTGTTCATCATAGTAATTAAGTAAATGTTAAGAAGGAATATCGTGGAAGATTATAAAAACAAGATATAAATCATTATACCTCATAATTCTTTTTCTACTCAAACCTCTTGTTCTTCTCCAGTCCTTTTCAATTCTATATGACATGTACCTTCTTTTTCTCCAAACGGCCTAGTGATTAATCATATAAGCATAATTAATTAATCATATAAGCATAGGCATATAAGCATATGTCAGTGCAACACAAGCTATCGTATATAACTGGGCTAGAAGTGAAAGTGTTTGGATGCTGGATCCATCTTCATAATTCAATATCTGTCTCAAAACCTTACTTCTTCAAGTAACTTAATTCTCTTCCTGATACAAGGAGGGTCAAGATCCTCAGGCGTTTTCCATCCATGCTTCTGAAGACCCTCGGATTTCAAAGAATGCCTCAAGGACCATCCAGCAGGGAAAGAGGAGAGGAAATGAGAGCGATATTAGAGCAGGAGGAGCATTATGCCTTCTTCTTCTACTTCAATAAAGTAAATTCTGACAATATGTATTTTATATTTTGGGCTGTGGAGTGAGGTTTAATTAAAAGCATGGACTTTGGATCTAAAAAGCCTTTATAAACCCTAAGACGAGTTGATTTGATGAATCCATTCTCTTGCAGCAATTTAAGAATCCAGGTTCTTCAGAACTGAGATTAAAGTTACGGTCATTTTCTTAAGATGAAATAAATGAATGGGAAAAAATAACATCCAGATGTTCTAATATTGGGTTAAACTTTTTAATAAATTGGACCCCTTTACCTGGAAAAGATGGGAACCTGAACGCAAGCAAGATTCAGTGCACAAATGAGTGCATATGCAAATCAAGTTATGCTTCCCACCGTGTATTTTTGTACCACATACCAGCTACCTCCATGAAATGATTCTGTTTTCATCCTAGCTACCCTGGATGTCCCACAGATAAACACTACCTTCAGTCACATTCTCACACCACGGTATTCACCTGGTTGAACCTAAACAAAGATAGAGTTTCATGTAGCCATTTCTATTCTTAAATTTTAAAGACTCACTGAAATTAAACATATGATGATTTGCATGGCACTAAAGGCAGACAGAAATTCTGATTCAGATTTAAAACATTATATTAGCTCATCAGTCCTTCCCAAAGTATGTATGGTGTCTTATTCCTACAATGAATGGAAACTGATAATCAAATGATGCACAGATTCCATGAAACTTCACTTTGTATATGGTGCATAATAGCAGAAAAGAGATCATTGTAACTACTTCTGATGACTAAATTTCTGTATAAAACAGTAGTAACAATTTGGAAAGAGTCTATTCCATGTAAGTGATTCACTTTAAGTAATGTTAAAAATATATAGATAGTTCCAATAAAATCTTTGCAAAACAAGATATAATCAAGCTTTTGAAATAAAGCCAGTTTTATACAAGATATCTGCTATGAAGAGTGTCTTATAACATTGAAAAAGAACAAGATAGAAAAGAAAATAGAAACTGTTTATCTTTAAAAGTTAAATTACTGAAAACATTTTGCATCAATTTATTCCTTGAAAAATATAGAGAAAATATATTTTTCTCTCTACCTCAAATGATAAAATGTTCATCTGAAAAAACAGAAATGTTTTCGTATTCCATATGAGCCTTTAAGAAACATCCTTTCTTCAAATAACAATTTTCCCAGTTGGCTTTATTTAGGTTTAGAATAGTGTACCTGGATACTAAAAAAATAAATGTAAATCAAATTACTGTCTACACCAACAAGTTCTAATATTTCCACTTATATCTGTACCCTGCTTTCAATGTTTTCATGGAGAGTTTCACCTTAAATCAAATTTCTAATAATCAATTACACTTTAAATGCAGCAGAAGAATTTGTTGTTTAAAGGATTTTCCCAGAGTGATCTGCAGAACTAATCATCCTTGGAGGTAACGTACAATCTTTAACTGCTTTCACTATTATATATATCTGTCTTTATACTTAACAAATCTGCTTACAATAGGGAATACTTGGACAAAGCAAATGTTCAATTGTCTTTCAAGTGTTTTTCAATGTTACCTAGGAAGATTTTGTCAGTTAAAATTGTAAGAGGGTTAATCATCCCTACGGGTGCCATCACTCCACAAAACTGTCCAAAGGTATCTGTTTCCAGTGACCCCCAGCCAAAGCCCACCAGGAACTCTAACCACTTAGCCATAATGTCACAAGTCACTTTAATTCACAAATTAACACAAATTTGTTTTTCAAAGTCTTTCTTGCTTCAAGCGTCCACCCTCTCATTCACCTTTAAATAACGTGCTTGCCGGGTGCCCAATACCATGTTATTTGTTGATTGCTGTTTATTGAGTGCTATGTGCCATGCACTGTGCCAGGCACTTTCCATAAAATAGCTGATTTAACCTTTGAGCAGTCCTATCACTCCAATATCAGAGATAAACCTTGTGGTTTAGAAACATTGCCTATTGCCCCAATTCACAGAAGAGACGTGAGAGTGACAGCTTTAAACACAGATAGTCTAATTCCTGAACCCATGCCCTTAAGCACTACCCAAGCTTTGAATCCTGGGCAAAATGAAAAATTAAAATATCTCATCTCTTAATTCCATTATCTTAAATATCCATGTGCAAAGTTGTAAATAACAGACACAATAAAATATAGACTTCAGAGACAAGAGGAAACAAATTTGAAACAGGTTACTTAAGGATCTTCCTAACAGTAAATAATTGGGATGGATTTTGATGGTATGTTTAATTTTGACTTGGAAAGATGGTGGGAGCAATATTTGAGTTAACAAATGAGATGTAATGGGGGAAGAAATAATCTCTTTTGGGAAACCCAGCTGGAATAGCTTAACTGGAGTCAGTAGAGAAAACTGTAGTGGAAAAATAATGGTTAAAAGATGAAGCAGAGTTTTTCATAGAAGACATTGCATAGAAAGCATTTAAAGATTTCCCTGTGAGAGTACAATGCTGTTTTAATCAGAAGTCAAATACGATGAAAGCAGTAGATTAAGTAGATTAACCTCATTTTTCTACAGATCAAATTTTACTTTGCCTAACTCATGTGTATATATAGTTGGTGTTAACTTTCAAATATTTTACATAGAGCAAACATCTTTAGAAGAGTCTGCTCTGCATAACAGTGGTAGCCAAGAGGTCAAATAGCCTAAGGAAGAAAATAAATGAAATAGGTCCCTTCTCTGAGTCAAGTCAAAAAAACACAGCCTTAATGCAATATTATCCACAAGTTGTTCTCTGTGTAATCCCTGAAACAGCAGCAATGACATCTCCTGCAGACTTGTTAGAAATGCAAACTAGTGGGTCCTATCCCAGACTTGCAGAATCAGAAACTCTTGTGTTGAAGTCTAGTGACATCTGTTTTAACCAGCCCTCTGGGTGATTTAAGAACACATTAAGTTTTGAGAATGTCTGTTTCACACATTGCTACTCCAACTGTGATCAACAGCAGCACAAGTATCAGCTTGCAGCATAGTACAAATGCAGAATCTCAAGCCCCACCCCATATGAACTGTATCAGAATCTGCCTGTGAACCAGTCCCTCAGGAGATGCATGGTGATATGGTTTGGCTGTGTTCTCATCCAAATCTCATTTTGAATTGTAGTTCCCATAATTCCCATGTGTCCTGGGAGGGACCTGGTGGGAAGTAATTTCATCATGGGGGTGAGTTTTTTCCTGTGCTGCTCTCCTGACAGTGAATAAGTCTCATGAGATCTGATGGTTCTTCTGCACACACTTTCTTGCCTGCCACCATGTAAGATGTGCCTTTGCTCCTCCTTTGCCTTCCTCCATGATTGTAAGCCTTCCCCAGCCACGTGAAACTGTGAGTCCATTAAACCTCTTTTCTTTATAAATTTCCCAGTCTCAGGTATGTCCTTATAGCAGCAAGTGAATGGGCTAATACACATGGGTACATTAAACTTGGAGAAGCATCAACCCAATGAGCTAGGATGTACATTTTCTAGTTTCTTCTCTGACTGCTTTGTGTGAGAGGTTCTTTCTATGTAGCTCAAAGTAGCTAATATAAGTCCAGTTTGTTTCCATCATGGACTCTCTAGACCACTGCATACTCCCCCATTCCTATCACTTCCCAACACTCAAAGCCCAATCTGACACTGCACTAACATGTTCCACGTGTCAAGTTCAGGAAAGAAGTGTCAGGCCTACATTTCTCTGCTGAATATGAGCATCTCAAAATACCATGCTTTATGTCTTACTACTTAATCACTGTGTGATTAAATAATCCTTATTCCTTGTTATAAGTCCATGTCATTGTTAGTACTATTTTTAAAATTTTGATCGGCCCCTTCTCCCTGCCACACACATACAAACTGAATTAGAATCTTTGGCAGTTGATTCAGCAGTATGTATTATTAGAGACCAAGGTGGGGAATCTTTACTACTTTAATTTCTTACAAAATGCATTTTGGTTTCAGAACTCAAGAGTAGTATAGTATCAAAGTAATTCAGTTTTGTTGCCAAATACAGTGTTTTGTGTTTTTTTTTGTTTGTTTGTTTGTTTTGCTTAGACCTTCTCTGGCACACTATAATGTATCAAATTATGGACCACCATCCACATTTGCTTTAAAAGTCATTACACTTGGGTGATTGACCCATCATTGGCTTAAATCATCATTGGCTAGCTTTTTTATATTTGTCTTATAGCCATATGTATTTTTAAAGCTTATTTTCATTCCTTCCATAGTCATCTAGATGACATTTGAAAGTAGATTATTTTTCAAAATTAATTCCTTCCTCCTGTTTGACATTTTGAAAGATGTCCATAAATCCTTCCCTTACTAATTATTTATTCTAACCTTTCTACCACCTTCTTGAGAAGTAAATTATTTTATGTGTATCTCCTTCTTAGAATAATGTCTAAGTAGGCGATCTCTACATCACTTGCCCCAACTTAATTTTACTAATTTCCTAATTCATTAATTTTCCTAATTCCTCGCTTTTTCCTCTGTCTTAAAAACAACCAATAAGAGAGACATTTAGATTGATAAGTTCTGTTTTTAAAACTTTTTAAATATCCGAGAACTTTATAAACAAACAGTTACTCATATTTTTATGAAAATATAAAGACACGCTTTTCTTAACTCTTATCAGATAGTCAAAGATATGGAGAATTTACATGTCTTGATAGAAATAGAAAACCTCTGTGACTCCTTTTAAGAATGTCTTGTTTGGTTTCCATTACCTGTACCATTCAAAGTTGGTGCTTGTCCATTCTAGCACCTTGCTAAAGACTTTTCACAAGACTTTTCATATGTGGATCCAGCTAGACTTAGTCATGTAATTAATTCCAAATCAGTCACCTGTATTAATTCAATCCAGCCATGTAGTTCATATAAAAGTAAGGGCTCTTGTCTTATTCCATTCATGCTGCTATAACAAAATACCTGAGATTGAATGATTTATAAAGAACCGAAACGTATTTCTCACAGTTCTGGAGGCTGGGACGTCCAAAATCAGGCACCAGCAGGTTTAGTGTCTGCTGAGGGCTGCTTTTTGCTTCCAAGATGCGTCTTAAACACTGTATCCTCCAGAGGGGATGAACCTGTGTCCTCACATAGTAAAGGGAGTAGTAGGGCAACAAGGGCCCAGCTAATTTTCTGGGGCACTTTTATAAGGCACTCATCCATTCATGAGAACGAAGCCCATATAGTCTAATCACCTCCTAAATATCCCATTTCTTAATAGTGTGGTATTGGGGATGAATTTTCACATGAATTTTGGAGGGGCACAAATATTTAAACTATAGCAGACTCCCACCTTTTCCCCCCTCACACAATCAGGTCATTGAAACACTGGAGAATTATATTAGAAAACGTAAAATAGAATGAGCAGAATGAATTTGTAGTGTTTTACTTTGGGAGAGAAAAGAAGCAATGAGTGGCCACTGTGGTGTCTCCAAGCAATTGCAGTTGTGTCTTCATTTCTCTTGCTCCAAAGGGCAAAACTAGGTGACAATATGTCAATTATGCAATGTGCATAATTTTTTTCTTTGGAAATTGGATTGATAATTTCAAAGTTCTGTCTACCTTAAAACCTTGGGCAATGGCCGGGTGCGGTGGCTCATGCCTGTAATCCCAGCACTTTGGGGGGCCGAGGTGGGCGGATCACGAGGTCAGGAGATGGAAACCATCCTGGCTAACACAGTGAAACCCTGTCTCTACTAAAAAATACAAAAAATTAGCCAGGCGTGGTGGCGGGCGCCTGTAATCCCAGCTACTTGGGAGGCTGAGGTGGGAGAATGGCGTGAAACCGGGAGGCGGAGCTTGCAATGAGCCGAGATGGCACCACTGCACTCCAGCCTGGGCGACAGAGTGAGACTCCGTCTCGAAAATAAATAAATAAATAAATAAAAATAAAAAAAATAAACCTTGGGATATGGCCTGAAAACACAGACAGCATTTACTTTATGATCCTAAGCCATTTATGCACTTCTTCAAACCAATACTCACCAGGTACCACCCATGCTTTAGAGAACAGGAGAGACAAAGTCTGTTTTTAGGAATGTATTTTATAGCAGACAGGAAATGTAACCTATAGAGATAAACAGGTAAAGCAACACAATACATACAGATTGGAAGTAAAGCCATGAAAGAAATAAATTGGTTGCTAGTTAGTAAATGGGGAGAATTGAGCCCACATTAAAAATATTTAAGCTTTACCTTAGATGGTTAAATTATGAGATTAATGAAGCAAAAAGTAAGTTTTCCTTTTTCTGTTCTTTTTTGTTTGTTTGTTTTCACGTATCCTTTCACCTTTAACTTTGATTCCCAAATATCACCAGTTACCATTAGGATGATTGAGTAGGACAATACAGAAATACCAATAAAATCAAATTTTCTTTAGTGCATAGAAAAACATAGAAACATATTTTGAATATTTGTTTGATTAAAGCATCAACAACCTCTAATTCAGGACAAGTATGGTTCTCAAAGAACCATGAAATTGCCACCTCAGCACTTGGAATATTTTATTTCTTATTTAACAAAATTTTCCTATTTCTTAGCAGAGAATTTATACTGATAATGACTGTATTTATTTCAGGTGTCTTGAAGGAGAATTGATGCTATGGAATACCAAGCAAATGGCTTAACACATCTTAATATGATCTTAAATATGATATTTGCATCCAAAGTATAAAAGCAACTAAGCAAATTCTATATCACAAAGTAGCATAGGTAATTTAGCAGGATAAAGCAGAAGCAAATGGATAAATCCTTGTTTAATAAGGTTCACAAATCCTTCACTTAAACAGGAAAGAAAAATGAAAACGGGAGAAAAAAACACGTTTCTCACCAACACACAAAAGCTACTACAAAATTGATTAAATGGGGGATTTAGACCTACAAAACAAAATTCAACAATAAAAACCAACAGGATTCAGCCAGAAAATCTCTTGTGTTGCTTTAAATAAAAGGATAAGATGAGATTGTCCCGTGAGTCAATCTAAGCCAACAGCTTATGTTTAAATACCGACCATGAAAAATTATTGTGCGATTGGAAGAATTCTGCCTTTTAAAATGGAGCATGCTACTGAAATATTTTTAAACTCCACCAAAGTAATTTGTGCTAGCAATTTACGTGTTGTTTTGGTGGTGGTATCATTTTGTTCTTCTTTTGCTCTGTTTTTAATTTCATGACCAGGTTGAGCCTTTGGAGAATAAGTGGTATTAAAAGAAACTGTTCACTTAAGTCCTCATTATTCAAGCATCTAAAGCATTTTCATTTATTTACCTCCCACAACAGATCTAGATGACAGGAGTGGAATTCAGGCGAATCCATATGCCTTGCCTATATAAGTGAAACACTGTTACCTCAAATTGTTTTATATCTAAATATTGCCATCTACAAAAGGCGTATAAATTAGGGTCAAAATTTTTATCTAATACAGTGTGTCCTTCTAGCTAGGCATGGTGGTGCAATCCTGTAGTCCCAGCTACTCAGGAGACTAAGGCAGGAGAATCACTTAAACCCAGGTGTTCAAGACCAGCCTGGACAACATTGCAAGATTCACCTCTTTAAAAAAAGAAAAAGAAACACAAAAATATAACTTTCCAGTTGCAATATTTATATCTATACCCAAATTAATACACTTTTTATTTATGTAGACTTTTTTCTTTTCATCCTAAGAGCATATTGTAATTGTCATATAAAGCTACTTATTTTTTATAAAGCTGTTCTGACTTTATTCCAATTTATCAATCTCTATACAATTGTTGACTTTCTTTGTATTGTTGTGTATAATTTCGCATCAGAGAAGAATTTCTATGACACTGAAATTGGTCAGTGGTATTTATTTGAAAAATGTTACATGAAGATATTTTTAATTGCCTTGATATAACCAAAACTTTTTCCTAAAAAGTAATTGCAACTAAGGCTGTCTTGCTTACATTCATTACAAGTAGGGTGAATTTATAGCAAGTATTTGTATTATTAAAATGACTGTCTTTCCAATTGAAATATAGAAATACTAATTTAATATTCCTATATTAAATTAATAACATATGAAAAATGTTATGCCTACCTTCCTAATTTTTAATGAATAATAATGTTTAATTCAGATCCAAAGAGCACATGCTTCAACAATTCAACAGGTATAAGAGAATCTGAATTTTATGATAATAGCTAAGAGATGAAATGATGTCTCTAATCATGAAATGGGAGATCTCTAAGCCAAAAGGTTCAAAATCTTTACACTTTTAACTTCCACAGTAAGTAAAGTTTTACTTGTCTTGTCACAAAGAAGGAGGGAAGGAAGGAAGGAAGGAAGGAAGGAAGGAAGAAAGGAAGGCCTTAAGATAGACAAAACCTGCAAAGAAATATATTTAACGCAGTGTTTCTCAGATGTGTGGTACATATGATTTAGTCTGAACATATACATTTTTATTTTATTATCTATTTATTATAATGCACATTAGGAAATAGAACCAGAAAATCAAACTAATGACTAAATGGCTATTACTGTTTAGGGTGAATCTAGAATTATTTAAGTAAAAAGATGAGTCATTCTTAGGAAATTATTGAATAAGGAACCATTTAGTTGATGTGGAGAAACTATGAAGGTAGCCCTCAAATGGATAAGGTTTAGAAACTAGTCTACTATGAATCTGTCCTTCAGAACTTGAGATTAGTAAACTGGAAATGTTGTCAAGGAGGAAATAATTGCAAACTTTAAATATTTTCATGTTGTCAAGGAGGAAATAATAGCAATCTTTAAATATTTTCATGACTGATTCCATAGAATAGGATTCAGATCAATGGGAAGAAATTACAGACAGCCTACTTCTACTCAATAGTAGGAAAGAATTTTTATAAGTAAATACCTGCTAGAAGGTTAAAATGTGCTGATTCCATTCCTTGTCATCAGTGGAATTTAAGAACAGTCCTGGCAAACAATTAATGGAATTGTGTAGAGGGTGTTCAACAACTGGAAAGTTACTGGATTCAGAAGATCTTTTTCCAACCCAGAAACTTTGTGAGAAAAACCCATATATGCCATTAACTAATTTTTCCACATTTACCAGGGATAATAAAAGCAAAACTAATTTAAATACGCAGAACTTTATTGGCCAGTAAATTCAACTTCCATAAAAGCAAAGTGGGAAAATAGATTTCAGTTTTACTTCATTGTACTATTCATGTTCTCTCAGCTGGGAAAACCTTAAAGATCAGCACAACCCTTGGCCACTTAAGTCCAGTCTCCCATAATGGTTTTTCTGACTCCGAAAGGTACTAATTTATTGACTTAGATTGTCTATACACAATAACCCATCATCGTGTCTGGTGATCTAATCACATGACTCCTTGCATTTTATTAAACTATGCCATGTATGTAGGCTCATTGGTTAAGAATTTTTTGGCAGCAAATAACAACAACAACAAAACAACTAACAGTTGATAAAACCAGAATTACAGTTATTTTACTTGATAACAAGTCTAGAAATGTGAAGTCAACGGCTAGAAACAGGAAATCAAAGGTTAGTTCAAAAGTGTAATCAAGTCATCAATTACAGACTGTCCCTTTACTGATGCTTCTTGATACATTGGCCTTTTTGTTTTGCTTTCGTTTTGTTTGTCTTAGGCTTATTGCCTCATAGCTGTAAACTCCAGATATCACAATTATATTGAAACTTAGAAAGTAGGAAGGGGAAGTGCTTTCTTTTTTTTAACTTTTATTATAAATTCAGGAGTACAAGTGTAGGTTTGTGATGTAGGTAAACTTGTGTCATGGGGGTTGGTTGTACACATCATTTCATCACCCAGGTACTAAGCCTAGTTCACATTAGTTATTTTTCCTGATCCTCTCCCTCCTCCCACCCTGCATTCTCTGAAAGGCCCTAGTGTGTGCTGTTCCCCTCTAGGGTCCACGTGTTCTCATTATTTACCTCTCACTTATAAGTGAGAACATGTGGTATTCGGTTTTCTGTTCCTGTGTTAGTTTGCTAAGGATAGTGGCTTCCAGCTCCGTCGATGTGCCTGCAAACTCTTTTATGGCTGCATAGTGTTCCATGGGGTATATGTACCCCACTTTCTTTATCCAGTCTATTATTATTGATGGGCGTGTAGGTTGATTCCATGTCTTTCCTATTGCGAATGGTGCTGCAATGAACGTACATGTGCATATGTTTTTATAATAGAATGATTTTATTCCTTTGGGTTTATACCAACTAATGGGATTGCTGAGTCTTTCTTATCATGAATCTATGTCTTCTTATGAAGAAATAAAACCTTTGCTTGAAGACTCTCAAAAAATGTATCCTTACATCTTCTGGGCCAGAAAATGTTCACATGGCTGTAAGTAGCACTGGAAAAGTTATATTTGGCAAACAAGAAAGACAGAAGCAGGAGTTAGCCTAGATCCGTCATGATTTACCCCCTGAGGCTAAACATATTGTTGCTCTACAAAAAAAGCTGTGGTTCTGATAGCAGGAAAGAAGGGGAGAGGAGGTGTGGGATAAGCCATAAAAGAGATCTCATAAATCGTATTCCTTCAAGGAGATTTAAATTCCCTGAAGACAAAAAGAATATCTTCCTTTTTTACTAATCTACTCAATGCCAAGGGAAAAACCGATCATTTAGTAAGAACTGAAAAAAAAATGTTGAATTTAGCTAAGATGCTAATAAAATAAATTGATTTAAATGAAAGAATAATGAGTATCAAAAAATAGATGATCTATCTATTTTCCATTAGTAATTCCACACATTCACCTATGAATCTGTATTTACATTTGGAGAAAGGGGCATATTTATTTTGGGGTAGGAAGGCCATTTCAGTAGAAAAGAAAATAGCTGAAAGAATGAACTAAAACTTTGCAATAAGATTGACCTGATGATACACTAGGAGAAGGTGTCAAGAAAGCCGTTTCTACTAGATTTCATGTCTAGGTGACTGGAAGAAGGGTGACAACATAGAAAGAAGGGAAATTAGAGGAAACACCTCAAATTTTAAAAGGAAGTTAAGTTTTATTTACAGTCATGCACCGTATAATGATGTTTTGGTTACCAAGAGACCACATCTATGACAGTGGACTTATAAGATTATAACCGAGCTGAAAAACATCCTATTGCCTAGTTATGTGGTAGCATCATAGCACAACACATTACTCATGTGTTTGTGGTGATACTGATGTAAACAAACCCACTATACTGCCAGTCATGTAAAAATCCAGCACACACTATTATGTATAGTATATAGTACTTGATAATGGCAATAAACAACTATGTTTCTGGTTTATGTATTTATTTTACTATAGTAAAATGAAATGAAGATTTTGACTTGTACTTTTTTTATATCATTACTAACATGAACGTTATTGGGTTGGAATCTTTTTTTTCTTTATTTTATTATACTTTAAGTTCTAGGGTACATGTACAAAACGTGTAGGTTTGTTACATATGTATACATGTGCCGTGTTGGTTTGATGCACCCATTAACTCATTATTTACATTAGGCATGTCTCCTAATGCTATCCTTCCCCCATTCCCTTACCCCATGACAGGCCCCAGTGTGTGTTCCTCGCCCTGTGTCCAAGTGTTCTCATTGTTTAGTTCCCACCTATGAATGAGAACATGCGGTGTTTGGTTTTCTGTTCTTGTGATAGTTTGCACAGAATGATGGTTTCCAGCTTCATCCACGTCGCTGCAAAGGACATGAACTCATCCTTTTTTATGGCTGCATAGTATTCCATGGTGCATATGTACCATGTTTTCTTAATCCACTCTATCATTGATGGACATTTGGGTTGGTTCCAAGTCTTTGCAATTGTGAATAGTGACACAATAAACATATGTGTGCATGTGTCTTTATAGCAGCATGATTTATAATCCTTTGGGTATATACCCAGTAATAGGATCGCTGGGTCAAGTGGTATTTCTAGTTTTAGACCCTTGAGGAATCGCCACACTGTCTTCCACAATGTTTGAACTAATCTGTACTACCACCAACAGTGTAAAAGTGTTCCTATTTCTCCACATCCTCTCCAGCACCTGTTGTTTCCTGACTTTTTAATGATCACCATTCTAACTGGTGTGAGATGGTTTCTCATTGTGGTTTTGATTTGCATTTCTCTGATGGCCAGTGATGATGAGCATTTTTTCTTGTATCTGTTGTCTGCATAAATGTCTTCTTTCGAGAAGTGTCTGTTCATATCCTTTGCCCACTTTTTGATGGGGTTGTTTGATTTTTTCTTGTAAATTTGTTTAAGTTCTTTGTAGATTCTGGATATTAGCCCTTTATCAGATGGGTAGATTGCAAAAATTTTCTCCCATTCTATAGATTGCCTGTTCACTCTGATGGTAGTTTCTTTTGCTGTGTAGAAGCTCTTTAGTTTAATTAGATCCCATTTGTCAATTTTGGCTTTTGTTGCCATTGCTTTTGGTGTTTTAGTCACGAAGTCCTTGCCCATGCCTATGTCCTGAATGGTATTGCCTAGGTTTTCTTCTAGCATTTTTATGGATTTAGGTCTAACATTTAAGTCTTAATCCATCTTGTATTAATTTTTATGTAAGGTGTACGGAAGGGATCCAGTTTCAGCTTTCCACATATGGCTAGCCAGTTTTCCCAGCACCATTTATTAAATAGGGAATCCTTTCCCCATTTCTTGTTTTTGTCAGCTTTGTCAAAGATCAGATGGTTGTAGATGTGTGGTGTTATTTTTGAGGGCTCTGTTCTGTTCCATTGGTCTATACTGTTTTGTTACCAGTACCATGCTGTTTTGGTTACTGTAGCCTTGTAGTATAGTTTGAAGTCAGGTAGCATGATGCTTCCAGCTTTGTTCTTTTGGCTTAAGATTGTCTTGGCAATGCGAGCTCTTTTTTGGTTTCATATCAACTTTAAAGTAGTTTTTTCCAATTCTGTGAAGAAAGTCATTGGTAGCTTGATGGGGATGGCATTGAATCTATAAATTAAGTTGGGTAGTATGGCCATTTTCACAATATTGATTCTTCCTATCCATGAGCATGGAATGTTCTTCCATTTGTTTGTGTCCTCTTTTATTTCGTTGAGCAGTGGTTTGTAGTTCTCCTTGAAGAGGTCCTTCACATCCCTTGTAAGTTGGATTCCTAGGTATTTTATTCTCTTTGAAGCAATTGTGAATGGGAGTTCACTCATGATTTGGCTCTCCGTTTGTCTGTTATTGGTGTATAAGAATACTTGTGATTTTTGCACATTGATTTTGTATCCCGAGACTTTGCTGAAGTTGCTTATCAGCTTAAGGAGATTTTGGGCTGAGAAGATGGGGTTTTCTAAATATACAATCATGTCATCTGCAAACAGGGACAATTTGACTTCCTCTTTTCCTAATCAAATACCCTTTATTTCTTCCTCTTCCCGGATTGCCCTGGCCAGAACTTCCAACACTATGTTGAATAGGAGTGATGAGAGAGGGCATCCCTGCCTTGTGCCAGTTTTCAAAGGGAATGCTTTCAGTTTTTGCCCATTCAGTATGATACTGGCTGTAGGTTTGTCATAAAAAGGTCTTATTATTTTGAGATACATTCCATCAATACCTAGTTTATTGAGAGTTTTTAGCATGAAGGCTATCAAATTTTGTTGAAGGTCTTTTCTGCATCTATTGAGATAATCATGTAGTTTTCGTCTTTGGTTCTGTTTATGTGATGGATTACGTTTATTGATTTTTGTATGTTGAACCAGCCTTGCATCCCAGGGATGAAGCCATCTTGACCTTGGTGGATAAGCTTTCTGGTGTGCTGCTGGATTTGGTTTGCCAGAATTTTATTAAGGATTTTCACATCGATGTTCATCAGGGACATTGGTCTAAAATTCTCTTTTTTTGTTGTGTCTCTGCCAGGCTTTGGTATCAGGATGATGCTGGCCTCATAAAGTGAGTTAGGGAGGATTCTCTCTTTTTCTATTGATTGGAATAGTTTCAGAAGGAATGATACTAGCTCCTATTTGTATCTCTGGTAGAATTTAGCTGTGAATCTGTCTGGTCCTGGACTTATTTTTGTTGGTAGGCTATTAATTATTGTCTCAATTTCAGAGCCTGTTATTGGTCTATTCAGCGATTCAACTTCTTCCTGGTTTAATCTTTGGAGGGTGTATGTGTCCAGGAATTTATCCATTTCTTCTAGATTTTCTAGTTTATTTGTGTAGAGGTGTTTATAGTATTATCTGATAGTAGTTTGTATTTCTATATCCCCTTTATCATTTTTTTATTGCATCTATTTGATTTTTCTCTCTTTTCTTCTTTATTAGTCTTGCTAGTGGTCTATTTTGTTGATCTTTTCAAAAATCCAACTCCTGGATTCACTGATTTTTTGAAGGGTTTTCTGTGTCTCTATCTCCTTCAGTTCTGCTCTGATTTTAGTTGTTTCTTACCTTCTGCTAGCTTTTGAATGTGTTTGCTCTTGCTTCTCTAGTTCTTTTAATTGTCATGTTAGGGTGTTGATTTTAGATGTTTCTTGCTTTCTCCTGTGGGCATTTAGTGCTACAAATTTTCCTCTACCCACTGCTTTAAATATGTCCTGGAGATTCTGGTACATTGTGTCTTTGCTCTCATTGGTTTCAAAGAACATCTTTATTTCTGTCTTCATTTCGTTATTTACCCAGTAGTCATTCAGGAACAGGTTGTTCAATTTCCATGTAGTTATGCGGTTTTGAGTGAGTTTCTTAATCCTGAGTTCTAATTTGATTGCACTGTGGTCTGAGAGACAGTTTGTTGTGATTTCTCTTCTTTTACATTTGCTGAGGAGTGCTTTACTTCCAACTATGTGATCGATTTTGGGATAAGTGCGATGTGGTGCTGAGAGGAATGTATATTCTGTTGATTTGGTGTGTAGAGTTCTGTAGATGTCTATTAGGTCTGCCTGGTACAGAGCTGAGCTCAATTCCCGGATATCCTTATTAACCTTCTGTCTTGTTGATCTATCTAGTATTGACAGTGAGGTGTTAAAGTCTCCCATTATTATTGTGTGGGAGTCTAAGTCTCTTTTTAGGTCTCTCAGGACTTGCTTTATGAATCTGGGTGCTCCTGTATTGGGTGCATATATATTTAGAATAGTTAGCTCTTCTTGTTGAATTGATCCCTTTACCATTATGTAATGGCCTTCTTTGTCTCTTTTGATCTTTGTTGATTTAAAGTCTGTTTTATCAGAGACTAGGATTGCAACCCCTGCTTTTATTTGCTTTCCATTTTTCTGGTAGATCTTCCTGCGTCCCTTTATTTTGAGCCTATGTGTGTCTCTGCATATGAGATGGGTCTCCTGAATACAGCACACTGATGGGTCTTGACTCTTTATCCAATTTGCCAGTGTGTGTCTTTTATTGTGGGTGTTTAGCCCATTTACATTTAAGGTTAATATTGTTATGTTCGAATTTGATCCTGTCATTATGTTAGCTGGTTATTTTGCATGTTAGTTGATGCAGTTTCTTCCTAGCATCTATGGTCATTACAATTTGGCATGTTTTTGGAGTGGCTGGTACCGATTGTTCCTTTCCATGTTAGTGCTTCCTTCAGGAGCTTTTGTAAGGCAGGCCTGGTGGTGACAAAATCTCTCAACATTTGCTTGTCTGTAAAGGATTTTATTTGTCCTTCACTTATGAAGCTTAGTTTGGCTGGATATGAAATTCTGGGTTGAAAATTCTTTGCTTTAAAAATCTTCACATTGGCCCCCACTCTCTTCTGGTTTGTAAGAGTTTCTGCTGAGAGATCTGCTGTTAGTCTGATGGACTTCCCTTTGTGGGTAACCCGACCTTTCTCTCAGGCTGCCCTTAACATTTTCTTCTTCATTTCAACCTTGCTGAATCTGACAATTATGTGTCTTGTGTTTGCTCTTCTCGAGGAGTATCTTTGTGGCATTCTCTGTATTTCCTGAATTTGAATGTTGGCCTGCCTTGCTAGGTTGGGTAAGTTCTCCTGGATAATATCCTGAAGAATGTCTTCCAACTTGGTTCCATTCTCACTGTCAATTTCAGGTACACCAATCAGACATAGATTTGGTCTTTTCACATAGGCCCATATTTCTTGGAGGTTTGTTCATTTGTTTTTGGTTCCATTCTCGCTGTCAATTTCAGGTACACCAATCAGACATAGATTTGGTCTTTTCACATAGTCCCATATTTCTTGGAGGTTTGTTCATTTGTTTTTATTCTTTTTTCTCTAAACTTCTTTTCTCGCTTCATTTCATTCATTTGATCTTCATTCACTGACACCCTTTCTTCCACTTGATCCAATCTGCTACTGAAGCTTGTGCATGCATCATGTAGTTCTCTTGCCATGGTTTTCAGCTCCATCAGGTCATTTAAGGTCTTCTCTGCACTGTTTATTCTAGTTAGCCGTTTGTCTAATCTTTTTTCAAGGTTTTTAGCTTCTTTGTGATGGGTTCGAAGATCCTCCTTTAGCTTGGAGAAGTTTGTTATTACCGATCTTCTGAAGTCTACTTCTGTCAACTTGTCAAAGTCATCCTCCATCCAGCTTTGTTCTGTTGCTGGTGAGGAGTTGCGTTCCTTTGGAGGAGAAGAGGCGCTCTGATTTTTAGAATTTTCAGCTTTTCTGCTCTGGTTTCTCCCCATCTTTGTGGTTTTATCTACCTTTGGTCTTTGATGATGGTGATCTACAGATGGGGCTTTGGTGTGGATGTCCTTTTGTTGATGTTGATGCTATTCCTTTCTGTTTGTTAGTTTTCCTTCTAACAGTCAGGACCCTCAGCTTCAGGTCTGTTGGAGTTTGCTAGAGGTCCACTCCAGACTCTGTTTGCCTGGGTATCACCAGCAGAGACTGCAGAACAGCAAATATTGCAGAACAGCATATATTGCAGAACAGCAAATGTTGCTGCCTGATCCTTCCTCTGGAAGCTTCATCTCAGAGGGGCACCTGACTGTATGAGGTGTCACTCGGCCCCTACTGGGAGGTGTCTCCAAGTTAGGCTACTCGGGGGTCAGGGACCCACTTGAGGAGGCAGTCTGTCCATTCTCAGATCTCAAACTCCATGCTGGGAGAACCACCACTCTCTTCAAAGCTGTCAGACAGGGATGTTTAAGTCTGCAGAAGTTTCTGCTGCCTTTTGTTCAGCTATGCCCTTCCCCCAGAGGTGGAGTCTACAGAGGCAGGTGGGCCTCTTGAGCTGTGGTGGGCTCCACCCAGCTCAAGCTTCTCAGTCACTTTGTTTACCTACTCAAGCCTCAGCAACAGCAGACACCCCTCCACTAGCTGTGAGCAAGGCTCCATGGGCGTGGGACCTGCTTAGCCAGACACGGGATATAATCTCCTGGTGTGCCATTTGCTAAGACCATTGGAAAAGCACAGTGTTTAGGTGGCAGCATCCCGATTTTCCCAGTACAGTCTGTCATGGCTTCCCTTGGCTAGGAAAGGGAAATCTCCCAACCCCTTGCACTTCCCGGGTGAGGAGATGCCCTGCCCTGCTTTGGCTCACCCTCCATGGGCTGCACTCACTTTCCAACCAGTCCCAATGAGATGAATCATGTACCTCAGTTAGAAATGCAGAAATCACCTGTCTTCTGCGTTGATCACACTGGGAGCTGTAGACCAGAGCAGTTCCTATTCAGCCATCTTGGAATGGACCCCGACCTATACTTTTGGATGCTACAAGTGAACATCAAAGAAAAATATCTTGAGGTCAGAAGTTTGAAACCAGCCTGGCCAACATAATGAAACTCCGTCTCTACTAAAAATACAAAAATTAGCCAGGCATGGCAAATGCCTGTAGTCCCAGCTGCCTGGGAGGCTGAGGCACAAGAATTGCTTGAACCTGGGAGGCAGAGGTTGAAGTGAGTCAAGATAGTGCTACTGTACTCCAGCCTGGGCGGCAAAGCAAGACTGTCTCAAAAAAAAAAAAAAAAGAAGTAAAGTGGTTCTGAGATTTTGGAGGAAGGATCATCTCAATTTGTAGCACAGAAGTGTGACAACTCAAACTAGTATTTTTGCAGCTGTAGAGATGAATAGAATCTCTTTTCTTCACATGAGTCTCCACATTGCCAGCTGGTGGTTAAACGTGGATTGTACCTAGTTTACTTTTTTCATTTCAAGGACTCTAATTCTTTCTGTTTCTTTCTGCTTCTGGTGTCTCTTTAATGCCTTCAAACAATTGTTTTTCAGTTATTTGTCCGAAGTCTGTAATTATTTCATCAGGAGGGTAGGCCTGATATTACCCTCATTTACCAGAAATAAAACCCCAATTTGTTTTTAGATATAATAATGATGTTGTGATTATTTTAAAAGAAGAATAACATTCCTTCATTTAACCAATATACACTTTATAGAGGAAGCATATACGACTGGGATTCACTTCAAAGTGTTACAAAAGTGGTAAGAGTTGATGAGTGAATCCATAGGAACAAATTAGCCATTGTTTGCTGATTCTCAGTTTGGGGTGATGAATATATAAGGATTGACTATTCTATTTTGCTATTTATGGATAGCACCAAAATTCTTCCTAAAAATTAAAATAGTTTAAAAGCCCTACCTATCATATGAAGCCCAGAGTAGTCAAGGGACGACTTATGAAAAGTAACTTGGAACAAATATAGAGCAGGAACACATATTCACTCACACATATACACACTCACATAAAGCAACAACATACATTTGTATGCAAAAATGTGTTTCTTCCCTTTTATGTATGTATAAATATTATTCCAATATTTTAAAACTTACATAAGTGCTTTATGTAACTCTTAGACATTTATAAATATTTGTATGATTGCATAAAATAGTTCTCATGAGGCTATAAAAGACAGGAAAAATACATGTAAATCTATATGCATTAGGTTGAGTAATTTTGGATGACAGAATTTTTTATATGAAAAAGTATTTATCAGAAAATCATATTGATTATTCTTTATTATTTTAAACAATTTGAAATAATTCTACTTTCAACACTTTAAACACTGTGGTGAAACCTACCTGTATTTTGGTGTTTCATTGTATTTTTTCCTTTTCAAGACTTGGACATTGACAAAAAGAATTAATTAAAAAGAATTAAAGCATGATAATGAATTAACAGATCAAGGATTGATAGGCTTTATTTATTAGCATTCTTTGATTGGAAACAGTAGAATAGTATTTCCCATAGAAGACATTTTGAAGAAGAATATGGTGTAACTTATAAGTTTGAAGGAAAATTAGCAAAGGGCTTAGGAAGTTCAGAAACGACATCAGGATCTAAAGAACAGGATCCAATGGACTGTCTCAGAGCAAGCTAGCATACCTAGGTTGGCAGTCTCACAAAGTCTTCATGAAATGAGGAGGAAACTGTTTCTAAAGAATTGAGATGCAGCAACTTGAAAAAATGAAATGGATGCAAATAAGAAAAGCTAATAGGTACCAACATCAGTATTTCAAGACAGCTGGAAAATATTGCTAAGATTCCAATTAAAAATAAAAGATAATACAGCAATTTTGATTTAAAAATACCAGCAGCATTTAAAGCAAAATATCCACTAGTATACTAATCAAACAGATAACTTTTTAATGTCAGTCAATAGAAATTGATGTTCTCTTCTGATGCAACTGTAGCAACTGTTTAAATTACTCAATATGGTAATATGAAGCTGGCAGTGTGTAGACTCATATGAAGAAACAAGATTCTATTCATCGCTACAACTGCAAGAAGACTAGTTTGAGTTGTCACACTTCTGAGCTACAAATTGAGATGATCCTTCCTCTAAAATCTCAGAACCATTTTTGTTTGATGTTCATTTATAGCATCCAAAACTAAAGATCAAAATCTTTATTTTATTTTTGGTCAGGTAATTTGGTCATGAAAGAAACAAACCTCATACATGTGTTAATTCATTCTTTAATTAAATATATCAGAAATCAACTTGAGCTAGCATATGGAAATATAATAGTCATTTACTATGAAGATCCAAAGTATTTTTCATTGTCCAAAAGTGAGGAGGTAGCAACGCTACAGAAAATAATGAGAACGAGAAATGGAAAGGTATGTGGAACATAAAAATATTTTGTTTCTATTTTATTTGTTTTTTACACTAGTAATCATTCTTCTTTCTTCCTCTGAATTATAAGTAAGGGCTGCATCATAGCACCTTTGGAAAAAGAATATGATTGGCACAGCTTGGGTAAGTCATTCTCTCTCCTGCACACAAGCACAAGTATCCAAAAGAATAGAGCCTCTTACTTCAAAACTAACTGTAACGTACCATGCCTAAGATAAGAAGTATTGATAAATGGATTATAATGAGCCTTAAAGACTTCGCCCCTCCCCCAGATTCATATGTTGAAATATTAGCCTGTAAGGTGGTGGTATTATAAGGACAGCCATTGGTTGGTGATTAGGTCATGAAGATGGAGTTCTCATGAATGAGATTAATTCCTTTATAATATAGACCCCAGAGAGCTGCCTTGCCCATTCCACCATGAGAAGAAACAGCAAGAAGTTACCACCTGTGAACCAGAAAACAGCTCCCTACCAGACACCAAATCTGCTGGTGCCTTGGTCTCCAACTTCCCAGCCTCCAGAACTGTGAGAAATCCATTTCTGTTGTTCATAAGCTATCCAGTATTTTGTTACACAGCCTAAATGAACTAAAAGACATTGCAAAAGTTATCTTGTTCAATGGAGTTGTGAAAACTTAAGTTAGCTTCTGTGTGCGTGTGTGTTTTTCATTTTTTAAAAACAGAAATTGTGTTTGAGTTTAGAAAGATGTAAAGAGAAAGAAAAACATTATAGAGAACTTTGTGATTTGGATTACAAGTTGAAAATGGTGAGGTAAGACATTGAGCTGGGGGGGTGTCCCCAAAATGACTCACTCACTATTAAGAACAGTATGGCCAGAGTGGCATTGTATCTAAGAATGATAAGGTTGACCATGAGGATGAGGCTCAGTGGCAGTCACCAGCAAACTTCAGGATGGTTCTGTAACAGCAACAATTACTGAAGTGGGACTCAGTAATCAATACTGAGCTAAAAGATCAGACCACAAGGTCACCAGCCATAGACTATAGCAGCGGAAATAACTGATTGTCTATGAATAAAGATAACTGCAACTCAGCGGACACTACCAGTGAACACACAAATACCAGATTAGCCACTTTTGAGAAGAGTCCAACACCAGGTAGAACCCCAGACAGCTCTCCCCCATGAAACACAATGAAGATCTTTCATTTACATCCAGATACCATCTTGGGGAAGGATGAGGGAGAAAATAGAAGCAGCCCTGATAGGAACTTGGCTTCAAATCTGACTGAATATTTATCAAAGAGATTCTATTTAGAACTGAAAGATACTATTAAAACTGGAAAATGCTGAGATATTGCTGATCAGCAACATGTTTTTTCCCCTTGCCCAGAGGAAGAGAGCCTGTGAAAAAGTTTAGATAAGTTACGTAAAATAATTAAGCTATAATTTTCCTGCACATTTAAGTCTATGTGCATTTTGTCAACCCAGTTACATTGTTAAAAGCCCAGCAACTTGGATCTAAACTATAAACACTAAACATAATTTAAAAGAGGAGGAATTAAATAATAGGAATGGGAAAAGATTATAAAAATGTCATAGCAAACATAAATAACTGTAATGGCAGACACAGGAGTGCCATGATAGAGACAGAGCTGAGTCACATCTTACACCGTCATTTCTAACTTAGTATGTGAGAAGAAGAACAAGTATAGTCAAATTTACTCCTAAAAATCTTTGAGATGGCACTATCTCTGTACCATCTCTCAAAAAGGATACCCAAGGCTGTCTTATAAAGCTGTGAGCACTCTAGCTTCTGGAATCCCCAACTCACATATTATCAAACACATTTTAAAGCACTCAATTTCCATAATTTTGTGAATATTTTTAAATGCAAGAATTTGCATTACTTTCATGTGAAATAATGTAGCTACAAGTAACTAATTAAATTTAAAATTTTCTTTGGGTTCCTGGATCCTACATATTCAGAAATTATTATAAACAGAGAAAAATGCATTATACATATTATTTTCAATTGTGAAAATTCTTTACAAATACTAATTTTACCACCAATCAAGAAAAGTGGATTTTGTGTTTTCGTAGACATTTCATTAGATATTGACTCATTTCAATTTTTCAATTTTCTGGATTTGGGGGTTAATATATTTTGTTTCAAATGTTTTCAAAGAGGGCTTTGAAGAAATTCAAAGTCTGATGGCAGCTTGCTTACAAAATAAAGTGTCATTGAGTCCAGTGCAGCACGAGGAACCAAAACAATACAATACCCATGTATATATGGTTAACTGCAAGCCAAAAATATTTAATGAGAAATTCCAGAAATAAACAAATTGTAAGTTTTAAATTTTGCACCATTCTGAGCAGTGTGATGAAATCTAATGCCATCCTGCTCCCTCCTACCTGTATGTGAGTCATCCCCACGGTATAAAGTGATTCATCCTATAGACACCAGCGCTTATGAGTCACTTGGTAGCCACCTCACTTCTCAGATCAACTGTCAAGCTAACTTCGTGCTTTTATCACAGTGTTTGTGTTCAAGGTCAATAGTGGTGTAACACTAAGTCACAATGTCCACATCATTCAGCTCACTTCATCTAATCAAGTAGGCATTTTATTATCTTACATTATCACATGAAGGGTGAGTACAGTAAAAAATATATTTTGAGGGAGAGAGAGAGACCACATTTGCATAGCTTTTATTACAGTATGTTGTTATAATTGTTTTATCATTAGTTATTATTGTTAATCTCTTTCTGTGCCTAATTTATAAATTATGCTTTATAATAGGTATGTATTTGGCCAGGTGTGGTGACTTATGCCTGTAATCCCAGCACTTTGGGAAGCCGAGGTGGGTGGATCACCTGAGGTCAGGAGTTCAAGACCAGCCTGGCCAACATCTCTACTTAGCCCCATTTCTACTAAAAATACTAAAATTAGCTGGGCGTGATGGTGAGTGACATCAGGGTGGAAATCAGAGTGCCAGGTAGCGTGGAAATGAAATTAGAAAGCACCCAGCTGGTGTCCACTGCAGAACTGCTTGCTTCTTCCTGGTGGAAAGAATTACCACACATTTGGCCACAGAAGGCTGTGTTCATTGTTGCGTGTTGACAGCAGAATCATTTGATTTGATCTTTCTTTTGATTTTTCTTCACAGAATCATATAGCTAGTAAATTTTAGAACAGGTACCCAAACTCATCATTTATATCCCTGTACAATTATTTTGAAAATATTTCATTCATATAAATACTGGTTGACCCATTTATTTTCAGTAGTTCATACTGATGGCCCTGTAGTTTTATGGAAGCTGTTGGTACAATTTGTGGTATACGAGATATCCTGAGTAACTAATACATATTGTGCTTTATGCACATTTCGAAGGACTAATAACATATTTTAATTCAATTTCCCTTCATCTTGGAGCGCTATGGGTTTTAGACCTGCCTATCTGGTAGGCTGATAAGTTAGGCTCTGACTTACTCCATGCTACTCCATATTAGTTGATTAGAACTCAAAGTCCAGTCATAACATTAGTCCTAGGAGAAATTGTGATCTGCTCCACATTCATGACTACAGAGCATATCACAGTGAAAAAGAGAGAATGTATATATAGCTATGGCCTATGGCATCTGGAACTATAGATTCACTTAATTAGGACCAAAATTACACTTTGGTTAAATTATCTAAGGATATTTAGTAAGTACATGTTGTGTAGATTGAAGTGTGGCAGTAAAATAAAAATAATAGAACCCAGCTGTCCAAGATGAAGGCTCAGTTTCTCCATTATTCTCAGAATGCCCATTGCCTCAATTTGTGTGGGGTTAATTATTACAATATCTGTCTCATATATCAAGTTATTGCCAAATCCTGAGATAATCCATTACACAGGAAGCATTTTTTAAAATCTGTTTTTCATCTTAATTTTTAAGTGCGGATCATGAATTCACCTTAACTTTACAATTTTGCTAATCAAATGCCATCTCAATATCTGGTTAGTTACAAATATGCCAGCTAATTCAACTGAGATACCTGTATTATGTCGTTCAACAGAGTCCTTTCCTTCAAAAGACTGCCAAAGAAAACAGTGTTTAAAAACTCAGTGCTTGCTAATTCTCTTCAGAGAACTTCATTGTATTTTACGTAAATGTCTTTGCAGGAGGATAAACATATTTTCTTCCAGTGCTTCATGATCTAAATTGTGATTCACTGAAGTATTGTAGCATGTATAATTTTTTTAGAAAACACAACCCTCCTTGACACTTACCCCAATAGGTATGCATTTAAGTTCCAAGGAACTTATCACATTTATTCTTTTTAACTGTCATTTGATTTTGGTATGGTAGACATCTGCTACACAGCTCTTTTAACTTTCCATCAAGGCAAATTACTGGAAACATGGGTTACTATGGCAATAAGGAGTAGCCCTTATTGTTTTTTCATGTCAGTCATCTCAGCAGTGTTAGTCTGGTAGAGAGTGCTAACCAGTAGGGGAGTTAAGTCTAGCATACCTTTGCAAAGCTTTAGATTGTGAATACTGGGATGAAACCACTCAGATGGAAAGGCTTGTTTCCATGGCAACAGGAGCAGTTCCCATTGTTTCAATTTGTCACTCATCACAGCAATGTTTGCCTTGGGAGACTGCACTAAGCATTTCTAGCTACATTTTGTTGTGGATTCAAGAGATTGGATGGCAATGCTGCTATGGTTACCAGGGTTTTTGTCTCAGGTGAGATCCTAGAACAAAGTAATCTCTCTCATTCCAGTAGAAATTTTAAATAACTAGCAGTGGAATACAAAGAAAAGAAGTTGTGATAACTCCCTTCTGGGACAAGGGCAACAAAGTCTGACTTTTTTTTATTGTTATAGTTTTTGCTTGTGATCGGGGGGTGGTTTGAAATGAGAGGTGAGAAGAGTTAGGGCTGACTAAAACAAGAAATAAGGAGAACATAAAGTTATCATTCACTATTTATTGTAAAAGTGCAAGAAAAGAGAATGCCTTAAAGATAAATGTATAGTAAATATTCATATATTCAAGGTATTTCTTTTATCAATCTATATATTATTTAATTTAAATGATTTCTCCAACCCTTATTGCTACGGTCTGAATATGTCCCCATAAAATTCATAAATTGAAACATGATCACTGATATAAAGTATTAAGAGGTGGGGCTTTTAGGATGTCATAAGGGCAGAGTCCTCATAAATGAGATTAATAATCATATAAAAGAGGCTTGAGGGAGCTATTCGTGCCTTTAACCTTTCTTCCCTTTCATCATGTGAGGACACAGCATCAAGGTGCCATCTTGAAAGCAGAGAGTGGTCTTCACTGAACACTAAATCTGCCGGTGTCTTGATCTTGGAATTCTCAGCCTGCAGAACTATAAGAAACAAATTGTTTGTTGTTTATAAGTTACCCAGTCAATGGTATTTTGTTACATCAGTAGGAATGAACTAAGACACTTATAAAAATAATTCATTCTGTCAGCCAGATCATGACCCTCTCCCTAGTGTTGATCACTCAGGGCTATGAAAGGATATACGTACAGAAAGCAGAAAACTTTCTAGGTAATAAAATTGTACATTTTATATACTTTTAATTTCCACTTTTCATTGGTCTCAAGATAGATACAAATTATGAAACAACCATTGAGAATTATACAAGAGGCCACAACCAATATTTTCACCTTTTCTGCAATTACATGGTTACTATTACAACTCCAAAGTATTGGGCCGTTGCGAACTAGACAAACATTAGCACAAATTTATTTTATAGAAAATTATTAAAAACCCAAGAAAATTATAATCCAAACATTCAAACATAAACACTATTTTTATTTTGATTTTATGATTTCATCTTAGAATATTATATCAAGCACTACAATGTGATAAGTATTGAACCACATGCATCACTTGTGTTATTTAACTTAAATTTTACTAAAAATTTTTGAGAAAGTTATTATTATCCCTACAACTAGTTGTTTGGAACTACAACTAGTTGTCAAAATTATTTGAAATTAGACACTGAGTTTTACTACTAAATTCTATAATAAACCATTCTCATTTTTTAAATCTCCCTAAATCAGAATCACATTATCTTACTACTTTATTATTTTCTGTGCCTGATTGAGTTGTGAATTATCAAGAAGTTTGTTAATGACTAGACTTCCTTTTTAAATGACTATAGATGGTAATCATTTTCCACTTCATTTGTGCACTTTGACAAATATTTCATGTTTACATGGTTACAATGCATTATTTCAGTCTTAGCAAAATTTAATAAGCAACTAATTATTCTGTGTATATCTCAATAACAGGTTACGAATATATAGGATATATATTGTTTTCTCAGGTTATTCTTTGGAGAATATAGCATAAGATACTTAAGCTATATTTAATCTTTTTTGCCTAGAAATGGAATAGACGCAGCCAGGGTTGATGGGGCACAAAATGCCAAGGAGACATCTAGAGAAGAAACTGGTTCTGCCCACATGGCAGAGACAGATTTTTCAACCCACCAGTACGTCAAGTCTGCTCTAACTCTCTACAGGCCGGTGCAGCAGTGTGTGTTCTCTATAAGTTGTATCTCTTAATTCCAACACTGAGATTAAGCAGAATGGACCTGCAAGAAAATCATATTTTGCTCTTTTTTCTTATCCTGGATTTTGTTCACATTGCAGTAAAAAATGTTTTTTAAATGCTATTTTCCCCTTAAACTTTATTCCCAACATAAGTATGTTCAGATTTAAAAAAAAAAAAAACATAGCTTGAAATACAAGGCCGTTTTGCAAGATGCACTCAAGGAATGTACAAGACAGGAGGCATGATAACAGTAGGTGCTGGGAAAACAAGTTCATCCTGAATAGGTAGCCTTTTAGTTAAAGAAACTAAGTACACGTATATATGTGCCTCTGTGTGTGTGTGTAATATATACACAGCCAATGCCAAGGTTACAGAATTTAATCAGAAGGATATTTGAGATTGTATCAGTACTTTTTGTGTATGTAGCATTCTGCAGCTATTTTTTGAATGATTAAATGAATGAGCACTGTGGGAAAAAAGATGAATATCACTTGGCTACCTTAGGAAGGTTGTTATAACTCTTAAATCAGAGTTTAGAATGTTCATTATTAATTTTCGTTATTTTATTTCTTATTTGGTTAATATTTCTAGTTACTTTTACATTTCATAATTTAAAGGAAATTATTTTGTTATGAACAAGTAGCACTCATAATGTATGTTATGCATTGTATAAATACATTCTTGAGGTTTGGCAAATCGTTTAATCTTTGCCTCCAAACAGGTGCTGACTTCTTGCAACATTCATAGGTTTATTTAATTCAATAAATATTTATGGAGGTCCTCTTTGTGTACTATGCTGGTTATCAATGGGCTAGGGGGAAAGATGAACTGGTGGGTCAAGCTGACCATATACACACTCTGTGAAGGTTTATCTGGTGTACTGGGATTAAAAGTTAGCATTTTTAATTATCTTAGTTGAAGAATATATTAAGATGATCAATTAAAAGTAAATACCTGCTTTTAAAAATTAATCTAACTCATAACTTCAAAAAATAAACTCAAGTGTCATTGGATCACACACAAACATTTACTGAGTTATGACGGTTAATTTTTTCTTCTTCTTTTTTTAAGTGAGATGAGGGTCTCATATGTTGCCCAGGCTGGACTCAAACTTCTGGGCTCAAGAAATCCTGTGCCTCAGCCTCCCTGACTAGCTGGGGCTATAGGCACATGACACCACACCTGGCTATGATGGTTAACTTTGTGTGTATATTTGGCTAGGCTAAGAGATGCCCAGAGAGTTGTGAAAATGTTACTGGGTGTGTCTGTGAGTGAGTTTCCAGAAGAAATTTACATTTTAATCAGTAGACTGAGTAAAGAAGATGGCTCTCACCAATGTTGATGGGCATCCTCCAGTCCTTTGAGGGCCCAAATAGAACAAAAAGATAGAAGAAGGATAAATTTCCTCTCCCTGTTTGAGCTGGGACATCTGTGTCCTTCTGCCCTTAGACATAGTAGCTCCTGGTTCTCAGGTTTTTGGACTTAACTGAATTATACCACTGGCATTTCTGGCCCTTCAGCTTTCAAATGGGACTTCTCAGCCTCGATAATTACATGAGCCAATTCCCACAATAACTCTTTCTCTCTCTCTCTCTCTCTGTAGTGTATCCTATTGGTTCTGTTTCTCTGAAGTACCTGAACTTAGAACACTGAACATCAATTATGTGACTTAAGCTCTACTGTGGAGAATAGAGACATGAATCATAGAATGTCCTCCAGAACATGAATTGTTCCATGACCTGACTAGTGCCCCAGACACTCCTGACTTTTGACATTTCATCAACTTAGCAGAACCTTCTTCTTCTTGTTCCTCTGTGTAATGTTTGTTCTATCTTCAGGATCCAAATCGAAAACCACCTTCCCCTTAATGCCTTCTCTGCTATTTTGACCTCCAAGAATAGGTGTAGTGTCCTTTCTTTGCATTCCCATAGCAGTCCAACCATAATTATATCATAGAAATCAACCAGACTGATATATTTTAACTAAACATTTTAATTTTAGAAAGTTGTAGATACATATACAGTTGTAAGAAATAACAGATAGATCCTATGTACTTTTATTCAATTTCCCCTGAATGATATCTTGCTATAATATCACAACCAGGATATTGACATTGATACAGTCAAGACATAGAACAATTTTATCAACAAAAGGATCCCAAATGTAGCCCTTTTATAATCAAATCTACTTTCCTCCCACATCTCTACTTCCCACTCCATTAACCTTAAACACTGGCAACCACTAATCTGGTCTTCATTTCTATAATTTTGTCATTTCAATAATGCTATAAAATGGGTCATAAAATATGTGATCTTCTGAGATTGCTTTTTCACTAAGCATAATTCCCTGGAAATTATTACACAATAGTCAGGTTGCTGTGTATATCAATAATATGGATGTACCACAGTTTGTTTAACCATTCACCTGTGGAAGAACATAAGGGTTCTTTCTAGTGTTTTACCATTAGAAATAAAACTGTTATAAACATTCATGTACTAGTTTTGCATGAACATAAATTTTCATTTCTCTGGAATAAATGCCCAAGTGTACAATTGCTAGGCTGTATGGAAATTAGAAGTTTGGATATTTAGGAAACTGTCAAGCTGTATTCCAGAATGGCTGTACCATTTTACAACCCCACTAGTAATGCATGAATGATTCAGCTTCTCTGTATTCTCATCAACATCTGAGACTGGCATTATTTTTAGTTTTTATTTTAGTCATTCTGACTTTAAAAATGTAAACAATCACCATAAAATACAAGAAATGCTGATATAGAAGCTAACTAAGATAAAATACAAGGAGGAATACAACCTTTCTAGAAGAAAAGGTAAAATAAAAATCTGCCTGGAAGAACTCATATGTGCCAAGCCCAGGGATAAGAAAAAACATCAGACAATTTGGGAAAATGCAAATAGCTTGGGACAGCCAGCAGGCAATGAGGGAGTTGATGACAAGATGGGAAGGTGGGCAGAGATCAAATAATAATGAGCCTCCCATGCCTTGCTGAGACTTGGACTTCATGCAGAAGGTAAGGGCTTGAGAGTGGAAATGAAGGTATCATTTTGAAACACATCTACTTCTTCTTCCCAATGGTAATTTCTCTTTTTCTATTTTTTTGTTTTTTAAATTTCAGTAGCGTTAGTGGTACAAGTGGTTTTTGGTTACATAGATGAATTGTATAGTGGTGAAATCTGGAATTTCAGTGCACTTGTCACCCAAGTAGTGTACATTGTACTGAATATGTAGTTTTTTATCCCCTACCCTCCTCCAACCCTCCCAGCTTCTGAGTCTTCAATGTCTTTTATACCACTCTGTATGCCTTTGCGTACCCATGGCTCATCTCCCACTTATGATTGAGAACTTGTGATATTTGGTTTTCCATTCCTGAGCTACTTCACTTAGAATAATGGCCTCCGAGTCCATCCAAGTTGCTGCAAAAGACATTTTTTATTCTTTTTTATGACTAAGCAGTATTTCATGGCATATATACACACAGACACACACACACACACACACACACACACATATATATATATATATATACCATATTTTCTTTATCCACTTATTGGTTGATGGACACTTAGGTTGACTCCCTGTCTTTGCAATTGTTAATTGTGCTGCCATAAACATACACATGCAGATGTCTTTTTAATATAGTAACTTTTCTTCCTTTGGATAGATACCTAGAAGTAGGATTGCTGGATCAAATGGTAGATCTACTTTTAGTTCTTTTAGTAATCTCCACATCGTTTTCCATAGAGGTTGTACTAGTTTACATTCCCACCAGTAGTGTGTAAGTATTCCCTTTGCACCACATCAATGCCAAAATCTACTGTTTTTTGACTTTTTAATAATGGCCATTGTGGTGGGGCAAGGTGGTATCTCACTGTGGTTTTAATTAGTATTTCCCTACTGATTTGTGATGTTGAGTAGGTTTTCATATGTTTATTGGCTGCTTGTAAATCTTCTTTTGAGAAATGTCTATTCATGTCATTTGCCTACTTTTTAATGGTATTATTTGAGTTTTTTTTCTTGCTGGTTTGCTTCAGTTCCTTGTAGATTCTGGATATTAGTCCTTTGTCAGATGCATACTTTGAAAATATTTTCTTCCCCAATGGTGTTTTGTTAATTTGGACAATTAATACACAGGCAGGGAGGAAGGCCAGAAAAAAAAGCAGGAGTGATCAAAGACATAGGAGATAAAATGCTTGTGTCCAGAAAGCTCAACGATACCAAATAAAATGGGAAGGCAGTGAGGGTTTGAAAGGAGGGATCACAAATTACTCCCATGGGCCAAATCTGGCCAACTCTCTGCTTTTGTAAATTAGGTATTATTGGAAAACAGCCATGTACATTCATTTAAATATTGTTTATGACTGTTTTTGCATTGTGATAGCAGAGTTGAGTAAATAAGCCAGAGACTATCTATCCCACAAAATCAAGTGTTTACTATCTAGCTCTTTATACAAAATATTTGCTAATCCTTTGTTTAAAAACAAAGGAACAGTGGATCAAGAAAAAATGTGCCAAGTGTTTTGTGGATTTATCAGTAAGTAGGTTTTTGGTGACTCTGAGAAAGGAGTTTTTAGTGAAATCATTGGTATTGGGATAAAGGGAAGTGTAGGGAGTAAGTATATGCAACTTTCAAGATGTATTCATCCTCCCACAGCCAGTACACTGCCACTCTCCCCAGTCTTCATCAATAAAATGCATTATCTCCATTCACAGAAGAGGAAACAGAGATTCAGGGAGTTTAAGCAACTTGGTCAAACTTTTCACAGAAGTAAGTGGGAGTCAAAACTGGAATCCAGTTCTATTTATTCAAAGCCCATATTCTTTCTGCTATGTAATATTTTTCCTACAATTTACACTTGAGAGCCCAGAATTAAATGAAAGCCTTATGAAATTTTTTAGATTTCAAGATTGTGGACTTCACCAAAGTATTCTTATGTGGAAATGACATCTTGAAACCTTATCTGTTGTCCCTGCCAACAGGTATACTAAAGGAATGAGATCATTTAATAACTATGTTCAATTAATCCAAAATTATTCTCTCTCCAAATATAAAGGATTCTTGCTCCCTGGACCCTTTTCATTTACAGAAACTGCCTACTCAGAGTAAGCTTTCATAGACATAATGGAGCTCACTTACAACAGCATCTGTTCTGAAATATTCTGCACAGCTAAGAGGGTGAAAAAATGCAAACTTTTAAATTAATAGTCATTGAGGGAACAATAATGACAACAATGACAACAGAGGGAAAAATATATCTCTAATGAAAGGAACAGAAAGAAATCTGGTAGACCAGAAACTCACTACCATAAAAACATCTATGTAGGACACTTCAATAAAAGTACCTAAATGTTTTCTCTTATTATGTAATTCATTATAGTCCAAATTCATGTTATGTGAGACATATTAATCTCAATGTCTTCCTTATTCCTTTGTGAAATTCCAAGCCAACAATTTTAAATAAAATTGCCAGGGTGAAGGGGGAGGGTTGCTGTAATATATGTAAGCATCCATTAGGAATCACTTTATAATAGCACTCAGTGGGGTTGATTTTGCCCTTCAGGGGATATTTGGCAACTTGTAGACATTTTTGATTGTCATAACCGGGGTGGAAGAGGTGCTACTGGCCTCTAGTGGGTAGAAACCAGGGGCACTGCTCACATCCCATAATGCACAGGACAGCCTCCCACCTCACTTCACCAAACAAATAATTTTCTGGCCCGTAATGTCAATAGTACCAAGGTTGAGAAATCCTGCTTCAGAGGAACACCATTGTGGCATATTGGCAAGTCCATCAATGACACAGAACCAATATATCAAATATGCTACTATACGTGGGCAATCCTTATTTGCAAAGTCGTGAAATATAGTCCTTAAACTATTATAGTTGCAAATGATAGCTTAAATGAAAAAATACATAGGATTGATAGAATAAAAATAACGTCTTCTCTCAGTATTATGTAATTATTATTGTTGGTGGTGGTGGTGGTGGTTTTTTGTTTTTTGTTTTTGTTTTTGTTTTTGTTTTTGAGACAGGGAGTCTCGCTCTGTCGCCCAGGCTGGAGTGCAGTGGCGTGATCTCGGCTCACTGCAACCTCTGCCTCCCAGGTTCACGCCATTCTCCTGCCTCAGCCTCCCTAGTAGCTGGGACTACAGGCACCCACCACCACGCACAGCTAATTTTTTGTATTTTTAGTAGAGACGGGGTTTCACCGTGTTAGCCAGGATGCTCTCGGTCTCCTGACCTCGTGATCTGCCCGTCTCGGCCTCCCAAAGTGCTGGGATTACAGGCTGAGCCACCGCACCCAGCCTATGTAATTATTTTTAATAACAATTGGACCTCATCTTCAAGATGAAATAACATACTTGTGTAATTATGCACAAACATCTTTTAGGTCAGCAGCCTGGAACTACATGAAAACAGCACAGTAAAGACCTATATGAGGCATATTGCCAGTTTATCCAGAAAAAGAGAGATAAACGTGTGACTGAAAAAAGTATTTGTCGAATGAGCTGCAGCTGCGTATAACTAATATCTAATTGCTCATCTAGAACATATTATCCATCAGGCAGAACGAAGGTGGGTAATTTTCTATTATCTACTGAGATGATTTACCAAATTACTGCATAAAAATACATTTAACTCATATTAAAGTTATGACACTAACCAATAAAACCTTAGGGTAATCAGAATTATTGATGATTTGACCTAACTTTCTTTTGTGTGTTTTTAGAAATAAAAAGCCCAAAGAATAAATCAAAGGTAGTTTAAAAATTTCAATTGGAAACCAAGAAATGGCATTTGAGTTCTTCTTCCAGAACTACTATGAAGAGTTCTGTAAAGTATGTTAACTCAAAAACTATTATATGGAAAACATCAGTAATAATTTTAATCATTAGTTAGATTTGTTATTTCACCAATGACTTATCTTTAATTTTAATTTATATGTATATAAACATAAATATACATGTGTAACTTAATTTGAAAAGAAGGGTAATAATGATGGGCTTTATTTTGGGGGTATCCTAATAACAAACTCTACTTGAAGTGAATATGGACTGTACTTGAAGACTTGAAGGAGAGAAATTCTGACAGCTAACCTTGTCATCAACAGAGTGCTAGAAACTTACTCTAGTAAATTGGATTATTGTTCACTATTCTTCACCCTTGTCCTTTACTAGAATTACAAATTCCTTGCCTTGTCTCACGTGACTTTGCATTATCTCCCACTGAAGTGGGAAGAGAATATTTCCTCATCCTATTAATGCCCAGTTTAGCCATGTGACTTGCCTTGTCTGATAGAATGTGGCCTAAAGTGACAGTGTCCCAGCTATGAGCTGAAGCCTTAAAAGGCATTTCATATCTTCGCTCAGCTTTTTTGCTTTTATGCCATTTGCCATTAGAGAAACATGTCTCAGATAGCTATTGACTAACTAGACATGTGGAGCTGACCCACAGACTTAAAAGCAAGAAAAATATTTGTTACAAGCCAATGAGATATTTGAGGTTGTTTGTTAAGCAGCAAATAATGACTATTACACTTACAAAAGGATTTTCTAGCAATATTTATATTGTGAGTATTTGATGAATACCTCCCCAACACTTGTTTCCTAGATTTGCAACTGGAAATCCACCCTCACCTCCACATTATTGAGAAAGGAGTACCAGGACTGACTTCCAGGGTGAACTGAATCTTGGCTTTCCTCTGGTCACTGCAATTTGATTCCATTACAGGCACATGATTTTAGATGGGCCAATCAGAATCAACTTCAGAACTTTTCAAAAAGCTACCAGAAAAAGAATGTCACTATTTCCTCCTAGTCTTTAACTGGAAGAATGAGAAGTTAAGGCTACTGCAGACACCTTGCAGACACAAGGAGGAGCCTAGAGCCGCCTAAACCTAAGCCAACAAAGCCAAAATTGGAGCTGAGAGACAGAATGAAACAAGGTCCTCACAGTGTGGCCCAAGGTCTCAACTCAGCTATCCTTGAAGATAGCTCCAGAGATGGGGCTATCTTTGTGTTTCTTTATATGTGTTGATAGTTTCTTCCTATTCCTTAACCTAATTTGAATTATCTGTCACTGATCTCATATAGATTCCTAATGGACACAGCATCTTTGATTTTAATTAAGGGATAAGAAATAGAGAAAATACTCTTTTTAAACGCAATTTTCTTTTATTTAATCTAAAACACCCAGTCAGTCTGTAATGTGTATAGAGGAAAGAATTTACTGCAGAAAGAGAATAATTATAAAAGCCTATGCAAAATACCTGCCCATTTTCTCCTTCTATTCATATAATTTTCTTTTAAGGGGAATATCATTGTGACATAATTATAGTTTATCCAAATCCTAACACGAAATTAACATTTCAAAGATATAATAGAATTATAATGTTTTTCAACAGGACATAATGTTTTATCAATTCAGGCTAAATTTATAATCTTCCAAACTTCACAGGAAATTTAAGAGACTATCTTAAAACTCTGCTAAATTTTATTTTATTTTTTTTTCTTTTATTATTATACTTTAAGTTTTAGGGTACATGTGCACATTGTGCAGGTTAGTTACATATGTATGCATGTGCCATTCTGGTGTGCTGCAACCACTAACTCGTCATCTAGCATTAGGTATACCTCCCAATGCTATCCCACCCCCCTCCCCCCACCCCACAACAGTCCCCAGAGTGTGATGTTCCCCTTCCTGTGTCCATGTGATCTCATTGAACTCTGCTAAATTTTAAATGAGCAAGTTTAATCCCCAGTTTATGAAAAGATACTAAAACCTCTGATGATAAGGAGAATAAAATATTCCTGTCCTGAAGTCAAGTCTGCATAAATTGGTTTTTCCAGATAATATAGTTAAGGTGTTTGTTCCCCAATTGAGTAACGGAAATTTATTTCTATTAATCAGAATGTCCAGACTCAGTGAGAAGTTTTCCTTAGCAACCATCAGTAATGTGTACACAGCGCCTAAAGCAGCTAAGTGTTTGATCACCATATTATCAGATATTTATGTTTTACTTCCAGTTGCTTAGCTACCACCTATATTTTAGAAAATAATATTATATTTCTCTGGCTATAAATATAATACAAACTTATTTCATATTATTTGAAAAGTGCCAAAAGGTGCAAAGAGAAAATAAAAGCCAGCCATGTTCCAAATACAAGATATTTGTTACATGTTACTGTTACATGTTTTTGTGTTTCTCTTCAGAAGTTGTTTTCTAGAGTTAAATTGTTTGTACATTTGGGTGCCTTGTTTTTTCACTTATATATTTGAACATTTTCCCATGACAATCATGTACAAAAATACAAAAAATCGTTCAATTACTTTCCATCTTACTGTTAAGCAGGAGCCAAATTCTTACAATGCTATAGGGTTGCTATCACAAACTACCATAGACTGAGAGGCTTACACATTAAGCACTGCATTAGCACAGTTCTTTGGAAGCTGGAGGTCTGAAATCAAGGTGCCAACATGGTCAAGTTCTGGTGAAAGCCCTCTTCCTGGTTTGCAGATGGCTGTCTTCTTGTTGTATCCTCACATGATGGAGAGCAGAGAGGAAGGAAGCAATCTCCTCTCTTTCTATAAGGACACTAATCTTATTCTTGAGGATTCAATCCTCAAGAGATCCTACCTCCTAATACCATCATACGGGGGTTGGAATTTCACAAACACATTTTGAGGGGACACAGACATTCAGTCCATTACAAATGGTCTCCATGAATTGCACCTTCCCATTATCTCTCTGAACCAAATACCTCCCCTTCCTTAACTCCTGTCATGACAGCTTTTGCTCTTCCTCTAACATGCCAGGATCTTACCTCCTTGTTACCTTTGTACTGTCACCTCTGTCTAAAACACTTTTTCTCCTGATACACATGATTCATTCCATTATGTTCTCCACATGGCATCATCTCTGTTCGATCAACCAAGACCCTCTAGGTGACTATGGTCCTGGTCACTAGATTCAGACTTTCATACTAGCTGTATGATCTTGAGAAAGCTGCTGAACCTCTTTTTCACTTTGGAGAATAACAATAATCACCTTATGGGCCTGCTGTTATAATTAAACTCATCTACTTTGCAAAATCCTCTTCTTTACCAGCGTTCTCAATCCCTAAATTTTACTTTTTCCACAGGCTATTTGTTACTTTATAGCATACTATATTAATTAATAATTATTATGGCTATGATTACAAATTAGTGATTATTTGTACGTTTATTGTGTACTGTCTTATCTCCCACCTTCACTGGGCTCCAAATTCTACCAGGATAAAGATGTGCTTAAAAACAAAAACAAACCAGTTAACACCAGTATGGTACCTGCAATGCAACTGTCATTCTAAGCTTTTTAAATGTATTAATCATTGTAAGTAGAGGACTATCTGTACCTATTCCATGGAATACTTACAATGATTCCACTTATGATTTTTTTTTACTTTATGTTAGTGGGAAAGCCATATGCATATGGAAACCATACTTTGAGTATCCATACAACCTTTCTGATTTTCAATTTCAGTACAATATTCAATAATTTACATGAGATTTTTTAAACATTTTATTAAAAATTAGGCTTTGCGTTAGAAGCTTTTGCCCAACTTCAGGCTAATGTAAGTGCTCTGAGGACATTTAAGGCAGACTCAGCTAACCTATGATGTTCAATAAAGCTAGGTTATTAAATGCATTTTTGACTTGACTTAATATATTTTCGGCTTACAATGGGTTTATTGGGACATGATCCCCTGGTAAGTGAAGGAGCATATGTATTATTATCTCCATTTTACAGATAAGAAAATTTGAAGCATTGACATTATTAAGCAACTTTCCCAATTGGTAATGGCAATAACTGATGAAGGGCAAATGTGAACCCAGGCAATGTGGCTCCAGAGGAAACGCTATGCTTTCAACAAATTCTTAGTGAGGAAATGTGGTGAATAAACCAAAGAAGGAAGCACTGTCATATCATCAGGACTAAGCTTCTTTTACAGCCCAGACCTCCTTCTAAAAAAAAAAAGTGAATTCTATTTTCTTTCAGACTGTGATTTTTCCAGTCAGCAGAATGTAGATGAGAAAATAGAGGAGTGAGGCTTTCATTTCTCAATCCCACCTTTGACATGAAAGGAACAGAGGCCATCTTCCTTTTGGCTGGGTTCCTGCTGAGTTGGATTTCTCCTGATTTATTTCATCTCCTTTACCTGGCTTTCTCCTCCACACTAACGATTTGCATCCATAAAGCAAATGACCTTTGCTAGCCGATGTGTTTTCCCTTAAATCGGCCATGTTACTTTTGTCCTTTTAAATATTATAGCACAACTCATCAGTATGCCATTGGGGGCAGTGTTTTCGAACAATTACATCATAGTTATATTCAAATACTCAGTTATTTTCCTACTCCATGCAAGCTGCTCTTTAATATAATTTCTTTTACTGGGATGAGTTGCTTGCTGGCTGTACCACGAAACTACACATGGATGTTTTATGAAAGCAATACTTTCTAGCCTTGCTCAGCTCTGCTCCAGCTTTGCTCAAATATGTCATGGGAGAGGAAGGAAGGCTCTTCCTTGAGTCCTTGAAGGGGGGTGACTATGCTACTGTTCTGTGCCCCTTTCATCAAAAGAAAACTAAAAACTTTGCTATCCTCAAGGGCTACCTTGAACATGATTTCTCAGCATAGAGCCCAAAGACAACTTGTAACAGATACAGCTCAAGTGTTGTCAAAAATGAGGACTTCTGGGCCCCATTTTTACTAAATTGAAATTTGAAAACATGAGATAAAGAAGTTTGCATTTTTAACAAGCACCCCAAGTAATTTGTGTGTGTGTGTGTATCACATACATATACATACATATATATGTATAGGTCGTCTTCCCTATCTGTGGGTTTTGCACCTGTGGATTCAACCAACCATGGGTTGAAAATATTTGAAAAAGATTGCCTCTGTATTGAACATGTACAGATTTTACTTTCTTGTCATTATTTCCTAAACAATACAGTATGACAACTATTTATGTAGCATTTACTTTGTAGTAGGCATTGTAAGTAATCTAGAGATAATTTAAAGCCTACAGGATGATATACATAGGTAATATGAAAATACAATGCCATTTTAAATCAGAGACTTGAGCATCCATGGATTTTAGTATCCACAGGAGGTCCTATAACCAATCCCCCAGGGATACCAAGGGGTGACTGTATATATATTACATATATGTACACACACATATATACATGTGTGTGCATATATATATATATATATATTTAAAACATTATTATTCAATAAATGTTGAGCACACACTACATGCCATGTCCTGTGGTGATTGCTAGGAATACAATGATAAGCAGAAGTAGATATAGTCCCTACTCTCATTAAATTTCAGCCTGTTGGATAAGCTAGATATTAACAAATGACCACAGAAATAAACATCAACTCTTAACAGAGAACAACAGGCATGAACAGGGGAAAATATGAAATGTGAGTGCTTGGCCTTGCTAAGAATTCCAAGGAAAACTTCTCTGAACTGAAACCCAAAACTGAGTCTAAATCAACTAAGGAAAGAGGAGAAATGAAAGTTGTGTTGGAGGCAGAAGGAAAGTGATGTCATGAATCTCATGGAAAAAGGAGCATGAGAGGAGAGTGGTGAAAGAAGCCCAGGGTAGTGACAGCCACATGGTGAGAGCAAGCAGGATATGGGAAGCTGGAGAGGTGGCAGCCGCTGGACCACACCGAGTCTTGTAGACGCTAGTTTTGTTTTTAATTTATGCAAAAACAATGGGAATCACTTGGAGAGCTTAAAGTGAGAGGGGACACTGGTAGGGTTACAGCTGAGATTTTCTTGTTGATCTTTGAGCTGTGGTATTCAATAAGGTGGTCACTAGCTACATGTGGCTAAATAAATTTAAATGTAATAAAATTAAAAATCCAGTTCCTCAATAGTAGGTATGTGTGAGAGAGCCCAGATGTAGAATATTCATGCTTGCAGAAAGTTCAGTTGGCAACACTACCCAAAGGGTTGCTTTGGGCCCTAGCATGAGCATCCCGAGAACCGGTTTGAAATGTATGATGTCAAGTCCTGTCTTGCATTCTAAGGTGATTCTTAGGTGACTTGTATGCATGTTAAAGTTTGAGAACCGTAAGTCTAGAAGGTAACTGGCCATTTAATGGGATCCTATTGATAATTTGCTACTGTGAATGGGAAGAAAAGCACCCATAAACTTCCAGTATGGAGAATAATGACTGAAAAGATGCCAATATTGCCAAGTAAACTACCAATTTGGACCTAAATTTTATAAGACCTCTACAAGTCCCTTTCGGAACTCAGTGAAATATACACACCACCTGGTTCAAATCAAATGCTTTGCATTTGGTGGAAAAAAGATAGTCTCACAGTTCTTTCCAAATATGATTTCAAAGTGTTCCCCCACTCTCCTCCCTTCCCCATCCATTCCCCTGTATTCCCCCTCTCTAATATCTTGCTGTTGTGAGTAGGATTGCTACATATCATACCAATAGAATTCAGGCTGTGACACAAAGCTTAATTTTCTTTTTTAGGGTTCCCAGTGGAAGACTATAATGTGTGAAATGTTATTTGTTGGGTCGTTAAAAAGAAAGTAATGAACTCACTGGCTTCCTGAAATTGTAGTTCTATTTTTCAGGAGTATGGGAGCCTATTTATTTTTAACTGTACTATTATCATACAAATAGATCAGCTTGTGTTTGTTACCCATTTCAGACACGCACTCCACTCCACTTTTATTGCACAGTCTGTTACATGACAAAATACTTGAGGAAGCTCACCAAAATCCCAGACTTGTAAACAAACATAACATACGTGAGGAGAGAAACATTTCCAAATAGTTAGCCTATGCTCTATGCTAAGGTTTAATCTTAAGCTGAAGAACAACATAGTAGCAAAGTAATAATAATCTAATAATGAACACTAACCTATTATGAACATATACTATGTGCCATAGATTGAATATTTCTATCATCTCAGAATTCATATGATGAAGTTCTAGTCCCCATTGTGATGGTATTTGGAGATGGGGTCTCTGGGAGCTAATTAGGGTTGGATGACATCAGAAAGGTGAAGCCCCTACGATAAGATTAGTGGTCTGATCTTATCAAAATGGCAGTCATCACCTTGACTTTGGACTTTCCAGCCTCTAGAAGTGTGAGAAATAAATTTTCGTTGTTTAAACAACGCAGTATATGATATTTTGTTATGGCAGCTTGAGCCGACTAAGGCATTATGTGCCAGGCCCAGTGCTACGTACCTCCCAGGCATTGGCTGATTTGATGTTTACTTATATCATGAAGCTAAAATTAATATTATAACCACTTTACAAATGAATGAAGAAAACTGAGGCTCACAGAGGTTAACTTCCTAAAGTCACTATAATCATTGCAAACTCATATGTTCTGTTCACTCAAGTTCAATGAAATCCATATAAAGCTTTCAGTAATGCATATATCAAATAACAGCAGCTAAAAAGCTACCCAAAGCATTCCATGTACTTGCAAATGCCAACAAATTTTTGGCAGTTATATTAAACTATTACCTGCATCTAAGCAGATGCTATTATTTTATGGATGTAATTAGGTTCTGTGTATAAAACAGATACGTCTGTGGCTATTTCCTATTTTTATCTGAGAAACATTACTCACTTGGATTCTTGTAGCACAAACAATATGGCTTGCTGAACACAATTCCACATCAAAAGGGTATTTCTGCATGTATAATAAACCAAAATTCTGCTGGGCGCGGTGGCTCATGCCTGTAATCCCAGCACTTTGGGAGGCCGAGGTGGGTGGATCTTTTGTCAGGAGTTCAAGACCAGCCTGACCAACATGGTGAAACCCCGCCTCTACTAAAAAACAACAACAACAACAAAAATTACCCGGGTGTGTGGTGGCATGTCTGTAATCCCAGCTACTCAGGAGGCTGAAGCAGGAGAATGGCTTGAACCCGGGAGGCGGAGGTTGCAGTGAGCCGAGATCACGCCATTTCACTCCAGCCTGGGCAGCAGAGCGAAGCGAAACTCTGTCTCAAGGAAAAAAAAAAAAGAAAGAAAGAGAAACCAAAATTCGAACCCTTTTATGTAACCTCTTATGCAGCCTTGGATAGGTGATTTTATCCCTTAGGACAGAGTGTTTTTTTGTGGAGAAAACAGTGATGGTATTTAACCTTCTCTCCAGATTTAACACTCTGGTTTTATGTTCTCAAAGAAAGTCATAGTGAGAATTCCACTATTTCAGCTGATAAAATAAAAAGTTTGATCTTGTTAAACTAAAAGGAGATGCCTCTGTATTTGAAGCCTTACTTAATGAAGTGCAGCCTAAATAAGTACATACGCTAACTGAAAATCTAACTTAAGAGTGCACTCTTAAATAGCTGAGTCTCAGCCAATCACAGCAGTTGAGCTTTAGTTAATCATAGGTGGGCGGCTGATTTGAATAAGGCAACTATGAGTGTTAAACTAAATTTGAGGTAATTTTGACTTTTGACAAATCTTTATAACAAGTTTAGGTTTTGCGACAGGATTACTTTGAATTTTGATCTCCAAGAGGTCAAAAACCAAAGGAATAGGATAAAAAAAAAAGTCTAGACATTGATCTGTTGATATAATCTGTCCTGTTGGCAAATATAAAATAGTTAGCTGTATTGGGCATGTGTCATTTACTTACAAGTCACAAAAGCCCACCTCAAAATGGATTCAACAAAAAACAACAACATAATTATTGATTCACAGGACTGAAAAGTTGATGGGTAGGTACGGTTTCTGGCAAAATATCCCTGCCAATAGATTCAGCCTTGCATCCTCTCAGCTTCTCCTTCTTTAAAAAAAGGATGATGGGTGGTCATGTGCCCACATTTGAATCTATCCTATGGCTGAGATAGGTCATGTGTCTATGGTTTGAAGCAGAGATGAGAGGAGTCTCATTCTTAGCTGCCAAGAAACCACAAAGAAAATCCAGGTAAAATTACCAATTGAAAGGAGAATGGACATTTGAAAAGGAAAAAACAATAGTCACCCATCTCATCAAACAAGATATTAAGAATAGTGACAACAACAAGTGACTGAGTGGTTTTCTGTATCTTACTAAAAATAATATAATAATAGCTGTAAATTATTGAGCATTTCCTATATGCTAGAGACTGTGCTAAATGCTTTACACACATTATCTACTTTTCTTTCATATGGATGAAGAAACAGAGGCTCAAAGAAGTTGCATCATTTGTACCGAATCCAAACACCTAGTAAGAGGCAGAGATAAGATATAATAGGGATTTATCTAATTTCCAAGTTCACGTGCTTAAGGGTCTTAACCACTATATTGCTTCCATAAGAACTACTTTGATATTTTGTTTTGATGGAGTACAAGAAAGTAGAAACTGCAAAATAAAATAACTTCAAAATGTGGCTTCAAAAAACAAAGCTTTTTGCAACAACAAAAAAATAAAATAGAATATAGCTTATTAATAATGTCCAGAAGAGGCTTGTGATGCAATTAGTACTCACAGTGTTTTAAGCAATTCAGTTACCTTACCTCCTAAATACCAAGGTATCAAAAAATAATTTTCAACATGTATTTGTATATGTTATATGTGTGTGTAAAGAAAATTACAATTCAGTGTTTCCAAAACAGTCATTAACCATCAAAACATGTACACTTTTGACAACCATCACAACTCTTACTGGTTATAACACAATTACTATTTATATCAGTTAATAGTGATATCTGTATTATTCCAAGCCATGCAGCTTAAGCTACTAGGACAGCATTAACCAGTAATTTGAATCTTGGCAGTTCATGTGTCTACAACCCACAACTTCTGCACCCAATCATTGTCAAGATACTACAATGACACGACCCCAACATAAGCAATTTTCTATAATAGGAGTTTCCAGACAATGCCCTACAGGCCAAATCCAGCCTGCTGCCTGTTTTTGTAAATAAAGTTTTATTGAAACACAGCCACACACATTCACTTACATATTGCCTATTGCTGCTTTTACACTACAATGGCAGAGTTGAGCAGTAGGCACAGAGAGCATCTGCCCAAGAGGTGGAAAATATTTATTATATAACCCTTTGCAGAAAATGTTGTCAACCCCTGCTCTAGAATATGGCATACATACTATACTGCAAGGAGGATCTGAAATGTTAAAGGGAAATTCCAAGAATCCAGAAATATTTCTCCTATTTTGTAAATCATAGAGAGGGAAACTCATACTTTATGGACACAGATTGACTTTCTGATACTATGAAAAGAGTATCACATAACACCTCAAGCCAGTCTATGAAAATAGCAGTAATGGAGTGTCCACCAGGCCAGCTGCTCCCAAACAAGCGAGAGTTCACCCAGACACCAGGACTGCCCTTTCCTGATTTAGGGTCTTTTACTTCTTTATTTTCTGTTTCTGTTTAGGTCTTCTAAGAAAGGAGTTAATGAGCTGGAATATTTTCATTCACACTCTTTGGGGTAACTGCCAATTGGGAACTATGACCTAAACTTTTTTTCTTTCAAATGTTCCTGAAAACATTTTAAACCTTAAAACCTTCCTTAATGGTTTCTCTTTCACTGGTTTCTACAAATCATATCTTGTTTCCTTTCCACTAAATCATGTTGAACCTGCAATCATATATAAACTAGATATGTTCAACTCTTAACAAGCATTCACAGAACAGTGGCTACTGAGGGACTTTGCTTACCCACTTGTCTTTTGAAAGATTAACTTGGCCTTTATTGGTCTATACTTGGAATTATTGTATTCTGTCTGTTTCCTTAAACACCTTGGTCTCTGGGTGACCCATTCTCAATAAAGAAGGTATGTGCTTAACAGTAGAGCATATTTTGTATTTCCCTGACTCTGAATTAAACTCTAGGGATGATGCTCCTGTATTTTACACACAAACAGATTACTCAAACCTTGTGTGATTGGATGGAGAGAGGGATATTTTGGATACAAAATTCAATCCTGATCCTTTATCCTCAACTCTAAACTGCACAGGCAACCCGTGATTAAATTTCCAGCAGTTACATGCTGACTTATTAGCCATTAGGATATACCTCTGAGAAGTACATCTAATGGCTTGCAAGTTGCTGGAGACATTTCACTTGTGCTGTTTAAATAAACTAGTCATGTTTCATTATGCACCATAATTTTTCACTGTTGGCCCCACAAACTTTAGAATTTTTATATTTTCAAGAAATGCAAGAGTAAAGACATGAATTTGAAAATGTACAAGAAGTATTTACCCAAAACCAAAACAAATATGTCCCCCTTCCCATTTTTGGTTGTAAGGGGACTATATATCTAGCAGAAAGAGAAAAACAACAATCCTTAGAACATTTTGAAGTCAGAAAACAAGAAAGCTGATGACAAGGAGAACAGAACTGTGATGTATGATGAGAAAATCATAACTCCAAGATAAACTCTTATTAAGAACAATTCATTCATTGCTGCCTGCCACTGCACGTATAGCAGAAGTTGGTTCCTCTTTCTAAAGCCCACCTACTTCAAAAAATATTCGCATCAGCCCTCATATGTAAATTCCACTCGTGGAACGTCAATTCTGATATTGAAACTGCAAAAACTCAAATAGAATTGCTTTCACTACTCTTTCAGTTACATACATCTTGATATGACCACCTTAAAGCTTGTTTGAAAATACACTGTGTGTTCAATATGTTGTTGTTGTTGTTGTTGTTTTTTCCCTACCTAGCATCTATCCAAGGAGAAGACCACATCATCATGAGGCGGTGATCTGTTCTAGCAGCCAGCATAATATCAACAAACCAATTGGATTCACAAACCCCAGGTCTTTCTCTACCATTATTACAAACTATGCATTCTCTTTCCACTGAAGATACTGAGCTATTAATACATAAGTCTGGAGCTACAGGTACCCTGGCAAGGGAGAGCCTGCCTGAGAATGGAGTCAGCACAGATAGCAGAGTTAGGAGACTCAGAAAGACAATTCCCTAATGGTATTATCTGAGTCCAAGAGTATAGTACTACTTAATGGTAGAACCACTATAATTTTCAGTTAGTTGAGTGAACAAATTTGCTTTTTGCTTAAGCCACCTATTCTTACTTGCCACAGAAGATTAACGTTCTTAAAAGGATTCAAAACATAATAAACCCTATCGTGATACGTTTACCAGACACCAACATTTTGAAGATATGTGATACTTGACAGGAATATTTTGATATGTGATGGGGGGAATAAGAATCTAGAAGGGTAAGCAGAGTCCATAAGCTCCGAATGAAATACAAAATAGCCAGGCACCCCAAAAAAGAGTGTGGTGTGCTGATGATGGGGGGGCATGATAAAAGGGAAGCAAGTAGAGGCTGAACAAACACATACTTTCATATACTTGACGACGATGTTAGTGGTTAGGAATGATTTAACAAAATGTGAGATCTAAAGTTTTATGTAGGGTTAATGCTAAAATACTCCAGCAAAACTATTTCTCCACTGATTTGGGCCAGAGTCATGAGCCATTTATTTCACACTTTTGGCCTCATTACCAAATACCTCTACCATTCTTCCAATCAGAGCTTCCCAATCACTTTGCTGAGCTACTGATTGTCTTACTCTCTCTGGAAGAGCCAGGAGTAACCAAATCCCTTAGCAAGTCATTGTCAATCATGGACAGCTGTCAACAGCACCAGTAGGAATCACCACACATGTGTGTGTTTTGTTAGTTGTTTCACCTCCTTAAAACTTTTTTTCTCGTCTGCAAAGTGGATTAGTCTTATCTACTATAATCATAATGAAAATTACAATCAATATAAAATATGAAAATTGTATATGTGGTATCATAATACAGTAGGCACTATTTAAACAATAACTCGTACATTTTCTATAAACACATTTTACATTTGTTTGCCGACTATTTTTGCATTTGTGTAAAATGCACATATTTAAGACAAACAATTTTTTTCCCAGCCAAAATAAATGCATGAGAGAATCTATGGATGGAAAAGCCTTGACTTTTCAGAATCCTATGTTGTTGTTGTTTAAAAACTGGCACTTCATAAGGAAAATACTTGGAATCATGCAGATATCTACTTAATCCATCTTCCTAATAAGGTAATTTATTTATTACAAAGCAATTATTCACTCTGAAGTGACTGGATGGCAGAGTAAGACATATAATTGGATTTGAGAAATAATCTGAGGCTATAGTAGTTTTTATTAGTAAATACTATGTATACATTAAATAAGAGGGCAATAATATACTTAAATCATAATTTTTATAATTATATTCATGATTTCCTAATTTCAAAATTTTGTATGTTAATTACACTATTTAAAAGTGCATCAGAAATTTCGGTGTACTTTTATAAAAACTGAAACAGGTATAACAGACTTGCAAAAGGTATTAGCATCACCAGAAAGCTAGTATTTGGGAGTCAACGGAAGACCAGCAAAGTTGTAAAAGCAAATATAGAAAGAAGTGCCTATGCATAAAATATTCAGCAAGATAATAAGGTAGTATGACATTACTGACCTGTAAAAAGTGTCATGCAGAGTGCACATGAAAAGTAAGAACAAAATATTTCAAAAGGCTAAAGATTCGTGACTTTATTCCGGTAAGAATATAGTAAAAGTCAATGAAGAAAAAAATTGAACAAATGTATAAGAGAGATGCTATTTTTCTGATCGTAAAAATGGAAACTAAATATAAATTACTTGCTTCTTATCTAAGCCTCCTCTTCCTCTTTACCTAACCTGATCCACAGCATAGACTCTTGTCTCTTTTATAATGCCCTTTCTGAAGTTGAAATAAAACATTGGAACAAAAATGCACAGAAATTCATAATTTTTATTTTGTTTTTCAATTTCCCACTTTTATTTTAAGCTCAGGGTACATGTACAGGATGTGCAGGTTTGTTACATGGGTAAACATGTGCCATGGTGGTTTGCTGCACAGATCATGCAATCACCCAGATATTAACCCCAGCATCCATTAGCTATTAAAAAGTCAAAAAACAATAGATGCTAGTGAGGTTGTGGAGAGAATGGAATGCTTTTACACTGTTGGTGGGAGTGTAAATAGTACAACCATTGTGGAAGACAGTGTGGCGATTCCTCAAAGACATAGTGACAGAAATACCATTTGACCCAGCAATTCCATTACTGAGTACATAGCAAAGGGATATAAATCATTCTGTTCTAAAGATACATGCATGCGTATGTTCATTGCAGCACTATTCACAATAGCAAAGACAAGGAATCAACATAAATACAATTATTTTCTAAATTTATATAAGTGAACTTACATGGTATATAATTATTCTTTGTGGGTTTCTTTTACAAAATATTACAGTCATATGATTTTTTTTCCCATATGGTTACTTGTGATAGTTTTCATTGCTATATATAAATATACCACAAATCTTGCTATTAAAATAATGCTGTTATAAACAATCTGGACCAGCCTTTTCTACACATTTCTTTTGGGAATATACTGTACCTAGGAGTATACTTGCTAAGCCAAAGCTTGGCAAATATTAATCTTTAGTTTTCCAAACTGGTTGTGTTAACTTGCCCTAGTACTTGGACTGTTTGGATGTTTCCATGGGTTCATAACCCTCTCAATACTTGCAATTACCATGATTTGTTTTGTTTTTAATTGTAGACATTCTTATATGTAGCAATATCTCACCAGTTTCCTTTTGTATTGAGCTATAACATATATGCAATAAAATGGACAGATCTTAAGTGTTCAGCATGATGGATTTTGAAATTTTATTCACTTATGTAATTACTATCCAAGGAAAAATACAGTTTAGACCATATCCATCACCCCAGAAAGCACTATCTTTACTTTTTCCATTCAATTCCAGACTTCCACTTAACATATTACTATCCAAAATTCTATTACAGTAGTCCTGTTCTTGGACCTCAAATAAGTGAAATCCTACGGCATAGGGTATTTTATGTCTGGATTATTTTGCTCAATATTATTTATAAAATTTATTCACAATGTGGCATATATTGGTACTATTTATTTCCTTTTAATTGTCAATCAGTATACCAGAGTATTACTATACCAAAAATTGTTTTTTCTATTCTCTTGTTGATGAGCATTTGAGTTTCAAATTTGGGACTATTATAATGAGGATGTGATAAATAGTTTTATAAACATTTCTGTGGACATATGTTTTATTTTTTCTGTCTTGTGTAAATACCTAGGAATGGAATTTCTGAGATAGATGTATACTTAAAGTTATTAGAAACTGCCAAAGTATTTGTACAATTTTATATGACCACTGACATTCACGAGAGTCACTCCATATCCTTGCCGACACTTAACATTGTCACTCTTAATTATATTCATTTCATTGGTTATAATGTAGTATACTATTGTGGTTTTAATTTGTATTTCTTTGATGATTAATGATGTCGAACATTTTTTACATGCTTGTGTTTATTGGCCACTCTTGTATCTTTTTTGACAAGCATTTTTTCAAAAGTTTCGACCTTTTTATGTGGTTATTTGTACTCTACTGTTTTTTTGAGACACTCGCTCTGTTGCTCAGGCTGGAGTACAGTGGCACGATCATGGCTCACTGCAGCCTTGACCTCCTGGGCTCAAGCAATTCTCCTGCCTTAGCCTCTTGAGTAAGTGAAACTACAGATGTATGCCACCATGTATGGCTAATTTTTTATTTTTTGTAGAGATGAGGTCTCACTATGTTGCCTAGACTGCTTGTTTATGTTTATAACATTGATTTGTAGAAGCTCTTTATATATTCTAGATAAAAGATCTTGTTCAATTTATGTATTGCAAATATTTTACTTCAGTCTGCAGCTTGCCTATTCTTTTTCTTAATAGTTTCTGTTGATAAGCAGAAGTTTTCTTTTTTAATATTGATAAAGTCAATATTACTGATTTTTATAATGGTTAATGCTTTTTGTATTTTGTCTAATAAATCATTACTCAAAATGAAAAAGACATTTTCCTATATTTTATTCCAGAAGATTTATGGTGGTAGATCTTATACTCAGGACTTGGAATCATCCTGAATTAGTTTAATTTTGGTGTATGGAGTGATTTATATAGAATTGATCCAGCATCATTGTTAAAAAGACTTTCCTTTCCCTATGCATTTAGTTTAGCATCTTGGTTAAAATAAGTTGTCTTTATATAGGTACATATATATCTGGACTTTCTAATTGGATCTACCAATCTATTTGTCATTTATTATACCAGTACTATGGACTAATGTAGCTTTATAATAGTTCTTAAAGGTAGGTAATATATGTATTATAACTTTGTTCATTTTTAAAAATCATTATATATAGTAGATTATTTGCATTTCTTTTTTAATTTTAGAATCAGATCATACATTTCTTCAAAAGAGAAGGCATTTTGATACAGATTTAGCTGAATCTGTAAGATATCTGGCTGCTTTTAAGATTTATTATGTATCTTTTGCTTTCAGCAATTTTATAATGGCATTCCTTAACATATTTTTTCTTTCTATCTATATCTGCTTCGGTTTTATGGGACTCCTTAAATCTCTACCTTGAATTTTTTAAATAGTTAACAAACATTTCAGTTACACTCTTTTCAACTCTCCCTTCCACCCAATTTACTCTTTCCTTCACTTACGAGTCCAATTACATATTACTTGACATTTGTGCTATATTCTTAGTGTCCATTATGTTATTCTCCATATTTTCCATCCTTTGGAAGCTCCTTGCTTCTGTTTGTATATTTTATTTGACCTTACTTTCAATTTATTTACTTTTTTTAATTTTGTATTATCTGGTGATGAAGCTCAATCATTCAGTTTATGAAGACCTCAACCACTGAGATCTTAATTTGTTATTTCACTCATATGTTTAATAATTGTGAATTTTAAAATTTTCCAGTTCTCTGTTAAATTTCCCATTTTGTCACTTAACTTATGAATACATTAATTAAAATTATTTTCAAATCATGGGTTATAATTATAATGTGTAGTTATCCTCTTGGTTAATCTCAGTTGTCTGATTTTCCTTTTATTATTGCAGAATTCTTAACTATTTGTGCCTTTTAAAAATTGTTTACCAACATTATATATCATCAAATATAAAACTGATATCAATAATTCAAAGCTTTATTTTATACCATCTTCCACCTGAAAGAAATTATTTCTCTTATCATCAAGAAGCTGGACACATCATCTTAAAAAGTAAATTTGTATCCAAGAAATCTGCTTTCAAAAAATACATCAAAATATCCTCTGTTGTAAATCTATAACAGGCAGGTTTTCAGTTAATTGATATATCCCAGTTTTTTAGTTAGGATATTTCCATTTTTAATTAATAATTATTGACATTGCTTGATGATAAGGAAAAATGAAATTCATGAGTTTAACTTACAGAATAAAGCAAGATGCTCTGATTAAATGATGCTTAGCTTTGCCTGTGAAACTAGCACAGCGAAGGCTTAAAGAACTGAATTGAGATTTAAACCACCACCTACAAAACAAGACAGGTCTTACAGTCAGAATGTAACCGGATTGATTGCCTCCTAAAACAAAAACATCCGCATTCCCAAGAGGATTATAAAAGAAATCAGAATCTATACAATGCAACATTAACAATAACAAGGATACAACCCCAAATTAATTGACACTGAAAAACCTAGGAAAATGTGACCTATTTTTAAGTGAAAAAACAATCAACAGTTGTGAATCCCACAATGCCCAGATTTTGCGATTACCAGACAAGGACTTTAAAGAAGCTATTATAAATATCTATTATAACATTTATAATGAATACATCTAAAATGTACAAAAAGATGGGAAATGTCAGCAGAAAAATAAAAATACAAAAAAATGAAAATGTTAAAAATGAAAAGTACAATATCTTAAATACAAAGTTTAGTGGGAAAGCTCAATAACAGTATACACGTTACAGACAAAAATGTCAGTAAACTTGAATATAGATCAATAGAAATTCCACAGCTCAAGGACAGAAAAAAAGTTAATTAAAAAATTGAGCAAGACTAAGGGACCTTTGGAACAATAGTAAAAAGTCTAAAGTAAGTGATATTGGAGTCCCAAAAAGAGAGAATGAAGTGATTAGGGCAGAACTGTATTTTTTTATCTTTCTTTTTTAAAATTTTTTTATTTCTATAGGTTTTTGGAGAATAGGTAATATTTGGTTACATGAGTAAGTTCTGTAGTGGTGATTTGTGAGATTTAGGTGAACCTATCACATTGAACCTGATTTGTAGTCTTTTACCCCTCACCTTCTTCCCACCCTTTCCCCGAGTCCCCAGATTCTATTGTGTCATTCTTATGCCTTTGCATCCTCATAGTTTAGCTCCCACTTATAAGTGAGAACATATGATGTCTAGTTTTCCATTCCTGAGTTACTTCACTTAAAATAATAGTCTCCAATCCCATCCAGGTTGCTGCAAATGCTATTAATTCATTCCTTTTTATGGCTCAGCAGTATTCCATCATATATACAGTTTATTTATCCACTCGTTGATTGATGGGCATTTGGGTTAGCTCCACATTTTTGCATTTGCGAACTGTGCTGCTATAAACTTAAGTGTACAAGTATCGTTTTAGTATAATAACTTTTTGCCTCTGGGTAGATACCCAGTAGTGGGATTGCTGGATCAAATGGTAGCTCTACTTTTAGTTCTTTAAGGGATCTCCACACTGTTTCCATAGTGGTTGCATTAGTTTACATCCCCACCAGCAGTGTAAAAGTGTTCCATGTTCATCATATCCACCCCAACAGCTATTATTTTTTGATTTTTGATTATGGCCATTCTTGCAGAAGTAAGGTGGTATCGAGTTGTGGGTTTCATTTGCATTTCTCTGATCATTAGTGATGCTGAGCATTTTTTCATATGTTTATTGGCCATTTGTAATCTTTTGAGAATTGCCTATTCACGTCCTCGGCCCATTTTTTGATGGGATCGTTTGTCTCTTTCTTGCTAATTTGTTTGAGTTCGTTGTAGATTCTGGATATTAGGCCTTTGTCAGACGTATAGATTGTGAAGATTTTCTCCCATTCAGTGGGTTGTCTGTTTACTCTGCTGACTGTTCCTGTTGCCATGCAAAAGCCATTTAGTTTAATTAAGTCCCAGATACTCAGCTTTGTTTTTACTGCATTTGCTTTTGGGTTTTTGGTCATGAAAACTTTGCCTAGGCCAACGTCTAGAGGGGTTTTTCTGATGTTATCTTCTAGAATTCTTATAGTTTCAGGTCTTAGATTTAAGTCCTTGATCCATCTTGAGTTGATTTTTGTATAAGGTGAGAGATGAGGATCCAGTTTCATTCTCCTAAATGTGGCTTGCCAATTATCTCAGCACCATTTGTTGAATAGGGTGTCCTTTCCCCACTTTATGTTTTTGTTTGCTTTGTCAAAGATCAGTTGGCTGCAAGTATTTTGGTTTATTTTTGGGTTCTCTATTTTCTGTTCCATTGGTCTCTTTGCCTGTTTTTATATCAGTACCATGCTGTTCTGGTGACTATGGCCTCATGGTATAGTTTGAAATCAGGTAATGTGATGCTTCCAGATTTGTTCTTTTTGCTTAGTCTTGCTTTGGCTATGTAGGGTGTTTTTTGATTTCATATGAATTTTAGTATTGTTATCCTATACACCAATGGTGACCAAGCTGAGAATCAAATCAAGATCTCAACTCCTTTTACCATAGCTGCAAAAAAAATGAAATACTTAGGAATATACTTAACCAGGGAGATGAAAGACCTCTACAAGGAAAACTACAAAACACTACTGAAATAAATCACAGAAAACACAAATAAATGGAAACATATCCCATGCTCATGGATGGGTAGAATCAATATTGTGAAAATGACCATACTGACAAAAGCCATTTACAAATTCAATGCAATTCCCATCAAAATACCACCATCATTCTTCACAGAACCAGAAATGTATTTGAAGAAATATAACTTAAAATATCCTAAATTTGGTGAGATACAAAAATTTAGAGAATCTCAAAGCTTAGTAAATTCCAAATAGGATAAATTCTAAGACAACCATGGTTAGACACATAATAAGCTACAAAAAATGACATTACAAACAAAACTACTATATTACACAGAGGGGAATAACAATTTGAATAGCTGTGAATTTCTCATCAAAATTCATCAAGACCAATAGTCAGTGTCACAAAGTCTTTAAAGTACTTACAGGAAAAACATACAAACAAACAGATAAACCTTTCAACTCAGATTGTATATTCAGCAAAAATATACCTTGGGAATGGATGAGAAATAAAAGCATTTTCAAATCAAAGAACAACAAAGACAATTAGTTGCCAGATCAGCTAAACTGTAAGAATTTAAGGAAGTTCCACAGGCTGAAGAAAAAAAATAGTGGAAAAAAATTGGAATCTTTAGGAATGAATTAAAAGATTGAAAAAATGTAACTAAATTCATCCTAAAAAATTAAACTAATTTTAATAGCTATATATAAATGGCAAAGCCTTTAATTAGATTTTTGCCCTAATTATTCAGATTATTCAAATGTTATTTTTATTTCAATTTCTAAATAGAACTATAAATTCAACAGATATATGTAGCAAAACCTGTGTTGTGCTTACAGAGTACTCATCTCTCCATTTACCAGGAATGTTGGCTGCTGAAGGCTTACAGGTGAGTCCCCTTTACAAATTGCACTCATTAAGTAGAAGGATGGTTACCAGAGGCTGGGAAGGGTAGTGGGCTGGGATGGAGGGAAGTGGGGATGGTTAATGGCTACAAAAATAAATAGTTAGAAAGAATGAATAAGGTTTAATATTTGATAGCACAACAGGGTGACTATAGCCAATAATAGTTTAATTGTACATTTACAAATAACTAAAAAAGTATAATTAGATTGTTTTTAAGACAAAGAATAAATGCTTGAGGGGACAGATACTCCCTTTACCCTCATGTGATTATTATGCCTTGTATTCCTGTATCAAAATATCTCACGTACCCATAAATACATACACCTACTACATACTCACAAAAATTAAACATTAATTTAAAAAATGAGGTCATGAAATTGGATTGAGGAAAAATGGAAAAAGAATAAAACAACAAAGAATGGCACTGGTTCAAAGGGAGCTGCCTCACCCACATTAGGCATCTTTCCCAGAGGCAGCCCATGCTGGTTTCTGTTGGAGTACAAAAGCGCAGCTGCATTGCCTCCATCTGGGACAATTCTGAAGGGTCATTGCAGCTCCATAGCTCCCTATAGGGTCAGCTGATGGCCTTTGTTCCAACCACATCACAATGTAATTTTTCCCTCTGTGGAATCTTACTTCATTACTCCCTTGTAGGTGGTGTTTCAGGGGCACTCCCCAGCACACCTCCTCCTGCCTGCAAATCTCTGCCTCAGACTCTGTTTCCTGGGTAACCTGACCTAAGAGAATTGATCATACACAGAACCCTTCTATAGCTGACTCACTTGAAGAACTGTGAAAGATGAGGGGGCGAGGAAAAAAAAACAAACATCATGGTAAGTTTCAGTTGAAGACAATTATTTAGATTGTTTCTCTCAGTATGATTGGCTCAATAGAACACACTTGTGGAACCCTGTTGAAAGTCAAATGATACCACTGTGAGCCACTTTTTAGCAAGAGACTCCATCAACTCTAAGATCCATGTATGGGTCCAATTTACTGACGGTCTGAAGTGATAGAGATAAAATAATGGAACATGATTCAAAAATGGAAAAATGAGAAAATACTCTCGTAAGCCATAAAGTACATAGAGACATAGATGCTGAGTTTTCATAAGGAGCCACAGTTATTGACTGGCGTTCAAAGTAAATAGACAAAATCTTCCTTTAGAAGCAACAACTGATTTATGCTAGAAAAATATTTCAAACTATTTCCTTAGATCAGGCACATTTTTTAAAAATTACATGAACATTCTCAATCATTCTAAAATGCTGGGGATTAAAGATGTTTGGGTTGATGCTTTTTCTTATCCTATTTCTACTATTTGAAAAAAATTCAGTCAATCATAATAATCTCTTGCATTATATAGATCCCTAGAGTTTAGAGTACACTATTGTGTACAGTATCTCATTTGTATTTTTGTTATTATTCATGCAATACATGGCTATTGTAGAATTATTGAAAAATACAGAGAAGCAAGAAGTGCATAACAGATTACAGGTAAACCCAGTACCAAGATAAATATTGCGGTAGACATATTTTATTTTGCCTTTCTAGTATCCCTTTCTCCCAAAGAGTGCATTCTTTTCCAATAAAACCTCTAACTTCCTTCCTTCTGTACCCCCAATTCAGTCCATATGTGAATATGATTAACCCTACTATTTAGTCAAAAAAGGGGGATTTTGTCTCAGGCATAACTAATCAAATGTCAAAATGATTGGCTCAGGGAATAATATATGAGAGAGGACAGACCAATGGATACTGGGACATTCGAGGCAGAAACTGAGAAAAATGTATAGCCATGTATAGCCATCTTGACTACCACATGTGATCCCACCTGAGACTAAAGCTAACAAAAATGAAAGCAGAGTAAAGGTAAAGCCAAAGGGCTCAGGACAACACTTAAGCCTTTTAATCCAGTTGTGCCTGAACTGCTTTTGAAATTTTCAGTTTGTATGAGCTAACAGTTTCTTTTTCCTTAAGCCTACTTGGATTTTGCTTGTATTACAGAAAGAGCTCTAATCATACAATAACAATAACTATTCATACTTTGTTGCTTCTTTTCCTGGCTATATTTTGATAAATATACACAGTTTAATAGATAGCAGAGTGACAACAAAATTGGGAATTATCTTATTTTTATACATAAAATCATCCAGCATGATGTACAAAGCAAATACTGCATTTTTAATCCTATTTTATACACAAGCAAGAACAAGGAACAAGGGATAGAGCAAATAAGTCAAATTTTAGCCTAGAGCCCATGCCTTGTTAATATGGTGTGGTTGTTTTTATAGTGCATGACATTGTTCTTCAATTATCTCATTATCCTAACAATCTATTTCTTGAATTAGCATTCTTGAATTGATAAGGATTACCCATAATGTGAGAGTAAAAGTGAAGGAAGAAATCATGAGTGTATAAAGAACTTTGTTGATCCTCAAAATTCTAAATCTAGGAAATAATGATATTGAAGAGAGGTCCAGGACTTGCTAGAATGTGGACAAGGGTTTAAGAATATTAATTCCTTCATTCAACGTAAGTGTATTTTATGCTTTCTACGTGCCAGACCTGTGTCAGAACACTGGGACTGTATCCTCGATGAAACCCTCCTTGGTCCCTGCCCTCATGGAGTTATACAGAGGAGATGGAGGAAACAGACCACATTCAAATAAATAGACAAATAAAATGAAAATTTCATCTCTGACATGTCCTATGTAAGGGAGATATTTTGGTGCTAAAAGAGTTCTTAACAGGGCATTTGACATGATGAGGAAACTTAAGGAATGCCCTTGGGGGAAAGATGTTTAAACTGATATCTTTATGATGATTACACTTAAAGGGGGATGGAAAAGTATTCCAACCCAAAGGAACAGCATGTGCAAAGGCCCTGTGAAGGGGTTGGTGCCTACAAATAATATTTAGGATGATGAAAAAGTTGTTGAGTCAGGAGTGGTTAGAGCAAGTGGTAGCATGACTAAAGGTACGGCTGACTTTTGTTTTTCAAAACTTAGATTTTTAAGATTGTTAATTTTTTAAAACAGATTTATTTCCTTTCTCTCCCAATATACAAATACAGAAATATTTTTTCCACACAAATTAGCTTCCTATTTTTTAAATCTATAGAAAAGAATATTCTTTCAGAAGAATATAACTTGAGTTAACTTTTTTTCCTTTACGATATCTAGTTTAAATTTCTCTTGCTTCAATTTAAGCTATTTTAAGAGAATACCTTTTCTGTGCTAGTCTTCCTGAGAATTATACAATTTACAATTTAGATGTGGAAGTGATCTTAAAGATATTCTAAAATAGTCCATTAATTTTAAGGATGGAGAAACTAAGCCCCCATTGTGATTTATACAAGGTCACCCAGTTAAAATAGCAGAAGTGACTAGTTATTCTCAATTTTTTTTTGCCAACTAAATTCCAATTTCTCTTTCCAATCATTATCTTGTCAATCTTTTAATCCTTTTCCTTGACCCTCCAGGTTTCCCACACCTCTGTTAAGCTGTAGAGCTCAAAGCATGTCACAGAGAACCTAAATGACAGCATACTGTAATGAAGCACAGGTTAGATTTCTGTAGAGTTTTTCACATTATATTGCTAACATATGTGTTCCTTAATATTACAAATGTGTATCATGCAGCCATTCAAATAAAACTGTAAATTTTACTACAGATACATAAAAAGCTGTCATCATAAAACTACAATTGACTGTGCAAACGCAAATATATTGTACAGTGTAGATTTTTCAAACAATCCATTTTTAATAGGAAATAGTCTAAACATTACTTTTGAAAATAGATTAAAGACAGCAACAAAGAGCATTTGTAATTAGATAATGAAAGTCATCTGCTATTAGAATAATTGTTGAAGTTTCCTTTTCCTTGAAATAAGTTAAACATTTCACAATGAATTGCCTAGTATAACAGATTTATTGACTGCTTGGGAATTCATATGTGTTGCAAATTATTTCTTGCTCATTTTCCCTTGCTCTTAAGTCTTTTTAAGAATTAATTTTAGGGTTTGAATCTGCCTTGATTTTTAACTGTCATCTTTTATTTATTTTCTTCTTTTGATAATGAAATGAATGAAAAATTCTTAGCAATTGTAAATGGAACCATCCTCCATCACAAAAACATTAATAATAGAAAAATATTGCTTTTAAATAAAGTGTCATATAAGGGATAAAGCAACATAAAAAGCAAACAATTGGTTTTCTATACTGTGCATAAATTAATATATTTATTATAGTAATATAGACATATAATTAAAATTAAAGGATGTATAAATGCATAATAATCATCCTCCCAAGTTCAATATGTGTATTATTATCATTTTTTAAATATAACTTTGAATAATATTCTTACAGCTGTATTTTTGTTCCCTCAACCTCAGTTAACATAGACATTTTTATCAAGGTAAGATAAAGATATTGACTTTCTTACACTCCTTTGCTTCAAATTATTCCAGGTCTTGATTTGATTCATACTTGGATCAAGATTTTCTTATATGTAATTTGGCTTTTCCTGGACTCCAATTGCCTTTCCTTTTCCTACCTGGCCAATGAAACCAAAACAACAAAAATCTTCACCATAGTTTCAATTCATTTTATGTATATGTAAAGACATACACACACGCACATACACACACACCACACACACACACACACACACACAAATTCTATATTACATAAGGTCTTTTCCCTAAAATATATAATTCCTAAAGTGCTGTATATCTGCTTCAATCTGCGATTAGAAGCACCTGGTCAAAAACTCTTCCCCTGCAGTATCTCTGCTTTCATAGGTAATATCCACGCTTGTCTGGATCACATGAACTAGGTTTTCTTTGTTTATCTCATAACATCTACTCTTGTTTTCTTCATATTGCTACAGTATATTAGGGAAAGTGCTATGAAAAGATAACAGAGATTGATGGCAGCGGCGGCCTGTCTGGAGTGGCTGCTGCCATCACACCAGCTGCAGCAGGGAGGTGCAGCCCAGGCTACACATTCTGTGGAGTCGGCGGGGAGTGAGGGCAAGTGGGATCCCCACCCCTTCCAAATTAGTGGGTTGGGAGCTTCCTGGGTGCAGCTGCAGCCACCCAAGTTGTGGCAGTGGATCATGGCCCCTGGATCCACGGAGCAGGCAGGAGCCCTGCCCTGCTGGGTGCAGCTGCAGCCACCCAAACCACGGCTGCAGACCTGGGCCCCTGTGCAGCTGCAGGTGCCCAAGTTGTGGCTGCAGACCCACACATACCTGCACTCTTGGGGACCTAGGAAATCCCCCCTGCCCTTGCAGGCTTGGAAATACCTGCTCCCACTGCCCGGCTCTTCCTGTTGTTTGTGCCCACTTCAATCTCAGAGCAAAGTCAAGGCTGAGCTGGGGCTCTGTCACAGCCTGGCCAGGTGTGTACATGCTCAGGGCAGTGCTGATATGACAGCCTCCTGCCATCTCAGTCCCCTCGGGACTTTGGGCACCAATGAACATAGGAAGCAAGTTGGTGTCGGGCTGAGGGAAGCTTGGCACTGGCCTGCAGGTATCCCTTGGTACCTACAGCCAGGGCGCCACGAATGGCAGTGGGAGGCAGACAGGCTCCCAGGTAAAAGGAGGGGCGTCCCTGGAGATGTCCTACCTTCAGGTCAGAGAGGGCCTGAAGACTGGGGACCAGGCTGCTACCCCCACAATGGAAGTGGGAACTCGTGGTGCCTTTTCTGGATGTGCCCATGGCCACCCGCAGACCAACTGGTGCACACTTCCTCCCCTCTGAGGCCCATAAAGCCTTGGGCTCAGCCAAAGCTGAGCAGACGTCAGGACAACCAGCCGTAGAGAGGAGCTACCCACTCCAGGCCTGCTCTCCGCTGAGAGCAGCAGACATCAGAATGACTGGCTCCAGAGAGGAGCTACCCCTTCCAGGGCCTACTCTGAGCTATTCTGTCAATCAATAAAGCTCCTCTTCAACTTGTTCACCCTCCACTTGTCAGTGAGCTGCATTCCTCATGGACACAGGACAAGAACTTGGGACCTGCCAAATAACAGGGCTGAAAGAACTATAACACTATCAGGGCTAAAACACACCCCTTGCTTGCCACGTTGCAGGTGAAGAAAATGAGAGAAGAGCTGTGGCCCTTTGGGGACCCCAGGCCTGGGAGCTCCCCAAGCCAAGGCTGTGACTCCCTCTTTGGAGCCCTGTGGTTCCAGGAGTTTCCAAGCTTCTGGGCACCACTGTGTTCCCTGGTGGCAGCCATGTAAGCTGCTTGTGGTGGACCTGGTCCAGCTGCAAACTTCAGAGGACTGGGACCTGTTCCTACATCTGGAGCAGCCGCCCTGCTGCAGCAGCTGGCATGCCTGACTGTGCACAGTGGCTGGACCCCATGCCTACTCATTCATATACCCCTCACTGCTCCACACCTGGCTCGCCCTCGGCAGGCATGGGATCCAGGCTGATAGTGTGAGCAGAGTGCAGCCTGCCAGGCCAAGTGGGCAGAATGAGCCCAGTGGGCCCTAGCAAAACTCAGCCAAAAAGGCACCAGCAGCCGCAGAGTTTCCCAGGGAGAAAAGCAACACCCCAAGGATCCTGTAACAAAATGGTAAGTGTCCAAAATCTTGACTATTTCAAATGTTCTCAACTGATTGATAGTTTGGGATAGTCTCATTATTCATGATATCACACACGTGTTAATGGGTGTAGTTCTTTTCACATTCACCAATAAACTCTTTCATTTTAAAGACTCAGAGTTCCCTTCCACTTTAGATTTTACTGTGTAATTTTTCAATTACTTCCTCTTTCCTACTTTTTCTAACCCTCCTTCTAGGGCTGCTATAAGCCGGATGTTGAATGTTCTGTAGTAACTCTCCATTTCTCAAGTTTTTTGTTTGTTTGTTTTATTTTGTTTTGTTTTTGTTTTTGTTTGAGATGGGGTCTCACTCTGTCACCCAGGCTGGAGTGCAATGGCATGATCTCAGCTCACTGCAACCTCTGCCTCCTGGGTTCAAGCAATTCTCCTGCCTCAGCCTCCCGAGTAGGTGAGACTACAAGTGTGCACCACCATGCCTGGCTAATTTTTGTACTTTTAGTAGAGATGGGGTTTTACTATGTTGGCCAGGCTGGTCTCAAACTCCTGACCTCAGGTGATCCACCCTCCTTGGCCTCCCAACATTTCTCAAGTTTTATAAAATATTTTCTATAATTCTTTATCTTAATTTTTCAATTTAATATTTTATTAATTTATCATTCTTCAATTGATTGTTTTTAAAATCAAATTTTTAATTTATGAGTTATTTTCATGATCTGTAATTTTTCATATTTCATAGCTATTTTTCACATTTTATGAATGCAATAGTTTCCTAATTACTTTGAAAGATTAATATTAGTTTTAGGGTTTTTTGTTGTTGTTGTTCTGTTTTGAAGATATCTCTGTTTTTAAAGTGATCATTTTTAAGAATTATCTCTATCCTCATGTTTCAGCTTTTCTTCAATCTAGAGCTGTCTTTTTTATATTGCTATTTTTCTTCCATAAACGTGGTCATATTTAACTATTATTTCTTATTTAAGAATGAAGAACAGGGATGAATACTTAGGTAGCTGGTATGCATTTCTTTTACCTTTGAATAAATTTGCTTTTTTTTCTAGTAGATTCTTTCTCAGAGTGGCAAGCCAGACCAGGAGGTCTGTGCTATCAACTATATGGTTTCAATTTAGGGTGATCAGGCTAGGAAAAACTGTTGGGTTATACACGGTTCTATTAAATAACAGAATTTAAAAGTCCTGGTTTTATTCCAGGGCACCATCACCTGTACCAAATGCCTTAGTTCTCCCAAGAAGCTGCATCCAATAACTTTATAGAAGACCCTTCTGGCTTGGTAGTAGCTATTTATAGTAGGCTGCTTAATTCCTGGTTAAGCCAAGCTCAGCACAGCTGTTTTGTTACAGACCTTAAATTAATCCTTCAATTTCCACCTCCGTTCTTATCATTTTTCTCTTTCCTTTCCTCCAACTTCTGTTGCAGTGCCTTTCTGAAGTTTTGGTTTGCAGGCTGAATCTCACTCCGCTAGAGTCTTCTAGGGCCATATTCTGGTCAACAGCGTCATAGACTGAAATACAGTGATTGCTCAAACTTTCTAGCTTCTAGAAATTTGATGAGCTCTTACTTGTGTTAATTCTCTATATCATTTTGGGTTTATTATTATTTGCACTTCAATGCTATGATCATAATGGGGCTTCAGAGGAAAGAGAGGCTAAAATGTTCTAACCAGTGTTGAAATAGAAGCTAAACTTCTTTAAGTTAATATTGTTTAGTGAATTTTCTTCCTTTTTGTAATGTTGTAGTCGAATTTCGTTCTTTTGATTCATCTATAGTGGTTTCCTAGAATGTGCCTTATAATGTTGTTACATACTATTCTTGAGTAGTTTGTTACGAACCTTTGTGTTTTCAAGTGTCACTTGAGAGAAATCAAAGCATGCATTAAGCCAAATACTTGAGTAAAATAGGTAAAACCTTGTTATTTATAAATTACTAGTTTCTTACAAGGTACTTGGGTCTACCATGAATTTCTATGAGCATTAAAAAAGAATTTTATTCTTTCCTGAGCAATTGTATCCTGTCAGGTTTTAACATATAATTTAAAAACAATTTGTATTCATTTGGCTACCATATCACCACAGCACATGATAGCAAACTGGCAGAAAACCAATCTATCTGGAGCAGATGCCGTCGGGCCCATGGTAACTTCCCATTACTAATTCAGGGCTCACTGGCTCATCTTCCAACTTTCAGCACCTATGTTGCTTTGCCTGAGATTTTTCTCTGGCAAGATGAAGGCTGCTTTGCTGACCCTACAACAGGCTAAAAATGTCAGGATTAACAACCTCAAGACAGCCCTCAACCAATGACTAGCAGATGTTTAGAGTATTAGTAACCCAGCTCCCTCCTTCCTCAGGTGGAATAACTGTGAGGAGTGGCTTCCAAAGCTTCTCTAGCTCTTATGTATGTATCTGGCTTGAAAATGAAGCACTGTTAATGCTTTTCTTCTCTGCCCACTTGCCCTCTTCCTTACCTGGGGTTACCTTCCAAATATACTACCAGACACAAATCCTTGTCTCACGTTCTGCATCTGGGACAACCCAAATTAAGACAACCTCTAACAAAGAGAACAACTTTAATCGCTTCATATATTAAAACTATAAATAAAATTACCATGGCCTAGCAAGTGAGAATGAAGCAACATATTTGCATGTTGAAATAATCATTTTTAATATTTTCATTTCATTCCAGATTTTACCTGAATGGTGAAGTTTTAATCATTTTTCTGAAAATGATTATCAGAAATCAGAAAATATAAATAAAGCTGTACTACTTTTTAAGACTGAAATAAAGAAACATATTTTTAAAACCTTATAAAGGAGTTCTAGTTCCTGAGATTAAGGTTGGGGACTGCAAGTGTAACACAAAATTGTCATTCTCAATGCACAAAAAATGAGCTACTACACTTTGAGAAAAATAATATATTAACAATAAGGAAAATGGAATAACTTAATAGAATAAGCTTGAAAAACTTGTGAAAAGGAAAATAAAATAAAAAACAAATCAGAAGGCCGGGCACGGTGGGTCACACCTGTAATCCCAGCACTTTGGGAGGCCGAGGTGGGCGAATCATGAGGTCAGGAGATCGAGACCATCCTGGCTAACATGGTGAAACCCCATCTCTACTAAAAATACAAAAAATTAGCCGGGCGTGGTGGTGGGCACCTGTAGTCCCAGCTACTCAGGAGGCTGAGGCAGGAGAACGATGTGAACCCGGGAGGCAGAGCTTGCAGTGAGCAGAGATTGCGCCACTGCACTCCAGCCCGGGCGACAGAGCGAGACTCCATCTCAAAAAAGAGAAAAAAAAAAAAACAAATCAGATAGTAGTGGCAACAGGAGATAAAGCACTTGCTTTCTAACACTGATCCCGTTGTCCGGGAGCTCCATACAAAAAATGAGTCAACAAAATCCCTTGACCACTGACTATCAATGCTTCCCAAAATCTGGAATGAAGTAAACTGAGTGGGCATCCATTTTCTTTTTCCTTTTTGTATTGAAAAGTAATGAAATCGGAAAATAAACCCAAGGAAGATAACAAAAAAAAATGACTCAATCAACTAAAGGGCCCAGGGTTGCATAGTAGCTTGGAGAAAGTTTCAAAGCCAAAGGTAGTCCCACCATGAAAGAAATATCTGTCTTGCATACAGGCAGAACAAAATTTGGTTGAAGACTTTTAGAAAAATCTCAAAAGTGGAACATACAGCCTTAACTGGGTTTTCCTTATTCACTCTCACCTCACATCCCTCATACAATCCCATCTACATCTGCAGAAATGTGCTTAAGATACACAATCCCCAACCCCACTTCTAGCTTGGAGAGAAAAATTAGTGTCAGATATTAGGAGAGTCAGGTTTCATTCACTCTATTTAAGAGCAAATGAATCATGGACAGAATACCTAAGTGATATGGTTTGGATCTGTGTCCCTGCCCAAATCTCATGTTGAATTGTAATCCCCAGTGTTGGCAGTGAGGCTTAGTGGGAAGTGATTGGATCATGGGGGCAATTTCTCATGAATGGCTTAGCACTATCCTCTTGGTGCTGTTCTCATGATGGTGAGTGAGTTCTCATGAGATCTGGTTGTTTAAAAGTGTGTTGCACCTTCTGTCTCCCGCTCTTGCTCCTGCCATGTGAGATGCCTCACTCCCTTGCTCCTGCCATGTAAGATGGCTCACCCCCTTTGCCTTCCACCATGATTGAAAGCTCCGTGAGGCCTCCCCAAAAGCAGAAGCTGCTATGCTCACTGCACAGCCTCCAGAACCATGAGCCAATTAAACCTCTTTTCTTTATGAATTAACTAGTTTCAGGTATTTCTGTATAGGAATGCAAGAATAGACTAATACACCAAGCATAAGCCAGATAAAAAGAAATAGCTTGGCGATAACACAAATATATATCAGAGGGAACGAAGGAATGGGAGGAAAGAAAAAATAATAAAGAAGGAGAGGAAACAGAACATAAAAAACATGAATCCAATTCAGAAAAAAATTAAAATCTTAACCAAAAAATTACTCATAATTGTTCACAACAGAGGACAAATTAACAAAAACATGAATTCTGTAGAATCACATCATAACAACAGTAAAATAAAACAATAGTATGAGATGAAAATGATGAAAGTTGACACAGACCTTCCACATCAAAAACTAGACTGGTTAGTCCCTCACAGATGAAGAAATAATCCTTTAGGCATTCAGCAAGGGAAACAAACAAATAACATATTAGGGAGAAATCTTAGGCAGGATGACTATTAACACATTTGTGGTTAGATTCAACACCAGAAGACAACAGAGCAACATCCACACAGGTTCCAGAGAAACAAACATAAGCCAAGAATATTGAACCCAGTGAAAACATCTTTCAGGTATTTAAAATAAAAACAACACATTTGCAAACAAGAGGAGATCTGTGAAAATACCTATGTCCTAATTATACATGGTAGGCAAACACAGGCAAAAAATAGGAATCTGACTACCTAATACATTTCATGATCTCTTTTGTAAACCTAAAGGAATCTTTTATGAAATGTCTCTTGTAATAAAGAAATATTTATTTGATGCTCATTAAGTTTACTCAATTTTAAATTGTTTTCGATAAAATTTTAAAATCAAATTTAATATTTCTAAATTATAATAGCAGTCATTACATCTCTTTTTCTGTATCTACTTATCTATCATTCTCTGTGTTTAGCCTTCTTCTAGATGTAAAACCTGAAATGGTAGTTACCTAATGTTCGTAGTGGTGGATACGGTTTTACAACGTATTTCATTGTCTCTGTTTTTCATTTGACTTTGTAAGTACTTTAATTTTTGTTTCATGTTATTCTTTATGCTTGTAAACATAATTTTAACAAAATAAATCAAGTAATGATGATATAGAGAAAGGAGGAGGAGGAAGAGAAAGAGGAGAGGAGAAGGGGAGGAGGAAGGAAAGAAAAAATAGGAAAGAGGAAGGAAGAAGGGGAGAAGGGAGAAGAGGAGGAGGAATAAAGAAGAAAGAATGAGGAAGAAGTAGTAAGAGGAGGAGGCTGGGCTCAGTGGCTCACGCCTGTAATCCCAGCACTTTGAGAGGCGGAGGCAGGTGGACCACCTGAGGTCAGGAGTTCGAGACCAGCCTGGCCAACATGGTGAAACCCCGTCTCTGCTAAAAATACAAAACTTAGCCAGGCAAGGTGGCTCACACCTGTAGTCCCAGCTACCCCAGAGGCTGAGGCAAGATAATCGCTGAAACCGGGGAGGCAGAGGTTGCAGTGAGCCGAGATCGTACCATTGCACTCCAGCCTGGACAACAGAGCAAGACTTCCTCTCAAAAAAAAAAAGAGGAGGAGGAGGAGGAAGGAAGAATAAAAGAGATAAAGAAAGCAAATGGACCAAGATTTCCATAGCAGTTCATTTTGAGAGAGGGAAAATATGGGTAATTGTTATTTTCTTATATATACTTTTCTGAATTTTATAAATATTCAAAAGCAGTTTTTTAAATAAATTAAAATTAACATTTTTGAAACGCTGCTTTCAGCAGCAAATTGTTCCTACAATTAAGCTTTTTAGAAGTTCAAGAAACAGCCAAATAGTTCCAAAACTGTAGTGTGAGAATCATTATGTTAACCTCTATTTACAGCTAGAAAAGGGGTTAGGAAAAAGAAGAGCTGAAAAAGTGAAAACATATGCTGTTCACTGAACTTTTTTGTCACAAAATTGATGGAGAAGTTGTATGTTGATTAAAGAGCAATTTCCAGAGCCGCAGAGATAACAGCCTTCTTCTCATTTGCCATATTAATTGTGGTTTGCCCTTATTTCAACCCAGGCAAGAAATCCATCCTCTTCACAGTTTCCATAATAAATATAGAATACGGAAACATAAAAATTTATTTTTGTAAATGTTATGGCCTTTCCTAAGATGCCAGGATTACTTTGTTCTCCCCTTATATTGCAGTTTATTTCATTTGAAAAATGCCATTCAACCTCTTCTCCTCTCCCAAGTTTCTTTGTTTCATGCTTTTGGCAGATAATTCCTTTTTAAAATCCCTTTCCCACAAGGCAGTGCCTGGTTACTCTTATACAAGCTTCCATTCTGAGATATTCCTCAGGCAATTAAAATCCCTCTCCTCATTATAAAGCATAGCTGCTTAAACATGGCCCAGATCCCACTGCCATGGTCCCATGCCCAAACCCATCACTGCAAGGAACCACCAGTTAATTATAAATTTACGACCGCAGTCTCATACACTTGGAAATTTTTTATATATAACAGAGCAAGTCTATTGACTCAGGTTGATTTCTTCATTGTGGTGGGAAAAATGTAACAAGGCTCCCAAGATTTCCACGACTATGTATGCATGCTCTGTATGATTTCCTCCCTTTGGGTGTAGGTGGAAGCTGTGAGCACCGTGAGACAGTCATTCCCTCAATCTGGTTTCACCATATGACGAAGTTGATGTGATGATCACTCTTATGACTAAACTATGTTATGTAATATTCTGTCATAGGAGACTAATGAGAGAACCTCCTGCTGGTTTTGAGAAGGAAGTTGCCATATGGCTAGAATTTGATGGCAGCTTCAGTTGCCGAGCATAGATCCCAATCAATATTCAGTAAGAACATTGATCCTACAAGCCCAAGGAAATAAATGCTGCCAAAAACTGCAGTGATATTGGAAGAGGACCTCAAATGTCAGATGAGATTGCAGGCCAGCCAACACCTGAATTTGAGCCTAGTGAGACTCTAAACATAGGACCCAAGTAAACCATACTTGGACTCCTGACCCACAGACACTATGACATAATACATGTGTGCTGTTTTAGCCAGGCACAGTGGCTCACACCTGTAATCCCAGCACTTTGGGAGGCTGAGGCGGGCAGATCTCCTGAGGTCAGGAGTTCGAGACTAGCCTGGCCAACTCGGTGAAACCCCGTCTCTACTAAAAATACAAAAATTACCCAGGCGTGGTGGCAGGCGCCTGTAATCTCAGCTACTCGGGAGGCTGAGGCAGAGGATCACTTGAACCCAGGAGGCAGATGTTGCAGTGAGCCAAGACCACACCATTGCACTTCAGCCTGGGCAACAAGAACAAAACTCCATCTCAAAAAAAAAAAAGTGTTCTTTTAAGACATTAAATTTGTGATAATTTTTACAGAGCCTTGGAAAACTAATATACTTGGTAAGTGAGCCAGAATGAGTAGACAATAAAAATCAGAATATAAAATACAAACAAGTAGACAAATATATGGATAAAAGACAAAAATTCTTTCAAAACAAAATAGTTAAGCAATGCTGTCAAGCAACTTGAATAAATTAATTTCTATGTAACACTGCAATCATCATGTGCAGAATACAAATACTTTGCATGCTCTTATGGAACATTCATTAAGGTTTACCATGGTTTGGGCCAATAAAATGTCTAAATTAATTTAAAATAAATTTAAACAGATAAAGTTTAAAACCAAAGGAAATTTTAATAATAATAATAAGAAGAAATGGAATGAAGTAAATAAGAAACAAATAATAGAGGCTGGGCTCGGTGGCTCAAGCCTGTAATTGCTCAAGCAATTTGGGAGGCCGAGGCGGGTGGATCACAACGTCGGGAGATCGAGACCATCCTGGCTAACATGGTGAAACCTCGTCTCTACTAAAAATACTAAAAATTAGCCAGGTGTGGTGGCAGGCGCCTGTAGTCCCAGCTACTTGGGAGGCTGAGGCAGGAGAATGGCATGAACCCGGGAGGCGGAACTTGCAGTGAGCCGAGATCGCGCCACTGCACTCCAGCCTGGGCAACAGAGAGAGACTCTGTCTCAAAAAAAAAAAAAAAAAAAGAAAAGAAAAGAAGCAAATAATAGAGACATTGAATAATGTCAGAAAGTTGAATTTTTGAGATGATTAATAAAATTAACCAATTCCCAGCATGCTGGACCAAGGAAGAGAAAATGCAAGCTGAGTATGCAAAGGCATACAAAGTGGTATAATGGACATTGTAGACCCAGAAAGTAGTAGGCAGGAAGGGAAGTGAGGGCTGAAAAACTACCTACTCAGGTGTTGGGTGCACTAAAACCAGACTTCATCACTATACAATTCATCCATGTAACCAAAAGCCACTTGTACTGCTAAAGCTATTGCAGTTTAATTTTTTTAAATAAAAGAAATAGAAAATGCAAATTACCTAACTAACAAATGAAAGAAGGGACATTGAAATAGTTCCTGAAAATATGAAAAGGACAATAAGAGAATACTATGAACAAAACCATGCTAATAAATTCAGAAACTTCGATGAAATAGATAAACTTCTTGAAAAACAAAAATTACAAAAACTTTCACAAGGGGATACTAAAAATATCAATAGGCCTATATCTATTCAACATCGAGGTCATAATCAAAAGCTGTCTAACAAAATTTCAGGATTCATATGCCTTCACTGTTGAGGTCTAACAAACATTTATGAAAGAAGTAATACCAATCTTAGACAACTCTTTCAAATTAAAAGTAAGAAAGAACCCAAGCCAAATTGATTTTTGAGACCAGCATAACTCTAATACCAAAACCTGACAAGGAAAATACAGGAAAATAAAATTAGGTCAGTATCACTGGTTATCATAAATTCAAAATGTTTATGGCAATACTAGCAAATAGCATCTAACAGTATATGAAAAGACAATACATTATAAACATATGGAGTTTATCCTAGGGATGCAGGGTTAATTTAACATCAGAAAGTCAATCAATGTAAATGACAATGTTAACAGATAACAAAAGAAAAACACACCATCATTATAATAACTGGAAGGATAAAAACACTTAGCAAACTAGAAATATAAGAAAATGTTTTCAACCTGATAAAAAAACCAAAACATTTACTTAATGATAAAATATTAAAAGCTTTGTCCCTAAGATCACAAACAAGGCAAGGATATCTGCTGTCACCATTGTACCAGAAGTCCTAGCCATTGAAATAAAATAAGCAAAAAAATAAAAAGCATAAAGACAGAAATAAAATTAAAAATTTAATTATATCTACATGAGATCATTGTGTATATTTAAAGCAACAAGAATTTCTAAAACATGTACCAGAATTTATGGATTTAGCAAAGCCAAACAATACAAAGTTAGTGACCAAAATTTCCTTGTAGTTGTACATCTTATTAATGAATAATGGGAAAAATAAAATCTTAAAAATACCTTTCATGTCAAAATATTAGATTGCTAGGAATAAATTTAGTAAGATCTCTACTCTGAAAACTATAAAATGTTGTTGCAAGAAACCAAAGATGATCTCAGTTAGTGCAGAAATGGACCATGATATGAGTTAGATGATACCAATGTCTATTTTCATCAAAACCAATAGTAGAATGATCTAAATCCCAATCAAATTCACAGTAGGATTTTTAAAGAAATGGACAAACTTTTTCTAAAATTTATAATGAAATGCCAACAATCTGTTTTAATCAAAGCAATCATTTTCTTTTTTGTTTTTCTTTTTCTTTTTTTCTTTTTTATTTTTTTTTTGAGACGGAGTTTCACTCTTGTCACCCAGGCTGGAATGCAATGGGCAATATCGGCTCACTGCAACCTCTGCAATCTTGAAAAATTAGAAGTCTATATATAGAACTGTAGTAATGAAGATAGCATTCTATCCAGCCTGGGCGACAGAGCGAGACTCCGTCTCAAAAAAAAAAAAAAAAAAAAAAAAAAAAAAGATAGCATTCTACTGGTATAAATAGAGGCAAATAGATAAATGGAACAGAACAGGGAGTTCACAGAAACACATATTTGACCAACTGATTGTTATCAAAGCTGCCAAATTCTTGTTAAAGGAAAAACCATTTAACAAATGATCTCAGAAAAGCTAAGTATCTGTAAAAAAAAGGAAAAAAAAGAACATCAACTACTACCTTACATCATACACAAAAATTAATTTAAAAAGAATCATTGACCTAATTGTAAAATCTAGAATCGTAAAGAGTTTGAAAACTATCCTTATGGTCTCTTAAGACACATAAAACACTGACAATAAAAGTTTTTCTAAATGAATATATTGGAATTCATCAAAATATACAATTAAGGAAATGAAAATACCAGCTACAAGCTTAGAAAAAATATTTGCGACAAATATCTGACAAGACTTATATTCACAACAAATGTATATTATATATATAAACATGTATATATTAACCCAAGAGAACAAGAAAAAATGAAAACCATAAAGAATGAAAAGGAAAAATTTAAATTTTAATTATATTTGTATTACATTATTTTGTACATAATAAGACATCCAAAATTTCCAAAACATGTATCAGAATTAGTGAAGTTGGCAAAACCAAAGAAGACAAAATCAGTGAGCAAAATTCCACTGTAGTTCTGTATCTTACTCATGAGCAATATACCAACAATGGTATACCAACAATATACCATTTAATATAAATACATATGTATTAATTGCTTCAAACCAATACTAAAAAGAAAAGCAACCCAACAAAAAAGTACAAATGTCTGAAATGACACTTCACAAGTACATAACTGGCCAATAAACACAAGAAAAGCTGTTCGACATTGTCAGTTACTTAGCAAATGAAAAGTAAAACCAGAGTGAGATTTCCTGTTTTTATCCACTAGAATGGCTAAATTAAAAACAATTTGGTAAGCAGGTGAAATAACTGAAATTTTTACACATTTTGATGGCAACATAAAATATTACAAGAACTTAGGATTCATTATTTTGCAGGTTCTTATAAAGTAAAACATATCAGCACCCTATTAATCAGCAATCCACACTTAGCTATGTACTTAGAATACATGAAAATGTATCAAAAATGACTAAAGGATGTGCTCAGCAGCTTTGCTTATAATTGTGCTAAATAAAACATTATTCAATGACACTTGTGAAAACACAGTCAGGAAGACTTTATTGAGGACCATCACATTAGGTATAGGAACCACTGCAACAGGCTCTTGCAGTGGGAGAGAGATTGGGCTTAACTCCAAATACCACATGAATCAGTGGGAATTTATAGCCATGAAGCAGTGTGGAGGTCAGTGGATAGCAAATTACTAGAGGAAACATCAGAGGTAAAGGGGATTCTGGCTAAACCAACCTAACAAGATTCGTGCTGAAAACAGGTCGGGGTGATCAGACATCTCCTGCGGATAATGGAGGATGAGGAACCTGACCAGATATTGAGAATGATCAAATATTGAGGATGAGATGTTCTTGCTAAACTGACTTAGCGGGATTCTTTGATAAAATTAAATTTTATAGGGAGATTCACAGATGTGCCTAACAGGAGATACAGAAGCCTGACTAACGTTTGGCTAAGTGAAGAAGGTTTGCCAATAGTCAAAGACTAGAAGCAACCCAAATGCCTTCCTTAGGAGAATGATATAAACAACTTGTAGTATATTCATACAATTAATACTAGTCAGCAAGAAAAAGGAACAAATGATTCATATGTGCAGCATCATAGATGAATCTCCACATTATGTTGTATGAAAGCATCCAGACACAAAAGAATACATACTTCATGGAGCCATTCATATGAAGTCAATGAACTGGCACAACTAATCTGTAGTGATAGAAACCAGGGTATGTGGACTCAATGAGGAGATTGGCTGAAAAGGGGGAGGAGGGTAATCAAAACGTTATTTACCTTTTGGTGCACAGAACTGTTAGAATGCTCCAGAGTAAACATTTGAGATCTGTGCCTTTTACCACATGTGAATTTTAACTCAATTAAAAAAGGTGAATGGGATTATTTCACAAATGTTCAAGCAGGATTGTTATTTGTTAAAGTTCCATTGTTAATTTCACTTATACATACAAATTAGCTTTCCTCTTTGAAGAGTATTTTTGGTACTTCAGAAACAAAATGCCCTGCCTGAAACAAAGTGCTCTTATGATTCTGCCACATAGAAAATAGTGTTATCGTTGTGTCTCATTAAATATTATTATATGGATTGATGATTTTGTAGAGACTAAATTACCCATGTCTTTAGTTCTAATTCTGACAACACAACAATGTAAGTAACTGTACCTATCATTTCTTTAAATGCTTGGGAAAGTGTTAGGCACTTAATGTGTTGTCTCATGAGTGTCTCCAACAACTTTCTTTTGCCAATGAAAAAAATCAAGCTCAGAGCAGTTATATAACTTGCCCATGGTCGCATAGTTTGGTAGTTTGGAAGCCTGAGCCTGTTACTGAATATAAGTCTAATTACACAAACACTGCTCTGTTCCTTATACAATATTGTCTCTTAATTGGACATGACATCATTTCTTCAATACAACAAACTTATTGATACTTTAAAATTGTTACGGACTGATGTAACACTCAGGGCCTAATTAGAAATGCAAAACCACTAGGACATTCTACATATACCCAATTGTACACACATATAATACTAATTATATAGTATACATTAAAAAAATAAAATTACCTATCATCTATAGTGTGGGTGCATGTGTGTGGTTTGTGTGTGTGTGTGTGTGTGTGTGTGTGTGTGTGTGTGTGTGTGTGTGTCAAGGGATTTAAGGAATTTGTTGCAGGAATTTGACCTTAATCTTTCTGCAGGCAGTTGGGAAACAAGGACGGATATGCAGCTGGGGAGGTTTTAGCAAGCTGAGATCCACAAGCATGAGCTAAAGTCCATGAGACAACAGAGCTGCACCAGTTCTTGTTGACTTTGATCTTGGTGCTGTGTGTCCAGCAGGCTCGGAGACCCTTTATCACAGAGCTAAACACACACACATCCAATTCAGAGTCCAAGAAGGCAATGGAGGATCCAGGGAAAGGAAGATCAGCCGTAGGTTGGCTCCTTCCTCATAGCAAGAGGTGAGCCAGACAAGGCACACTATGTCAGAGTGGCTGCTGCCTCCCTTCTGCCTCTCAGCTCTTCCGTAAGAATCTCTCACGTGGCCCAGGCTAACCGGAAGCATATGAGAAGGAATTCTGCGAGATGCAGTTCAGCTCAGTCAAGTTGACACATTAGGAAGGCTCCGTGAGTGATTTGCACATGAGTTCTACTTATAATCAGTTCTAGCCAACTAAAACCTTATGTAGAATTGTAACAGAACTTCTCCAGAGTATAAGCCTTCCTTCACTGTTTTCCAGCTGTGTGACTGTGGACAAATTACTGAAATTCTCTGAGCCTAAGAATCCTCATATGGAAAATGAAGATAACAACACCTATTAATAATACTGCTATTAAGAGAAACAGATAACCATGTTAAAAAAAAAAAAAGAAAAAGACTTAGAACAGTGTTTGGTACCTGACAACCAAACAGTAAATATAACTGTTATTATTATCAAATGAACAAAATTTTCCAAATCACAAAAGTAGAGTCCTATTTTTTATTTAAGCGGGTAAGCCTTATCATTTAAAATATCTTACAAATGTGAACTTAGAAAATTACAACAGAATGTACCTCTGTAAACTTAGTTCATACATATACATGTAAATATAAATATATATGTTTTAAAAATTGCTGAAAATCTGCATGTATCAGTGAAAGTTCAGTTTGAAATAGGTATTTACCAAGTATTCACAGTGCTAATAAATATCATTTAATAGAAGCTGTCTAAAATAGCCTATCACTGTGAGTCTCTACAGGATTCATAATGAGAGTAGGACTTTGGAATCATATATATGCAATTCCAGCTCTCCTATAAGAATCTCTCATGTGGCCCAGGCTAACTGGAAACATACAAGACATGAAATTCTGGGAGGTGCAGTTTAGCTTACCCAAGCTGACACATTAGAAAGTCATCATAACTGATTTGCACATGAATTTTTGTGCAGATATATATATCTGCACAAATATTGCTGCGAAAGTAGAATTTTTTCTGGTATATTTAACAATCGCATTCTATAACAAAACCAGTTGATTGTGAGCTGATGTGTGACACTTTAGAAAAAGTTGGCGGTGGCTGGGGGGCGTAGAAATGCTAGCTGAGCTACAACTAAATTATTTAGTACCTCTTTGAAGGACAGAAGTAGAGCAAGCATCTGATCAAAAACCTATCTGTTATCTCACAAAACTTAGCTACCAAAGCAAAAGCATCTGGTCAAATGTGCAATGGCACAGAAGAAGATCCATCTTTATTTAATTATATGCAAAATACATTTATCTATGCAGAAATTTCTAAGGAATTTACAAAAAAGCTAAGAGAAGTAATAAGTGAGTTTAGCAAGGTCTTAAAATACAAGGTTGATATGCAAAACCGAACTGTATTTCTGTGTACTAGCAAAACCAAATATAAAAATATATTTTAAAATATATTTTTGAAATACTACTTATTAATGCCTCAAAAAATGAATGCTTAGAAATAGATTTAACAAAATATATACAGGGGCTATACACAGAGAAACTATATAATATTGCTGAGAGAAATCATAGAACACCTACATAAATGGAAAATTAAACCATGTTCATGGACCAGAAGACTAAATATTATTAAGATGTCAATTCTCTTCAAATTGACCTCTAGATTCAACATTAAAGCAGTCAAAATTCCTGGAGGATTTTTTTGGAGAGCTTGACAAGCTGATTCTAAACTTGATATGGAAATGTATACAAGGCCTAGTTTAAACCATTTTGAAAACAAAGAACAGAGTGGGAGGACTTGCGTTATAATAAACCTGGAGTACTCAGTAAATTAGAGTAAGAATAGACATCATGATCAATAGAACAAAAAAAGAAAGCCCAGATACAGGTACACAGCTATACAGCCCATTGATTTTCTATGAAAGTGTCAAGGTAACTCAATTGGGAAAAATAAATAGCCTCTTGGACCAATAGTAATAGAACTACTGCATTTCTATGAGCAATAAGTAAATAAATAAAGCTTGATCCTTACTTCACAGGATAGGCAAATATTAACTTGAAATGGACCATAAACTAAAATATAGATAAAAATAGACAATTTCCAAAAGAAAACATGGTAGGAAATCTTTATGAACTTGGGTTAGGCAAATCTTTCTTAGATCAGACATATTAAACACGAAGTATGAAAGATAAAAATGCTAAATTGGATTTCATCAGAATTAAGAACTTTTGTCCTTCAAAAGACATCCTTCAAAAAAAGAAGAGAAGCCACTGAATGGGAGAGAATATTTGCAAAACATATATGATAAAGGACTTGTACCTAGAATATAAAAATACTTAAAAATGAATAAGAAGATAAACAACCCAATTTAAAAATACAGTCAAGAGCCAACAAAGCAAAAAAGACATACACATGGATATGAGCAAATGAGAATATGAACAACAGTATCAGTCATTAGTGAAGCTCAAAATAAAAATGCAATGGAATATTATAACACACTTACTGGACTGGCTAAATTTTTTTTAAAGTGTCAAGAACACGAAGGAACTGGAACTTTTGTTGTGTTGTTTGGGGTGGGAATGCAAAATGGTACATCCACTTTGAAAAGAGTAGGGCTGGGTGCAGTGGCTCATGCCTGTAACCCCAGCACTTTGGGAGACCGAGGCAGGTGGATCAGGAGTTTGAGACCAGCCTAGCCAAGATAGTGAAATCCCATCTCTACTAAAAATACAAAAAATTAGCCGGGCGTGTTGGTGGGCACCTGTAATCCCAGCTACTCAGGAGGCTGAGGCAGGAAAATCACTTGAACCCAGGAGGTGGAGATTGAAGTGAACTGAGATTGTGCCATTGCACTCCAGCCTGGGCGACAAGAGCGAAAATGCATCTCAAAAAAAAAAAAAAAAAAAGGAAAAAAAAAGAAAAGAAATGAAAAGAGTTTGGCAGTCTCTTACAATGTTAAACATACATTTTCCCATACATCTGAGAACTTTTACTCCTAGGCATGTATCGAAGAGAAAAGAAAATATGTATTAACACAAAAAATCATACACCCTTGTACAGTCATATTCATAGTAGCTTTGCTTCTAATAGTCAAATACTGAAAAGAACCTGCCCCCATCAAATGGTAAATAGTTATGTCTGTTATATGTATAAATAAGCTGTCATAAGAAATTCATTTCAAAAAAGCTAGAATGAGTGTTTTGTGCCAGATCTTGTGGGATACAGTAGCGTTAGTCAGTACAGCTATTGAGTAAGATAAATCTGGATTTGAATCTATCACTAACTCCTTCTCTAGGCGTATGAGCCTGGTCTAATCAATCACTGTCTCAGAACTTCTGCTTCCTCATTTTCAAAATAGAAATATTCTCATTACCTATCTCATAAGGTTAGTAATAAGCAACATAGAACAAAGTGCATGCCTGTTGTGAACATGGGCCACATAATAAAACAGATATTATAGCTGTTATTTTATTATATCTAAATTATTCCTGGGAATGTATTTATTGAACATATTTTCATCATCATGAAATAATTTGGAGATTTATAAAATTTGTGAAAACAGGATTTTGCTTGACCAGAATAGTGTATATAAACTGAAAGTCAGGATATTTATTAATATTGTTATGAAATTTTATTAAATAATTCATTCAGATCTAAGTGTACCTGGACTCTTATCCACTGAGTTTTCCCAAAATTGTTAAATGTAGAGAATAAAGAATTCTTTGTCAATGAATATTCTTTTTTCTCTTATAACTTATTTTTGATTCTATAGTAAAACAATAAATATTATCTTAGAGATATAATTTCACATATATTCCAGCTCCCATGTCGTTTATCCAAGATGTGTCAGCTGTGAAACATCTGTTCCTACAGAGAATCAAAAAAAGGGGGTAGAAATATATTGCAAATGTCTTCAACATAAAAAAGACATATAGATAGATCTTACAGATTGATAGACCTTATTTTTCTGACGATAGATAGATGATAGGTAAGTAGACCTTACTTTTCTTCATGTAAAAATTCTCACTTGAAAATCAAATTCAGCAAACTGATATTCTAAAATCATTTTCTTTTCTTGACAATCTCTCACTTAGAAACTAGATGTATCAAACAAACCATTTTTCTTTGGAAGACTGAAAAAAAATGTTTCCACCAACCATATGCCTCATTCATCTAGAAGCAGGAGTATTTGGTGAAAAACAGAATTTACTTCTGCTTCCTCATTCATCTAGAAATGAAATTCCATATTCTATTCCAGCATGAATCTTTGTGATTAGACATTAAACATAAGTATCTTTCATCCTAGAGCAAAGATTTAGAAGGGAAATAAATCCACACTAACATAAGGCAAATACCAAAACAGCCACCTCAAAATGTCAAGTTAAGGACCTTACCAAAATTAGAGCAGTCTAGGAAATAAGCCAACTATCTGTTATGATATAAAAAAGATAGAGCAACCTTTTCCCTTCATCTCTATACTGTCACTTTCAACTCCACCAAATTATAGCTAAACTGCATATCTGAAATCAATAGCTACAATCTCCTTTGGTTTACGTATATAATGCCAGTATTAATAGCCAAATATGAATACTCTCATAAACAGTAAATGCATTAAATATTCTCAGCCATTGAAGAAGGGATGAGTAAATGAAAACTATTCCATATTCATGGACTGCAAGATACAGTATTATGAAATCTAAGTATTCCTCAAAATTTGTCTACATATTAATGCAATCTCCCAGTATCTCTGCAGATTTTTTTGTGGAAATTGGTCATTGACCCCAAAATATTATGATAATGCAAAGCCAAGAATAGACAAGGCATTCTTGAAGACAAACAGGGAGGACTTATGATACCACATGGCAATACTTACTATAATTAAGACAATGAAGTATTGGTGCTGGGATAGGTTAATAGACCAGCAGAACAGAATAGATTTGATAATCAGATTCACACATATATAATCACCTTATTGGTGGCAAAGGTGATAGTGCAATGCAGTGTAAAATAATTATCTTTTAAAAAGTGGCTTTGGGTGTAGGGGTATCCACATAGGAGAAAATAATTATGTCTCCTTCCTTAAAATTTACACAAAAAAATAATTGCAGATCTGAATGTGAAAGCTAAAACAGAAATCCATCTAGAAGATAACACAGGAAGGTATCTTTGTAATCTGAGGTAGTCAAAATTTCTTAAATAATACACCAAAAGAACCTAACGTGAAGTCAAAGATCAATAAACTGGGACTTCATTAAACCTCCAATTTTGTAATGTTAAAGATTGATAAATTTGACTTCTGTTCATAAAGACACCATTAAGACAGTGAAAAGGCAATCTACAAATTTGGAAATGATAATTGCCATTCATACATATGACACAAGATTTGCATATAGAATGATACAATATACATTGTATTTATATATATTATATACACACATACTTATAGCATATATCAATAAGAATATGTATCAATAATAAAAATAGAAACAAGACATTTGCAAAATACTTTATCACTTTCTGAAAAAAATTCATATGAAAGGATGTTCAACCATAATAATCATAGGAAGATGCAAACTAAAACCACCATGGAATATGATTATATAGCCAAAGGCTAAGATGAAAATGTCTAATAATCCCACTTACTGTCTAGGATCTAGAAAACCTATCATTCTCATATGCTGATTATCAGAGTGTAAAATTGCTACAGCACTTTGGAAAGCTACTTGCTATAGTTTATCATAAATTGGCCCCATGACCCAGCAATACCTCTTCTTGGTGTACATCCAACAGGCATGTGCATATATGTATAGCTAAGGATACGTAAAAGAATATATCTAGCAGCTTTCATTGAAATTACCAAATACTGGAAATAATAAGTCAAGTTTCCAGCCCCATTAGAATGGAGATAGTATTCTCAAACAATTGAGTACAGCAGTGAGAACAAAGAAATTAACAATAATGCAAATTAACACAGATAAACGCTCTAAGACATAATGTTGAGCAAAAAAACCAGACAAAAAAACTTAAGTATGTATAATTCCATTTGTAAAATAAAAACGGGAGAAACTAGTCTCAGGTATTGGAAGGCAAAGTAGTGGTTACATTTGGGCAGAGGAGTGATGACTGAGGGAGGTTTTCATGGTGCTGGTAACATGCAAATTCTTGATCCAGATACTGACAACATGAGTGTGTTAACTTTATGAAAATGTGTGATGCTTCACCTTAAGTAACTCTTTCCTGTATGTAAGAAAAAAAATTTAAAAAGAAAACCATCACTCAAACTAAAAAATTAAAAAATGGTTACTTCAGGGATGGGATGGGATGGTAAATTTTATTTTCATTTGGTATTAAAATGACTCTCTGGTCCCGGAGTGGTGGCTTACACCTGTAATCTCAACATTTTGGGAGGCCAAGGCAGGTGGATCACCTGAGGTCAGGAGTTCAAGACCAGCCTGGCCAACATAGCGAAACCCCATCTCTACTAAAAAATACAAAAATTAGGCGCACATGATGGCTGGCTCCTGTAATCCCAACTACTCAGGAGGCTGAGGCAGGGAGAATTGCTTGAAACCGGGAGGTGGAGGTTGCAGTGAGCCGAGATCGTGCCACTGCACTCCAGCCTGGGCCACACAGAGTGAGATTCCGTCTCAAAAAAAAAAAAAAAAGACTATCTGAATATGTTTTGTTTTATCATATGCAAGTCTTATTTTTATAAAGATTCATATAAACATATTTATAAATAGAACCTAAATAACCATGTTTATTTACCATGACTGAAAATCCACGTTCATCTCAGATTTGTCCTCACTTCCAGGGGTTGGCCTCAACAGTTGTAATTGTCCTACACGCCACTTTCTCCTGGAAATTGCTAGACCATCGGCACCAGCCTGGGTCAACATCTCTATCCTATTGACTTGTAACAAAGAGACTGATAATGTAGTTTTCTACTACAAACATGAAATTGTGAGCTCTAGCATGGACATGTGCATGGAGAAACAGTTGTGTTGTTCATATAAGAGATGAATGCAACAGACAAGAAACCATATTATCCACAGGGGAGTAAACAAGTGGAATAGTTGCTCAAATGCCCGATAGCTCTCCAGTTCCTGATTCTAGACAGTCCTTGGACTGTCCAGCCACACTCTAAGACACCATCATGTTCCATTCATATGGTGTCCATTTATTATTATTAAAAGATACATTATCAGACACAGATAAGCTCACTTATCTGATATACTAACAGCACCAAGAGAGGCAAAGGACCAGTCAATTTTCATGGAAGCATCAGTGAAGTTCAGAAAAGGATTCTAAAAGCAGATTCCACTTGGATGCATTCTTGTGTGAGTGAGAAAGGGGCAAGGCTTGGAGAGGGATTTAGGAATTGTGATAGCAGAGGGTTCTCTGAAGGCATTGAGAGTTAAGGAAAGGAGGAAGGACTAGAGCATAGAAAAAAAAGATAGAAACTAGGAGCAGCAGGTTTCCATATTAAAAACCCTCAAATAATAACACAATAATCCTTTTTGCTGTTAAATCAGTGGCGGTTATACAAAAGATTGTTTGAATATCATAAGTTAGTATGTAATACCTTCAGCTGCAGACCATTATACATTTGTCTGTCCCTGTTGGCAAAAGTGAAGACCTAGCTCCTATACACATAGGAAAATGATATATGTTTATAAAATTTTAAAAATACAATTGCAAATTTTAAAAAAGGGAAAATATTCAGATGGTCAAAATTACAAAAAAAAATAAGCGAAGTAAAATTCAAATGATACAATTCAAGTAAATCCAGATAGAAAAATTATTAAGAAAATAATGAAAACTGAATGAGAACAAGAGCAATCACTAACTGAAACTTCAGGAATCATGTGAAAACCCAGATATATTTTTATCATATGTTATATAAGCCAATCATCAAATGTGACAACCAAATATAAACCTGGTTTGAGAGAACTAGCAGGAAAAATTCACTCTATGTCCTTAGCAGTGAAGATAAAGCTAGAAAGATTTGTAAAAAATGAGTGAGAACTAGGCCAGTGCCTATAATCCTAGCACTTTGGGAGGCCAAAGCAAGAAGATCACTTGAGCCCAGGAGTTTGAGACCAGCCTGGGCAACATGGTGAGACCTCGTCTCTACAGAAAACAACAACAACAACAACAACAACAACAACAACAACAATAAAAGGAAAGAAAATAAAGAAAAAGAAACACACACACACACACACACACACACAAAAACAAACATGGCCAGGCACAGTGGCTCACATCTGTAATCCCAGCACTTTGGAAAGCTGAGGCAACAGAATTGCTTGAGCGTTGGAGTTTGATACCAGTCTGAGCAACACAGTGAGACCCCCATCTCTACAATAATAATAATAATAATAATAATAATAATAATAATGACAGCTAGCTAAAGAAGTGACAATTGATATTGTAAGACATAAACATTAGAAAAAGATCAGATAAAGAAAAGCCAGAAGAACCACTCTCAGGGTTTGTAAGGCAGTAACATCGCAAGGACCAAAAATCAAGGGAACAGCTAAAGGAGAAATCGATTTTAAAATACTTTGCAAGCCCATAGCAGATACTGATGAATCTGTAGTAAACATTAATTTCAAGTAGGATCATTTTTGTGTGTGGGACCAGTAGGGATAACCAGAAAGGTAGAACATGGGGTAGAGTTAAGTATAGAACTCAAGCTAGGGGTCAAAGTCATTCTTCCCAGGGTGTCATTAAATCTTCTTAAGGCCCTTGAAAGGTTAAGAACACATCAAAATGCAAAGACCTCTTTTCATGGTTGTGACTGAGGAGGGGTAGAAGTGGGAGGTGATTCAGACCTTTTTATGTCAATGGGCAAAGTATTTAGTGACTGAACCTTTGTTAAAGCCTGAACTATTCAGAGCACAGAAACATTTCATCCATTCATAAAATTGATGCCATTTGGTCTTTCCAGATAGCAAGAGTTTTGTGGTCCTAAAGTACTATAAGCAGATATAGATCCAGTAGGAGATTTATCCTAAGATTCAGAATCATTAGGGTTAATGAGCTTAGGTCAGTGAATCAGGTTGTCAAAGTCAAGATAAAAAGAACTAACTTATTGCAAATAATTTGGAGGCACTCCTTACCTTAAAATAGTGTTTCATTATTTCATGTGGATTTATTCCCTCTAGGTATAGATTTATTCTCACAAGATGGACTGCAATAAACAAATGACCAAGAAAGAAAGATGGACCAAATAACTTATAGCAGTGGTTCATAAAGTGTGGTCCATGAACCAGCAGTGTCAGCATGTGGAAACTTACTAGAAATGCAGTCTCTTTTCAACTCACTAGACCTTGTGCACCAAAATTATTTCCCTTCTTAAGTATTTAAAAACAAACATTGTGAGATGGTCTCATAATAGAGTTTGAATAAAAGAAATCAGGTTACTTCCTGAAACTTTGGCACCCTTTTACCAAATTCATTTAGCCACTGCAGTAAAATTTCATCTTTTCCCAAAATAATACTTTGAATAATACATAATTTATTATTATTATTAATATACAGTTATGCATCACTTAACAATGGGGAAATGTTCTGATTAATGCATTGTTAGGCAAATCTGTCATTGTGCAAACATCACAGCATATATTCACACAAACCTAGATGAGATAGCCTACTACACACCTAGGCTATATGGTATAGCTTACTGCTTTTAGGCTACAAATCTGTACAGTATGTGACTGTACTGAATACTTTATTGAATACTGAATCATAACACAAAGATTAGTATTTGTGTTTCTAAACATAGTAAAGTTACAGTAAAAGTATAGTCTCACAATCTCATGACTACTGTCATATATATGCAGTCAGTTGTTGATCAAAATCTTATGTGACACATGACTGTAGTTGAATTTGAATGAAAGCAAGTATTAGGATATAAGACTGGAAGCATAGTTTGAAACATTATCTTCCAGGCTCTTGAATGACAGGTCTGGAAGTATGATCTTCATTTTACAGGGCAGTTAAAAACCTTTGTTGAGTTTTGAGCACTCAGTAAAAACATGTATTATAATCTTATGGAACCATTATTGTATATGCAGTCCATCATTGACTGAAACATCATTTTGCAGTGCCTGACTGTACTTTTTGAATTGTGAATAATAATTACCGTCATAATTTACTGGGCAGCAGTTATATATTATACTACATTCCATTCTAAGTCATTTCAATTTAGAATTATCACATGGTTAACTCAAGGACAGTAGTCCTGGTATGTGTATCACTGAAGAGACACACACATTTCTCATATTGGTATTTATGCATTCGTTTTCATATGAATTAGAAGAAGTACAGCTTCTATTTATATTTTCCTTTTAAATGCAAAGGCCAACATGTAGGTACACATAGAAATATTAAGTAAATAACAGGAAATATACAAATATGGAAACAATTGTGAAAGTATACATGGAAAATTAATATTTTGGAGAGTTTTTTTTTTACTAAATCATCAAAACAGTGACATAAAATAGGTATTGAAGATCAGAGAATTTATATATAACTTCCGCAAGATCCTATGGCTCACATATGCACAGCTAACATTTAAACCCAGAGCCGGTACCCAAATCCATGCCCTTAATCTTATGTTAACCCTTCTTACACATTTCCAATATCATACTTCCCTCTCCCCTCCAACCATATATGCGGTATTAACACAATAACCTATGAATTGTTCTAATATCAATTAATTTCAGTCACTTTACTATGTATTAAAGGAATGTTATTTTAGATATTCTCTATTCTATTGTTATTCCTGGGTTAAACTTTTTGAGATCTTTTTATATACCAATGTAGTTCTAGAAATGAGGATTGTGTCTCATTATTTGTTTTCTAAAATAAAATGAGTGTATAATAAACTGTCACATGCAGCAAAAACCCTTAAATATGAACCAATTTGGTGATGTATGTTGCTCTGCTAAGCAACCAAAAAATCATACTACATAGAACTTTCCTTGAGAGTGGGAAGTCTTTGATGAACACATTGATTCCACTCATTGCACCTGAGGTGTAAACTGTCGGAAGGAGGAAAAGTTGTGGTTCCTGTCTTCAAGGAGTTTTCCATGAGTGAAAGAGTGCGAGTGTGTGTGTATGTGTGTCTGTTGTGCACATCTGTAATTGAAAGGGGTCAAGCTAAAGAGGTGAAGGGAGGAAATAATGAATAAAATGTTAGAATTTGGGCTGTCTATGGAAGAATAATAATGTGTTCATACTCTATGTGATTTAGAGATGGTGAATTCTGTGATGATCAAAAAGAGTAAGTAATTGACATAGGGAACTTGGACATGAGACTTCAGGCTTTTGTTACTTACTTATTGCATTTACCCATTTATTCAACAAACTCATCATGAATACTATTAGAGTATGTGCAAAGTGCATTGGGAGGTGCTGGAATATAAATAAATCTATGTCTAGAGTAAAACAGAACAGATTGCATGATAAGGAGATCTTTGAAGAAATGCAAATGGTGGTCAGCTTAACTATAAATAAATATTTATATATGAAGGAATTAGAAATTGGGAATATATTTGCAAATAATGATACCAATAACTATAAAAGGAAAATAAAAGACTGAGATGAACTGCATGATGTTTCTAAGACTTTGAATGTCTAACGGATACTGAAAATAATTTTAACAGAGAAATGTTCTTCACACTCTCCCAAAAGGCCTCTAGCTTTAGGTTTTAAAATTACTTTTTCAGAAAACTACTAAATCATACCTAATAAATTCACATTTTTTTCTAAAGAAAAACTAATATCTATTTGTACTTTTCTGAAGTGAACCTAAGTTCATGACCTAGTGAGCATGTAATTTTTCTAAGCATTTACTTTTTTGTGTATAAAATGCATGTAAAAATAGTTGCTACTTTATCTATCTTCTCAATTGTAATGTCAGTAAAATAATAGTAATTACCCTTAAAGACTGTGTAGGGTTTCAATGCAATAAACTATGTAAATATCTAGCTCAGTGACTGGCATATAATTAGGGCTGGATAAATATTAGTTAATTTTATTATTTATTCTAGTTAATTTTTATCTATTTTTGTGAATTTTGAATGTGTACTGAGAAACTCAGGAAACATCTATCAATTGTCAAGTAATTGAATAACTGAAAAACAGTATCAATATGTGGATGTGCACAGAATGCAAAACAGAAAATTAAAAAATTTTTAAGAAGAGAATTAGCTACAAATAAGAAAACTAAAGTTCTTTAGAACTTAAAAAATAAATCTTCATAAAATTAAGATTATTTTGTGGTTACATACATAATTGAATGTCCCATTAACTTATGGTGGTTTATATCATGGAAATTCAGTGACATGAAATATAATTAAGAACTTTTTCTTTTTATGAAAGAGTTACTAGTATGAAACTTGCCCTCCTACCATAAATAATTAGAAAACTTGACCAAATATAGGGAGAATAGTTGCTTTCACATATTTGGAGAAGAAGCAGTGCAGAACTGTGATTGCTGAGAGAAAAGTAAGAAATGAGACATCTTACCATTGCCACAGCTTCCACCTGGAGCCAATATCAGGATCATGCCGTGGTTAAGAACTCAAGCAGTAAATGGAGATATTGCCAAGTTGAGGAGACACTAGTTGGAGTTTGGGGAAGCTAAATCAGTTGTGATCTGTGGGACAGAGCATTGGTTGGGAAGGAGTTATAGAGAAAAAGGGCTCCAATAACTTGCATAGGTTTGCTTAGCCTTCAGCTAAATACTAATCATTACTTTCAACGGAAATATTTCATCAGGTGAGGCAGAACAAAATAAAACAAAAAAAATAGCAGGAGATCTATAAGCAGAATCTCCCAACTCACACAGAGCAACTAGATTTTGTTGAGCATTGAGGCAGTCAGCAGAGACAGCAGAGAGTCACCCATTAATATTCAGACTTAACTAGCCTTAGCATAAAGGTTATTCTAAACCTGTTCTACCAAAGCTTAAAAAGAAGGATCTTAAGAAATAAAAGGAATAAAACAGATAATCAACAAATAACTTAACTGCCTCACCAAAGAAACTTCTTCAATGGATACGAAAAAGAGCAGCACACAATATTGTAACCCAATGTCCCCAACTTTTTTCGCACCAGGGACCAGTTTCCTGGAAGACAATTTTTCCATGAATGGTAAGTGGTGGTGGTTTGGGGGTGAAATTATTACATCTCAGATCATCTGGCATTAGATTCTTATAAGGAATGTGCAACGTAGATCCCTTGTATGCACAGTTCACAGCAGGGTTTGCACTCCTATGAGAGTCTAATGCCGTGGCTGATCTGACTGGAGGTGGAACTCACGCGGTAATGCTCACACACCTGCTACTCACCTCCTGCTACCTGATTACTGACAGGCCACAGACAGGTGCTGGTCTGCTGCACAGCGGTTGGGGACCCCTGTTGTATCCTACAATCTTGAGGAAAATCAGTCAGTTTAAAAAATAAAAAAGCAAAGAAAAGACAGAAATGAGGGATATAACAGAGAAGGACATACGCTTAAGGATTTAGACAAAAACATTAATATTATGAGGAGATAAATGAAATATATAAAAAAGAAGCAAATAGAAATTCTAGAGCGATACACAATATTGTGTTTTTAAATTAACATCCTCTGAGATACTGAAGAAGGAAAGCTCAGTGGGCTTGAAGTTAAAACGACAGAAATTATCCAAACAGAGGCACAGACAAAATGAAAACTGAATAATAAATGCACAGATACCTGTTTTCAGTTCTGACATGAAAAGAACTTGGAATCTGCCCTTATAATAATAATAAAAAAAGGTAAACAAACTGAAAGTCAATGACTTTCTTTGGACCCATTGGTGAACTGAATTTTCAGGATAAACTATCACTCCTAAATCTGGAGAAAAAGGAAAATAAAGGGAAACAAAGCAAAGATCTACTTTACTTGCAGCAGACGATATAAACTGGTAGAAGCACTTTAATGGTAATTTTAAAGAATTGCTGGAGGCTGAGCGTGGACTAGCATGAAAGGGAAAAGCTCCTGTGGTCTCATTCTTATACCTGACACTTTAGCGGACTTTACCTCCTAAAACCTCCCTGGATTCTCTTGGGAAAGATCAGAGAAAGATCTTCTTATAACTCTAGAAAGGTGAAGAAAAGAGTAATCATTGTGACATGTTCTCAGAACATCCTCCATAACAAAGGTGTATTCTTCAAGAGTAAAGTCCTTACCAGAGCCTTCTCCCAGTTAAGGGAAGGTCATTCCTCCTACTCTGGACCCTTCCTGTCTTCCCATCTCCAATTAGCATAGCGAAAAACTAACCACTAGAAAAACACTTGTGAAAGGCAAAGCCCGGCCCAGAAACACAGGCCCAGTAAAAGACTGGGCTTTAATCATAAGATTATACAATGCTTCCCCTCTCCTATACCTCACCACCACACTAATAGAGCTCCATGCAATAGCAGTGGCTTACAGCTGAAAAAGTGACAAAACACAGTATTTGAGGAAGAGAATTAACGGAAAACCAAAGTCAACAAAGAAGGCAAAAAAAAGACAAAGAAAATAAAAGGGGGATTTGAACCCTCTGGTACCTATAGCTACAGCAAATATCAAACACAATTCCTAGCCAGATTGACATATATCCTCACATTAAAAGCATGTCTCCTTTAGTTCATATTAGATGATAGAACATATCCAGCTTTCAAAAAAAATTATAGGCATGCTTAAAGGCAAGAAAAACACAATATGAAGAGACAAAACGAACAACAGAACTAGACACTGATGTAATACAGCTGTTAAAACTCTCTGACAAGAAATTTAAAATTATGATGATTAATATGTGAAAGGTTCTAATGAAAAAAATGAACAACATGCAAAAACAGACAAGTAGGACTACAAGATTGTCTCAGAAAAAAATGGAGAAAGAAGTCCCCAAAATTTGCCCCTACATAAAAGCCATAAAAGCAACCAAAAAATGGGCAAAGACTGTGAGAATCAACTGTTTCAGAACTCTGGAAATGAACCAAAAGCTTCCAGCAATTCAGGGAGAGTTTATTCAACTCACAGAATCTCAGTGAGAACAGTGAGCTTTGTGATAGTCTTACTTAACCTCTTCTCTCAACCCCTGCATTTCCTCACTCTACTTCACTCCTTAGCTCAGCAGCCTTGAAATAACAGCTTGCATTCTAGGTTCCAGTTTCCATGAAAGCATAGCTGACTTCACTTGCAAAGATTTGTTCTTTAGCTGATCTTTCTGGTGACTACAGAACACTGGCACAAAAGCCTTGCCTAACTCAGAATTGGCCCAGTACCAAAGTCATCCAGAGGGTATTTGTGGAAAACATGTACAGAAAAGCTTTTTAGTCTTTGCTAAGGCAGGGGATAATGGGGGGAGGGTGGGAAGCAAAAAATATACTATCTAAATAGCCTGGGAGGAAAAGCTCAGAAACGAGATGCTTTGGAGAATAAGGGCTAGGTAAACTTCAGAGATATTATTGGGAATATAGAAGGCTAAATTCATGTTCAGAACTGGGTGCATGCTCAGAGAAGATATGAGAAGTCCCTAAGGGAGGTCTTATGTCTAGCACACTTTCAGGATCTGCACAAGCAGAAACTGAAAGCCAAGGTAGGTTTGGAAAATACCTGGCTGAGGTGCTCAAAATATACCCTTATACACATGGAGCCCGTCTGCCAAGACTAGGAAATTTTTTGTTTAAGCAACTTAAAAAAATATTTGTCTAGTCACTAGCTGACAGATAAGAGATCTCAATTGCCACAAACAGCAAAAAAACACAGATTTTAAAAATTATTCAAAAAAGTTACTAAACAGACAACCACAACAAATCCTAAGGGAGATTAATATAATTTCCAGAGATGCCACATCATGGTATTAAAAATATTCAGTGTTCAACGAAAAATTAAGAGGCATGCAAAAAACTAAGAAAGGATGTTCTATACACAGGAAAAAAGCAGTCAATAAAGCCTGTTTTTGAGAAAATCCAGACATTGTCCTAAAAAGACAGAGCACTTAAGTCAGCCAATTTAAATATTTCCAAGGCTAAGGTAACCTCATCAAAAGAACTGAAAGCATAAGAATTATACTTTACCAGGTAGAGAATATCAACAAGAAGATAGAAATTACAAAGAGGGAACCAAATAGCAACTCTACATGTGAGGAGTACAACTGAAATGAAAAAATTTAAAGAAATGCTTAACAGCATATTTGAGATGACAGAAGAAAAAATCAGCAAACTTGAAGATAGGTTGGTTGGAATTTTCAGGTCTGAGAAACATAAGCCAAAAGAATTGAGACACCATCAAGTGAAGCAATATACATGTAATAAGAGCACCAGAGGGAGAGGAGAAAAAGGGACAGAAAGAATATTTGGAGAAATAATGACCCAACGTTCCCAAATTTGATGAAAATATTAATCTACACTTCCAACAATTTCAATGAATCCCAAGTAAGATAAACTCAGAGATGCACACTGAGACACATTATAGTCAATTGTCAAAAATCAAGGACAAAGAGAGAATTCTGCAAACAGCAAGAGAGAAGCAACTCAGCTCCTAAAAGAGATCCTTGGTAAGATTAACAACTAATATCTCATCCAAAACAATAGAGATCAAGTATATACAGTCATATGCTGCATAACAATGTTTCAGTCAATGACAGCCCACATATAAGATGGTGGTTGCTTAAGATGATATTGAAACATATGTAGACATTTGACATATGGCACTTAATATTGCCATGGCAGATCAAGTAGGAAGAATAATTGATATTCAGTGATAGTGTGGGATATTTGGTTTTCCATATGAAAAAATATATACAAATAAAAATATATATACTATCTAGGTTTGTGTAAATACACTTTATGATGTTCACACAACGACAAAATCACCTACCAATGTATTTCTTAGAATGTATACCCGTTGTTAAGTGGCATATGACTGTAACCATACAAGTGTATATAAAAGAAGATATCAATGTATTTTGGTCTCATCTTTTCTCCTATATGACTTAGAATCCAACTGCATAAATAAATAATTACAAATATATGTTGATGGGCAAACAATGCATATAGATGAAATTTATTAATAATAACATCACAAAAGGGGTAGGGAACAGAGTTATATATGAACAAAGTTTTTCCATGCTATTGAAATTAAGTTGGTATTAATTCAAACTAGATTTTTATAAATTAAGATGTCAATCATCATTCCCTAGGGCAACCATTAAGAGAATAACTCAAAATAATAAGGTAAAAGAAACAATAGTAGAATTAAAATGCTATACTACAAAGTAACTAACACAAAAGAAGACAGTAGCAAAAGAATTGTGAAGAAATATGACAAATGGAGAACAAATGGCAAGACAGAAAAAGTAAGCCCTTTTTTTATCAGTAATTATTATATATTAAATTAAATAGATTAAACTCACAATGAAAAGCAGAGATTAGAAGAATGGATATAAAATCATGATCCAAATATATGCTGTCTAGAAAGACTCACTTTAGATTAAAACCACAAATATGCTGAAAGTACATGGATGGGAAAAGATTTTCCATGCAAATAGTAAACCAAAAAAAAGGTTGAAGTGGCTATTAGCCCTTAAAACACAAATTATTACTACAGGCAAAGTCTGACATAATATAATTATAAAAGAATCATTCTCTCAAGAAGAGATAACAATTCTAAACACATATGCACCTAAAAGCAGAGCTCTACAGTTAAGGGAACAAAAAACTGATAGAACTGAAGGAAGAAATAAATAATAGAAATAGTTAAATAATAATGGTTGAGGATTTCAGTATCCCACTTTTAATAAAGGACAGAACACCAAAACAAAAGATAATAAAGAAATAAAGGGCTTGAACAACACTATAAACCAAGTAGACTTAGCGGACATTTATATAGCACTCCACTCAACAAGAGTAAATATATATCTTTCTCAAATAGGCATGAAAATTATTCATAATAGACCATAGGTTAGGCCACAAAACAAGTCTTGATGCATTTTCAAAGACTGAAGTCATACAAGCCAGGTGTGGTGGTTCACACTTATAATTCCAGCACTTGGAAGGCCAAGGCTGTCAGATCACTTGAACCTAGGATTTTGAGACCAGCCTAGGCCACATGGCAAAACTTATTCTCTACAAGAAATACAAAAGATTAGCTGGATATGAATGCATGTGCCTGCAGTCTCAGCTGCCCAGGAAGCTGGGGTGAGAAGATCACCTGAGTCCAGAAAGTTGAGGCTGCAGTAAACTGTGATTGTGCCACTGCACTCCAGCCTGGGTGTCAGGGTGAGATCCTGTCTCCAAGGAAAAAAAAAAATGTTTTTGAAAAGGTTGAAGTCACTCAGAGTATGTTCTCTACCCACAATTGAATGAGATTACAAATTAATAACAGGAAAAAGTTGTAAAAATTCACAAATACATGGAAATTAACACACTCCTGAATAACCACTGAGTCAAAGAAATCAGAAGGAAAATGACAAAAATTACCAATGAATTTACAAGAATGGAAACACAATTTACCAAAACTTATGGGAACTCATGAATGGGTAAGTAAATTAGAGCATATCTAGACAACAGAATATTACTTAGACACAAAAATAGATGAAGTACTGATAAATAGTACAACATGGATAAATCTTGAACGCATAGTGCCAAATGAATAAAGCTAAACACTGGTCAAACATTGTGCAATTCCATTTATAAAACATGTCCAGAATAGATAAACCCATAAAGACAAAAAGTAAATGTTTAGTTGCCGGGGGATGGCAGAAGGAGGGAATTGAGAGGTATGCATTTTTTTTCTTTTTGATGAAAATATTCTGGTATTGGATACTCTTAAAGGACAAAACTAAAATTTTCCAAATTATACAGTTTGAAATGACCAAGTTAGTGAATTTTACTTTCTGTTAATTATATCTGAATGAAAATGTTTAAGACACACGTGGATATTGTAAGGGTATAGATGGAATCTCTAAGAAAGATAGAAAAGTAATGCTAGAAAAGAAAAACACTGTTTCAGAAACGAGGAACGGCTTTTATGGGTTTATCAGTAGACTGGCCACAGCTGAGGAAAGAATCAGTGAGTTTGAAGACAGGACAAGAGAAACTAGCCAAATTAAAATGCAAAGAGAGTAAAGAATGAAGGAAGGAAGGAAGGAAGGGAGGGAGGGAAGGAAGGAAGGAAAGGGAAGGAAGGAAGGAAAGAATTTTATGGATTTATAATTTTAATGTGAATATGGAAATACAAATTACTGAAAAAGAAGAACATAGTTTACTTTCACGTTAATGAGTAGAAAGACTCAATATTGCTATGATGTCAATTCTTTCCTACTTGGTCTAATAGAGTCAATGAAATACCAATCAAAATCCCAGCCAGTTATTTTGTGAATATTACCAAACTGATTCTAAACTTGATAAGAAAAGTCAAAAAATAGCATAGCCAACAGAAAACTGAAGAAAAAATTTGGAGAACGGACACTCCTTTAAACTTCAGTATTTACTATAAAGCTACAATAATCAAGACAATGTGATACTGGCATAAGAATAGACATACATTAATGGAATGGAAGTGATTAAAAACTATCCATATTAGTAATAAAAGGGAGCCTTCCATACACATCCTACAGACACTAAAAGAGAAAAATAGTATGCAATAGTGAGAAAAATATTTAAGAACAATTTTTACCAATAACTACAAAAACAAATGAAATGGACAAATTTCATGAAAGGTACTTTTTTCCTAACACTGATACAACAAAAATAAAACTAACACTGATACAAGAAAAATAAAAATTAATACAGTAATCCTATATCTATTAAACAAAATAAATTTGTTGCTAGCCTTCCAACAGAGGAAAAATTCATACCAAGGCGCTTTACTGAAGAATTATTTAAAACATTTGAGATAAAAATCTTAAATAAACTATTTTCAAAAATACATGAGAAGAGAACAATTCCTTCTTAATTCAATAAGGAAGGATTACTAAGATACAAACCAAGTCAAAGACAATCCAAAGAAAGAAAAGTAATATCCACTGTGAATATAGATGCAAAGAATTTACCAAAATTAGCAAATAATACCTGAAAACACATAAAATCTCTAATACATGATGACCAAGTGATATTAAGTCTAGAATTCAAAGTTTGCTTTATCATTAGATGTTAATCAACTATGTTTTCAGGATATTTTATAATAAAGGACAAAAACCATTATTATCTCAAATACATAAAAAGCATTTGATAAAAATTAGCACATAGTAATGATGAGAAGTCTCAAAAAAATAGGAACAGAATGAGATTTTCTCAATGTGATCTGACATTTATGAAAAAACTACAATATCACATACAGTAGTAAAAGACTGAATCTTTTTCCCCTAAGATTGGGAACAGTTCAAGGTTGTCTGCTATCCTTACTTCTGTTCAACATTGTGCTGAAAGTCCTTGTCTACATAATAATACAAGAAAAAAAAGGTATACAGATTGAAAAGGAAGAAATGAAAATGACATTATTTCTGGAGAGCATGATTACGTGCATAGAAAACCTGAAGAAAGGCTGGGTGCGGCGGTTCATGCCTGTAATCCCAGAACTTTGGAAGGCCGAGGCAGGTGGACCACTTGAGGTCAGGAGTTTGAGACCAGCCTGGCCAACATGGTGAAACCCAGTCTCTACTAAAAATACAAAAATTAGCCGAGTGTGGTGGTGCATGGCTGTAGCCCCAGCTACTCGGGAGGCTGAGGCAGGAGAAATGCTTTAACCCAGGAGGTGGAGGTTGCAGTGAGCTGAGATTGCACCACTGTACCACTGTACTCCAACCTGGGTGACAGAGCGAGATTCCATCTCAAAAAAAAAGGAGAAGAAAAAGAAAACCTGAAGAAATGTACAAAACATTTTAAACTATTAGAAATAATAACTGAATTTAGTAAGGCTACAAGATATAAGATCAATATACATAAAATTCTATGGCATTTAAATATTTTATCTAGTAACAATTAGAAAATAACTTTAGGCCGGGCGCGGTGGCTCACGCCTGTAATCCCAGCACTTTGGGAGGCCGAGGCGGGCGGATCACGAGGTCAGGAGATCGAGACCATCCTGGCTAACACGGTGAAACCCCGTCTCTACTAAAAATACAAAAAATTAGCCGGGCGTGGTAGCGGGCGCCTGTAGTCCCAGCTACTCGGGAGGCTGAGGCAGGAGAATGGCGTGAACCCGGGAGGCGGAGCTTGCAGTGAGCCGAGATCGCGCCACTGCACTCCAGCCTGGGCGACAGAGCGAGACTCCGTCTCAAAAAAAAAAAAAAAAAAAAAAAAAAAAAGAAAATAACTTTAAAATGTCATTTATATATTCATCAAACATCAGCTTCATAGGAATGAATGCAATAAAAATCGAGAGATATCTCTACAATAAAAACTGCAAGATTAAAAAAATTAATGAAGAGCTAAATAAATATGGTAATATGCACTGTTCATGTTTTAGAAGACTTAATATTGTTGAGATACCAATTCTTCCCCTACTGATGTATAGTTCCAATGCAATCATGAGCAAAATCTCTCCTTTTTAATAGAAATTGATAAGCTGATGTTAAAATGTATATGAAAATACCAGACACCTAGAATAGAAAAAAAAAATTGAAAGAAAAGTCAAGCTCGAAATAAGAGCAAAGTTCTTACTTGATTTTCTAATTTCAAAACTTTGTTTAAAGCTATAGTAGTTAAGACAGAGTTGTGAGGATAGACAAATAAACCAAAGGACCAGAATACAGAATCTTAAAACAGACTGGCAGGTTAATAATCAATTGAAATGTTGACAAAGGTGCCTAGTCAATTTAGTGTAGAAAGCGAAAAACGTTTTAACAAATGACTGGAATAACTGAATATCCATATGGAAAAAATGAACATCAACTGATATTTTACTCCATGTCCTTGATAACCAAAAAATAATTTATGATAGCTCATATCATATGAAAAAATTGAATTTGAATGAATCTCAAATGTAGGCTCAATAAGTCAGATACAAAAGAGTACATACTGTATGGTTTCATTTATCTGAAATTGTAAACGAGGTAATATTGATCTACAGGGTCAGAAAGAAATGCAGTGGTTGCCTGGAGGTAGAACTGGGAGGAAATGACTGCAAAGAGAAATGAAGGAACTTTTAAGGTGGTGGAAACAGCTAGCATCTTAATTCGTGGTGGTTGAATAAGGATACACATTTGTCAAAACTCATTAAGCTGTACACTTAAGTGCGTTCATTTTATTGCATTTAAATTACATCTCAATAAATTGATTTTTTTAAAGCATGCAATATTTAAAGTTATAATATGGTTAAGAAGCAAACAATTTCAATCACAAATTTTTATGCAGACAACACATTTTTAATTAGATCAGAGAAAGTTTCAAGGGCATGGAGAAATATAGAAATTTTTCTTTTTGGATGTGGGTTTATCTTTTCAATGTCTGAAAAATAGCTTTGTATTTTCAGATGAGTCACATACGTTCAATGCTAAAGACAGGTGCTCTTTCCTGTAGATACACATTGAATCCTATACTGCAGATAAACATTTAAGGAGCTCATGTGGTATTTCAGTCATTCATTCACCTCATAATCCAATTTATGAGTATTTACGCTGAGAAGTATATATGGACTAGGATTAATGATGGAGAGAGGTAGAGAAAATTGATAGGGATGGAGAAAGAACGATTTATTTTTTATTTTTTATTTTCTATTATGTTTTGAGACGGAGTCTTGCTCTGTTGCCCAGGCTGGAGTGCAATGGTGCAGTCTCAGCTTATTGCAACCTCCGCCTCCCGGGTACAAGCGATTCTCCTGCCTCAACCTCCCGAGTAGCTGGGATTACAGGCCCCTGCACTATGCCCTGCTAATTTTTGTATTTTTAATAGAGATGGGGTTTCACCATGTTAGTCAGGCTAGTCTTGAACTCCTGACCTCAGGTGATCCATACTCCTCAGCCTCCCAAAGTGCTAGGATTACAGGCGTGAGCCACCACGCCCAGCCAAAAGAATACTTTTAAAAGAAGTGGAAATTAGACATTAGTATTATACATTGCTTGTTAATCTCTGTCACAACTCTAGGTGAATGTACCATTTTCTGTGCTTGTTTTTTATGCAACGTCCATTCTGAGACTCAATAATCAACTACAGGAAATTAGTATATTCAAAAGGAAGTTTTTAGGAAGGACGCTAATATAGGTGATTTTGTTATTGTTGTTCTCTATGTGCATTTGACGTGTTCACTTAACAGTTAGTGAGCACCAGCTATGGTTGAGAGACAGTGAACATTAGATACAGACTGTAAAATCTTTGGCAAGAATTTGCTTTCTTCAGTTACTTTAGGAGGTCAGTGATAAGGATTAAATGACGTGACACACGTCAGTACTTAGCACCCAGTCTGGCACATAGAAAGCAGTTAATAACACTTAGCTACCACGGAGATGATAAAGATGGCACTATGAGATGGTATAGTACTATTTCTAGCTCTCAAAGAGTATGATATAAAAATAAAACAAAACAACTTTTGTTTTCATTATAATTTATTCACTAGCAGTATAAAACATGATTAGTGACAATGCAATCACAAATGTTGTCATTTGTTTCTAAAGGGTGGTTAGACTTCATGTGAAAGGAAGTTTGTTTGTTTACTGAGGAGGCTACTTGGAGCCACTCAGAAAGGACCACAGCGGTGGCCTTTGGGTAGACAGTACCATAAAGATTTAGATTTCTAAAACAAAAGGTAAGAGAGGCCTGCCAGAGGGAGGAATGGTATGGGTAAAGACACTGCAGAGAGATTACAGGATACATTAAGAAAACATGAAGTACCACGCTTTGTGTATGGCATGGGCTTCAGGAACGAGATTCCTGCTGCTACGATAACTGATAGCTACACATTGCTGGCATTACCTATTTATTAAGTGCTTTATTTGTATTACTTCGTGTAGTTTTTACTGCTCCTGTTTGTCTCCTTCTGTGTTAAATAATTTGCCCAGTTTCTAATGGCTAGTATGGGGTAGAGTTAAGAATTTGGGATCCGTCTGACCCCAAAACCTCTATTGGAAGATTTGAGAGGTGTAAGGAAATGTCAAGACTGGCAAAGACTCTAAAGATTTGGGACAAAATTGAGGGCAGGTGTTTATTTCTGGCTGGGTAATGCACTTTACAATTAAGTCAGTGAGAAATGATCGCTTGTGCAGGTTTTGGAGAAAAAAAGCATAGGAAGTTATCAGAGTTCTGTTTTGAGCAACTAAAAATTTATGTAATATTTCAAAACATACCTGATATTGAGGCATATGTGGTAGTTGTAAAATCTGTCAAGGACAGCTATAAAGGCAAATCCTTTTTATAAATCCACCTGACAATTAGCAGAAGCTCAAATTGTTCTTTGGTTTCTGACATTTAACTCTTGCCCTACAAAATGACCCCTTACAGCTAAAAGTAGCTCAGTCTTATTTTAATTTTTACATTTTATCAAGGTGTGATGACAGTGACTAAATCATTGACACTTAGACTTGATGACAGTTAGACTCATGGTTCTTGAAAAATACTGGGTACCAAATTCTCTTTGAAGTTAATAACTTTAAAATATTAGTTGTTAATATTAACGTGAACTCACATGCACTACTGATGGAAGTGTAAAATGATGCAACCACTTTAGAAGTGAGTTTAGGAGAGTCTCAAAAATTAACCTGTACTCTAACTGTATGACCCAGCAATTCTGTTTTTAAGTATTTACCCCAAATAAATAAAGCATGCATGCACAAAAATAACTCATATAAAAAGGTCGTCCTCTTAATCATAATAACCCCAAATTAGAAGCAACCTAAATATCCACCAACAGAAGAATAAACAAATGTTGATATATTCCTACAGTTGAATATTATTCAGCAGTAAAAAAATATGTTACTGATATGTGTATGAAGCTCAAAAACATGTGATAAACAAAAGAGGCTAGACACAGAGTACAGTTTCTATTTATACGAAGTCCTAGAACAAACAAAACTAGTTTATGGAGAAAGGAATAAAAATATGGATGTATCTGTGGCATGGAGTGGGACAGAAGATATTGATTGAAAAAGGACTGAAGTTCCTGAGAAGATGGGAAAGTTCTATGTCTTGATAGGGTTGTGGATTGCATGTGTACGCATTTGTCAAGACTCACCAAATTTGACATATATGTTTCCTAATTTAAATGGGACTGGGCGCCGTGGAGCACGGGGCGGAGCTCCTCGGGGAGGCTCCCGCTTCTCAGGAGCCCAGTGCGCGGGGGGAGGGAGAAGAGGCTCAGGCATGGCGGGCTGCAGGTCCCGAGCCCTGCCCCGCGGGGAGGCAGCTAAGGCCCAGCGAGAAATCGAGCGCAGCAGCTGCTGGCCCAGGTGCTGAGCCCCTCACTGCCCTTGGTTGGCGGGGCCGGCCGGTAGGCCAGCCGCTCTCAGTGGGGGGCCACAGAGCCCACTCCCACCCGGAACTCCCGCTGGTCCGCAAGTGCCATGTGCAGCCCCGGTTCCCGCCCATGCCTCTCCCTCCACACCTCCCCGCAAGCTGAGGGAGCTGGCTCCAGTCTTGGCCAGCCCAGAAAGGGGCTCCCATAGTGCATCGGCGGGCTGATGGGCTCCTCAAGCGTGGCCAGAATGGGCGCAAAGGCCGAGGAGGCTCCAAGAGCAAGCGAGCACCGTGAGGGCTGCCAGCACGCTGTCACCTCTCAGTGGGAAATAATTGATCATGGAGGCAGTTTCCCCCATACTGTTCTCGTGACAGCGAGTGGGTCTCATGAGATTTGATGGTTTTCAAAAGGGGAGTTTCCCTGCACAAGCTATCTTTTTGCCTGCCACCATGCACGTAAGATGTAACTTGCTCCTCCTTGTCTTCCGCCATGATTGTGAGGCCTCCCCAGCCATGTGGAACTGTAAGTCCGTTAAACCTCTTTCTTTTGTAAATTGCCCAGTCTCAGGTATGTCTTTATCAACAGCGTGAAAATGGACTAATACAGGAGTGATATATGTTTTAAATTAACCAAATGAATTTGGATCTGGACATAGTTTTACTTGATAATGTTTGAAATATTTTTTTGTTTGTTTGTTTGTTTTGTTTTGAGACGGAGTTTCGCTCTGTCACCCATGCTGGAGTGCAGTGGCGTGATCTTGGCTCACTGCAAGCTCCGCCTCCCAGGTTCACGCCATTCCGTTGCCTCAGCCTCCCGAGTAGCTGGGACTACAGGCACCTGCCACCACACCCGGCTAATTTTTTGTATTTTTAGTAGAGACTGGGTTTCACCGTGTTAGCCAGGATGGTTTTCGATCTCCTGACCTTTTGATCCGCCTGCCTCAGCCTCCCAAAGTGCTGGAATTACAGGCGTGAGCCACTGCACCTGGCCTTTGAAATATTTTTAAAATAACAAGTGAAGAATGAGTTGCAGAATGTGTGTATGTATGTGAGAGTGCACATACCTACTTTATAAATTTATTCATTTGTACCAAAAATCTTCATCAAATGAGTGAATAAAATATGAAATGATACACACCAAAAACAAATGTGTACTCCCAGTTATAAAGTTCCAGTTGAGTGTTGAATACAAATTGTGAAGTCTCAAATAAGCAGTAGGTATTAAGAGTCAAGGAAGAATAAGAGAATATTTCATGTTCACATATTTCAAAAATTGTACTAATTTGTTTCAATATAACAATTTTTAAGTAAAGTAAATTTTCCATGTTTACAGCCAATTAATTATACATTTTTTAGTTTATTTAGCTATGGGATAATTTTTTTTTCATGCACACACATTTACACACAATCACAGAAATAATGATTTGAAAAATTTTAAAATAATTTGCCACTTTTTTGTTTTTAGTTAAATTTTCAGCTCTTCAGGAGTTAATTCCCAAAAATAATTATTCATGTGTTTTTCAATATACAGAATATAGTTCTGTTCCTTCAGAACACAGAAAAATATATTTTTTTCTATAGGAATATTTCTTTTTGGTAGGTAGTCATTTTTTCAAAATCACCTTTAATGAAATCTAAATTGCATACAATAAAATGCATCCATTATATTTGTACTGTTAGTGAGTTTTGGCAAGTGGATATACCCATGTAATTATCACCACATTCAAGATATAACCTATCCATTGCCTCAGAATGCCCCTTGCGGTGTTTCCCAATCAATGACCTACCCAACACCCATCCCTATTTGCCCATTCTTCTTTTCGTCACTGTAGATCAGAGAACTAAGTTTGTAAAGCCCATAAAATATTAGGCATTTCTTATCTCCATTATAACTAAGTAAAATCATTTCAACTGATAAGAGGTAAGAAGTATATAATCCAGGAAACTCTTCCCTCTATTTCACCTTTCCATGACAGTAGTTCTATCTATGTGTTCCTCCTCTGCGCAGAAGTGTGGCAAAGGAAAATGATGGCAGCTGAATCTGAACACAGCATATGTTAGTACATCGAAACACTCTTTTCTCTGTTCACAGTTCTTCAGTCTATGATATCGCATCCAAATATATGATACACTACAACTTATATGCAGAAGGTACAAATAAAATAAGCTTTTTTGTCTCCAGTCACTTAAAATATCTTAATCCTGCTGCATTAGTTTTAGGATGGTTTGGGAAAGACCCAGGAAGAGACAGAAGAGTTAAGCTAACATGTAATGGCCACATTTTGTGCAGAGAGATTTCCTTGCCACTCCACTGAAGATTCTACAACAATTCAGACATACGAAAAACATAAGGTTCATTTCACCAATTCATTTCTCAAAAGCAACTGATACAGAATCTAGACAAACAACAGAAACTGAAATAAAATATTTTTCTTATCCCTTCAGGAAAGTCTGTGTCAGAATCTTCCCATATGGATCCTTAAGGGATACACAAGCCACTGATAGTACAGTTACATCATTACCACCACTTGTACTGACTTAGTCATTCCTGTTTTGAAAATCCTGCCCATCTACTTTGTAATGAATCTTCACTTTGGTCTTTGGACTCATTTTTGTTACCAAATATTTGTTTAAAAATTAAAAATCTTCTCAGGATTAAGTACAGGAAGGTTACTAATACATACAGGGCTACTGCATGTGGTAGTGAAAGTGTCCTGTGCACAATTGCAGAGGAGTTCTCTATAGGTGATACTGTCAATGGTGTCCTCTAAATTTGCACAGTGCACAACCTAAACCACCACACATGGAAGCCTTGTGCATATCCTTAGCATTTTACAATAAAAAATGATTTGCTGATAACTGCCTATTCTCCATTCTATTTTACAGGAGCTACTAAGTTTTACAGTGCTTAATGTTTGATTTGACAAAATTACAATTTTATGTAGACTTTATATAGGATATGAGAAGTATAGTATTACCCCACAAAGGCTTCCAAATAGAATATTAAAATAATTATTGTTAGCCAGGTGTGGTGGCTCATGCCTGCAATCCCAGTACTTTGGGAAGCCGAGGGGGATGGATTGCTTGAGCCAAGGAGTTAGAGACCAGCCTGGGCACCATAGTGAGATCAGGAAGGAAGGAAGGAAGGTCTGTAGTCCCATCTACTTGTGATGCTGAAGCAGGAGCATCACCTGAGCCCAGGAGGTTGAGGCTGTAGTGAGCCATGATTGTGCCGATGCATTCCAGCCTGGCCAGCCAGAGCAAGATCATGTCTCAGAAAGACAAAATAAATTGGGCGGGCACGGTGGCTCATGCCTGTAATCCCAGCACTTTGGGAGGCTGAGGCAGGCAGATCACGAGGTCAGGAGATCGAGACCATTCTGGCTAACATGGTGAAACGCCGTCTCTACTAAAAACGCAAAAACTTACCTGGGCGTGGTGGTGGGTGCCTGTAGTCCCAGCTACTTGGGAGGTTGAGGCAGGAGAATGACGTGAACCCGGGAGGTGGAGCTTGCAGTAAGCCAAGATCATGCCACTGCACTCCAGCCTGGGCGACAGACCCAGACTCCATCTCAAAATAAATAAATTAATTAATTAAAATAAAATAAATTAAATGAGAGAGGAAAAATGGTTGAAGCTTGTGAAGAAAAACCACCATAATCTAGATTTGATCATTGAGTTATTAATAATTATAAAAAGATATTTCTGGAAAACTAAGCCTCAAAACATATATGTTTCCTTTTTGTGTATAAAAATGTCAGTAAACATCATGCATTGGTTGTATTTTAGCATTCAGAATGTCAAAGATATCATCTTTGATATTAGACAAAACAAATCAGGGCTGGTTGCTGATTTTAAAATATGTTAACAGAAAAACTAAACTCGGTAAAATATTTTAAAGAGGTATTCTCAGTCAATATGAATGACCATGGCCCAGAGAAACACAGTTTCAAGGAGTCCTGAAAAGATATATGCAAGTTAGTTGGATTACAGTTTGGTTTATACATTTTAAGGGGGCAGGAGTTATAGGCAAAGACATAATGTATGAAAGGTATACATTGGTTTGTCCCAAAGAGGCGGGATATCTGGAAATGAGGGCTTAGAGATTATTGGTGGATTCAGAGATTCTTTAATTTGCAATTGGTTAAAGGAGTAAGGCTCTATGTAAAACTTGGAGTTATTAGAAAGGAATGTTTAATTTAAGGTAATAATGCTATGTCAGAATCAGCCACAATACAATGACCTGTTAAGGGAGATTGATGGTCTACAGGCATGACTTAACACTTGCTTTACATGGCCTTAGGTCTTATTTATAATTTGGTACTTCTTTGCTACAAGGAATCTGTTTTGGCCATCTTACGTCCTCTATTTTAACATGAATGTGAGTTACTTGAGTCTAAACTCCAAAAGGGAGAGGGTATAATGAGGACTGTTGGATCTCCCTTTCTATCATAACCAGGAACTTGATTTTTAACATTTCTCTGGGGTCCTCTTGGCCAAAAAAAAGTTCATTCAGCTCGTGGGAGCTTAGGATTTTATTTTTAGTCTACAAATATCATGTCAAAATTGAAGTAGGTTACTTGTAGTCATTAGAAGTAAAGGGGACTACCATGTTTCTAACTGAAGCATGTTCTATATGTTACAATTTCTAAAAGATCGTCTACTATTTATACAAACTCATTTTAGACAGTAAACTTCAAGATAGTAAAACATCAAATTCACTCAATATAATTCTCTGTTTTCTTTCCAACACAGTAACAATATTTAGAAAAGCAAAACCCGAGCCTCCTGGCTACATAATGAAGATTTTCCACATGGGACTGAGTTAGATTGTATACTGTGGAAAATGAATTATTCAATGAAATATATATAAGGAAAGATCACTCTACTTGTAACTCACATGTAATCATGGCTTCCCCAATAAATACATTTGTAAATGCTTGTTTCATCTCATGTTTCATCTCTGAATGTCACATAGTTACTCTCAAAATATGTTTACATGATCTGTAAACTAATAATAATATTCTAAGCCTCCCAAAACACCTGAATGGACCCCTCTTCTCAGCCAGGACATTCCAAAGTTTACCTGAAAAACTGTTTCAAACCATGATGGGAAGGGAGGGACACACCTCATTATACTCTCTTCCCTTTTGGATTTCAGGAAAAGCTGACCAGCATTAACATCAACACAGACCTTAAATCTGATGAGCAACATTTACTATCTATTCTCTCTGAAGCCTGCTACTGGAGGCTTCATCTGCATGATAAAACTTTGGTTTCCACAACCCCTTATCATCATAACCCAGAAATTCCTTTCTATTGATTCCAGGTTTTTAGATAATAACTTAACTCTTTCAACCAATTGCTAATCAGAAAATTTTTTAATTTACCTACAACCCGGAAGCCCCTGACTCAAGTTATCTTGCCTTTCTGGACTGAACCAATATACATCTTAATATATATTTTATTGATGTCTCATGTCCCCCTAAAATGTATGAAACTAGGCTGTGCCCCAACCACCTTGACCACAGGTTGTCAGGATCTCCTGAGGGCTATGTCATGGGCCATTGGTCACTCATATTTGGCTCAGTATAAATCTCTTCAAATATTTTACAGAGTGTGATTCTTTTTGTCAACAGATCTAACATTTATTGAATGTTCCCTATAGGCCAGGCATATGTAAGTGCTTTAAATGTGTTTTCTCACTCAATCCTCTTCACAGTCCTGTAAGTATCCTTAATATTCTCTAACCCTTCCCATTTTGCAGATGAGAAAAGTGAAGCCCAGGAATTGAAAGTTTGGCTTGCTCAATATCTCACAATTAAAAGTAATGAAATCAGGGCTTGAACCAAGCATGACTCTAGAGCCAGTCTCTTTGCCTCTACATTAAACTTTTCATTTGAAAAACCTTGTGTATTTCGTCAGATTTTCTCTTGCTTTGAAAATATAACTGCTTTGGAACTGAGCAGGAGTTACAAAGCAAAGAGTAGCAAAATATGCCACTTTTGCATAAAGATTATTTTTGATCTGAAAGCAATTGAGAAGATACAGGATTAGCTCTCTGCCCTCCCTATTTGCTTAAAAGCAGGACATATAATTGTCACGTTCCCCATCTCCCCAACAACCAGGAAGGACAGAAGTTAATCACCTGAGACAACTCTCTTGTCAATTAGCTAGAGACAGCACCAAGGAATCTACATAACAATTCTTACTAAAAATACTCCTTATATACACCTAGTTTTCCCATATATTTGCCTTCCCACAATTTGCTGCCCCAAGAAAGTGAAAGTCATGTTCCTTTATATTGTCACTTCTTGAAACATTTGTTGTTCTTTTGTTAAGATGGTATATAAGCCCCAAGTTCTAACTACCTCCTTGAATTACTCATTTCTGAGTGTTCACGTGTGTACACATGCATGCACAATTCACATGGTAATAAGCTTGTTTTTCTCTTATTAATCTATCTCTTGTTAATCTAATTTACAGAGTGCCTAAGATGGGCTGAGGGAAAATATTTTTTTTTCCTGAAACCATTGCAAAAGAGGAGCATAGGCTTGACCTATAAAATTCTTTCATGTTTTCACATGTAGAAACTGGGAATAAATTCTAAAGATCATATGTTTTGGCTGAGAAAAATATATGTATAATTAGAAACAAAGGCGCATGCTAGAGTTTCACAATAGAAAAGACCACATTTTTTAAATAAAAGATACATGAGCCTTGTTACATTTTTTGGCCAGGGTATACCTCCTCGTGAAACTTGGGTCCTTGTTAAATTAGAGACTAGTGGTAAAAACTCTAATTTATAAGCTTTGTGATCAATCTGGTAACTTTATCCAAGCAGACTGAGATGTTACAGCGATGTATCAATTATACAGAAGATAAACTTCAAATTTTAAGAAAGAGCTTTGAACACTAACTTCTTATCTCATGGAATCATGTAAATTAAACCCTATAATAACCACGTACTTCTTTTCAGGTAATTGTCAGATTTGCCTTTTTTAATCTACTCATTAGCCATATTGTTGGCACATGAATCACAGACATTAGAACATCAAAAACAAACTCTGGCAACAACACACAGTGTCCCTCATAAATATTGTTATGTATCTAAATGCCAAGTTATATAAAATTGGCATAGAGAATTCACATTTTGGTAAGCTAATAAAATTGGTATCCAAAGGCTCTCATTTTTATAACAGGAACACTGTGTATATTCAGCACTTGGATAACAGGCATGGCTGATGTTGTGAATTGGTCCTAACAAGAGATGGAATAGAAAGCTCTACCAATACCCCTAGCTAAGAAGTAGTGAAGAAAGAATGTTAATCCAAACAAGGACTTGCTCTTATTGTCTAAGGGTAGCTATCAGCCAAATCTTAAACATGAGAAGATGAAAGCATCTGGAAGATAAAGTAAAAAGCTATCGTGAAAAGAAAATAGAAGGAAAGTAAAGAGTGGATAGAATTGGAAAGACAACAATGAATGTAAAAAAGATAGCTGGTAGTCTTGTCCCTTGGAGGTGTGGCGAGACTAAGAAAAACACTTTGAATAAGAAGTAGGCAAAAGAGATGGCCTTAATCAAACAAAAACAGGCATAAAAGTATGTTCATATCAGAATTAACTGGCACATAAAAGCTCTCACAAAACACTGGGGTTTTTTTTGTTTTGTTTACATTTTTATAATTGCCATTGAGAAACTGATGTTTGTAAAGATGATCCTGATTTGGGGGTCCTGTGAAATAAAGTTGAGTATGATCTGTGTAAGACAGAACAGAAAACAATATATCTGCAGAAAGAAATTTCATCCAAGTGGATAAGATTTAAAGTTATGCCAATTAAAGAGAAATTTGTCAGATACCTAAAAGTCTCAGGGTTCTCCATTTCCTGGTATACTTGGCTTGCTGTGTAACAAATACATCACAATTGCTCAGAAATGGCTTCATTGTGTATTACTTAGACTTTCTGTAATTTCACCATATCTGCAATTACAAAAGGAAATTATGTAACTTACAAAGAGAAACTTCTAGCAATAAAATTAGAAATGAATTTTTGAGGAAATGTTAATGGTAGTTTTACCATATGATATAGAGAACATTTATTTTATTACTGATATTTAACACACAAAATAAAGTGCATAAATAATACAATCCCTTATGTATTTTTTTAACAGTAAAGCATCTTTATTAGATGTAAATAATTTATCACCCAGGTGTTTAGTTTACAGAGTACTAAATATTTACATATTTGATAACATGTAAATCAAATGCTAAATAAAAAATTTTAATTTGCCATCCTGTTATTTTAGCATTATATAAACACATTTGCAAAGATTTTAATGTTTTATTTTATTTTATTTATTTATTTATTTTATTATTATTATACTTTAAGTTTTAGGGTACATGTGCACATTGTGCAGGTTAGTTACATATGTATACATGTGCCATGCTGGTGTGCTGCACCCACTAACTCGTCATCTAGCATTAGGTATATCTCCCAATGCTATCCCTCCCCCCCTCCCCCCACCCCACCACAGTCCCCAGAGTGTGATGTTCCCCTTCCTGTGTCCATGTGATCTCATTGTTCAGTTCCCACCTATGAGTGAGAATATGCGGTGTTTGGTTTTCTGTTCTTGCAATAGTTTACTGAGAATGATGGTTTCCAATTTCATCCACGTCCCTACAAAGGACATGAACTCATCATTTTTTATGGCTGCATAGTATTCCATGGTGTATATGTGCCTCTTAATCCAGTCTATCATTGTTGGACATTTGGGTTGGTTCCAAGTCTTTGCTATTGTGAATAATGCCGCAATAAACATATGTGTGCATGTGTCTTTATAGCAGCATGATTTATAGTCCTTTGGGTATATACCCAGTAATGGGATGGCTGGGTCAAATGGTATTTCTAGTTCTAGATCCCTGAGGAATCGCCACACTGACTTCCACAATGGTTGAACTAGTTTACAGTCCCACCAACAGTGTAAAAGTGTTCCTATTTCTCCACATCCTCTCCAGCACCTGTTGTTTCCTGACTTTTGAATGATTGCCATTCTAACTGGTGTGAGATGGTATCTCATTGTGGTTTTGATTTGCATTTCTCTGATGGCCAGTGATGGTGAGCATTTTTTCATGTGTTTTTTGGCTGCATAAATGTCTTCTTTTGAGAAGTGTCTGTTCATGTCCTTTGCCCACTTTTTGATGGGGTTGTTTGTTTTTTTCTTGTAAATTTGTTTGAGTTCATTGTAGATTCTGGATATTAGCCCTTTGTCAGATGAGTAGGTTGCGAAAATTTTCTCTCATTTTGTAGGTTGCCTGTTCACTCTGATGGTAGTTTCTTTTGCTGTGCAGAAGCTCTTTAGTTGAATTAGATCCCATTTGTCAATTTTGGCTTTTGTTGCCATTGCTTTTCGTGTTTTAGACATGAAGTCCTTGCCCATGCCTATGTCCTGAATGGTAATGCCTAGGTTTTCATCTAGGGTTTTTATGGTTTTAGGTCTAACATTTAAGTCTTTAATCCATCTTGAATTGATTTTTGTATAAGGTGTAAGGAAGGGATCCAGTTTCAGCTTTCTACATATGGCTAGCCAGTTTTCCCAGCACCATTTATTAAATAGGTAATCCTTTCCCCATTGCTTGTTTTTCTTATGTATTTTTTAAAATGACATTTGCTCAGAAAAGTAGAAAAGTATTACTTTTTTTTTTTTTTTGAGACGGAGTCTTGCTCTTGTCCCTTAGGCTGCAGTGCAATGGCAGGATCTCAGCTCACTGCAAGCTCCGCCTCCTGGGTTCAAGCGATTCTCCTGCCTCAGCCTCCCGAGTAGCTGGGATTACAGGTGCCTGCCACCACACCCAGCTAATTTTTGTATTTTTAGTAGAGACGGGGTTTTGCCATGTTGGCCAGGATGGTCTCGAACTCCTGATCTCATGATCCGCCTGCCTCTGCCTCCCAAAGTGTTGGGATTACAGGTGTGAGCCACTGCGCCTGGCCAAGTATTACATTCTTAAATCAAAATCAATAATTGAAAATGCAGATTTCTTTTAATAATTGAAAGGACTTAATTTTATCTGTCAATAGCTAAATTGATCAAAAAACTCTTAAAGTGGTAGCCACTGAGAATAATTTGCGATGCAGCAGGAAGAATTACTTCCTTCCTCATTGCACCAATAGTGTACAGGAAAAATCTCTCTGTTCCCTACCTTTTTGTTTTTAAGAAAAATGCTAAGTTTTTACATGTCCTGTGTGTGGTTTGGCATGGGGGAGGAAGTGGGAGGAAAGGGAGTGATAACCAAAGACCAGGAACCAGAGAAGCTGGAAGAGAAACAAACTGTGACAGTCATCAAAAGCAGTTAAGGCATGTTTTCATTCTTTACCACCCTGCTATTTCTCTTTAATCATGCTGTTAGACAATCAATTGTACTTAATTGTCATAATCACAGTGGTTGAAAACTTCAAGTCTACCTGCACAACACAGCAATAGCTATGCAAACATAATTAAATTTTCAGAGAAAATTGCATCATTTTTATAAGCAACTTAAATAAGCTTTCAGAGTAGTAGAAATGAAAAAAATCTAAATCATGCTAGAATGAATGTATTAAAGAAAAGATATAACGGTTTTCAAAAACCTGACAACTGCTCTGAATGACAAAATGAGCTAGTGCATTGACTTTTTATTTTCCTGCTGAGAGCTTACAGGTATTATTTAGTAATTTGAACAAAACCTTCCTTGTTTAATTGCAGCAGATGCTCTAGCTTTTTTACCTGCTGATCAGTGAACGTTCACGTGTAAAATTCCAAAGGGTGATTTTTTTGTAGTGGTTTTCAAACAGAAGGATAATTTTGCCCCCATTTGAAAATACCTATTTGCGGCTGGGCACGGTGGCTCACGCCTGTAATCCCAGCACTTTGGGAGGCCGAGGCGGGCGGATCATGAGGTCAGGAGATGGAGACCATCCTGGCTAACGTGGTGAAACCCCGTCTCTACTAAAAATGCAAAAAATTAGCCGGGCGTGGTGGTGGGCACCTGTAGTCCCAGCTACTGGGGAGGCTGAGGCAGGAGAACGGCGTGAACCCCAGAGGCGGAGCTTGCAGTGAGCCAAGATAGCGCCACTGCACTCCAGCCTGGACGACAGAGCGAGACTCCGTCTCAAAGAAAAAAAAAATAACCTATTTGCATGAATAAAAGTAAAAAGCTATTGGTTATAAAATTATTGTATTTCATATAACCTAAGACACCTATAATTGATGATTATAAGAAGAACCAATAATTCATGCTCTACTGAAAAAGAGAAAAAGTTGCTCTGATTATCCATTCTTTGATTATCCATTCTTACTACAGTGTCTGGAGTTTTTGTCTTAAATATTGCAGAGCTCTTTTAAACTTAGCTAACATCTTTAATATATCACACTTGTGTACACATAAAAAGGGAAATATAAACCAAAAAAAAAATGGGTATTCTCAAAACATCTTTACTCTCAGAGTACAGTTTTCCTGAATGCCTTTTCTACACATAACCATGTATATCTATGTTTTTTTCCCATATAATATCATCCCCGGACCATCAACAACTTTAGTGATACCGTACTTCTCAAAATACTGCTCCCTTAATGTCTGCAGTGGTTTGTCGTTGTTGTTGTTGTTTGTCCCCTAAGACACACTTCTTGCAAGTTTTGATTTGGTATTTTCTTGACCATACACATGGAACTAATGGAAGGTTTCAGTCCACAACAAGGATTCATATTCTTTCACAAATGATGCTTTAACTGCAAGGGCAAGGGGCAGTGATTGCCCCTCCTGTCGCCACGAATTAATTCCCAGTCTGTGCCTGCACAGCCCATGCTAACTTGCATTGCCTCTGCTGCCCTGTGGATGATTGTTACATCCTATCGATTCGTAGAAACGGTCTGTTTTTAGTGCCACCCAGTATGGGAAAATGTGTTTCTGAACAGCAAAATATATGAAATTTGGAAAAGTCAAACTAGAACTTATTTTATATTTTATCCAATACACTTGAATATCCAACATGGATAATTTAAATTAAATCATTTTAAAAATTGCTAAATATTTACTTTTATCAGGATTAAAGTTTAGTTGCTTTGAAGGAGGAAAAATGGTTAATAAAAAATTGCATACTTCATAATTTTCTTTTTGGTGGTTGTTGCTTTTGTTTTTGTTTTCATTTTCTTTTTTGTTAAAATTTTCTTATTTACAGTAGTTATGATTTAGTTTCTGTCTCACCCAACTAGTGTGTTAGCTCCACCAGAACAAGGATTTTTTTGTCTTTTATTTGCTGATGTACCCCAATATTTAGAATAGGGCTTGCAACATCAGTATTTAAGTATTTGTTGAAAAAAATAGATCACAAAGAATTTTGATAATTAATTCTTCATTGGAATTCAGGGTTGTGCCATTAGTGCTTCTCTTTCCTATACTCTATGTCATTTTATTTACTTTTTATCTTTACCATAACTTTTCTTATATCATAAGTTGTATATGAATGAATTATGAAATTGTGAGGTCAGGAATGCTGGTGTCTTTATGAGTAGGCACTTAGTGCTTATCAAAGGGTCCGGCATAGAGTAGGGGCTCAATAAGTATTTGTAGCATTCTAAGCATTTTAGGAATTATCAAAGTTTATTGAAATGTTATGCTAAATAAAAATCAAAAGAAATTTGACCAAATTAAGAGTTGGATTAGAGAAGCTACAATTCATCAATGAGACCAAGATATTAAATATGTAACTTCATTAAAAATCAGTATCTAGACTAAATTTTAAAAAACTCTGTTGAATTTTTATATCAGTCACTGAATCACCCAACAGTCATTACTAGTGATTAACTTTACATACATTGGATTTTTCATATGATATTTTCATATTCAGAGAGTCACTTGAATGTTGTCAAAAGGCAGGGATGCAAATTTTATTTAAAAGAAACTGGTAGCTACATTATTAACCCATCTACATCACTAATAATAAAAACAATAATAATAACAGCTCCATGAATGTGTTCAGTATGGTCAGTATGAAAACACATAGCCTTGGCTGTCTATTCTTTTCTTTTTTTTTTTATACAAGAGTCTCACTCTGTCACCCAGGCTGGCACGCAGTGGCACAATCTCGGCTCACTGCAACCTCTGCCTTCTGGGTTCAAGCTATTCTCCTGCCTCAGCCTCCCAAGTAGCTGGGATTACAGGCACGTGCCACTATGCCTGGCTAATTTTATATTTTCAGTGGAGACAGGGTTTCACCATGTTGGCCAGGCTGGTCTCAAATTCCTGACCTCAGGTGATCCGTCCGCCTCAGCCTCCCAAAGTGCTAGAATTACAGGCATGAGCCGTCATGCCCTGCCGGCTATCTATTCTTATCAATTAAAGTAAGAGTCTCTCCCATGTAGAACTCCATTAATAGAAAGCAGTACATTAGGAGTTTTCAAAGTTTAATGTTTATAGATAACATTATTCATGGGAATGTAGAAATGATTACATTATTACTCTACTCCAAAAAAAGTAAGACCTTTTTGTAACATGATGAAATAAGTATATAATTTTTACTATCATATATTACATCAATAGGGGATTCAGGACACAAACAAGGATATCAGTCCTCTTCATAATCACCTGGAAGGTAATGTTGATCCCTGTCACTCATACCATCCATCTCGATTTGCAAAAAGAGTCTTCATTACATGATGCAAATAGCACGTTACTGCAGAGTGAAGGGGGCTGGTAACAATAAAACCCACCAAATATTTCTGCTTGAGACATTCTTGTAGATGAGGTATTCAAATGGTATCTAAGGGTGAAGAAAGATAAAAAGAAAGATAAGAAAGACAAAAGAGAAAGAAAGAAAGAGAAAGAAAGAAAAAGAAAGAAAGAAGAAAGAAAATACACTTGTGTATGTTCTAAGTCACTCACTTAAAATAGGTAAATTGTGGTGAGGGTTGGCACATGGTTTGCCTATAGGATGCAATCTTTAGATACAGTTGTTATTAATAACAGAAAGAAATGCATTCCAGAATTGTAATTCTTCCAAGTTCAAGAACAATAAATACACATTTTGAACAGCATAATGTTGATTTCAATTGAATTACATGTTTAAAAATAAAGCTGCCTCCTTCAAAATAGGTAAGTCTCTAACAGAATGTAGCCTACATCCCCCAAAATGTGTCATTAGTCATATTAAATAATAATTTTTAAGAGCCATAACTCCAGTAAGGGAAACTAAAAATTGACAAGCAGATATTATATTAGAAAAGCAATCAGCTAAACATAATAATATATAATACAAAGGCATAATAATATACAATACAATAGATGATCAGTTTACAAAATGTAAAACTAAAATGTTCAAAGTATGAGTTCCTGTAGTAAATATTTCTCTCAATGATACAATGAAGTTGCATTTTGATGCTCAATGGAGAAGTCCCAAAGTGAAATATTTTGGATTGCCTGGAATGGACAGTCAGAAATTTAGAAGGTTGGTTGGATTGTAGAAATATTAAAGGTTCTTTGCCACCTTCTAATATTATTATTGTTTTCACTTTCTATAGTAATGATTAAAGTGAAATGAAGTATCCTAAATGAGCATTCTGCTCTTCCTTACCTCATGCAAACAGGCCTTTGAGGTTTTTTGGAGGAAGAAAGGAGAAAATTAAACTTTAAAAGCTAATAAATAATTCGGTACACCCCACAGCATGTTACCTCAGCATAATGGGAAATACATAAAAACAGATTTATTTTTATTTATTCATTTGTTTATTTATTTGAGATGAAGTCTTGCTTTGTCACCCAGGCTGGAGTGCAGTGGCATAATCTCAGCTCACTGCAACCTCCACCTCCTTGGTTTAAGAAATTCTCCTGTCTCAGCCTTCTGAGTAGCTGCAACTACAGCTATACACCATGCCCAGCTATTTTTTTATTTTTAGTAGTGACGGGGTTTCGCCATGTTGCTCAGGCTGGTCTCGAACTCCTGACCTCAAGTGATCCACCTGTGTTGGCCTCCCAAAGTGCTGGGACTACAGGTGTGAGCCACCATGCCCTGCCATAAAGACAGATTTTTAAAATCATAAATAAAGCCATCATAAAGAGGAATATACATTTCCCATAACTCATCCTGGATATGTGAGGCATGGAAAGTCAGAAGAAAGAATGAAATCAAGAAAGCCTATATTAAAATTAGAGGTCATATTTAACGGTGCATATACCCACTGTAAAAGTAAGCATAACTGTGGCTTATGAAAACCTATGTGGAAAAATGCAAATGATCAGTGACTAGTACAAATCAGAGATCATTGAAGGAAAACAAACGGTTTTGTGCACTGAGTAGCTCTTGTGTCTTCTATGATTTCCAAGTTTCAAAACCCTGCCTTCTTCCCACATGAAATAGTTAGCCTTTCTAGTCTTCCCATTGTGAAATGGAGTTTTCCTGAACTGACTGGAACCTGAGGAGAAAAATCAAAGTTATGCACTCTTGAAGGCACAACCAAAGCCCCAAGTTCAAAAATGAGTTCATCCACCTTCATGTGGCTTTCATGTACTGTGCTTTGCTATAAATGTCTCACATCCTTTTTCAATGCTGCAAAGCCACATATTTTACAAAATATGTGATAACTTCACACATCTGAGATTAGAATTTGGCTGATTGTTCTTTCAAATGCTAAATAAAAACCAGGTTGATTGCTATAGCACTTTGTCAAAGATACCAATTGGAATCCATACATCACAAATGGAATTGGGACAAACACACAGGATTCGATGTCTAAATATATAAATTAGTTCTTCAGAAATATCTTTCAGTAAACCGCCATTAAAACTGGCATCTTTCCTAGTGTTAGAATCTCTTTGGTAATATCACTAGCAAAAACTATTGAAAAAATAGTTCCATTGGCACAATCCAAATGTTTTAAATAACGTTTGTATGTTTTCAATAGTACCAAACTTTTCATCTTAGAACAACCTTCTATAAAATATTTATTCAATGACATCTAAAATGTGTAAAAAGTCTTTATCTATCATTCCTCCTCTTTGTTAACTCTCTACAAAGAAAGCTGTAAATAATAGCAGGAAATAAAATGTGTGATAAATGCGACTGTGTATAAAAATTATATTGTTTCTAACCAGATTTTGAAGGAAGAAGTATACTTCAGCAGAAGAGAGTTAATTAATGGCGTGGCAGTAAATTGTTGTAATTGGCATAAAAATAATCTGTACCGATACTCTTTCCTGAAATGAAATCGAAAATAAATTGAACTTTTTTGGCAACAGCTTTTGAGAAGTTCATGTAGACAATTTATTTTTGCTTTTAGGGACTTAAAATAGACCTATAAGAACACAAAGGGTGGATTGATCCTGAACATCTTAGCAGCTAAACTTTTCCTGTTCAAGATTTGTCCCATCTAAGAATATCACTGGAGTATGTGCTATTCCTTTCTGGAAAAGTTATGATCTATCAGCAGTTATTCAAATAGTGTTGAAAGTGGTCTTTACCTGATTGGGTAATATAAATGTCAAGACGATAGTAGAAAAACAACTGGGGAGGAGAAATAAATCCTTCAGTGATCCCATAAATCATGTAAAACAGCTTTCAGCCCCTGTGTATCAGAGTGACACATTTTAGCACACTTTAATGTAATGCATGGACAGAGATGAGTATTGCATTGGGGGTTGATTTATACTTGTTTTAGAAGTTTCTATAAAACTAATTTTGTGTTTCCTTATAAATTAGTATCACACGCCTATCTGGAATGAGTATTTAATGGTAAGCTTTCATTAATATTTAAACTATAAATGTACACAAAATATGGAGAGCTTCCAACAAACACCATTTTCTGAATAGAATTTTGCCAATTCTTTTGAGTTTAATATCTTTCCCGAAGAATAAATCAAGTAATCATGTCAAGGTATTTCTAACAGCAATAGATCTATATGTCAAGGACAGTCTGACATTCATTAATCCATAATGAAAAGTGAAAACTCAAAGAAAAACAGACCATTTCTTCCTTGGTGTCAATTTAATTAATCAAGTAGTTAGACAGTAGCAGGACAGTAGCAGGACAAAAAATGCTGAAACAAAAGTGAAGTATCTATTTGTCCACGTTGTAGAGGAGGTTGGATTAGACACACTAAAAGGAGCTATGATTTTATGAATCTAAAATATCACAAGGGTAATAAGAATCAGGATCAAAGAGTACCGAGTCTCAAAATAGAGAAGTTTAGTAAAAACACATCATAAACAATTTATAGTATAGAATCCCTATGTGAACTCATATTTGGCTGTAAACCTGCCACGTTATGCTGGAGTAGTTGTTGACGCCTGCCATGTCATCTTGGCACTTGTCACACCAAAGGCTGCTTAACATAAACATATGTGACTCTCTTTGACCTTTGTCTGCCTGTGGACTATACTTGGCCAGTGTGGAAGGCAAGCCAGAAGTAGTTGAGAGTTAAATCTCTGAGAGCAGCATTCAGCCAATGGTGAAAGTGAGGTGACGGATAAATACCCCAGCTTCCTTGGCCTTCAGTTGGGATAGCTTTGGTCACAACTCCACCCTAATACCCAGGTTCTCCAGCAGGATTTAGCTCAAGTTGCCCAAAGTGATAAAGTATCTGAACAATGCTGCGCCATTGCTTGGCTTCCTTTTTGCTCTCTAACCCTCTTCCCTACTTCCTACTGGTATCTCTAGGGATCACCTCCTGAAGAAACTACTTACACAGGACATTTTGTCTCTGGGTTGACTGCTGGGGAACACAAACGCTAAGCAGATATATTCATTCTAGAATGAATCGAGGAACTTTATATGTGATTAGTTAAGTGAGACTGACTAACATTGGACAAGAAAAAGCAACTAGCTAATTGTTGACTAAGATGCCATTTTATAAAGTATGAATAAATTGTGTGAATGACAAAATGTTGCTAGGTATTCTAACAGTATTTCTCAACCTTGGCAAACTGACATTTTGACACAGATAATTGTTTGTTATGGAGACTGTTCTGTTCATGGTAAGATGCTTTCCAACATTCCTGGCCTCTACCCACTAGATGCCAGTAGCTCTTTCCCTCCTGTTGTGACAACCAAAAATGTTTCTAGACATTGTCAAATATACAGGAAGGAGGGCAAAAATCATCCCCAATATCCCCCATTAAGAACCACTGAATTGGCCAGGCACTGTGGCTCACGCCTGTAATCCCAGCACATGGGAGGCCAAGGGTGGGCAGACAGCCCGAGCTCAGGAATTCAAGACCAGCCTGAGCAACATGGAGAAACTCCTATCTCTATAAAAAGAAAAAAAAAAACCACAAATTAGCTGGGCATAGTGGTGCATGCCTGTAGTTCCAGACACTTGAGCCCAGAAGGTTGAGACGGCAGTGAGTTGTGACTGTACCATTGCATGCCAGCCTGGGAAACAGAGTGAGACGCTGCCTCAAAAAAAAAAAAAAAAAAAAGAAAAGAAAAAAGGAAAGAACCACCCAATTACCAAATGACTTCACTTAATGCATCCCAATTAAAGTCTTTCAACTATCACGGAGTGAATACTATGTACCACACATTTAGTGGATGAAGAAAAAAAACACATATATGCCTGTTTTCACCGAGTTTTTCAGTCAGAAGAAAATAATGAAAACAATTACCTCACAGTGAAAAACTATCCTTAATTGAGACATTTCCAATGGAGGCTGTGGTATGAATAATTTCTTCTCTACCCCACCCCCTCCATGTCATAACTATTTCAAAATTGTGAGTGTCTGTCTGCAAATTGTGTATGATTTTAGTTCTGATGAAGCAAATGACTGTGATTTTTCACAGTAAAATTTCTTCATGACGATGAGATATCTGCCCTTGGTTCTTGCTTCATGACTCTGTGCTGAAATATGATGGGAAACTGAGCACATTTTGCTGTCTGTCACTACTGCAGCTTTATTCTTTTCCTTTCATTGTTGCCTGTACTTTACCAATACCTTCCACCTACCTTCTCCCTAGAAGTTTTATAAAAGAGCATACATACTGCAATTGAACAAATTCAAATGATTATAATAACAGCAAAAAAATAGTTTAAGAAGCACTGGAAGGTGATTTTTCTTTATTTTTAGATGAATTTGCTTAGAATTTCTATGAAGTTTTTCTCCTAACCTTATATAATTTTTTTCTTATGAATCATACTGAAATTGTCTTCACCATGTCCTGGTATGACTGTTGTAGGAGGCATAGTCCGGCTCCCCCTACCCCACCATATCTCTTTGTGTTTACCAATCCTGTAGGTATGGAAGGCCTCCTTGACTGACACTCTACTTGAGAGCTTTCTCTTGTCCCATAGACCTGTGCATGGGATACACAAAAATTGAAAAGTGCAGCAGCATTAATGATTCCAGAGCAACCCTCAGCCAATGATGTATGAGAGCTGGAGAATAACTAACCCCATTTCTAAGGTGCTTCCTACACTCTCTTACAGAGTTTTCCAAAGGGTTTGAGCCACAGTGCATCTTGTTCATTGGCTTTCTTTCCTTCCATGTCTCACTTCTTCATGTCCCTACAATGTCATCTCGGATCACATCCCCAATAAAGCATTCCAAAGCATACTGCATTGCAAGAACTCAGCATTTCAACTCAGATTGAAATAATGGATCAAAAGAAAAAAGATCATCACTTTTGAGAGTTAGCAATCTAGCAGGAATGGTAGAAATTATTAATAATAAATAAAATATTACTATTCTCTTACACACTACATTAGATCTGGAGTTAGAAACTCTGGCTGGGGATATGAAATTATTATATGTCTATGTATTTTCTCCCTATTGATTTTCTTTTGAAGGTTGGGAGAGGGTAATGTTACAATAGTATTAAATAAAAATCCTTTTGTATTTTGATTTGTTTTTTAATATCTTGGATATTTTTTAATGCCACCCTTTTCTCTTGAAAGTCAGAATTGCGATAATCAGTTCTCAGAGAAGCACATGAGAAAAATCATAATTTGTTCAGCAAGCACATAATCCTTCTTATTCATACTCTGATCTGACGAAAGCTACATTAGTGGGTAATGTCATCACGTTGGTAGTTCTAAAGACACATTCCAGCACCTGGTGTATCTGCAGTGATTGCATTTCTGCAGAAATCCACAGCTGACATTAAGATTAAGATGCTGCTTGGTACTCCAACGCGTAGAAAGTGTAAAATCTCCTAGTTGTAGCAGAAAACAATGGCGTATTGTTGAAGTGACAGACGCTCAAAGTTACTGAAGTAAAGGAGAACAACTGCTATTTAAAATTTAACACTTAAATGTTTTATCCGGGTTTTCGAAATTCATATCGCAAGTGATTTATACAGTGCTATTTTGCTATTTTCAAGTCTCTGTTAATATAGTGGTGGGTGTAATACACTCTTAATACATAATATGAAACCATTTTGTCCTCCTTTTAGCTAAACGTGTTAAAAGATAAAATGTGCATATAATTGTGTTTGTGAGAAGAGTGTTTTCAAGTAAAGAAACATTGACTACAGGAATAATTTTGCAATTGGGAGATAAATATTTCCAATTTCTTTACTTCCCTAAAGACAAAAGATCATATGACAACACAGAAATGACATGTACATTGTTTTGAACTATAAACTACTTTCTGTGTATAAAGGAACATTGCTTTAGAGCAAAAGGTTTTTTTAATTTATTTTCTTTTTCTCTTGTCAAGATACTTCTCAGAATAATGTTGTTAAGTGCATGAACTAAAGCACACAGGAATACCAAGGCAACAAATGATTTTTCAAATACAATTATTAAGCTACAAATAGAACATATATGTGATATAGCAAAATACATGCACCCCTTTAATAGCATATTAAAAAGCAAGATTTAAGAGTGGTTCTAATAACAACCATAATTTTTAAGTAAAGATGAGCAATATTTTAAGATGTTTTCAAAACTTATAATGTGATACAAAAAATGTTTGTGATTTCTATTAGCAATGGAGTCATAAATACTGCTAATACTATAGTGGTTTGTTGCATACATGCATAATTAAAGGACTTACTGAAAATATAACTGTAAACTTTGTATATTTTAACACTTAAGTTCACAAACTCCCTGAGTTCTATCAGGAACCACTTGATAAGAACTCCTGTTTTAGAGTATCAATATGACATTGACTGATAATGCTAAAAGAAGCTTGAGGATCTAATCTAACTCCAACTTGTGTTAACAGAGAAGCAGCTAGAAGTTTTCAATGTTTCTACAATATAAGGTTTCATTTTTCAAAAGGAGGATTCTTTTTTTTTTATGCTTTAAGTTCTAGGGTACATGTGCACAACGTGCAGGTTTGTTATGTATGTATACATGTGCCTTGTTGGTGTGCTGCACCCATTAACTCATCATTTACATTAGGTATATCTCCTAATGCTATCCCTCCCCCATCCCACCTCCCCCCACCCCACGACAGGCCCTTGTGTGTGATGTTCCCCACCCTGTGTCCAAGTGTTCTCCTTGTTCAATTCCCACCTATGAGTGAGAACATGCCGTGTTTGGGTTTTGTCCTTGCGGTAGTTCGCTGAGAATGATGGTTTCCAGCTTCATCCATGTCCCTACAAAGGACATGAACTCATCATTTTTTATGGCTGTGTAGTATTCCATGGTGTATATGTGCCACATTTTCTTAATCCAGCCTATCATTGATGGACATTTGGGTTGGTTCCAAGTCTTTGCTATTGTAAATAGTGCCGCAATAAACATATGTGTGCATATGTCTTTATAGCAGCATGATTTATAGTCCTTTGGGTATATACCCAGTAATGGGATGGCTGGGTCAAATGGTATTTCTAGTTCTAGATCCTTGAGGAATCACCACACTGTCTTCCACAATGGTTGAACCAGTTTATAGTCCCACCAATAGTGTAAAAATGTTCCTATTTCTCCACATCCTCTCCAGCACCTGTTGTTTCCTGACTTCTTAATGATCACCATTCTAACTGGTGTGAGATGGTATCTCATTGTGGTTTTGATTTGCATTTCTCTGATGGCCAGTGATGATGAGCATTTTTTCATGTGTCTGTTGGCTGCATAAATGTCTTCTTTTGAGAAGTGTCTGTTCATATCCTTCACCCACTTTGTGATAGTTTTTGTTTTTTTCTTGTGAATTTGAGTTCTTTGTAGATTCTGGATATTAGCCCTTTGTCAGATGAGTACATTGCAAAAATTTTCTCCCATGTTGTAGGTTGCCTGTTCACTCTGATGGTAGTTTCTTTTGCTGTGCAGAAGCTCTTTAGTTGAATTAGATCCCATTTGTCAATTTTGGATTTTGTTGCCATTGTTTTTGGTGTTTTAGACATGAAGTCCTTGCCCATGCCTATGTCCTGAATGGTATTGCCTAGGTTTTCTTCTAGGGTTTTTATGGTTTTAGGTCTAACATTAAAGTCTTTCATCCATCTTGAATTACTTTGTGTATAAGGTGTAAGGAAGGGATCCAGTTTCAGCTTTCTACATATGGCTAGCCAGTTTTCCCAGCACCATTTATTAAATAGGGAATCCTTTCCCCATTGCTTGTTTTTGTCAGCTTTGTCAAAGATCAGATGGTTGTAGATGTGTAGTATTATTTCTGGGGGCTCTGTTCTGTTCTATTGGTCTATATCCCTGTTTTGGTACCAGTACCATGCTGTTTTGGTTACTGTAGCCTTGTAGTGTAGCTTGAAGTCAGGTAGCGTGATGCCTCCAGCTTTGTTCTTTTGGCTTAGGGTTGACTTGGCAATGCAGGCTCTTTTTTGGTTCCATATGAACTTTAAAGTAGTTTTTTCCAATTCTGTGAAGAAAGTCATTGGTAGCTTGATGGGGATGGCATTGAATCTATAAATTACCTTGGGCAGTATGGCCATTTTCACGATACTGATTCTTCCTATCCATGAGCATGGAATGTTCTTCCATTTGTTTGTATCCTCTTTTATTTCGTTGAGCAGTGGTTTGTAGTTCTCCTTGAAGAGGTCCTTCACATCCTTTGTAAGTTGGATTCCTAGGTATTTTATTCTCTTTGAAGCAATTGTGAATGGGAGTTCACTCATGATTTGGCTCTCTGTTTGTCTACTATTGGTGTATAAGAATGCTTGTGATTTTTGTACATTGATTTTGTATCCTGAGACTTTGCTGAAGTTGCTTATCAGCTTAAGGAGATTTTGGGCTGAGATGATGGGGTTTTCCAAATATACAATCATGTCATCTGCAAACAGGGACAATTTGACTTCCTCTTTACCTAATTGAATACCCTTTATTTCTTTCTCCTGCCTGAATGCCCTGGCCAGAACTTCCAACACTATGTTGAATAGGAGTGGTGAGAGAGGGCATCCCTGTCTTGTGCGAGTTTTCAAAAGGAATGCTTCCAGTTTTTGCCCATTCAGTATGATATTGGCTGTGGGTTTGTTATAAATAGCTCTTATTATTTTGAGATATGTCCCATCAATACCTAATTTATTGAGAGTTTTTAGCATGAAGTGCTGTTGAATTTTGTCAAAAGCCTTTTCCACATCTATTGAGATAATTATGTGTTTTTTGTCTTTGGTTCTGTTTATATGCTGGATTACATTTATTGATTTTCGTATGTTGAACCAGCCTTGCATCCCAGGGATGAAGCCCACTTGATCATGGTGGATAAGCTTTTTGATGTGCTGCTGGATTCAGTTTGCCAGTATTTTATTGAGGATTTTTGCATCGATGTTCATCAGGGATATTGGTCTAAAATTCTCTTTTTTTTTGTTGTGTCGCTGCCAGCCTTTGGTATCAGGATGATGCTGGCCTCAGAAAATGAGTTTGGGAGGATTTCCTCTTTTTCTATTGATTGGAATAGTTTTATAAGGAATGGTACTAGCTCCTCCTTGTACCTCTGGTAGACTTCAACTGTGAATCCATCTGGTCCTGGACTTTTTTTGGTTGGTAGGCTATTAATTATTGCCTCAATTTCAGAGCCTGTTATTGGTCTATTCAGGGATTCAACTTCTTCCTGGTTTAGTCTTGGGAGGGTGTATGTGTCCAGGAACTTATCCATTTCTTCTAGATTTTCTAGTTTGTTTGCATAGCAGTTCTTATAGTATTCTCTGATGGTAGTTTGTATTTCTGTGGGATAGGTGGTGATATCCCCTTTATCAGTTTTTATTGTGTCTATTTTATTCTTGTCCTTTTCTTCTTTATTAGTCTTTATTAGGGAATGAAACTGACTACTAATAGGTAAACGGTTTCTTCTGGGGGGAACAAAATGTTCAAAAGTAGGTAGTGGTGATGGTTTTACAACCTTTTAAATTTAAGAAAAATATACTTTGAGTGAGCTATATGATATGTGAATTACATCTCAATAAAGCAATTTTAAAACAGAAAGTAAAAAAAAGTTAGAATGGCTATATTAATATCAAAGTTGACTTCAGCACAAAAATATTACCAGAGATAAGGATGGACATTCTATGATGAGAACTACGTCAAATTACCAAAGAAACACAACAATCCTAAATGGATATGTACACAACAGCAGAGTTTCAAAATACACAAAATAAAAATTGATGAAATATTAAAAGGAAAAGTAGACAAATTCACAATTATAGTTGAAGACTTTAACTCTCTTCTCTATTTGCTAGGTTTGTGATATGATCTGGCACTGTGTCCCCACCCAAATCTCATCTCAAATTGTAATCCCCATGTGTTGAGGGAGGGATCTGGTTGGAGGTGATTGGATCGGGGGGCATTTTTTTCTATGCTGTTATCCTGATAGTGGGTGAGTTTTTACAAAATCTGTTGGTTTAAAAGTGTGTAACGTGACAATTCGCCACTTGTTCTCTCTCTCTCTCCCTCTCTCTCCTGCTCTGCTGTGGTAAAGACACGCTTGCTTCCCTTTTGCCTTCTGCCATGATTGTAGGTTTCCTGAGGCCTTCCAGTCATGCTTCCTGTAAGCCTGAAGAACTGTGAGTCTATTAAACCTCTTTTCTTCATATAAATGGCCCAGTCTCGGGTACTTTGTTATAGCTGTGTAAGAATGGACTAATACAGTGTGTTTACTGAAAAGACCTGGAAGCAATGAAACTATTAAAAAAGGTCACCTAGCATTCATATCTTGGTTTCTAAATATCCTCACTAATAAAATGTAGTGGGTGTCCTTGATAAAATGGCTGATTTCAGAAGGATGAAGCCGGAAACCATCATTCTCAGCAAACTAACACAAGAACAGAAAACCAAACACCACATTTTCTCACTCATAAGTGGGTGCTGAACAATGAAAACACATGGACACGAGGAGGAGAACATCACACACTGGGGCCTGTCGCGGGGTAGGGGGCTAGGGGAGGGATAGCATTAGAAGAAATAACTAAGTGGATGCCAGGTTAATGGGTGCAGCAAACCACCATGGCACATGTATACCTATGTAACAAACCTGCACGTTCTGCACATGTGTCCCAGAACCTAAAGTATAATTAAAAACAAAACAAAAAAAGAACTACGACATGGAAAGTATAAGATGAGCATACAATATTTTGCACCGGATGTAGGAAAGTGTTCAGTGAATCATGGGGACATATCAGAACAACACTGAAGTCAGTTTGAAAGGACTACCATGGACCAAATCTGAGAAAATTGAACAACAAAATACGTGGTCATAGTAATGAATTATAATCCATAGAATAAAATAAAACTCCATAAGTCCATATTGATTTAAATAATAATGCAATAAGCTTTTTCTTAAAAGATAATTCTAATAATAAATACAGAAGTAATGGTGGAATGAGAAAACAATAGTAGGCAATCAGTATAGTAATAATTTTTTTTATTTTTTTGAGACAGAGTCTCACTCTGTTGCCCAGGCTGGAGTGCAATGGCACAATCTCACCTCACTGCAACCTCCACCTCTGGGGTTCAAGTGATTCTCCTGCTTCAGCCTCCTGAGTAGCTGGGATTACAGGCGCACACCACCACGCTTGGCTAATTTTTGTATTTTTAGTAGAGACGGGGTTTCACCATGTTGGCCAGGCAGATCTCGAACTCCTGACCTCAGGTGATCCGCCCACCTCAGCCTCCCAAAATGCTGGGATTACAGGTGTGATATAGTAATAATTTTAAGGCAGGGATCATAAATAGATGCTAAAACTAATGGGCAAAGGTCTAAAAGTATCTCCTTCCAAGACATTTGTTAAATATAAGGAGGGAATTAATAACTTTTTAGTGGAGAGAACTGGCAGAAAACTGCCACCTTAAACAGGTGATCAGAGTTAATATTATCAGTAACAGGAGAAATTGGCATCATATACCTACTAATATGATGCACTGAGGACACTTTTGTGATATTCCTGCCAAAAATGCATGACCTGAATCTAACCACTAAAAAAATCAGATAAACATATTGAAGCGCTTTCTGCAAAATAATTGGCCTGTACTCTTCAAAAATGTCATTAACATGAAAGACCAAGGACTGAGGAAATACGTCAGAAAAAGACTAAAGAGGCATGAAAACTAAATGCACTGTGTGATCCTGCATTGATCCCTTGACCAGGACAAAAAAATGATGTCAAAGACACTAATGAGATGATAAAATTTGAATAAGGACTATAGATTGAAGTATTGTGTCAATATTAATTATCAGATTTTTGTAAGTGTCTGTGATGGTGTAAGAAATGTCCTTGTTTGTAAGAAATACATGCTGATGTCTTTAGAGATTATAAAAGTGCTGTGGACAAGGGGCAGTGGGAGGATTTCTGAGGAGCGTGTAACCTGACTCCAAATGTGATGAAAGGCTTTCCATAGGAACTGAGAGACTCACTTGTCTTTTAGTTTCCTATGGCTGCTATAACAATTCACTGCAAACCTGGTGGCTTAAAACAACTCAAATTTATTATCTTAAATTTTGGAGGCCAGAAGTCCAAAATGTGTCTCAGTGGGGTAAAATGAAGATGTCACTAAGGCTGTAGTCCTTCTGGAGGCCTCAGAGAAGAACCCCTTCTGTACCTTTTCCAGATCCTGGAGATTGCCACATTTTTAGCACTTTGCCTCAGTCTTTCATCTTTAAAGCTAGAAATGATGGATCAAAATTTTCTCAAATTGTATAAATTTGGCACTAATTCTGCTTCTTCTGCACTCTTTCAATTTTAAGGGTGTTTGTGATTACTCTGGGCCCACCCTAATAATCTAGGATAATCTCTCTAATTTAAGGTCATCTGATTAGCAACCTTAATTCCATCTGCAATCTTAATTTTCCTTTGCCATGTAGCCTAACCTATACACAGGTTCTAGACATTAGGGCATGGATATCTTTGGGTCGCTGTATTCAGATGACTACAAAAAAGCTCACTTTTCCTTCTGTACCAGGTATGATACTGTTATTTAGTATAGAAAACCAACTCATATTGGCATATTGGTTTATTGACTAAGGGCATTTTTTGGTTTATGCAACTGAAAAGTGCAGAGGAAGGAGTTAGATTTAGAATAGGCTTAATACCTTGATACAGATCAGCTGTTTCTTCCTTGCATTTAAGAGCTAACCAAAGACTTCATGTTTTCTAATTATCAGGGAACACAGAGAAGGTGTTGGTGCAGAGTCAAAAACAGTGTCTGGTTGGTTTTACCTTGAGGTTGGGTAACTCATGCAATATGAGTTTGTGACCAAAAATTGAATTTATGAGACCTGTGACAAACATCTTGGGATCACATGGGTAAATGACAGGATGACATCAATGTGAAAACAACAGAGCAGAGAGATTGGCAGAAACCAGGGTAAGCAAGAACTTCACCTGAGCCCCTTGATAAGAAGCGTTTTCTGGCCAGAGGACTTTGTGTCTGGGGACAAAAAAGAAAGAGAAGCTTGTGGTTATAACATTCAAGGCCCTTCCAGTCTCACCAGATGACAAGGCAGCACATAGTACACTGTGCCTTAACTTTAGGCTTTGCTGTAGTTTGAATATTTATTTCCTTTAAAACACATGTTGAAATTTAATCCCCAATGTGGCACTAATGAGAGGTAGGGCTTTTAAGAAGTGATTGGATCATGAGGACTCTGCTTATGAATAGATTGATCCATTCATGCATTAATGGATTAATGGGTTAATTTGGAAGGGAAACCAGTTACTTTATAAGAAAATCCAGCATGTTCGTATGCTCAGCTCCCTTGCCCTCTGATGACTGGTGCCAACTTTGGACACTGCAGAGAGACCCCACCAGCAAGAAGGCTCTCACCAGATGTGTCTTGTCAACCTGGGACCTCTCAGCCTCAATCACAAAACAAATAAATTCCTTTTATTTATAAATTGCCCAGTTTCAGGTATTATTATAAGCAACACAAAACCAACTAAGACGGGCCTTATACAACAGATATTTTCTTCTATTCCTAGTTTGTGAAGAGTTTTTATTATGACTGGATGTTGAATTTTGTCAAATGCTTTTTCTGCATCACTTGGGTTGATTATGTAGTTTTCTTCTTTCTACTGTTAAAATATGGTGCATTTTATTGATTAATGTTCTAATATTTTAAAGCCTTACAATTCTACGATAATTCTCACTTGGCTGCGTGTTGTGTATGTTATACACAATATATATTGTGTGTATTATTCTTTTTATAGATTACTGGATTCCATTTGCTAGTATTTATTGGGGATTTTTGCATCCATGCTCACGATTAACATCGAACTGTAGTTTTCTTAATTCATACTGCCTTTATCTGATTTAGGAATCAGGATAATGCTGGCCTCAGAACACAAATTGAATGTAATCTGCACGGTCTATTTCCTGGAAGAGATTGTGTAGAATTGTTGTTATTTCTGCATGAAACATTTTGTCGATCTCATCAGTGAAATTGTTTGTGCCTAAAAATTTCTTTTGTTAAAGGTTGTTAGCAACAAATTTAATTCCTTTAATACATATGAGAGTATTTAGATTAACTATTTCATTTTGGTTAAATTTTGGTAGTTCGTGGTTTTTAAGGAATTGGTTCATTTTATCTAAGATGGCAAATTTATGTTCATAGAGTTGTTGGTATATCACTTTATTATCATTTTTTATTTTTATAGGGATATTTTCTTTTTCCTGATGTTGATAATTTATGTCCTTTCTCTTTTTATCAGTCTTGACAGAGATTTATTAATTTTACTGATCTTTTCAAAGACTCAGATTTTGGTCTCATTGAGCATTCTTTATTTTTCAATATTTTTAATTTCATTAATTTTTGCTTGCTTTGCTTCATTTTACTTTTTCTTTTCTGGTTTATTATGGTAGAATTTTAGAGTGTTGACACTTTGTTTTGAATTTAAGTATCTCATGCTATAAATTCCATCTAACAACTGTAGTAACTGCATCACACAAACCTTAATATCTTGTATTTTAATTTTCATTCAAATCAAAATGTTTTCTATTCCCTGGAGACTTCCTGTTCTACCAATAGATTATTTGAAAATGGATTGTTTCATATCCAAATGTTTCAAGATTTTCCTGTTTCTTTCTGTGAATGCTGTTATGATCAAAACACACACTTTGTACGATGTCAATTCTTTTAAATTTGTTAAGATGTGTTTTATGACTCACAGTTAGGTCTCTCTTGATGAATGTTCTGTGCACATTGGAAATAATGTGTATTCTGCTGATGATACCAATTAGACATATCGGTTAGATCCAATTGGTTGATGGTGTTTTTCAGTTGTTCTTTAACTTTGTGATCTTCCGCTTCTTAGCTTTATTAATCACTAAGATAGAAGGGTTGAATTTTTTAAAGATGTCTGTGGTTTATCTGTCCCAGCTTTCAGCTTTGTCAGTTTTTCCTTATATTTTAATTTCTCATTGTTTACTTTGTACACATTTAGGGTATTATATCTCCTTGGTGAACTGAACTTTATAATTATCCCTGCAAATTTTCCTTGCTCTAATCTTTTTAGAAAGTCTACCTAGTCACTCAAGCTTTCTTTGACGGTTGTTTGCATGGTGTATCTTTTCCTATTCTTTTACTTTTAATTAACTTATATGACTATATTTAAAATTAATTTATTTTGGGAAAAATATAGCTAAATCATGCTTCATATACATTTTGAGACTTTCTTAATTGTTGTGTTTAGAACATTTATATATTATGTAATTATTGATATGTTTGAATATAGCTCTACTATTATTTGTTTTTTCTCTGTTTTTGTGTCCTTATTTTCCCTTTCCTGCCATCTTCTGGGTTATTTGAACATATATTTGCATGTCATCTTAATTTACGTATTTTAGTTTTTGACTATACAGTGGTTGCTTAACTTTTCACAGTCCCCTTGCAAAAAATATTTGACCACTTCCAGTTGTATAGTCATGTTATGTATTTTATCTACAAACACTAACAATATCCAAAAATATTATATTTTTGCTTTAAATTATCAAATACATTTGAAAGAACCAAATAACAAAATAATTATATATTTTCCCAGATACCATGTCTGCTGCTCTTTCTTCAATGTTGTATCACCTCACTTTGGTCAACACATTTCCTTTGACGGATTTTTTTAGAGCAGACCTTCTGGTAAGAAGTTCTCTTAGTTTTCCTTCATCTGTATTTCACCTTCATCACTGAAGGATATTTGCATCCTTCAGTACGTCTAGAGCGTTATCGGTGTATTTCGACTTCATTACTGAAGGATATTTTTGCTGGATATAGAATTTTGGCTTGACTGTTCTTTCCTTTCATCATCTTAGAAATACTGTACCTCAGCATTTGTCCTCTCCGGAAGCCGTAGCCGGGCACTACCTTGGAAGCAGAGAGACCAGGCTCTCACCAGCTATCACCTTGGTCTTAAAGTTCCCAGCCTCCAGAACTGTGAGAAACAAATTTCTATTATTTCTTTTAAAATGTTATGCCTCCAGAGTCTTTTTTATGATAACTCAACAGTCATTCAAATTGTTCTGCTGTAATATGTCATGTATCTCTCTTTGCTCTCAATTATATATATATATGTGTGTATATATATATTTTATTATCATTTTTTATGTCTGTAGGGATATTTTCTTTTTCCCGATATTGATAATTTGTATATATATATACACACATATATATATAGTTTTAAATAGTTTGATTTTGATGTGTTTAAAAGAGGACTTAGAAGAGTTATCACGTTTGATGGTTGCTTGAGCTTCTGAAAGATTTATGTCACCAAATTTGTGAAGTTTTTAGTCTTATTATTACTTCAGTTTTTTTCCCACACCGCATGCTTTTTAATCTCCTTCTGCAACTGCAATGGCATGTACATTAGACTCTTTGATATTGTTCCATAGGTCTGTGAGTGAGGGTCAGTTCAAAAAAAAAATCGTATGTCTTTCTCTTTGTTATTCAAGTTAAATCATTTCTACTGATCTATCTTAAGGTTCAATGACTTTTTTCTCCATCATTTATATTCTGTTATTGACTCTATCTAGTGAATTTGTTGTTATTATATGTTTTTAGTTCTAAAATTTCTATTTGGTTCTTCTTTATATCTTATATTTCCTTGCTGAAACTTTCTCTCTTTCCATTTGTTTTAAAACTCTTCATCCTTAACTTGTTAGAGCATTTTTATAGTAGCTGCTTTGAAGTCTTCATCAGGTTAATTCCAACAATGTATTATGTTATGATTAACACATTTATTTACTTTTTCCAAGTGAATTTAAATTTGTTTGTGTTCTTTATATGGCACATAATACTGAATTATATTCTAGACATTTTGAATATTACATTATGGAACTCTGGGGATATTGTGTAAATCTGAGGGAAAATGTGTATATTTTTGTTTTGGCAAGTAATCCACTGGGCTGGCCTCATCCTGCAAGTTCCAATGAGCCCTCTGTAGAATGTGGTTCCAGGAGCTGTTACGTTTTCCAAGACTCTACTGTGCTATTTGAATCTGCCTCATGTGTGCCTCTCCAAGCAGTCAGTCTGGGACCTGAGTAGTGGGAACTTCTCCTGGACCTTTCTCTGTCTACATCAATGTTGATTTTATGTTGAGTTTCACTGAGTTGAGGTGAACGGAAAACCAGAGGGGGAAAAATGGTAACCTCGCCATACATCCTAAGTCTTCTTTCTCAGTCCACCTGGTACTATTTATATTTTTTAATTGTAGTAAAATAAACTTAATATACAATGTAGCATTCCTGTTTGCCTGCTACAGCTGCCATCAAAAAATTCCTCAGACCAGCTGGCTTCAATAGCAGCAATTTATTTTCTCAAGTTCTGAAGGCTGGAAGTGAAAGCTTAAGGTGACAGTGGGTCTAGTTTCTCCTGAGGCCTCCCTGCGTTGTTGAAAGCAGACATCTTTTTGTTATTTCCCCACATAGCCTTTTATCTATGTGCACATCCCTGCTGTCTCTTCCTCCTTCTTATAAGTTCCACCTTTATGATCTTATTTAAACTTAATTACCTCTTCAAAGTTCTTAACTCCAAATACAGTCACATTCTAAGGTAATAGGGGTTAGAATTTCAATATATGAACTTGGGAGGGGGGACACAATTCAGTCCGTAATACCATCTTAAATATTTTAAGTAAAAAAATTCAGTAGTATTAAGTGCATTAACATTGTTGTGCTACCACCACTATCCATCTCCAGAACTCTTTTCATCTTGCAAAACTGAAGTGCTATACCCATTAAACAACTTGCTATTCTTCATTCTTCCCACCCCCTGGCAACTACCCTTCTACTTTCTGTCCCTAAGAGCGTGACTACTCTAGGTGTTACCAAGCAAAAAAGGCTCACTGCCCAATGTGCTAGAAACCAACATTATGGCACTGGGTTTTGAGGAAAGGAAAAGCATTTTATTGCAGGTTGACCAACAAGGAGACAGGAGTCCTGACCAAGTCTGTGTTCCTGTGCTGACTTTAAGGCAGTCCATTTATTAGAAAAAAGTTTAGGTGGTGAATTCTGGGATTAGCAGGTGATTTATGGAAGGAAAGGGAAGGTCTGGAAAGTCCTTAGCCATACATGGGTCCCATGTGAAAATTTGAGAGAGTCAGTATGAAACATGTAGTGGAAATTCAGGCTGTGATGTCAGCGAGTTCATTCAATGCAAACTCTGGTGAGCTATATTGGCTCCAATAAATTTCAGCCAATTTTGTTATCATAGAAGTGAAAGGAGTTTCAGCTTTTCAGCAAGTTGTTTCTTTTCTTCTTATTTGCCATCCTGCAAACTTGACAATTTCTGTTAGTCATGGGTTTCCTTAATTCTTTGGAGCACAATTTTTTAGGTATCTCATATAAGTGGAATTATTCATATTAGTCTTTTTGTGACTGGTTGGTTTCACTTAGCATAATGTCCTCAAGGTTCATCCATGTTGTTGGTTGTGTCCTAATTATATTCCTTGCATGTATGTACCATATTTTATATATTCATTCATCATCAAAGAACATTTGGATTGCATCCACCTGTTGGCTATTGTCCATATATTTACTTTTTAGAGTCCTCAAGTAGCTGGTCCAAACCTGTTGTCTTAGTCCATTTTGTGCTGCTATAACAGAATACCTGATATTGGGTAATATATAATGAAGAGAAATTTATTTTTTCTCTGTTCTGGAGGCTGGTAAGTTTTAAGATCAAGTTGATGGCATCTGGTGGGGGTCTTCTCGCAGCATCATCACATGGCAAAGGGTGGAAGGGCAAAGAGCAAAAGGGGGCCAAATTTGCCCTTTCACAATGGCATTAATCCCATCTCAATCTACTACCTCCCAAAGGTCTGACCTTCTCTCCCCACCACAGTGACAATCAAATCTCACCATGAGTTTTGGAAAGGACAAACATTCGAACCATAGCACCTGTTCCCCAGGTTTTGTAGTTGCTTTCAATAGGACAGACAGGGTGGAGTGTTCTTACGCTATGTTATCCAGAGCCAGAAGCCACTGAGAAGTTTCATTTTAACCTGCAGGCAAGACACTCCTTATAGGCATAATAGAAATTGTTCTGTGGGATAGTATTTGAAAGACAGCATTCATCCAAATGTGTTTCCTATTTCTTCTTCTACCTAGAGACACTTTGTTTAAATAAAAATATATCCACTGCCTGACATCCTGTTTGAAGATATGCAAAAAAACTTGGAAAAGGTAATACAAAATTTTAAATACAATATTAGTCACTGATATCTTAATGTGATTTTATGGGTACTTTTTTCTTTACAATTAGTTGAAAAGTGGGACTTTGAACAGCTTATGAATAAATAACAACCCACGAAGTAAAAACATGCTGTTTTGATTCCCTCTACTTATTGCCTGCCATTGTCCTGAAATGACATTTGTTAGCTACTTTGAGATAATTATATATGACAATAAAGAATATTTATGAAAAAAAATCTCTGTCAATGAAACTACCTGAATTCCAATCACCATACTAGGGAACTCAGTGCAATTTTTAGATTCTCATTAGGCCTTATTTAAATTAGACACAAAAATAATTTTAAGCCAGAAGCTTTCTACAGATGTTCCCTGATGATGCTGAATTGGAGATTAGGTTTACAGGAATGAAGAATTGACCATCTCAGTAAATGCAGACTAGTTGCTAGCAAACAATCAATCCAATTCCCTTCGACTTAAGAAGTTTAAATTAAGCCTTTCCTAATTTGGAGAAGGTTTCAATTGCTAATAGTATAATTGCACCTGATTTCAAAGTACATGCTGTAGTTTTCTTTTTTTAAGAACTCATTTTTGGAAATAGAGCAATTCCCTCAGCAGAAGGATGATGAAAAGAAAACAACTGAGCTTTCTCTCATCCTCCAGTTTACCACTATATCTCATACCTGATATAACTAATAATAAACGAACAAGTCCTTTTGTTTGCTTGTATGTGTTCCCATATTGTCTTACTACATTATGATTATATTAGCAATTATTGAAGGAGGAATTTGTTCTGCACCTTCTTATTACCATCAACCTATTAATTTACATTGAAATTCCCTCTATGCTTTGCCATTCTGTACTCTTCTGTGTTGAGCCATCTGAGGTTTCAGAGAGAGCTCTCATTATCAAATTAATTCTGAAAGAAGTAAGCTTTTGCCCTTCCCATTTTTTCAGGAGAGACGTACTAACAGATGTTCTTTTATATTATACACATACTTCCGTTATCCACTTTGGGGGAGTACATGACATATCTGCTTTGTATGATGCAAATGAAGTGTGAATTTGAAAAAAAAATAGTGTCATGGACTTCTTTGTACTTATTTTTTGACCATTTAAATTTTATTAGAGAGTAACCTTTTCCTTATTTCATGTTTAATTAAATCTCTCCCACTCTTCAAAGAAAATAATTTCTTTCCTTCATAAGGTGAATTTGAGACTGCTATTGAACATTTCCTCTAAGTCAATAGCTATTTAGTATCCTTTTCTTAATCAGCAAATGTAGTGCCTGTAAAAGGTGCATTAATTGAGTCAATACTTATTAATTGTATGTTTATGTGAAAATGGCTATGTCTCAAAAGATATCAATCTATAAACTTGCTTTATTTTTCAGGGTAAAAGTTAACCAATTTTTTTTCAGATTTCATTTGAATATAAACTAGGAGACAGTAACCAAACACCACCTGTTCCCCAAAAACCTACTGAAAATAAAAATAAATAATTAATTAGTTAAAAAACAAACTGGGACACAATGTAAAAGAGATAAAATAGTTTTACAGCTGTAAGATTAAATTTTTTAAGTTTTGTTTTATAATAGCATTCATAATTTAGAAGAAAAACACCACAATATAGAAAACAAAAGTTATTTTTTACTCTGGGTGAAACATTTCCATTAGTCTTTAAAGACTCACAATGTACCATGTATTTCAGATGTATGTAATTACAAAACTTTCACAGCATACCTGCTTCTGCTCCAAAAATTTTCTGTGATCTATGCTTGTACTGGTGTTGAAATGTTAGAATGGTTTTATTTCAACAAATATAACTCTATAATAGTATTCTTTCTAAAAGATGAATCAAGTATTCTGAATCTTTGTGTGAGTTGGGGCTAACAATGCAAAATGAGCTATCACATCATATTTTTGCTTACTACTCTGTAGTTCTCAGTAATTATTTTGTCCCATTTGCTGAAGCCTGTGCTTTAAACCTACCTTTTAAAGATAAAGAATATTTTGGTACCTTTTATTTCATGGCTTTGCAATTATAGTAAATCTAAAGGATCAAATCTGTCATATAAAATGATTCATTTATTGAACAAATATTTATTTAGCTCCTACTGTGTCCCAGACACTGTCCTAGGTGATTAAAATATATCAGGGAACACTACAGACAAATATTCCTGTCCTTATGGGGGTTACCCTTTAGCATGGAAGTTTAGAAATATGTGATAAATATAGAAAATATATCATCTAGTGTTTAAAATGATAAGCACAATAGATCAAAGAAAAAGTCAATCAGAGTGAAGGAAAACAGGAGTTGTGATTGGTGTGGAAATACATGTTTTAGTGCTAAACAGATGGTCAGGGTAGGTGGTTAAGGGCAGGACAGAAGGAGGGGAGGAAGTTAACACTGGATATTCTTGGGAAGAACATTCCATGCAGAAAGAATTGTTGATGAAGATCCTAAGGAAAGATTTAGGAGAGCAAAGAAGTCATATGCTTGAAGGTTAAAAAGCAAGGAGGGAAACATCAGGTCTTCGAGGAAGTGAAAGTGCTAAGTATTAGGCTTGATTGCTGTCCACCAACAACAACCATCTCTCATTGCATTAGGGCTTGTTTATGTCACCTGCAAAACTGTCAGCTTTTCAGAAATCCCCCATCTATCTTTTGTGAGTAAATATTACAACTGAATATTTAGATTATTCTGAATTATTTTTAACACATTTAACAAATTAAATAGTATAGGATTGCATCATTTAAAAAGGTAACAAATCAGGTTGGGCACAGTGACTCATGTCTGCAATCCCAACATTTTGGGTGGCCAAGGAGGGAAGATCGCTTGAGGCCAGGAGTTTGAGACTAGCCTGTTCAACACAGCAAGGTGACGTCCCTACAAAAATTAAAAAAATAAAACGATTAGCTGGATGTGGTGGCACATGCCTGTAGCCCCAGCTACATGAGAGGCTGAGGTGAGAGGATCATCTGAGATGGGAGGATCGAGGTTGGAGGCTGCAATGAGCTATGATCATACCACTCTGTTCCAGCCTGGGTGACAGATTGAGACCCTGTCTCAAAATAAGTAAATATATAAATTAAAAAGTAATGAATCAAATATGTTCTGCTTTTAATAGGGGGAATAAAGAAGTCATCTGCAACAATCATCCCATTTCTATCTCAACATCTTATTCTGATAGATTGTTGCCCTGGCTAAGAAGCCTATGAGAGTGAGTCAATGTTTAGAGTTTTATCATTGTAAAAATGTTCACAAAAATTTTGGCTCTAAAAACCAAGTCTCAGACCTAATATTACAAATAACCATAGAAACAAAGCATGCATCCATTGCGTTCCTCTGATTTAAACTGAAAAGAAAGGAAGGAAAGAAGGAAGAAGGAAGAAGAGAGAAAGAAGAGGAAACAAAGGTATAGAAAGCCTGCACAATGACTGGGCACACCAGATATAAAATGAGGCTTAAAATCTCGCAAGGCATGTGTACTATTTCAATATAGAAATTAGATCTGTTGAGAAAAGAGTATAAAATAAGCAACCAGCAAAACACATTCACTTCTCCTAGACTTTGACTAAATGAACACAGTTTACTAGAAACTATATGGACATTAAGATGAAATGCCTCTAGCAGTTTTCAAGCAATAGAGGACATTTTAATTGGTGATACATTTTAAAAGCACAATACATTGGACCTAAATGATTCAAACCAAAACCTTTTCTTTTCCAATGTAGCAAGGGCCCAGTCAGCTATTCATTTCCTATCATAAATGTCAGTATGCTTGATAAAGAGCTAAGATTACCCAGTTTAGTATCATTTGGGGATTTAATAATTGTTATTTCTCTTTCATCAGGCCTAGGATGAAGTTCACTTATTTGATGTTAGAATTTCTATAACCCTACAGATTTGAACTAAGGGATCTGTCATTTTAAAAACATCAACAGACTTGAATCTAATTAAAACTTGGAATATATGAAATTCAAAGTCATATAATTGAAACCTTTGCACTAATTGAATTCCTTCATCACTAATTTAGAAACACGCATCAAACTATAATCAGCTACTTTTATTAAGTGTAATAAAACCACAAAGTTTGTCTTATCATCCATAATAGCTCAGGTGCTCTATTACATGTATAAGGTTTTTTTATTTTATATGTATAACCTGCCTATTTATTTTTAAATCTGTCAAAGAGAGAAATGTTTATATTTTAACTAAGGTTGAACTTTAACCTCCTATATAAATTTTAATTCTCACACAGTTAACTTCAAAACATGACAAATTCCAAAAAACTCAACTGTGATCATGTATTATTGCATTTTCTTTTTATCTTTCAAGGACACTAGTGATTATGGGGTTGAACAAGCTCATTTTTAAGGAGATGATTCTCACCTCTAATTACAGCAATAGGAAGTGCGTGCATAAACTAATATAGTTGTTTAAAAGACTATTCTCAGCTTGATAACTTAGATAATTCTCTTCATTTTTGCATCTACAAGTAAAACAGTAAACTCCTTTTACAGTAATCCCTATGGCCTGTAGAATCTCATCTTTAGAAAAAAAATGATGCCAAATCTAGAGAAAGCACAATCAATGGCCTCTCAGAATTGGCAATCATCCAGAATTGGCAATCATCAAGAGTTGGCATTTCTGTACTTTCTCTACACACTTAGTCTCAAGCCAGTGAAATCTGCATCTTTCCTCTTCAGAAATTCAATATAAATTTTAAGTAGAATCCACTAACAAGAAAATGCGTTCCAAGTAACTGACAACTATTATCTTTCCAGAATAGAAATGAAGAAAATTTTGCCAAAATAGCAAACATCACTTATCCTGCTTATAATAAAACCATGGCATTTACAGTTCACTGTATTCTGTGATGCCAATTCACCTCTGCAAATTTCACTATAAATCGCATGCATTTAAAAGGGACAACGAAAAAATACAAAAGAGATTTGTAGGTTTCAAATCTCTGCAGAAAAGAGATATCTAGTGACATATAGCCCAGAAGCTTCTTTTTCTCTTATCATTCTCTTTTCAGCACAGATGTTTGTATGTAGGAAAATTATTTTTATATATATATATATATATATACACATATATGTACAGGAGATGCTGAAATAAATATATTTTGTGGAACTTACAATGTAAGAGGTTCACAAAAATGAAAAGAGAATCCAACAGTGAGGAAAGAAGAAAATATGATGGGGCAGATAATAAACTTTGAGCCTACCAGAGGGTACACTACAGAAGTAGAGTTGGCTTTTGGAAATAAACCTATATCTTCTGGGACATGAAAAAGTCTAACATTTAATAAATGGCTACCATAATGACCATGATACCATTATCCACTCCAATCTATTCTCTGATGACATATTCTGCTCCTAACATACCTAATTTATTTTACCCTAAAATTCTCAGATCTCCCAGAACTTTAGCATTCCTTATATTTCAGTGTTCATTCCACATTTTTCATGGGTATCACTTTTGGTGATATAGTGGGATATTTTTGGACACCTACCAGGAGGAGGCAATATAATCTTGGTCATCTTTATGTCATCCACTGAAATATATCGCTGGATCACATTATCTAATACTCTATCCTACTCATAGTCCACAAAGGTTGGGAAAGTGAAGTTACAACAGCATTGCTTCAACCTTCTGGCTATTTGCTCTGATTCTGTAAAAGATGCAGTGGGCTACACAATTCTCTTGCGATTTGTGGTATTTCATTTCTTGAGTTAGTCACATTGGTGGTACATACCGAGGATTATTTTTGAGGGGCTGTTTTTATATGTTTCAGTTAGGGAGTATATATGAAGTTGTGCAGGAACATTTGCATACTATTAGCAGTGGTTTGCAGATCCTATAAAGTTTATCACTGTAGCCCCAAGTTATCCATGAACTTCAGGTTAAGAGCCCTGGCTGCAAGAAATCCTTAAAGCACTCCTTGCCTACTTTATCCCCTATCAATCACCATACAGACCAGAAGCAGGCAGCTGTGCTGAGTTGCTTTTCACTTCTGTCTATAAGGAGATGAATTATTGACTCCAGCCCCTCCAAGAAACTGGATGGTGTTTGTGCTCAATAAGGTTTAGCTTCAGTGAGTCAGTGAATAATATTTTCTCAGTATTTTCTCTGTATGAGAACTTATATTCAGCATTATGGGAAGAGGTCAAAAATAAAAACAAAAACTGAGATGTTTATTTTACCATAAATGACCTCAAAATATACTTGGAGATCAAACCCCCTATATGTCCCATATCTTACCCCAATGAATGGTATCTTTATAGACTGACCTTTAATATAAGATGTGTACTTTTCAAATTGGGTTTATCTTTGCAAACATGCTTTTCCTAAGCAAATATTGAACACTGTGTTAGGAATCCCAAGAAGTAACCAAGTGGACATAATGTCTACCATACAAAGGCTTTTACTTTAACTTTATTAGCATAGCATATTATTTTGTTAATATGTTTCCTATACATAAAGATTTTTCTTCTTTTGTCATATTGGGTTTGAGGTTTGAATCATTCTCATCTCCTAGTGTAATTAAAGCATAGTTAGGCTTAGGACACAGTTGACACTTGTCAACTGACTGAATAGTTGATGGGAAGAAAAATACTTTTCATCCCAAGTTAAAAACTACCCATTGCAAAACGTCCTGGACCAAGCAGTCTTGAAGGTCACCACCAACCTAATGTGAAAGAAGGAACCCTTAATCTAAAATACAAAGACTAGACTCACATCCTGCCTATCAGTGACTGCAGCTGTATGACCTTAGACAATTAACATAACCAATCTGGAGCGATTTCTCATTTAAAAATTGGCTGTAATTATGCCTGCCCTATATACCACACAGGGATATTTGAAGCCCAAATTAAATTATGAGCTAGATCTTCTGTCCTAGATATGAGGAAAAGAAACAGAGAAGAATAAAAACAATGTGAGAGCAGATAAAGTAAGTCAGAAATCTTTTTATGTTGGCTAGACATTACCATTGCAGGAAATGAAAGCCAAAGAATATTTTTAAATGTCATGAAGGAACCATCATTAAAGATTTGTGTCCTCTCTTGCAAACTAGTGCTGCTTCCTAGGTCTCCATTTTCTGATCTGATCCATCAACTGAAAAAAATTGCAGTCCCTAAAACACTACAGTTCTGTATTCTTTTAAAAATGAAACTAATTTTACTATATGCATGAGAAAGGATTTTAGCAGAATACAGTCATCCCTTGGTATCCTTAGGGGATTGGTTCCAGGACCCCCACAGATACCAAAATTCGAGGATGCTCAAGTGCCTTATGTAAAATAGTGTAGTGTTTGCCTATAACCTATGCACACCCTCCCATATACTTTAAAGCATCTCTAGATTATTTATAATACCTAATATAATGTAAAGACTAAGGAAATAGTTTTTATACTGTGTTGTTTAGGGAATAAGAATAACAAAAAAATGTCTGTACACATTCAGTACAAATGCAGCTATCCAATTTTTTCCCCAATATTTTTGAACCACAGTTCATTGCATTTGTGGATGCAGAATCCAAGGATATGGAGGGCTGACTGTATATGTAATCAGTCCACATTCTTATACAGTTTCTTTCTAGTATTTTTGATGATTTTTAAAACTATGTGAATTTTTTTTCAGGTAGCAGCAATAAGGGGACTACCACACTAAAAGTGTACTGTGTGCCAGGTTCTAAGCTAAGTTTCTCACATAGTTCATGCTGTACAAACCTAATAATAACTAATGATCTGGATATTTTCATTATTCTAATAAATGAGGCTCATTCTTACGTATCAGAACCTAGATTTGAGTTTGCATTTGAAACCATCTCTTTCTGACGAAAAAGCCCACATTCACTTCAACGTGCTGAAACTGTGTAAGGTAACAGGCATTAGAAAACAAAGTTAGGTAAGGCAAAACCCTTGTTCTTAAGAAGTTTACAGTTTAAAAGAGATAATTAGATGAGTACACAACTGATAAAAAAAGATTAAAAAGAGAGTAAAAAGAGCTCATATTTAATGATTGTTTATACAATGCCAGTTCTGTGTTAAGCATTTGACACCCCCAACAATCCTATGAGATCAATGTGACTGTCATCTCCATTTCACAGATGGGAAGACTGAAGTTTCAGAAAGGTTATATAATTAGCCCCCACTCACATAGCTAGGGAATAGCAGCAGTACTGGGACATGAATTCAGACACTCAGACTCCAGGGGCATCTTGATAACTATTGTAAGAGAAGCACAAAAGTCAATGGCTAACAGAGTGTAAGCTAGCAAATGCTGACTTCGGGAGATAAGAACATAAAAATCTTCATGATAATGCATGTGTGTGTGTATATATGCATGTAAACTAATACATGTTTATGTATATGAATAACTTGAAGGTTTGACTTCTTATCTGGAAATTACCAAAGTTTATGAAGGTATCCATGAAATGAATTACTTTTGCCTGCTAAAATCGAAGTCTGGCAGAATTTTGTAGCAGGTAAACAGGAAATGAATTAGAAAGCATGATAAAGCATGGCACCACAGCTCAGAGTACTTGATCCTCCCACAAATACCAAATCACTATGCAGACCTCCAGGCTTTGTCACTATGTAAGAAAGCTGACTGGTTTCCTTCTTCCAACTGTCCTCTGACTTTACATACCCATCATCAGTGCTATGACCCCTACCATGACTTGAGAATTAAAGGTGAATGGGAACCAAGAAAGAAGGAAAGAGAGCTAGTACTAATTTGGAAGAACTGCAAGACAAAGTTCATGATGTTAAAATGTTCAGTCATGCTACATTAAAATGAACTTGCTGAAGCCTTACAAAAATGATCAGGATAAAAGAAAACTCAGAGAGGCAGAGCGGGTGTGCAAACATGGACAAGTGTGCTTACTGAGGCTGAGAGCAACAGATTGTGGTGATACAATTAGTATTTTTTAATAGCATTAGAAATTAATGCAGGTACAATTGAGTCCCAGAATACACACATTTAACATAAGCAAATTATACTTGATGAAGCCAGCAAAATGGGGGAACCATTTCTGTATTTTCCACCTAGAATTCATCACCTTCAACCCCCATCCCCAAGTTAAATCTTACCCCCAGTAACTCACAGCATAAATGCAGGGAAACAAAACAAGTTACTTTATGGCTGTTAAATCTTGGGAGCACTGGTCAAAGACAGTACAAGCAATTTAGCACTGACTTTCCAACCTAATCCTCAAGTAAGCTACAACTTCACTGCACATATATTCCGATTTCCCATGATTCCAAAACTTCTATCTTAATGTACCATACTATGCATAATAATTAAATACTCTCACCTGAGAATACTATGACTGGATATAAGGTCAAATATCTTCATTGGTTATGTAATACCCATTTTTGTTGAATGTATCTAAGCAACAGTATGGTGGTTGGACTGAAATAATTTAAAGCTCTTTCCAAACCTGGTTTCTGTGATGGTAATGAAGAATATATTTATATACCAACATGCACCTAAGAAAGGTTATTTGACTCTCATTTTAGTTACTTATTGTCTAACTAATAGAAGTGGAATTTTACAGAAACAAATTGCACATGTAGGGCATTTTTATTTTTATATACTCTATTAACATATGGTTTCTTTTAATTTCTATCATACGAAGGAAATAACACAGATTACAAATTGTTCCTTAATGTAGAGGCTCATTCCTGTTCATAGAGCCAATTAATGGCAGAAAGGAGAAAAATGCCCACATTTCCTAAATCCCAGAATGTGCTGCCGTTCTTATCTATGCTACTATCAGCAACTTTATGGTCTCAGTCACCTCTCTGTGACACATTAATCAAAGACAAAGCAAAAAGCCAGTCAGACAAGAGAACCAGGGATGAAAAATTGGGTAAAATTGAATTTTAAAAAATATGAGTCTAATTCTGTGGCTGTACCCATAAGACGCAAAATGGAATGATCAGACACTGATCCTCTCGATGTGATTGTTGTGATCAGTCAAATCCAACATAGTCCTTTGGAATGTGACCATGACCAGCTAGCAACACCTGGTTCAGTCAGGTACAAAAGAAGTTCCTCTTCAAAGGTTTGGCTTGTTCAGCGTCCTTGTTCTTTGTTCCCTACTTTGAAGGCCAAACTAACTTCCTTATCCTTTGTGCCTCCCTGTTTCAGTTTCAGAAACACCTTTCCTGCCCATCCTTATCTACACGGCCCATATCTGCTACCCACTCTGTAAATTACCCCTCCTGTCATAACGGCTCTTCCCAACAAAACTGCCCTATCTGCCAGTGTAACCACATTCCTGCACCATTCAAGTTAACCAATCAGGTTCAGCTTAGATTTTGTGGTCCAACTCCAGCCAGTGGAGGTAAGACACAGTAGCAGGGACAAGCCGCATTAGGGATAAAAACCCCTTCCCTCCTTCATTCAGTGTGCTCTTATGGTGACCAAACTTGTGAGCAGCACCCTTTTGCAGAAATAACTTTTGCCTTGCTGAGAAATCCTTTGTTTAAGTGCTCATTTTCTTTGCAACTCCAAGCTTTACTTCTGACAGTTCCAATCCTAGCTCGAGGACTTCTGGACTTTGTGTCCTTCTGCAAATCATTTCTCTTCCTTAATCCTTAATCTCCTCAGCTATTATATAAGGAATATAATTAATAACCACTAAGTACCTGAAAGCCCTAACATTGCTGACCCCCATCAGGGCAACCCAAGCCTCCATAACCTTAACAATACAATGTGGTTTCAGACCTCTCCCTCATATCTCATGGTTTTTGTTAAGATGATTTTAAATAATATCTGTGAAGGAATTTTATAAATTGTGGAGCACTCTATTGTTTGTTTCTGGTTTTTGGGAGTTGATTTGATTGTCAGTATTAATGTTAAGATTTGAAAATCTTCAAATTTGCACTTCTGTTCATATATGTTGCAAACTTCCCCCTCCTTTAAAAACAATCAACTGGTTATCCCTCAGTTACCTATTTTAAACTATTCATCTTTTAAAGAATTCCAAGAGTTATATGTGAATTGTGGATTTCAGCAATGTTTACTTTGAATGCATTGGTAAAAAGCAGTCTTCATTTTTTTATAAATTCAATGGATTCAATGAATGGAAATTATCAAATTCAAGGAATTATACCTATTCTTCATAGACTTCAGCTTGCTCAGAGAAATAACCAAAGTTTTGTCTTTAATTTGTGTCTGAAATTACAGGTTAAAGAGATGATAAAAATTGTTGTTCAATATGTAAATGAATATTTGCAATAGCAATTAGCAGAAAAGAGCTAAATTTAGACTAGCAGCCAATAACAAAATTCGGGAAAAGAAACATAATAAAAAAGTAATACTATCAGAATCAAAATCAGTATATTATGATTATTCCACAGTTCTGTAGCTTTAACATTATTGTTCTCAACTTTTAGTTTAATGAAGGTATGAATAGGTGTATGCCCATGAATCCACTATTACCTGATACTAATCACTTTCTAAAAATTAAAAGATGTTTGTTTCCTATTTTTGCCATAAACTAGAGTCTTTCTATTTTCTCTCCTCTTCTGTTTCTTGTCTCCACCATCTTTGCCTTCTTCTACTCTCTACAGCAATCTGTTTCCTTCTGATAAGTCTCATATCAACTTTTCTACATGATTCTGAATGTGATGTGTTACATAATCCTGGCAAAGAGAGATAGGGAGATTACTCCTGGAATTCAGAGTGAAAGTGGAAATGGCTCAGGGTCACTTGTGATGCAAGTGTCACAATGTATTCCACAGATCCATTTAATTCACCCCCGTATCTAAACTAAGAATCACCTGTAATATAATGGGAATGGCCATAGATTGGGAGTCAGGACACCTGTCATTGCAACTCATTTACTGCAAGACCTTGGAAAAATCACCTTGCCTCTCTGTACCCATATTTGTCTATCTACTATGTGGCACTCCTTCTTTCTTAATATCTTGCAGGCCAATGATTTGCACACTTCAGATTATTTAAGAGTCACCTGAGAAAAGTGTTAAATACAGATCTGGGGGCTCTCTTTCCAAAATATTCTAATTTAAAAGACCTAGGATGTGGCCTGGGAAATCAACAAGCACTTGAGGTAGCCCTGATGTAAGGAATACATTAGGTTTTTTTGTTTGTTTGTTTTGTTTTGTTTTTAAATTAATTTATAAATTTATAATAACCTGTCCTTGGCTTCTTATAAATGGAATCATTCATATATGATTGGGAAGTCTGGCTCCTCGTATGCAGCATAATGCCTTTAGTATTGATCCATGATATTGATAAATAGTGTTGTTCAAGTCTTCTGTTTTGTTATATTTTAAGTCTGTTTCATAAAAAATAGCATATACTTGGAGCTTGCTTTTATATCTAGTCAGAGAATGTCTGAATTTTCATCAGTGTTAGATCATAACATTATTAACCAAACTAAACAAAAAATTAGGTCCCTATGAACATATTTTGATAAATGTAGAAAAATGTGCCGAGTGCACATCTAGTGCTGTATATTTTCCACTTTTTCTGGCAATGTTGTTGTGTCAACTTAGTATTCCTGACAATAGTTGGTTAGGAGAACAATGAAAATATGTATCTATAAACTGGTGTTGATGTTGCACCATAGTTTTATAGGTTTCACTATGAAGCACAGGCATACACAACCTACAGAAAGTATTATTGGTAAGAATATGTCTTAAAACAGAGAGGAAGTTGGAGGCATTTACAAATCTGTCAAGTTTATAAGCCAAACGAATAGACACAGTTGTCAAACTAAATCCAATAATTTTATTTTAAAAGTATCCTTAAAAATAAGAGATATGTTAATAAACTAATAAGACCAGAGCTAAAAGACCCAAATGAAAAGAAAAAAATAAGTATTGCCAGTGGAAAATTTTTAACTAAAAAAAAAGGCAGTGGTTGGGATAACACAACGGAAATGACTTTTGGGAAGTTATGATAATAGACTCTATTTTCCAAGAGTAGTTATTAACTATATCCCAGAATTAGTGATTAATTTTACATATAAGATTATGTTTAAATCCTTTGTCTAATATAGTAAATCTTTAGTTTGAAAATGGAAATATTCCATTTTCTTCAGGAATGTCTAATTTACTAAGTATCAGAATGAGGCTTTTATTACTCAATATGTTCAATAATATTTGTGAACTGATTTTCTAAATCCTTAATATCTGTGGTTATTATAAACAAAGGAAGCATTCAAAGGGGATTAGAAATATGTGAGTGAATTACCATTTAAATAAATTTGATTCAGCCCAGAAGGGACAATAGAAAGACTTTCGGTCTCCATAAATCCACTTTAATGTCAGTAAACAAATGGCCCAAAGTAGTTTTATCTGGTTCTGGCTGTAAAGGGTGAAATGCAAGAAACAAGACTGGGAAAACGGTCCTTTCTGTATTGCAGCCAGAAAAAGGGAGCTGGCTTCGATTGTGTGCCAGTATGATTTTAGCTCCTTAGCATAAATGTTATCTGTTTGTATAATCTCCTAACTTAATTTATTCATCCATTTTAATATATTTCTAAAATGTAGTTTCCATACATGGCCTCAATTTGTTTCTGAAATGGTCATAATAAAAAGCTCCGAACTAGTATTATAAATGACTACAATGGAACTTTAAATGGTACCATTTAAAGATTCAAAATATGTTGCCCTTCTTAATGATTCAAATTCTGTTAAATTATGTTCATGCTGTTTACTGATTTGTATATTAGAAGAAGGCAAGCATATATATATAAACATATATATATGTATATATGTTATAACATAGAAAGTTGACAGAACTAAAGCAAAGGAGGGGTAGTTAATGATGATAGTGCTGATAATACCAGATTCATGTATCTGATGCTTGTAATAATAATAATATAGTACGTAACATACGGCTCATAGTTCTATATCTCCTGCTGTATGATCATTGTCTCAATTAATCTCCACAACTCTATAAACTATCATTCTTATTACCCCCATTTTACAGTTAAATAAACTGAGGCACAGAAGGATTGGGCTCCAACAGCCAGTCTCTAGAGCACATATTATATAATGTAGGTAAATGGCTGTTTATTTCCAGTGTCTAGCACATAGTACGATCTCAAAATTTATCTTGGAGGATTAAATGATTTGAAAGATTTGAATGATTAATTTTTTTCCAAATTTATGCAGTAGTCCTCATGTTGGTGTTTCTATATCAAAAGCCAAAATAAGATTAATCCATTGCATTAGTTCTGCTTTTTTCATTCAATTATTGACTTTTAGCTATAAAAGTATCTATACTGAGGCAATGTTTCTCTATATATAATACAACTTTTTATTTGAAAGTAATTTTGGATTCTCAGGAAAGTTGCAAAGATAGTAGAGCAATTTTCTGAATAACCTTCATCCAGTTTCCCTAATGTTATCTTGAATAATAGCAAGTATAGAACATTTGCCAAAATTAAGAAATTAACATTGGCTCAACACTATTACAATTTAACCTCAAACTGTATTTGGATATCAGGAGCTTTTCCACTAATGAGCTCTTTATGTACTAGGCTCCAATCCAGAATACTGCATTATGTTTAGTCTTCTCTAATCTGTGGCAGTTTGCCAATCTTTTCTTGTTTTCCTTGATATTGACAGTTTTGAAGAATATTAGATTTTTGGTAGAATGTCCCTTAATTTGGTTTGTCTGGTGTCTTCAAAGGATTAGGCTGGGTTATTGGTTCCGAAGAAGAATGCCAGAGAGGTGAAGTGCCCAACTCATGACATTACATCATGGGGTACATAATATCAATTTAAGTTACACAGAGTATGTTAACCTTGATCATTCGGTCAAAGTATTATTTGTCAGGTTTCATCATTGTAAAGCTATTCTTTTTTCCTGTTCATAACCTATTCTTTGGAAAAGAGATACCAGGTCTAACTCGTAGTGGAGAATTAATCTCCACTTCCTGGAAGGGAAAATATCTACATATATTATTTGGAAAACTTCTGCAAGGATGATTTGTCCTTTATTAAAGAATGCCTCATTTGCACCTGAAAAGAGAATGAAGGAAGTCAAGAAAACTGGGGAGAAAAACATTATCATAAATTTTGTAAATATGATCAATCACTGTGGTCAATTTAGAAATTTGATCATGCTACTGGAGTGGCCCTTTCCAATATTCAGCCACTGAGCACATTTTCTACTCAAATCTCAAAGCTCTCTGTCCCCAAGAACCTGGGGAAAAAATATATGTCCTCTCATACTCAGCTACATTATTTATTGTCTTCTAAGACCTAACCTAAAGAAAAAACGTAAAAGCTTTGTATTCCCAATATGACTAAGCTATCAAAAAGAGTGAGGGGAGCAAGAATGGGGCAGATAAAGGAGATGAGCAGGAGGTGGTCTCAGTTAAGTCTAGGCTTGACCTGGTCCACAGTGGGCTCTGGATGTAGTTTCTATCAACTGAAGCAGTGTCTTTGGAGAAGGGCGTAGCTGCCAGCTGTTAGTTGCCACCATTCACAGTAGCTGTTAAATGGGTGCACTTGGCTGTAAAAGCAGAATCTAGGTGGGAAACCAATGGCATCCATTATGTTGTATGCTTCACTTCTCAATTCAAATGACTAAATATTTATGAAGAATAAATTATGCTCCATGTAGATAGATGTAAGGTGTTATAATAGATATCACATACATGATTTTATGTAATTGAGGCATGGTTCCAAAACTCTGGAAGAGATTAATAATACACTAAATGTTAATAATTGCCTTCCTTTATGTTTTTCATGTGTATATATACACACATATTTACATATTGCATATTTGTGCACATATATAATGTATATATTACATAACATAAAATGTATACATTATATATAATATATAGTGTGTGTATTAGTTTGGAGAATTATTTGTTTTTTTCCCTTGCAGAAAACAGGCAGAAACCTATTTTGAATGGATATCGTCAAAAATAATAAGACAAATTTTAGAAAGTAGATTAAGATTCAATGATTTCCAGCGGAAAATCCTCCAAAGCACTAGAGTATATTTTTCACAATCTCTAGAGTACTAAGAACAAAACATAATTCTTTATGTGAAAAGCACATGCCATGCTTTTCTTGTGTAAATGGCATGAAATTACCCTTATAAATGGGGTATCTGATAGCAAAAAGGAATCATGTTTGTTTAATCCAAGCATTCAAGATAGATGGTTCAGCATTAAAAGAATTTGGAAACCAATGTCTTCAAACAACAAGTGCATGAGTAGCCACCAGTGCATATCTTGTGACTGAAGAAATGTATAAAGATCTGTTGTGCAACAATAAATCAACCCTTTAGAGAAAACAGGAAGTGTCAGGGATTGTAACTAGGTCAGATACAGAATATAAATTCTATCACTTCCTGGTTACTAGGAAGAATTTGTGCTCTTCTGAGCATGGAGAAGTGAGGTGATTTTAGGATAGAAAGGTGCTAACACCAAGTAGCATTTATTTTAAAGTCTCAAAGGCTCAAAAGAGAGAAAACACCTCAAAGTTTTGAAGAAGTAACTAAATTTATGCCACAATTAATAACTGCCCGTAAGTGTAGAGACCATGCCGGATTAGAGTGGTGTCCTTATGACCCAACTGAGGGCTGGAAATGTAGGATATTCTCCAATATCAGCTGAATGAATTAATGTAGGAATAAATGAATGAAAATATACCAGGAAGCTGTAGACTGATCATCTTTTCCTTTGCTCCTATAAATCTAAACAGCCACATTGCTTAGCAGGCTTAAGTCTGTGCTAATTCTGCAAATAGCTACCTCTGTGACCTTAATCAACAGCCTTAACCCCATGTAGCCCTCCTGTTTCATCTGCAAGATAAGTTATTCAAAAAGAGTTCAAAGGTCTTCAGCATATCTAAGATTTGAAAATTTGCTCTTTAATCAGAACTATCATCTTAGTGCCAAGAAGGAGAACATACGGCAACAATGAAGAACAGTATTGTAAAGCCACTAAGTACATGGACTGGGATTCCAGAATGGTCAGACAGATATGGTTTGAGCTCCATGTCTGACGTCTTCTAGCCTTATGATCTCAAGGCGGCTATTTAACAGTTCTTTATTTATAAAATTCAGATGTGATGAAGATTACATAATTTAATTATGTAACATAGCTAGCATAATGTCTGGCACATAGTGAATACTCTCTTTTGTTACTATGGCTGCTGTCAGAGTTGGAGACAGTAAGGTGTAGTCCATCCAAGCAGAATTGTTGTCTTTGCTTTCCTAAGACCAGATACTTTTTTTGTTCTCCAAACTAATAGTGTCATATGAAGTCAGTGTTCTAAGAGCAGACACAAATAATTTAAATACTGTTCTCAAGAATAATTATACAAAAGTAATGAAACCTGGCCAGCCAGGTGACTCACACCTGTAATCCCTGTACTTTGGGAGGCAGAAGCTGGAGGATTGCTTAAGCCCAGAATTTCAAGGCCAGCTTTGGAAACAAAGTGAAACCCTGTCTCTACAGAAAAAAAAAAAAAAAAAAAAAAAAAAAAAGGATTAGTGGGGTATGATGTTGGCATGCATCGGTGTTCCCAGCTACTCGGGAGGCTGAAGTGGGAGGATTGCTGGACCCCCAAAGATTGAGTCTGCAGTGAGCTGTGATCACACCACTGCATTTCAGTCTGGGCAACAGAGTGAGACCCTGTCTAAATACATATATGTATATACAAAAGTAAGAGAACCCAAGAGATTGTTGTTATGACCCCTACCTCCACATGCAGAGGTTTGTAGGTTCTTTGATAGTGTAACTATTCCAGGTCAAAAATAAAGATTTTATGTGTGACATTATTCCCCTAGGGAAAGTAGAAGCCAAAAATATTTTACAGAGAAAAATAATTGTTAAGCATCGCATAGTTCCTAATTTTGCTGTTGTAGTAAAGGCCTGTTGGTTTGTGTAGTTGTTATTAATGCTAGTTCACCAAATAGTTTTGGTTTCTGCATTTAGTCACATGGTAGGTGTATTAATCAGGGTACTCCAAAGAAACAATCATTTATAGTGTGTGTGTATATTAGTATATATATTATATACACAGTATATAATATATACAGTATATAATATACACAGTATATAATATATACAGTATATAATATACACAGTATATAATATATACAGTATATAATATACACAGTATATAATATATACAGTATATAATATACACAGTATATAATATATACAGTATATAATATACAGTATATAATATATACAGTATATAATATACACAGTATATAATATATACAGTATATAATATACACAGTATATAATATATACAGTATATAATATACACAGTATATAATATATACAGTATATAATATACACAGTATATAATATATACAGTATATAATATACACAGTATATAATATGTACAGTATATAATATACACAGTGTATAATACACAGTATATTCTACACACAGTCTATAATACACACAGTATATTCTATACACAGTATATACAATATACACAGTATATACAATACACACAGTATATTCTATACACAGTATATACAATACACACAGTATATACTGTATACAGTATATACTATACACACAGTATATACTCTACACACAGTATATACTGTATGCAGTATATACTCTACACACAGTATATACTGTATGCAGTATATACTCTACACACAGTATATACTGTATGCAGTATATACTCTACACACAGTATATACTGTATGCAGTATATACTCTACACAGTATGTACTGTATGCAGTATAAACTATATTGGTAGGTCTTGGGCTAGCAATGAAATGCTTTAGCTCAAAAGCAGCATACATTACTTTGGCTTACAATAATGATCCCACCTAATTTCATGGCCCTAGCCAGCATCAATAAAGTCAGGAAATGCAATTCTGCTGTGATGGTAAATTACATGTGTCAACTTGAATGGGCCATGGGATGCCCAGACATCTGCCCAGATATATACAGTATATACTGTATACAGATTATGTAAACAGTATATAATATATACAGTATATTATAGATATACAGTATATTATATGTACAGTATATTATAGATATACAGTATATGTACAGTATATTATAGATTTACAGTATATTATAGATTTACAGTATATTATATGTATAGTATATTATAGATAGATACACACAGTGTGTGTGTGTATACTAGTTTGGATAATTATTTGGTTTTCCCTTGCAGAATATAGGCAGAAATCTGTTTTGAATGGATATCAGCAAAAATAATAAGACAAATTTTAGAAAGTAGATTAAGATTCAGTGATTTCCAGTGGAAAATCCTCTAAAGCACTAGAGTGTATTTTCATAACCTCTAGAGTACTAAGAACAAAACGTAATTCTTTATGTGGAAAGCAAATTCCATGCTTTACATGTGTAAATGGCAGGAAATTACCCTTATAAATGGGGTATCTGATAGAAAAAGGAATCAAGTTTGTTTAATCCAATAGAAGATAGATATGTTTGTACATATATCAAAGGCCTGAGGGCAAGAGCCAATATGTAGATTCCAGTCCGAGTGTGAGGGCCTTAGAATCAGGAGTGCCAAAGGTAGAAGAGGATTGATGTCCCAGCTCAGGAGGAATCAGGCAGAAAGTAAATCTAAACTTCCTCCGCCTTCTTGTTCTATTCAGGCTCTCAATGGTTTGGAAGATGCCAGCCCAGGTTGTGGAGAATCATTTATTTTATTCAGTCCATCCAGTCAAATGCTAATCTCTTCTAGAAACACTCTCACAAACACACTCAGAAATAATGTTTAAGCAGATATCTGGGCATCCCGTGGCCCATTCAAGTTGACACATGTAATTTACCATCACAGCAGAATTGCATTTCCTGACTTTATTGATGCTGGCTGGGGCCATGAAATTGGGGGGGATCATTATTGTAAGCCAAAGTAATGTATGCTGCTTTTGAGCTAAAGCATTTCATTGCCAGCCCAAGACCTACCAAAAGTCTCTTTTCCTCTGCTACAGTGACCAGCAGTGTTCTAGGTCGGCACTGTCCAGTAGAATTTTCTGCAAAGATGGAAGTATTCTCCACATTATCCAGTATAATAGCCACTAGCCACATATGGCTCTTGAACACTTGAAACATGATTAATGAAACTGAGGAGTTGTATTTTAAATTTTATTCAATTTTAACTAATCAGCAGTTAAATTTAAATGGTCACCTGTGGCTCGAGGCTACCATATTGGACAGCATAGCTATAGGTACTGGCGGCTGTCTCTGGGTTCTAGAGAATGATCTAGAACAGAATCTCCAGCAAATGTGCTGAGAATTAGAATTAAAACTTGTTTAAGTTCCTGAGACTTCAAGGCTGTTACCAAAGCCTAACTTAGCTTTTTCTCATAGATATGAGTTCCCTTCCAGCTCTTTTAGTTGCTGAAAACTAGCTACCTCACAAACACACCCAGAAATAAGTTTACCCACAGGGATAGTCTCTCAACAAACATGTTGTAAAGAGGTGACGCTACCCTTCTATTGCTGATGGGTCCAAAGTTAGACAGTTCATCCAAGCTGGGATGATTAGATCATCTTTCTTGAAAATTTAAAGACAGAGTGTTTGGAAGCTATTGGAAGCTGAATCATTATGCTGATACTCTTGAATGTGCTCTTTTTCTTACCCTTCATTGTCAATTTTTTGTTTAGATTTAGTGAAGTAACCCAGTATCTTTCTAATACACCCTCCTTTTGCCACACAAAGAATAATACTTAGTACCAAGGAATATGGATTTATATGTCTGCAATAAGGTAAAAAAAATCACTTGAAAACTGGATAAGAAAATTAATTTGCTAATTTTTTCAGAGTGCTAGGAGAGTAGAAACTTCTCAAAGGTATTGTGTTTCAGGCCAAGCAGTGGCTCACAGCTGTAATGCCAGCACTTTGGAAGGCCGAAGCTGGCAGATCACTTGAGGCCAGGAGTTTGAGAACAGCCTGGCCAATATGGTGAAACTCTGTCTCTACTAAAAATACAAAAATTAGCTGACTGTGGTTGTGCACACCTGTAATCCCAGCTACTCTGGAAGCTGAGGCAAGAGAATAGCTTGAACTCAAGAGGTGGAGGATGCAGTGAGCCTAGATCACACCACTGCACTCCAGCCTGGGAGATAGAGCTAGACTCTGTCTCCAAGAAAAAATTTTTTTAAAGTTTTGTTTTTCAATGCCCTCTCTGATAAATGTATTCAATAAACATGTATTTAGTGCTTGTTATATTCTGGATTCCATGCTAGAAACTGAGGATTCAGTAGGAAACAAAACAGATTTGGTCCCCGTGTCCATGGCATGTGATAGAATACAAATAGGTTTGAGTACTCCAATGGAGTCAAGTGTCTTCCACTTCTAAAGTCTATGCATGGAGTCACACTGATGGCTTGGGAGCACTTTATCATTGCTCAAGTGGCTGAGATCATAGCACATGTCACTCCTTCCCTCTCCCATTTTCTGTGCTTAAGAAAATCCTGGCAAATAGAGTGAGCTAAAGATTGGCATTAAGAATTTGGTTATAGGCCAGGCATGGTGGCTCACGCCTGTAATCTCAGCACTTTGGGAGGCCGAGGCTGGTGGATTACTTGAGGTCAGGAGTTCGAGACCAGCCTGGCCAACATGGTGAAACCCTGTCTCTGCTAAAATACAAAAATTAGCTAGGCGTGGTGGTGTGTGCCTATAATCCCAGCTACTAGGGAGGCTGAGGCAGGAGAATTTCTTGAGCCTGGGAGGCAGAGGTTGCAGTGAGCTGAGATCACACAACTGAACTCCAGCCTTGGTGACAGAGCGAGATTCCAACTCAAAAAAAAAGAATTTGATTATAAAAATATAAATACCCTAAGATATTTTATCCTTACTAGCTTCCCCAGACATTCATAGGTAATTAATTATTACTATCTTAAGTGATCAAAATAGTGTAACTCCCTGATTAAGAAACCATCTTACCAGCAGGAGACAACAACAATAACAACAACTATAACATGGTAACAGCCACAGCATTAATTATTCACTGACTTTTTTCCAGGCAGTACGCCAAGGGTTTCTATATATTTGTCATTTGATCCTTACAGCAACCCTATGAAGTAGGTTTTATTGTCTACGATGTATAAGTCAGGAAATTGATGAAAACCTAGTAGGAGGTAGAAACAGGACGCAAACATAATTATACCTGACTTCAAAGCCTTGGTGTCAAATCACTATCAAGAGAAAAAAAAAAAGAAGAAGAAGAAGGCACAATAACCAATGAGTAATGACACCGCATAGACCTCCAGCTTCCAGTATGTGAGATGTTTTAAGCTTTTTGAAATAAAATTTTTCCATTTTTTCATGCTGATTCTGTAATTGATGTATTTAAACATATCGATGCGTTTTTAACATTGGTCAACACAAAAGTTTTACTATGATCAGACCTCTTTCTTGGTATTTTCACTGAAGCCTGGGATTGATCTAGAATCAATATTTGAAAACCAAATTACTTTAGCTGCTATACTCATAGTGTAAAGGTTTGGGCAAGATGAGAAATAATCAACCACTGCAGTCTCTAAAGTGTATGTTTGTTGGCTGTTTAAAGCATACCCAAATCCTGTGGCATTCAGCTTTGTATGTGCTACCAGTTCTAATTCAGTAAGTTAACCTTAAATAGTTAAAACATAAAACTCTAGTGGGTAAGCACATAGATACACAGAAATATATACAAATTTCATCTGAATGACAGTAAATGATGTCAAGCTCTGCCTTCTTTTATAGATAAGTATGGTATTATACTAAACATTAGTGAAAATAATTAAGAGTAATCTTTCTGAAGACTTATTATTTTAAAAAAATCCCTTAGAAACTAATACTCAGTTGTGAAGATTACAATGTGGAAAATTATAATACAAAGAAAGTTAATTTGCCCACATTACTGACAGCTAACCAAAACTTGGGAATTCTTCTTAGACAGAATAAATAAAATTCTGCCTGGTAAAGCAAATATAGAAGTGTAACTTGAAAAAATATGTAAAAATTGCAGTGAAGTATAGTGCCGCTAATATTACATGGTGCCATTTTCTCAAAGATAAATTTAGAATGAATACATTCGGTTTGAAGAAAATTACACTTTTAATTGGTAAATGGAGAAACTAATTTTCATATTTTTCTGATGAGTACCTGTCTGTAGGTTCACATGAAAATATGTTTAAATTTGAAAAGTTTTTCAGAAAACACTGTTGAAATGGGAGAAGTTCCCTTATCCCATTGGCAGGGAGTGTGCGACAGGGCTGTGGCTCCCTTCTTCAGTGCCCTGCTGCTCAAACCCCCAGGGGGAGCATGCAGATGGGCAGGTAGTGGGGGGAGCATTTTTGGGTTCTGACCCCACTGCAGTGTCTATGGTTGAGTGTTTACAGTTCCGAAAACCCCAGTGGGTGTGTGTTACAGTGTGCTTTTTCAGCTTTGCCATCTGCAGGTGGCTTGTGTTAATGAGCTCAGTTAGACCCTTTGCTTTATCACAAGGACAGAGAGCTTTCTGTATCCTGAGTTCTTGCCTTAATGTCTCAGAAAAATGGGATCACATGTGGGCTTGTGGGCTTGGAGGATGAGTGCAAGATTGTATTGGGTGGTGGAGGTAACTCCCAGTGAGCTGGATGGGGAGCCAGAAGGGAGATAGAGTAGGAAGGTGATTCTCCCCTGGAGTTGGGTCGCCCAGCGGTTGGACTCTCCTCTGACCACCCCTGGCTGAATTCCCCTTGACGTATGCATCTTTTCATGATTGCTGACCTGCCAGTGTCTGCCGGCGTCTGCTGGTGTTTTCTTCTGCTCCTCTTGACATCCAGCCACTTGTGTGTGTGCCCACTATGGTCCTAGATTTTTATGGGTACAGGATGGGGGGCATGGTGGGCCAAAAGGCAACTTTTGGGGCATGAAAACAGAAATGCCTGTCCTCATTTAGGTCCATGGACATAGGCCCAAAGGTAGAGCCCTGGCCAGGGACCCCGGCTTTCTCTACCCGGAACTTCCCTGGCCCACACCATATCACTATCAGAATTCAATATTATGAAATGAAAAGAAGTAAAATTAATTTCTTTTAAAACCACAAGGGACATTATATTATAACATAATTTTGACCATTAAAATTCTGTATCTCCACATCTATAAACACACACAATAGATTCAATATACATTCATTCCATCAAATTCGCTGATTTACTCAAAAGCAAATATTTATATCTGGTTTTAAAAATACGTCAATCTATTGTTTTCATATTTGTCTAGTCAGATTTTATTTTGCTTTGAGAAGACTCAAGCTGATCTTAAACACTGTTCTTAATCTTTTTAAGGTATCCTATCTCTTATTATGGCAACATTGCAGTGATAAGAAAAAAGATCCCTGAGAGAGGAAAAAGTTCCTTATTGGAGTAGTAACCTGGGTTTAATGTAATCATCCTCATTTAGGTAACATGACATAGTGTTGGGATGGTGGGATTAGCAAGGGATTAATCACACTGATATATCTTCCTATATTCTTTACGAGATGAATATGTTCACCTTTTAAAATATACATTTTATACATATAGTTGTCTAGTACAGTTTAAAAGAGCGATGGATTTATTTATTTTTTGAGACAGGGTCTCACTCTGTTGCCCAGACTGGAGAGCGGTGGCACCATCATGGCTTACTGCAGCCTTGACCTCCTGGGCTCGAGTGATCCTTCTGCCTCTGCCTCCCAAGTAGCTAGGACTACAGGCACGTACCATCATGCCTGACCAATTTTTAAATTGTTTGAAGAGACGGGGTCTTGCTATGTTGCCCAGGCTGGTCTCGAACTCCTGAGTTCAAACAATCCTCCTGCCTTATCCTCCGAAAGTGTTGGGATTACAGGCATGAGCCACCACACCCAGCAGGTGATGGATTTCTGAGAGAAAACATTCCTCCAACATGCTAACAAAAAGTTTTCTGCTTTAAGTCATTCTATTCATTGCCACTATCCTCTATTGAATCCCATCCAAAATATTCAAAGAGTAATGGAAAAACATATGAAAATATTTTTAGAAAATAAAAATCCTCCATCTAGTATATTGCACCAATAAGTGTAATACGTTGTTGGAGAGAGAAGGGTTTACATTTTTCTTTATAGCCATCCTTTATACCTTATTCCAAAGTATTGCTTAGTGGTGAAAGTAAAAATGATTGTTTTTGTCATCTGTGTCCTACATAAAAAGTTTACTACCATAACAATGACAGGTTGACCTCTGCTATGAAAGCCAGATAAGAGTGGTAAAGCACAGACACTGAAGAAAAGTGCCCACTCCACCCTTTATCTGATGCTGAATTGTATAGCTGTACTCCAGTTGGGTTTTGTTTTGTTTTGTTTTGTTTTTGTATCCTCTCACTGTTTTCAGATGAGTTTTGGTGTGATTCGGAATCTATATTTTTTTAAACAACAAACAGTCTGGGCACAGAGGATAAAGAAATATTGGCTTTTCTGGAGGAAAAGAAATTCATCATTTAAAAGATACCATCAGTCTTGATTCTACTATAAAGAAACATTCCCTTCTGATGCTCCTACCAAAAAAAAAAAAAAAAAAAAGTGTGTGTGTGTGAGAGAGAGAGAGAGAGACAGACAGAGAGAGAGAGAGAGAGAAAACTGACTGTGTGTGTTTGGTTAAACACCAAAACTAATATGTTCAAATTATTTCTCACTTTCCTTTATCTTTCAGCTCTATTCTGCCTTGCTGAAGACTTGAACATCAATGTATTTGTCCTATGTTTAAATCAAAGAGCTACTTTTGATGCTGTTTTTATTCTAACAGTCTCACTGAATACTACACTTCCTCCCACCAAAGTTAATTTGTCTTACAGTTCTCCCTGAATTTTAGGTTAATTTTAATTAACTCTTATATTAGTCTTTCAACCAAATGCATTTTTTTCCACTGGATATACTGTTTAATTATGGGAAGAAAAAGTTTGTCTTAGTCTTTTGTTTTTTTTTTCCTCTCCATCATCTTTCCTTTGAAGAAACCATCTCCTCACTTTCTATTTTTGTAATGATTATGCTGAGTTATAACATTCAGTGGACCCAGTCTTCTCCCTTTAAGCCAAGAGCAAGCGATCCAGGTCCAACCAGGGCTCTGGTGCCAGAGAGCCTAGATTAGAATACTGGTTCCACCACTCACTAGCTGTACGATTTCCAGTAAGTTACTTAACTTCTGTGTGGCTTAGTCTTCCCATTTCTAAAATGGGGAAATAGGCCAGGCTAGGTGGCTCATGCCTGTAATCTTAGTACTTTAGGAGGCTGAGGCAAGAGGATCACTTGAGGTCAGGAGTTAGAGACCAGCCTGGGGAACATAGCAAGACCTCATTTCTACTTTTTTTAAAAAATTAGCTGGGTGTGGGGACACATGCCTGTAGACCCAGCTATTTGAGAGGCTGAGGTGAGAGGATGGCTTGAGCCAGGGAAGTGGAGGCTGCAGTGAGCAATGATCAGGTCATTGCACTCTAGCCTGGTCAACAGAGTGAGACCCTCTCTTAAAAAAAAGTTAAGATGGAGAAATAATAGAACCTGTCTCACAGAGCTGCTGTGAGGAATAAAGAGTTAATACATGTAGAGCATTAGCATAGAGTAGATACTTAGTAAACTATTCTCAATCTTAGTACTTCAATAATGATAATTGCTATTTCAGTTGCCAACTACCATCTGGCTGCCAAACAGAGAAAGCTTACATCAAAATGAAGCCAAGATGAGGTAAGTGGAGCCGAGACAGGAAAACAATTTCTTGATGACAGCATTTTATCCCTGGACCCAGCTGAGTCAGAAACAGACCTTTAGACTTCCAACTATGTGAACCACATAACCCCCTGCTTTTATTTTTGCCTAAGCTCGTTTGCATTGTATGATTGGTACCTGTTAAGTAAAACAGCCAGTAAGTCAGTGAGATTGTTACAATAAAAGCAGCATCGGGCCGGGCACGGTGGCTCACGCCTGTAATCCCAGCATTTTGGGAGACTGAGGTGAGTGGATCACTGGAGGTCAGGCGCTTGAGACAAGCCTGTCCAACATAATGAAACCACGACTCTACTAAAAATTATAAAACTAAAAAATAAAAATAAAAATAAAAAAATAAAAAGCAGCATCAAAAGTAGGAAACTAAATCAATCTACCTGAGGATGGTGATTAATACAAAGTATAAGCTTTCACATAGGATAAGGTTTTGTTTTTTTTTTTTTGTTTTTGTCCCTCCTAAAATGGATAACTAATTCATGATCAAAGGTACTGTGGGATTCTTTCGCCAAATAGACAGCCTGGGTGTAAAATTTTTTGAACTTTCCATTAAGATAACCTAAATGATTTTATATAAATATATATATATACACACACACATATGTATACACATATATATACACATATATATATACACATATATATACACATATATATACACATATATATATATACGTGTGTGTGTGTGTGTGTGTGTGTATATATATATATATATATATATTTTTTTTTTTTTTTTGAGACATTATCTCGCTCTGTTGCCCAGGCTGGAGTGCAGTGGCATGATTTCGGCTCACTACAACCTCTGCCTCCCAGGTTCACGCCATTCTCCTGCCTCAGCCTCCCGAGTAGCTGGGACTACAGGCGCCCGCCACCACGCCCAGCTAATTTTTTGTATTTTTAGTAGAGATGAGGTTTCGCCGTGTTAGCCAGGATGGTCCCCATCTCCTGACCTCATGATCCGCCTGCCTCGGCCTCCCAAAGTGCTGGGATTACAGGCGTGAGCCACTGCACCCGGCCTAAAGTGTAGTTATTAAGCTAAGTATAAAAGGCATCAAAGGTCTTGCTGCACTGAGAAGTGTCAGGACCACCATTCTGAGTGTTGAGGCCTATCTTGGTTCTCCCTCTTTACCTATTAAGTTATATTACTTTTTCCTGTATCCATCATGTATCCTGTCACCAAAATTCCCATCTTGGCTTACCAGGAGTTCTATATCCAATTAATTTAGCCTTTACTATATGTTCTTTTCCTTCTTCTACAAGTTCTTGTTTCATCTTTATGTTGGTTATATATGAAGGATGCATGCATGTCATGTTCCCTGCGTATTTGAAAAGGGTTTTTCTGTGAGCTTTTAACACTTCCCTTTTATTTCATCTCAGAAAAATGTACAATCTAGTTGGGACATCGGGTTCTTTCATAACCATTTATAATGATATTGTCTTTTTTTATGATGAACTTACAAAATAGTATGTAGGTAGATCTGACCCTCCAACAACTTCCTAGTGTCATACATTTTGTATGTGGGAAAAACTTCCAAAAAAGATGGACTATTTCTGTGTTTCCCAAACTTGGTAGCACATCAGCATCATCTTGTTGTGCACAGAATCTGTAACTTTTTCCCCTGAGATTGGAGTTCATGGATTTGCCAAATAGCTCAAGCACCTGCTTTTCAAAAAGCTCCCCAGGTAATTCTAATAGAGTTCATTGTGAACTACTGTATTGATGAGGAATCCAAGTTTTAGAAAGATCCATATTTGGAAATACAACTGTCTTTGGGTAAAGTTTGAACTAGAACCCATTGTACTAACTGCCAAATCAGAACTCCAGGATGCCATGCTGCCTGAAGCTCTGTAGTGATCATCTCTTGCAGCCAACTGCTCAGCCTCTTTTATCCCTTATACAGATCTGACAGAGAGAGAGAGAGAGAGACAGACAGACAGACACACACACAGACAGACACACACACACACACACACACACACACACACAGAATAAGAAAGATAGACAGAGACAAAAACAGACGCAGAGAGAGGATATATGAAGTGAGTTCCACTACCGGGCTTCCCTATGACATGAATCAGTACACTCTCTTTTCCTTTAAGGTAATTTGGGCTGGATGTCTGCTATTAAAGAGCGAGACACCATCTCAAAAAAAAAAAAAAGTGTCCTAAATAATATATATTCATTCCAAATGCTAAATGGGATAAAGACCATATGCAAGTTGAATAAGCTCAACACATGCTGATTTGGCATAGAAATTTCCTGGCATCATAATGAGTCAAGAGTAGTAACAAGAGATGGTCAGTAATGACCAGGACCCTGTACATGAGATAGCAAAATGTAGGGACTTGCAGATCCAGCAAGAATGGCACTGGTGTACCAGATTTAACCCATGGTTCTTGAGCGAAGTATATTCCCCTGTGTTCGTCTTTTAAATTTCCTCCTAGATATGGACCGCTCAGGATCAGAGATGGTGATCAAAGTCAGCAGGTGGCCAAAGGCCTGCAAGAATACCTTGGTTCTGCGTAAGACTAGAAAGAGATGCTATGTTTAGAAAGCTTGGAGAACAGGAATCAGCTTTTGTCCTCCTGGAATAAAAAATCCTTCCCAGCATTGTCTTCAAAACAGTGAAGAGGCAGAATGTGTTCTTTTAATGCTAGCTGTAATATTCCTGTCTAGGAAAAAAAAATTGCCTTTGTCCAAGAACATTCCTGAATGGGCACATTTACTTATGAAAGTGAAGTCACCTGGGTTCTGGCTGGATGGCTTTGAGATAGAAAAATCAATTGTGAAAACTATTCCATACAAGAAATGTGTGTTTGACTTGCATGAGGGGAGTGAGGAGAAACAGAAAAAAATGAGGCCAGGATAAGACAGAGAAGGACTGAGGGGTAAGATGTATGTCACCAAGTGTTGGCCTTAGGCAAAACCAGGGCAATGTGAAATTCCTAGCTGAATGAGTTTTTTAAATGCAAATGGCTAATATTTAATTTCCATTTGTTTCATAAATTCATAATTCATAAATGTCACTGTCTGTGTAGAGTCGGAGTGTAAACTCTCCACTCCACACCCCCAACAACATCCCTGTTACACAGGCCAATGAGCTGCCTGAGTGGTGTGCAGAGCGTGGTCCAGGCTACATCAGCACTGCACTTATGGGAAGACAGCCCTGCAGGCACAGAGAGTAACGGGGATAGTTCTGAGGCAGCGGGAAATCAGAGAACAAGGTTACCATGAAAGCATATGCTCTTTGGGATTACATCTCAGAGGGAATATTATGCTTTCTATGGAAACAAGATGGATTGCAACTAATTTGATTTGAATCTCACAGGACAGGATGAATGACTTCAGTTGTTATCTGGGTTATACCTGGAACAAAACTAGTACTTAGTAGTTCTTCCCAAATGACCTACTTCTAAGTGGATTCTTTAAAAGTTGGGAAACCTACTTGTTTTTTACAGTAAAGATTTGCCCTGAGTATTACACATTCTGTCAGGCATTTCAACTAGCACTAATTGTTGGAGTTTGAAAGCCAGAAGGATATCGTTTTTTTTTTGCATCTATCATATTGGCAAACTCAAATGACAACACAATTTATTTTAATTACCTGGTGTTGTCTGGAGTGAGAGAAAATAGCCTGCTTACAAACTGACCATGATAAAATCATTCTAGACAGCAGTTCTGAGATCTATCGAAAACCTTAAAAGTATGAATTCTGACCAGGAAATTCTACTTGTAGAGTTTGGTGTAAACAAATGCTCAGAGACACATGTGGTGAAAATTCATGATAATAAATTGGTTGACTAAGTCTTGCCACATCCATACAAAAGATAAAATACGGATGTAAGGAGCTTTTAGAAGACTGCTTAATGGCATGGTGTTGGGAGCAAGTCCCCCAAAATCTGGCCATAAACCGGCCCCAAAACTGGCCATAAACAAAATCTCTGCAGCACTGTAACATGTCCATAATGGCCCTAACGCCCACGCTGGAAGGTTGTGGGTTTACGGGAATGAGGGCAAGGAACACCTGGCCCACCCAGGGCAGAAAACTGCTTAAAGGCATTCTTAAGCCACAAACAAAAGCAGGAGCGATCTGTGTCTTAAGGGCATGTTCCTGCTGCAATTAATTCGGCCCATCCATTCGTTTTCCATAAGGGATACTTTTAGTTAATTTAATATCTATAGAAATAATGCTAATGACTAGTTTGCTGTTAATAAATATGTGGGTAAATCTCTGTTCGGGGCTTTTAGCTCTGAAGGCTGTGAGACCCCTGATTTCCCACTTCACACCTCTATATTTCTGTGTGTGTGTCTTTAATTCCTCTAGCGCCGCTGGGTTAGGGTCTCTCTGACCGAGCTGGTCTCGGCAGCATGGCAATTATTTTTATAAAGTATGCTTAAAAATCCATAAAGTATATTGTGAATGTTATTTTGTAAACATGTGTACATGTGTATGTATATAGGTACATGTATGTAAAAACTATAAATATATGTGTACATGTGGCCTCACTTTTAAAAATATTTATAGTACACATGAGCACAAATAAAAGACTGAAAGCATACCCTTAATAATTTTAACATTAGTTATCTTTCAGTGATGGAATAGTGAATGATCTTTATTTGTGCCATTCTCTGGATTTTTTTGCAATTTATATATGAAGGATGTCTGTATGGTAGCTTTATAATCATAATCTCCAAAAAATGAAATTTATGGTATTCATATAATAAAATAAAAATAATTTTAATGTTAGAAATAAATATATCACTTTAAAGTGGGGAGACAAAAACTGGGATGGGTTTCAAAAACTGGAGCTTGAGTTTGAGTGATAGTCCAGATTCCTGACTTGGCAAAGAGCTTAGTAAGTCCAAGTCTTTGATTTCATCTCTATGAAAATAATATGCCTTGGCGTGATTTCCATTTTATCTTATTGATTTAAGTGTATTTTCATCACAAAATAACCATAAAAATTTCTTATTCTAAAATATTAACAAAACAAATATGTAAATTCTAATGTGAATGTCTCAATTCTCCCCAGTCTTCTAATTTACCCCCTCAAAACACACACACACACACATCCCTCCTGCCCCCTTTATAATTTAAATATATTTTAAAATAAATAAATATATTAATAATCTATTTAAATAATGCGTATATAAATATATAGTGAATTAAAGATATAAATTAAAATGCCATATTTTCCCATAAATATTTATATTAATATAATGTTCTGTCCTGACCATTCCTCTATGTTAATACATAGAGTTCTGTCTCCTTGTAAAATATCTGCATATTATTTTATGGTATTGGGCATTGGAATTTATCCAATGATCCTGCCATTGGATATTTATTTATTTTCTATGCTTACAAAATGTAGTAAGTATCTGTTTTTTGAACAGGTTATAGAATTTAACATACTTGAGCCTGTACATGATTTAGTGACAAATTTGTGAATAGTTTTTCCATTTATTTTTCAGATATTCACTTGTGCAGGCTTGATATTTCTTGAGCCAATTAAGAATATTTATTTTGATGAGACCTTTCCTCCTCACAATTAAAAGAACTTCATATTTAAGAGAACTTCATGCTCTATGAGTTAAAAACTCAAGGAACTGAAACAGGTCTCTGATTTACTCCCTTGAAAAACATCAGGACTTTTACAGATTTTCAATGTAAAACCTCCCTCTGATTCCTCAAGGAATTCAAATGCATTTGACCTCTTTTCAGTGGATATTATCAGTGCTTTCCTTTCTCATAGCCTTTTAAAACATGTTCATTTTATAAGATCCTTCCTCTACTTTGGATCTTTAAATTAATTTATAGAAGCTTTTGCAGGGCTGGGTGGGAGCAGGAGGTCCTTGGTTATGGTCATGTATAAAAAAGAGCTTAGTATCCCTGGCTTCTATTTGATGGTCATTCCCTATATTTTTTCTTTCTACATGCAAATATTTAAGGAAATACAAACCTATATCAAAATTTCATACATGTGGTAGTTTTTTCACAAAATATTTGCCTGGGAATTCATGAATTTAGTCAAGATGATATTCACTTTTTACTTTTAAATTTTTTCCATATCAACGACTGTTCCCTTTTTTCCTTCTTATTTGTGTTTATCCCTGTTTTTTTCCTCTTATTTCTAACTCAGACCTGGAATTTGTGTTCACTTGTATATAAAATTTTTAGCAGCATGAATTTTCAGACTTATCTTTAAGCAAGTTTTATGGCTTTTTTTTCTTTTTGCCTATGACAAATTCTTTTTTTTTAAATTTTATTTGTTTATTTTTTTGAGACAGAGTCTCGTTCTGTCGCTCAGGCCCGAGTGCAGTGATGCAATCTCGGCTCATTGCAGCCTCCACCTCCCTGGTTCAAGTAATTCTCTTGGCTTAGCCTCCCGAGTAGTTGGGACCATAGGCGCAGGCCACCACACCCGGTTCATTTTTGTATTTTCAGTAGTGACAGGATTTCACCATGTTGGCCAGGCTAGTCCCAAACTCCCGACCTCAAGTGACCACCTGCCTTGTCCTCCCAAAGTGCTGGGATTAGAGGCGTGAGCCACCACCCCTGACCTTGCCTATGGCAAATTCATATAACCAAACTTTTAGTTTCCTCTTCTTCTTTTTTTTTTTTGTGGGGGAAGGGTGTTGGGGGGGGATGTGTTTTTGTTGTTTTGCTTTGCCGCTACATATCCTGGAGTCATTCTTCCAGACAAACACTGTGTATTAAAATTCTGACTCCTTCCATGATAAAATATGTTTTGTTTGATCATACGCTTGAATCTTAATTTGGTTTAGAGAATATTCTGGATTGAAAATTCTTCTCTTATTGCTGTCTTATATTTGTTGTTACTGAAAACAACCTTGATGCCCTTTAAATTTTCATTTCTTTGTAGGTAATTCGTGTTGCTTTGTTCCGTTTCTATTACTCACTGTTTGCCTTTTAAACTCTTTTTTTTTTTTTTTAATCCTTAGAATACTTTCTCTGGGATGTTGAAAAACTGGGTACTTTTTGCTTCATTCACCCTGCTGTCAAATGGAACATTTTTCCCTCATTTTCTCTCCTGCCATCTGCATCTCATTGAAGCCTCTAGATGAGTCCTCTTATCCTTCATATCTTTTCATACTTGTTTTCTACCTCTTTTGTCCTTTGCACTGCATTTCCAGAAAATCTCTTGGCTTCCCTTTCCAGCTCTTTAATTTTCACTTTAATTATGTTCATTCTGCTATTTAGTATTTTTTTTTTAATTTCACAGGATTTTTTTTTAAGAACTATAAGTTCTTGAATAGGTTGCTTTTCCAGCCTGTTTTTGTGCTTAGGATATTAATCCTCCTTGATCTCTCAGAGATCATTAAAGCATCTTCTGATTCCTCTCTTAATTTAACCCCCAAGTTCTAGTGCTTTTCTTCCATTGTGTCGATTTTCTTCCAATACTTGTCTGCTGAATACTCACATTGCAAATTGAGAAGCTGATAACAATTACAGGAGCTCGGCCTCAGCCATTTGAGGAAAGTAGCACAACAAGCCTCTGGACTGGATGTGCCAGTAGCTTATCTGCTGTGGAGAGAACATCCTGTTCCCCTGGGAATGGCCAGCTGTCTGACACAAGGCCCACTGACTCGTTCCAGCCCTGAATAAACAGCACAGGCTAAGGAAGGCTCAGAGATCACTAACTCGACCATCGTAAATGTAGGGACCCAATTAATCACTCAAGTTACCTTCAATTTTCTGCCCCCCACTCCACTGACTCTGAGCCTGAAGCACCCTCAGAAAACAGGCCTTAGGTCCCATTGTGAATTCTGCACTATTTTTCTTTGTTCTTATTTTTCTGTCACTTTCTTTGCTCTGTCAGTTTGTTTCTGTTCTCTTATGTTTCACTTATGTATAAAACTTTTATGGATCTCTCTCTCTCTCTGTCTCTCTCTCTCTGTCCCCACCTCTCCCTCTCTCAAATTTCAAGGGATGTGGGACAGAAGGGGATGTTAGGGGCATGTGCTTATTTTTCCCCCTGAATTCAGATTCCTCAGCATGCATTTTGTGTATGTTTTCACCCTTGAGTTCCCTTTGCCAAGATTGTCTCAATTACGTCTATTTTGAAATAATACAGTGGATTCATTTTTAAAACCTTCAAAATTCATCCCAGAACCAGGTGTGATAGAAATAAACATATAACCTTAACACATAGGCCCACATCTTCCTCAAAAGATTCTTGTGAGCATTAAATAGGACACTGTATAAAAGAACCTTGTAAAATGTAGAGTGCTGTGTAAATATGATTAAAATAGTGACTTTTATTTTCAGTTTCTTAAAAGTATGAACCATGTTTTAATCCCTATTTTTTCATAGTGGGTAGTCATCTACTCAACTAATTGATGAGTCAAAATTTGCTGAATGAATGACCTCATTCACATCACATTTTATTTTCAAAACATCGGAATTATGACAAATATATTTTACATACCTACTAGAAACACTTATCCATGGAGCTAAAATATACAGTTTACATTTATTCTACACTTAAGATGTATGAGATATAACAGTATATAACAAGTATATAACAAGATTCTCATACATCTTAAGTGTAGAATAAATGTAAACTGTATATTTATTTTTAAATAAATTGTGTCCCTAAGATTCATATGTTAAAGCCCTAGTGCCCAGTACCTGAGGATGTAACTGTGTATGGAGATAAGGTCCTTAAAGAGGTAATTAAATTAAAGTATTTAGTGTGGGTCCTAATTCAACATGACTGGTGTCTTTCTAAGAGAAAATTTGAACACAGGCATGTGCATACCTGGGAAAGACCATTTGTGAACACAGTCAGAAGGTGGCTGCCTGCAAGCCACTGAGAGGGGCCTCAGGAGAAACTAAACCTGCCAACACTTTGCTCTTGAACTTCTAGCCCCCAGAACTCTGAGAAAATAGATTTATTTTTTTAAAGTCACCCACTCTGTGATAATTTGCTATGACAGCCCTAGCAAACGAATACAAATGCATTGCTATGCTTTAAAAGCAATATATTTTAAGCCCGCAAACAGCACTGTTGAAGTAGATATATTAATCCCACCCAATTTATAGATGCAGTAACTCAAGTTTAGAGTTATTTACTATGGAGGTAATCATTCCTTAGGTAAGTAATGGAATAAGCTTTGTCCAACACCCCTGTCAGAACTCTTTAGTGCTATTAGGCTTTGACTAGCTTTAGGATGGCCAAACACCAATTTTGGACTTTTAAAAATTGTGGTAAAATACGTATAACATAAATTTACCATCTTAACCATTTTTAATTGCATATTTCAGCAGCATTAAATACCTTCACATTGTTGTGCGGCCAATCTCCAGAACTCTTTCCATCTTGCAAAACATTAAAATACTATTCTCATTAAACAACACCTCCTCATTCCCCTCTTTGCTCAGACCCTGGCAACCTCCATTCTACTTTTTATCTCTATTAATTTGACTACTTTACTTCATATAAGTGGAATCGAACAGTATTTGTCATTTTGTGATGGGCTTATTTCACTTAGCATAATGTTCTCAAGATTTACCCATGGTACAGCATCTGTCAAAATTTCCTTCCTTTTTAAGGCTGAATAATATTCTGTTTTATGTACTTACTTCATTTTGTTTATGCATTCATTTGTCCAGGAACACTTGGGTTGCTTCCATATTTTGGCTATTGTGAATAATGTTGCTATGAATATAGGTGTACAAATATCACTTTGAGATTCTGTTTTCAATTCTTTTGGATATATACCCAGAAGTGGAATTGCTGGGTCCTATGAAAATTCTATTTTTAATTATTTGAAAAACGCCATTCTGTTTTTCATACCAGTGGCACCATTTTACATTCCCACCAATAGTGCAAAAGGGTTTCAATTTCTCAGTATCCTTACCAGTACTTGTTATTTTCTTTTTTTTTTCCAATAGCTATCATAATGGGTGTGAGATACTAATTTTTCACTTTAAAAATTATCATTAGCCAGGTGTGGTATCTCTCACCCATACTCCTAGCTAAACTGGGAGGCTGAGGTGAGAGGATCACTTGAGCCCAGGAATTTGAGGGTACAGGGAGCTGTGACCATGCCACCACATTCCAGCCTGGGCTACAGAATGAGATGAGACCCGATCTCTAAAAATAAAAATAATTATTCTTATAAGGCAAAACTTATGTCACAAACCAAAATGCCTGTGTATTCATATAGGTGAATTTCTACACCACCTTAATTCTGCTTATCTTTGGGAAGCAGTATGCCTGAGGCCAAAAGTTCCCCATCATGCCCAAACTGGCTAAGACTGGTGGGATTCAAGATGGCAGCTCACTTGACCTCTGAAGAATCCTCTAACTTCATCATAATCTAATTTCGATGCTAAATGGCACTCCCACCAGTGCCATGACAGTTGATAATCACCATGACAATGACGTGAAGAAACCATAAAAAGACAAAAAGAAAGGTTTCGAGGAGTTCCCCTCTCATTCCCAGAAAGACATGAATATTCCTCCTCTTGCTTTTAATGATGAGCCTCTTCTTTAAAGATGCCCTATATCTGTGGCTTCCTGGCTCTCAGGAGCTGAGAAGTTGATTTGTGAACCCAACTGCTGCTTCTCAATTCTATGGTCATAGAATTAAGCCTGCATTAATAGATGCTCACTTTTGGTTTTGTGTATTGGCTTTGCAGCACTGAACAGGGAAAGACCCTGTTTTTGGAGGGGACCAGCTTTGTCAGTAACACATAAAAAATTAATAAAAGTGGCTAACAAATATAGATACACAAAATAACAGATATATAACAAACATAGAGTCACAAAGCGTTTACTTTAAAAACAAACAAAAATGTCACATTTTTACCAGCAAATTTAGTATGTGTTGCTTGGATTTGGGTCATTCTCAAAGCTGCAATAGACATTTATATATTCTATTATTTACAACATTTTTCTCCCTTTAACCTTCACTATAATCTTTTGGGTATGGTATTCATTTAATACCATTCTCAGGTACTAAATGAAATGAGGAAACCAACATTCCTCAAGTGTGAATAACTAATTCAAGACCTCATGACCAGACAGCAAAGAAAGAGTGTGATTCCAAGATTCCAACTGCAATTTATGCCCTTTTCTCATGATTTCATGTTGCCACTCTCATTATGTAGTCTTTAATTAAAACTTGCAGGAATCACTTTATAGCAATATAATACTTGAAAATAGGCAGATGAAACATAAATTGTAAAAAAAAAAGGAAGAATATAAGCTTTTCCTTATCTGTGTAATATAATAATGTCAACAATGTATGGGTTGTTTTTAGGCACTGATGTCAGGTTTAAAGTAAAGCAAAACAAGGATTACTTAATACAATTTTAAAAAAGGCTAAAAGTATCTGATGCACTAAGATGAATAAATTTAAAATGTCAAAGTTCACAATCCATACGCTCCAGCAATGTAAACTGAGGCCAAAATAACACATTTTTTGAGATTTATTATTAAATATTATGGCTTATACAGGATAATTAAAACATTGTGTGTGTAATATGTAGACACTAATTGTCCTACCATTCCAACACATGCATTCGAGGTTAGTCAGTGAATAGTCACTCTCCAGTTGCTCGGCATTACTGCATTAGTAATAGTAATAATAAAGCAATAAAGTTTATTATGCAATTATTACATTACAGATATTTAAATGTAGATTTAGATAGATAGATAGATAGATAGATAGATAGACAGATAGATAGACAGATAGATAGATAGATAGATAGATATCCCTCAAATTACATGGGCTTATATCCAGATAAACCCATTCAAAATGGAAAACATCATTAAATTGGCTTGTTTTCAGTATAGGATGGGTTTATCCAGAGGTAACTCCATTGTAAGTCAAGGAGTGTGCCGAATGTGTATTGCTTTTGCATCATCGTAAAGTTAAAAAATTTTAAATTGAACCATTGTTAAGTCAGGGACTGTGTGTGTGTGTGTGTGTGTGTGTGTGTGTGTTTGTATTCTTAAAAACAACTATTTAATTTAGGTATCATGATCCCCATTTTTTAAAATAAGAAAATGAGGCTTAGATATTTGCCCAAGCTTACAGATCCAGGCAATAAGGAATCAAGATTAGAGTCACCAGGCGGGACTGACCATAAACCTATGTCTGTATCCTCCCTACAGTTTGACAGAGGTTGGTTGAAATGTGATCTAAACTCAGCACACATCCCATCAGCAAGTTTTCTTCCAATTGATAATATCTCCAATTGAAATTTTTTAAAAATGTTGTTAAATTGATTGTCTCCTAGAATAGACTTAGATGCAGATATCATTGTATCATATCCTAGTTAGTATTGACAGTCTAAAGGGAGGCAAAGGTATTAATAGCTCCATTATTGGAAAAATATGCCTAGGTTATATGAATACCATTTAGAATGACTAATTCACACAGTCCGGGCAGTATTTGCTTTTTCAGAAGTTTCAAAGTGCTGTTCTACTATAAAAGAAAAAGAAAAAAAAGTTGCTGTAAAACAAAAATTCAAATTACAAAATTAGCTGAGTAATTGGAAGAGAGAAAGATAGAGTTTGCATTATATTAATGAAACTATGGCCCTTTAATGTGATGTTTTACTGAAAATCACTAGTCTAATTATGCAAGTGGAAAAAAGAAAGGGGTTTGAAATAGAAAGAATATGTTCCCATGGAAGTGAAAAAGAAAAACGTATAAGATCGACAGAATAAGAAATAAAGGCAGATGGGAAGTAAATTAACCTGCAGTTTCATTGCAGCATGATAAAGGGAGATAGAACCGAAAGTTGTATTCAACGTTTCATTCCAGATTGTGAGGAAATATTCTAGCTGTAACTGCTCTTAAGGTGATCTGTTACCAGTAATGAGATGATTATATTTAAACTATAAATTTGAAGTAGAATAAATCACTGTTTCAGTTAATCAGTGAAATATTCACTGATGTAAAATTCACAAGGAAAGGTTCAAAACATATCTTGTCGAATATGAAATAACTACATTTATCTAGAAGTTTAGTTTACTTTTTTTAAAATGTAATTTAATTTTTATCTGCTCATCTATGGTTTCTGAGTTTAGTTTACTTTTAAGATAAGTTTATTGACAATCTGGCTACAACATCTGTAATACTAAGTGATACATTTTAAGAAAAATGATGTTGGTCCTTTAGTCAACCTTCAAAAGAAACTTGAACACAAGTGAATATTTTGGGATAAAATAACTCAAATATAATTTTATATCAATAGACAAACCACCTCTTTCTAATTTCCATCTTTTAGTAAAAAATTTCAAGATCAGGATATGATGTGCTGATTTGGGCCAAATCACAAAGAACAGTCTCTCCTTTCTGCACCATTCAAGCACCTGCTTGACTTGAGCCCACCAAACTTGCAGCAGGCATTTTGCTGCTTTTATTTCAATCACCTGTAAAACCCTCTGATCTCCAAGGTTCAAGGAGACACTCCATTTGAGCGTTTTTCCTATTGCAAAGACCTGAATAAACTACTTATTCCCTTGCAGTTTGAGTCTTGGAGAATTTTTGAGAGTTCAACACAAGTTTTTAAAATGACACCTTTTAAAATAAACACAATAGCATAACGTCCGGTCTTTTGCACTAATGACAGAATCCTAAGGCATCTATGTATTTTAATATATATTATCATGAAAATTAAATAAAAACTGTAGAAATCAGAATGTCATAAGAAAAATGTATCTATGGTACAGATATTAATTCCTTTTAATTGCAAAAACCACAATTACTTTTGCACCAATATAATACTTCGACAAAATGGGGAAAGATTTCCCAGTTGTGCATAACAAAATTAAAGTGTTTGTCCATTTGTATTCAACATAAATTCAAGGTGAAACTTCACTTACAACGAATAGAAATTCTTTTTTCTAAAAATAATATATAATTATTCCTGTGGAAATAATAAAATGATATTTTTATACTTATTCACAGATGGTAACTAAACATTAATAATATTCTCATATGTTCTTCCTCATTAAAAATCATACTTAAAGTTAACGTGACCGTATTCAATCAAATCTGTTGCTGAAACTCTTTAAAAGGCAAAGTCTTGTCTTTTCTGTTATTTCACCTGAATTATTAAGGAATTAACAAACATATTATCAGGCCTGGAATTTAAATTTTACACTACTTGTAAGCTAGTGTGGCCCTGTACTTTTCAAGGATGCTGCCTAAGACTTGAGACTCCTGGGTCAGACACAGACTGTTACTCATAGCACAGCAAGCAACATGAGTATTCACATATTTATATGAGTTACCCTTGCCCCCACATTCCATGGAGAGGGCAATGTGTTGAGTGTTATACACACAGTGGGTTTGTACTGCAGTGAAAAACACTGAGCTTGGGGAACCCACAACTCATATAGCAAACAGTAAGTGTCTTAGTCCATTGGAGCTAGTACAACAAAAATATCATAGACTGGTAGCTTAAACAATATCTCTCACATTTCTGGAGTTTGGGAATCCAAGATCAAAGCACCAGCAGATTCTATGTCTGGTAGAGCCCTGAATTCAAAGATGGTCATCTTCTTACTGTGTCCTCACATAGCCAAAGAGGTGACAGAGCTCCCTTGGGTCTCTCATTCAAAAGGATTCCACTTTCATGACGCCATCATCTCCCAGCGGCCCCGCCCCCTAATACTATCACACTGGGAGTGAAGTTTTCAACATACAGATTTTGGAAGTACGTGAACATTTAGCCCATAACAGTAAGCAAACCTGCTCTTGTCCATACAAGACGTAACCTCATCTCTCAAGGTTAAGGTTAACAGTTGGATAAAAATTCCTGATAAATTGTCTGGGTAAGAGCTTGCAGCCACTACACAGCCAGCCAGATGTACAGAAGAACAAAAGGCCCAAGAGAGACTGCCTCTATGAACTGTCTCTTCAAACACAGATCAGACAATAGAAAAGAACGAAGAAAGAGAAAGAGAGATTTTCTTGGTAAACCAAGCCTAAGCCCTGCCCTCAATAAGTAAGCTGTTCTATCTGCACCCTTCATGCTCAAGCACTCCAGCCAGCCATTCTGGCCTCTTTTCACAAGAATGCCTTCCTTCAATCTCTAAATATTTCCTTCTCATCATTCCAGCCTCAGGCTATATGTAACCTCCTTAGAAGACAGATTCCTTACCTATCCATTTAAATTGGTTACCCTGTGTTCATTACACCCCTCATCATTCTTTGTCTTAGCAACCACTCAATTTTCTTAAGGGGACTTCTCATAATACAAAATATGCATATTTATATATATTCATTGGTCTTCTATTTTTTGTCTGTCTCTTTCACAAGGCTCTAAGCTTCAAATTGCAAAGAATTACGATGTCTTGTGCACCTTTGTAGCTCCAGCACTAGTGTTGCTTTGTGACACAGTAGGTCCTCAATACACAGTGGATAAGTGAAAGAATCAATACAAAGTTTTAATTAATGTGTATATCTAGAATCAAATAAAAAATAAGCTAATAACTTAAACTTATAAAAAACATTCAAGATAAAAAATATTCAAGGTCAAAACATACCCTGCCTTCTTCAATGTTACTTGGTGTAGAGAAGTAATGAAAAGTCTGAGGTCCTTTCTAAAATGGATATTAAGAAACATTTTACAAACTTTTCAATAAAAATATATCCCAGAGTACCCTCTGACTTGATGTATTACACTTAGTTCAGTGCAGTCCACTTAGAGGATTGCTTTTAACATAGTAGAATGAAGTCCCAAAAGGCAATATTCTCTTTTAATTAAAATATGGAAAGACTATTGGAGGAGGATTTACAAGTCCTGAGTTTTAGTCCTTTCTTCTTTACTAGCTGGTTGTGGGCCCTTAAGCAAGTTATTTAACTGCTTTAATTCTCAGTTTCCTAAGATTCAAAATGTAGATATCAATAGGTTCTTCATTCACTTTTAAGTTTTGTTATTTTTTCCACAGATAGCATTTAATTTCAGGTGTATTATCTCACAACTTGTTCACCAAAGACATCAGAGAAATATCATGCACCTAATTAATGTAATTTTTCATATACTTAGGGTATGGTTTTTAATCAGGAGAATTACATAAAAATGCATTCAAACATCTACGTATATTTATTTTTCATCTACCTAATTATTATATTAACTGCCTATTTTGTTCCAACTTTTGTGTTAGGTGTTGGGGACAAAACAATGAACAAAATTGGCATGGCCTCTGTTGTCTTAGAGAGTTCTGGGAATCACAATATAATCTCACACCCATATCTACACTGGACTAAAAAAATCATCCTTTGTCACCAGGTGCAGTGGCTCACGCCTGTAATCCCAGAACTTTGGGAGGCTGAGGCTGGTGGATCACCTGAGGTCAGTGAGATCAGCCTGGGCAACATGGTGAAACCCCATCTCTACTAAAAATACAAAAATTAGCTGGGCATGATGGTGCATGCCTGTAATCCCAGCTACTGGAGAGGCTGAAACTGGGAGGTGGAGGTTGCAGTGAGCCGAGATTACGTCACTGCACTCCAGCCTGGGTGACAGAGCAAGATTACGTCACTGCACTCCAGCCTGGGTGACAGAGCAAGATTCCATCTCGGGGGAAAAAAAAAAACAGTGATAAAAACAAATGACTTAAGCTACATCTGGGTAGGGATTTCAGACCTACATAAAAAACCATATATCAACTACAGTTGGAATGACAGGAAATTGCCATTTCTGTAAGCCAAAAATCGTTGGATACTGGAAATTTCACATGGCTTGTTCAATCATTAATTTTATTCAAATTGAATAAAGTTGGTATCAACCTGTGCTCTTCATTATACTCACAAAGTCCAAGGAAATGCTGGACACGGTGGCTCACACCTGTAATCCTAGCACTTTGGGAGGCTGAGGTGGGTGGATCATTTGAAGTCAGGAGTTCAAGACCAGCTTGACCAACATGGTGAAACCCCGTTTCTACTAAAAATACAAAAACCAGCTGGGCATGGTGGAACACGCCTGTAATCCCTGCTACTTGGGAGGCTGAGGCAGGAGAATAGCTTGAACCTGGGAGGCAGAGGTTACAGTGAGCTGAGATCATACCACTGCACTCCAGCCTGGGTGACAGAGCGAAACTGTCTCAAACAAACAAACAAAAAAAGACAAAACAACCAAACTCCAAGGAAATAATATCAGTCTCATACCTATGAGTTACTTAAAAGACTTTTGAAATATCTTTCATTACAGGATCCCAAGTGAAAAAACATTCATCTTTTAATATAGGATACTGGCTTTGTGCAAGAAGATAAAGATAGGAAACATTTCAGAATGTGGCCCTCAATTACTTGAGAATTGGGTATGAACTGCCATTAGATTTAGCATATGAAACATGATCATAGAGCAAAATCCATTTTAGTAAGAAGAATAAATGTATGACTATATGTATAACTGTCTTTACCATTCTTATTAAGAATAACAGAACTTTTTAGTTTTGGTTTTTGTTTGTTTGTTTGTTTTTGAGACGAAGTTTTGCTCCTGTTGCCCAGGCTGGAGTGCAATGGGAAGATCTCGGCTCACCGCAAACTCCACCTCCTGGGTTCAAGCAATTCTCCTGCCTCAGCCTCCCAAGTAGCTGTGATTACAGGCACATGCCACCACACCTGGCTAATTTTGTGTTTTTAGTAGAGATGGGGTTTCTCCATGTTGGTCAGGCTGGTCTCAAACTCCCAACCTCAGGTGATCCACCTGCCTCGTTCTCCCAAAGGCTTTATAGATTCTTAGAAACACAATTGATGACCTGCAAAATAACCTCATATTAGAAAAGAACGGGTTTATATTGATCCAGGTATAGTTGCATGGGTCAAATCCTCATGTAATAAAGTCAATGTTATTAGCTTTAAGTTTAAAAAAAAAGATTTTATTGTAACTATAATAGCTAATTTTTTCAGTTGGCTGGCAGTTTTCTCACTCCCTTCTTCACATCATAGTAGAAGACTATCTTATGGCACGGGTAGCATGTGACTTGGGCCTGACCCTCTTCCGGTTGAACCATCTGAAACTGCCTGTATTTGACCATTTTGAACCTACAGAAACAGGAATCACATATGGTTCAAACCAGTAATTTTTCAACCCAAGCAGCTGTGATTGATCCAAGATGTGAGTATAGAAATGAAAACAGGGCCAATCAAATGCCTTTCCTGGATTACTCTTTGTTAGTCCCATGAGGGACAGGCTCATTGCCAGAGTTGCTAAGTTGGTGGTTTGGTTAGCTATGATCCTCACTACATACCTAGAGCTTTGCTGATCTGGAGATAAAGGCCAGTGTAGGGAGGAGATGCAGAGAAGGACACAGACACATACAGAAAAAATCCACGAAACACTGACTCTTCATATTCAGTATCTAAGGCCTTAGATCTCCTTTTCATTCTGAGAACTAGCCTGTATCATTGGCTGCAACATTATGGATATATAAATTCTTTGAGCTAGTCTTATTGTGTTTTCTATTACTTGCAACTGAAAGAATCCAGACTAAGAGAAAGGTAGAAATGTTTACGAAAAAGCTTGACAAGTGCTAATAATGAGGACAAAACAAATTCTAATTTAAGATCTTTCTCTATGTGGCAAGAAAATAAATTGGGACAATCAACTCAACGGGTGTCATTGGATGGAAGAGTTTTTTTTTTTTTTTTAGCTCCCTCAGGAGAAAATTGCAAAAGAGATCTGAAAGTACAAAGGTTAATCAACTCAACCCAAATTTGTGTTGAAGAGACAAATATGTGACATAATTAACTAACTAATTAATTGAAAAAAGTTAAATAATTAATTAGATTTGTCCTAACATTAGGAAAAAAATATCACTGCATGATGATATTTTTGAAAAAAACAGTTTTATGGTAAATTATTGTACATGGGCTGGGCTAATCTAATGTGAAGAAGTAGAAATGAGAAGGAAAGAAGATACTCCAGCCAAGTTATAACACATGAATAAACAGACAAGGGTGACATTTTGAAGAGACTTTGAAGGCACTAATGTCTGCTAAACCAGTATAAATTGTCAAATGTGGTAGAAAGATTGGAAAGGAGAGCCAAGATTATAAGAAGTAATCTTATAGCATCAACCTGGAAAAAATGCAGCTAACTAAACTTTGTGGTCCTTTCTCCTGTATTGTCATCTACGGCTCTATCTAAGAGGGCTGTATTTACAAAGGTCACATATTTATGTTTCCTATATCATTAAAGATTACCAATAAAAAGATACGGAAATGTAACTTTATTTACATCTATATTTTGTTTTATTGGTATATGATTTTTAATATTGGTATAACTATGTAGCATTATGTAGAAAAAAGAGAGAGAGAGAGAAACAGAGAAGAGGAGAGAAAGAGAAACATCAGAAATTGCACTTTGGTTTCAAGGTCCCTTCCTTGGTGGTAAACTCTATTTTTGATTTCACATCTGAGAATACTTATTTTACTTATCAAATGATGTCAGACTGGCTTAGCAAGTGCTAGGAGATGTGATTCAGAAAGCAACACACAAGGTCCATGAAAGCCTGAATCAGAACTTGTTACAAGTTGAGGAGAAAATTGAAGTCATAAAGATAATGATCGATGGATGTGACACCATTCTAATTAAGAACACCAGAGTCTGTCAGATGTTTGAAAATAGAATTGATGACCTGAAAAATAACCTCGGATTAGAAAATATCAGGCTTGTGTTGCACCAGGGGCTACTGAGACAGCAGTGTCGGCTGAAATATTCTTTAAACTGTGGATTATAAAAGTGTAGGAAATGGATAAGTTTGACCACTTTCAGCAATATATCATGGCATTCAACATAAACTAGGACAGCCACACAAATGTTTGTAGATGTATAGGCAGACAGAATTAGAAACAAAGTCTGTTGAAACTAACATTCTTCCATTTAAAATGTTTGTCATTCCAAGTGATGATTTCACTCTGATGAAATTATTCACTTGTTATGAATAAGAGTGTGAGAATATTTTAGAGATAGCTACTTTCTTCCATCTGATGTAAAGCATTATGGAATTCAGATTTATGCTATGTTTTAAACCTAACTTGAAGAAATTTTAGGTTGCTTTTTCCACTCTATGAAGACCTTTAAATAAAAGGGTATGTCAGTGAATAATGCCATTAGCATTATTAGTAATTCACTGTAAGAGGTTACAGCATTTAAATTTACCTTTTAAGCAAAAAGATATTTGTTTCCCTATAATTCAAGTACTGCATAAGTTGACAACCTCTTCTATGAAATTCAGAACAGAAATTTACTAGCTTGTGGTGGCTTTCTTAATGGAAAGTACCTTTTAAGCCTCAGTTTTTCAGATACTTAATATTTCCTTTTCTTGCTATTTTGGTTCTTTATCAATGGAATTTACTCTAAGTATATTCCAAATCCACCCGTAGGGAAGGCTTAAAAGAAATATTTCAGATCTCTGAATTCCATAAATTGTAAGTTTGGATATTTTTAGGTTAATGTTCATGAATTTAAATTTCATAATATGTTGTTTATGTAAGAAGAGTTATAGAAACGTATTCTCAATGTAATTGCAAAATGAAAGACGTTCATGAGGCAAGTGCTCTTCTGATCTAAGTCTTTCACTTCATATCCCATATTACTTACTTCTCCACATCTGCTGTCATTCTCTTTGTTTTTCCCCCAGCAGAGGGTGCAAAATAGTAAACCTTGAAACTGCTGCAAAAACTTGTATTAAAATCACAGTGATTTGTAAATCCAAAAGAAAAAAAATCTGTAACTGTTTATGGAGGGTGATTCGTTATTAGGAAGAAGGCTAATTAACATTACCTTTCTGAGGAGAGGGTCGTTATTATTAGCAATCATTGAGGAGGCAATTTCACTTGGGGAATTTGCAAAACCAGGATCATAATAAGGACAACCTAGACATGAAAGAATCTAATCTTATATTTAGTAAGCATAGCGCAGCAATATTCTTGTATCAATAAATGTATACAATTTTATTTTAAATGCAGTAAAAACACAACTCTACAAGCATTATTTCAAGAGACCTTCACATGTGATTTAAAGTAGAATCTTCCTTAGATATTTTGGACACAGACCACAAATAAATCCTAGAACAGCAATGACTAAATTAAACCATCCAACTCTAGGACGGTTATTTCTTTCACACATTCTCTTTATACCCTGATAAGGCAGATTGAAATGTTGGTCACAATTCTTCACCTTTACCTGTATCTATGCCTTTCGTCTCAAGATATTTCGCTTCTTCTCATAGGCTCAAAGTGTATTTTTACCCACCCCATTGACTTTAGGCTTAGTTATTTTGCTATTTCCACTCGCCCCCCCCCAACTGGATGGGAGTATCATGATGCAAACAAAGGTTTGAAATAGGTTTACATGGTAAAACTTACTGTTTTGCACCTCAGCCATCACCATAAGAAAAGTTTCCCTGGTTTACTACTGCAACTTCAGCTGGGTCCTCATAATCAATGCATATGGTACAGACGGCCAAATCTATGGTAAGGAGCCGAGCCCAGCCCAGGCAGACCCACACTGGGAAGCGCAGCTGTACAGCCAAGCCAGCAGGACCAGCTGAACCACAGACATATGAGCATGAATAGATGGTTATTTTTAAGCAACCAAGTCTTGGGGCAATTTGTTACAAGTATTAATATGGTGATAATTAACCAATATGTCAGAATCCATTCTTCTTCCAGGGAACTTGTTTTACAGTCAACTCATTGTTCCCTCCATTTCTTATTATAAAAAGTTATTATGGAACAGATGCAGTGGCTTACACCTGTAATCCCAACACTTTGGGAGGCTGAGGCAGGAGGATCATTGAAGTGAGGAGTTTGAAATCAGCCTGAGCAATAACGCAAGACCCTGTTTCTATAAAAAAATAAAAATAAAAAAAGGAATTATGGACTGAAATTTTTGATCTAGGCCCTGGGGATACAAAAAAAATAGTTCTTGCCTTTTGAAGGGCACAAAATAAGAAAATGTGGCAGGCACATAAGCTGGTAAATGCAATGGTGTAGTAAAAGAGACAAAGATAATGTGGTTAATTCTATGTGATCGAAAGTTAGAGAGTGTTGCTAAGGCCAACTTCTTAGAGGGTAAGCGGGCATAGGACAGGCAACAAAAGCAATCCCAAGACCCAAACGAAACAAATATCACAAAGGACAAAGTATTTTATCGGACAGGTTTCCTGAAAGGTGGGGAAAAAAACAACAGATCAATGCTGAATGACCAAAATGTTCCCTGCTGGATAAACAAAACACACTCACAAAAAATGATTCAAAAGTGTGAAGGAAAAGATGCTGTATTCACTTACTTGAGGGTAGCTCTACATCTTTGCATATGCCTTGAGTGAAGAGTTGCCCCCAGGTCATTCTCATTTCTGATTTCAAGAACAAGATGATAGGAATAATTATAATTATATTATAAAAAGTCATGTTGATTGGGGAATCACTATGTCCCATACACTATTCAAAATACTTGTATCCATTAATTAATGTAATCCTCATGCCAGCAATGTATTTATCATTATTATCCGCATTATAAAGCTAAGGAAACAAAATGTTCAAAAAGGTTAATGATCAAGTCTGACTATAAAGCTTGGCTCTTCATTACAGTCATCCACTAGGATCTATCACCATAAAGCTATAAATATCAGAGAGATTTTTTGGAGTAGAACCTATGGTATTGTATTGCTAACAAGCTCCCAAATCATGCTAATGCTACTGGTCTTCAGGCAAGAGTTTGAGGAGCAAGGGTCTAGAAGACACCAGAAAATGCCTATACTGCTTGTCCAGCTTTTCTGGGTGGCTGCGACTTGTGGGAAACAGGCACGGGCTAGACTCCAAAAATTCGTCTACATCAAAAACTTGCCTTTGCATCCTATTTTCTGTTGGGGATCCACTGCTTAGCAGAATCATAACTTTAGGAAATAGCCTTTGGATAAGTCAATGGGGTAGGCAACCAGGGGACTATTCAGACTTTCCTGTTTGACCACTGCACTGCAGTGAAAGTCTGAGGTGCTTAATTCAAATGCGAAGCCCAAGGGGTTGGAACAATTAGCTTACTATCTGCTCTTTGTGATCAATACATGACTAAACCTGTGTTGAATATATGATTAAACATCTCAGAGAGGCCACCGCCACTAAAACTCTGAGGCCAAAATTAAGCTTCTACCTTAACAGAAGTCCAGTCTCCCCAGTGACAACTGTCTTTAACAGTGAGATTTGATTTCAAGGCTATGTTTTGGGCTCAGAACTGGTAGAAAGATTTCTTGAAAGCCCTTACATGGTTAACTGCAGTCTCTTAGGAGGATGACTATGCCTTCCTAAGACATGACTGAAACTCATAACTTCCAATTAGGCAAAGAATCTCCACTGCCATTCCCCTGGTTGCATGGTAAGTAAAATCAGGGAGGACTTGATTACAGGGTGTTGGGAGGAAAATTGAGAAGACAAGACAGGAAATGTAGGCTGTGGCTTCTGATGGATGCCTACTTTTCATCTACAGGATCTTACTTTTCCCATGAGTATCACAGTTAATATTTTTTAGGTAGAGTTGATTGCATGACTAGTTCTAAGGGTGAGAATACGGCTCAAGTCTGTCAGTCATGACATTCATCTTCCTCCAATTTCAGAGGTTGGCTCAAGGATAGGTGGGTAAATCAAGGAAGACCAATGAGTGCATCAAGACATCCTTCTGGAACTTATATTGAAAATATTTACATTACAAGCAGTCTCTTCCTCATGGACTTGAAGCTGAGAACATGTAAGACCGCAGCTGTGAGAGGTCACCAAATGGAGAAGATATGTTTAATACTAAATTCAATACAATGAAGAGAAGAGGCAAGAAAGAAGAGAGAGACACTGCTGATGAGATGATTTGAGGCTCTGAATCTAGCTGTATCTGAAGCTAATGCTAGGCCTGGTATTTTTAGTTCTATGAAGAAATACATTTTCTTTGAATACTTATTGTTTGTTGTCCAAAGCTTTCTGACTCAGATAGAGTCCAAATGAGAAAATCAGAATGTAAAGCTGAGAAATTTGTATTTAATTTAAAAGGCAGTTGCAAGTTTCTTGAATAGAAGGTGTTGGGTAGGGTACAGAAGTGGTCACAAGCTGTGAAATGAATTTGCTGTTAAGTCAACTACAATTTACTTCAAAAAGAGAGAGAGATGGATGGGTGGATAATAAGAGTGTTAAATGGATAAATCAGGAAATTCTTTCTAGACTTACTTTACGTATGTACTAAAATATGTAGCAGTCCTCTAAGTCACTTCTACAGTTTGATAATGCAGATGGGTGGAGGTGTGGATAGAGAAATTATGTCAGACAACCAGAGGCGTCCTGTTTGTCGTACATATCTATACAACACTTTTTAATTGCATGGGTTTCAGAATAGAGAGATGATCACATTCAAGACTGATTCAGAAAGACAATAGTGCTTTCCAAATGTCTAATCTACAAAATATTGCAACAGATGCAGGAGGTTGGAGGCTTTGACAGTTCTATTTAGCAAGCAGTAAAGAGAGAAATAAGGAAGGAGAGACACATTTTCCCCCGCTCTCCCAGATTTAATGTCCAGAATACTTCCTGACTCATTGTAGTCCATATGCCTCTACCCACTTTATGTTTTAAGACCAAATATTTTATTCTCAAATTGAAGGTAGTTGGACCAAGTGGTTTTCCAGTTTCCAGGATGAAATGTTCTACCACAAGCCAGAAACCATTTAAAAAATCACCTACTACTCTCCCATGAGTCCTGTAAGCAAACAGATGTGCTACACAGAGAAAATGAATGCATCGTATTGCTGTCTGTGGCATAGGAATACGGTTATTCTAGTAGAAGAAAAGAAATAATGGTATATTTGGAAAAATATGTTTTAAAAGAGATATTTATATTTAAAATTGATATTTAATTGGGGGGAGAAAATAAATGATACATGGGATATAATATAAACATCTCTATCTTAAAATAATGTTCTCATAATACTAGTTTTTGCCTGTCTTTTACAGACACACTTCATTTAATTTGGTTTTAGAAATGGGGTTCTGTTTTTGCATTGATGGGTCTCAGTCAATGATGAGATTCCCTATGACTATTCATTACTTGTTACAGCTAAATCTCTAGTGAGGTGTGAATATTTATGAAGGCTATTCCTTTTTTGATTGGCTCTGATCCTGGTAGCCTTATTAAGAATAAGGTTTACAATAGATTTGCACTCTTGGTAAGCAGGGCAGCGTACCAAATACAGGGTAGAGCTGGAGTGTTTTCAACAAAAGCAGCACCTGGGAGTAGTAAAACTTGGAAGAGTATGAGTAGCCTCCAGGCTGCTTTCTTGTAATGTATGCCAGTTTTGAGATTCTGCCATTCTTTGCTCGAAGTTAATGATCTAAATTTTAAATGCAAGAATCCTTTAAAAAAGAGTGGTGGGAAAAGTAGATCAACATTGGGGAAAAGGCAGGTTTACTCTCAAAGGATCTATCACTGAATAATATAGCCATGTGTCTAAGAACCTTATCATCATTTTATAAAACATATGATATAAAAATTGTTCCTTAAGAGAAAGACATCAATGTGAATAATTACAGTATTTGTGTGTGTGTGTGTGTGTGTGTGTGTGTGTGTGTTTGTGTGTGTGTGATAGAGTCTCCTGCCATCACCCAGGCTAGATTGCAGTAGCGTGATCTCAGCTCACTGCAACCTCTGCCTCCTGGGTTCAAGCAATTTTCCTGTCTCAACCTCCTGAGTAGATGGGACTACAGGCACCTGCCACCACGCCTGGCTTTGTATTTTTAGTAGAGACGGGGGTTTCACCTTGTTGGTCAGGCTGGTCTCGAACTCCTGACCTCAGGTGATCCATCTGCCTCAGCCTATCCATCTGCCTCAGCCTCCCAAAGTGCTGGGATTACAGGCGTGAGCCACCACGCCTGGCCTATGCTAAGTTTTTAAAAAATACATAAATGCATATAAATGTGTTCAACGAGGGAGGGTGCAACTGTTCGTGAAATTATATTGTTCTCTAGTAAACATGAATTGCCCACACCTTGTTAAATAGATTTCATACCTCCAGAATATAGAACATGAGTAGCTCCCAATAGCAAATTTACAGCATGAATCAAAGAAAAAAAATTGGAAAGGGAAAAATAAGAATGAAGAGTATGCCTACCTATTTCACACAAGAAAGCAATTGATCTTCACTAAATCAAAATTAAGATACAATAGCTAAAAAATCAAAGCATTTTTTATGCCACTCAAGTAACCTATTAGCTTGAATGTTTTTCACCATTACCCCAAACGTTAAATTTAAATCCAGAAAATCCTATGTTAGTGGAAAGGTGGAATTAAATTTGAAAATTGTAATTATGTAATGGCTTTGCCCAGAGAAGCTTCAAGGTTATATGGCCTGCCCATTCTCATAGCACCACATGCTCAGAAGAGTCCTGTGCTTGCTTTAATGCTATGCTGTAGCTGTCTTGAAATTCTTAATTATTTTATCTTTGAACTTGTCTTTTGTATGTAAAATGCAACGAAACAATGCAGCATATGCTTGAGTACAGGATATATGTGCAATGTGCATGTCTGACGTACCTTGTTGTGCCATTCACAGATAATGTTCTTCAAGGCCCATGAACACAGATTTCCAGTGCACTGGTGCTGTATGTGTGGAGGTTCAGCAAGACCTCAGTTGAGTAAAGAGTAAGCTGGTTGTTGGGGTAAGCAATTGAGTAAGCAATAGACAACTAAGTAAGCAATTGCAGATAGCCCTGAGAGGCCACACTTTCAACTGGAATCAGAATTTCGCTAGAATTTCAGAAAGAGACCAATTATATTCTAAGAAATACTAATGACCAAGGAACCTTACTATATCTTTTCTCATTTGTATTACTTCCCTGCATTAGTCAACCACTGATGTGAAAATTATGACATAGAAGAACAGTGAAAGATAATGCAATTCGTGTTCCTTTTTCTTTCAGTCATTCCTCACTCGTTAGTAAGCCAAAAGTGGAGAGCATTGGTAGAATGTGTGCATACCAAACTAAATAGCAACATCCAAGTCAGCTTTGTTCAGTGTTTCCATTGTTCTGGTAAGAAAAATACATAAACATGTAGAAACTACAAGTTACAAATTGTATAATTTCAGTGATTCTGTGTTTGAGTTAAGTGCTCTTATATTTAAACTAGCATTTAAAACTGGCATGGTACAGTATAAAGATGAATAGTGAAGTTCATGCTAATAATTAACATTTTAATTATTCTTTACTTAGAATGACATTAAAGAACAAGTGAAAAACATCATGACAATTTAAGAAAGGCCATGAAAGAAAGGAAAAATGTTCATATACAACACCTGTTTCCTGATTTTTGAACAAGGGGTCCTGCATTTTCATTTTTCACTGAACACCATGTATTATGTAATCAGCCATGAACTATGTATAAAATATGTTGGCTTTCATAGGGGAAGAGATCTTCTTCTCCAATCATCTAAGTAACATAATCCTAATTTTCTGCCTTTCTGTGTGTTTCCCCCTCTCAGGATCCTAAGGATGTTAAAGGCTGAAATACCCTAAGGAATTTTTCCTAGTGGCAATAATAAGATTAGCCAAAATACTAATAATGATTATTTCAAGGAACTAGCAATATTTGGTAAGAAAAGTTAGAAGCTTTCTCCCTCTCCACCAGTGGTATTTCTATTCATGTGACTCACTTCTAATTTTAAGATATCTCTATTTTCTGTCTTAAATGGTCAACTAACATCTTACTTGATAACTCTCCTGATGATTTTTATAGTTGCATAACTCTCCTGATGCTTTTTATAGTTGCATAACTGCACTGATAGTCATAGTTTCTGCTAGCTTGGGTATCAGATAGGTAACAATTATATTTGGGAGTCATAGTTCATAGTTCATACACTTCTAAACCTGCTTTGAAACCTGAATATACCTCATTAATTGAGGTCAAACCTAAAGTTACTTATTTAGTCAAATGGTTGACTGGGAAGAGGATTGCTTTATCAGCATTTTGATTACTATGTTATTTGCACCTGTGTCCAAACCACACCTATACTTTTCTTCCAGTGATTGAGATAATTGTCATAATAGTTTAAGGATGCCAAAAATCACTTAAAGTTTTTTTGAATCTCATCTTTAAAATTGCTTGTAGTTTAGGATTATTTCATAATTACCAAAGAAATAATGGAAGAAATTATTTCATGGCAAAATATATGTGTGAACCCATCATTTTGGACAAAAGACTCAAGAAAAAGAAAGCCACCTGTTTTTCATTGATTTCAACTTTTGAAATATTTTGATTATACTGATTGTATCCTGGAACAATTGGACTTGGTTAAAAGAGAAACTATTGGAGTGATGAGACTTACACAGTATTTTATGGACCATGATAGAAAGTGCTCAGGCAAACAAATGCTTGGAATAACAAGTGGAAAATTCTAATCCTTGAAACTATAATGACCCAAAGAAATGTTTCATCAAGGTAAGTGCTTTGAATTCTTCTGCCTTGTTTAATGACAGTGGTGGGGCATGAGAGAGGGATGGGAGGACGCAAAATATTTACTCTAGCAAAGTCAGTGGAAATGGCTATCAATTTAGAACCTGCCCACCATTGCGACTAGATGGCTAAATGTTAAAAAGGGGAGGAATTCCATCCTGCAAATGAGCCCTCTCCTTGGGTTGACTAAGAAGTGCTGTATTAGTTCCCCAGGGCTGTTGTACCACAAACTGAATGGCTTAACACAACAGAAATTTATTCTCTCACAGTTCAGGAGGCCAGATGTCCAAAATCAAGGTATCAGCAGGCTTAGTTCCTTCTTGGCAGCTCAGGCATGGGGAGAATCTATTCCATACCTCTCTACTAACTTCTGGAGGTTTCTGGAAATCCTCAGAGTTTCCTGGCTTGTAGCTATGCAATGCCAATCACAGCCTCTGTGGTCACATGGCCATCTGTTCTCTGGGTCTGTCTGTCTCTGTGTCTTCATATAGCATTCTCTCCTCTTTGTATGTCTGTGTCCAAATTTCCCTTGTCTGAAGATACAAGTCATCAGATTAGGACTCAGCATAATCCAATAAGACCTTATCTTAACCAACTATATCTGCAAAGACCCTATTTCCAAATAAGGTGACATTCACAAGTACCTGAGGTTAGGACTTCATCATATCTTTTGAGGGTACACTATTCAACCCACAGTAAATACAACTCAAACTTATGTGCACATTGGAATCCCACAGACAATTTAAATAGATTCTGATGCCTGGGTACTGCCCCTCAGAGATTCTAAACTAATCAGTGTGAGGTGAAGCCAGGGCATCAATATTTTTAAAGTCCTCCAGGTGATTCTAATGTGCAGTGAAATCTCAGAATCACTAAAGGATTCTAGTGATCGGTTTCTCCAAAGGAATATTTTAGCATAATAAAGTATGTGTTCCAATGAGGAAAATCTCTTCTTTCATGATTTTGACAAAAATGAAAAGAAAATTCAAAAATCAGTAATCCAAATAAATGACAAGAAAGAATTTTAGAATTTTAGAAACCTAACCACTTGAGGTGTGTTCATTCAATGAACATGTTAATGCATGCTGTATGTGGGGCCATGAGAGAGCACCAAAGGTGGCCTTTAGAACTTTCAACATCAGCTGCTTTTCCTCCGATCTCTGGAGGAAACAAAGGATTCCTTGTGCTTTGTTCAGTTGTAACTTGGTATGGAAATTACTCATTCCCCAAGACACTGCTCAGTTGGTAGCAAATAGTGAAACAGGACCTTACTTCTATAGATCAAATGGCCATAGAGAGAAGTTTAACCATATGAACAAATGAATTACTTTGTGATCTTTTATACCAATGATTACTCATATTAAGGCTGCAGTAAGTTATTAAAGTAAAACCATTTCAATGGAGGTAAATTTGTTGAAATAAAAACTACTCTTTTTATCTTCTTTTTTTAGAGCCCAAAACACCCCCTTGATACAGATGCCTATGAATGTTGTCATAATATTATTTGTCATACAACCTTATAGATTCTGTCGGGATCTATAAATGAAAATAAACGTAAACTTTTTCTTGCTTGTTTCTTAGTCTCCTCCTTCTTCTTCTTCTTTTTCTTCTTTTTTTTTTTTTTTTTTTTTTAGACAGGTTCTTGCTCTGTCACCCAGGTGGAGTGCAGTGGTGCAATCACAGCTGACTGCAGCCCCAACCTCCCAGGCTTAAGAGGTTCGACCTCCAGAGTAGCTGAAATTATAGGCACATACTACCATGCCCAGCTAATTTTTCTACTTTTGTAGTGATGGGGTTTCCCCATGTTGTCCAGGCTGGTCTTGAACTCCTGGGTTCAAGTGATCCAGCCACATCAACCTCCTAAGTGTTGGGATTACATGCCTGAGCCACAGTGCCTGGCCGGTCTCTTGGTCTTCTATATAACTGCTTCTTATCTCCCATAGTATTTTACCTCAACTTTGTTTGTACCACTATTGTGGACTAAATGTTTTTGTCTTCCCAAAATCCATATGTTGAAATCTTAATCTCTAATGTGATGGCATTAGAAGCTGGGGCCTTTGGGAGGTAATTAGGTTATGAGGGTGCAGCCCTCAGGAATGAGAATAGAATCCTTATAAAAAGAGACCAGAGAGCTTGCTTCCTCTCTCTCTGTTGTCCACCTGTGAGGATACAAGAAGAAGATGGCAAGCCAGGAAGAGGGCCTTCGCTAGAACGCCACCATGCTGGCATCCTGACCTTGGACTTCCAGCCTCCAGAGAAATTATGAGAAATCAATATTTGTCATTTAAGGCGTCCCATCTATGGTAATTTGTTATAACAGCTGGAGTTGATTCAGGTAACCATTACTTTCATTCTTTATACTTCATCCAAGATACTTTTTTGCCTAATACAAGCCATCCTTCATATATGAGGAGCCATTTTTTCCCCACTGTTAAACTACCCTGTGAAGAACTTTCTTTCACCCTAAGTTTTAAGAAAATCCTTTTTCTCAACATATCAACTAAGGTTTATTTAGATATAAAACATTTTAAAGATACACATAAAGCAGAAGTTTAATCTTAACATTTACTAATGTCAGAAAAGTAGCATAACAATATGAGCAGAACTAAAACACAAATAAGTAAGGAAATGTTTTGTACATTTTAACAAATGAAAAAAATCTTCATTTTTACTCCAAGAAAGGTTGACAGTCTTGGAATGAACATTTTAGGTAGATGATAAAATAGATGCTTGTTGAAATCTACCTTAAAAAACTGATCAGCTAAATTAATGAAAGATACATAATTTAATACAAAAGCTTACTTTCAACGAAGTGATAAATCTATGTGCATAATAATCTCTTCTTTAAAACATGATATTTAAATGGAAAAGATAGTATTATACCCATTAATATTTTGGGGAAAAGAGAACATAGACAGAATTGTTAATTCAGAAACTTATGTACCCAAGAAAGAGTACATCACAAACATTGGGGTGAACAGTCTTTATATATAGTATTCTTTAGCATTTTATGTAACACATTTTCAATTCAATCGTTGTGAACTTCAACTGATCTCTTTTGTTCCTTAGGTTGCAACAACCTCATTCCTACCAAAATGCAACTGATAACCACATTGGTGCACACCTTCTTTACCAACTCTCTTAACTTTGTCAGTGTGTTGCTATTTCAAATTTCCATGAAATCTACCTTTAAAAAACTAATTGAGCGGAGCCAGGGTATTATGGTCAGAAAGAGAAGACAGTCTTCAGGGCCTGCTGGTTCCTGAATGAACTGGGGAAAGTTGCATAATCTTTCTGTGTCTTAGTTTCTTCTTCTGCCTAGAAAATTAATATTTGCTGAGATTTCACTCTGTACTAGCCACTGTTATCTTAGAATAAATAATTCTAAATGGAATTCTATGATTTTTATGACTAAGTAATTCCAATACTGTTTTTAATTTCCATTAGTCCGATCCTCTAACATCTGGGATGTGTCAAGTGGCTTATATGTGAACATGAAAGGTTTGGATTATATCCTAAATCCTCGAAGTTCAGTCTGTGGATCAGAAGCACCAGCATCATCCAAGAGCTTGGATGAAATGCAGAGTCCCAGGCCCCGCCCTAGACCTGCTGAATCTGAATCTGCATTTTAACAAGGTCTCCAGGTGATTCATAGGCACATTAAAGTTTGAGAAGCGCTAGACTAGATGGTTGATAAAATCCATTTGAACTCACAGGGTGTACAGCACAGAGCAGAGAATCTGGCATTAAATGTCTGGATTACAGTTTGTATAACCTCAGAAGGCTGAGCTTCCAAATATATGAGTTTCCTTTTTTGTGTCTTAGTTCCTTCATCTGTAGAAAGGTGATAAAACAGTAGTTTCTTCATGAAGTTGTTGTAAAGATTGCAAAGTGCCGAGAATAAGCAAATAATACAGTGCCTGGCATATTGGAAGTTCCTCAATCATGAAATATACATTTACTGCACACCCATTATGTACATGTCAGATTCGTGCTGGGAGCTCTGAATGCAACAGTACAGAAAACAAAGCCCCTACCTTCATGAAGCTTACATTGTAGTGAAGGAAATCAGCAATAATTAAAAAAAGGCATGTAAAGAATTGTCACATAACCATTTGCTCTATGAAGTAAAGAGAATGACAGCAGTGCTATTATAGACAGGAAATTCAGAAAACGTCTTTGGAGAAGAAAAGAAATGAGTCGATACCTGAATTAGTTATTATGTGATTAGTATGTGGAGCTAAGTTCCAGTCATAGTGCTAAGCAATTTTATATGAATGCATATAAAGAATTTTTGACACTATTATGCACTTACTGTAACAACCTTATTGCCTTACTCCAATTTGGATGCTGAAAACTTATTATTACTCTTTAGTCTGACTCAAAAAACCTCTCAGAGCCATCCACCCCAGCAATGGAGATAATATAACAGTATCATACACCCTACAATTTAATCACAGCATCTAGATATAAACTAGAACTTTGGATCAGTACCATGGTGATAACAATAAGACTTCTATTTCCATATGTGGAAATTAAGACTCCCTAACCCCTTTTATAGAAAAAGATGTGTTTAACTTAGTAGCTTGGCTATATTCCAATTTATACTTTTACCTAAGAATTTCAGTCTTTGGGTTTAGTAGATATTTTTCTTCATTTCCCTTTGCTACACAATAAACATGCAAACAAATAACTGTTATGTGGTGTCACTGGCATGAAATAGCTTCTATATTCCAACACAGATGGGGTATCTTAATAATGGGAAGATGATCTCACACTTTAAAGTGCTTGATATAAAAGGTGCCATATAAAAAGGAAGTTATTATTATTAGTTATAATACCCTAAAAAAGGGATTTGCCATCTAAATGGCTGCTGAAACTTAACTGCAGAATTGCTTATAATGCTACAATCAGTTGAGGCCAAATTCAATAAAAATTCCATCCGGCATTCACACTGAGAAGACCCACATGTGCCTTTAATTTTTTTTTAATTTCCTGGGCTTCCGGCCCAGAAATTGGATGGAAATTGTATTGAAAACTGCCCTTGTGTATCAACTTTTGGTAAATACCAGGCTTTCAGTTGACTCACATTATGCTTTACATTTTGGGCAAAGGGAGGGTATAAAATGATTCACGTCTCTCTATATACATATATTTATACACCTTTTACCTGTCTATGAGACTGTGGCTTATATTAAATGTTCATCATTATTTCTACAATTTTTAGGATCTGCCAGCCCCCACCAACCCCCCCACTGCAACCATAAGACTCAAAATTCCATTAAATCCCTTTCCAGCACTAATCAGCTTTTACTAGCACAGGCAATGTAATCTGAGTTTAGAAATGACTAATTATTTGGAGAGGGCTGGAAGGGGTTAGGGTTTAGATTTCTTTCTAATTTAAAGGAGCTTCTTTCCTGTCTTTCTCCCTGTCATTTTGCTGCCTGTGGCCAGCTCCCCCTCCTTGATGAAAATGCTCTTTCCCTTCCCATTAGACAAGGTATATATGTATGTATTAGAAGAAAAATGTATTAGGAGACATCAAGTTGAAAATATTAAAAGAAGAGCCATGCCTGTGATGGATGTGGGCATGGCAGTAATTGCACCTGCTAGGGGCAAGGCATGGGCATAATTTGCATGTAAAGTTCTCTCGGCTCCTTCCAGAACACACCAGTTCTACCCAATAAAACATTTTGTCACCTGCAGGGGGTTTGCCAACATGTTCCCAGATTGCAAGCAAAAAGATTATTTACAGTAACCAGTAACAACTGAAACAACCATAAACAACCTTTCTGTACCTGTTCTATTTCTTTTTCCTTTGGCTAAGTAGAGGAAGCTTAAGGAGTCCAAATTTACTGCAATTTAATTCTGATGGGGAAAAAGCACATGATTTTTATTTATAGCAGCGTGCTCTATCTATTCCTGTCTCCCCCAACCTCTTTTTAAAACATAAATAACCCCGGAATTTTTTGTAATCCAGCTATTACTCTTGTAGGGATGAGCAGTTTCCTGATAAAGTGAGAGAGGGCAAATGTGGCCAGAAGTTCCCTAATGTATTCAAGAATCCTGTTGTATGCTCATAGAGTAAGGGGGACTAGGGAAAAATCACCTGGTCAAGCCATTCATGCAATTTCTTTTTTTGTTATTGTTGTTGTTCTGTTTTGAGATAGGGTCTTGCTCTGTCACCCAGGCTGGAGTGCAGTGGTTCAATCATGGCCCACTGCAGCCTGGACCTCCCAGGCTCAAGCGATCTCCTCCTGCCACAGCCTCCCAAGCAGCTGGGACTGCAGACACACACCATCATGCTCAGCTAATTTTTAAATTTTTTGTTGAGAGGCGGTCTCACTGTATTGCCCAGGCTGGTCTCAAACTCCAGGGCTCAAGGGATTCTCCCACCTCAGTCTTCCAAAGTACCAAGCAACTTCTTTGTGGCAATTGGAAATGCAGGGGGCCTACATGCTGACTTTGCTGTAGGGAGCGGCACCTTGCATCTGACTGACCTGGGTCTTACCTCTTGTCCTCAAACCCCCTCTAGGAGAGTTTTTCCAGAAGTTCAGATTTCATTCTGAATTGCAGAGGACCACGCACGTATCTCTTGAGAAAATGATCAAACGTGAGAAAGTGCAGTTAAACCAGGCCTGGTTTGCCCAGGTTGCTTCTCTTGATGAGGTGTTGCTTCATTCCATCTGCAGGAATCACAGGGAGAGGATCAAGGAGAGGAAACAGGGCCATAAACTGTCAAGTCTAATTAAATGTGACTAGATTATTTAATATGAAGGGACAACGTGATACATTTTAAAAACAATGTCAGAGAATTATAAAATGAAAAGTATAAAGTCTCCTCTGCTCCAATTTCAGTCTCACTCACTAGGACTAACAATTGTTAACAGTATCCTTAGACATCCTTTCAGAAATTGTGAATGCATAAATATGGATACATACACACAAAAGGGTGCGTGCGTGTGTGTGTGTGTGTGTGTGTGTGTGTGTGTGTGTAAGTGCTTGTAAGCACAAAAACGGTACAGGTACCAACTTTCCTGTGCCGATCAACAGTACATGTCCCAAGTTCTCCTAACAATACCGTTTATTTATTTTTTTATTTATTTAGAGACAGGGTCTCCCTCAGTCTTTTGGTCTGGAGTGCTGTGGCACAATCATGGCTCACTGCAGCTTCCACCTCCTGAGCTCGAGTGATCCCTCAAGTGCTCCTCCCACCTCAACCTCTCAAGTAGTTGGGACAACAGGTGCGTGCCATGACGCCCACCTAATTTAAACTTTTTGTTTGTTTGTTTTTTGCAGAGACAAAGTCTCCCTATGTTGCCCAGGCTGGTCTCAAACTCCTGGGCTCAAGAGATCCACCTGTCTTGGCTTCTCAAAGTGCTGGGATTACAGGAGTGACCCACCTCCGCCCAGCCTCTAAGGATACCTCTTGGAGGTCATTTATGCCAATACTAGTAGATGCACCTTTCTCTCTGCCGCTGTATGTCTCCACTGTATTTTATCAGCCACTCTCCTAATGAAGGACAGGTAGGTTGTTCCCAACTGTTTTTCGTACAACTAAAGTTGCAGTGTTTGCACGGGTTTGACTGGAAGTAAGTCACCAGCGGTTCAGCGCAAAGGCTCAGGACTGCAACAGGCTTATTCAAGTCCGGGTTCTCCAACCCACCACTGTGTGTATACTTGGGCAAATAAAGGTGGTAAGATCTACTTCACAGGGTCCTTGACAGAATATAGTTGCGATTATTCTCACAACTGACTCATTGAAACTTTAAGCAAACCAATTTCCTCATCACTAAATCCGGGAATAATAATAGATCCAGGTTGCTCTGGGGACTGCATGAACTAATTGATTTAGCGCAGTCCACGACCTGCTACCTAGTGAGCCCTTAATAATTATCCGCTTTAATATTAAAATTGGCAATCTTTGCGCACTTGTGGGAGCGCAGCTGCAGGAGGCTTTTCTAGAAGTGGAATTCCTGCCTTAACCCCGTGTTCCGAGGGCCCTAACTGCGTGGCACGAGGCCACCCGGAGGTGACACGGTGACCGCCGCCCAGCCCGCGCCGCCGCCCAGGGCCCTGCGGAGGCCGGACACACGTGGGTGCACGCGGCCGAGCGCAGGGCCGCGCGGGGTCCGGCCGGCGCAGAGGCGCTGGGGGCGCCGCAGACGCGAGGCTCGGGACCCAGTTGGCTGCTCCGCCGCGCTCCCCGCCCCTCCCTCCCTCCAGTCCGCCCGGTCTCCCCTCCCTCCAGCGTCCGCGTCGGAGCCGGAGCCGGAGCCGGAGTGGCGGAGGCACGGGCAGTGCTCGCTAGGCGCCGGCAGCAGCCACAGCAGCCTGGCGCTTGGCGGCGGCGGCGGTGGCAGCGGCGGGCGGGCTGGCGCCGTGGACTGGGCCGGGAACCGTGCGGACGAGGGTGCTGCGCCTGCGGCGGCGGCGGCTTACGCGGGCGCGCACGGCGGCCCCCCGGGCCCGGACTAACTGCGGCGGCGGCGGTGGCGGCGGCGGCGGCGGCGGCGGCGGCGGCGAGTGGGCCGTCGGGGCGGGCGTCTGGCGAGCTGCAGAGACCAGGTAAGTCCGGGATGCCCGACTCCTGGCGCCGGCCGGGCCACAGGGATGAGCCACCTGCCAGGGCAAACTTTACGCCCTGGCTTCATGGCTCCTCAGCCCCGAAGTTTGTTTGCAGGGAAATGCACCTGACGGGTCGAGAATAAAAGATGCTTCTCTCATCGGACTTGCTCTGGGGAGATTATTTTTCCCCTTCTGGGGCGAGGATTGGTTTCGGGTTGGGAAGGCTGCATCCCCAGCTGGAGCGCTGAAAATTGAGTGGTAGGTCCCTTGGGCTTGCCCTTCGCGCAGTGGATTTGACCAGTTAAAGTTGGGGGAAAAAAGTTGTGACTCCTAGGGATGCTGAGGAACAATTCCAGGTGCATGATGCAGAATGTGGGAATGTGATACCTCTTTGCTGGAACCACCCCCCAGGCCCAGATTCCCAGGTCTGAGAAAGCTAGGGTGGCCGATTCTTTCATTAGCGATCAAGTTTTCTAAGCTGCATTTTCTTTCTACTCACAGATCAGCAGCTTGGGACGGAGTTCCCCGTCGCGTTTATTTGTCAGGTTTACCCTGCTGCGCTGTAGTCCAGGTTTCCTGAGCTCGGACCCTGGTTTCAGCTGTTTCTGTGTTCTCTGAGGAGCCTGCAAAGCTAACCAAGCAGGTAACAGAATAGCAGAAACAGAAAACCAGGAAGTGCCAACCGGGCACCGGGGTCATAGCACCATCAGGAATTTTTTCTGGTCGCGTGAAATGAACGAACAGCTTCTGGGCTCTGCTTGTGCAAAGCTCCGTACAACTCTCCAATCCGTATGTCTTTCCCTGTATTGCATTTGCTTATTGATTTACAACAAGGAGATGTGTCCAGAGGTATTATTTAATAACAAACGGTGTCCGCTACGGTAAGGACAGCAAACCTCCTTTCAGAGGCAAAGAAAGGGGAACAGAGCTCTGGGAAAGGGGTAGCCAGTCTGCTAACCTCAACCCAAGATGCAGGGAAACAGAGCTAGAAAAAGCAACAGACAAGGAGGGCGTGATGTGCAGGAGGGAGGTCAGAAACCCCAGCTCATATGGTGAGTAGGTAAATCCAGAAATAATTTTAAAATGATTAAGCAAGAATAACTAAAAAAAAAAAAAAAAAAGTAGGAAGACTGTACGTGCTGTGGTTTCTGTCTACCCCCACAGAGATGAATATCACACTAGCTGAAAAAGAATCCTGATCTGTAAATAGATTAAAAACAGGAATTAATCAGAACAATGAGTCAGAGCCCTTCAGAGATTGAAAGGAGGAGTAATTGCCTTTGAAAGAGCTTATATCTCAATATCAAGTCAAATGTGTTACTTTTGCTTTGCTAGATGTGTTTACTAACAGTAACCTGACTTTGGCTGCAGTAACCTGGCATCTTGGTTCATGGTTTTAACCATTTGTGGGTCATGGGACTAGGGAGAAAGTTGACTGCAGGTTAATATTCATATCAATTTGTGCAACATTTGTAAGATGCCTAATACGTGCATGTCACTGGTTGCAATGGGAGAGGTCCTTGTGAATGTTCATTAAAGAAATCTGATCGGGTTCAGCCTCACTAAATGGAAGGATGTTGGCTTGCAAATAATAAAGAGTGGGGTTGGGAATTATTGGTCTTTGAATACTTGCTTGAAATTAGTTGAGAGTAAACATGTGGTTTGAGGACCCCCAAAATGATCAGTATCCACCAGGGAAATATAGCAAATTGCTGTACACTTTTATAAGATGAATAGTAAGGCTGAATGCATGCAAGTGGCCCTTCTGTCTAAAAGTAGGATAACCGAGACACCGAGTGTCTAATTGATATGCAGGGTAATAGATTCAGGCTGTGGCCGCCACAGACAATAACATTCAGCCTCATGTCCTCCTCACTGTCTGGATGTCATTAATGTCAGCCCGAAGACATGAAGATGTTAAGTTCATTTCTCCAGGAGAACTCTAACTTTTAAATATTCTTCACAACACAACCAGATAGCCCAAGTGTACCTTAAAATGGCAACAAAGCATTTAATAGGAGCAAAGTGCTGAGCACTTTCAAGTAGAGAGAAGATTAGCCGTGGACAACAAGCTGTAGCCTTTCCTTTGCTGATTTATGTTCAATTTTATCACTGTCACATTTCATATATGCCCAGTTATTACAAACTAATAGCCTCTTTTCTCTGCTTGCAAAATATGCATCTTTCTCTTTTACAAGTTCCTAACTCCTTCTCACACATTCAGTACACATCTTCCAGCTTTGTTTTTACTGCAAAATTTAAGTGTCCAACTTGAAGTTCTCATTAACTCTTAATATGGTTCATGCTGAAATAGTATATAGATATAATTGCTGCTTCCAAACTGTCAGATCTGTATATCGCTATACTGTGGCAATACTACAAAACAGAGAAGCTTTGACTGGTTTCCAATCACCAGTTAGTAAGTTGTTAGCAGTAAAACTAATGTTAATTTTATGTAGTGGAATATATTCAGATGGCAGGAGGATTTATTGATGCTGTGCATGTTTGCCTGCTGTCTCTGATTTAGTTGTCACCACCAGTCTGCCTTTAAGCCTTCTTATCTTAGCAAGGTACTTTGTCTCTATGAAGGTGAGCATCTTTAAGGTGCTCACTTGTAGTTTTTAATATGCACACATGCATATGCATATACTTTTAACATGCATATATAATTAATCACTTAATGCTGGTGGACAGTTTCCTTTCTTATGCTTGAAAAAAGTGCAATGGAGAATATCATTGTTGCAAAGATAGTTGGCAAGAGAATATGGGGCCACGGAACAGTTTAAGATAGAACATTTCTTTGAAATTGAGGGGTGACAGATCTCATTCTCATATCCAATTTGTATAAACATTTCAGAAATGGATCGAGTGTTGTAAATGGTTTTTATCTTATAGTCTCCCCTGCACTCATCTCTTAAACACAGTGGGACATTTCTTTGGAAAAATTGCTGCAGGAGAAATGCACTCCCTGGTTGAAACTTTGTATGCCAAGTTTCAATCCATAGTACATTTTTATTTTCCCCCTTTTATGTACATGTTATAAACAAGAAATAAGGGTTTGTAATAGAAGTGCTGGCAGAACTTTATAGCATTTCAAACAGCTTTGCTACTTGGAATGTAAATATTTGTAGAATCTTTACTGTGCAAGAACCTGCCTTGCAAGGAATGAGGAAAAATGACTATTTTCTTAAGTAGGATAAAATAATTCAGTGAGTTTGCATATTTCTTGTTGCAGACCTATTGGCATTTGAAGACATAGATTATCTATGTTGTAGTGATTCCATAGCATTCTCTTAGGTGCCTTTATAACTCAGCTTGTAAATTTCCTATGTTCTAAAACAAGAGAACAATTTTGTCCCATTTGTTTTTTAAGTCCCTTGACTTTGATTACCTTTCAGATGTTAAGATATGAGATCCATATTTCAAAACTGCTTGATTATATTACTGATAAATGAGGCTGTCAGTATACTGTTTTAATAGGGTAAATCTTGACACCATCACAATACTTCAAGTGCTTTTATTTTGGGGAACTAGTACAACTCAGACCTTATATGTCCTTTTGGTTCTAACCCTGAAATATCTCTCACATTCGCCCACTTCCCTCCATGTTCACCCACGTCCTCCTTCTCCAAGTCCCCATCTTCTCTCCTGGGATAACTACACTGGCTTCCTTGGCTCCTTTCGTACTTCTTCCCCCAAATCATCCTGCATAGCAGCCAAGACTTCTTTTTTTTTTAATGTAAGTTAAATTAGTACTCATCTACTCAGAATGCTTAAATGGCTTTTCATTGAACTCAGAATAAAATCCAAACTATTAAATATTACCTGCAAGGCTGTGTGGGATTTAAACACTACTGTCCCTTTGACAATTCCTAGCAAGCTTTTAGGAACAAGAGCTTCTTAGACCCTTTTTCATTTCTGCAGATGTGTTGAGCTCTTTCCTATGTTAGGGATCATTCTGTTCTTTTGCCCAGTAGCCCTGTCCAGCCCTAACGCCTAAACACACATACGCACACACGTGTGCACACACACAAACTCACAGGGTTTTTTTTTTCATTTTTGTTTTTTTCGACAGGGTCTCACTCTGTCACCCAGGCTGGAGTGCAGTGGTGCGATCATGGTTCACTGGAACCTCGACCTCCTGGGCTAAGTGATTCTCCCACCTTAGTCTCCTGAGTAGCTGGGACTATAGACACACACCGCCATGCCCTGGCTAATTTTTGGATTTTTTGTAGAGATGGGAATTCACCATGTTGCCAAAGCTGTTCTTGAACTCCTGAACTCAAACGATCTGCCCACCTCGACCTCCCAAAGTGCTGAGATTATAGGTGTGAGCCGCTGAGTCTGGCCCACATAGAGTTTTTGACTGCTACTCATCCCTTAGGCCACAGTGTAAATATCATTTGCTTAGAGAGGGCTCTCTGATTTCCTTCCTACCCTGAATGAGGGCACTTCTGATAGGCTCTTTCTGTTCATTTCCTTGGTATGCTTAGTATAACTTGGAACTGTACATTTCCTTACCTGATTGTATGTTTATATTCTGTAAGTACCTTGTAAGCAGTTACCACATCTATTTTATGCATTATTGCAAAGCAGCTTCTGTCAAAGTATCTGGCCCACAGTGGAGTTTGATAAACCTATGACAACTAAGCTTATTGGTTTGCTGAGCTTGCCATATGTAACCAAAGATCCTGTCAAGAAGGTCCGTATTCAGCAGAAGTCTGCAGCTGACTTTGACAGTATTCTTTCTGTCACATTGCCCGTGATCTCGTACATCTCTTGGACACCTGCTACTTCAAACCAATGTTGTCCAAAATGGAATTATCATTTTTCCTCTCAATCCGTTTCCTAAGAGCTTAGGTGGTCTGTTCTTCCTTTAGCTATCATTGGGGTCATCAAGGCATCTGGAGTCAGTGGTCTTTGTCACCATCTTCTCCCTTTGCCATTGTAGCCAGTCCACCGATTAAAAATACAAGAACATTCATTCAAGCAATGTGCCAGGCTGGGTTTTAAGTACTTCTCACCTAAATGCAGGAGATTAAGAAATGACTTTCTCCTCACTCTCTTTCTTGTTCCAATCTATTTGACACGCAGTGCTGTATTAATCCATGAGGCCGACCCCTTGGGTCACTGGACACCCACTGCATAGAGAAAAATATGCTACTGATGCAGCCTGTCTGTATGTGACTTCTCCCTAATTCTCCCCTGATACTTAACACTCCAGCTATAATACATGGGTCTTTTCAAACTTCCTTGAAAACTCAACATGGCCCTGCTTCAGTGTTCTTGCATGTGCTTGGAACACCCATGACTTCCACTCCACTCTCCTTATTCCCGTGTTGACTCATTTCCACCCTCAATTCTTTGTTGTTTCGTTCAGGAAAGCTCTTTACTTCCAACCTTACCATTTGTCAAGGTGATACCCAACCTAGCCATTCCTCCAGGTAGCCTTGACTGTCCCCCTAGACTAGGTTTGACCTCTATGCTATCTACAATCGACCATTTAAATTTTGTTTCTCCTTTAGGGGGTAAATGTATTATAATCTAATTAATATTGTAAAATTGTTTAATATCTGCTTTTCCTGATAGTCTATTGATGGAGTAGCATGCACATGTTAAGACTTTGGTAAATATTTCTGGAAAGATAGAAAGTCTAATCTTTTTAATTGGCATGAAGTGCAGCTATAGTTATAGTGGGGCTTCTTTTTCTAGGGCTAAAATTTATTTTAGTGTATAAAGATTTTATTTTATTTTGCAGAGTTTCTGAGTGACAAATCATTAGTTGACAACAGATGAACATCTTGATATGATCTGAATTTAGAAAATTCTGTGACAAACATATGCTCTAAAGGAAGCATAAGCCAAAGGTTGTGAGCACCGAGGACTGGTCCTTGAAGTAATGAGCTGATTTTAGTGCAAGGAAGTAATGGGAAGTTCTCAAAATTCATTATTTTATTGGAGTGAAACATTAGCGTATGAAAGAAATAACTAAATGACTGCATCACAACAAATCAAAAGCACATCTTCCTAAACCATAAATAATTACTTATAAATGGGGGAAATTTTGTAGGCATTAAACAGTCTCACCAGTCATCCTTCAAAGAGGAAGCCCCTGTCATAGAGCCGAGAATAGTCTATTTCACTTGCACTGTTTCTCAACTTCTGATGTTTCTGCAGAAAGGTTAACTGGGGTTCTGCTGAAATAATGGTGATACCTTAGCCCTTACAAGATTTTCTGAATCATCTCTGGGGTACAGCTTGCTAATCTGCATTTTTTAGCTTTTTGTTTTAAAGTAATTTTAAACTCACAGAAGTTGTAAAACATAGTACAAAGAGTTCTGTATAATCTTCATCCAACTTCCCCGTATGGTGACATTGTATATATCTGTCCTGCAATACCAGAACCAGGAAATTGACATTGGTACATTACTGTTAACTAGATTGCAGACCTTATTCAGTTGTCATCATTTTTTAAACCTGATTTCATGAATATGTGTATAGCCCTACACGGTTTTATCCCATGTAGAGGTTCATGTTTCTAGGATTTTAACTTAAAGAACAAATGTCCTGAGAGGTGACATTTCCATGTCAGCATACACTAATGTGATAATTTTGCAACTGTATTCTAGCATTGAAAAATTCCACTTCCATGGATCTTTTTCCATGCAAATATTTGTCTTGTTCTTAAATATCATGAACTCCTTTACCTTGCAGATGCCTGTATGGAAATGGAAATCTTGGGATTTTATAAGCCAGGATATAACATTTGGGTGGTTCTCTGTGTCTTTGGTTTGGGAATCTGTGTTGACTTCCCCATGCTACGTTTGAAAAGTTCTGCAGATAGCAAATATGTTTGTTTATCAGTGTGGTCAGGCTTGGGCAGGATTTTGATGCCACTAGGGCAGGGCCCCAACTGAATGCTTCATGCAGGTTCTAACTCAATCGCAGTTCATTTTATTTCTTGCATAGAAATAGTCACTTTTAAAATAACTTAATGCATTGCAGAAGATGGTAATGACACTTTTCAGGCAATTAAAATCAACCCGAACAATATAGCTAGTGATCTAATCTGATGCCTGCTACTCACTTGGTCTGGCCGCCTCCCTGAATGTAAAGTAGCCGAAAGTTGCTGATTACCAATTACTAATTCCGGTGAATATTCTGAAAGCTCTGGAATACAGATAAGGCATATTTGTACCAAAGTCGGCTGTGTGTGACTGCACCTCCCTCGCCCCTGTGCATTCCCTTTGCCTAAGAAGCTTTCACATTTGCATATACGAGGCAGGTTAATTTTTCTCTTCTTACTAGGGCTTCTATTTATTTTAAATAAAACTGATCAAAAGCTTTGTGCATGGACTGTATGGTTTTGAAATGTGAGCCATGCAGGCCCAAGTTTCTCCTTTTATTCATTGGAGTACATAAATTTTTTTCTTCATATGTAATATGGAGATATACATGTTTCTATTTAGTAGTAATGTATTGCGCTGTTGTTTCATTAGTGTTAAGCAGCAGTTGCCCTGTGAAATTAAGTCTGTAAACTTTAGTGGCAACATTAGTTTTTAAAAAGAACAAAAGGGTCTTAATATATGGGTTTCGTTATATTGTGAAACAAACCATGCATTCTATGAAGATACTTACAAGTGAAGGGTGTATTTCCATATAATGGCAAATTCTAGAATATAGTCAATATCCTTTTTAATCTGATAGTGCCATAATTGTCTGTTGCTTTAAATAGTTCTATATTATGACTTGCTTGGAAAATATCATTTTTTGTCATTTTTCAGAGTTAGGGCATTTTTCTGAGTTTTGACTTTTTATATTCTATTTTTATAATATGATTATTTCTGTCATTCTTCTTCCTACCCTACTTTGACCTTCAATAACCCAACCCACCCATTCACACATACATACTCTCACATGTGTGCATGTATACACACACAGACACACACCCACACGGACACACACACAAAATGCATAAGACATAGATTAGGATAGGGGATAGAGTTAATCCCAAATCATAAACTTGTGAGGGATGAATTACAGACATCTTGTAAGCGTTCAAGCAGAAGAGATTAAAATCAAATGATGGGGAGGCATTTTAGATTGTATATAAGATTAATATGCCCCTGTTTTTAAAGTTACTCAATCTCTTCTTCCTCTGCTGCTTCTTCCTCCATCTTTTTATCTGCCTCTCTGTATCCGTCTCCCTCTTCTTTTCCTTTTTTTAGTGTTCCTGTTTGCTTTTGGTTGTGTTTTTGAATAGACTCTTCTGTATTGACCCATAGTGGCTGAATGCTTTCAATGGTCTCTAGTGGAAAAATTGCATATGTTTACTCACACTTTTTTTTGAGGGGAGAGGGCAGGATGGGAATAGGGGATGTAAAATGTATTAAGTTTGCTATTTAGAGAAAAATAACTTCAGAAAAAGATAAAACACACATCAGGCCTATAATAGACTGTTTGCAAGATGGTGGCCACAATACCTTCCTTGGCAGTTTGCATGGTGACTCACTCTTACCTTCAAGCAATGGAGTCCATTTCCCTTTCCCTTGAATCTGAGTTAGCCTATTGAATTTGAAAAATAAAATGTGGCTCAACTGACGTTATTGTGAATTCTGCTCCTAAGCCTGGGAGCTTCTATTCTTGCACACTGAGTCTGCCCTGTGGAGAAGTCCAGGCAAGCCTCCTTGAGAAACACAGGTCACACAGAGATAGCTAGTAGCCAATAGCTGGCAAGTAGCCAAAACTGGTAGCCAGTGATGTGAGTGAGGCCATCAGTCCCAATTAAGCTATCAGATGACTTATGTTACTCGAATGGCTCCGGGCAAAACTACCAAACTAAATGCTCAGCTGAGCTCAGGTCAAATTCAAAATCATCAGATAATAAATTCTTTGTTTAAGCTATTTATTTTGGGGGTAGTTTATGCAGCAATAACACACACAAACTTTTTAAAAATTAATATAATTACTTTTAATTTGGAAAATTATATATATTTATTGTATACAACATGATGTCTTAAAATATGTACACATTGTAGAATGAATAAATTGAGCTAAATAACATATTATATCACATGCTTATTTTTTGTATGGTGAAAAAGCTTAAAATCTATTCTCTTAGTGATTTTCAAGAATACAATGCATTATTAATTATAGTCACCATGTTGTATAATAGATCTCTTGAACTTATTCTTCTTGTCCAACAGAAATTCTGTATCCTTTGACCAACATCTCCCTAAACCTCCCTCCTCACCCCCCTGGTAACCACCATTCTATTCTCTACTTCTATGATTTCAACTTTTTTAGATTCCATATGTAAGTGAGATCAAGTGGTATTTGTCTTTATTTGTCTGGCTTATTTCACTTTACAGAATGTCCTTCAAATTCATCCAGACTGTCACAATTGAAATAATTTCCTTCCTTTTCAATGGCTGCATAATATTCCATTGTGTGTATATACCACATTTTATTCATCTGTTGTTGGACACTTAAATTTGTATTGAATATCTTGGCTATTGTGAATAATGCTGCGATGAACACAGGAGTGCAGATATCTCTGACATACTGATTTCGTTTCCTTTGACTATATGCCCAGTATTCCTATTGCTAGTTCCTATGGTAGTTATATTTTTAATTATTTGAGGACCCTCCATACTGATTTCTATAATGGTTACAGTAATTGACATTCCCTCTGTCAGTGTGCAAGGTTTCTCCACATCCTCTCCAACATTTACCTTTTGTCTTTTTGATAATACCTGTTCTAATGAGTGTAAGGTGATAGCTCATTATGATTTTAATTTGCATTTCTTGGATGATTGGTGAGGTTGAACACCTTTTCATATACCCATTTGCTATTTCTATGTATTCTTTTGATAAATGTTTTTTCTGATCTTTGCCTATTTTAAAATTAGGTTATTTGTTTTCTTGCTATGGAGTTGTTTGAGTTCCTTATACATTCTGAATATTAACCTCTTACAGATGTGTGGTTTGCAGATATTTTCTCTAGTCCATGGATTGTCTCTTCTTCCTGTTGATTCTTTCCTTGGCTGTGCAGAAGCTTTTTAGTTTGAATTGAGCTCATTTAATTGTTTTCACATTTGTTGCCTGTGCTTTTGGGGTTATATCCAAAAAATCATTGCCTAGACCACTGTCATGGAGCCTTTTCCCTGTGCTTCCTTCTAGTAGTTTTATGGTTTCAGGTCTTGTGTTTAAGCCTTTAATTCATTTTGAGTTAATTTTTGTAAATGGTGTGAGATAAAGGTTTAATTTCATTCTTCTGCATAAATCTAGTTGTCCCAACACCATGTATTGAAGAGACTGTCCCTTCTTCATTATGTGTTCTTGGCAATTTTGTCAAAATCAGTTGACTGTAACTGCATGGATTTATTTCTTGACTCTCTGTTCTGTTCTGATGGGATATGCGTTCTGTTTTGATGCCAGCACCATGCTGTTTTGATTGCTGTGCTTTGTAGCATATTTTGAAGTTAGGTAGTGTGATGCCTCCAGCTTGTTCTTTTTGCTCAAGATTGCTTTGGTTATTGAGGGTCTTTTGTGATTCCATATAAATTTTAGGATTTTTTTTTCTATTTCTGTGAAAAATGTCTTTGGAATTTTGTTAGGACTTGCACTGAATCTGTAGATTGCTTTGGGTGATATGGACATTTTAATAATATTATTTCTTCTAGTCCATAAACGTAGGATATCTTTCCATTTATTTGTATCTTCTTCCATTTCAAACTCAGTATAAAAAAAGTACTTAAAAAAAGTAAGTAACTGCTTAAAAATGTGAGATATCTTTTTTGTTGTTGTATAAATGTAACAGTCGGCTTTTGCTTTGATAACAATTCAAAAATCTCAGTGGCTTCTAGCAAGCATTATTCATCTGCGTTGCATGAGAGCTGTGGGTCAGCTTTGGATCAGCATTGCTCTTCCATATTGTGCATTGGCTATGTGCCTGCTCTATGTGGCTTATTCTGCTAGGATCTAGGTTGAAGAGACAGTTTTGTAGTGGATACTGTGGTGCCCAATCCAGGCCCACTATTTAAGGACCACATATGTATCCACCACCTGACTGGAATATCAGCTGCCATGTAGCTGACATCTTCACTCCCCACTGGGAATTTCCCTTTGCCTTAGGGGAACTGTCTCAGCCAAGGTTGTGCTTCCTCTGAGTAGTGGTCCATAATCAGTGACTGACTGTTGCAAAAGCACAAAGACTGGAGTTGGCTTAATTTGGACAACTCTGTGCATGTAATTTATATACCTGTGACTAAGAATATATTTTGTGTGTATGAGATCAAGAGAGGTAGCCAAGAGGGGCCATCCCAGCCCTGGAGTAAGGATCAGCTGAGACCTCAGTTGCAAGTACTTTAAGTTTTAGGGTCCCCCTCTGCCTTTACAGTAGTTTCTTTCAAGAGCACTCCTCAATAAACCTTCTTCATTTCAGATTTTGTCTCTAAGGAGCCCAAGTTAAGAATGACCCTTATCTGGGACATTCTGTTCACATTAGTGAGGGCAGAAACACAAGAGACTTAGCTAGACCATGCAATTGTATTCAAAACTTTGGTACGACTGGTCATATGTCAAGTTTTCTCACATTTTATTGGCCAGAAGTCACAGGGCTAATTAAGGAAGGGGAGGTAAGCAAGTGCTTACAAACAGTAGTATAGTTTATATGTGTATTCTACCTCTCTTGATCTCATACACACAAAATATACTCTTAGTCACATGTACATAAATTACATCCACACCCTTAACAAGAACTATGCCCCAAAAGTTCTTATCTAATCAAGTAATCTGACTGGAAGTCTGAGATTTTATTATAGTCTCTACAGCTTATGGCAGAAGTACAAAAAACTAAACCAAACCACTAAAGCTGAGAGTGAATAATGAATATTTGCGAACAAAAATACCATTTACCCACATGAATTAGCTGTTACCACAATAATTCTATGTAGAAAAAAGCCCCCCTCCCCAAATTTCAATAGTCTAAAATAACATATGTTTATATATCTCTCACTCTGTCACATTGGCTAGGGTGGTTCTGCTGAACTAAGTTTTGTTTGTTCTTTTTTTTTTTTTTTTTTTTTTTTTTTGAGACCAGGTCTTGCTCTGTGGCCTGGGCTGGAGTATAGTGGTGCGATCATGGCTTACTGCAGGCTTGAACTCCTAGGCTTAAGGCTCAAGTGATCGTCTTACCTTAGCCTCCCAAGTAGCTGGGACTACAGCCATGCACCACCGTGCCTGGCTAATTTTTAATTTTTTGTACTTCCAGGCTGGTCTCGAACTCTGGGGCTGAAATGATCCTCCTGTCTCAAGCCTCCCAAAGTACTGGGATTATAGGCATGAGCCATCATGCCTGGCCTGTTCATATTTTTATGGGTCAGCTGGGAGTTGGCTTATCTAGGCTGGGCTGGTATGGTTACTTTGCTCAATCTGCAGGACTGTCTGGCTCTATTGTTTCCATATGTCTCATGGTGGAACTGATTCTGAAGGAGAAGCTCCCTGATGGAAATTATTCTCATGCCAATTGCAGGGATGCAAAGAGATAAGAGGCAAACACACAAGGTCTCTTAAGATCTTGTATTGCTACTGGAATATTACCACTTCTGCCTCATACTGTTGGCCATAACAAAAAAACATGGCCAAACCCAAGTCAAGGGTGGGGAATTATCCTCTGCCTCATTAGTGGGAGGAACTGCAGTGTCACATGACCGAAAGCATAAATACAAAAAAGGGTGAAGAATTTGGGCCAATAATGCAATCTGTCATACCACCAAACCTCACATCCATTAAGCATTGTAAATGCCCTCTAGTTTTTAGTTGCCTTTCAAATTAGAAACAGGAAATGTAAACTGTCACTTTATTGCTTATGAATAAATTATACCTCTAATTACTGCCTAAGTGAAGGAGCCGTTTGTGAGACCCAATAACACACAGAGGTGGGAAATATAATGAAATTCTTCAAGAGTGTACCGTTCAATTAAAAGAACTCAGATATGTATTTGGAAATGTAGTGAAGAGTATCAGTTAGTTTTGTCTAGTAGTAATCTGTATGCTTCTTATTCCATGGAATCTCTGTCTGCCACTTGATAGTTTCTTACCTTGGGCAAATTAACTGCCTTCTCTAAGTCTCAGTTTCTTCACCTGTAAAGTTGGAATAATGGTTTCTACTGTATAAATCTATTGTAAGGAATCCATGAGATAAGGCCAGGCCCTTAGCAAAACTCATTAGATGCTACCCATTGAGCTCTGCAGTTAGGTTAGTGTTGTTGTCTTTATTATTCACTACATGTGACTTTTATATAAATATAAAAATATAGGACATATATTATATATGTAAATATATATGATATACATATGTTTATATATGTAAGTCTCATGTAGTGAATAATAAAGACAACAACACTAACCTAATAAGAGAGATGCTGTATGCTAAAAGAACAGAGAGTTGGGAAGAATTAAAGGAAACTGAGGTAGAATGATCAAGGAAGGTTTCATATGAATGTAGGATTGATGACTCCTCCAGATTTGGAGAGTTGGAAGTCAAAGTACAGGATTTCTGGTTGAAAAAATCTGGCCTGGCATGCTCTTAAACCCACGAATCACTTCCATGGTTGGATTTGAGAGTGTGTTTTAGCGGCTACTTGGTGAATTTTAGTTGCTATAGTGAAAGGCCATGATTTGGGTAGTGTTGACTACTTGAATGTTATTAGAGTGTGAAGGTAAATCTGAGGTCATGGCCTGTTTTGAATCTAAAGTAATAGACTGCACACTGGGGGGTTGGATCTGGGTGAATTATCTCTGTAGATAGCTTTTAACTTTCATTCAAAAAATCTTATAAAGCAAGTCTTAGAATGCATTTTACCAGTGAGACTAAAAAGATTCATAGAGTGCCTCAGGTCAAATAACAGGTTAATGACCAAACCAGAAATGAAACCCATATTTCCCACGTCCAGAAGCAGTGCATTTTTCATTCTAGAACAGCCTCCACTTGGAAGAAAAATTTATATAACTGTAAATGGGAACTATTGCTTTTTCCTCCGTAGTGATTGTGAGTGAACTTTTCTACTGATCTCAGACCCCAAGTTGGTCCCACTTTTCTCCACATTTATAGGATTTCATCTATAGGGTTGAAATTGAGTTTGCTTTTCAGGACGTCTTTCAACTCCCCTATTCACCTTAAACCTTTTTTCTTCCTTTCTTTCCAAGGCTCTCCCTCTTTCTCCGCTCTTTAGGTCAGAGAGCCCTTGATTGTCCCACTCTTCTTATCCCACATATGATTAATTCATTTTTCCTTCTCTTTTTTCTTCCTCACTTGTAAAGAGAGAAACATGGAGATAAATAAAAAACTGTCATCAACCAACTGTGCTTTCCTTTTCATTGCCCTACATTTATGCCTGGAATGCTCTTAATGGTTTTCTTTACTTCTGTCAAGATCACACCCATCCTTTTTAAGGTTCAACATAATGTTCTCTCTTCATGTCTCTGTAGTCCCATCAGCATTATGTAAAGATCTAGACCTATCTATCCAAATGTTTGCCTTATTGCTATTGAGAAATCATTGGGAGTCATTACTCACCTCTGGGAGAGGGTGCATCTTCTCTGCCCCATTGATGTTGGAAGGCTTGGTCAGGTGACTTGCCTTGGCTGATGCAATATGAACATTTCACATTCAGTTAGTCATTTCCCACAGAGGCTTTGGTGGCTTGTACATGGTTTTTTGTATCCTATTACTATTACCTATCACTGCCTGAGCTCTGCCGCCTGTCAGGTCAGTGGTGGCATGAGATCCTCATAGGAGTGCAAACCCATTTGTGAATTGCGTATGTGAGGGATCTACATGTGGCATGCTCCTTATGAGAATCTAATGCCTGATGATCTGAGTTGGAGCAGTTTCATCTCCAAACTATCCCTGGCCCCCACCTGGTTCATGGAAAAATAGTCTTCCATGAAACCGGTCCCTGGTGCCAAAAAGGTTGGAGAGTGCTGACCTGGGTCATTCTTACTCATCTACCAAGTTTCAGATTAAATGGCACTCTCTTGAACAGATGACAGTCTTTTGCTCTGCTTTTCTTTATCACTCATTACCCTTATTTCATGTCTGTTTTCCAAATTGAGCAGTATCAAAGCAGGAAACTTGTATTTCTTGGCTACCCCTGTATCCCAGTGCCTGGCATAGAGTAGGTTCTCCAAATTACTGAACAAATTAGATAAAATCCATAAATAACCTACAAACCACTCATGATCTCTCCCTGCTTGAATTCTTGCAACCATTTATGTAGTTCAGATTTTTAGCATCACTCAATGTGGATTAATTATGTGTTAAGTGTTATGCTAACCACTTCAGTCCTTACAACAAATGAGCAGTGTAGCTACCTTTCTTATGATGCTTTTCATATTGCTTCAAAATAGTTATATTTAGATTTTAAAAATATCTCTACATCTAAATGTTAACTCTTTGTTATGATAGCAATTATTATACTGTATTATATTTGCCTTTTGCTTGCCTGTATACCTATCTAAACTGCGAAATTTCTCTGAATGCTGGTCACCTGTGCCCAGCACACTACCTGGATCTTACTAGACATTTCATACATATTTGATGACTAACTAATCATATTTAAGCTCACATTAAATGGTTGATATTACTAGAATTAATGTTATCTTAGTGCCTTATATGTAGTAGATGTCTCAGGAAGTATTTTTCATTGATTTTTTTATAGAATTAGTATGAATTTCTTACTATATTAAAGGACACAGTAACTTTCACTATAACTTAAAATCACATTATATTGAATTCTACTGTAAATTTATTGATTATCTATGGCTTGGGCCAGGGAGGTCAAGACTTCAGTGAGCTGCGATCATGCCACTGCACTCAGCCTGGGCCACAAAAAAAATAAAAATAATTTTTAAAAATTTACTTTATTACCTACAATTCTTTGTGGGTTTGGAGTTTGAAGAAGGCTCTTCAAAGACATCTCATCTTTGATCCATATGGTGTTGGTTGCTATAGCTTGACTTGGGCTGGAGAATCCAAGATGTCTTCACTTACAAGGTTGGTGCCTCCGGTGGGGCAACCGAAATGGCTGGGATCTGGATGGCTTGGTGTCTCTCACTTATCATCATCCAGCTTTCCAGGTTTGCTTTCTTTTCTCTTATATTCCAAGAGAGGGAAGGTGGAAGCTGGAAAATCTCTTAAGTCTAAGTCTGGGACTGGCAGAGCATCACCTCCCCACTTTATGTTGGTTAAAGCATGTCATAAGGCCAGTCTAGAATCAAGAGTAGGAGAAACAGACTCTACTCTTTCTGGGGAGGAGCAGCATGATGTAAACCATAAAAGGAATCATAGGCTATCATCTTTATAATCTTCCACTCTAAGGAACTACTTGAGCCCACATATTTCCTTTGTTTTATTCTAGAAGCTTGCAAGATACACTTAATTGTTATGGGTAGTAGGAAGTTTTATATCTGATGTCTTTTGATTTACTGAAAGTGAACATGACTTGTAAAATTTGAAGAAATTTTTTCAGCTCCTAGCTGACTTTTCCTATTTTCTTCATCATTACCACATTTATTTTTAGTATTGCTAGAGTTATCTAATTTTTATGATTAAGAACAATAAACAGAAACTTCTCTTGATGAGTAAATTAGAAGTATCACCTGCAAAGACGGCTTTTAACATTGTAAGCTTGTTTTAAATATGTTGTGATGATGTTTGATTGGCTTTAAAATTTCCATATGCAAAGTACAAATCCCTGAAAAAGAAACTCCCCAGTCCACAGTAATGCAAGTTAGCAAGAAGTTTTCTTCCTATATGAGTGCTGCTCTAACTTCATTTGTTTTTAAAAATAAATGTGCTGATCAATATCATGAATAATTAAGTGAAAGGAGTTGTGGGATTTGGGGCTGTTTTCTTTTTAGTAATTGTAAATTCCATTTCACAAAGCCACAGCTCAGTAGCTAGAAGGAACCACGTCTGGGTTACTCTTTATTCATTAAAAAAACTGCCTGATAACATGTAGTTCTAGAAAGATTTTTGCTTAGGGAAGATCTTTGAGTGCAGAGAGTTTTTACATCCATTAAATCATGTGAAAAGGTTTAATAGCTAACGAAATCATTATTCTAAGGACAGTGATAAACTCTTTCTGAAATAGTTATAAAAGATGATTTTCTGTTTTAGAACTAAAGTGAGTATGAGTCTGATTTAGAGAAGCTTGTGTACAAACAATATGCATTAACAAATTTTTAAATGTCAGACCTGTGAACTAATGGGTAGAGACTGGAGTTTCCTTCCCCCCTCTCATTAAGTTGTAACCTTAGAATTTTATGTAAATGGAATGGATGGAGTGTTTAAATTGCCTACTTGCCAGTGTCATTAGGAACATGGGAGGGATCCAACTGAATTTCAGGGCAACATTGGTCATACTTCACTGGAAGGTAACGGGATTACTCCCAGGTCGTTTGCTGTCCTTATGGCACATAATGATGTTAATGTTGAAGATGTTGGATCTCTGCCTCTTAAATAGTAATATCTTCTGATGATGGAATTATACCATTTCCAGATTGAAGAACCCGTGGTGGTCAAGTCCATTGCACATTTTTATTTTATATTCACTGATTTGTGTAGGGGAGAGGCCCACTGATTTCAATTTTGATACTGTATTTTGAGGTGTTTTTTGGTATGCATTGTTTACTCCTTTTTTGAAATAAGAAATACAGTTTTGGAAGGGATCCAGTTTCAGCTTTCTACATATGGCTAGCCAGTTTTCCCAGCACCATTTATTAAATAGGGAATCCTTTCCCTGTTTCTTGTTTTTCTCAGGTTTGTCAAAGATCAGATAGTTGTAGATATGTGGCATTATTTCTGAGGGCTCTGTTCTGTTGCATTGATCTATATCTCTGTTTTGGTACCAGTACCATGCTGTTTTGGTTACTGTAGCCTTGTAGTATAGTTTGAAGTCAGGTAGCGTGAGGCCTCCAGCTTTGTTCTTCCAGCTTAGGATTGACTTGGTGATGTGGGCTCTTTTTTGGTTCCACATGAACGTTAAAGTAGTTTTTTCCAGTTCTGTGAAGAAAGTCATTGGTAGCTTGATGGGGATGGCGTTGAATCTATAAATTACCTTGGGTAGTATGGCCACTTTCACGATATTGATTCTTCCTACCCATGAGCATGGAATGTTCTTCCATTTGTTTGTATCGTCTTTTATTTCATTGAGCAGTGGTTTGTAGTTCTCCTTGAAGAGGTCCTTCACGTCCCTTGTAAGTTGGATTCCTAAGTATTTTATTCTCTTTGAAGCAATTGTGAATGGGAGTTCACTCATGATTTGGCTCTCTGTCTGTTTTTGGTGTATAAGAATGCTTGTGATTTTTGTACATTGATTTTGTATCCTGAGACTTTGCTGAAGTTGCTTATCATCTTAAGGAGATTTTGGGCTGAGACAATGGGGTTTTCTAGATATACTATCATGTCGTCTGCAAACAGGGACAATTTGACTTCCTCTTTTCCTAATTGAATACCCTTTATTTCCTTCTCCTGCCTAATTGCCCTGGCCAGAACTTCCAACACTACGTTGAATAGGAGTGGTGAGAGAGGGCATCCCTGTCTTGTGCCAGTTTTCAAAGGGAATACTTCCAGTTTTTGCCCATTCAGTATGATATTGGCTGTGGGTTTGTCATAGATAGCTCTTATTATTTTGAGATATGTCCCATCAATACCTAATTTATTGAGAGTTTTTAGCAAGAAGGGTTGTTGAATTTTGCCAAAGGCCTTTTCTGCATCTATTGAGATAATCATGTGGTTTTTGTCTTTGGTTCTGTTTATATGCTGGATTACATTTATTGATTCGCATATATTGAACCAGCCTTGCATCCCAGGGATGAAGCCCACTTGATCATGGTGGTTTCCTTACACCTTCTACAAAAATTAATTCAAGATGGATTAAAGACTTAAATGTTAGACCTAAAACCATAAAAACCCTAGAAGAAAACCTAGGCATTACCATTCAGGACATAGGCATGGGCAAGGACTTCATGTCTAAAACACCAAAAGCAATGGCAACAAAAGCCAAAATTGACAAATGGGATCTAATTAAACTAAAGAGCTTCTGCACAGCAAAAGAAACTACCATCAGAGTGAACAGGCAACCTACAAAATGGGAGAAAATTTTTGCAACCTACTCATCTGACAAAGGGCTAATATCCAGAATCTACAATGAACTCAAACCAATTTACAAGAAAAAAACAGCCGCATCAAAAAGTGGGCAAAGTATATGAACAGACACTTCTCAAAAGAAGACATTTATGCAGCCAAAAGACACATGAAAAAATGCTCATCATCACTGGCCATCAGAGAAATGCAAATCAAAACCACAATGAGATACCATCTCACGCCAGTTAGAATGGTGATCATTCAAAAGTCAGGAAACAACAGGTGCTGGAGAGGATGTGGAGAAATAGGAACACTTTGACACTGTTGGTGGGACTGTAAACTAGTTCAACCATTGTGGAAGTCAGTGTGGCGATTCCTCAGGGATCTAGAACTAGAAATACCATTTGACCCAGCCATCCCATTACTGGGTATATACCCAAAGGACTATAAATCATGCTGCTATAAAGACACATGCACACGTATGTTTATTGCGGCACTATTCACAATAGCAAAGACTTGGGACCAACCCAAATGTCCAACAATGATAGACTGGATTAAGAAAATGTGGCACATATACACCATGGGATACTATGCAGCCATAAAAAATGATGAGTTCATGTCCTTTGTAGGGACATGGATGAAATTGGAAATCATCATTCTTCTCAGCAAACTATCACAAGGACAAAAAACCAAACACCGCATGTTCTCACTCATAGATGGGAATTGAACAATGAGAACATATGGACACAGGAAGGGGAACATCACACTCTGGGGAGTGTTGTGGGGTGGGGGGAGAGGGGAGGGATAGCATTAGGAGATATACCTAATGCTAAATGATGAGTTAATGGGTGCAGTGCACCAGCATGGCACATGTATACATATGTAAATAACCTGCACATTGTGCACATGTACACTAAAACTTAAAGTATAATAATTAAAAAAAAAGTAAAAAAAAAAAAAAAAAGAAAAAAAGAAATACAGTTTTGGATATCTAACCCTAGTACTATGTGTTTAATAGTGCTAGAGACTGGTGGAATTGTCCATTAGCAAACAACTCTAGAGCCTAACAAGACCACACAGACTACACTAGGAAGTGCACAACAGACTCAGTGCTTACAATCTATTCAGAGTTTGCCTGCCCTTCTCAGCGCATCCCCATCTCTTACTGGGTATGTAGCTAGGAGAATAAAATGTTTTGTTTGGAGTTTCATATCTTCTCTTCCATGCTGCCTACATCTTCAATCCCCTCTGTGGCCTCCATTCAAAGTCTTATATTTTTTCTCCACCTCCATAGAGTGAATTATCAGTCACTCTGTTCCAAGTTACTCTGTTCTAGGGTGGCCCAGAGGTGGGAGAGTATTGGGAGAAGAGATATATATTTAATATTTCTTTTCTATTAGAATTTCCAAGTCCGTGAGGCATTTCTCACACAGTGGGCTTCCTCTTAGCAGATGCTAAAATAATAAAAGCAGCAGCTAATATTTATCCCATTTGTCCCAATCAAGAAACAGACCCGTAAACAATTTCACCCTCCTAACTACGTAGCCTTGGAAAGTTAAACTTAACTAAGCTTCAGTTTCCTCATCTGTATAATCAACCTGTCATAACTCTTGTGAAATTAAAAATAACAGTTTCTGGCACAGAGGTACTCGATCATTGATAGTTGTAATTATTCTACTCAAACAGAAGTAGTGTATTTTTCACATTAATGCAAATCATTTCCCTCCATATGAGCACATAGACATTATAGCACCATTAGGAATTCTAGACTAATTATGTTACATTTTTATATTTTTGGAAATTTAAAGTCACACGAAGTTGTCTTCTATCAACCCTCTATGTCTGTCCGTTGTTCTTTGCTGTTTATAAGCAAATCACCTTTGTACCAGAAGCTGTTACGAAACAATAGAGAAAATAGAGTTTGTATTCTTTCAACCACTTACATGCCTTGAAATTTTAGAGAGAGATGATTCAGGAGGCTCTGAGATGAAACTGTCACAAAGCTAATGTATTATGTATGTCAAACCCCAAAAAGTCATTAATTAGCCACAATGCACTATAGACTCTTGTCATAAATTGTTCTAAAGTGAAAACAAATTTGCCAAGCTATAAAACTCTCAGTTAATTTGCTAGTCAGCATTGGTGTGACATTTTCTAAAAACAAAACAAAACAAAAACTCAGCATCCCATAATATATAAATTAGAATATTGAGTCAATTTGCATATTCGTTTATATTTTACAAAGCTAAGTTTATTTTAAAACTATAGTTGTGCCTGGAATATACTAGGTACTGAATAACTGGTAGTTTTATGAAGTGATTAAAGGCAGCAGTTGCTGAATTAGTGAATTTCACTTATTTTTTGTGTAAAATAAGAGAATCTCTTTTTGGGGAGTTTACACAACAAAAATAAGTGCAATTTATGATCAGTGTGACATATAAAATGTAAAGTTTTGTTTAAGGTTTTTAAAAAATCAGTTTATTAAGAACAAGAGAGGTTATTCTAAAGATTAACTTCTTTGTTAGATGTGGGTTAGATGTGACCCACATTTACTGTGAAGGAAATTTCTATCAAGATTTTTCACTTTATTCTCATTTTCCTTCAGGAAAACAGTGACTCAGCATATCACTCTCATGGCCAAGCCATAGAGGCCAGCTACTTTCTGAAGTCTGAGGAACTAGAAAAAGTGCTGGTGTTCCTCTTTTTGACTTCTTAAGTAAGAATCGTTGGATACTGTGTGTATGTGTGTGTGTGTGTGTGTGTTTCATTCTGTTTTTCTTTTTGCCAAGTGATTTTTAGAGTAAGCGTATTTTTTTTAACAATTCTTGAGTCTGATTTGAAGCTGCTGTCTACATAAATCAACATTTCTCATCATACTCTATATTGCAGTCAGTAATGGTGACCTGTTAAACTCCTTTACTCCACTGAGCTTCTAGAACAGGTGCCCTGCTCCTGCCCCCTGCATTTCTTCTCCTCTCTCATTGATCATCTTCCAGTCTGCCTTCTGATCTGGCCACCACAGAAGTGGCAATCCTGAGGATCACAAGCAGTTTCTTAATGTCAAGTTCTGTGGTTGAGTCCTGGTCCTCATTCCTTCTAAGATCTCAGTGGTATTTCTTCATGGATTTCACCACCACTTTAGCTGCTTTGACTTTTATACCACTGAACTTTTGGAGATTTTTTATGTGTCTCCAGCTGCTGCTCTGGCTGGTTGATATTTTAGCCTTCTTCCCTTGCTTGCTGGTAGATTTTTTCTGAGCCTCAGCCTGGACTGAATTTTCTTTCCTCTCTTTTTGCCTGATAGGGAGCCCATCCTCTCTACATCTCTGGTGCTTCTGTGTCCTGATTATCTATCCTGTCTTCCTTGGGCTGAGTTCCACATTGCCAACCAAGGCCCACTATTTCCATCTGAATGTCTCGCTCTTGATTTCAACTCAAGGATGTCTGAACCTGAACTCATCCTTTTTCCCAGACATAGCTTCTTGCCTTACCCTTTCCTATTTCTGTCTCAGGACCATACATCTTCCCTGTCAGGAAAGCCAGAGACCTTGGAGTTACCATTGATTCTTTCCTCACCTCTCCAGGCCACTCACTTATCTCGATGGAGTCTTCTTTGCATTTTTCCTCAGCTCCATCTTGCCAGCTGTTTCCCCGCTTCCAGGCCTTTATTATAGCATTACAGTGACTACAGCTGCTGCCTCTCTGGTCTCTCCTCTCCCCAGATCACCCTACACAGTACTGTATGAATTATCTTAGAACACAGCTGTCTTCACACCACTTTCCCACTGCAAAACTGTAATAACTTCCTGCCTCTTGCAGGGAAATGTAAAAAATAAAAATAAATAAATAAAACACACTCACAAGAAAAAAACTGCCAACCTGGCATTCAAGGCTTCCCACATTTTGACAAACATTATTATTCCTTCAGTTGCTCTTCTTGGAGTCAGTGGTTTTCAAACCTCATTGATATTACTAATAATTTCTAACATCCCCTTTATGTACGGACATGAAATAAATAGAATATGTAACAAACTTACTCACATGACCTCAAAAAAACCAACATAAGGCCCTAAGTATAATAAAAGTAGAAATACGGGGACATTAATTTGTAATATAATCTGTTGTTTTACTCTGTAAATGATTAGCCGTGACTACACCGGAATCTAAGATGAGGTTGCCAATGCTTGCATCTGCTTGTAATAATTAAGCTTGGATTTCAGGGAAATAAGATAGTAGTCAGCTAAATATCTGAGTCATTTTTCTTCATATCTGACATTTAAAATAACTAGTTATGTATATTTGTATATATTTATAGCATCACAGTGAATGTGATGGCTGCAGCAGCAGACCAATATCACTGAGTCAAGTTGTTGACTGGGTTCCCATTGAAGGTGTAGTTGCAACTGTTGATGTGTTTTCTGATATGTTGCACAACTCTTAGTGACATCTGAATGTTATGAATTCAGTCTTCCTTTGATTGGCATAAAAGTTGCATCTTTATGTGTTAAGATAATGCAAATAATTATTTGTAAGCTCAGAAAACAATGAGTAGGTTTTTCTCTCATATGACCATCACTTGAAAGCCATATGGCAATTGCATTGCAGGACATCTAGCCCCATGGCCTGTATCCTCTAAAGACCCTGGTATATTCCCCAATCAATGAGTCAACTAAAATGCCCCCATATGTTTTCCAAAGTGATAGGAGCTCCAAGAGCTGTTGCTCTGAGCACTGCCCAGAGTTGCTCTGAGCACTGCGTCCCTGTCTCTGTGTTGTACATTCATTCACCACCCGTTCTTCTTCTCAAATGCTAATCTGTGCTTAAAGTTTACCATTTGGTCCATTGTCTGCTTAAAAGTGTCTTGTGATAGTTGGGCATCTGTGTTATAGTTGTATATGTTTACTTTACTTTTCCCACATGAATATAGTTCTGTCCTGAATTGGAAAGTATACTTCTGGTTGCAAATGTCAGATACCCAAGTCAAATTGGCTCAAGCCTCTATCCTCCACTCCCTTCCAAATGTATTGACTTTCTTTATTGAAAAGTTCAGGATAGATGTAACTGAGTGGAGTGAGGTCCTGGAGTTTTTGGTTTATTTATTTTTTATTATTATTATACTTTTTTTTATTATTATACTTTAAGTTTTAGGGTACATGCGCACAATGTGCAGGTTAGTTACATATGTATACATGTGCCATGCTGGTGAGCTGCACCCATTAACTCGTCATTTAGCATTAGGTATATCTCCTAATGCTATCCCTCCCCCCTCCCCCCCACCCCACAACACTCCCCAGAGTGTGATGTTCCCCTTCCTGTGTCCATGTGTTCTCATTGTACAATTCCCATCCATGAGTGAGAACATGTGGTGTTTGGTTTTTTGTCCTTGTGATAGTTTACTGAGAATGATGATTTCCAATTTCATCCATGTCCCTACAAAGGACATGAACTCATCATTTTTTATGGCTGCATAGTATCCCATGGTGTATATGTGCCACATTTTCTTAATCCATTCTATCATTGTTGGACATTTGGGTTGGTTCCAAGTCTTTGCTATTGTGAATAGTGCCGCAATAAACATACGTGTGCATGTGTCTTTATAGCAGCATGATTTATAGTCCTTTGGGTATATACCCAGTAATGGGATGGCTGGGTCAAATGGTATTTCTAGTTCTAGATCCCTGAGGAATCGCCACACTGACTTCCACAATGGTTGAACTAGTTTACAGTCCCACCAACAGTGTCAAAGTGTTCCTATTTCTCCACATCCTCTCCAGCACCTGTTGTTTCCTGACTTTTTAATGATTGCCATTCTAACTGGTGTGAGATGGTATCTCATTGTGGTTTTGATTTGCATTTCTCTGATGGCCAGTGATGATGAGCATTTTTTCATGTGTCTTTTGGCTGCATAAATGTCTTCTTTTGAGAAGTGTCTGTTCATATCCTTTGCCCACTTTTTGATGCGGTTGTTTGTTTTTTTCTTGTAAATTGGTTTGAGTTCATTGTAGATTCTGGATATTAGCCCTTTGTCAGATGAGTAGGTCACAAAAATTTTCTCCCATTTTGTAGGTTGCCTGTTCACTCTGATGGTAGTTTCTTTTGCTGTGCAGAAGCTCTTTAGTTTAATTAGATCCCATTTGTCAATTTTGGCTTTTGTTGCCATTGCTTTTGGTGTTTTAGACATGAAGTCCTTGCCCATGCCTATGTCCTGAATGGTAATGCCTAGGTTTTCTTCTAGGGTTTTTATGGTTTTAGGTCTAACGTTTAAGTCTTTAATCCATCTTGAATTAGTTTTTGTATAAGGTGTAAGGAAGGGATCCAGTTTCAGCTTTCTACATATGGCTAGCCAGTTTTCCCACCACCATTTATTAAATAGGGAATCCTTTCCCCATTGCTTGTTTTTCTCAGATTTGTCAAAGATCAGATAGTTGTAGACATGCGGCGTTATTTCTGAGGGCTCTGTTCTGTTCCATTGATCTGTATCTCTGTTTTGGTACCAGTACCATGCTGTTTTGGTTACTGTAGCCTTGTAGTATAGTTTGAAGTCAGGTAGCATGATGCCTCCGGCTTTGTTCTTTTGGCTTAGGAATGACTTGGTGATGCGGGCTCTTTTTTGGTTCCATAGGAACGTTAAAGTAGTTTTTTCCAATTCTGTGAAGAAAGTCATTGGTAGCTTGATGGGGATGGCATTGAATCTATAAATTACCTTGGGCAGTATGGCCATTTTCATGATATTGATTCTTCCTACCCATGAGCATGGAATGTTCTTCCATTTGTTTGTATCCTCTTTTATTTCCTTGAGCAGTGGTTTGTAGTTCTCCTTGAAGAGGTCCTTCACGTCCCTTGTACGTTGGATTCCTAGGTATTTTATTCTCTTTGAAGCAATTGTGAACGGGAGTTCACTCATGATTTGGCTCTCTGTTTGTCTGTTATTGGTGTATAAGAATGCTTGTGATTTTTGTACATTGATTTTTATCCTGAGAGTTTGCTGAAGTTGCTTATCAGCTTAAGGAGATTTTGATGAACATTGATGCAAAAATCCTCAATAAAATACTGGCAAACCGAATCCAGCAGCACATCAAAAAGCTTATCCACCATGGTCAAGTGGGCTTCATCCTTGGGATGCAATATACACAAATCAATAAATGTAATCCAGCATATAAACAGAACCAAAGACAAAAACCACATGATTGTCTCAATAGATGCAGAAAAGGCCTTTGACAAAATTCAACAACCTTCATGCTAAAAACTCTCAATAAATTAGGTATTGATGGGACGTATCTCAAAATAATAAGAGCTATCTATGACAAACCCACAGCCAATGTCATACTGAATGGGCAAAAGCTGGAAGCATTCCCTTTGAAAACTGGCACAAGACAGGGATGCCCTCTCTCACGCCTCCTATTCAACATAGTGTTGGAAGTTCTGGCCAGGGCAATTAGGCAGGAGAAGGAAATAAGGGGTATTCAATTAGGAAAAGAGGAAGTCAAATTGTCCCTGTTTGCAGATGACATGATTCTATATCTAGAAAACCCCATTGTCTCAGCCCAAAATCTCCTTAAGAAGTCCTGGAGTTTTACGATGGTTTTCGGATAACTGTGCCTGTATATCTCTTTTTCTGTCTTTGCTCATGTATCAGTACAACAGGTTAAGTCCTCAAAATCACCTATAGCTTAATGCATCTAGAGCTTATTTCTTCCCATACTGCATATCCACCATAAGTGGCAGATGGAATCTGCCCATTGTAGTTACACAGAGACCCAAGTTGATGGAATCACAATTTTGATGTGTGCTTCCAGTCTTGTAATGACGTAAAAAGGGAACATGATAAGTTGTGCAGTTGTTTTCAAGTTTCTGCCAAGAAGAGACACAAATCACTTCTCCTCACATCTCATTGCCCAAAAACAGTCTTATGGACATGACTATATTCAAAGTGGTGTATAGTTCTATCTAGTGTCTGAATGAGGAGGAAAACAATGACATTTGTAAACAAATAAGCCCTGATGTTGAACTCAATTGGGCTTCCTTTGTATCTATCCTTAACTGCCTGCCTCCTTCTGCCCCCACCTCCCACCCACATTACATTACTCTTATGCTTTTATTGCTTTTTTTCCCCTCCATGGAAATAGAGGTCACTTTCCTATACATACCAAGTAATAAAATTAATTCTTTTTGACTGGGTTTGGACTGTACTTCTCTCCTTGCATCTTTGAGAGACAAGGAGAAATGGGCAAGTCCCACCTGAATTATGTAAAATAAGAGTAGCTGGGAGAGGCAGTTCACCATAGTCAAGTCAAGGCAGGATAGATGCTAGGCAGGCAAACACTACAGATACCTCGGTGTTCCCTAATTAGATTAAGAATTACTTGAGAAAAGACATTTAATATCTTTTTGTCTGTTTTTTTGGTATGTTCTGGGTAGTGTTCAAGATAGGGTCCTGCTTGAGTTATGGCTTTAATCATTCATTCATTTATTATGTTATTAGTAGATAACGTGTACTAACTAATAGTAGTTATTACAGTATGTATTGGGTACTTTCTAAGTGCCTTATGAATATGAATTCACTGAATGCTGTAACCAACTCATGAGGTAGATATTACTATTAACCCCTTTGATTAGATGGGAAAATTGAGGCTCACAGAGGGAAGTAACTAAAAACCAATGTCTCAAAGCTAGACAGTTCTGTAGCAGGGATTTGAACCCAGCCAGTCCAAATTTGTGCTCTATAAATTATAAAGCAATCACTTGATAGAGTTTCTTAATAAATTTTGCCTTAAATTGCGTATTATATTCTTCATCAGTATTGCAGGTTAAAAGACAGAGAAGGCGTATTAATTCTACAAATGAGGGGAAGTGTTTCTGTTAGTCAGTCCAGGTATAGAAGTTTATAGGGTACAATGTATATTTTAGCATTTTCCCTTCAGTCTCTCATTTTATTAATGACTTTATATTTTTTTGATGAAATATTCATTACATGTTTAGTTAGAAACCTCCCCTATCACTATAGAGGAACAAATATTTTCATAAGAGGTTTTCTCAGATTTGGAATCTCTGTAGAAAAATAATTGCCTGGGGCTACTTGCCCTACTTTGTTTGCTGTCTTGTCCTGTGCCAGCCAAGATAAGGATATGTTGCTTTTCTTTGGAGTTTGAAGACACCTAGCAGCTTGTCACAACTTCCAAAATCTTTGAGGAATGAAGTCTGAATTCCAAGACAGTAATTTTACCATTATCCCAGTGGGTTGGTATTCTACTTGATACATGGTAATTTTAACAAGGAAGTTACAAGAAAAGAATTTCGTACTGTGCCTCTGTGGAAAGTTGAAATAAAAGAATGCAATTCTCATTTGTTCTTCTGTAGCTCATTTTGACAGTAAGAAAACTGTCATAAATGGACATGAATAGATCCATTTTTTGTCTATATTTATCCAACATTAAATACATTTTTAGCTTTATTATTTGAAATAGAAAAATCATTAGAGTGTTTTTAAGACAGTCATTTGGTATTTTTGATCATGAATATAAATGTTTTGTCAAGTTAAGTGTCTTGAATTTAATTTTACAGTGTGCCTAAAAGTGTATATATACTTACTATTTAGTGATCAAGTCATCGTGTAACTTTTTGGTATTTGGTCCTACAAAAGATCGATATTACTTTATAAGATATTTTGGGTCAAACAAATATGAAATATGATTCAGTTCATTATACTATATAGGATGGTCACTTACTTGTAATACTTTACTTCTCTAAAACTTGAATTCAAAATAAGAAATCTGATGCAATTTAAGCCCACAAATGTCAATAAATGGTTAATTCTGTAGTTTGCCAAGATTCCTTCAGCTCTTTTACAGAAAATCCATGGAGTTTGGGCTTATATATAGTTATCCTTTAATATTTAAAATAATATGAATTACATACTTCAATTTTGTTTCGATCGTATGTAAATGCAATACAGAATTTACAACTTAATTTGTGATTCTCCCAGTAACTCTAGCTTGGTTTCATTTGCACATGTCCACACTTTGTGATTTATGGATACTAACCCATCAGAATCCTTAAATCTAATCACTCTCCATGTATGTAAAAATGTCAGCTACAGTATTTTATTAAACGTAGATATGCCACTTTCTACTTACCTTCTTTCAAAAAGAATTATAAAATGGTGGAAACACTCTGTATTTGTTACCTGACTGGTTAGATTATAAAGGAACAAAAAGGGAAAGACTTCTTTCTTCTTTCTGGACTTTGGATCCTGTGTAAATATGTGATGCCTGATCTATAACCATCTTGCAATCATGAGGGGATTGGCCAATTTACTGAGGATATTATGATGGAAGATGGAAAGAGCCAGGGTTGTTAATGATAAGATCGAAATCCTGGCTGTACTGCTTCTCCACCTTGCATCTTGGAGCATGACATTTCTATAAGCCCCAGTTTTCTCAACTCTCAAATGGAAGTAATAATAGTATCTATTTAATAGGCATGCTGTAAGGATCATATGCAATAATACATATATAACACGTCAAAGTACATTGCAGACCTTATGTGAAACAAGATGTCTTAGTCTGTTTTTGCATTGCTTTGAAGGAAATATAATACCCAAGTCTGGGTAATACATAAAGAAAAGAGGTTTATTTGGCTCACGGATCTGCAGACTGTACAAGAAGCATGGTGCTGGCATCTGCTTGTGGTGAGGACCTCAGGAAGCTTCCATTCATGACACAAGGGAAAGGGGAGCAGACGTCACATGGTGAGAGTAGAAGGAAGCAAGAACTCACTCGTTACCCTCAGAATGGCACCAAACCATTCGTAAAGCACCTATCCCCATAATCTAAACACTCCACACTAGGTCCCACCTCCTACATTGGGGATAAAATCTTAATATGAGATTTAGAAGGGACAAATATCAAAAGTATATCACAAGATTATAATGGACATGCTGTTTTCCTATATATTATCTCATCTGGATTATAACAACTATGTAAGGTATCAAAGATGAAGCTATGTAAGGTGTCATATTTTATTGTAAAAAATGAAATGCAAAATTCATTGTGTTGTAGAAAATACAAATAAAAAAATCACATGTAATTGTCTAGCCCAGAGATATATTTGATGTAGTTTTTAACAATATTTTCGTTAATATTAGCTTTGCTGTGATTACTATTATCAATATATTGTGATATTGCTAGAGTGTTTATGTGGGAAAGAAATAAGTATTGTTCCCTCCATTTGTCCAAATGAAAAAGCTGAGACTCAGAGAGAATTAGTTCCTTGGTTCAAAAGTCATGCAGATTTCAAGATAAGAACCAGGGACAAGAGCTAGGGCCAGAAGTTAGGTCTGTCTATATATAAAGCCTATGCTTGGAACAACTGCAATTAATTGTTGTCTCTTAGTGCACCCTAAATGAGGGGGAAAAATGGAAAACAAGCAGGAAAAATAGCCACAGCAATTCTGTCTTTAAAATGTATAATCTTCTCTAATAGATTATTTTCATTTTTGAAAATTAAAGTATGATTAATACACAACCTAATGCACAAATCTTGTTTTCACTTTGATGCATTTTGTCAGTTGATTATACCCAGCTAGTCACAGGTACCCATAGAAAGGTATACAAGACTTGCATTCATCCAGAAATTCCTCTCATGGTCATTTCCAGTCAATTCTATCTCCCCAGTTCCCCACGTCCTCCGAGTCAGCCACTTCTAAATCCTGCTACAGTAGAGTTTTGCCTGTTCTCACACTTCATGTAAATGGAAACATAATGTATGTATTCTTTAGAGCCTCGCTGTTTTGCTGAGCATCCTATTTTTCAGGTTTATCTAGGTGTTGTTGCATGTATCACTGGTTTTTTTTTTCATAATTACTAAGAACTTTTCCATTTTAGGGATAGATCATAAATCGTTTATTCCTTCATTTGCTCATGGACATTTGTTTCATTTCAGACTCGAGTTATTATTGTTTGACTTATGTTTACTTAGCTTGTGTGTTTCTTTATTTGGCATCTAACCTGCGATCCAGAGGTCACACTCTGAACCACATCCTTCACCTAACTCTCACACACCAAACCAGGATTTCCCCTGCCCTGAATCACTCTAGTCCAGGTACCAAACAACTACTGACAGCCGCTATGCCCCAGAGCCTGTTAGAATTACTCGAAATAGCCCATTCTAAACTATTTTTCTAGCCCTGCCTTCTGCTTCTGGATACTGACCAACTCTGGTGTGTCTCCATGTAGCCCTGTGTGGCATGGTGTCAGCCTCTCCATATTGTCATTGAGTCACTTCTGTAAATTAAAATCCCACAGGTTCGAATGAGACAACTGTAAATATGGATTATATAAGCATTTGTGTTCAGGTCATTTGGTGGATATGTTTTCTTTTCTCTTGTGTAAATGCTTAAGAGTAGAAATTCTGTGTCGTAGGGTCACACACACACACACACACACACACACACACAAATGCATACACATGCACTTGATGGGTATCCACAGTGGTTGCACCATTTTACATTCCTACCAGCAAGGTTGGGGATTCCTGTTACTACTTTCTTTGCTAACATTTGCCAGTCTCTTTTATTTTAGCCATCCTATTAAAGAAGAAAGTATATCCTACTGTGGTTTTAATTTGCATGGCTGATGCTGTAAGCCTCTTTTCATATGCTAATTTATCATGTATAGATCTTCTTTTGGGAAGTGTTTGTTGAAGTATTGCCTATTTTTATGGGGCTTTTAATCTTTTCATTATTTATTTACCTATATTCTTCATAAAAGTGTACTGCTAATATTTTTCCTAGAGTGTGGCTTGTCTATTAATTTTTAAATGATTTTTTTTTTTTTAGACGGAGTCTCGCTCTGTCGCCCGGGCTGGAGTGCAGTGGCGTGATCTTGGCTCACTGCAGCCTCTGCCTCCCGGGTTCATGCCGTTCTCCTGCCTCAGCCTCTCAAGTAGCTGGGACTACAGGCGCCCGCCACCATACCCAGCTAATTTTTTGTATTTTTAGTGGAGACGGAGTTTCACTGTGTTAGCCAGGATGTTCCCCATCTCCTGACCTTGTGATCCATCCACCTCTGCCTCCCAAAGTGCTGGGATTACAGGCGTGAGCCACCATGCCTGGCCTAAATGATATTTTTATGAGAAGAAATGTTTAATTTGGGAGAAATCTAGTTTGTCCTTTTTTAAGTTTTGAGATTAACATTTTGTCCCTCTGTGATCATGAAAATATTCTCATTATATTCTTCTGGAGAATATTTTGTGATTTGTTGTTTTATGTTTAGACCTATGATCTATGTCAAATAAATGTTTATGTGTAAAGTAACATAAAGATTGAGGATAATTTTAAAAATGTAAGTATTCATTTTTTTTCTAGCAACATTTATTAACAAGACTTCCCCCGTGCACTGCCTTGGTGTCTTGGTTAAAAAGAAAAGACCTAATAGTGGGGTCTCTTTCTGAACTCTTTATTCTTTTTTCTTGCTCTATTTGTCTATCTTTATGCAAATTCTACACTGTCTAAATTGTCGTAGGTAGAAATCAGTTAGTGTAAGTCTTTCAAATTTGTTCTTCTTTCAAATTTCTTTTGGCTCTTCAAGATCCTTGGCAGTTCCACATACATTTTAGAATCATCTTATCTCTTTCTTCAAAGGACCTATTGGGAGTTCGAAATGAATTGAATTGAAACTATAAGGCAATTTAGGGAGAATGGACATCTTAACAATGATGAACCTTTCACTCAATGAACATAGCATCTCTCTTCATTTATTTAGATTATCTTTAATTTATCTTAGCAATATTTGTGGGTTTTAGTGTAGGAGTATTGCACATATCTGTTAATTCCTGGTTATGTGATGTTTTTATATGCTAATGCAAGTATGGTTTTTAAGCATTTATTTTCTATTTTTTCATTATTATATTTAGAAGTACTAATGATTTTAATGTACTGGCATTGTATTGTATTCTGCAGCATTGTTAATTCACAGTATCATTCAAGTAGTTTTTTTCTTTTATAGATTTTATGTTTTTTTTAAATACACAGTCCCATTATGTGTGACAGTTTTACATTTCTTTTCCATCTGAATGCCTTTTATTTTCTTAGTTTGACTTACTACTCCTTGTAGGACCTTTAGTATAATGGTGAGTAGAAATATTGAGAAAGGTTATCCTTACCTTCTTCCTGATGGTAGAGCACAAGTGCTTGATTTTCCCCATTAAGAATGAAGTCATGCTGAGCATGGTGGCTCACGCCTGTAATCCCAGCAGCACTTTGGGAGGTTGAGGTGGGCAGATTCCTTGAGACTGGGAATTCTTGAGACCAATGTGAGCAACATGGCAAGACCCCATCTGCAAAAAATTTAAAAATTAGTTGATTGTGATGGTGCACGTCAGTAGTCCCAGCTACATGGGAGGCTGAGGTGGGAGGGTCACTTGAGCCCAGGAGGTTGACGTCCAGGCTGCAGTAAGCCATGTTGGCACCACTAGTATGATGTTAGTTGTAGGTTTTTTGTTAATACTCTTTATCATATTGAAGCAGTTCATTTCTATTTCTACTTGGCTGGTAATTTTTATCATAAAGGTGATTACTTTTGTCTTAATCACTTTCTTAATCTATTGAGATAGTTACGTTTTGTTAATGTGGCATTTTACACTGATTGGTATTTTGAGTATTAAACCAATTTTGTATTCTGGGACAACTGCGTTTTTAAAATATACGAATGTGTTTGATTTGGTAATATTTTTAAGGAATTTTGTATTTTTTAGGACTTCAAGGGACTTAAAAATTTTTTCTTGAAAAAATATTGTTGTGTAATTTTCTCTCCGTGTAATATTTGTTAGCTTTTTGGTATCATGATAATGCCAGTCTCATAGAATGAGTTAAGAAGTGTTCCTTCTTCCTCTATGTTTTGAACGAGATTTTGTAAGATTGATATTTTCTTAATGTTGGAATTCACGACTAAGGTCTCTGGCCTGAAGCACTCTTTATGGGAAGGGTTTGGATTCCAAGTTTAATTTCTTTAATAGATAAAATTTATTTTGATGTTCTACTTTACCTAGCATCAACTGTGATAATTGTGTCTTTGAAGTAATTTGTTCTTTATATCAAATGTCGTGAATTTATTGGTTTATACCGATAATGTATAATTATTGTCTGCTCTTATTGTCATCTAATGTTTGTAGCATCTGTTGTGATGTTGCCCTTTTCATCCTGCACTTGGATTTTGCATTCTCCCTCTCTGTTCCTTTCCCTTTCAGCAGTATTGGTAATGACTTATCAATTCTACTTATATATATATTCAAAGAAACAGTATTTTACATTGTTGATTTTCTCTATTATTTGTCCTTTTAAAATGTTTTGTTTGTTACATATATTTTAAGTTTCATTTGTTCCTCTTCTTTTGTTCCTAAAGCGAGAGCTCCGATTGTTGATTTAGAAACCTCTCTTCTTTTCTATTAAGAGTTTAAACTATAAACTTCTTTTTAACAACGCTTCCACTGCAAATACAATTTTTATATGTTGTGTTTTCATTTTTATTGATTTTAAAATATTTTCTATTTTATCTTTAATTTCCAATTTAACCCTTGGGTTATTTAGAAGTATGTTGTTTAGTTCTCTAATATCTGTGGATCAGTTTACCCTTTGTTATTTCTAATTTAATGCATTTGTTGTCACATAACATACTATTTATTATTTCAATTGGGTGATGTTTTTGAAACTTGTTTTATAGAGCAAAACATGATCTGTCTTGGTGAATGTTCTACATGCATTTGAAAAGACCATATGCTCTAGTGGTGTTGGGTTGGTATTCCATAAATGCCTGTTAGGAACACTGGTTGATTCTGTTTTTCAAGCCTTTTCTGTCTCTACTGTCTTTTTTTTTTTTTGAGGGGGGTGGGATCTGCTTGTTGTATTCATAACTGAAAGAGTGCTTTTAAAGTCTTCAACTATTATTGTGGATTTTCAATTTTTCTCTTTAGATCTGTCAATTTGTGCATGCTGTATTTTGAAGCATTGTTGTTAGGTGCCTACACATTCAAAATCGTTATCTCCTCCATAATGACATGATTTTTTTTATCATTATGGAAAGGACTTTTAGTTTTTGTATTGTTTGCCTTGAAGTCTACTTTGTCTGATATTGGCACGAAATACTAGCTTTCTTATGCTGATTGTTTACATGGAAATTTTTTCAACCTCTTTTTTTTCAAGACATCTGTCACCCATATTTAAAGTATATTTCTGTAAAGAGCATATAGTTGCTTCTTTGTTTTCACCCTGATAGTCTTTGCCTTTTAATTGCAGCAGATATTCTCTTCACATTTAATGCAGTTATTGATATGTTTGAGTGTACATATCATGTATTGGTATTTATACATAGACCAATGAATGTGTCATTTAATTTTATCCTGCCTTGCAGTATTTCAGGGAACGTGAGTTCATATTAATTCACTAATGAAAGTGATGTATTACATCACTAGAGTCCTTTTGAGGAAGGGACGAATTCACAGGGTTTGAAAATCAAGGCTAGTAAAGCTTTTAAGACTTTTGCAACTAGAGATTAAAATTTTGTGAATTTTTACCCTTTCCAGGAGACATGGAAATGCAGAAAGTTATGAGACCCTTTATATCACTTAGCCTTTCTGTACCTTGCCTCTTTAGCCCACTATAAGTTCTGAATGATACCTAACTTTATGATGGGATAGTCTGAGGGTTAATAATATTCTTGTAAATGAACTTGCAAAATGGACTTGTAGAGAACAGATGTCTATATTTCATTGTATGTAAGAAAAGTCCTCTCATTTAACTCTAGCTGACCTAGAAGTAGTTCACAGAATCTTATTTCACCTTAACTTATTAAGAAAAGTGATGCATTGCACAAGAATCTCCTTAAATTGTTTGTTACTTTAAATTTTTTACATCAGTTTCCAACAGTGGAGAAACATTGGACTGTGCCATTTAGCAATAAGTTGCCAGATTTTATTTTATTAATGTATTTTTTTCCAGTAGTATTGGTATAGTTTCAGCTTAAAAAAACATCTTATAACCAGAGTCTGGTTGAGGGGTTATTTAATTGTCTTACCTCTGCTAATAACTTACTGAGCAAAAATGTGGATTTCAAATATGTAGTCATTCATGCTTTCTTAAATAAGGAGTTAATAAATATTAAATAGCGTCAACTTGACCTTGTAAGGAGGTTGATATTTTCAGTGTTTAATTTGCAAATTGGCAGGGGTTTATTAGAAATTTATTTCAATAAAAGTACAGAACATTTGAAATAAATATATCTCCTTTTTACATTTAAAATGCAACTTTCATCAGTGAGTTAGCATTCATTTGTTCATTTAACAAATACATATGGAATGCTTGCCTTGTGCCAGGCATGTTTCAAGATTCTGCAAATTGCATATGTTTCAGTAATGTAATTAATATTAAAATATCTAATCATGGATTTCTGTCAGTAACATCTATCATTAGTTCAAGATAAAACTTTTGGCTAAAATTAATGTTAGTATGTGACCCAAGACCTTAACTTTTACCCATATTATCATGATTATTTTTTGAGATAGTCAACCTTCTTTCACTTAAAAAAAAGGCAATAGGTTGCAAATGCTACTAATCAAGAACGGATATGGCTTTCTGTTTTGGGTGAATGAGAACATATGGATGTTACCGAGAAGGAGTGATCATGAATAATTTAGAATAACTTGAGATCTTGTGAGGTAGTAAAAATGAAATATGCATTGGTTAAATGAGAGAGAACTATGCTATTTGGGTTTGAGGTCATTTCAGTAACATACACGTACTCTAATTCTTTTTCCCCCCCACTCTTGAGAAAGTATAATAGAATAAGTAATGCTGGGTAGCCAATTGTGGAATGAACCAAGATATATTTTAATGCAATCACTTGGGAAGTTTTAGCAGTTAGAAATCATACTTCCAAGAAAGAAACTGCTGATATCACTTGGATTAACGACCTGTTTTAGTGAAATATCTCTTCATTTTTGTAGTGCATGGAAGCATTTGATACTCATTTGATATTAGTTTGTCCATTCATCTAAAACATCTTTGGCATGGCTCCCTGAATGGCATTTTTCCTAAATTTAGGTCGTGATGACTTGACTTTGTGTCTTGGGTGTAGTAACTGTATCTTCTCTAGGGAGAGGTATGTGTTTTGTTTTCCTTTTTGAATGAAGCCTGGGAAGGGTAAACTCTGAGAAGTGTTTATCTACATCACCCTCAAGTATGGTAAGAAGACTGCTTACCAAGTCACTGCTGCCTCTCCTTAGAAGGCCAAGGTTGCTCACTAAGATTCGACAGACACTGTTGATTTACCTGAGAAGTAGTAAAATAAGCTTTTAAGTGGGAGTTTAAGCCCAGAATATAAATATTGTATGTTTCCAGTAGGGAAGTACGATTTAAGGCTTTATTTGAATTTATTTTTAGAAAAACATGCACTAGTAAAAAAACAGTATGTAGGAAGGAATACTTCCTACATTTCTAAATAGAAAAAAAAATCATTACAGGTCAGGAGATTTTTTTCTTTTCTTTTACCTACCATAAATTTAAAATTACAATCTGAACAATACAGAAAACTTTCCAAATAATAGAAAAAATTTAAGGGTACTTTTAATAGAATAAGTGTGATCACTCTGATTTTTACCTCAGCTACATAAAAAGAACCTCTTTTCTAGTTTACATATAAATGATTAATGTAATTTCAAGTCTTATTGATTTATGAAATTTTTTCTTCCTTGCTTGTGTCCAGGTTAAGAATTATTTTTTTTTCTCTGCTCAAGAAATTGTGTGTACTCTAGTCTAGTTTTGGGAATGAATTTCTGTTGTTCCATTTTTACTTGACATATTATCTGTAACATTGAATATTTTTATTCTTAAGTGGGAAGGAAGAGGCTATGGAGATGGGAACACTGGAAGTTTATTTGATACGCTCAAGTTCAGGGGACTGTGTTGTTTTCACATATATGTATGGCAAAATAATTTTTGAAGAAATGAATCTGTGTGATGTTCCTAATGTATTCCTTTGTAATACCTCCCAGGAAAAGTTTGCAACTGTAGATTTGAAGGAAGGAAAATGGAAGAGAGGAAAGAGACAAGGAAGGAGGGGAATGAGGCCAAAAGAGGCGGGAGAAGGGGTCTTCACATTAGGAGGCAGAGGGCTGGAATGTTGGAAGGAGCAGACGCCTAGGGCCCAACACTCCACAGGAGGCAGACTCTTCTGAAGAGACTTAGGGGAGGGGTTGGTTAGTGTAGGAAGTACTTGTGGTGGAGCTAGGGAAGCTGGACACTGGGTTCCAGGTCGGCCATCCTTTACCCACCTGGGCATATCTCTGAAAACTTTACCCACCTGGGCTTGTCTTTCAAACAGTAGAGGCACTAGATTCCAAGGAACCACGTGGGCTTGGACAGTTAGTATCTTCATAGTAAATCACTGGGCTGAGAAGCCTCTTAGAACAATTTCACATGGTTTAAGACAGCCACTATGAAAAATGAAAGAGATGAGGGAAAAGGGGAGCAGGAGTTGATGTCTTCCCCCAAATATCCTCCCCCTAAATCAAAGGACTATAAAAGCCCTGGGTGTGTAGTTTGAACTGTGTGTGTGTGTGTGTGTGTGTGTGTGTGTGTGTGTTGGGAGAGACTGAAGAGGAAATGAATCACAGTTGAATATCTCAAAAATTATCTAATCAGCTCGGTGCGGTGGCTCACACCTGTAATCCCAGCACTTTGGGAGGCTGAGGTGGGCAGATCACGAAATTAGGAGTTCAAGACCAGTCTGGCCAACATGGTGAAACCCTGTCTCCACTAAAAATATAAAAATTAGTCAGGCATGATGGCACCCGTCTGTAATCCCAGCTACTCAGGAGGCTGAGGCAGGAGAATCGCTTGAACCTGGGAGGCAGAGGTTGCAGTGAGCCGAGATCACGCCAGTGCACTCCAGCCTGGGTGACAGAGCGAGATTTCATCTCAAAAAAAATATTAATCTAATCACTCATCTTTAATAGATAGAAAACACTTCTGGGTGGTGTCTCATGCCTGTAATCCTAGTACTTTGGGAGACTGAGGTGAGAGGATTGCTTGAGCCCAGGAGTTCAAGACCAGCTTGGGCAACATAGTGAAACCCTGTCTCTACAAAAATAAAAAGAAATAAATGAGGCAGGGTGGCACATGCTTGTTGTCCCAGCTACTTTGGAGGGTAAGGTGGGAGGATTGCTTGAGTCTGGGAGGTCCAGGCTACAGTGAGCCATAATTGTACCACTGTACTCCAGCCTCAGTGACAGAGCAAGACCCTGTCTCCAGAAAAAAAAAAAAAGAAAATGCTTCTGGGAAAAGCATTTGCTTTCCTTTCTCTCACAGTGAGCAGTCCTCTCTCTAACATCCCATCTTCACTTTCTCACCAGCCATTTTATCATTTTCAGTGATAAGACTAAGTATATAGAGGTAATGTAGATTTTTCAGGAAATGTGTGGCAGAAGCTATAACCTTTGATTTTTCCAATAATTTTCCAAAATGCAACTTGAAGTTAACCCAGTTTGGTAACATGGTTCCAAAGGTGATTATTGCAAGTGGAATGATTGAAGTTATATGTGTAGCACTGGGAAAAACAGTTTACAAGAGAAAAACAGCATGACTTCCATGGGTAGTGCTTCCATGGTTCATGCTTTACCATTGAGAGCAAACCTAGATGGCTTTGTGTTTTATTAAACTAAACCTAAACGTGGTTTAATTTAATGAAACATAAAGCAGGGATCTTAGAAGTTAGATTTCAGTTTTGATAAAATGTTCTAAGCCAGTATACCCTACGAGTCACCATTTTAAAGTGCACAATTCTGTGGGTTTTAGTATATTCACCAGATTGTGACAACCATCACCACTATCTAATTCTAGAACATGTTCATCACTCTAAAAGAAACCCATACCCATTAGCAATCACTCCCCAGTCTCTTCTCCCCCTGCCTTCTTCTAAGTACTAATCTACCTTCTGTTTTTATGGATTGTCCTATTTTGGAAGTTTCATAAAAATAGAATCATAAAATACGTGGCCTTTTGTGGTTCCTCACTGAGCATAATGTTTTCAAGGTTCATCCATGTCATAGCATGTATCAATAGTTTATTCCTTTTTATGGCTGAATAATATTCCATTTTATTCATATAACATATCTTGTTTATCCATTCATCAGTTGATTGACATTTGGGTTGTTTCCACTTTTTGCCTATTATGAACAATGCTGCTCTCAATATTTGTGTACTTTTTTTGTAAATATGTATTTTCAGTTTTCTTGGGTATACGAATATGAGTAGGACTGCTTGGTCACATAGTAACTCTAGGTTTAACTTTTTGGAAAATGGCCAGCCTGTTTTCCAGAGAGTTTGCACCATTTTATATTTTACATTTCCATGAGCAATATTGGAGTGTTCCAATTTCTCCGCCTTCTTACCAACTTGTTATTTTCCTCTTTTTTTTTTTTTAATTACGGCTATCACTGTGAGTGTGGAGTAGCTTCTCATTTTAGTTTTGATTTGCATTTCCCTAATGACCAATGATGTTAAACATCTTTTCATGGCCATTTGTGTATCTTCCTTGGAGAAATGTCTATTCAAATCCTTTTCCCATTTTAATTTTGGGTTATTTGTCTTTTTATTGTTGCAATATAAGAATTCTTTATGTATTCTGAGTACCAAACCCTTAACAGATACTTGGTTTACAAATATTTTGTCCCATTCTCTGAGTTGTCTTTTCAACTTTCTTGATGGTGTCCTTTGCAACACAAAAGTTTTTAAGTTTGATGAAGTCCACACATGCTCATATGGGTATCATATCTGAGAAACCATTTCCTAATTCAAAGTCACAAAGATTTATACCTATGTTTTCTTCTAAGACTTTTATAATTTTCTTTGAGATTGGCATGGGATGGGAGTGGGGGATGGGACAGGCTAAAAAAAAAAAAAGAAAGCACTCTTCAATTGTGCACCCTCGGACACTGTCTGCTTTGCCAGTCCTTCCCACCCCTTTCTCTGAGGCCTGGGGTGTCCTAGATCATTTAGGCCTAGAGGATATTAATACATTCATGTTGACTAGGTCTTTCCCAATTCACTAGATTCCTGTGGGTCCCCTTCATGGGTCTGAGCATGCAGCTCTGGGCTGCAGGCATTTAGGCAGGGAGTCACGTGCCTTGTGGGAATCTACTCTCCGAGGCTTGCCTCAAATGCCCTGGTAATGGAGCTGAGGCCATGAACATCCACACTCCCCACCCTGGTCTAAGTACATTTCAATGTGGTGTTTTAAAGATGGCACTGCCCGGGCAGCCATGTATACCTCCATGAACAGCAGATGAAGTCTTAGACCCTCCTAGTTTTCTAGATAACGTGCATCCTTCAATACAGGCAGTTACCTCTTGTCCTGGGCTTCCCCTGGCTTCTCATAAGTTCTCACCCATCATTAGATTCTCTGCCATCAGGGGAAGAGCAAAACAGAGGTCTTTTTTCTGCTTTTAGAAAGTGGAATTTTATAAGCAAGTATTTAATTATGCAAGTAATTAATATGTTATTTAATAAAATCCAAAAGTTACAGGTAGGCTTTCCTGGCTGTTACAGAGAAAATCAAATTTAAGAGTTTAATTAGTGTGTTTGGTGCCCTTTTTACACACATATGCACAGAACATGTTAAGTATTGTATATGTGTTTTACATGAACAATATTGTATACCATTTTGCGTTTTCCTTTTTTCTTTTAACATTATATTTTGTTATAAATAGATCGAACTCTTCCCTTTTAATTTCTGCATAGTATTTCTTGGTGGAGTCTATCATAGTTTCATTAGCTGTTCTTCTTTGTATAAACATTTATGTTGATCCCATAGTTTTGATATTACAGGCAGGGCTGCAGGGAGTATCATGGGCTGTGCCTCCTTCTTCAAATGTGGAAGGTTTCTTTGACATTAGATATTTGGAAGTGCAATTGCTGGTTAATCAGGAAGTGTATTGTACAAGAATAAGTGCATTTTAAGTTTTGCTCATTTCAAATTGCCTTCCAAAGTTGTAGTACTAATTTCACTTCCTCTAGTAGTACAGAAGAGAACTTACTGGCTTACTTCCCACCAGTGTTTGATATTATCAGATTTTTAAATGTTTGCTAATTTGATGGGTGAAAAATGATAAAGTATTTTCTTTTAACTTACTTGACCTGGAAAAACAGTTGATGAGAAGAGTTGCAAAGGCTTGGAGCCAGTGGCAGGTGGAGGGCAGGTTAGGAGTAGTTAAGACAGAGGTCATTATGTGACCCAAAGCCACCAATGAGATATTTCATATGATACCCTGACTGGTAGGTGAGAATAGCTGCAAAAGACTGCAAGGCCAGAAAGAGCGAAGACAAACTTAGGTAACCAGTAGTTGGACAAGAAAAGTGATAAAACATTTTTAATAAAGTATTCATAACTGATATTAGTGAGCGATCCCAAGTTCTATAAGTTTTGCTTCCCAGTTTCTAAGTATAAAATGATGGTTTCTAATATATGTAATCTAAATAAATGGCAGGATTCTTTTGACAAAAAGCACCAATAAATATGTGAGTTCAAGTTTCCTGTTGTAGTAGTTTTTATTATTTCTGAATAATAACTACCACTTTGTGAACATATACCACAAGAACTTTGCTAAGTGCTTTCCATATATTGTGCAATTTAGCCCTAATCACCCCATAAAAGCAGGCAATGGAAGAATTCTCATGTTACAGATGAGGGAGCTGAAGTCATGAGAGGTAGCGTATCCAGGGTTCCACAATCAATGAGGGGTAGAGATGGGATCCAATTCTTAGGTCTGTACCGCTAAGCTAATCTCCTTCATGTAAGCCCAATGCCCAGGCTGCATCCCAGGCCAATCCCATGAGAATCCTGCAGGTTAGAAGGCAGCATCCCCTGGTGATTTAATGCTCCCCAGCTGAGTCAATGTCTAACTCAAGTGGAGAGCTGCTGCTGTGGATGCCGCTGCTGCTAGAACACTATCTGCAGTACGGTGATGCTTATGATGTGCAGAAATGATATTCAACACTTCATATGTATTAAATGGCTCTCAAACTACTTGTACTGCAACCTAGGGGAAGAATTGCATTCTATATCATAAACAAGTACAAATATACAGATATATGTAATGGAGAAATTATTGTTTCACGGAAAAGCACTTATCTTTGCAAATGCACTGTGGTGGTTCTATTCTATTGTATTATACTTTTATTATCTTACAGATGCTTCTACTTCAAACGTGAATTAACTTTTCATTATCATATTTCCAAGGAAAAAGTGAAGTCTACAGATTAAATCCCCTTAGGAGTTGAATACCAAACACATTTCATGTTCAAATGAATTAAATTCTACAGTCAAATTCCTCGTCTTTCAGTTACAAGTTCGAAATTATTATGTAAAAATAGAAGCCCACATCCATCTCTCCAATTTACTCTAAGTGATACGTCAGAGAATTGGTGATTCTTCAGCAGCTGCCGGCTGAGGGAGGAAGACCTCAGAAATTGAGACCAAGACTCTCATATCCTTAGTTTTTAAAGAGCCAAAGAGTTAATATGATACATAAAAATTTTACATAGCATTGGCCACACTGTAACATAATCAGTTTTATTCAAAAAATTGCCAGTCTGTATTCTCTAGGGCACTGCCAGTCATCCCAGGTAGGATCATTTTTTTTTTTTTTGTCCTTAGAAGACACTCTTTTTTTTTCTTCTTTTGTGATTTTTTTTTCCCGCATTTAATGTTGCGAGAGAGCCAGTTCTCTAAGACCAACGAGGGTTGAGAGAAATCAAGAGAGTTTCTTGATTTCAACTTTCTTTGCAGAATTCTCTACATGAACAGAATACTCTCTGTAGTAAGAGGTTAATACTATAAATTTGCCATACCTGGTAGAAAATCCGCTTTTGTGTACTGTTTCCTAACTCAGAAAATGGCATTTCAGGCACTACTGCTACTTTGCAAGTATGGTAGGCTGGATTCTAAGATGGCCCCCAGGATTCCCCTCCTCCCCCTCCATATACATGTCTTGTAGTACCTACTTGGGTATGGGTAGAACTCCATGATACTCCATGATATCACATCCTATGATGTTATTACTTTATATGGCAAAAGAGAGATGTCCAGGCAAGCCCACCCTTGTTGGACGAACCCTCTAAAGCAGAGGTTTTTCTCAGGCTGCTTGCAGAAGCCGGCTGTGGGGGTTATGCATAAGAGCTTCCTCTGGCCTAGAAAAAAGCAAACATCCCTGTTGTGAACCACCTAAGGAGACACTCCCAAGTGCATCCTATGGTAGTAAGATTGGCCTTTGTCCAACCCAACCACCAGCAAGATAATGAGGACCCTAGTCCTACAACTTCAAGGAATTAAATTCTGCCAACAACCTGAGTCAGCTTGGTGAAGGGCCTCAAGCCTCAGGGGAGATCTCAGCCCCAGATGACACCTTGATGTCAGTCACCTGAGAGCCCGAGCAGAGGACACAGCTAAAATGTGCTCAGACCCTTGACTCATGCAAACCGTGTGAAAATAGTGTGCTGTTTAAACCACTAAGTTCATGGTTATTTGTTATGCAGCAATAGAAAATCAGTACACAAAGCTTAAGAAAAATCTGCAATGATGGTGGTCCTTATCAAGATCTTATTTAAGATACTTTTCTTTATTATTCAGTGTATCTCTCTTCATTTTCACTCACTGAAGTGCTGAGTTGAGAGTGAGCTTTCTCTCCCAAGAGAAACGTTCCCTGGGAGACACTGGGCTTGGGCAGTTTTATAACGCGAGACAGTAAGAACAGCTGCTGAGGCACAGAGCTGAAAATGCTCAATAGCAAGAGAGATACAGCTTCAGGGATCTCTGGAGTGTAGATTACACCCCATAGTTTGTTCCATTCTGTGGTAAGGGAGCTGGCTTTCATCCTCCCACACCAATCAGCCATCGGCTTTGGGTCACTCCAAGAGGTGTAATTCCCAGGCATTTTCAGTTTAATGCTTGTGAAGGTGAGACAGTTCTGGTAATATGAGGGCAGGCCTGTACAAGAAGTCACAGGTAACAGATATGAGTCTTTAGAGGCAGAGCAGACAGAAAATGGGAGCTAGGCATACAGATGCTCTAAAATGGATCTTGGTGGAATATCAGGAGTATCTGCTTAATCTGCCAAGTTCAAGGTACCATATGGCTCCGGGCTTAAAGCCTCCCTCCCAGAGCACTGCTCTTAAATTCTTCTGACCTCATGGGCTGTAAGCTTTATCCACCCATCAAGGTTCATCTCCTTTGCCCACACATTAAAGTCCAAGACCCAAAGCCACAGGTCGTGTCAGAAAAGCACATTTGTTTCACCAACTTAGACATTTTGTGTATTTCATAGTACTCCAAGACAACTCACCAATGGCTGAGGCCTTCGAGAGAGCCCCCAAGAAACAGAAGCCCTTTGCCCGCTCACATTCTATAATACAATGAGAAATAAAACAAAGAAGAGGCTGTGGAAGCCTTTATCACCTATGTATTACTGGTAGAAGCCAGGTTGGAGAACAGAACTTTAGTTTTGTTGGCTAAGTGGGCTTGTTGTAAGGCTGACGTCCAGAATTTAGTAGTTACATCTACCACTTATAGGCAGAGATGGGTTGAGGTAGGCCTTGTTTAGCTTTATGTCTCCTCCGTGTTACTCTGAGCATCTTGAAAACTGGTACCCAGAAGCATCATTAGGTTGTCATCCCAGGACCTGCTTCAGAACAGCTGCAGAGCAAGCTTGGAGCCAGGGAGAGAGAAGCATGGAGTAGGCTGAGTTTGTTCAGTTTACTGTTTCCAGATATACCAGCAATTATGTCTCCCCATATCCTATGGAGCAGGGCAATAAGGAGGTGCCATATTAAGTTAAAGAATTTTGTCCACTTGGACGAACTAGTGAGAGAAAATGTTTTCCCCAAACACATATACATGTGCTGACATTCATGTGCATACATATGGCTGCAAAGATCATAGGCATACTTAGCGGCAGCATTAAGCTTCCTTTAATACAGGTGAGAATATTCCTGTTTTCCTTCATTAAATCATTAAGTAATTCCTATTTAAATGTCATTTAATTTTTTTTTAAGTTATCATAGGCGTGAGAATTGGACCCACTGGGAATCTGTTTTTCAAAAATAGAAAGTTGCTGTTGATGACTTCTAAAATGCTTAGAAATTTCTTTCTATTTTGGTTTAGAAAAAGTGGGGGCTGCCTTTGGGAATGTTCTTGGGAACAGTCACCCAGAGGGCCTCAATTAGTAACTCCCAGTTTACAGAGAATGACTGGGAATTGTTAAAATCTTGCTAACGCACATTTTCCCCATTTAGTTTTCATAGATTACCAAGTTTTCAAGGAGGCGGAATCTAGTAAATTATAACCAACAGTGTATTGAATCTAGCTAATTGCTTCCTCATTTGTATTCTCCTAGCGCTTTCACATACTCTTAAAACTCCCCTCAAATTGTTTTTGTTTAACTGTGTATCTCCTCCATGCTATTCTGAGCATCTTGAAAACAGGTACCCAGAAGCATCATCGACTGTCAGCAGAGGAAATGATCCACTCTTTGTCTTCTCAAGATTCAAAAAGGTCCCTTCTTGGAGGATATGCAAGTGCCCCCTGCTCCCTAGTAGCAAATCTGTAGGTATCAGATTTTAGGTTATGTAGTCACTCTAGTGCTTAAAGTGGTATGTATCACACAGCAGGAACTCAAACGTGTTGAAATAATTTCAGCTATTTCATAGTCATCTATCAGAGATTCAGAAGTCATGCTAGGCCAGGCATGATAGCTCATGTTAATAATCCCAACACTTTGGGAGCCCAAGGTGGGAGGATCACTTGCGCCCAGGAGTTCAAAACAAGCCTGGACAACATAGTAAGACCCCCTCTCTACAAAAAAAAAAAAAAAAAAAAAAAAAATTAAAAATTTGTTGAGTATAGCGGCATGCACCTGTAGTCCCAGCCACTCAGGAGGCACAGTTGGGAGGATCACTTGAGCCTGGGAAGTCAAGGCTGCAGTGAACTGTGATTGTGTCTGTACTCCAGCCTGGACAACAGAGTAAAACCCTGTCTCAAATAAATTAAAAAAAAGAAGAAGCCACATTGTGCTTATAAGGCTCCTGTGGTAGACGCATTATGTGGCCCCTTGTACAGACTGTGCTTGTGCTGTCGTATCTGCTACGCTCTCCAGCCTGCTCTGTGCCCCAAGAGGCTGACTTCTATGGACTGCTATAATGGCATCTCTGGCCATATCTCCTGAAATTCTAATTGGATTCAGCCAGTGGAAAGCAGGACATCAGAAGGTGGGAGGAGAGTGCACTGAGGGTATTTGTTCCATCACCTTCTTTCATGTAGGATTGCCATAACTTGTCTGCATTCCTGTATGGAATGCCACAGCTTTTCTTGAGCTGGAATTCTTATCTCCAGGACCTTGTAGCCTCTATTGCTGTGTGTTGAATTGTGTATCTCAAAAAGATATAAGTCATAATGCCCTGTACCTGTGATTGTTACCTTATTTGGAAATAGACTCTTTGCAGATGTAACCAAGTAAAGATGAGTTTACTGGATTAGGGTGTGCCCTACACCCAATGACTGGTGTCTCTACAAAAAGAGAGACATGTGAAGCCCAGAGGAGACACAGGGAAGAGGACCATGTGAAGACAGAGGCAGGGATTAAAGTTAAGATGCCCTAAGCCAAAGGAGGCACAGAATCCTGAGCAAGCACTAGAAGCTAGAAGAAGCAAGGAAGGATTCTGCTTATTGCCTTTGGAGGGAGTGTGGCCCTGCTGACACTCATTTTAGGCATCTCTCCTCTATAACATTGAGAGAATACATTTCTGTTATTTTAAGCCACCTGGTTTGTGGTAATTTGTTACAGCAGCCCTAAGAACTGAATACACCTTCCCTTTGCTCCCTTCAAAGCGAAGGTGGCCTGGGGGTGGTAACAGCTCTCAGCTGTTGCTAAATTTAGGCTGCATCACCATCTTAGGTTGGTTTCCTTTAACTTTGTTCATATGTTGTGAATAGTCCCTCTATTAAACTCTCCTCAATTGTACCCGTTCCTGCCAGGACAACTGTATTAGTCTGTTCTCATGCTGCTCATAAAGCCATACCTGAGCCTGGGTAGTTTATAAAGGAAAGAAGTTTAATTGACTCATAGTTCCACATGGCTGGGGAGGCCTCACAATCATAGCAGAAGAGCAAGGCATGTCTTAAATGCAGCAGGCAAGAAAGAACTTGTGTGGGGGAACTCCACTTTATAAAACCATGAGATCTCATGAGACTTATTCACTATCACAAGAACAGCATGGAAAAGACTTGCCCCCATGATTCAAATACCTCCTACCAGTCCCTCCCATGACATGTGGGAATTGTGGGAGCTACAAGTCAAAATGAGATTTGGGTGGGGACACAGCCAAACCATGTCAATACATCAGGATATACCCAGTTTTCATTCTTCCTATTTTTCTTTCAATTACAGCAACCTTCCCCCTTTACAATTATCATCACATTTTGGCAGGGCACAGGCTCACCAAGGTTGACTGAAATTTCCAAGCCCCCTTGCAGTTGGATGTGTCTAATGTCACGTTGGAGGTTGTGAGTGAAAATAATAGGTTTCATTTCTGGGTTCCATTCTGGGGTAGGTTGAATAATGGTCCCCGAAATGTGTCCACATCTTCATCACTGGAACCTATGAATATGTTACCTTCCATGGCAAAATGGACTTTATATCTGTGATTAATTTAGGGATCTTGAGATGGGGAGAGTGTCATGGATTACCCATTTGGGCCCAGTGTGATCACAAGGGACCTTCTAAGAGAGAGGCAGGAGGATCAGAGTGGTAGAGGAGATGTGACGATTGAAGCAGAGCTTGGAATGATGTGCTTTGAGAATGGAGGAAGGGGCCACAAGGCAAGGACTGTGGTCAGCCTCTATAACCTGGAAAAGACAAGGAAACAGATTTTCCCTTAGAGCCTACAGGAGAAGAGTGGCTCTACTGACACCTTGAATTTGCCTAGAAGACAGTTTCAGACTTCTGACCTCCTGGACACTAAGGCATTGCATTTGTGGCGTTTTAAGCCAGTAAGTGTGATAACTTGTTATAGTAGCAATAGGAAACAAATACAAAAAGGAAAACTACTTGTTCTCCACCCATGTCTTTTTCTTTTCTTTTGGGTTGAAATGTAGAAGTGGTAGAAGGTAGATTTGCCCTTGCAGAGGAGGATGGTGGAGCAAGTTAGAAGGAACCTAGATCCATGGCTCACTTGGTAGCATAGCTCTGGGTTGTTAAGTAGAGAGAAAGAAATAATATTCTGTCTTAGTACCAGCCTGTTCTCTAACATCACATTTCATTGTTCCACGATGTCGGTATCTTTGGAGTTCTTAATTGCAAGCAGTAGAAACAGACTCTGGCTGTTTAAGCAGAGAGAGAGTCTGTTAAAAGGATGTTGGATGAATCAAGGAGAAAATATCTGAGGCTAAGCCAAGAGATTACACAGCCAAGAACATTAAGAACACCATGAACCTCACAGCTTGTATCATGAATATCAGGACCAACCTAAGATCCAGGTACTAGAACTGGAAACTTCTGCTGTCCTTTTATATTCTTTTTGCTCTCTATTCTATTTCCAGTACCCGTACAGGACCTTGTGCCTACTAGATCCTTCATAAGTGTTGGTGGAATGAATGGCTTATTGAAACAGCTCTGTAACTGGTCTCCTGCCTTTGCCCTTCTCCAGTACCTTCTCCCTGGGGCAGCAAACACACATATCTAATCATGAGGCCACTTTCTTGCTGAAAACATTCCAACAGCTTCTCTTGTTTTTGGAATTTACCAATTGAAAAGGCTTATATTCTAGCCCTGATCTCCTCTCTCATCACTCATCATTCTGTACCATATCCTGTAGGTGTCAGCAGCCACTCCCATCCTTGGTCCAAACCTCCTCCACCTCTTCTGCTTCCTGGCCTTACCATTAACTGTTCCCTTGGCCTGGGATCCCCACTCTTCTGTCTCCTTTTGTTTGACCTGCTCATTGTTTCTTATTTCAGCTTGGATATCACCTTGCTGGGATGGGACTCCATCCTTGATCTCCTCCATAGCATAAGCATTGTACACACCAGAGTATCTCCCTTGTCACTTGGCTAACAATATTTCATCGCATTTTTTATTGACTGACTTCTTTATAATATGAACATCATCAGCGAGCAGGGACCGCTCCTATCCATTGGGCTTATTGCAGCTCCTGGCTTGGTGCAGACCCAGTAAATCTTTGTTGAATGAATGAATAGATAAACAAATAGCCCAAGAGCAATGTGAATATTGGCTAATATTCCCAGGCTCTAAAAATTGGATGGGAGATAGAGTTAATTCAGGGTTTATTCAGAAAACACACAATGAGAACGGGCTCTGTGTTAAGCCCTGGAATTAGACTGTCATGAAAACGAAGTGTCTCAGGAAATGGTGTGGTGAATAGATAGTACCACCACAACTGTGCCACTGCACTAAAATGAATTCTGTCAGTCTGTGTGTCTTTGTGCCATAAGCTTCCCATTCAAAATCTGGGGTAGGTGCATTTCCTTTTCAGAGCCTAGGTCATGTGCTATACCATAGCTGCAAGGGAGCCTAGGAAAACAGGTTTCTGGCAATTGGAGTTTTGTTCCAGGGTATTCTGCCTCAGAACTTGGGGACAGTTCTTATTTGTAAGAACTTACTGGCTGTCTAGATAGAATGCTAAAGCCCACTCGACCAGTAAAAGGAATGTTAGGGTAACTGTAAATTATTACATATTAATAATAATAATGGAATGAAAAAACTGTTAACATGTTTGCATTTGTGGATCCTACCACGTATGCCATTATTAATTCATAATAAACATTCTGGAATTTGGCACTTGTAGATGTAAGCTTTTTTGTCTGTGTTTTAGCTTCCACAATGCGAAGAGCTAATGTAGCATTTTCCCCCACTTTGGGCTTACTGGGTTTCAAGTGAAAAAGGTATTCTGAAGAGGAGAAATGAGAAAGCAGAAACATCTGCGACTTGGCAACCGAAAGAAGCACTAGGAATATGTGGGTTGAGTGGCGGAATGTATAGAAACCAATAGATGGAACCCAGCAGCTGTGGTGGGAATGCTGTTTAAAGCCATTCCTCCAGAAAAGGAACAGTGGGACGATCTGTTATTGAGTTGCATGATGCAGTGGAATGTTGAGCTAATCAGGCAATCTAATTGACTGAACATCTGCAGCCGCTTTATCATTATTCTCAAATGGGCATTATCTCTTCGCATGCCAGGGCTGCCTAAGTGTCTCTTAGCCTTTCTAATACTAGCTCACTGTGGGGTTTACATTTTGACTGGTTTTAATTGCACTGAAATTCAAGTGATCCGCTTTAAGGTCAAATACAGTATTTTTTTTTTTCTTCTGTCTGAACTAGTTGAAGGAAAGGATTGGAAAAGTTGGCATGTCCAGGCAGAGCAGGGAGGAAGTCAGAGGTGCCGCTAATGACTTGGGAGAAAGCATTCTGATAGTGTGTTAACATAAAGCATCCAGATGAGTTCAGTGTGGAAGCCATGGTAGCAGAGGAGGAGAAACTGTGCAGGCAGTGTTTCCAAGATATAAAAACCTTCACAGGCCTACCATGAACTCATTTTGGAGCAAAAGCACTTGCCTTCATCATTAGCCTCTCGTTTTCCCTTTTGAGTTTATTACCTGGATATAATTTGTGTCCATGCTTAAGCCTTAATTATTTTCAATAATCATTTTCTGGATGCAGTTGCCATAGCATCTAATTCTTTGGCAAACACAGAAGGAATAATGACGTGTGTGCTTTTTAAGTATATGAAGCAAACATTGAAAGAAATATTTAAAAAGGGAAGAAAACACACAATGAAAATTTACAAAGAGAGGAAAACACATTTTGGGAAATTATGAAAATAACACCAGTGCAATGAAAGCAGGTCCTAATTCTGACTTTGTAAAACTTTGAATGTGTTTATTTTCACAGCTAGTCATATGTGCTAGAATCCATACCTGCAAACATGTTAACAGTTTTTTTCACTTTGTTTTGTCAATCCTTTCTGCTGGGAATAAGAATAGAGAATGATGTGGCTGGTGGAAATATGGGGAAAATGCCAGGAGCCTCATGGAGTCTCGGTCCCAAGGGTTTAAGTGAATTACTGTCTCAGATGAGTCAGGCTTGGGAGAACAGCATACTTCGTACCTCCTGTAAGTTTTTTCTAAAGATCTTGTGAACCTGTGTTTTGAATGCTAAATCCAATGCAACCTTTCTTATTTGTGAAATATGTGTCAGTAAGAATAAAAATAAATTTTAATTAAAAGACATGATTATGTGTTGTTTTGGCATGAAGAGGTATTCCTTCTTTAAAAGATGGTTTAAAGAATCCATTCATTGCAAAGTACCTATTAAGTTCTAATGATGCATGAAGTATCATGGAAAGTGGTGAGGATATGATAGTGGTACACAGGCTCAGTCTCTTGTAGCTTTCATTCTAGTTGAAATGAGATAAACACTAAACCCAGAAATAAATGAACATCATAAATCCAAGGAATAATTGATCTGAGGAAAGTACAGCAATGATTTGTAGTGGGGGACGTGAGGGGAAGAAGGACACTTCTGTGCGGGAGGCCTCTGCTGAGCAGAGACCAGAAACATGAGAAGAAACGCAAGTCATGGGAGACTGCAGCATGAGGGAGCTTTGTAGATAGACTTCAACAAGTGCAAGTGCCCTGAGAAGGGGATAAACTTGACGCATATGAAGAACAAAAAGGCAGCCACTGGGATCTGGATGTGGTGAAGAAGTCAGAGGGTCAAAGGGAAAGACACAAACTGGAACATGTGGCTCTTGCAGGCAGAATTTTATTTCATGGACAATGGGAAACCATTGAAGACATTTAAGCAGGGAAATAAGTTCTGATTTAGATTTTGAACATTGGCTGCTGGGAGGAGAATAGCAAGGAGGATGGCAGGAATGGAAGCAGACTAGTTAACTGTCAGTTTTTTTTTTAAGTAAGATTTCATTTTATTTTTTTTTATTTTTTTTTTATTATGCTTTAAGTTCTAGGGTACATGTGCACAATGTGCAGGTTTGTTACATATGTATACATGTGCCATGTTGGCGTGCTGCACCCATTAACTCGTCATTTACATTAGTTATATCTCCTAATGCTATCCCTCCCCCCTCCCCCCATCCCACAACAGGTCCCGGTGTATGATGTTCCCCACCCTGTGTCCAAGTGTTCTCATTGTTCAATTCCCACCTATGAGTGAGAACGTGCAGTGTTTGGTTTTTTTTGTCCTTGCGATAGTTTGCTGAGAATGATGGTTTCCAGCTTCATCCATGTCCCTACAAAGGACATGAACTCATCATTTTTTATGGCTGCATAGTATTCCATGATGTGTATGTGCCACATTTTCTTAATCCAGTCTATCATTGTTGGATATTTGGGTTGATTCCAAGTCTTTGCTATTGTGAGTAGTGCCACAATAAACATATGTGTGCATGTGTCTTTATAGCAGTATGATTTATATTCCTTTGGGTATATACCCAGTAATGGGATGGCTGGGTCAAATGGTATTTCTAGTTCTAGATCCTTGAGGAATCACCACACTGTCTTCCACAATGGTTGTACTAGTTTAAGATGAGAGTGGTTTGAACTAGAATGCTAGCCTGGAGGTAGAGGAGCATGGATAGATGGAATATTTCTAAATTTCTATAAATATGTGCATGTATTCATATGTTTGTATATATGTATCCTTGTCATTTTTATTATATATTTTATTTTTAAACACAAAATTTAAACTCTTAAGGCATTTGTAAGCAAGTAAGACATCTAAGGCATGTATAATAGCCAGCTGTCATCTGTGGATATGAGATTACCATCAATAACAACAACATCCATAATAAGTGATAACCCTTATCAGGCAGTCACTCTGTGCCATGCCCTGCACTGAATGCTCTGTAGGTATTAACTTATCTGATCCTCAAGAGGTGTGTGCCATTGTTATTCCTGTTCTAGAGATGAGGAAGGAACTTATACATTAAAGAGTGTGATGATGTGCTTGATGGTATCTAGCCAGTGAGTGTGCTGCTGAAATTTGCACCCTGGGCTATCTCGTTTCACAGCCTGAGCAGGACTGATACCGTATATTGACATCCTCTATGGTCATGCAGTACATTTGGGTGACTGCAGAAATAGCATGCCTGTTGAGTTGCCACTCTTTGAATGGATGATGCATGATGTTAGTTTCCTTGGAGGTGCATATTCTGAACTAGGTGAAATATTTTGGATTTAGGGATATTAGTGTGCCCCAGTGTCTCAGATGTTAATGATTTCATCACACATTAGAGAGTTGACTCCATAATTCTGGTTATCGGTCACTGAAATACACTTTGAGAAACTACAAAATTTGTATGTTATTATATTAAGCAATTGCATGGTATAATCAGGAAGTCATTTACAGAGAAGAAAACAGATTGAAATAAAATAGGATGGCTGCACCTTCATTTTTTCTAAGAAGTCAGAATTTCTATCTTTTCCTTTTTCCCCCTTTGAGCAATGCAGAAGTACTAAAACTGTGCTCAGTACTGCTTTTTTTTTTTCTTTTCTTTTTTGGTCCAAGTTGGTTGTGTGTGTCTCATTTTATTTTAATCTTTTATGTTTACCCTTCATTTCTGTGAGGACTGACTGCCAGCCACAGGCTCCCTGCTGGTAGAGGTAGGCTGTGTAAGCACAAGGTACACAGCAACTGCCACACGCCAAAGCTTCCTGATAACAAGGAATCCTCTGAGCTGCTGGGGAGCGGGCACTAATGAGGCCCCAAAGGAGCAGGGATGGCCATTGCTTCTCCTTCACTGCGGAAGAATCGTCAACATCTCAGGGGTTGTTAGTACCGAAAAACCACTGATGCAAATCACTGGGTCCTTGCATCTAAAGAATCACAGCTTTTTGGAGCAGAAAGATAGCTTAGCGACTTTTCATCTGCCTTCCTCATTTTGCTGTTGAGAAAAGGGAGGTCCAAGGTAGACAAGGAAACTTTGTAAAGTTTAACCAGTGTCAGAACTGGGGTTTAGGCCCTTTCAGGTATGTTTCTTTCTAGTAGTAATATTAATTATGATACTAATAATAGCTAATCTTTATTGAGCTCTATGCTTAGTTCTTTTCTATGCCTTAGGTTATTTAGTTAGTAAAATGAACTTTGACTGCAGTTACTATTATTATTATTATTATTATTATTGAGACAGGGTCTCACTCTGTCACCCAGGCTGGAGTGCAGTGACACAATCTCAGCTCACTGCAACCTCCACCTCCCAGTTTCAATGATTCTCATGTCTCAGCCTCCAGAACAGCTGGGATTACATGTGTATGCCATCACACCTGTCTAATTTTTTTGTATTTTTAGTAGAGATAGGGTTTTACCACGTTGGAAAGGTTAGTCTCAAACTCCTGGCCTCATGTGATTTGCCTGCCTCGGCCTCCCAAAGTGCTGGGATTACAGGTGTGAACCACTGCACCTGGCCTGCAGTTACTATTATTAATTCCATGTTACAGATGAACAAATTAGGATATAAAATGTCAAGTAATTTACTGAAGGGCAAAGAGATAGTCAATAGTGGATCAAGGACTCAAATTCAGGTTTAATACACCAAAGACTATGCAGACCATCTCTATGCTGTTCTGTTTCCCATTTGATTCTTAAAATTATATATGTCTGTCTTTAAAAGTATTCAGCAAGAAGGCTCTGCATACATCAGTTTATCATTTTAAATATATAGCTTAGGGATATGTAGATAAGACTAACAGTTGTGAGGAGTGTTGCAAAAATTTACTCCTAATAAGTTTCTTAGATTGCATTCTTTGGGAAATGGACTCTGAGACAGAGATCTGCATATACGAAGTTTGTTTGAGAGTGTCCTCAGGATCAACTCCTGTGTGAAAATAAAGGAAGTAGGATTAAGAAGAGGGAGGAAGGTGAACTATGATGCAGTAGTATCAAAGGCTTAGCCCATCCTATGGGGGGTTCTGGACTGCAATGACCCTTCAGAGTTGTCTCATCTTAAGGCAGGGGACTGGGCTTTCATATATCATGCAAAAACCAGTAATTGCATGAAGATTATCCCTAAAGAGGGAGATACAATTTGGGGCAACTCTGGCCGAGGGCAGTTCCTGGAGAGACTAAGCTGAGAGCCATCAGCCACCTGTATTTCTAGAGGCTGGGGTAAAGAATATTTCATTCTGAAGGGGAACTATTACAGTCCACCCCTTGTGTTCCATGCATCCATTTGTTTTGTTTAATAGAGTTTGGAAACAGCTTCTTCAGTGTTCTTGTTGGTTTCTCTACCTGGAAAAATTTACCAGGGAGCAGCTAATAGGACAAAATACTCTATCTCTGCAGCTGGCCTCAAGGTGGAAATGGACAGTTACTATTTCTGTCTTTTAATATTCATTCCAAGCTCTCTCTGACTGGCATTTCCTTCTTTTTTTTTTTTTTTCATCTGTTGCTGTTCTGGCATGAGAAGCCTGAAGTGACAGGGTGGAAATTATGGCATAAAACTTAATCGTGTCTGGCTGTGTTCCTGGCGGAAATGTTACCTTTCTAGGAACAAGAATTCTTAAGCCCTTAGAGTTTCAGCAAATAGAAAAAAGAAATTTCCCATATGGATTGCTGAGGCTACTTCTGCTTCTATCCCTTGGTTCCTAAACCTGTATGTCCTACCTGTTGAAGACACAGCACTATATACTAGTCATTGACTCAGGGTGTGTACGATGTCCTGGAGGATGATGCCTCATCCATGCAAGAAGGCCTCTACAAGTGGATGTTTCAATCATATTTTCAAAATGCCATCACAGTGATGGGAAAACTGGATATCCATCTGCCAAAGATGTTGGACCACTACCTCACACTATTTACCAAATTATTTCAAAATGGATTATAGGTAGAACTCCAACAGCTAAAACTAGAAAACTCTTAAAAGAAAATGTAAATATAAATCTTCAGGACCTTGATTTAGGCATGGGTTTCTTAGATATGACATTAAAACCCCAAGTGACAAAAGAAAAAAGAGAAAAATCAGATTTTCATCAAAATTAGGAACTTTTATGCTGCAGAGGACACCAGTTAGGAAGTAAAAAGACAATCCACATAATGGGATGAAATATTTATAAATTATGTATCTGGTAAGGGACTTATATTAGAATACAAAAAAACTCTCACGATGCAACAATAAAAAGACAAACCTGTTGAAAACTGGACAAAGGATTTGAATTGATGTTTCTCCAAGGAAGATATACAAATGGCCAATAAGCACATGAAAACATGGTTGACCTCATTAGCCATTAGGGAAATGCAAATTGAAGCCAAAGTGAAATATATTTCACACCCATTAAGACAACTAAACTTTAAAAAGGACAAATATAACAAATGTTGACAAGGATGAGGAGAAATTGGAACTTTCCTACACTGCAGATGGGATAGTAAGATGGTGGAGTTACATTGGAAAACAGTCTGGCAGTTCCTGAAAATGTTAAATATAGAGGTCCCATATGAAGTAGCATTTGCACTCCTAGATATCTACCCAAGAGAAATGAAAACATACATCCATGCAAAAACTTGTACACAAATGTTCATTGCAGCATTATTCACAATAGCCAAAGAGGAAAAATTCTAAAGTCCATCAACTTATGAATGAATAAGCAAAGTATGGTATATCCATACAGTGGAATATTATTCAGCTACAAAACAAAATTTACTAACATTTCATGAATGTACCTTGAAAATACTATGCTAAGTGAGAGAAGGCATTACAAAAGATCACATATTTTATGATTCCATTTATATGAAATGCCCAGAATAAACAAATCCATAGAAATAAAAAATAAATGAATGGTTTCTGGTGACTGGGAGGAGAAGAGAAGAGGGGAGCCTGCTACAGAGTACAAGGTTTCCTTGTGGAGTGATGAAAATTAGATAGTGTTCTTAGATAGTGATGATGGTGACACAACTCTGAACATACTATAAACCATTGAAGTATTCACTTAAAAGGGTGGATTTTATGGTGTGTGAAGTATACCTTGATAAACCACTTGGTTATTTAAAAAGTGGGCATTATCACCATAATAAGAAGACAAGCTACAAGCTATGAAAAACATTTGCATTTCTGATAAAGGGCTGTTAACAAAAATAGACAAAGAACTCATAAAACTCAGCAATAAGAAAATGAGCAACCCCACTACAAAATGGGCAAAAGACCCAAATAGACACCGTATTGTTAATTTTCACACTGCTATAAAGAACTTCCCTGAGACTGGGTAAATTATAAAGGAAAGAGGTTGACCTTCAAAAAATGAATGAATCCAGGAGCTGGTTTTTTGAAAAGATCAACAAAATAGACCACTAGCAAGACTAATAAAGAAGAAAAGAGAGAAGAATCAAATACATGCAATAAAAAATGATAAAGGGGATATCATCACCGATCCCATGGAAATACCAACTACCATCAGAGAATACTATAAACACCTCTGTGCAAATGAACTAGAAAATCTAGAAGACATGGGTAAATTCCTGGACACATATGTCCTCCCAAGACTAAACCAGGAAGAAGTTTAATCTGTGAATAGGCCAATAACAGGTTCTGAAATTGAGGCAATAATTAATAGCCTACCAACCAAAAAAATTCAGGACCAGACGGATTCACAGCTGAATTCTACCAGAGGTACAAAGAGGAGCTGGTACCATTCCTTCTGAAACTATTCCAAATGACAGAAAAAGAGGCAATCCTCCCTAACTCATTTTATGAGGCCAGCATCATCCTGATACCAAAGCCTGACAGATACACAACAAAAAAAGAGAATTTTAGGCCAATATCCCTGATGATCATTGATGCAAAAATCCTCAATAAAATACTGGCAAACCAAATCCAGCAGCACATCAAAAAGGTTATCCACTACGATCAAGTCGACTTCCTACCTGGAATGCAAGACTGGTTCAACATACACAAATCAATAAATGTATTCCATCACATAAACATAACCAATGACAAAAACCACATGATTACCTCAATAGATGCAGAAAAGGCCTTTGACAAAATTAAACAGCCTTTCTTGCTAAAAACTCTCAATAAACTAGGTATCGATTGAACGTATCTCAATATAATAAGAGCTGTTTATGACAAACCCACAACCAGTATCATACTGGATGGGCAATAACTGGAAGCTTTCCCTTTGAAAACCGGCACAAGACAAGGATGCCCTCTCTCACCACTCCTATTCAACATAGTATTGGAAGTTCTGGCCAGGACAGTCAGGCAAGGGAAAGCAATAAAGGGTATTCAGATAGGAAGAGAAGAAGTCAAATTGTCTCTGTTTGCAAATGACACGATTGTATGTTTAGAAAACCCCATCGTCTCAGCCCAAAATCTTCTTAAGCTGACAAGCAACTTCAGCAAAGTCTCAGGATACAAAATCAATGTGCAAAAATCACAAGCATTCCTATACACCAATAACAGGCAGAGAGCCAAATCATGAGTGAACTCCCATTTGCAGTTGCTACAAAGAGAATAAATATCTAGGAGTCCAACTTACAAGGGATGTGAAGGACCTCTTCAAGGAGAACTACAAACCACTGCTCAAGGAAATAAGAGAGGACACAAACAAATGGAAAAACATTCCATGCTCATGGATAGGAAGAATCAATATTGTGAAAATGGCCATACTGCCCAAAGTAATTTATAGATTCCATGCTATCCCCATCAAGCTACCACTGACTTTCTTCACAGAATTGGAAAAAACTACTTTAAACTTCATATGAAACCAAAAAAGAGCCCCATAGCCAAGACAATCCTGGACAAGAAGAACAAAGCTGGAGGCATCACACTACCTGACTTCAAACTTTACTACAAAGCTACAGTAACCAAAACAGCATTGTACTGGTACCAAAACAGATATATAGACCAATGGAACAGAACGGAGGCCTCAGAAATAACACCACACATCAACCACTAGCTGATCTTTGACAAACCTAACAAAAACAAGCAATGGGGAAAAGATTCCCTATTTAATAAATGGCATTGGGAAAACTGGCTAGCCATATGCAGAAAACTGAAAAGGGACCCCTTCCTTACACCTTATACAAAAATCAACTCAAGATGGATGAAAGACTTAAATGTAAGACCTAGGACCATAAAAATCCTAGAAGAAAATCTGTGCAATACCATTCAGGACATAGGCATGGGCAACAGCTTCATATCTAAAACACCAAAAGCAATGGCAACAAAAGCCAAAATTGACAAATGGGATCTAATTAAACTAAAGAGCTTCTGCACAGCAAAAGAAACTATCATCAAAATGAATAGGCAACCTACAGAATGGGAGAAAATTTTTGCAATCTATCCATCTGACGGAGGGCTAATATCCGTAATCTACGAAGAACTTAAAAAAATTTACAAGAAAAAAACCAAACAACCCCATCAAAAAATGGGCAAAGGACATGAACAGACACTTCTCAAAAGAAGACATTTATGCAGCTAAGAGACATATGAAAAAATGGAGAAATGCAAATCAAAACCACAATGAGATATCATCTCACGCCAGTTAGAATGGCGATCATTAAAAAGTCAGGAAACAACAGATGCTGGAGAGGTTGTGGAAAAAATGGAATGCTTTTACACTGTTGGTGGGAGTGTAAATTAGTTCAACCATTGTGGAAGACAGAGTGGCGATTCCTCAAGGATCTAGAACTAGAAATACCATTTGACCTAGCAATCCCATTACTGGGCATGTACCCAAAGGATTATAAATCATTCTATGATAAAGACACATGCACACGTATGTTTATTGCAGCACTATTCGCAATAGCAAAGACTTGGACCCAACCCAAATGTCCATCAATGATAGACTGGATTAAGAAAATGTGGCACATATACACCACGGAATACTATGTAGCCATAAAAAAGGATGAGTTCATGTCCTTTGCAGGGACTTGGATAAAGCTGAAAACCATCATTCTCAGCAAACTATCACAAGATCAGAAAACCAAACACTGCATGCTCTCACTCATAAGTGGGAGTTGAACAATGAGAACATGTGGATGCATGGAGGGGAACATCACACACGGGGGCCTGTGGGGGTTGGGGGGCTAGGGGAGGGATAACATCAGGAGAAATACCTAATGTAGGTGACGGGTTGATGAGTGCAGCAAACCACCATGGCACGTGTATACCTATGTAACAAAACTGCACGTTCTGCACATGTAACTCATAACTTAAAGTACAATTAAAAAAAGAAAGGAGTGAGGTTTAATTGACTCACAGTTCTGCATGGCCTGGGGGGACTCAGGAAACTTCCAATCGTGGCAGAAGTGGAAGCAGGCACCTTCTTCACAAAACAGCAGGAGGGAGAGAGAGCTTGTGAAGGAGGAACTGTCAGTTATAAAACCATCAGATCTTGTGAGAGCTCACTCACTATCATAAGGACAGCGTGGGGGAAACCGGCCCCATGATCCAGTCAACTCCCCTTTTGTACATGTGGGGATTACAGGTCCCTTCCTTGACACGTGGGGATTACAATTTGAGATGAGATTTCGGTAGGGACACAGAGCCAAATCATATGAGACAACATTCCAAAAAAAGATATTACAGATTGAAAATAAGTGTATGAAAAGATGCTCAGCATCATATGCCAGAGAAAATTTCAAATTAAAACAGCAGCAAGATGTCACCACACATATATTACCATGGCCACAATCCAAAACACAGGTCACACAGATGCTGGTGAGGATGTGGAGCAACAGAACTCTCACTCATTGCTAGGTGGCAATGTAAAACGGTACAGCCATTTTGGAAGACAATTTAGCAGTCTCCTAAAAAATGAGGCATACTCTTTCCGAAAGATCCAGCAGTTGCACTTCTTTGGAATTTACTCAAATGAATTGAGAACTTATGTCCACACGAAAATATCCACATGGACGTTTATGGCAGCTTTAGTCATAATCATCAAAATGTGAAAGCAATTAAGATATCCTTCAGTAGGTGAATGGATAAATAAATTGTGGTACAACCATAAAGTGGAATATTATTCAGTACCAAAAGAAATGAGCCACTGGCCATGAAAAGACATGGAGAAACCTTAAATGCTTAGTACTAAGTGAAAGAAGCAGATCCGGCTAGGCGCAGTGGCTCACACCTGTAATGCCAACACTTTGGGAGGCCGAGGTGGGTGGATCACCTGAGGTCAGGAGTTTGAGACCAGCCTGGCCAACATGGCAAAACCCTGTCTCTACTAAAAATACAAAAATTACCGGGGTGTGGTGACATGTGCCTGTAATCCCAGCTACCCAGGAGGCTGAGACAGGACAATCTCTGGAACCCACAAGGCAGAGGCTGCAGTGCACCGAGATCGCGCCACTGCACTCCAGCCTGGGCAACAGAGCAGGACTCCATCTCAAAAAAAAAAAAAAAAAAAAAAAAAAAGAAGAAGAAGAAGAAGAAGCAGATCTGTGAAGACTACATACTAAATGATTCCAATTATGTGGAAAACACAAAACTATATAGACAGTAAAAAGATTAATAGTTGCCAAGGGTTAGATGGATGGAGGGAAGGAAGAATAGGTGAGATGCTGATGATTTTTAGGGCAGTGAAACGATTCCTGCATGTTACTGTAATGGTGGATACATTGGTCCAAATCCATAGAATGTAGGACACCGAGAGTGAACCCTAATGTAAACTATGAACTTTGACTGATAATGAAATGTCAGTGTAGGCTCATCAGTTATAACAAATGTACCACCCTGGTTGGGGATATTGATACTCGGGGAGGATGTGTGCATGTGTGTTGAGGGACAGGAGAACTTTGTACTTTCTTCTCAGTTTTGCTGGAAACCTAACACTCCACTAAAAATAAAACCTATTAATAAAAAGTGACCCTATACCTCTTTATCAGTCTGACAGCTTCTGAGTGTCGTGGAGTGTATTTAAGATAAGTGGTCTTTGTGCCTGCATCTCTCCTGCACCTCTTTTGCTGTAAAGTAGGCTGGAGGTTCAAACACTCTGTAAGCCCTTGGATAGTGACGTTAGCTAAGGCTCGAACAGGAAAGACAAACCCATTTCTGGAATATGGATCAATTTCTGTCAGGATGAATTACTGCACCTTCTAAGGTACAAGGAGTCTCATGTAATCAACTTACTGCCAAGTGGCATGTTGGTTTCCTAAAGGCTAGTCCGTATTGGGGACTCGACATTGGACTCTTGATGGCAGGCTGGCATAGCTTTGCTAAGTGAAGAGACCATGCTTTAGGGCCCATCTGTAGCCTCCATCTGTGCTGCTACTCTATTCATGCATTTATTTTGCCAGCCCTATGGAGGCTGATGATAAAAGCTGGCTGCTGGCCGGTACAGTGGCTCATGCCTATAATCTTAGCACTCTGGGAGGCTAAGATGGAAAGATTGCTTGAGCCTAGGAGTTAAAGACCAGCCTGGGCAACATGGCAAGACCCCATCTCTACAAAAACATTTTGAAAACTTACCTGGGTATGGTGGCACATGCCTGTAGTCCCAGCTACTTGGGAGGCTGAGACAGAAGGATGGCTTGAGTTGAGGAGCTCAAGGCTGTAGTGAGCTATGAGTGCACCACTGCACTCCAGCCTGGGTGACAGAGAAAGAGCTGTCTCAAATAATAATAATAATAACACCAACAACAACAACAGGAGCAAAAAGTGGCTGCTATCAGCTGACCAAGCAGTTCTTCCTTACCTGAGTATTTGGTGCCTCTTCCAATGCAATTGCAGATGCTTTCTGGTGTTCCTTAAGTTTTGAAACTAAGAACTTCACATTTTGTGCCCACTCCCATGTTTCTGATCACATACCTATTCTTTATCTACCAATCTCTTCTTTTAGGCTTCTGACCAAATAGCCAAACTGCTTGCCACTGTCGCTCAGTTCGTATGTATTCTTCCCTTGGGCTCCTTTTCTTTTAACAGAAAACGGATGCCCTGCTCATGGTGAAAATTTCCATTCACTGCTTTCTTGCAGCATCACCCTTATTGAAGATGAGGTGCAGGAATTTATTTTTGACTTGAACCCACATGTGCAGCTAGATGGTCTGACCCAGCTCATGCCCCATTCCAAATCTACCACTTCCATTTTGTGCTGGATTTCTCTTGTGCCTACCTAGACTTATGACTTGGTGTATCTGACTGAACCAAGGTTATGATGGGCAGTTCTGTCAGAATCATCATGTAATGTACCATTAACAGGCATCTTTCTCTACTCAGCACTCTAGGAGCTGTTTTTCAAATGGTATATAGTTCTCCACTGCAGATGGCATGTGCCTGTTCCAGGACCCTGAGGGCGTATGCTGTGATTCTCTCATTGGAACTTGCGAGAAACTCTACAATGCATTTACCTCTTGCTCGTAGTTCTAATACCATAGCGTCTGTCAGGTTGTATGACCCCATGAGAAGGGTCACTTGCACACCACCTTAATCTGCTGCAAGGTCTTTTCCTGATCTGGGCCCATTTAACACTGGCAACCTTTGTGTCCCCTGGTGCACAGGTTAGAGTATTCAGAAGAGGCCTAACTGGTGATGGGAGGTTTGACAAGCAGTAATTTTTCCTTTACTTTGATGGAAATGTCCCAACAAGCCCCAGATCACCGAACCCATTTAAAAAAAAAAGTCCAGCTAGGAGGCAGACCTTTGAATCTTGTTAGGATTTTCCATCCATCTTTTGGAACACATGTCAAGGCCTCTAATATACTTGCCCTATGTTGCTCATTTGGTCTGTGTATCAGTCCATTCTCCCACTGCTATAAAGACACACACACCTGAGACTAGGTAATTTATAAAGAAAAGAGGTTTAATAGGCTCACAGTTCTGTGGGCTGTACAGGCTTCTGCTTATGGGGAGGCCTCAGGAAACTTACAATCGTGACGGAAGGGCGAAGGGGAAGCTGGCACATTTTCACGTGGCTGGCAGGACAGAGACAGCAAAGGGGGAGGTGCTACACACTTTCCAAACAACCAGATCTTGTGAGAACTCTATTACGAGACAACACTAGGGGGTTGGGGCTAAACCATTGGAAACCACCCCCATGATCCAATCACCGTCCACCAGAGCCTCACCTCCAGCACTAGGGATCACAATTCAACATGAGATTTGGGTGAGGACACAGAGTCAAATTGTATCAGTCTGATTAACATGATGTTGTTCATATAATGGACCAATGTGATATTCTGTAGAATGTCCATGTTACCTAGGTTGTTTGAGAGTATATCATGTCAATGGGTGAAAGAGTTACCATATCCCTAGGGTAAGACCATGAATGTACATTGTTGTCTATCCCAAATGAATGCTCTAGAGAAATGTAGGAAGCTCAGCAATTCATATTATGAAGCTTACATAATTTAAATGTAAAAGCCAATATTGTATGTAAGTCTTCAAAGCCAGCAGGTTCTTAGAAACTTTGAACTTTTTCTCAGTGAAACAGCATACAGCAGGTCATTGAATAATGTTATTCCCTTCAGTGTTGTTTCAATTATAATGTTGATGAAAAAAATAATGGTTTCATTATGTATTGTTCCACTTAAAGTCAGTTTTCAAGAACCTATTGGCGACATTGAGGACTTGCTGTATCTAAAAAATTCTAACCAAAATATTAAAAATTAAAATTTAGCAATGTATTAAAAGGATAATAACAATGAGCAAGGAATGTTTATTCCAGGATTACTAAAGTATTTTACTATATAGTCAGAGTCAACAAATTCTTTGGAAAAACCATATGCCTATATTAAATGGATACTGAAAAAGCATTTGATAATGTTCAGTTGCCATTCCTTATTTAATATGTAGATAAAATAGAAATATAAAGTAGATATGACAAAGACTATTTACCAAAAACTATCAAAACCCATATATATTCATCTAAATGGCCAACTACTGAGATTAAAATCAAGAAATTGTCAAAGATTCTTTTCATCACCATTATTTAGAGAGACATCATGTAACCAAATCCATCTGATTTGTCATAAAAATAGACAATTAGATTGGTGTAACCAAATCCATCTGATTTGTTATAAAAATAGACAGTTAGATTGGTGGACTAAAATATAGAATCCAGAAATAGATCTTGGGGTGGTCGATTGTATACCAAAGATAGTGTTTCAATTTAATGGTGAATGGATGGTTCATTTAGTAAGTAGCACTGATGCAAGTGGTTATCCATCTGGAATGAACTAAAGGTGGGGCCCTTACCTTCTAATATACATGAAAATGTACTATATGGATTAATGAACTAAGTATGAACAAAATAAAACTCTTAGAAGGATGTTTAGGAGGCTACATGTTTAATTTTGTGGCGGGAGAAACATTCTTAATCAAGATAGCCATTTAGAAAATCTAGGCATACTTTCTAAGTAAAACTTAAAAGCTATCATATGGAGAATGTTAGCATAAAGAGAATCAGTGGAAATTATGTTAAGGAAAATTTGTGAAGTACATAACAGCCAGAGAATTAATATCTATAGTGTACAAATATGTCTTACAAGTTGAGGTTTGTAAATTATATTTCTATATAAACAGCTCAGTAGATGAATGAACAAGGAAACCTACCAGCAATTCATAGAAGAGTAAAACCAGGGAGCTATTAAATGTGTAAAAAGATGCTCAAATTCAGGATGGTCATAGCAAAAGTAAAAAAGTGATAACATTTGTTTGCCAGGTAGAAATATGAATAGTTTCACCCTTTCAGTAAAATAATGTTTTTTCTATTATAACTTTAAAAATTATAAATTACATATATTTTGATTTCTGGGAATCTACCCCATATAAATAAAGGTGTCAATGTGTGTGTATGTGTGTTACCTGACGGCTATCGAAACATTGGAAAAGGTTGAATACATTTTGATGCATCTACTAGTGATAGGTAATCATTAAAAATGAAGTGTTAGAATTATCCCAGTTGATATGGAGAAATTTTCATCAGGTGTTATTAAGAATAGCAAGTTGCTGTAGAAACAATATCTGTAAATTTTATAAACCACTGACAAACCCTCAATGTATGTATATGTTTGTGCATGAATGTGTACGTGTAAATGAATATATGTATGTGTAAATAAAATTAAATTAATAAAATTAGGGAAAATTATGGAAGAATACTTGTTCTATTAGTTTGTTAACCTGGATAAGTGGATGGGAATGACAGCGCGATGTGTATAGACAGAAGCATGAGTGAAGTGGAGAACATAAGTCATAAAATAAAAAGTTAATTTTGCGAAATCAACAAAATAAGGAGAAATGAAATAAAGTAAATGGAAAACTTGAAATTATTTGAATGCTTGTGAACATGAGTATTTGACTGTGTATTAGCCAGGGTTCTCTAGAAGGACACAACTCATAGGATAGATGTATATATAAAAGGGAGTTTATTAAGCAGTATTGACTCACACAATCACAAAGTGAAGTCCCACAATAGGCTGTTGGCAAGCTCAGGAGCAAGGAAGCCAGTCCAAGTCCCAAAACCTCAAAAGTAGGGACGCCGACAGTGCAGGCTTCAGTCTGTGGTCGAAGGTCAAAGAGCTCCTGGCAAACCACTGGTATGAGTCCAAGAGTCCACAGGCTGATGAACTTGGAGTCTGATGTTTGAGAGCAGGAAGGATCCAGCACAGGAAAAAGATGTAGGCCTGAAGACTTAGCCAGTCTAGTCTTTCCACATTCTTCTGCCCGCTTTTATTCTAGCTGTGCTGGCAGCTGATTAGATTGTGCCCACCCACATTGAGGGTGAGTCTGCCTCTCCCAGTCCACTGACTCAAATGTTAATCTCCTTTGGCAACACCCTCACAGATACACCCAGGAACAATACTTTGCATCATTCAATCCAATCAAGTTGACACTCAATATTAACCATCACAGACTGGTTGCTTAAAAGTTCAAGAAATGGGCCGGGCACAGTGGCTCATGCCTGTAATCCCAGCACTTTGGGAGGCTGAGGCGTGCTGATCATGAGGTCAAGAGATCGAGACAATCCTGGTTAACACGGTGAAACCCTGTCTCTACTGAAAATGCAAAAAATTAGCCGGGCATACTGGCGGGCGCCTGTAGTCCCAGCTACTCGGAAGGCTGAGGCAGGAGAATGGCATGAACCTGGGAGGCGGAGCTTGCAGTGAGCCGAGATCGCGCCACTGCACTCCAGCCTGGGTGACAGAGCGAGACTCCATTTCAAAAAGAAAAAAAAAAGAAAGGAAAAAGTTCAAGAAATGAAACCAAATTAAGAAGAAACTTTTAAAATTTAGTAAGAGATGGTGTGGTTGAATGTCAAGGAGCAGAGATTGGACCCTAGTCTCAAATTTCCCTTTGGGGACAATGCATAAAGTGTAGACTACTTAGGATCAAGACATCCATATTGACATTGTGATAGAAATCGTTCTTTAAAAATCTTATCAGTTTTGGGGGTGGGGGTTGGTAATAAATCAAACAACAAAAACATAATTTTAAAAATGGACATTATTTGCTTTGTATCACTGAATATCTGGGTACCCCTAAGAAAGTAAATTTCATATTTAAAGATTATCCTGTATCAGAAAAAAGCAAGATCAAGAACTTGTTCCTGAAGCACTATTTAAACGAATTACTTTTCCTTTTACCTTAGTGAACTTATAGCCTAAATTAGTACAGCTACTTGAACTGGGATTATATAAATAAAATAATTATAGTGATGTCTGTGAATAGACAGATGGGGTTTTACAACACTTCAGACATGGTGGTGGAATTTAAATCTCATAAAACTGACACCAAGTGGATTTAAAGTTATGGAAATATCAAGGAGTGTGAAGGGATTCCAAAAAGATAGTTTTCACAGAGTCTTAACGATTGAGGAGGATGTAGGTGGCCACACAGCATAAATATCTTCAGAAAATTATTTTGACAGTTTTGAAGAGCCTAAATTGGCATCCCACCAGAGATTGGAGACTTTTTAAGTAGCTTTCTATTTAGAAATTTTAAAAACAAATAATAGACATCCTAATTTTAGTTTGGAGTAATAGATACTTAATTGCAGTTTATTACTTTTTATTATTTTTGTTTTATTATTACAATTACTTTTACTAATACCAAAGGGTATTTGAAACATTAACCTGCCTAAACCCCAACCTAATACTAGAGAGTATTTGAAGCATTAACCCTGCATGAACTCCAACAACCATCCCTAGAACTTTTGTCATATTGCATATGGTATTTTGGAATGATGTAATGTTTTGGGGGATGGCTTATTCTTTGCCTGAAAATTGTTATCAAGATTTTTCCATTACTTCCCCATCTTATTGTGCAAGAGATTCATCGGCCGGGCATGGTGGCTCATGCCTGTAATCCCAGCACTTTGGGAGGCTGAGGTGGGAGGATCATGTGGTCAGGAGATCGTGACCATCCTGGCTAACATGGTGAAACCCTGTCTCTACTAAAAATACAAAAAAATTGCCAGATGTGGTGGCATGCACCTGTAGTCCCAGCTACTTGGGAGGCTGAGGCAGGAGAATCGCTTGAACCTGGGAGGTGGAGGTTGCCTTGAGCTGATATCGCGCCACTGCACTCCAGCCTGGGTGACAAAGCAAGACTCTGTCCCCCGCACTGCTTTCCCCCCACCAAAAAAAGAGTTTCATCTAGGATACGTGTATTAAATGAAGATTCCTTGATCTCACACTGATGTTTTCATTGAGTTAGTCCAAGTGGGGAGGAGGGTTCTGTCATTGAATTTTTAAATAAGTGCCCCAAGGGACTCTGGATAAGCTGAAGATATCTGTACATCATTAAATCTTCTTGTGTTCATAAAACTGTGCTATAAATACTACATTAAAAGCCAAACATTCTGACGTGTGTTCAGTGAAGAGTTCAACAATATGATCTGAAAACGCAGAAAGGCTCTTTTCAACTTCAAAGTTTCTCAGAGTCAGGCATGTTATATTCTTGAGCTATTCAGTTACATTGTTATATCATAAGGTTTTAAGTTCATAGCATAATATATTGAGAAGAAATTCTAATAATGCCTTTTCCCTTTCAGTGCCAACCTGACCTCCCTTGTCAGTTGCCTCAATGTATTTTCTGCCTCGTGGTCTGTGATCAATACAGAGAAATCAGTTTGTGTCCTTTCTGACTCTTGCATTCCTGGAGTTTCTGATTAATTTTGCCTCAATGACTCTACAAACTCCTCCATTGCAGATTGGAAGTTTAACTTGAACTTGTCATTCAAATATGATTAAAAACTATTTTTGAGAAGTGGGTTTTTAAAATACGTTCTTTTAGCAGTCTTTGAACTTGGCCTTCTTTTAAACTGGAAAAACTCTGAATATGAAGACTTGATTAGGTGGTCACAAAATCACTGCCCTCCCCAGTTTCTTTTTTTCGACTGTCTCAGTTTTTCTTCCTGGCTTGAGTGTTCCTGTGATTTTCTGAGAATGGGAAAATGGGGCTGTGAAGTCATTTATGGCCCACTTACTTGTTTGACTATATATTGCTCATATTTTTGTGGCTGCCTTGATGACTGTGACCCTTAGAGTATTTTTTTAGGAGGAGGGGTACAAATTAATATCTATACGTAAAATGTGAAATCTGCAAGTAAAATTGGAAAATAATACTGAAGATCTAATATGTAGTATTTTCAGTGATCTACTACTAAATTAGTTTATATCATTTTACCTGGAAAATACATTAGCTTATTTATATTCATTAATGTTTCCTATTAATCTGTATTTTCATCTTTCTCCATTTTGGATCTAAGAGTACATTCTCACACCATTCTAACACCTTCTTTTAGAAAACAGAGATAAGTATCCAAACTAGCACTTTGCCTGGAGCATTAAATACCAAAACCCTATCTTGACCAGGTCACTCCTGAGATGTTCTCAGAAGACCTGTTCCCATCAGAAATTAACATTCCCAAGCAATAAATGATACGCTAGTTTTAAATCTTATTTTTTGGTCGCATCATCTTCTTAAATACTCCTATATTCAATTTTATCTTGATTGTTTATATCCTACTTTTTCATGCATTTCATGTACTTTCTGCCTGTTGAATCCTTTGAAACTTAATACACAATTTTTTTTTTGTTATTTGAGACAAGGTCTTGCTCAGTTGCCCAGGGTGGAGTGCAGTGGTGTACACTCATAGCACACTGCAGCTTTGAACTCATGAGTTCAAGGGATTCTCCTACCTCAGCCTCCCAAGTAGCTGGGACTACACTACAGGCACATGCCACCATGCCTGGCTAATTTTTATTTTAATTTTTGTAGAGATGGGAATCTTGGTATGTTGACCGTGCTGGTCTGGAACTCCTGGCCTCAAGCAATCCTCCAGCCCCAGCCTCCCGAAATGCTGGGATAACAGGCCAAAAATTCATTCTTTCAATCAGTAATTTTTTTACATTATAAAGAAAATATAAAGCCATGAGAGAACTTTTTCAATTTTAAAAGTAGAAAGCCGTAAGCAGGAACAAAATTCTCAAATCTTTTGAACACTGTTTAAACAATATATATGATTGACAAATTTACACTGTTAGCTACAGTCAAGACTGTGATTATGGCCCAGTCATGTCAAACTGAAAAGTTAATTGTTTGTCATTCATCATATTATCTAGTACTACTTAATGCATCTTAGCTGAATAGTTAATGTTAGTGTACTTAATGTTTCTCACATCACTGTGTGGATCAGTATGCGTTAAGAACTTTTTCAAAAATGTGCTTTCTCAGGCTTCAGATTTTGCTTGGGTAGAGGAAATACACATGGATTTTGAAAAATCTCCCTAGTACTAAATCCACTATTTTAATAGTCTGATTTATCTTCTTATAATTATGCAGGTTGCTTCTAGGTTCATTTTCTTAAATCACTTCTTTAAATGAATCTTTGTTCCAAGCCTTGGTGGCTCTTCATCTCTATAGGATGAAATTTATAATTTTCAGTGTTTCATTAAGCCCCTTTTCACCTCTGAAGAGGCTAGAGTATGCTACATTTAAAAAATTATTTTATTTTTCATTACCCAGACTAGAGTGCAGTGGTGCAATGAGCTCACTGCAACCTTTTACTCCCTGGGCTCAAGTAATCCTCCTGCTTCAGCCTCCCAAATAGCTGGGACTGTAGGTGGGCACCACCATGCCTGGCTAATTTTTAATTTTTTTTTCAGAGACAGAGTCTTGCTATGTTGTCCAGGCTAGTCTCAAACTCCTGGCCACAAGCAATCCTCCTGCCTTGGCTTCCCAAGTGCTGGTGTTACAAGTATGAGCCACTGCACCCAGTCCATACTACATGTTTAAACACAGTTTTTCTGAAAGCTACAAACAAGCAGTGAGAGTTGAAAACCAATTTGTGAGATACAAACAATTTTCCATTGTATTCTACCTGAACTCTTTGTTCTAATCTACAGCTTTATAGAGTTCAGAAAAAAAATGCTATTTTCTTTTATAGTGAAACATTTTTTCATACAAAAGAATATATGATACATGTATGTAACTTATAATGAACAATAAAATAAACTCTCATGACCCCAGCACATAGCTTAATAGGACATTGTCTGTGACTTTGAACCCTAATTTATGTTCCTCCCTATTTGAGGCTCTTTCCTTGCCTTTAGGGTCACTACTGTTTGGATTTTACATTTATTATTTTCTTGCTTTTCCTTTAGTTTTACTATGTATTCATGTAACTCTACAATTGTTAAGTTTTATATTTTTGTATTTTATATAAATAATATACTCTATTCTTCTGCAGTGTACTTTTTCAATTTGATATGTTTTTGAGTTTTGAATAGGTAGATGTGTAAACCTGTACTTCATTGATTCTTTCTGCTATGTGGTAGTCCATTGACTGAATCTACCACAGTTCATTTATCTGCCCACTTATTGAAGGACATCGGTTTATGTTTTTGCTATTAGCTATGATGCTGCTATGATCATTTTTGTGCATGTTGAGTAGTGTAAAAGGGCAAGAGTTTCTCTCATATGGGTGTCAAGGAGAGTAACTGCTATGCCTTCAGCTTGAAATGGAATTGCTATGCCATTTCAGCATGAAAATGGCGATGGCACGATGTTTTCCAACATGGTTAGTATGGACTTACACTCCTACAGTCAGGATATGAGAGTTCCTTTTGTTTCACTGACTCATGAACACTTGATACCCTGTAACTTTTTACTTCCTGCTATTAGTTTTACCTAGAGTGTGAGATTTTCAGTAATATTTGATGTTACTCTTTTTGGTTTTCTATATTTTATGCAGTGGTTTTGTATTACTAAATTAAAGCAATAAATTTAAAGTATTTTGATAGAAGAAATAGGCTACATAGCACTCTTATGATTGCAAACATAGAAATTAAATATACTGCCTGTGTATATATGCACATATAAACTAGAATGAATGATTACTTATTAGTATTGATTAAATAGGAACACTTGGCTTTCTAATTTATTTTTTGCATACTTGTTGAATTAGGGATGAGGTATGTAGTTTGGAAAAAGAGAAGCAGAAGAAAGTTTTTGGCAGGTAGGAGGCAGTGTAGAGAAGTAGAGAGGTAGAGCTTTGGGGACCTTCTACCAATATGTCACTTAGCCGTGTGCAAATTGCTTGATTGCTCAAATTCAAATTCCTCATCTGACAATTGGTATACCAGTAGTACTTACCCTGTTAGTGTGAAGATTAATACATATAAAGCACTTTGTGTAGATGCTGACGTATAGTAAGTAAATATTCAACAAACTTCACTGACTGTTGTTAACTAAGGTGCTTACCATCTGCTTGGAGGAACAGGATATACATAAAGAAAAAACAAAGAAGACATATTCTAAGTGCCCAAATCAGACCAATTCATTGTTTATAACCAAATCAATGTTCATATCAACTTGTGGTGTGGAAAGAAATATTAACCGTTAAGCACTATGCAAAGGAAATCCCCTAAACTTTAGAATCTAAAACTGTTCCTTACACCTATTCACACTTCTCCACATGCCCCCACTACTTTTATTGAAGAGAAATGAGAGGGAATCCATGAAGAAAATCTTGGGTATATGTATACACACAAATAGAAATCAGAGAATTAGGAAGCTCACAGAGCAGCCAGCTTTCTATTTCAGCTATATACTTCTTCAAACATGGATGGCTGCCAGCCCTCAAGAAGGGACGTGTTTTGCTAACTGTGCACTTTCCCAGTTCTTAGAAACATTGTCCCCTGGAGTGGTAACCTTGTAGAAGGCAAGCTTCCATAATAGAATGTGCTTCATGGCGGGTCATACAGGTCTGGATTTTATGTGTGCAGTTCTGGAAGGCTCTCTGCTGGGTCCTTCTGTCACCTCTTCATAGCAAATGGAACCTCCTTTCCGAACAAATACAATGTGGAAATGGGAAATAAAGCCTGTACGTTTGGACTGTATTAAGGGTCTTTTCATTGTAACTGCACATTCTTTTTTCCTCCTCATTTCTAATCCTAGTTCTTTACCCACCCACTCTATCCACTTCTTAGAGCCTTAATGGAGCAAAGTATGTGTCAGTAAGCTCAAATGTGAAAATAGGAAAGAAGGATAACCAGCACTTAACAGAAAAGCAGCACCGGAATCCCATCTACAGATATCTATGTAGGGACTGCCTGGATGATGACGTATTAATTTTTTTTTTCATCCCAGAAGAAACTGGTGTTTTCAACTGGTGAAGGAGTCACGTGGCTATTTCAGGAGGTGGAAACATAGCAGCTCAAATTCTAAGATTCCACTGGAGTAGACTCTAGAAGCTTGGTGATGGTGGGCAAATCACTTTATTGCCCTAAGCCTTAGTTTCCTTCTTTGTAAATGGGAATAGTCATAGTACTTCCCTCATATGGCTGGTGGAAAGATTAAACACCCTCATCAATGGGCACAAGATAGTCAGTAAATGACATGAATTACCATCAGCATTTGACTTTTAATACTTAAAAAAGAAACATTTCTTAGCACCAATATTCAGTACTAAATACTTTTAATAAATTGAACCCTGATGTCCCTAAGTGACAGTCCTGCTTAAAATGGCACATTAAATTGTTGGATCTCAGTGTCTTCATCTATCCTGTGCTAGATATGTGTTTATTGATGATCAGATCCAGGTCTGTGGGAGACCATAGGGTGGAAAGAAAATATCTTAGCATATATCGAAATTAATGGGAGGCTTTCTTTTTAAAATATTAGAAAAAGACCATTTAGATGGTCCTTTTTAAGGTGAAAAATCAACTGAAGTATTTTTTTTTAATGTGAGAAGGGTGACATTTAATATGTTTTTGAAAGACCATGGTACTGCCCAGTTAAAATGGGCAACAGCTGTGCATAATTGGCACAGCTGAGCTGTGTACACCTGGGCTAAATATCAACCTGGAATCTAGTGAATGCAAGGGTTGGGTTGTGGCTACAGATCTTCAGCAATTTCTTGGCTTTCAGTTACGAGTCTCTATAAAAACAGCAGCTTTGTTTTTGATTTCTGTCCTCCACTACTGCCTTAGGGAAGCTTACTTCACAGAAAAGCACCACCTACCAAAGGTCTGGATGTCCATACATCCTTTATATCCTTGATAGCATAAAATATGTATGTTTTCAAAATGCTCAAATGATAACAACCTTTATTTATTCAAATACACATGCTCCAATAAAATAGAGCATCTCCAAAATGAACATTAAACAGAAAGACTTTTAGTAGGATACGTTGGAATCCATCCTTTTTGTTGTTCCTTGAAAATATGTCTCAAAGCACCCGTTTTGCTAAGTAAAATAATAGATCTCTGACCCTGCAAATAATTGGGCTCAGGAGGCATACACAGGGAGAGAATTTTAACTGAAGTTCAGTGTTCTCGGCTTTCTTAGCTTGTGATAAAACCTTGATCACTCTGCTTTAAAACTGTAAAATTAGTGGATTATGTAACCAAAATAAAGAACATTCTTATTGCACCCAACAAAGTGTTTCACAAACAGTTACTAATTAATCTGCACAAAATCCTTTCAACTAAGTATCAACACCCACCCCAAGTTTATATAAAAAGCCTCACTGTAGTTGGGTGTTAGGGATCTCAAATGCAACTCATCAGCTCAGATGACACAAGAAATTGTGCCTCCTGTATTTCTATAACTCAGCTTTTTTTTTGTTGGTGGGCAAACTCTCATCCTGCTTCCCCAGGTATCCTGTCACATTTCTGAGTCATTGCAGAGCTTATGAATTAAGAAATGTGTGATGAGCAAGACTTAGAAGGATGGGCCATGGGTCATTCATTCATCCATCTATCTAGGTTGTCTCTGTCCACCGTCCCTTCCCCTCGGGCTGCCCTTCTCTGTTTCTGGGTCTTGGAATCTCTTGTAGATCCATCTCCTTGCAAGCTCTGGGTTACCATTCTTCTCTTCAATTTTGCCATTCCCCTGTAGACCTCCATCCCTCCATCTCTGGGAAATATTGGTTTTGAAGGAAATCCTCCCTTCTCTGTTAATGTACTTCTTGCTGAGGCTTTTGTTGAATAGTCTCAGTGATTTTTTGGAAACTACTTGTGCTTTCGGAAAACAGCTCATTTGGGGAACAACATGAAGTTTTGTTCCATCCTTCCTCTGCCTTCCCTACTGCAAGGAGTCACAGAGGTGGCAAAAGGGGGAGATTTCAGGGAAAATAAAACCAAGTTAAAAATGGTTAAACAACAACCGAGGCAAAGATGCCATTGAGTCTTGTTATTGACAGTTAGGACTGGAATTTGGAAGCTCCTTGTGTCCTAGCTAGTGGTTCCCAAATGCATTGACAACCCTGCAGCAGAATTACTTTGGAAAGTTTTTTAAAAATACAAATTCTGGGCCTGGTGCCTGGAAATTATGATTCAGTGGACCAGGGGATCTCTGTTTTTACATAGTTCCCCCACATGGTCTGATATGGAGCCAAGCGTGGCGACTACTTCCCTAAATCTGATGTTCATTAATTCAACACATATTGTTTTGAGTGTCTGCTATGGCCTGGGCACCATGATAGGCTTTTGGCTTTTGGGTACTTGTGAGGATGCACGTGGAAATGGCTAGGTGGAAAGTGAGCACAGCAGAGCATATTTTTCTTTGAAGGGGAATCTCTTAATAGTTTCTTGTTGTTATTAATGTTATCTATTGTACTATTGTTCCTCCTCCATAAGAGTATGTATTCAGAGGCCTCAAACTCCTGGTCTCAGGACACATCTTGTCTACAGGCAAGTTTTGTTAGGCCAGCTGTGTGTGTGTGTGTGTTTTAAATGAAAGTATGACAGGTTTGCAATAATTGTCTAAAACGGAGAAGTAGCCGTCCCTCTTTAGTGAGTGGGTAGGCACCTGGCAGCTCAGTGCCACCACCCCTCTGGCACTCTGCTCTGATTTATAAGGCCTACCTGGTTCTTTAATATCCTCAGATTCTAAGTACCTTGAGAAAATTGGAATATGTGTTTGTGAAAACTTCCACTTGTTTTTGTTACTCTGAAATAATAGGCTTGGTGAAGGGAACTTGTTCTGCTCCTACAAAATAAAATGTCTCCAAATGTCCACATGGTAGTACCTTATCGGAGGGTCTAAGTAAGCAGGAAGTAAGTGGAGTCCATGCTCTGAACAAACCAGAAATTGCCAAGTTCATTCCAGGAGCATATTTATTACAAATGTATTCGTCCAGGCAGAGTTCTAGGTACCGAAGAAACAACACTGGTCTGGTATTCAGAGTTGGATCTCTACTGTTGCTTTTTAGTAAATTCAATTTTGTCTCCTAAATCTGTCTTGGGAAGTGGGGGAAATGAAACCACATTGATTACTATTGTGTGATCTGAAATGTGTCAACTCTCAGTTTCACTTTAGTGTTTTCATTAAGGTCCTCAAACTTTTCCTGCTAGTAGTTACAAATACCTTCCTAATATTTAGTATAGGGTACAATTAGAAAAGGTTAATATCTGTATGGTACTGAGGTACTGAGGGGAGGCTTCTGTGGCCTACGGCATCCTGTTGACACAGGGCTAAGGAGATCTCCAATCTGGCACCGTTTTTGGGACCCTCTGAACATTTGTTGCAAAGTTTTGGTTCTTACAGGGGAGCTCATTCAGGGATGAATGAGGACCATCTCCGTAAATAAAATGTAATACCTTCTTACATAACAGAGATGTCTTTTTCTGAAAAGTGAAAGAGATGCGTCCTGTCTCTCAGTGTCCCACTTCTTTCAGTAAAAAGAGTAAGAAATTTTTTTAAAAAATTTTATTCCTGAATAGAGGAAAATATTGAATTGTTTCTAATACGTAGTGTTGCATATTTCTTCTGGAGCAATGGAGTGACCAACCCTAGGTTTTAGAATTTTAGATGGGAAAATACATTTTGGTTAGAGGTTTCAAGACGGGCTGCAGCTGAGTTGCAGATATATTTGGTTTGGTCGTCACGAATGTCTTGAAGTTGTGATTTTCGACTTCAAAACGTGGCTTGCTAAGGTTAAAAATTGGGAGATCAAAAAATATATTACAAAAATAAAAACTGAAAGATCTCATTAGAAAACTCTGGAAGTCCAGGGTCTTCTGAAATAAAGAGTTCACAGTCAGTCTGGCAGTTCACAATCAGGCTGTCTGGCAGCCCCAGGCTCGCATTGTATCGCATTGACAGCCCTCAAGGCTGAGTTGGATGTGCTCACACACTCCTGTTCTCAGTCTCCACCCTCCATATGCTTTTGTATCTGGCCTATCAGACTCAGGGGTATCTGCAGATCATTACATACAGGCAGTCAGTTTGTGTCTTTCCCTCTCTCTCCCTCCCATTGTGTTTTATGCTATCATCGTGAATCATTGCTATTTGTATAAAAACAAATGGTGGCTTGTTGCTGCATGAGTTTGGGAGTACTTCTCCCATCTTTCCTCAGCTGAAGTTGATACTGTGGGTGTAAATTCAAGCTGCTATCACAGTTTGCCCCAATTTAGATTTACACTTCTGTGTTGATAGAGTGAATGTTTTATACACCTAGATACAGCCCCTAATAGGTGTGAATTCTAAGCAGATAACTATTCATAGCCATGATTAGCATTTCAAAAAGGTGTCAAAATCACTCAATTTGCTGTGATAAAGCAAATTTTAAAAACACAGGTAAGCTGAACAAGTGTTTAAACAAAAAGATGTAAGCAGCGTTTGTCTCTTCAAAATGAGTTAGAGACCTAGGTTTGAGTCCATGCTTTATTTAAGACTTTATCTCCAGACAAGGTGTCAATTATATTTAATTTTTTTGAAATCATAGCAGTAACCATCACAACTCAAATACCAGCTCAGCATGTAATCACAGTCTTAATTCTTATAACCAATTTATGTGCATACCATTCCCATTTTACTGTTGTAAAATTTAAAGTCTAAAGAGGTTTAAGTATTTAGGTTGGTGCAAAAGTAACTGTTGTTTTTGCCATTATGGTCAATGGCAAAAACCGCAATTACTTTTGCACCAATCTAATAACTCGCCCAAGACTACATATGTATATATCATACTTAACTGTAAGTCATTCTGCCTCTTATACATTTAAAAATGTTCTCTTAGTAAGAAACACAAGTTATTTTAGGGCTCAATACTTAACAGTACATTGCACTTCTATAGCATCATTTTACAAAGCAGTGCTAACTCATTAAATTCAGTATATCTGAATAGTTTCTGTTCTATTCTACTTCATTTGTTTAAGACAAACAAAAACTCTACATACAGCATCTTAAACACAACCTACAGTTTGAGAAACACTGACTTAGAAGCTTAACATAAAATGGAAAGATCTTTGCTGTATTTTACAATAAAAATAGTTCTTTAAGATTCCATGTTTAAAAAATGGTACAGATAAGATTTTTACATTTTGATGTAAGCAAATTACATAAAACCTGTGTGCAAATAATGAAAAAAAATAATAAAGTGGGGATATGAGAGGGTGAGTGGCGCTGTAGACAAAACAAGAATAGCAAAATATTAATATTGATTTTTTTAAGTTGGGTGATGGGCATAAGGGGCTCATGCTATTCTGTTTACTTTTAATTTGTTTGGAATTTCACATGGTAAAAAGGTCAGTTTTAAGAAGTGCACCAAGCTCTTAGATCCTGTTTTCCCAGAAGACTCCTGGTTGTATGAGAGCAGAACATGTGAAGGATGAAGTGTGTCCTTTCTTTGGTAAAGTTCCGAACAGAAAGTAGCCAGGCTGGATGGTAGCTGATTCTCCAGTCTTCTGATGATGCTAAGCTGCTCTGAAGTTGGGATTCTCACCTTGACATGATTGTCATTTGGGCTGGATAATTGTTTGCAGTGGGTGGCTGTCCTGTGGTATGGCAGAGTATTTAGTGGTATCACTAAACCCTAACCCCTAGGTGCCAGTAGCTCATCTGTATCCCTCCCCAGCAAGTGGCTACCCAAAACATCCTCAGATATTGTTGAGTGTCTGCTGGGAGCCCAGGTCACTCTCAATGGAGAATCTCTGCACTAGAGCTCAAAAATATTACCTCATTTTTGCATTTATGCCTCTCTAGGCTTTGAACAAAAATACAAAGCTTCAGAGGATCACTTTCTTCCCAAGCCTTAGGGTAAACCTGAAACAGATTAAGCCAAATAATAATACCCAGGGATTGACTAGGAAATACTAGATTCAGGCATCTGTATGAAATTGGGAATGTTGGTTAATGTTTTTCTACCTCAGTTATTTCATCTGTAACATGGGGGTGGTGGTAGTAAATGACATAACATGTGTGCATATTTATAAAAGCAGTTAGAGTATTGCCTGGCACATGTTCAATCTGAGTGTTTGCCATTATTATCTACCTACCACCCATAGTGCCAGAATTGTGGTTTGGATATCTTGGGGAGTGAAGTGATCCTCTGAAGTGCTGCATTAGTATTATGTTTAGTTATTAGTGCTCCTAAATGTGTCTGAGTGCTTTGAGCATGTTTGCTTGTATGTTTAGCCTAAGAGAGCTCCCTGAGTAGTTTCAGAGTTAAGAGAAGGAAGTGTGGTGGTAGTACGCAGTTGGTTTCCAGAGCTCCTCAAAATGGAGTGACTCTATAAAATCAAACTATGGTTTCTAAATTAATTTACCTATGAATATGAAAATACAACCACAGGCACATAGGACATGCTGAGCATCTGGCACTGGCCAGGCATCATCATTTCTGTGACCTCTTGGAGACACTGATAAGGAGCCTCCAAGACGAGCCTGATGGTTCTCCAGAAAATGCCTCCATCCCAGAGCCAGCTTTTCTGTTTTGGCCATGGGATAGGGTTCATCACTTCTATTCCCTTTTCAGCATACTTTTGACTTTGCTTATGTGATTTTGGCTAAGGTGGAATCATTATCATGCAAGTTAATCCTGAGAAGACTCTTCCCTCTAGAAAAATCAGACCTTTTTCTTCTTGCATTTTGAATTTTCCTTCTCACTTTATGAATACAGTAGTCCCCCCTTATCTAAGGTATCATTTTCTGTGGTTTCAGTTACCCAACGTCAGCTGTAGTCCAAAAATATTAAATGGAAAATTCCAGAAATGAACAATTCATAAGTTTTAGATTGCATTCCATTCCGAGCAGTGTGATGAAATCTCACACCATTCTGCTATTTCCTGGCTGAGGAATTGAATCCTTTCTTTATCCAGGGGACCCACGCTGTGGACGCTCCCCACCTGTGAGTCACTTAGGAGTCATCTCAATGATCAAGTCAACTGTTGCCATATTGCAGTGTTGTGTTCAAATCACCCTTGTTTTATTTTTATTACAGTGGATTTCTATAATTGTTCTATTTGATTATTGTTGTTCATCTCTGTCTTATTTCTAAATTAAACTTTATCATAGGTATGTATATATAGGAAAGAATAAAGTATACATAAGGTTTGGTACTATCTGCAGTTTCAAGCATCCACCAGGGGGTCTTGGAATGTATGCCCCACAGATAAGGGGGTCTACTGTATGCTCAGGAATTTTCCAACTGAAAACCATTAATCATGGCTGTCTCTTTACCCTCTACCCATTTCTAGCCATGATCCCATCTCTCTCATTCTCACTTATTGAAAGAATAGCTGATTCTTTCTGTTTCTCTGGTTCTTCACCCATTATTCACACATCTACCCACCACTATGTGGCTGATCCTTCCCAAAGACTCCACTGAATCTGGGCTTGATAACATCACGAAAAGCATTTATTTAGCAAATTAATTTTCTCTCCTTCCTTCCTCTTTCCTCTCTCCCTCTCTTTATCCCTCCTTCTCCTGTTTTTTCTGTTTCTTTATGACTTAAAACATTTATTGAGGTAAAGTTTACATGCCATTAAATTCACTCTTATTAGTGTACAATTCAGTGCCTTAGTAACTTTGATGGTCGACCATCACAACATCCTGTTTTGGAATGTTTCCATCATACTAGAAGGAACCTTCATGCCCATTTGCAGTTATGCCCCATCCCACTCCCAGCCCCAGGACATCTATCTGTTTGAATGTTGTCACTCTCTTGCAGAACTGAACACTCTGCACCCTTAGCTTTCCTAACACAGTCCACATGTGAGTCATACTGGGACTCTCAGAATGTTCCTTTTGTCTTCTTCAGAAGGGAGTTCATCTTCCTCTGCTCACACCCTTAACCGTTGGGTTTCTCTAACCTTCTCCCTCGGCCCAGTGCTTTGTGGGCTTTCCCCGAGTCATTTCTCTCACTCTCATGAATCACCTATCTGGTCTAGATTTTCCACTGTTCTGTGTCCCTGTGTTTATCTCTTTCCTTATCTCCTAGGTAAGCCGACCTTTTTCTCTAAGAATTACCTCAGATGCTACCTGTTCTAGGATGGTGCTGTGATATCCCCCGTTTTCTAATTGTTGGTTGTACTTCCTGTCTATAACTGTACATGGAAGAAGCACCACTCATGAGATGTAACCCTAAGTCAGCTTTCTAGTCTTTCCTGCCTGTTATGGGAGTTCTTCTCTTAGCTCCTTTCCTGCTGCAGATGAAAACTCAGGTAGCCCCACCCACTCCACTTCTGATAATGCTTAGGTAAGGGATACAATTTCAAGCAAAAAAATTAAAACGTCCTGTCTTATGTAATAGTTAAAAGGTAAAACTTGATTTAAAGGGAAAACTAATCTCCCTCCCTGGTGCTAATCTGGTGTGGAGCGAAGGTCTACAGTTAAAGAAATAATGTTTTGGCTTCTTTTCTCACCTAGCTCACCTACACTGCTTCCTCCTAACTCGGTAATTCCAATTCTGCTAAGTATTTTGCCCGGAAGAGAAGAAAGGAGACCAGCAAGTTCAACTTGATGGATCCTGTTGCAGTGGCTTAGCGTCATGTCACTTTGGACTTGCTAGAAGTGCAGAACTGGCGTTTTCTTCCAGTGGTTCTTCCATGGGTTCACTTGAGATTCCAAAACACTGGGGATATTTCCCCCTCAGTTCCCTGAATGTAGTGCTGCACTCTCCCTCTTCCCCACCCCAGCTAGCCACTTCCTTCTTTCTCAGCCCCCACAAGTCCAGAGATACCCTAGCTTTCCTCTGTGAGGTCTCTTTTCCCCAGAAGGGGGTTCTCCATCCCAGGATATATAATAACCACATTCCACAGGCACTCACCCCTGTGTGTCTGGCGCACAGGAAACGTCATGTATTCTGTGCCCCTAACATCTCTGAGAATCCCTTTCCTTCACCAGTTGCAACCCACTATTTGGCTCCAGCGTGCTCTCATTCTCATTTAGTGGTCTCATTTAGTATCATCCCAGACCACTGCATCCCTCCAAAGGCAGCTCTCTGTGGTCTCCTTGATGTGTAACCTTAAAGTGCAACTTAAAAAGGAGTACCTGCCTTCCTCTCTGTGAGGAAGAGTTCTTTCCAAAGTCACCCCTTTCTCAAATCCTCTACTCAGTCTCTGGACAACTCTGATGTGAGTGAGCTGTGAGAACCAGGCAAATGGTTTTGCAGGATCTCCTTTAAATGTTTGCACTTCTTTCTGGCACCTCCCTTTGGGATGTAATACCTGCTGAGTATTGGTGGTCCAGGAAACTTCGCATGAGCATCCTGTTACAGACCTCTGTCTTCCAGTCTAGAATCTCTTATTAAAATGTAGTATAATTATATTTATGGTCAGTGTGCTACTTGAGAGTGTCAGTGCCTTGAAGACATGAATTTATTTTAAAATATTCTTTCTCTGTGCTTATACCTGACATGCTGCAGGCATGCAGTGAATTTGAGTTTTTCCCCAAGATCACTCTCCTTCCATGATTATGAGGTGAGGAACAGAATGGTCTGGGCTAGTGTGCACAGTTAGAACTCAGTGTTGAAACTCTATTTCAGCCAAAAAGTTCTCGTTAGCACTTTTGATTTCATTTACCTTTTTCTACTCAGTGAATTTGAGTTTTTCCCCAAGATCACTCTCCTTCCATGATTATGAGGTGAGGAACAGAATGGTCTGGGCTAGTGTGCACAGTTAGAACTCAATGTTGAAACTCTTTCTATTTAAGCCAAAAAGTTCTCTTTAGGACTTTTCATTTCATTTACCTTTTTCTATTCAACTCCCAAAAAAATATTGTTTACAGATTTTTCACATTTTATCATTTTAGGAATAAATTGTTTTTTTTTCTTTTAAAAATGTTTCATTTCATAATTTATACCACTGTGAACACTAGTGTAATAAATGATTTTACAAATTTTTGTGGCAGATTACTGGGACATTGTCCTTAGTGGTAACCTCTCAGTAGTTTCAGAAAACCTTCAGAATGAGACTGAGGAACCACTCAAATAATAAGTAAATTATTTTGATAACTATATAAAAACATTTTAATTCTAAAAGTGAATTTATGGCACCTACATACATGTCAAGCTAAAACAAAATTGATTCTTAGAGTTGCCACTACATTTTCCAGTTGGTAAAGTTTCTAAACACGTGACCCAGGCAGCTGAGGTAGTGACTATGCAAACAAAATTTCAGTGCCACGTGTTGAGCTCTGTACTGTTTGAAATATTTTAACGTGGAAGATACATTACTTTTCTATTGTTAATCCATTGGAAAAGTTTATTAATGCTTTGGATAATAGATATATGTACACTGAAGAATATTTAAAATTTTTGAGAGACTGTATATTGAAAATTTTTATCTTTCTATTCTCTTCCTGACCCCACAGTTTTCCTCCCCAGAGTTAGCTGCTTTTAACAGGTCTCATATATCATTCAAGAACTATTTTGTATAGTTATAAATATATGTGCTGTATATATATATACTATAAACAGCAAATATGGAGACAAAAATACCCATATTTCTTTTTCACACAGTGTTTTGCACCTTATGTTTGTGGTTTACTGTGTCTTTGAAGTATTTTCATTTCATCCCAAAGAGAGTTGCTGCATTCTTCTACATTCGTGCCTATTATAGGGATGGTGCATTACTGCAGTGCATGTGCTTGAAATCAAGCAGTGGAATTTTTATGTTAATAGTCAAGTCCTTTCCCTTTACGGAGGAAGTAACTGAAATTAAACTTTCAATTGCCGGTTATATTAATACAGACCTTTGAAAATACATAAAATATCAGGTTATACTTCATGGCTCTCTAATGATCTGATTACTTAAGCATTCCATTGGTATCTATTGTGTGGGGAAAATAGGTTGTAAGTACACAGTTTCTATCTTTATTTCTCTTTGACAGATTTGTTCACCCACCTGTGTCTCTATTTCTTTATCTGAAAAATGGGGGGTGATAACAGAAAGATCCCCATGAGTGGTTGTGAGGATTATAGTGGGTTAATTCTAAAAGTGAATTTATGGCACCTACATACATGTCAAGCTAAAACAAAATTGATTCTTAGAGTTGCCACTACATTTTCCAGTTGGTAAATGTGCCTGGCACATAATGGGCACTCCATAAAAGTTAGTATTATTACATTACTATTTAGTTTCCTTCCTGGTATTGCAAAATTGTCTTTGCAGAAAAACATTCATATTATATTATATTATAAAGCTATTTTTAAATCCTAAGTAAATATATGGTGGCAAGGAATGTTATGTAGACTTAGGAAAGGTACATTCTTCATTATCGTACAAGGAGGTCTGGAATAATTTTCCATTGAATCAAAGGGAAGGAAAATCTACATACCCTTTATAATTATTTAAATTTGTCTTTGTTCATTTTGTTTCATGTTTAACTTGGAAGATGTCTTGGAAAAGAAGAGATCATGGAATTTGCTTATCATTTAGTTTTCCTTTCATTATTATATGTAGTAAGACCCTAAAGTCTAAGTTCCTTTTATGTGTAAAGGTTATTTTTAGGAAAATAATGACACTTAAAAAATGTTCCAAAAAAGCACCTTAGATTTGGCTACCTTGGAAAAGCATTAGACAGTGCTGTTCTCCTTCAGGGATGAAGACTTGCTTTCAAAATCCTGCAACACTGTTGAAACTCAGACTTGCTCTTAAACAAAAAGCTTGTCTTGAAACATGCTACAAGCGACATTATTGCATGTCAAGTACAAATAGTCATCCATAATTGCGGAGAGGCTTGTAAAGCAGTGTGACGTGGAATTGGCCAAGTTAATTTGAGGTTTAAAGCAAAGCAAGAGCATTGAAGCAAACCCTTTGTAAAGTATACTTAAAAAGTGTTGACATGTTATCTAACATTTTGAAGCATGTCGGTTGGCATGATTAGGTAACTGTGTCTTGTCCCTTTAGCTTGCACTTAGTTGAAACTAGTGGAATCAATTGAAAAACAGCTTTGTAATTTTTTTCTGGCATAGCATCAGTGATGTTGGTCTTGCCAGAGAAGATCTCTTTGAGTTGAGGACAAATTGAAAGAAGCTCTGAAACCAACACATAGCATCTCAGAATGTTCTGGCAATATTTTTGTATTGCCGCCCCATCTACTGCAATATACATACAACAAGAACTCTGATTCTGTTTGCTACTACTTTTGTCCAGTGATTGCTAGAAGACCAGAAGCAAAAATTAACAGAATGTCAGAGATGACATACCTCACCATATAAAAAACAATCTCATTATTTAAACTTATTTGTCAAATTTTTCAACAGTAACCTCAGGAATATTTGTTTCTTTGAACAGGATTTTCCTTTTCTTCAATTTGTATAGTTTAGATTTATTTCCATTTTCATAAAATTTTCATTAATTTATGCATGAAAAATAAGCAAGAAATATTTGAATATACATACATGAACACACATATCTATATAGGTATACACATATATACATATGATTCCTATGTAAAAGAAATTATTTTTCAGTGTAATAAAGCATAGAGTACACACAAGTTAGCTTATGTCTGTCTATGTGCATTTGGACTGCAGAGATAGATGCATTCATAGTTTTGGCTGATTCTAAAAAGGGACCTTAACCTATGAAAGGTTACAAATCACTATTTTTTGAAGATTATTATCTAGTAGGAGAGAGAAGCCATAATCTAAATAATACAATAGAAGGTGTTAGAAGTGTTGAGGGTCAAGGGAGAGAATATAAAGTGCTGTAGGTGTTCATGGGAGCATGGGATGACTTCCAGCCGGCATTCACCCTGTTTGTCCATTGTTCTGTGGTCAACACAGAACTGTGGGTATGGAAGGTAACATCAAACTGGGCACATGATATCCTTCCTTCTTTGCTGCTGAACACTTGTGAAGTGCAGGAAAGATGGGTGAGCTGTTTAAGAATTTTGGATTTGGAGCCCAGAGTTCATGTAACTTTGATTACCTATCTGGCCAGTTTTCGGCAGGAGGGAGGCAGGGTCAGCATGCAGAATGGATGAACTACATCTCTGGAAGATGTGAAGATTATGGATGAGTGAATGAGTGAGTGACTATGAATGAACAAATCAGTTATGTGATGCATGATTTCTGATCTGACAGGATACACAGTCTCAACAAGCCAGTATACTCATTAACTAGTTGACTACCATGCTAGTGTGGTTGCATACCATGAGAGTGAGTTAATGTAAGTTCTAGAAGATTCACAGTACAACACCCAAAGGTATCAAACTTTTATCCACTAATAATTGAATATTTTACTATAATAAATGTCGGTAAGCTGCTCAAGTTTTTTTTTGGTGAAGATTAGGAATAATATATATTCATAAATATAATTCATTTCTGAAGTATCGAAATTGGAGATGACTTTTTGTAGATGCAAGAGAGGGTGGTGTATTAAGCAATCCTTACAGTTAAAATTGCTGTAGGGTTTTTCTCTTTGAGAAAGAAAATGTTTGTTAGGTACATGTTATCTGAAAGAAATGTTGCCAAATCATTCTCACACCTAAACTTTCTCCACATAAAGAAATGTAACTCTCAGCATTTGCCAAGATGATATTCAAGGTTGTCTGTATACATTAAAAATAATAAATACATATCAATATTTCATGATATCTGCAGTCTTAGTAGCAGTTTTGTAAAGTATATGACTAGCCACAAATGGTTTCTTCCTTCTTTTAGAGCAACCAGGCACAACTATTTAGAGCATTTTTGGTTTTGAGTCCAAGGTCTAGCATTTTTTAGCTCAGCTGACATTAAGAATAGATAGTACAGTTGTCAATATGCATTAAATTTGGGGGCTATTTAAAGATTGCCATGAGAACGTGTTGTGAATATATTAAGCTTTAGCCCTTAAATGCAAATGTCTATTAGCACGGAAAATTCTAAAGGTTATCTATTTTTTCTTTGGCTTAAAACATTCCTGTGAATAGTAGAATATTCTTATTGTAGCAGATGATATTTTGATTTGTATTTGTCTTGCTTCAGTAGCTTCCTTTGTATTTATTTTAGCTTTGTGATTTCAGAAGTGGGGAGAGCTTTAATATGTCACCTCTCTCCGTGATGATACATGGCAATGCTGAGAAGTCAGATTGTGATAGTATTAATTACCTTCATTATTTATAAAGCCAATGTCCTACTTTAACATTGATTAAAAATAAGCAACATAATTTAAAAAAAACTTCCTGAATGACATCTCTTTTTATCTTCAAACCTTTTACAGTGTATGCATGTGTGTACGTATAAATGAATATTATATGATATTAACATATCTTTTCTTTTAAATCAAATTCTTTGTCTATTGTTTTCTAGTTTCTAATTTCTACGAATTTGTGGGTGAGAGTAACATTGGTATGTTGCAAAATGTGTTCTCTTTTCATCTTGTTAAGCCAGACACAGATTATAATATTTCTAATTTGAATGTTTATTTCAAATATGATTATTTCACCTCCCTGATTAAACTTGCAGTTAACCTTTCAAGGGTATTATTCTGCGACTAATACCCTTAGCCAGACATACAAGATTGACCCCCATACATCTGCAGTCTCATTTCATACCACGCTGAGCTTTGCCACGTGTATTTCATCTCTTTAGTCTTCTTTCTGTTTGTGCAACCCGAGAGCAAAAACATACCATGAGCACCTAAGCCACAGGGCCTTTGCATATTCTATTTCCTATGCCCAGAGGTGATTGTTAAAATATTTAACCAGCAGTAGGGCATGCATACTGATCAATCCAAAGTGACATGGGCTAGAGCAGAATTCTGGAGGCCCTCTGCTGAGCCTTTTGGTTGGCTCCAGAGAGGTGTGGTGGGGTCCTGGGACAGCATGGAGATAAGTAGTAGTTGATGGGGGAGTGGTGTCCAGACATTAGCTACTCACAAGCCTATCTGCCACCTAATAAATCCATACCAAGTACTTGTCTACACTAGGAAAATTTCCTTCCCTCACTCTGCAGCACATACACACACCTCATTATTTCATCTCTTCTTTTCTTCCTCTGTACCCCAATTCCTCAGAGAAGTTTTCCCTAACCTTCCTGATGAGGACTGTTCTCATTTAGGCTTTCATAGAAACGTCTACCCTCTACTGTACCTTTCATGTGGGCAATTTATAAATACCCCATACTCATTTAAACAAGGTGTCACTCGCAATAGTTGATAAACTCTATGAGTACGGGGATTATCAGTCTCCTGACAATCTCATCACCACCTCCACCTCCCTCTAGAATTGTAATCCCAGCACCGAAGAGGTACTCAGTAAATTTTTACTGAATGAGTGAGTTTTCAAAAATAATTTAGAGCTTCTTGGAACACATTTATATGTTTTAAATGTAACCAATGTACATGTTATCTTGGGGATGGATTGTTGGGAAGATAACGTTTTTTGAAAACAATCACCTTCTTTATGCCTTCTCATACACTTTCCTGAAACAATTTTCACATGGTGGCCAGTTCCCATGCTGTGACTTATCCTTTGGTTCCAGTAGAAATGCTTTTCACTCACTTGATGTCCGGTGCAAAGATTTAATCTCCTGAGTGACTCATTCATTGTTCTTAAAGCTCAGCAAGAAACATTGCTTGAAAGCCTCCTGTGAAAGGGTATTTGGAACATTGGAGCAACCAGTGATGGGTTAACTGTGGTTCTACCTTCAGAGATTTATCAATCAATCTAGTAATTTACTCCTTATTTATAAGAGTTTATAATATTCTCTTTTCCCATTACAATATTAGGATGCAGACCATGTATTTTTTTCCAAATGACATAGGGCAGAGCTTCATATATTTATTTGAATAGTTTTTGATATTAAAGATGAGGATGATAATGGCAAGGTTACTGCACAATTGTTTGCTAGAGTTTCCCCTTCCTTTCCTGAAATTCCCAACTACCTATTCTTTTTAAGTCTGTTATTCTGTTATTGCCGAATTCCTTCTAAGTTAGATTTCGTGTATATACTGGATAGCTATAACTTCTGTGAAGAAGGAAGTACCAGTTCAATCAATGTACTCCTCAAGCCTTTGCAGTGTTCTAGTCTTACCCATTGTCCCTAGACTTTAGTGCATGTTACTATCATTTCCTAGCTTCTCATGAGTCTTAGACATATATATGTATCAGATTAATGTATCTCATGTTTCACATGCCTTTTATGACTAGTTAGCATTGTATTTTATTAGATAATTTAAAAAACATTATTGGTTTTCCACTCTTATCTATCTATCTATATGTGTATGCATGTTTGTGTGTGTTTCATCTTTCTCCTGATTTTTGGACCACGGTTTCCTCAAATGCATGATTAGAAGAAAAACTATGGCTGCCAGTTATAAATTAAATCTAATCTAGAATGATTTCAGTTATCATTTAAATTAGTAATTGAAAATAATTGTGGACATAGGATATGTCATTGATTGAGCAGAAGGAAGGAAGGAAGAAAGGAAGGCAAGATACCTGAGACCCTTTGGTCCAAGCAGGGAAAATCAGCCACTGGAAAGGCTTGAGCAGTATAATGATTGATTGAGGTGGAATGTGTGTCTCTCCCTCGTATATTTAAATTATTCAGTAATTTTGGCCATCAATCACGTGGGACCTGGTGCTGTTAAAAATAACTTCAAAAAGCCTGTTTTCTATGCACAGTGTAGCAGACACTGCGTGTGCCCTACTCATCCTCTTGCCTTCATCACTCCAGTGCACACACCACTTTTAATAGCTAGCATATATGTTTCTTTCCTTTTTTTTTTCCTTTTTCCACCTCTGGAGTTATTTACTGCCCTAGTAGGAGGTTACAAGTACTGGGCAATTACTACTATTATGGGAACTGGTGCTGCCTTGCCCCTTTGCAAGAATAACTCAGGGATGACTCTTGGATGACTCTTAGGCATTGGTTCTATAGGAACTGGACTTCCAGTCACCCATGGTGTTAGAAGGCTTTATATTTCACCCTTTCTAGGCTGCCTTCCTTTTCCTATCTTACTTCTCCATCCTGTCTGTTTTTGTCCTTCACTTCCCAAGTAAATTACTTGCACTTGAATTCATTTTGTCTTATTTGTGTTGTGGAACCCAAACTGAGACATGCAGTTTGCAGCAGTGGGGATATTGAGTGAAGGTTAAAGGTCAATGTTACTACTGTAAGTTGTTAACCTGCAATTCTTAGAACAGCAGTTCTCAATTGTATTTTCATTTGTTTCAGATTCCAGTGGACCTAGAGGGAGTGATGCCTAGGCATTCTAGCCGCAATTCCATCTCTTACAACCTACCCAAGAATATATATTAGATTGCAGGCACCTAAGAATATTATTATAGGAATGATGACTTAACATATTATTTTAAGTACATATTTTTCAAGTTGTCATATTTTTATTATTTGAGTTCTTATTATTTGGGACGTACATAATATCTGATTGCATACGCCACATGTCAGGAACCCATTGTTGGGAACCACTGTCTACAGGAGGCCAAGTTCTCTCTTTGGGTCAGTGACAACTAAAACAGCTCAATCAGTAGCAGCTGCTGAATCAGAGAGTTGTACCCGTTCCTTACTAAAGTAGCAAACTTTAAAATCATTAATTCCCCGTGTGGTACCAACTGAATTGTAGGAGTCCAGAGATTTAGGTCTGTGTATCGCGCATACTTGATCATTAACCATGAAGCTTAACTAGTTTTAAGTGGCCACTCAAAATGACACAAGACTTTCACATACTTATTTCCTCTCAACCAACATATTCAAGTTTATGAAAATTAAAGCAAAAAAGAAAATGGTTTCATTTGCAAGGTTCTCAGACTGAACATTTCTACCATTAGCATTTTAAAATCTGTTTTACACAGCATACATAATTGGGAGCTTTCTGCAGTTTTCTAAAAAAATAGGTCTAAGATGGACATTGATAATGCTATCTATAATTTGCATGCTTTATTAGGAATTCAGAAACTGCAAAAATTAGTGCTTCAAGATATCTGCTTATTTGACTCTGTTAGTTTTGCCAGAATGCTATCGTTAGAGAAAATGGAAAAAGTTAGAATTTTAGGTTAATGTTTTCTTTCTTGAAATTATCTAGCAAAATTTTTAATAATTAATATATTAAAATTTAATATTTTAATATTGGTAAACATTTCAAATTCTATAAGATCGTTTCCATCTACCTATGAGTTACATGTTTTTTAAGTATCTACATTTCAAGCGTCCTCTATTTTGTATCAAAACAGATTTGTTTTATCTGAGGGTTTTCAGTGTCTCCAAATGATAAACAGTTTTTACGAAAAGAAGAAAATCTCTTTTTTAAAGCAGCTTTTTTTTTTTTTTTTAACGAACTTCTTTGTACATATATTTTACAGATTAAAGGATTTACCTGAAGAGAAAGCATTCTATTCATCAGAGACTGGACAAGAGTTACTCTTGCATTTGGCAATTAAAGATGATGTTTCCATGGAAACAGTTGATCCTGCTTTCATTCATTGGCTGCTTAGGAGGTAAAAAAAAATCCTATATTTTCTAAGTTGAGGTTAGAAGTATACTCGAGTCATATGCTTACATAATTTTTAGATGTTGAAATAAAACTCCACCAGTAGCAAAGAAAAACAAATGTTTTTCCTCCCAAAAGGAAAATTTAAATTCTCTAATCTGATAATTGGGTTCTTATTCCTTCCCTTATTTTTGTAAGCCATTTTTATTTCCATAGCAAATATAATGACATCTGATATTACAGATCTACTGTAATATTATGCTTTGGTATTATGAATATAACATCAAATTTGAGCATGTTAATTTGTGACATTTTTTTTCCAAAGGAACTTAAAGAGGTGAGATCTCACATACAAAGGAGCATATAAATTTAAAAAGTGCTGGTATTTTCATATGTTTTACTTTTAGCAAATAACTTATCTAAAGGACCAAAACTGAATATAGATACAATTTTATTTTTTAATTTTGGAAAATTTGAAATTTAGAATAAAGTAGAAAGAAAAAATGAAAAAAAATTATCGTCTTTGACACATACAAAAGCAACTATTACAAATCATTTGTTGTATTTTCTTTTGTTAATTTTATTTTATTTTCTGGAGAAATAAGTAAGTGAAGAGTTTTTTTAAAATAGTGTATATATAACTAACTTTTTGTTTATTTTATTTTGTTTTCCCTCTTTTTATGATATTCTCAAGCACCAAAAAAGCTGAAACAATAATACAATGAATGAATACATCTGTAGGTATTATTGAGATGTAGCTATTGTACCATTTTACTGTATTTCTTCTGTATATATGTGTGTGAATGTGTGCTTTTTCCTTTTTTTTTTATCTGTCTACTTATTTTGGCTAACCCATTTGAAAGTAAGTCATAAAAAGCATTACTCCTAAAATTTAATACTCATCTCCTTAGAAGACCACTTTTCTACATAAACATAATTTCTTCATGATACCTGAGGAACCTAAGAAAAAAGTAGCTTGAGACTTTTCTAAAAGAAGAAAATGAGTGCGGAATGAGGCCAAATGGAGTAGTCAGGTAAAACACATGTTATTTAAAGACATGAATAGATTGGAATAGACTTTTAGGCTCTTATGTCAAAGTTCAAACATGCTTCAAATATTTACATGATAATATATAGCAAAAATCCATAATCAATAATAGTTACAGATTAAAATCTTTAACTTTTAAAAGAAAGAGGTTTTTTGTAGTTTTTACAGATTTTTACTGTGATGCCTCAATTTTGTTCCTAAAACATTTTCATTGACTGCTACTCATCAAGTACTGAGGACAAAAAGAATAGTTGTTTAAAAATTTCTGACTTTCAAATGGGCTTTGGAAAAAGTTCAATATGGTAAAATATTTTATTCTTGGAGTCTTTTCTTCATTTATAAAGTTTCAAATATAATCTCTGTTTTAGGAAAAGGAGCAAAAGTGACACAAAATGTACTGCAGCAGTATTACTGTTTATGATATGAAATTTTGTAAAAGCAATGTTGAAATTTTCCAAATAGTTGAGGAGACATTCACAGAAAGACATACTCAGAAAGAGGAAGACATGTTTAGAAAGTAGAAAGGCAGCAAAAGAAAATGAGATCAGCTTTTAAAAGGTTTCACATTTTTAGTTGTAATTTTACATTATGTGAAATTTGTATTGTGTTTCAGCATTTTTGAGAAATGTTTTACATATTTACGAACAAATATATAGAAAAAGCAGTGTCCACTTTAGTAAGATGTGAAGACATCATAAAGAATTTAAAGGTCAACTTATTCTCTAGATATGGTGGTAAAACGTTATAAGGATTTGTAAGGGAGAATTGGATTAATTTACATGTGACAAATTATATGTAATTATATATATTTGCACATATATGTAGATATGTTTCCATGTGTGTGTAATTATACATGCAAATATATGTAATGTATGGACCCCTGAACTTTATATTTTCCTCTTTAGGGAATTAGAAAGGCAGTGGAGGCCTATGTCCATATAAATATACACTTAAGCCTATTATAATTGAGACTACAGATCATACTATATGAGAGAATTTAGATTACCTTCATGAAATTATTTTTTAAAAATTATCAATACTATAGTGAAGGATAAAAGACATGGTCACCAAACAGGAACAATGGCTTACTTTAGTATTGTAGATTTAGTCATGGACAACATATGCCCACAAAATTCACATATTTGGGCTGCTTGTTTTCACAGTGATAGTTGCAGTGTATGCAAATACAGCCTAAGACTGCTGACACACATCTTCAAATGCTTTCAATCATAGCATTCTTCCATTCTATGTCATGCAAATGTGAATGAATTTCTGTACTAGTCTTCCCTTAATAGTGATTAAGGAATGCTTTGAAAGCAAAATAAACTTTTCAAGTTCTTCCTGAAATGATTGAGGAGTATTTTCCATTTGGTGGGTTTAATAACACCACTCTTAAAATCACTGAGAAAATGATCAAGAATGCCTCTGGACTGCAGTTAATCTCAAAGCAGATTTGGAACTTTGTGAGTTTGTGGTGTTGGATGTGGCACTTCGAGTAAGCAATTGCCATAAACTCAAGTGGCTGTCATTTCTTCTGTAGTATTTGTACACAGTGTAATATGATTTGATAGCATTGATACTGGTGGAATGGAGATGTCACTGATCCCTGCATATAAATCTTGACATCCTCCATGTTTTTACAGAAAAACTTATTTCAAATCATCCCCTCTATTGCAGCAGACTAAATCTTGAATTGCTTTTCATTTATACCATTTAAATCTTGACAGTTTATCAGAGTACGCATGTGAGAATCAGTAAAAGATGCAGACACTGTTGGTGTATTTTGTTCTTATAACCTTGATCATTGATTACTCCGCATATTGGATATTTTGTAAGCTGCATGGTGACTAAGAAGGCATGTGGGGAACTTAAAAAATATATTGCAAGTGCTATTAGAGTTCAACAAACATTTAAGGTTAAATACAACCCACAATTTTATTTTGTTCTTAAAATAGCAGTCTCAAAAGTATCTGTTGGTTAGTTAACTGACTCCTGCAAATAAAGTGCTCACTCAAATGAATTTAATTGACTGTTGCCTAAGTGTTAAGCTGTCTTAAAGTACTCATCACATAAAAGTGTTTTTAAATACCCCTGAGTAGGAAGTCTGTTGAAAGCAAAAGAATGGAAGCTGGTATATTCACAAGGGGTGGGTATCATTGCAGGAGATCAGGATAGGGAGGTGTTTGCCTGGTGACAGCAACAGAGGAGAAGGTTTAAGGATGAAGTATGGAGAATTAAATGAAAGGGGCAGGCTGGAACCTAGGGTGAAGTGGGAGAGCTTACAAAAGATTGAACAGAGATGTGGAAGGATCTCTAGTGCAGCAGGATGTCATGGAAATTGAGGAAGCAGTTCAGGAAAAGGGAGAGGTGGAAGAAGAGGATGTCTGAGGAAAAGCCACTGAGGCTTGTGAGTAGGAAGCCTTGAATTACTGGAATGTAGGGCTTTAAGGGGGGAAGAAAATACATTGAGGTCCGTAATACTTTGATAAAACTGAATTATACTTACTGACATGTACACATGTATACAGTTGACCCTAGCACAATATGGGTGTTAGTGTTACTGAACGGACAGTTCAGTAAATGAACCGTTTGCTTTCCTGGTGCAGTAAAGCCAAACATCCACACCAAGGCTTTGCAGTGGGAGAAAGGAGAGTGTTTATTTGCAGGCAGCCAAGCAAGGAGAATTGGTCAGCTCACACTTAAGACCTGATCTCCTCAGTGGCTTATAAGCAAGAGTTTTTAAAGGTAGTGATAAGTTTCAGAAAAGCAGAAGTTAAAGGCCAGATCGTAAGTCAGCACATGCAGGTTATACATTGGTTTGGCCTAAAAAGGTGGGTATCTTGAAGCAAGAGGAGAGGGAGGTTACAGGTCCCTCTCCTAGATGGATTCTGGCTCTCTAATTTGAGTTTGGTTAAGAAAGTGAAGCTTTGTCTAAAAACTTGGAGTCAGGAGAAAGGACTGTTAAGGTCTGGCCTGTGGGCATGACTTCCTCTGGGGCCCTCAGGAAGAAATTTAGAAGCAGGAACTGTGGCCAGGGTTCAGTCCTCATTTCCCCCTTATCTGAGGTCTATAGGCCAGAGGTTCCATTTGGTAAAGGTCCCTTTTACTGAAAAACAGCTCAGGGATATATATTAACATGTTGTCTTTAGTTTCTAGAGGAGCCAGACATCTTGTGACTCCAACTTCCTTGGATATTGTTTTAAGCTATTACTATGTTCTTACTTACCAAGTTGCTCATTTACTTATCAGGGCTAGCTCAGCGCCTGGAATTTCCGTTGAAGGAACTCAAGATTTTTCTTTACTTCTATGCTTGGGAAGGCCTGGCAGGCCCCTAAGAAGGATCTCTGCCCCATCTCAATAGGTGTGTTGACCATCCCCCCAAGTATGAAAATCTATGTATAACTTTTAACTCCCCCAAAACTTAACTGTTATACTTAGAGCCTACTGTTGACCAGAAGTCTTACCAATAAAATAGTCAATTAACACATATTTGGTATGTTATGTGTATTATATTCTGTATTCTTACAGTAAAGTAAGCTAGAAAAAAGACAATGTTATTAAGAAAATTATAAGGAAGAGAAAATGTAGTTACTATTCATTAAGTGGAAGTGGATCATCCTAAAGGTCTTCATCCTCATTGTCTTCACATTGAGTAGACTGGGGAGGAAGAAGAAGAAGGGGGGTTGCTCTTGCTGTCTCAGTGGTGGCAGAGGCAAAAGAAAATCCATGCAAATGTGGACTTGTGCAATTCAAAGCTGTGTAGTTCAGAAGTCAACTGTATTTACATGCATATCTGTGTGCATTCCAGGCCTGCCCATGTTGTAGATGGCACAGTGAGATCTAGAGCATTTCAGGTACTTGTTCAAAGTCACATAGCTTGTTATTGACTCAGTAGAGCTTTTTCTAGACTGCCTGAATTTTCATCTAGGGGGTTTTCAGCTGCACTAAGCCTTTCATCTGTATGGTGTGTTGTACATTCTTCTACAGAAAAGAACCAAGTGGTTCCTCCTTGGTGGTGGGTAAGAGAGACTGTTGATACTTATCAGCGATTGGGAGATAGATGTGTGTGTGCACAAAGACCTGGGTGTGCACTGAGAGGAGTTGAGGAGAGTTGTCTTTTGAAAATATCTCTGAAGATTTTCAACTAATAAGTGTTCTCAAGGTGAAAAGCCTTAAGTGAATGGTCAAACGCTGAACTTCCCAGGAAGGTTGGGTTGCTGAAAGGAAAATGATTTCTTTCAGATAGAGCTGCTTCTAAGTCAAACAAAACTTGAGGGTTCATTGAGATCAACTGGCTAGGAATTTCCTTGACATGCCAACTGGCTTAGTGAATCAGAATTTCATTCACAGTGTAGATATTTGATATGTTCAAGCCCTGGCTGCTATGTTGACCTACCTTGTTTTTCCCTCTTGAAGACTGTACACTGCTCTTTCGGAATGAATAGTGAACACATACTAATGGTTTCTTGCGTCAAATAATTCTTGCTGATTTATTTCACCCACTACTGAGTATTTGGGAGACTGGGTCCTTAAACAGGATGTGTATTTCCTTTATAGTATGTGTATGCCATCTTGCCAATAATGATATGAGTTTGATGGTATGAAAATGCTCACCAGTGTGGAAAGAGGCCATTTCCTCATGATTATCAGTTGCCAGTCATTGTCTTGAAGCTTGCATACAAGTAATGACCACTATCACTTGACCATCTTCAGAGGTGGGCCCTGTGTGAGGTATTTTACATATGTTTTTCTGTAATTCTCATTTCAACTGTGCAGTGTCTATCTCCCACATACTTTCTATGTTCTGTTTCCTCTGAGTTTTAAAAATTTTCTTTTTGCTTGATATAACATTCAGACTCTATGGAGTGAAAAATCCTGTGGGGTATCCCTTGAGGGTCCCTTCCTCTATTAACTAGAGGACTTTTCCAGTGTTTATTCTTTTCAAACTTCCCACATACCCAACTCCCTCCCCACATCCAGAAATTCAAAGCTTGAACATAAGAAAATATTCATTTCTAAGGACCATTTCTACATTCTGTATTACTTTTGAGGCACAATTCTAACTCGAAAAATGGTTGCATATTTTAATTTGAGAACTGGCAGAGCTCACTGCTCTTGTTTTGTTAGGCCTAAGTTGCTGTGTGTTTTCTCTTTTCCCACAGATAGGTATGTAAAACAATTTATTTTCACTTCTCTGCATTTTGCTTCCTTTGAATATCAACCAATACTAAGTCTGAGACAATGCATAGTGAAAGAACTCTGTGGTTACAAATCTAACACTGGATACTATTTTAAATAGAGATATTTTGCATTTAAAATTATTTTGCAAGAACTATATGCAGTAGAGAAAAATCAAGTTACACATGCATCCCTACATATATAAGCATCTGGTTGTGTAATTGGATGAAACTATGGGAGAAGATAGAGTCATTTTATCTTTTATGGTATTATTCTTATCATTTTAAAGCAGTGTCACGTTAATGAACAACTTTTAGAAGTTATTTGCCAACTGTGGTAGGGAAAAGTATAGCCCAGATATTTTCCTAAGGTGGCTGATTGTGTAATGGTTGCCAGTTTTTTCATTTGCCCTAAGACCAACTAATAATGGCTACAAAAACATCATATTAATTTCTTTGAAGAATGTACAGTGAAATGGCAAATGACTTCTAGAAATGGAGAGATTGTTAGAATTTATTTCTCTATCAGTAGATAAATACATAAATGAAGATTATTCAACATCCTTTTTATTGATTCCTTGGTCTGTCAAATTGTTGACAATTATTGGAGCATATTATCACTACCATTGCATTACAAATTCAGTTGTCCAATTTTGTATCATTGTGATCTCACTATGCACATGTGATTTCATGTTAGACGGTTAAGGCTGAAATATTGGTGAATATGACATCTTTCCTCAATGTTCTATTAGTTTTGAAAAAATAACACTTTATTAAATATTAAACACTGATTTTTGGTTATACTACATTGTTGATATTTATCACTTGAAAAGAAGGAAAATAATAAACCTGATGTTGACCAAAAAAAAAAAAGTCAAAAAAATTCTGTACCCCTAGCTGGCCATTAGACTTCCCAATGTGTTTCCAACTTCTGCTTGGCAACTAAGGAAGTAAGCAAGTCTTGGCATTTGACTTATTACTTTCTCTTTATACCATCTGGGCTTACTTTATTTATAGGACTAGGGGTGACAAAAGTAATATTCCTACCTGTCACTTTAATAGGAGGCAATTTATTCCTCTTAACTACAAGGACAGTTCAAAACAAACTTTTTGCACAGGCTGACCTGGGCCTCAGCTAGTGGTGAGTGCCCTCGTGAAACTATATCTTTTTAGGAAGCTGCTCTTTTTTTTTTTTTGGACTGCTCGGACAGCCATTGAAGATCCAGCCCTTATTTGTGGAAGCTCTTGAGGGCTAGTTATGGGGGTGTGAAATGGTGTGTTAACACATGAAACCATATTCCCTGAACTTTGTGACTGTTTGGTTTCTTTATCTGGACAGCTTTCTAGTGTCTGCTGACCTGAGAGAGTGGAATATGTAGGCTGCCATTTTATAAATGGCTCTGGTTAGTTACTCATTGTTTATTCTAACCATGTGTACATTATTTGCTCCTCCAATCTTATAAGCAGGGAGGTTGTGGTGAAAGCTGCTATTGGCTGAACTTAAGGCATCAGGCAACTCTGGGATCAGTTGCTGCCATTGTGACATTGATTGGTGTCACTTGTGGACATGGAAGCACTGGTACGATTAAAGTTTTAGTCCAAAAGCACGTGAATCCTGGGAATAGTCTTTTCCTTTTTTACTTTGTTCATGGCAACATCATTCATTCTGTCTTGTTCTGAAAACTTTTTTGATTTAAAGGGCAGTCTGAGTATGTCACCCAGTAAGTAAAGGGAGATGGCAACATTTGTGTGTTTTTACGTTAGCCTTAAGCTTTAGAGCTCCTAGATTTTGTCTCCAAATAAGTTTTTCATTATTAAATTTTTAGTGGATATTAAAATACCTTGCATGACTTCTTCACTCTATGGCAAAATAGAACTTTTCATTCTTATCCCATGAGTGTGTGTGAGCAAATGTCTGCACACTTGCAAGCGATATTTAAGCTCAGACATATGTACAAAACGAGAGAAGTGGTATTAAGTGGAGCATAATTATGTAGATAATTATGAAGCATTGACTGTTGAACAGTGTACTGTGTGGGTTTCTGAGTGAACATCTATTTTTTCATTAAGGAATAATTTTACTGCAGTATATACAAGGCCACAAATGACATGTTTCTTTCTTTCTTTTTTTTTTTTTTTTTTTTTTTGCTTGATTATGCAGCCAAACAAATGAGAATACTCAGTGCTATGGCCATTATTTCTATTATAGGAGAAAATAAATAACAGTATAAAAGAATCTAATGTTTTTTTTCTGCCTCATGGGGTTTTTGAAAGCTCTTTGCTGCTTATTTTGTTGAGTTTCCCATTGATATTGCTTTGGTGAGTAATTATTTGAAGAAGGGGTAGAAAGTAAATACTTGCTGGAGAATTGTCTCTCAATGAGAACTGATCCAGTGGGCATTATACTGATTCCCCCTTTTCCCCCTCTTTTTGAAGTTACTACCTTCCACAGATTAATAGGAACCTTTTGTCTCAGACTTAATACTTGCATTTATTTGCTCAAACCAGATAACTGAACACAGGTACCAGTATTCACAACTACCATGAAGATAACGACAATTCCATCCTATTTTTCAGGCCATGTATATAGGAGGCTATAGTGAATAAAATCCCATAGTAGACTGCTTCCCATAAATTATGATTCCTCAGTCAGAGGTAATTAAAAGTTTGATGCAATGCTAAGTAAACAATATGCAATAATAATATCAAATAACATTTATTGCATTGCCACTGCTGCAATGAAAAAATACTGCTTATCTTTGCATCAAAAATCCTATATTATAGATATCATTCCCATATAACAGTAGAGAATTCAGTGGCTCAGAGAGCTTAAATGACTTGCCTAAAGCTAAATGGAATATTAATGGGAAAAAAAATCATGTTTATTGTGGTCCAGAGTCACTGTTCCTCCTAGTAGACATGATCTTTCCTAAAGCTGGGGTCAGCAGAATTTTTCATAACATGCGCTAGATAGTAAATATTCTCAGCTTTGTGGGCCATGTAGTCTCTGTCATAACTACTCAACTCTGCCCTTGTAATGTGTAAAACAGCTATAGACAATATATAAACAAGTCAGTGTGGCTGTGTTCCAATAACATTTTATTTATGGACATTAAAATTCAAATTTTATATAATTTTCACGTTATGAAATGTTCCTTTGTTTGTTTTTAGAGACAGGGGTCTCACTTCATCACCCAAGCTGAAGTGTAGTGGTAAGATCATAGTTCACTATAACCTTGAACACCTGGGCCCAGCAATCCCCTGGCTTCAGCCCTCCCAAGTAGCTGGGACTACAGGCACACCACCACGCCAGGCTAATTTATTTATTTATTTATCTTACTTCTTGTAGAGATGTGTTGAATTGAATTTCTGATAAAGTGGTATTATACTTAGATGTACCTTCAAGACTTTATGCCTTGAAGGATAAAGGGCAAAAATATTCCAGGAGGAAGAATGACATAAATCAATCCAAGATATGTTATTTGATAAATCAACTTATTTTGCAAGTAATTATATGTGAATTTCTTGCTGACATCCATGGATGTCTTACTCCCTGTAGGGCTGTAGTCTATGAATATGGAAATTGTGCTCTGTCAATATGGAACTGCTGAATTGAAGATTGCTAGACCTTTGATTTTTTGTTTGTAAGAAGGTGAAATTTGACTTTAGGCCTAAATCTCTGGATTTTTTTTTAAATGAAGCCATTCAATTTAAAGGAAGTGTTTTCTCCCCTCCTGAAATTCTTTGATCCAAATTTAAGAAGTGTTCAAGATAGATTTGGCCCAATAGCCACCATCGTGCAGCTCTGCAAACCTAAATTCCCAGTATCTATGATAGGTCATATACGTATCATATGATTGTAGAATTTGTGATTTGCAAAAACTTGAAAAAAACAAACTAGCCCAGGTTCTATCTGAAAAGCAGACCCAAAGCTCAAACTGAGATTAAGGGACCGAGATGTGGAATGTGTCCAGGCAGCCAGCAGGTGACTGATTTGAATCCTAACTTTGGAAGATTTAGATTAAAGTAAGAATTGCTTGTTGATTACTTGTTAACTAAATTCATAGCTTGCATAAATGATTTCTCATAGATTTGGGGATATTTTGCCAAAAGATACATTCCGTAGGAATAGTAAGGCCTTTGCAAATGCTGACCCTTCCTGAAGGTAACTTTAACCACAGTAAACATTCTTAGAGATTTGAGTAAGTGAAACACCAAGCAGAACTCAGCATTTTTGTTTTGTTTTGTTTTAATGTCTTAGGCAGCTGTTACTTTCAAACAAGTCATTAAAATGCAGAAAAGGGACTTTAGTTCAGCACTCTGAGGTTTGCAAAAGATTACTGTTAGGGTGCTATTGCTGTTGAAAGTGCTATTTTTGTATGTACTTTCGTGAAGCTAGTCCTGTCTTGTACCTGTACTGATGGTACTCAGAAGGGTGTGCACGGGGTGTAGATGATCAAGAATCTGCAAACTGCCTAACAGAAATAACTGCCTCTGTAAGGACACAGTGAAGATGTTTCATGAGAGTCATAGACACATTCACTGAATTCGCTTCCGTTATATGTTCATATTTTTATATAATATATTGTGTTATAGTTGGATGCATAAATTACAGTTGGAGTTAAGTGAATCTGATTAGGGTGGTCTCAGGAAAGTCTGAAGTCTTTCTGTGATCAGCTGTAACATTTTGTAAATTAAAACCATCTGCAATGATGCTTAAGTAAACACACCTACAGACCCAGGGAGATTCCCAGACAATTGCTAATTTACTAAGTTTTCATATATATATATATGAAAACTTATATATATGTATATATATGTATATAAAATAGGTATGCTAAGAGGTTAGAAGAAGTGTGTGTTAAATATGGTCACTATCTTCTGAAAGTATAAAGCCCGGGGATGAGGGTGATAAGAGTGAAAAACAAGTACATGTAATATATTATAGGATAATGATGTTGTGATGAGTAAAATACACAAACATTGTTCTAGGAATTCAGAATGAGGAACGATTACTACAAGGGAGATAATGAGGGAGGATGAATGAAAGAATTGAGAGCAGAGTTTCCTCAGACTTCCTTACACAATTTGGTGGCTTCTCATACATACTGCCAAATGCTTCTTCCAAAACGGTGGTACCAAAAAAGTATAGAGAGATTCCGGTTTAACTCATCCTCTCCAGCCCTGTGGGTTACTTATTTATAATCTGTGCCATTATTAAGGAAAGCAATAGGAATTAAAAGGAAGCCGGGCACAGTGGCTCATGCCTGTAACCCAGCACTTTGGGAAGCCAAGGTGGGTGGATCACGAGGTCAGGAGTTTGAGACCAGCCTGGCCAACATGGCGAAACCCCGTCTCTACTAAAAATACAAAAATTAGTTGGGCATGATGGCGTGTGCCCGTAATCCCAGATACTCAGGAGGCTGAGGCAGGAGAATTGCTTGAACTCGGGATGTGGAGGTTGCATCACTGCACTCCAGCCTGGGCAACAGAGCGAGACCCCATGTCAAAAAAAAAAAAAAAAAAGAAAGGAAAGGAGCACCACTTTTTTATTCAGAGTGCTTAATAGTCACTTAGAATTAGGTGATTTAGCAAATGCAAAGTGTGTAATACTGGGCCTAGCATCCCATGTTTATTTTCCCTCCACAGGTTGACATTTTAGAATGTGCATGTGTTTATTAACTAAGAATATATAATGAAGAGGGATTTTGTTCCATACTGTATAGCTCTAAGAAACAATGCTTCTGAAAACAAAATAAAATATGTTTTTGTTTGCCAACATTTTTGGCAATACACAGTATTTCTCTTCTCCCTGAGGCTACAGAGGTAGCAGTTCAGTAGATTTGAGGAGGGCTCTCTTGTCTTTACTGTATCTTGGGCCCAGTGATACTCTTTCAATTTTTAAGATGCTTATACTTTTTCTTACATTGCCAAGGTTGGTTTCATTCCTAAGAAAAGGAAATGAAAGAAATATCTTGCAGTTGTCACCCATTCCCTCCTAAAATAATCTGGGGCACTGGTGGCAGGAGAGAAGGTTTCTAGACCAAAGCTTATCAAATTGGGGATAAGAACCCATTGATGTTGTGATGATATGAACATAGTAGTAGTTTATGTCTAGCATTTTTAAAAGTAGGATAAAGCACATCAGATGGAATAGAATAGAGTAGAATAGAATATAAAGGAAAAAAGTTAACAGTCCAGCATGCAGTAAGGATTAATATTATTTGAAGAAATCTTTTTATCAGTTGTATGTTTACTTTATCAGTTGTATGTTTATCAGTTGTATGCTTACTGTGTCTACAATTAATCATGATGATAATTACATTTTTAATTGTGAATCAATTAAAAATAAGTTTAACAAATGTAAGCCTAGGCAACTCTAAGACATACCCCAATCTCCGCACCCCATAGTTCCAGATGCATTTTGGGGAAAGTTGTTGTAATAGTCCATTTTCATACTGCTATTAAGAACTGCCAGAGACTGGTAATTTATAAAGAGAAGAGGCCTAATTGAATCACATGGCTGAGGAGGCCTCAGGAAACTTACAATCATGGCAGAAGGCAAAGAAGCAGCAAGGCATTTCTTCACACGGTGTCAGGAAGGAGAAGAGCCGAGCAAAGGGAGAAGAGTCTCTTATAAAACCTTCAGATCTCATGAGAACTCACTCACTATCACTAGAACAGCATGGGGAAACTGTCCGCATAATTCAGTTACCTCAACACATGGGGATTATGGGGATTACAATTCAAGATGAGATTTGGGTGGAGACACAAAGCCTACTCATATCAGTTATCCTTTCTGTTCTGCTTCCTTAGACCTTCATATCTTACCCCACAACCCAACTCAATCCCTCTCAGTAGTCTGGAAGTATAAAATCAGGATCCTCACTTAAGAAAAGAAACAGGGAGGCCAGGCGCGGTGGCTCATGCCTATAATCCTAGCACTTTGGGAGGCCGAGGCGAATGGATTGCCTGAGCTCAGGAGTTTGAGACCAGCCTGGGCAACACAGGGAAACCCAGTCTCTACTAAAATACAGAAAGTTAGCCGGGTGTGGCAGCTGGCACCTATAATCCCAGCTACTCAGGAGGCTGAGGCAGAAGAATTGCTAGAAGCCGGGAGGCAGAGGTTGCAGTGAGTCAAGATTGGGCCACTGCACTGCAGCCTGCGTGACAGAACAAGACTCTTTCTTAAAAAAAAAAAAAAAAAAAAAAAGAAAGAAAGAAAGAAAAGAAAAAGAAACAGGGAGGGAGAAGTAGATGGTGTTTATACACTCAGACATTTACAAACACAGTGCTGGCTTCTGCTTACTATGGTGGGGGCAGTAATAGAGTATGCTCTTTTCTACTTTATGAGATTACAGCTGTAAAATACTACAAAATACAATCACTAAGTCGTATTAGTTCTTTTTTTTTTTTTTCTTAGAGATGGGGTCTCACTCTGTTGCCCAGGCTGGAGTGCAGTGGTGTGTTCATGGCTCACTGCAGTTGCAAACTCCTGGGCCCAAGTGATCCTCCCATCTCAGCCTCTTGAGTAACTGGGACTATAGGCATGCACTACTGCGCCCCACTAATTGTTATTTATTTATAGAGATGGAGTCTTGCTATGTTTCCCAGGCTTGTCTTGAACTCTTGGCTTCCTATGATCCTCCTGCCTTGGCCTCCCAAAGTGCTGTGATTATAGATGTGAGCCAGCACACCAGGCCTAGTATTAGTTCTTAATAGCTTCTCCATTACAACTAATTTACAAAAGGAATTCTTCATTGGATAATTATTTGCTCATAGAAACAGTGACCTTGAACTAGTTTGATATGAAACATTCTTTCTAAGATACATAAAGGGAATTGTGTCTGGTCCTAACTGGCCTTGACCTGAACCCTTTGTTAAAGAATAGAAACTGTTAGAAATAATGGGTTCCATAATAGAAATGAAATCATCTCTATTAAAACCTTTGAAAGTAATGTGTTAAAGAAATATTTTAAAAAGAGTTGATTAATGCACTCTTTTCATGTGGTGAGTGAGAACCTTGTGAATTTGCACATTTCAAAAATGTACAATAAGTATAATAGAAAGAGGGAATGTAAGTGTTGTTTTTTTTTTTTTTTCAGATAAATGGACCATTGACTGTGTTCTCCTGGTGTATTGTACACATTGCATATTGCATCCAACAATGGCATTCTAACTTTTTTTTTTAATCATGTGGGGTTGCTATTAAGCTGTCTAGCAAGAAAGGTATAATTATGTTCTGAGAATTATAGAAGGATGTCATGGAGGTTCAAAAACATTAAAGCTCACATTCATAAAAAGAAAATAGCATGAATTTAAATACAGAAAGCTATGAAGTACTTTGAAAACATTTTAATCTCCCAAGACTCCAACCCATCTCCTCCCACCCTGTTTTTCTGCCAAAAACATTATGTCCTGCGCTATAACTATAAATTAACCCTTTCATTCAACTATAAAGAACATTTCAACAAGCAAAAATATAGCCATTGGAGTTAAACAGTATCAACATAAAACACTGGGCACTTTTAGAAGTACTCTCAAGTCCTCTTCTTTTATGGAATTATAGTACAGACTAATGTTAATCAGTCCAGTGAAATAGATCATACCTTTAAATCAAACTCTGCGATTAATTTATGAAAGCAAAGTGCCAAAATCAAGATACTTAACCTTAAACACAAACCATTTTGTACATATATTTTTATATGTGTGGACATTTTTGTGTTTCCTTAGGCAGGTTGCAATTAGAGGATGAATGCAATTCCTGGTAAAATCTCCATGCTTTGAAAGGGCTCTGCCATTCCTGCGAGCAGTATTATTTTACTTGAACATTTATTTCTAGGTCCTGTGAAGCTTAACCAGTCCCTCTCAGTTCCAATTCCCTAATTATTGAATGCCACTTCCCATGCAATGAGAAAAATCATGTAGTGAACTATTAATTTCTCAATTTAAAGGGTTTTCATCACTTTTATTGGTGTTATTTTGCTATCATACTCCAGCTGCATGCTATACTCTAGCACTTTTTCTTTTAACTTAATTGCTTGCTAACATTTCCAGATGTGGAAAACAGACACATTAGTTATTCCTAATAAGTATTTTATTTTCCTTTCTGATCTGAAGTGTATTATATTACCTTTTTCTTTTTTTCTAGAGCATTGGTTACAGTATAGCTTTTAGCTGCAGGTGACAAAATGCATTAGAGGTTTATTTTTCCAACACATGATGTTTGGAATTATGTGGTTCATGTTGGTTCAGGAACTCAAAGATGTGAGAGCTCTGGGTTGCCTTTTCTGTAACATATTGTGTGTATGTGTGGTGTGTGTGTGTGTGTGTGTGTATTTATGCACATATATAAATATATATTTTATACACACACACACACACACACACACGTATAGTGTTCTCCCTCATGGTGTCCACTTGGTCGCAGTAGTTCCCAGCATTCTTTCCTCATATGAAAATTTCCATATCAAAAAGGAAGCAAAGCAAGGTCAGCATTTTATTTACTTCAAAACAAAATCAGAGTAGAGACTTTTATCTAGAAGTTCTTAGCAGGTTAACCCATTGTTAAAGGTTGAATCGTGCTGCTACCCCACCCTCATCCCCAATTCACATGTTGGAGTCTTGAACTCCAGTACCCTATTATTTGAAAATAGGGTCATTGCTAATGTCATTAGTTAAGATGAGGTCATTAGTGTGGGCCCTCATCCATTATGACTGGTGCCCATATGAAAAAAGGGGAAATTTGGACACAGAGACACACATAAAGGGAAGATGATATGAAGAGAGATACAGGGAGAAGATAGCCATCTACAAGCCAAGCAGAGAGGTCTGGAACAGATCCTTCTCTCACAACCCTCAGAAGAAATCAACCCTGCTAACACCTTGATACAGACTTTCAGCCCCCTGAACTGTGAGACAAAAAATTCTGTTTTGGAAGCCACCCAGTCTGTGGTACTTTGTTATAGCAACCCTAGAAAATGAATACACCCTCTTGGGCTTTTAGTGGTCTCATAAGCCAATCTCCCCTGGCTACCCTTCTTCCCAGCCGAGAATGACAAAGAGTTGTGGAAAGTATCTCTGGAGCTTTCAGTCTCCACAGTGAAAGGCTGACTCTAAGGGCTGGAAAGAAGGGCCGGTGATAGCTATTGAGTGGACTACCAGCAGCATCTGCCACAGCCAGTTTTTCACATGTGGCACATGTCTGGCATTCAGATATTTGTTAAAGAAATGAAATATTCTAAGATCGAATACTTTGTCTTCCTCTGACATTGGAAGCATATAAATGGAATTTTATTTTGGTCTTGTTTCTTTGGCATTTTCCAGCTTTAAACTACCATTGCCAAAATAGAAGATATCTCATTTCTAAAAAAAGTTTCCATCTTTTAAAAGTTTTTTCCTAAAGAATAGTGGGACCTAGAATATAGATCTTATTTCATTGGCGGCATATGATTTTACTTTCTTTGACCCAGGCTAGAGCTCATTCTGTTTGGGATTGATGCCTTGTAAGTGCACGGAATATTCCTTTCTAAATTTATGTCCTCTTACATTCTGTCTTTAATTGCATTGCCTACCCTTACACCCTGTTGTGATTTACCCTGTGTTTTGAAATGCACTGCTAGTTTTTGTTTTCCATGTAGATATGACATAAATCAGTAAGGAAAAACAGTATGTGCTTTCCTGTTCCCTAGGAATTTCAGATACCATCATTGTCTTTTAGGAATCTCATTTCTTTTAGTAGAGTGATGCAGCTTGCCCAGAATCCCTTGTCTATGTTTTCTTTGTCAGTCTTCATAAAAATTGTATAGAGTATGACCATTAGAATTGATCGTCTGCGGTTTGATCTTTTACATGACATTACCTTAGGAGCTCATAAAGCTTGTACTTACATTCAAAGGCAGTTATTCCTTGTTGCCTGTAGGTGTTAGGGGGGAAAAATAACACCTTAGGATTGGATTTTTGGACTTATTAGTCCTGTTCGGAAGTCTGATATGCCCCTTATTTTAGGATGTACATTTAAAATGGAGCTTTGGAACCAGGCTAGCATGTCAAAAAAATGCCCCTGTCACAAAAAGTAAAGTTTAGCGTCAATCCGAATGTTACGTTGAATCCATTAGTTAGGCAAAAGGCCCCCTTCTGTTTTCAGACAGGGTGCTTTTTACTGGTTATGAATAGCTGTGTGAATAGTCAAGGCTCTGTCTTTTTGAGGATCAAAATTCATTTTGAAGAAAATGTTGGATAATTTCTTTTAGATTAGCAGAGACTTCAGAATCTCTTCCTTTTAAGTTTATATTGCTGGCAAGAGACTAGAACATGAAACCCAGCATCTCTCATCACCTATTTCATTCCCGTGAAGCAAGATTGAGAGGCCTTGTCTCTTTTCTGAGTATGAAGCATGCACTGACCTGTCACGTTTGATTATTATTTTGTACTTACTTTTTAAGAGGCGTCAGAGGCTCCCAAATGGCTGCTGATGGCCTGAAAGCCTTTAGGAGCCTTAAATTTCAGAGATGGCAGATATGTGCCTCATAGGCCATTAACTCCAGCGCCATCAGGAAATACTGAAGTTGAAAAAGCAGGCTGTTGGTTAATTTTCACCTCTGACCATATTGAGAACAGTGTGGCTTCATGGAAAGGGAAACAAACCAAGAATATGAGGACTAGGGTTGATATCAGGTCTTTCACCAAGAAACTCTGTTACTATGGTCAGGTCATTTAACCTTTCTAGGCCTCACTTCTGGGGAGGCCAAACCACGTGCAAGGTGAGAAGATGAGCTCTGAAATTAAAATCTTAGCTTTATCAATCACTAGCTGTAAAATAGTATCTGCCTCATATAGAGTTATTATGAGGATTGTTTCATTCATCTTATTCATTCTACAGACAGATATTGAATATCTACTGTGTTCTAAGAGCTGAGTATACAGCAATGAATTCGATACAAATAAATAACAAACACATGCATAAACATGCGTAGTGTTTATGTAGAAAGATCTCGTAAGGTTGTGAGATGTGCTTTGATATCTGTGACTGGTGGAAATGAAGGGTGTATAATGACTTTGGATGAGGGAGAATGCGGATGGTCACATTTAAGCTGAGAAGGTGACATTTATGCTAAATTCTGAATGACAAAAAGAAACCAGAACACAAGGAGAACAAATGTGTCAGCCCAGAAGTGACACGAAGCTCAGCGTGTCTGAGAAGCAGGAACAAGAGCAGTGTGGCTGGACCTCAGAGATCAGGAGCTGGGGTCAGGGGAGATTGAAATAGGAGAAGCAAAGGATGTAAATAGCTGCTTAGTGTGCCTGGCACATAGTTCATGGTGCCTGGTTCAATAAATGTTAGCAAATTAGTAGTTATTATCCTTCTCTCAAAAGGATCTCAGAAGAAAATGCTCCTAGTAGTTTAACATTTTTATTTAAAATTAATAGTGACCTCTGGAGAAGCCATGTAGCATCGTTTGGGACATGACTTTTATTAGATAATGATAGGATGGGCATTTGAGTTTTTATTGTGACCACTTAGAGGAAATTTTTTGAACACCTCTCTTTGCCTTTTTCGTTTAAACCACTGCTTTCTTATCTCTACTAACCTTTCTTCTTTTGGTTTATCTCCCCAACTTTCCTGTTATTTCCAAATTTATACCATTATGTTAATGCATTATTGCTTTCAAGCTGTACAAACATCAGAATTTGTCAGAAAAAAATGATGCTATCCCATCTCATAAATAATGAAATATATGTTATCAGAAGTAAATCAGAAGCTATTACACTAGAAAAATGTTAGGAAATGTTCACTATATTTACAAATATTTGTAAAAAGACATCACAAATATTTTCGACTTTCTAGGACAATAAATTCAATTAATAGAACAGAATGGCATTTTTGTTTTTACTTATTATTTCTATTCAGTGAATTGGTTGAGGGGCAAAAATGAAGAAAATAGCAATATTGCCTCTTTTAAATTAGGAGTGTTAGTAGCAATTTTAAAATCCATTTCTTCTGGAAGTTGCTCTTTCCTAAAAAGGGAAACGGAAGCTTTTTTTTTTTCCTTTGGCAATTTCCCCTGATAGATGAAAGTAATGATCAGGTAAAGATCAGAGACTAAGGGGGATAGCAAGCTGCTTTCTCAAAGGATGGTGGGGATTAGTAAGGGCTAATTGTGTGGTGATGTCGTGGTGCAAAGTTGCCCCGAGTCAGCTGAGCTGTGAGCTTGCCCTTACTTCTAACAGTCTTTGAGTTTAAGAAGTTTCTAAACTATCCTCATTTTTGATAATTTGCTAAAAGGACTTACAAACGTTGCTGAAAACTGTTATACTCACAGTTATGTTATTTACAGGGAAAGGATCCATACTAAAATCAGCTAGAGGAAGACACACATGGGGCAGAGTCTGGAAGGTTTCAAACGCACAGCTTTTATTGACCACAGGACATCTGACCCTTCCGGTATCGATGTGTGACAATACTCAAGGAGTATGATAGCCAACCAGGAACTCGTTGAGCCTCCGTGTCTAGAGTTATTTATTGAGACCTTATTATGTAGGTGTGACTGACTGGTTGCACATGTGGTTGAGCTCAGTCTCCACGTCATTTGATACCACGTGACCCAAATTTCTCACCCTTAATCACATGGTTAGTCTGTCTGATGTGGCCAGTTTCCAAGGCAAGACTATTGGGTGTGGCTGGCCCCACCCTAAGATCTAGTGTGGCCAGTCCCCATCCTAAACAGACATTTCAATCAGCTATGGCACAGATTTCCTCCTGGAAGCTGAGGGCAAAGATCAGACCTAGGGTAAGGCCAAATTCCTTACATAAAGAGTGAGAGAGTATCCCTGCACGGACTGTGGAATCCATTATTCTAGAATATGTGTTTTACATTCTGCAATGCTGTGTGAACTTGCTCATGCCGCCTAACCACTCTTAGGCACAGCATTTGTCTTCTGTTGGGAATAATTATGGCATTTACCTCACAGAATATTCTGAGGATTAATGAACACATTTGGGCATGCAGAATTTACTTTAGAATTTCAGCTTTAGCAGCTGCTATTTTTATCATTTCAATGATTATTTTAATCATATTGTTACTTTATTGTTGTTACACTTATGATAAATATTTTTATTAATGTAAACTGCTATTCGAAGTAGCCAAAATGCCAGTTCATTGTTTTAGGGCCTTTTTTGCTGCTTCTTGATCTCGTTTTCTTTGTCTGACTTTTCACGGATTCTTTGTCTCTTAGTCTGTTTATTCATTCTCTGAGTTAATAGAAACTCCTCTGTAATTTTGCTGAGCATTCCAAGCAAAATAGGAAAGTAAAGAGCTTTTTTTTTTTTTTGGGCGAATTTGTTTGTTTTCAGAAATGCTATGGCAAAGATTATACAACTGCAGTCCCATAAGCATTTGGTGGTGGCATTATCTTGTTCTTTTTTAAACACGTAGTACAATAGAGAGATTTGTTTTTTTTTCTCTATGTGGAAATTCTCCTCAGAGCATGTTCAAGTTCTCTTAGCCAAAGTAGAAACATCTTTAAAAAGACGCCTGTTCAGTGCTGTATCTTTCTCTTCAATTTGCTAGTAATAAAATGGACATCCCACCAAAATATTGAGTGTTTTTATTCCAACTAGAAAAATAACATTATCAAGCTTAAGGTTTGCATGCCAAGCCGATTTTATGAAAATACTCAGGTGTTGAATTCATTTTGAATTCAGCTTTAGTTTGGCAAAAAGGCTATGACAAGAAAGACTTGGTGTAATAGTTTATTCACCAATCTACACTTAGATGTAGTTTGTTGTAATAAAAAGTAATTGCTGCGGTATGAAATGATCTTAATATGGCAATATTTTTCATACCAACGTTAGTTCTCATAGAGGTGGTACTATGCTGTTGAGTGGGTTAATTGATTTCCTTTAACAAAACAATGTCTACAGAGCATTTTGCTTTGTATGCAAATGGAGCAGTACTAGAATTTTTAGTTCCTTGTTTTCTTCAATACTGGAATGTAACTTTTTACAATGCCTTTTACTGATTATTATTTTTTGGATGTCTCCCACCCATATAGGTGAGCTTCTCTTACAAGGCCCTGTATTTATCAAAGAACCCAGCAACAGCATTTTCCCTGTTGGTTCAGAAGATAAAAAAATAACTTTGCATTGTGAAGCAAGAGGCAATCCATCACCTCATTACAGGTACAGTGAAAAGTTTGAAAATTCAAATAAAAAAAACTAAACACACTTATGTGGTGATTGTGAATTTTTTTTTGCTTCAATATATTTATGCCATCAGTAAGAAAAAAATACGTGAAGCTATAGTTGTATGATATATTCAACAGATTTAATATATGAAGATTTAAATCTATATGTAGCATATACTTGATTAATTATTGATCATGGCAGAATCCCTAAAGTAAATAATGTCTTTTCATTGATGTATAGTGCAGTTTAATTTATAAACTTGGATTTACATGTACTTGTCAAGAACACATTCATTGTGGGGATGAAATTGTGTTTTAAAGTTAATTTGAAATCATAGTTAAACAAATACTTCTGTGTGCCACCTTTTGTCCGTTTACCATTTTACTGGATATGTGCTTGGAGGTTCAATAAGTAAGGAAGAATAAAATGTATTCTTACCAAAGTCATTTTAATGATTTTTGAAGAGAAAACGTATTTCATTTGTTAGATGTATATCAAGTTAAAGTCTATATTTTTAAGATTATATAAACAATTGCTCTTCACTGAAAACTTTCAAATATCATGCAAAGTATAAGGAAAAAAGAAAAAAAAATCCATACTCCCACCACCTTAAGAAAAAAATATTGATATTTTGGGGATGATGATGGATTATTTGGATCAGATGGGTATTTGTATTATTAAATAACCCAGGATTAATCATTTTTACTCTTAGGAGTGCTTGGGAGACCCACTTTCATGAAGAGATGAATTATTTATAAATTACATGCTGCATTCTTATAAGTGGTTGAAAGAAAGTATTCAAGACACCTTTAAAACAACACGCTCTTTCATGCAATGTGAACATCTACTATGAAAACCCCATTCACACTATTAGTTTTCTTGACAAAACCTTTTCTATAATCTGCAGAACAAGCAAACTTCAGCCAGTATTAATAAAATTTTAAATGTTTAGAGTTGTAATTTAGATCTTATTGAGCCTCTATTGTTCTCTTAAACTATATAAATAATTGAAGCCAATAGTCATTGGTAAACTGGGTCAAGATTGGGGTAGAAGGTAGGTTTTGTATTTTTGCATCTGGAAGTAATCAAGATCAGTCTCTTTCAACAATATTTAACAACATATTTATTGGGGCCCTATTGTGTACTTCAACAAAATAAGCATTATAATTCCAGGTTACTGATTAGAGTTGGCAAAGATGAGAAAAAGTTTTTCTCTGCCTCTACCTCTTTCTATAGAAATAAGAAAGTTATTTAATAAAATCATTTATAAAAGGAAGAAACTATTTCATGAACTAGTTCCATTAATCAGACATAAGCATATGCAACATCTGGAAATATTTTCTTCTTATGGGGAAAGTTGAACAGATCAGCTTAACAATATTTTTTTCCAGCATTTTTGTAAGGCATTCTAACACCTTTTAAATGCATCTGTTTGTTTCTCCCTGAAATGAAAGATTATTCTCATAGACATAGCTGTAAATATGATAAAGCAGCCATGTGAATGACTCATGTGTGGGCTGTTTTTCTGTTGTCAGTAAAGTTGTATTTCCTGGTGTTTATCTTACGAATAATTTGGTGATAAATGTGTTCACCTGAAAAGTTGTCAAGATACAAGATTTAGTCATATAGGAATGTATTTCTAAATGAATAGATTAATTATGTTTGTATAGTTTTATCAAATAGCCAAAGGTCTTGAGCTTAGATATCCAAAAATAACCTTGTGTAGTAATTATGTCTTTAAATAACAGGTGCCTATTGTAATGCCATGGAGTCTGTATTTAAATATATTGATAACATGTAAAATGTTGATAAAGAAGTTTCACTGTTTGCATAGTGATTCTTGTTTTATTATACGTCCTGGGATGTCATCCTGGCATTTATATGTTGCAATTTTAACAAAATCTGTTACTGAGACTAGGAGATGTGTGATTTGGGCTGATTTATTAGTTTTAGGTTTGATAAATGAAGAAATTTAACATGTTTGGTATTGTTTGATGATTTTTGGTTTGTAGCCAAATAGAGCAGATACTTTCCTTATAACTTTAAAAATTTTCTAAAATTAAGATTTCTAACCAATATAAAATTTCACTTAAACTAAAAGTTTATGACCACTAGAAATTGAGACCTAGAAAACACAAGAGAAGCTCGTTTCATTCTAAGAAATATCAGACTCTGTTTTAAGAAGAAACAACCCCTTGTTATTCATGTTATCTGAGTAAGAAATAGATTGTGCCACTGCAGTAAATGGGATATGGAATAATGTGGGTTGTAATGACAAATTTGTCTTTTTAGATGACATCTTTATTTTTGGCCTATTTTTTTCCTACCTTTTAATTTTAATATTCAGCTAGGCAATATTTCACATTATTCTTTAAAATGGTTCAGAATAAAATATGCTTGCCTATTCCTATTTTTTTATTGTCCTTCAAAAATCACAAATAAATACTCTAAATATATAATGACATCGAGGACATAAAAAGGAAGAATATGGTGGATCTTTTTACATGAAGTCAGAAAAAGTATTTTTTAACATATATAATCATAAATATAAGCAGATAGAGAGACAGCCAAGGAGGAATATTAAGGAGCCATGTGAAACCACTTGTTAAAGGCAATCCAAACATGTTTTTAAGGATTCAGAATAAAGTTAAAGAATCTTGTAAAAGAATGTCCTTTGAAAGACCAAATCCTGCCTTATAGACTGATGCCAACTTGTCTGAAGAGTGATCTTGTCTTTGTTTTTATCCCATCAGGTAAAAAGAACTCTTAATTGGCCATGTTGGAAATCCAAAAGTTCAGAAATTCTCAAGAGAAATTACTCGTCTTAGGGTTTAATTGAGGATTTTATTCTTTCTTTTGCAGTTCCCTGCCTGAGCCCCAAAGCCTATATTTAAAGGTTAATTAGTATTCAATCTCATTGTAACTGCTGATAGTGCTGAAGGAGGTTACCCTGAGGAAGTATTAATACTTTTTCTAAATGGGAAATATTTTCTTCCACTTTTTATGGGGTTAGAAATGTCCAATCAACTAATGCTAAGATGAAAGACCACAAATAGGAGAATCCCTGGTCGCTGCTGCTGATGCCATTTAAAGGGGCCACTTGTTTCAGTGAGATTGGGGTAAAATAGGTACATGCCAACAGGGACCAGGCAAATAACAACTTTGAAAGAGGAAGGCCTGCCTGAAGAACATATAGACATATTGAATAATGACTGGAAACTGTCTATCATTCAACCCTAAGCCTATCATTATGTGATCATAACTGCTTCTCAGCACTGGCCAATTGTTACCATCTAGGAATCCTGGTCCGGTATTACCAAAGCTTTCTAAGAGAGTTTTACAATTTAGATATTTTCATTTTGGAATCTCTAACTTTACTGTTAACTCTGTTTTTCTTTTAAAACATAATGTAGACCAAAAAAGGTAAGTCGTAAGTCTGAATGTGGCCCATGTGGGCCTTGTGTTTCCAACTTTTAGTCTAGCTCAAGACTTAGAGGTTTGCTGTCCAATATGGTAGCCAGTAATCACATGTGGCCCTTGAAATTTAAATCAATTAAGTTAAATTAAAAATTCAGTTGTTCAGTCACAGAAGCTTCATTTCAAGTGCTTGGTAGCCACGTGTGGCTAGTTGCCACTGTATTTGACAGTACAGATGAATATGTCCAGGCTTGCAGAATGTTTCAGGTCGACCCCTGGGCCCACAACTCTTTTCTATAAATGCTTTCATTTTTCTCTCTTCACAAGGAAGTAAACAGAACGTTATTCTCTTTCAGCTCTATAGGAACAGGTAAACAATTTTAATAGAGTGTAAGGAATCTTGGATACAGAAGTTGTAAGGGCTAAATATCATTGCAAAGTGGAGGTCTTTCCTGGCCACAGTTGCCCTTAAACATGGTTGTCTATAATGGAGTCACATCCTGCACATATTTAATTTACTGATAGTCAACTGAATGCATTTAATTTACTGATAGTCAACTAAATGCATTCAGTATAAGAAAGAAAGGGAAAATAAAATAATGTGCTAAATTCTGCTAACCATTTATTCAAGGAGTGGATGTAAGGAAGGGAAGTCTGAGTTTATTTCTTGTCTATATATTGACACAGTAATATATATCTAGGCACACAGAGTACTATACATAGTACTGTATTTGGTGCTATATGTATATATACACACACTATGTGTATGCTGTCAATTCTATATACATATAGTGTTCCATTTTTAGAATATATAGTACATATATAGTATATGTGCTATATGCTAGTCTATCATAATATAGCATATATATGACATTTTAAGCATAATTTTGATTATATGCAATTTGTCCTTTACATATTTCTTATTGCTATGTAAGATCTGATATCATTGTTATTTTACTTTTATGTGTCAAGACGAGTTATTGTTCCTCTAAATTATTTTGGCACTTAAAGAAATGAAATCCTTTTTGTCAGATTTATAAGTCCAGATCTCTGTGTTCATGCTCAAGTTCAACTCCTTTCCACATCCTGGCTTCTCCAGCTGGTGAGCTCTGGTCCCCACACCCACAATCAGCCACATTTGAGAGTAATCAAATAGCCACATGGTGGAATGAAGACAAAACATAAACACACTAAAGAATATCTACAGTGCCTGAGGCAAACAGAGGTAGATACACCTCTTACTGGGCAACTTAAACTTGGTTGCACTATCATCTCTCCTAGGAAGCGTTCTTGACATCCTTAGTGCTGGATTCTGTGCTCAAACAATGTGCCCAACCGTTGCATTGCATTACCTATATGATAAAGCTTATCAAAATGAAGTCAGATTGCCCTAGTAGGCTGTAACTCCTTTAAAAGTGAAGACACCTTTAACGGTGAAGTGTGTCCTTCATTCTTACATTCCAAATGCCTAGCAAAATAGTGAATGCCTAATTAGTGGCATCAACAAAGTGGTATAAAGGTAAAAAGGTGGAAAACAAATAATGGAATTTGGGATTGTATTATATTTCAGGAGTCAATAATATCATGAAGGATCACAGGGTCAGAAGTTGTTAATAGTTGATTCTGTAAGATATTCTTAAATTTGTACTGAGTCTTATTTTTTGGCTCCATTTAAAGACAAATTGCCTTGAGGTGACAAAGATGGCTGCCTGGAACTCCAGGCTACTCATTTCTTCTGCAAAATGTCAACTGGAAGAGTAGAGTATCTTTCTAATAAATGTCATCAAAAACTCCAAATGGTGTCAGAAAAATGTGAAATAAAAATGAAGCTAATCCTGTCAGTAGTCAATACCCAGCAGAGACATAAAGGTTAGATTTTAGATATTAAAGGTGATAGTATAACAAAATAAATCATATCCTTTTTTTGTTTCTCTTTCTTGTGTTTTTTCAGTGGGGCAAGGGGAATGGATGTACACGTATTGATCAAACACAAGCTAAATCAGTTGGGTCACATTCACATTCTTAAGCAATCGGTAAGGTTGAGCCATGGAATGTTCTGACTGGCCAGGCCAGGTTCGTATGAGGAGGGCTGCTTTAAAGGAGAATAGAGGAGCTGCTACCAGGAAAAGCTAAGATGGCTGCAGGGAAGGCAATAAGGGAAAACATCTGTAACACTCCTTGAAATAATTTTAAGAGAATCCCTGATTGATATGAACCAGGTTAGAACCATGGAAAGTGAACAGTTGTTTTTAATCCCAATGTGGCTCTCTAATCTGTTTTATGTTTTTATGTATGTTCAAAATTTATCGATGAGTGAGAAATGGGAATCTATATCATAAAACACATTTTAAACATTCAATTTTTTAAAAAAACAGCATGGCAACTTTAACTCATTTAGGTCTTTAGCAATTATTGCTGAAGTCTAACTAGTTATTTTTGGATAAAGTATTGAATATGCAAATTCAGACATTCATTCTTTCGAAGGCTGCAATTATTCTCATCACTTCAGTAAACATATTAACAAACATTGCATTTGAACACAGACACATTTGCTTATTAACTTGAAAGCTGCATCTAAAACCACAAATTGCTTCTGTGATTAAATTTCTAATTTTCCTGTCAAACCCCAAATAAAGTATTGCCTGTTGATTTAACAAGTGTTTAGTGTGGGCATATTTCCTAAACCCAAATCCCAGACCCCCCCAAATTTTCGTAAGTTATTTTGTTCTTTTCGCGTTGGTTCATGCTGAAGTTTAAAATGCAACGTTTGTTTCTCTCTAGAATGTTGTTTGTATGTCCATTGTCCAGACCAGATCTTGTGTGACAGAGTAGATATTCTGAAAGACAATAGCTTTATATAATCAACTGTGAGGTGAATTCTATTTGGGGTTTATTTTTTAAACTACTTAAAGTCGGTTTTGTTAGCTTCAATTTCAAGTTGTGATATTGCCTAGCCTTATTAGCAAGTTCAAATGGAAGACACAATTTAGAGCCTGCTGCTTTAAATTATAGCAATGACAACATAGATCTGTGTTTATATTCATTATTGTTATTCCATATGCTAGTGTGGTTTTGTGAAAAGGTTGCCATTTCTGATAATACCTAATATGTTAAATAATAATAACTAGTAAGATAAAGGAAAATAATGATGTATTAATTCCCTCTATCTTTAAGATTGTTTATTGGCAATATGGATGACCACAGTCCGTGAAGACTATGCGGAGGTTAGTAATGGCTAGGGTAGAAAATAGAATTAGATTGCTTTATTCAAGAAACTTCTATTAGTCCCTGTCATGTACAAAATATGATGCCTGATGGTAGAAATTCAACAGTGATTGAAATAGTCATTATCCAGTGGAGTTTACATACTTTGAAAAGCACCTTTTGACTCTTAGAATTTAGGCTTTTTTACTGATTTAACTCATTATTATACAAATTTGTGTTTACAGGCACACACATACACACACACACACATTCGTTTTCTTTCTGTCTCTCAAACATAGTTTGTTCTTTGTGTTGGAAGGCAGTGATTTTTATACCCTCAGCCACTGATGTTTTAGTTTATTTCCTGAAAGTGACAATGAAAGTTTTTATCATTTAGGAGTAATAACTACCAGTTTTGAAATAACTCCTATGTCAGGTATATTATGCTTTCTATTCAGGAATCAAAAATTGTTGGCCTCAGGGCATGCAGCTGTTTTAAGGAAATTGTATTCAAATTCATTTATAGGTGGAAATCTGCTTTAGACTCCACCATTATATTTTATTAGGCTTGGTCCAGTTCTCTCAGACACTACCTTTTCTAGCCAGTGTCCCTGTTGTGTGTAGAGAATGTAACTAAGATTTAAAAGAAGGGGATTGATCAAAGATACGCTCCCTTAAGTAGGCCAGTAACCCAGGACTTCTAATTCCAGTACCCCAAATATTTCTCTCTGATTATTGACTGAGACACAAGTTCACATAGAACCTTCACACAAACCAGTTTAAGAGGATGAAAGCTCATTGAGAATTACTAGATTTGTGAAATATGAGTAATAAATCATTTCTCACTTGTGATTCTAAAAGCAGATTCTAATTTGTGTAAAATGAGTGTTTGAACACTGAAGGCTGACACTGAACTTGTAGGATCATTCAAGTGTGTTACAACATGATAATTATGCAACAGTGTTTAATCTTGTGACATTTACCACCAAGCTGAAGCTACAAGGCTACTCTGCTTCTGGAGCACAATGTAAATGTTATATGATTGAAATGCTGGGGTGTGTAGCCCCAAGAGACACGAGGTTGTCTTCTTTTGTTCCAGATCACTGCATTAAGCCTTTTGGAATGGGATTTGGGTATACAAATATACTTTTATGAAGTTTTACATAATTTTCATATTTCAAAAAGATTTCATTCTGATACTTAGAGTTCCTGGTGAACTTTTAAATTCCTTGGTAAAAGTAGAAATTTGTAATTTTTACAAAGAATTATGAATATGCAGAACCAAAAGGCAATGTTTACTACTAAAAGCTTCCCAAATTTATGACCTGAGTGTGCCATTTACCTGTCACAGCTTACTACTGAATGTTTGAATGTTGTGTTCATGAAGCCCAGACAGTTGGATTACAGTTTCCTGCAAAGAAAATGAGTCTAATTTGAAGATTTATTGGACACATACTTTGTAAAAGAAGGAGCTGAACCTGCGTATCCCTTCAAGTTTTTTTTGTTTGTTTGTTTTTTGTTTTTTGTTTTTTGAGACAGGATCTGGTTCTGTTGCCAACACTGGAGTGCAGTGGTGCCATCTCAGCTGGCAGCAACTTCCATCTTCCAGGCTTAAGCCCTCTCACCTTAGTCTCCCGAGTAGCTGGGACTACAAGCACATGCCATCACACCTGGCTAATTTTCACATTTTTTTTTTGTAAAGATGGTTTCTCCGTGTTGCCCAGGCTGGTCTCAAACTACTGGCTCCAAGAGATCTTCCCAGCTTGGCCTCCCAAAGTACTAGGATTACAGGCATGAGCCACTGTGCCTGGCCCTTATTATTCATTTCTTACATGAATGAAAATACTAGACATACTTAGAAATCAGTCCCAAATATGAGTATTTTGCATTGGGAACTTACATATACTAGTTTGTTTCTCAGGATAAAATATTAATATCTGTTGGCAGCTTAGGCCCAGAGATTACTTGCACATTTCAGAGTTTAAACAAAGACACCCCTTTTGAGCTCACATATTTTCAGCAAGAGGAAAAACAATCAGTGTTTAATAAGATATTGAGAAATTTTATATAACCTGGGGTGAGTTCCATTTAATGATGAATAGTATTAGGCAGGAGAAAAATAATTATATTGCTTTGTTAAAAGAAAATTAACATTCTTCTGGTTATGGCAAGTATATTTTAGCTCTAAAGAGTTTACTAACGTGAATACACTAATACTTTGGGAACATATTTAAAAATGCAGGAACATATTTTAAAAATAATAGTCTTTGCCTTTTCATATAGTGAAATAATCTAGAGATTGTGTCTGTATGATGAAGACCGAACTAAAGGAAGTGAGAAGCGTTTGTGTGTAATGGAACAAATCTTTCTCCTTTTGATTCTTCAGTCAAAACATAAGGATGATAGTTTTACATCTTGGACACCTAATGAAATAAAGTATATTCCAGCATACTTTATGGTTTCTTAAATCTTTCCATCTGTTAAATATGTAAGAATAAGTGCTTCTCCATATTTTTTTATCTTTAAAATTTTCCATATAGCCACTGTACCTTGATTATTCTTCAGCTAAACAGAAAAACACAATTTTCAAATGAAGCCATCAGGCATGCTTAGTCAGGCCATAAACATTCTAAGTCCTGAGCTAAAAAGTGTTTTTTCCTATAAAAACTGCTCTTCTTAGATAAGATAAACTCAAGTGCCCTTTGTCATGAGAGTCTTTCCTTCAAAAGTGTTTGAACTTAACTGCATCTTTTCTGATTTGGGTTTAGAGGAGCTTTTCCCGCTGCAAGCATTTAGTCACTTAGTAACTGAGAAATCTCTTACAGCTTAAAAATTAAACCCACCCACTTGTGATTTACTGTCAGATGTATTCTTTAAAAGTCAATGTCAGTATGTATTCTCATCCCACTTTTTGCTGACATCTCAGGGCAGGTACCAATGTCATCCAGCCATAGGTGGAAGACATAGTCTGTTCCATGTAAAAGGAGAGGACTAAAAGCATTCAATCGAACATAGAACCAACATGTGCTTGATGGGAATGGAACAGAAGAGAAGCAAAGGGGACAGATGGGTTTGCAGCCTTTGATGGGACCTCCTCCCATACTAACCATGATATTTGCCCGTTTGTTGAATGCCTTCCCTGTGGAAGCACTGAGCTGAGAGCTTTGCATACATTGTCTGAATAAATTTGAAGAGCAATCCTATGGGATAGATGGCATTCTCTCCATTTTATATGTTAAAAGCTTAGGTTCAGGGGTGTTAGGTAATTTTCCATGGTCATGCAGTGGGTGTCAGGTGAGTCCAACTGATAAACCAATGAGCAGTTGGTACCAAATCCCATTTCTTTTCATTATGCTGTTGGTTGAAAGGCATGACTAAGGCCTGGGGATTAGGCGGAGGGGTGGGGGTGGGAACAGAAACTAGGAAACTAGGGGAAAAAATCTAAAAAATGTGAGCTTCATGAAGTCAGGGACCTTTTACCACAACTTCAGAACATAGAAAATTGCCCAGTATAGACACTTCATAAATGTTTTTTTACTGATTGGGAAGAAGGGAGGGAGAGAGGAAGGGAGGAAGGGAGGAAGGGAAGGAAGAAAAGAAAGAAGGGAGGGAGGGAGGAAGGGAAGGGGAGGAGGGAGGGAAGGGCTTTCTAATCGGTTGTTGAATATGAAATAGGCTAAATTAAAAGTGAGCAGTTCTTTTCTGCTTGTGTCTACTGTAGGCAGTCCATGGTTACTTGTTGGGGATGGTCTAGATCAGTTCTTCTCAAACTTGAATATGCATATTAGTCACTGGGAAATCTTAAGATGCAGATTCTGACTCAGTAGATATGGTTTAGGGCCATAGATTCTGCGTCTCCAACAGACTCTCATGGGGTGATAATGCTGGCCTGCAGACCATATTGTGTTTCAGAGTATTCACAAGGAGTGTGAATGGATACTTTTTCTTTATTTTACTTGCTTTTCTGAATTTCTGTAGTTCTAGGACTTGGGATGGAATAAGATGAAAGAAGGTTTATGAGTGCTCCCAGTTCAAATTCAAACCTTAAGGGTAGACTTAAAATCAAAATGAGACATAGTGACACAAATGTTCATGAGATATGGACTTGATTTGGGAAGGATAATAAGAGAGTTTACTTTGCAAATAAACCAAACAAAAACCAATAGCAGAAATCTGCCGTAAATGAAAAAGATGTTGCAGATTTTTCTTTCTAATTTTGTTCCAGTTCAAAAGAGAAGAGTTGGAATGGAACCTCCAGTTTATTCTCTTAATTTCATTTGGGTCTTCTTATTAAAAATGTTGCTTTAAGACCTGAGGAGGTCATATGTGAAGGAAAACAGAAAAAGTGAGAAAGCCTTGATTTTTAAAATTAGCAAATGATAAAATAAACTTTGAGCAGTAAGGATTAAACTTATAAACTCACCCATTTTCTTTACTACTCAGTCATTAAAACTTCATTATGCATTATTTCAGATATAGAAAATGATACAGACATACAATAGGGCATAATGATAAACATCCATATAATTACTTCTTAATTTAAGAACTAAAACCAAAAAAGCTAAATTTCCTACTCTCTCTCCATGAGAGCTTTAAAATACCTTAAAGTTGAAGTTTATGGCCGGGTGCAGTGGCTCACTCCTGTAATCTCAGCACTTTGGGAGGCCGAGCTGGGCGGATCACGAGGTCAGGAGATCGAGACCATCCTGGCTAACACGGTGAAACCCTGTCTCTACTAAAAATACAAAAAAATTAGCCAGGCGTGGTGTCGGGCGCCTGTAGTCCCAGCTACTCTGGAGGCTGAGGCAGGAGAATGGCGTGAGCTCAGGAGGCAGAGCTTGCCGTGAGCTGAGATCGCACCACCTACACTCCAGCCTGGGAGACAGAGGGAGACTCTGTCTCAAACAAAAAAAAAGTTGAGGTTTATAATTTTCATACCTTTTAAAATACACTTAGTACATAATTAATAATTATGTAATATTGATGTATTACACTATATAATTATACAGTATAATTATATATAAATATATAAAATAATTATGTATAATGATTATATATTTTAATGTATTATACATTATAATGTAAGTGTATTTTAAAAGATCTGAAAATTATAAACGTCAACTGTATTTTAAAACTTCACATAAATGGTATCTAACTGAATTTTTTAATTTACCTTTTTATGCACCATTGCTTGAGTCAGCCATGTTTATAAAAGTGGCCCATTTTCACAGTTGTGTAATATTCCATTTAACTTTATGCACTTGTATTTGAGATGATGTTCACATTTCATCTCTTTATATGTTTTCTCAACATATGTGCAGGTTAAATATTGTATATATTAAAGCAACAATTTTTAGATGGCCCATAACATCATTGAAGAACTCTGAGCTGGAATTCAAGTAGGTGCCACTCCTGATCCCACCAATTAATAGTTTTGGGGACAGTTGTCAACTCACATGGTTGCTTTATTAAAATCATTATCTATAAAATGGGCATTATAGTTTTCATTTTTGGCAAATTATTATAAAAATAATTGATATGACCATTGTTATAATATGCTACAATTTACAGAACTGATGGCAGTGTAATTTTATTATAAAAATTGGGTCATCTAGGAGCTGGGTGCCCTGTTTTTTACGGTAATGTGTTCTTGAGATTGTGGGATATGAATGAGTATTTAAAGGTGAAGTACTGTGATATGTCAAGCATACTTACTGTTTAAAAACTTTCAGCTTAAAACCTCTTATTTAAAAACCAGCTTCTCTCTTCATTTATCTTTAGGCTTCTCGTTGATAAATATGGCTCTGGGGTTAGTGCCTTTACCTTTTCCGACCCCCTAGGTAGTGTTTATGGTCATTTACCACAGTGTACCATTTTGTAAATAGCACTGTAATGGCTTAAAAAAGTGGAGAATGCCTCGGGGACAGGTATTTACCCAGACAAATTGAAATGGATAGTTGAGCACTTACCCAATTAATTTATTAAATGTGCTCAGTCAATCTGGATAAATCAAAGAAATGTGCTGTTTTCTTCCTTCATTGTCAGCAGGACCTTGGCCTAAAGTATCTGAGATAATTATCTCAACTTTCTACTTCATCTTTGCCTATACAGACCTAGCCTAATTTTTCCCCAGTGAACAAATGAAATCATTCCCACCTCCTAAGAAACCTTTAAAAACTTTAACTGCTAGATGCTACTCTGTTATACTTTCTACTGTGCTTTAACTTTTCGTTTCTGATAAATACTTGGGCATATTTGATCTTCAGTTATGTAACACTTGAATAATATATGTATCACTTTTTACTTTTGAGGGATAATGTTTAAAGTAGATTTTATAATGGAGAGCCTTCTTTTAAGTTAAAAATACTAAGGGGGGGGAACCTTGATATTTGTTTTACAGATGGCAGCTGAATGGAAGTGATATTGATATGAGTATGGAACATCGTTATAAGTTGAATGGAGGAAATCTTGTGGTTATTAATCCCAACAGAAATTGGGATACAGGAACTTACCAATGTTTTGCAACAAATTCACTTGGAACAATTGTCAGCAGAGAAGCCAAACTTCAGTTTGCCTGTAAGTTTATGTTCACATGTCTAGCAAATCCAACATTAGAAAATATGTAACTTAATTTGTGTAGTCGTTTTGGATTTCAGAAATAATACATGGGTTTTATTAATTCAGTAAATAGACTGAGAAAGCAATTCAGTATGATTTTTGGACATTTTATAGTGTTCAAATCAGAGCTTTAAATGTGTGTGTGTGTGTATGTCTGTGTGTATGCTGGTGTGCATGTGTGCATGTAGGGGTGTGTGTGTGTGTGTGTGTGTGCTCTATTTTAGTATTTCACAAGGATTCTGTTTAGGGAACAGAAAAGAATGCAGTTGAGGATATTTTTATTGAGCAGCTACTATGTGCATTTTACTGTGGAAAAAAATGCGAAAGAATTGTCAGAGATGGTCCTTGCTTTTGAAGAACTTTTAGAAAATTCCATCTGACAAACCTGAAAATATTAAGGAAGAAAGACTGTCAGAACAAGAAGAAGTTACCATATGTGGTGACATGTTGTTGACTCCTCTGGGGTCTTATCACAGATGACCTCACAAATTACCCTCAGCACAGCTCCCACTGACGCCTGGGCTCTGGGAGCCATTTTGTACCATGTTATTTGGACCTAGGTGGGCACATAGCCCAACCTGAGAAAGTCACATGCTTTCTCTAGGAAATTTGGACTTGGACCCAGAGGCTCAATTTATTTTTTATCTTTGCTTATTTTCTCTTTTTTTTTTTTCTTTTTATTAGTCTCTCTTTATTTTAGTTGTGTATTTTGTACATAATGCATATCATGATTACCTTGGTTCTGAGATTTCTTGTAGTTATTCACACCTCAATAATTCTGAAATTGCAATGCATGTGTTCTTATAATGAGGTAGTATTCTTTCTGTTTTCCCCATAAACTTTTTATTAAATTAATGATGGGTCATTTAATGTCTAGCCTATTCTTTTGCTTTCTATTTTAACAATGGCAAGGGTTGGCTTTGCTTGTGCCATTATATTCTGTGTGTTCTGTTTTTCATATTTATTTTGTTCTTTCCTTTGTTTTCTCTTTATTTCTTTCTGTAGGCAAAATATTTTTTACTTGTATCTTCTCTGCATATTTTGAAAGCTATATGTGATGTTTATATTATACAACTAGTTACCCTTAAGTTAACTAAAGTACTTTGTATATATTTCTCTAATAGACAGAATTTAAGTTTATTTTTTCAGAGTTTCTCTGTTTTAAACAAAGAGTTTGGTTTCCTTTTTCCTCTTGAGCTATATTTTGCAGGTTTAGTGCAATTTCCATGGTTGATTTAAATTATGTTATTTTAATGTATATAGGAATATATATATATGTTTGGATATGTATAAATATATATGTAATAGTCTTCTCATAGATAATTGTGTATGTGCATATAGTTGTTAACTAGAATTTTGGCAAAATCTATGATGTATCCATGTTTTACCTGGCATTACTGCCAACTACTAGACCTCTTCTTATTTTTATATTCTTATTTCTTAAAATTTCTCAATAAATTTTAAAATATTTGTAACATTTACTATGTTACATTAAAAAATTCAAGTATGTTTCATGCTTTTTCATTTTAAGGAATGTCATCATATTCCCTTGAAAGTGAGGACATCATTTGGTTGATAATAAATGTTGAGTCTTGGAGCTGTTTAACAGAGAATTCCGAGTGTTTTGCTCTGTTGTCTTCTGGAACTAGTGCTGCTGAGGAGAGGAAGGTGGCCAGGCTAATTTCTGGTTTTGGGGAGTTCACCACCACCCCTTGTATTTTGGGGTTCGCTTGGTTGTATATTGGAGGATTATTTTTTCTTCATCTTTCTAGTTTAAAACATATAGATTTCCAGCATATAGCTAAGTTTAGGTTATTTTAATTTACTTTGCTTAGAACTTGAAAAATTCCTTTTTTGTACTTATACATTTTGTATACAGTTCAGGAGAGTTTCCTTTTATATATTTTAGTTTTATGTTCAATTTATATTTTCAAATGGCATGATCATCTATATTGGATTTCTTTTTTTGTGTCCCATTCTTTGAAATTCTTTTCATCTCAGCCTGTTCTTTCCTATGACTTCCTGTTCCTGATTCATATTTTTGTATTCTTTTTGTATTCTTTTGAAGATACAGTCAGTTTTCTGAAATGCTATTTATGATCTTAGAGGCAGGGTTTCCTCCACCGCTTCCATTTGGTGTTTCTATTTTTATGCTTAAGTATGTTCAATAGGTTCTAAAACAAATCTTGTCTAAACTCAGTCTTTGTCTACAAGATGGTGTTGGTGGACTACCCAGGCCCTGCAGTCTTTGCCCTGTGAAGAGTGGCAGATGAGCAATTCGCAGCCTAATTCCTTGTTTCTAGGAGTCATTCCTCTTATAAAGTGATACATACATTCCTCTAGTGATGTTTTTCTACTATGGATTCTTAATTTCATACCTGATAACATATGAAGAAATATAATAAACTTACAGGTATTTCCTCAGTCAGCCCCTCCTGAAAAGTATGACTTGTAAGAGAAAAAAAGAATACGACATGTATGACAAAATACCTCTAAAATTATCTTTCACCTCTTGCAGTCTGCCCCTAGTTCTTGGCCAGCACTTTATATGGGCAGAGTGGGGTGAAGTTGTTGAATGAGGGATGGGATTTTAATCTATTTAGGAGCTAACAAGCTAGTCTTACTGTTTCATGGAGGCTGGAAGAAGACATGAGGCTCCCAGGTCAGTGACTAAGGACTTTATTATTCTTAGAACATAAAGCATCATGAGGTTCAGCATGTTTGATTGAGTTCCCCTTAACTCCAAGTCCCACAGAGAAATGCAAAAAGGTTAGGGTAGATACTGCACCCATCTATGGGAAACACTGGGCTTAGATAATCCATCTCTTTTACAGCAAACAGTAAGCAAGCCTGGTCCTTGTCCCAGAGGGAGACATTACCTTATCCCCCCAGGTTGCTCTCTGCAAACACATCCCTGAGATGAGAGCATGGCAATGAGCAGTTAGACCATTCATTCCTTCTTGGCACACCCAGCAAAAACTTGCAAGAGAGCCCAGAGCACGTGGAAGATTGCCTCTCCCAATAGAAATTATTCATTTTCTTTGTTTGGTACTGTCCTTGAGTTTCTGAGTTGGGGTGCACCATATGAGGATACATAAGGTGAGTGAAGTACATACTATTTTCCTACCTTTATTATAATTCTCCCTTTCGTAAAGCAAACCTAAGATGTAACATTGAATACCTTAGGTTTCCCCCCAGTCTGTCCCCCTCTGCTTTACAAGTTTTATTTATTCCCTATATATTGACATTTGATTGCTTAGCTGTGTTGCTGTACAGTGAAATTATATTTTTTGTTTTGTTCTGCATTTTTGGTGTTTTTCTAAGTGTTTTATTTGGAAGTTACAAGAAGCAACATTGGGTATTCTTCACCTGACACCACATTGGACTGGAAAGATAAAAAATGTTGTTTAATATTCATGTGGTTGGGACATAGATTTCTGATAAAAAACCAAAGAAGATGAGAAAAGAAGTAGAAGATAATTACTATATGAGTAATTCCAAATTATTAGCTACAGTAGAGCATTGCTTTAACTTCATAGCCTTGAAGAAAAAGTTATACGCTAACTGAAAGAAGGGATTAGAATGGAGACCCTTGTATTAGTAGGATGCTCATGACTTCAGAGGAATCTTAACTGTCTTTGCTGCAGGCAAATGGATGTTCAAGTGCTGTCATTGAAAAATGTTCTCTCTAATTGTTCAATTTAGCTGTGTCTCTTCTCTTGACTATGTTGTATATTTATATGATTAGCCATAACTTCTTTGTTTCTCTCAGCTATGGAGAAAGTACTTCTGTGTCCTTCATGGGTAAATGAGTAAATGAAAATATGGTTGATGCTCCACTTTTAACACTAGTGAAAAACTAAAGAGATTCTATCTTAATGTTCGAGTGGCTTGAAAATAGTGGTTGTGATAAAATGAAAGTGAAAAGGCCATACATCTGATATGTTTACCCTGGATTTTATAGATTCCCTTTATCACATATTTATCAGCTAGTTTAGTTTTTATAATGAATGATTTATTATTTTAAATTCCCTTCTTAGTTTTACTGGGATAGTGATGCCGTCTTTCTTTAATATGTTAATATGGTGAACATTTACTAGTATTAGGTGACCTTCTATTCCTGGGTTAGTTTCAAGTTGGAGTTTATGCAGTTTTAAAAAAATACTTGGATGTTAGCTGTTTGCTAATATTTTCTGTAGTACTTTTGCCTATTTATCCTTTTCTGGCTATCCTTTTTTGGCTTTACTTTCAAAGTTATTTTCACCTCTAAAAGTGACCTGGAGATTATTCCTTATTTTTTCTGTTCACTAGAAAATGTCGAGAAATATTGGAATTATCATTTCCTTGAAAAAAGTATGTAACTTAGGCTTGGAGTTTTCTTTGAGGAAATGTTTTACCTACTCATTGAATGTATTGAGTATTATTTCTTTGTGATAAGTTGTATTTTTTCCAGGAATTTTATCCATTTCATTTATGTTTTCTAATATACTAGTAAAAAATGTTTCAAAAGTTTTAAAATTATTTTTCTCATTTCTGCTTTATCTAGACATATATTTAATTTTCTCTTATAAATATTATCTTGGTACACTTTTAAAATATAATTTGTTAGAATTTGATGTTATTATTCCTCACTTTCAAATTTCTACACTCTGTTTCATTCATTTTTCTCTTATCTTTATTGTTCTTCCAAAGTTGTTGTATTTTTTATAGTTCTTTTCAAATTACTTAACTTGTATGGTTAACTTATTCTTTTCTATACTTTATTCTCTTCTGATATAAATTTGTATGGTTTTAAATTTTCCTGAAAGTACAGTTTTAGCTGTATTCAAAGAATTAGACATATAGCAAATTTGTTCTGTTTCAGTTCAGTAAATGTTATAATTTCATTATGATTTTCTTTGATTTGTGAGTTATCAGACGTGACATGTATTTTAAATTTCCAAACATGTGGAGTTTTACTAGTCATCTTTTGATACTGATTTCTAACCTAGTATCCCATTGACCAGAGAATGGACTGTAAGATATTAATTCTTGGAAATTGTTGATATTTTTCCTGTGGCCCAACATATGATTAGTTTTTTTAATAAATGATTCATATGTCCTTAAAAAAATGGATATTCTCTAAATACTGGGTATGGTGTTCTCCATATGTTCATTGGGTTAAATTTGTTAATTATGTTGCTCAAATCACCTATATCATTACTGATGCCTAATCTATCATTTTTCTCTCACATTGATGATGGCTTTTTTAGTTTCTCCTGGTATTTCTATTTAAACTGTATGTATTTAGTCAATTATTTGTGTCTAAAAATTTAGAGTGACTGTATTTTTTTGTCAACAAGTGGTGACACTATCTTCAATAGAGCATTTTGCCTTCTAGTTTATATGGTAATATATTAATATTGTTATATTAATACGGTCTGATTTTTATGTTCTTTTTTTTCTTTCTTCCTTTCACGTGGATTGGTTGAACTACTTTCTCCCTGAAAAGCACTGGATGTTATACATCCTACTTATTTTCTTATAGTAACTTCCCTAGAAATTTTAGTATCTATGTTTAACAAAATCTAAAGTTAATCAATATCTCCAACAATGAGGATTATAATGTTTTAAATAGTATAGCCCACCTAGAGAACCCTATACTATTTTTGCTGAATATTTTTGCTGAATTTTTAACCCTGTGAATTAGACATTAGTGCTAATGTTTCGTTTATCTTCTAGATCAGAAATAGTGTGAGCATGTACAAACATCTATATTTTTTTATTTTTAAGGAAAACATCAAGCTTTTGTCCATATTTTCTCTATTTTTCCTTTTTAGAAGAAACTGCTTTCAACATTTTCACTGTCTCTTTTGGTATTTATCTAAATTTGTGTGAATAACTTGCCTATATTGCCGCTTACTGATTTTTTTTTCCAGTTTTAAGTATTACTGTTGACTGTTAACTATGCCAGCTGATGCTACAACACTCTCCTACCACCACCTTACCACCACAGCAATATGATGTTGCATTATTATGAGGCTTACAAAATCCATAAATTTTAAGCCATAATTCTTACAAAATACGTAAAGATAAAAAGTCAAATGCACACTGCATTTCACTGAATGTGCCACAACTGGATAGAGTCCCCAGTGATCACAAGACAGTTTCTCAAACCAGCCCACATCCAAAACTTCACAGAGGATACAAATTTTGGCCTGCCTGTGTTTGAAACTAGAAGATGGGAAGAATACTGTAGAGGACTGGAACCAGTTTCCAGTTGATTCATATTTGAATAAGCATCAGCTTAGGCCATGTTATTATAGGATTTTATTGGGCCATAATTTCAGCTAGGTCAATATTCAGTGTTTACATCACTATGACTTTGTAAAGGATATCCAGAGATGAGTTTTGCAGCAAACAATAATTCTGAATATTTTTCCTTTCATGCATGATTTTTCTTTTTCTAATAGTAGTCTTATTACATTATTTTACTTATTGATTTTTCTATAGTCTTATACTTAAGTCAACCAAAATTTTGGCCAAATTTTTGGATGTCCTCTCAGGTATTGAGATGTAATCAGATATTCTGTTAGTTTTATCTTCTTGGAGAATTATATCCTAGAGCCATCAGAGTGCTCCAGTTGGATTGGTTTTCCTGTATATCAGGAACAAAATTGTCTTTCTGGGATCTCCCTTCACCATCACTCACTCTAATGATCCCCTACAAATCTCTGCTGTGTCCACCCCCCAACACCCACATTCCACATCTTCGTCTTTCTTGGTGTTCATTGTTTTAGGGTGTCATGTCCTCCATGTCCTAAAAAAGGATGCATCATATTTTTTATTGTTCTAGAACATGTGTTCTAAAAATTAGTATGCTGGCATACTCAATCGAGAGACTTAGCTTAACTTAGTATGAATAATATGTTACAAATCTTTTTCTTTCAGAATGTTGAAGATACTTCGCCTTGCTAACTAGCTTGCTGTGCTGTTGTGAAGTCTGATGACATTCTGATTTGTGGTATCTTGTATAGAGAGGCCTGTATTTCTCTAGGGAGGCTTCTAGGTATTCTCTTTGCCCCTAGTTTTCTATTATGGCAAAAAACACAGTTACTTTTGCACCAACCTAACCAAATTCCACAATGACTTGATTTGTTATGGGTCGAATTTTATTTCACATCTTGGTTACTCTGTGGGTCCTTGTAGTTTCAAAACATGAGTCCTTTAATTATGGGAGATTTTATGATTTCCTGTCTTTAGTTTTCTCTGTTTCCTATTTCACACATATTATTACTTGCATCTTGAACCACCTGGAATAGATTGTTTCTCTCAACCCTTCCTCCCTCCCCCAGACAGTCTCTTCAAATTTCCTTCTCTTTGACTTTTATCTCTATTCTTGATAGACTACTTTAGTCCTTTCTTTAAACACTTCTATTGAGTTTTTAATACCTATCATAATATTTTTTACAATTTAAGAGACTTTTATATTTGAAATTTCCTTTCTATACCATATTCTAGTGTAATAGTTGTAATAGCTTCTCATATCCACATCAAGATATAAATGATGGTTAGTTGCTTTTATGTTTTCTTCCCTCATATGAACTGTTTTATCCAGGTTGTTTCATTTTAGTTTTGTGTTGGTTTGTTTCTCTCTTTCAAGTGGGAAACCTTTTTGCAGCTATCTGGTTATATTTGGTTGTTGGCACAAACTTAGGAGTGTGGAACTAAAAACCTAATGGAAACTTAGATGTGCCTGAGCAGAGTTTGTCTTCAGGAGGGTCGCTATGGTGTCGCTCATCTCACTGGGCTCACCTCATTATTACCTCTTTCTTTTTGAGAAAGTCAGATTCCCCAGAGGGGAAAGAAATCCAGTTTTCTTCCTTGAGGGCAGAAACCTCCACTGGCTCCTGGGAGCTAAGTAGAAAAGAGGCCTTGGGGGATTGCAGAATCCAGTGTGCATACATGCATTTAATATACCTTACAAGACCCTCCACAAAACATCACCTGCAGTTCAGACAGCCTCTCCTTACCCTTTTTTGAGAATAAGCCTCTTCTCTTCTAGTGTGGGGGAGGGCACTCACCTGGCTATGTGGACGGGACAGAGAACCTGGATTCCTAACCACAGCTTCAAATTCTTACCTTCCCATTGTCATATTGCATTTCCTCTTCCAGATGTGCCTGCTACCCCCAGTCCTAAGCCGTTGAGGATTCTGCGCACACATCAATCACTTCCATGCTTGGCTCACTAAAAGCTTAAAAGTCATCTTTCTCCATGATGCCAAACCATTTAATATCATCACACCTGTTTTCTAACATTTACATTTGTACTTTGTTCTTCTATTGTCCTGTCTTTGTGGGTTTATGCCTTTATAGACTATCTCTTACCTACTAGTAAGTCCTAGTTTGGGAATATTTCAGGACTAAGAGAGAAATGACTTCTGTGTTTCCCTTAGAGCCTTATTGTTATTTCACATAACTGATGTTTGTTTAGCTTTACTCCTGTGTTTACTGTTTCCCTTGCACCCATTCTTGCATCTGGAAGCATTTCCTTCTTTGAGATCTGTGTTTTTTTTTAATTTTTTTAAATTTTTAATTGTTGTGGCTACATAGTAGGTGTATATATTCATGGGGTATATGAGACATTTTGATACAGACATACAATGTGTAATAATCACATCATGGAGAATGGGGTATTCCCCCACCCCAGCATTTATCCTTCGTGTTATAAACCATCCAATTACACTCTCAGTTATTTTAAAATGTGCAATTAGCACATCTTATTCTGTCTAACTCTTTTTATTTTACCCATTAACCATCTCCACCTCCCTAACCACCCCTAATCCCCCACTACCCTTCCCAGCCTCTAGTAACCATCCTTATTTAAGCCCATGAGTTTTTATTTTTAGATCCCACAAATAATATGCAGTGTTTGTCTTTCTGTGCCTGGCTTACTTCACTCAACATGATGTCAGGATCTGTATCTTTTAGAAATCCTTTTACTGAGTCCCTCTTGCTGGTCAGTACTGTTTTATTTTTCATCTCTTTTCCTCTTTGGTCTTAAAGTGTGTTTATTTTGCCCTCATTTGCCAAAAAATAATTTTTTAGTAAAGTGTATTGCTCAAGGCACAGACACAGTAGCTTACTTTCTGGGTCTGAAGCTTATGTTCATCATTTAGCAGCCATGTGACTTTGGGCAGATTCTAAACCTCTAAGGTTCTTCTTCTGTACAGACAGGATAATAAAATTTATCTCAGTAGGTGTGTGGATTAAGTGAGCTAATATATGTCAAGCACCTGGAACACTGTCTAGCACATAATGCATGCGATTATCATTTTTATACAATTCTGGAGAGTAATTCTTGGGATGCATGTCTTATGGAAACTCTGGAAAATTCCCAGCCATATATGTGTCTTCCACTTTTGCTTATCCCCCATGCCTATTCTTTACTCCTCCTGGTTTTCCTTTTGAGTGTATTTTGAATCTTCTCGTTATCTATTCTATCTCTTTTTACCTCTCTTTCATATTTTCCATTCTGTATCTCTTTGTGTTCTTCCATGTTAACTGCTTAGCTCTAGCCTATACTATATTAATTCTTCCGTCATCTCTGCCTACCTTGTTATTAAGCTACCCTTTGAGGTTTTAATTTTAATGAATATATTTTCCATGTCGAGACATTCTATCTGATTCTTTTTCATGTGTTTCTGTTCTTTATTCAGAGTATCATTATTTTCTGATTATTTGACCCCTCTCTCATTTTCCTTTGTTACTTTATTTGTTTAACTCTAAAGTATTTAGGTATTCATTCATAGTGTTGTTTTGTTAGATCAGAATATTGCAAATGCTAACCTGCGATTTGTTGATCTGCTGACTCTTGTTGTAGTGAATATTTTTGTCTTTTTAAATTTTTGATGCGAATTTGATCTTTAGCAGAGTTTCTACCTACCTGGACAAACATTTGATTCTTGTTAGCCTCTGTTTAAGTAGTGTCCTTACCTAGCAGCTGTTATTGCTGCTGCCAGGAACCTCAGGGCTATACCAAAGTGAGAACTGTCTTATGTTAGTATATTCGCTTGATGTAGCCCACCATAAATAGTCAATGTTCATTACTCATGGTAGTTAGGTTCTATAAAGTCACTGCTAACACTGAATTAATGAATACTGAACTATTGCTCCTAAGGGAAATACAAGATTAGGTTCCTGTGCACCTCTCAACATTTTCCTCAATCAAATAATACCTCACCTTGTTTTGTGTGTGTTTCTCTTTAAAGACACCTTATATATTGTTGCTTCATTAACATTGAACTCATGGCCAACCTCACTATAACTCATACCTGAATGAAGCTTAGCTAACACCTATATTTTCTCCGTAGGGCATGTCACAAACTTCTTTCACATGGAAACACTAGACTGCATTTCAGTACTATACCTGGGGGCCATTTTAAACAGCAAGATCACCAAACACAGTGCAAACATATGAAAAATGTGGCACAAAATGTATGGTGAAAAGGATATTTGTTTATAATGAGAGCTGAAACAAGAAGGCAGAATGTCACTTTGGTCAGCTTCGGCTGGGAATGTGCATATGAGGAAACCCCACTGTTTCACCACTCTGCACGTACCTGTGAATGACCTTGAAAGTACTGCACATACTGATTTTGGGGTCACAAATAAATTTTAGTGAGTTGGTGCATTTTCAAGTATGAAATCCATGAAGAAGAAAAATTGACTGTATATTACATAAATATGAAACCCCAAACCATGTGAGGTATAGGCCCAGCAGATCGAATTTTTGGTTGAAATAATACTCATTTCCACCGTTCCTTCTATCTATATTACACCAACTTCAATGAGAAAGAGATGAACAAATTAATTTTCTAGTCCTTTCCCCATAAGTACAGCCTTGCAGCGATGCAGGATGTGTGCAAAACGTCTTATTTCTAAATGGCAATTCCCTAGCGTTAAGATCTCATCTCTTCTTTCCACATGGGCAACTGAACCTAAGCTACCAGGTTACCAAACTAATCCTGTCATCCTCCATGCCCTAATTACACTGTTCCAGCAACCACGGTGTAAGCTGTAGAATTTATAAGTCTGCTTTGTGGCTTTCTATTTTTGCTTAGATATGCATTTGATTTAATTTTGTTGTATTTTAACCAACATTGCTGTGCTATTTGTGGAACTAGAATTCTACGTTTTCTTGAACTCCTTTTTATTTTTTATTCAGTTCTGTTGCTTAGGAAAATAATGTTAGTGAGTGAAGCAGGTTTTGTTTAAGCAATAAGGAGTATTAGGGTCTGGGATGGACCAGAGAAGGCACATGTATTAGTCTGTTCTCACATTGCTATAAAGAAATACCTGAGACTGGGTAATTTATAAGTAAAAAAGTTCTGATTGGCTTATGGTTCTGCAGGCTGTACAGGAAGTATGATGCTGGCATCTGCTTACATGGCTGGGCTTCTGGGGAGATCTCAGGATACTTAGAATCATGGCAGAAGGCGAAGAGGGAGCAGGCATGTCACATTGCCAGAGCAGGAGCAAGAGAACGGTGGGGAGGAACCACACACTTTTAAGATCTCTCAGCAAAACTCACTCACTGTCTCAAGGACAATACCAAGAGGGATGATCCTAAGCCATTTCTGAGAAACCACCCCCATGATCTAATCACCTCCCACCAGGCCCCACCTCCAACACTTGGCGTTGCATTTCAATATGAGATTTGGGGAAGGACACACATCCAAACTGAATCAGCTTGCTCTTTCTAAAGGGGACTCTCAGTTGGGCACGGTGGCTTATGCTGGTAGTCCCAGCTACTTGGGAGGCTGAGGGAGGAAAATCACTTGAACTTGGGAGATGGAGGTTGCAGTGAGCTGAGTTCGTACCACTGCACTCCAACCTGAGTGACTGAGCGAGACTTGCTGTCAAAAATAATAATAAAAGGGACTATCACTACTCAGCTCCCCATTTTGAGTCATTTTATTACTCCTAAATTTATATTTCCCAGCTTGACCTCTGCCCTGAACTCCAGTGTCCACATCTCTGGGTATCAGTAGACATCTCAAGCTTATGTTTTCAAACCATAATTTTGATTTTGCCCATAAACTTGGTCTTTTCTGATGTTCTCCACCTTGGTAAGAGGGCACATTTGTTGTGTTGTTCAGATCCAAACTGAGAGCCATGTTTCAGCTCTGTCTCTCTCGTATTCCACATCTATTTAGCAATAAATCTGATTGCATTTATCTTCAAAATATACCCAGAATCTGGCCACTGCTCACTCTTCCCACCAGTACCACCTGTGAATGAGAGTCAGCTCGCCTCTCACCTCCCCCGTGGCAATAGCTTCTGACATATCCTGTAACTATCACTCTTTCTAGTACTGCCCCACTGCTGTAATTTCCTCATCTCCATCCAACAACTAGAATGTTTCCTATAATTTCATGCTGAACATATCGATACCTCCCTGGACAAAACCTCCAATGGTTTCTCATAGAGACTAAGATAAATTTTACTCATTACCTTTGTTCCAAGGGCTCTGTCCTGGTTCCCGTATGTGATCTCCTTCCTCTTCCCTGCACTTCTCTCACACTTATCTTGCCTTACTTTTAGGTGCTGTGAATGTTTTCACCCAGACCCTTCCCCCGGGTCTGTACAGTTTGCTCCATCATCAGGTCACTGCTTCAGTATCATTTCCTAAAAATTGCTTTCTACCCTCTGTATTTTCACCACAGTTTTGATTACCTGACATTTTACATCTTTTCTATTTGTTTATTTTTGTCTCTCTTAAAGATTAAAAGACTATGTTGTTCACTGGTACATTCCTACAAACTGGCAGTTTTCCTGGAATGTAGTAGATGCTCATTCAATATTTGTTCAATAAATGAAATGATGAATGAGCAAATGCAGGACCGTATTACCAAAGCTAATCTCTTTTCAAAATAAAGCAGAATCTGTTCTTTACTTGAATTGTCTTGACATTTTAAATGTTGGGGACTAAATTTAAATTTTATAAAAGCACTAAATAGGCCAATCCTGTAAGCATAAAACAAAACAAGTCTGAGGGCCAGATATAGCCCATGGGTCACTGGTTAATGATCTCTGACCTGGAAGTTGAGAGCAGATATACTATGAAATTAAAAGGATTTTATTAGATTACGAAGGAGTCTACCCCCTCACATAACCAGATATATAAGATAGCATCTAATCAGTCTGGAATTGGTTTATTTTTGCCTTTTCTTTCCCTGTTTTTTTTTTTCGCTTTTCTGTTTATTTTGCAATCTTTTTATAGAAAGCAGAAATTGACCACATTGCTCCTATCAGTAGAGGGTAGCACATTATTCACTTTTCTTAGATTATATTTTTTTAATTTTTTAATTATTATAGATTATAATATTTAGAAGCACATTTAGACATGGAAAGAGAAGTTTGAAGAAAGATTAAACAAATGCAAACAGTTTTAAGGATGAATCCCAGAGTGGCTGGCTATATCTGAAAATAAAAATTACCGACAATTAGCTAAAATGGTTGTGTTAAAATCCGTAGAAGCCTAATTTTCTCTGAGTTATAGGCTGTGTTATTTCTCATAACTAACTAGTGTGGCTAAAAATGCAAATTTCATCTTTGAACAGAAGTGACTTTGATCACATCCAAAGCTGCTTTGCTGTGATGGTCTAAAACCAAGTTAAATTTAAAGCCAAATGCTACAACTCAGTATGCCATTCACAGTATATGAACTTAAAACAAAACAAAGCTTTTTAGTCAAGCACAATGCTTTTCAACCTGGTCTCATTAGAAAGTTGTGACTTTTTAAAACCAAGTTTCCGTTGAGATTAACATTTTATCACTAACTTCTCAGCCTGTGTATTTTATGTCTTTCCATATAAATGAAACATATTTGTTATTTGCCTTTTGAATCATAAAATCTTTTAGTTTGTACAATAACTGAAGATATCTTAGGATATCCATGGTCTCACAGTATTATTTCAGGCTCTACATTATTGGGGGGAATAGTTAGCTGAGACGATTCCATTGACAGGTAACTTAATCTAAATTTTCACTGGACTTGCTATGTTTACCTACCTATTCTTAGGTTTTTAAGGTGCATATATGTGAATGATTGGTACAGAGAGGGCAAAGTATGCTCAAATTAACTAGAATGTTTCCTAATCAATTTTCTCCTAAAAGCATATTGAGATGAGTTTCCATCTGTTGGACACTCTGTTGTGTTGGAATATGGGAGAGTAGTGCATTATTTGAACCACTGAGGTTGAGTTGAATTTGGAATCTTCATCACTGAGATCTTCATTATATGAGCATAGAATGTTCGTAATTGAACAAGTGGCCTAATCATAGTAGCATAGCCACCAGACATAAAGAAAGGATTTTCACTGTGGAGTTATAATGATAGCATGAACAACCAAAAAACATGAGAGAGACTTCAAAGTTTGAGTTCATTCATTTATTCAGTGAGCAGGAATTGAGCCTTTTCTGTGTGTCGGACTCTTCACAAAAGGCTGAGCATTTAGGAACGTCCTTGTTTTCATGGAACTTATGGTCTAGTTGGGAATAGAATGCCATCAGATTAATGCACAAATACATACAAACTGGGACAGATAACTATAAAGGAAAACACTAGCTTTCCATTTCCCCACGATCCATCTTCGGTAACTGAAATTCAATCTCCATTCTTCCACCTTAAAGGCAGAAGTGAAAAAGAGCCCAGAATGTTCTAGACTTGAATCACATGTATTTCAGTGTAGCCAACAAGTCAGAGAATGACATGAGATGAGTTGGCAGAAGTGGTCACAGCCTAGACAGTTCAAGTTTATGTAAACCATCATATTCCAAGCACTTTAGAGGCCCATAAACAGTGGCATATTTTGATGTATAAGATAACGCTAGGTGTTCTGTGGCAGTGAGGCTAGAGAGGATCAAGGATTCAAACAAGGAGAATAGAAAACTAGGAAATGGTTACTTTTGTTTATAGAGTTCATGATTTTTAAGGAAGAAATCGATTTTAAAATCTTGAGATAAAAATGATAAAATGCAGTAATGGATGGCATGTGGGGAATGTGGAGTATTTTTCTTTTTTTTTATTATACTTTAAGTTCTGGGTTACCTGTGAAGAACATGCAGTATTGTTACATAGGTATACACGTGCCATGGTGGTTTGCTGTACCCATCAACCTGTCACCTACATTAGGTATTTCTCCTAATGTTATCTCTCCCCCAGCCTCCCACCCTGCACAGGCCCTGGTGTGTGATGTTCCCCTCCCTGTGTCCATGTAATCCCAGCACTTTGGGATCCCGCTGAGGCTGGCGGATCACAATGTCAAGAGATCAAGACCATCCTGACCAACATGATGAAACCCCATCTCTACTAAAAATACAAAAATTAGCTAGGCGTGGTGGCACGTGCCTGTAGTCTCAGCTGCTTGGGAGGCTGAGGCAGGAGAATCGCTTGAACCCGGGAGGCGGAGGTTGCAGTGAGCCGAGATCACACCACTGCACTCTAGCTTGGGCAACAGAGCAAGACTCCATCTCAGACAACAACAACAACAACAACAAAAAACCGAATATGTTTTGGCATGGAGTATTTTTCTCATTGAGTTGGATGGATAGTAGTGCAGTTCACAGCAACATTGGAAGACCAGTATATTTTTTGAGAGGGGTAACAGGGAGGAGGAGTTGAGACTGGTTTATAAAGATCATGAGTTTGTTATTAAACACATTGATTTAATGACATCCTCTGCAAGTAACCTGAAAAGTTTCTATTCCACCTAGTTTCGTTATAGAGTGGTTAATCAGGCAGCCTTGTCATTCATGTTTGCCCGGGCCATACTCTGCCCAAATGCTCCTGGATGAAATCCACCCAAGGCTTTTTTCTTCACTTAGGGAGCCGGGCCCAGGTCTGACTGTGACAGCATGTAGGGAGAGGTGACTTTCTATCTCTTTCCCAGAGAAGGCAGCTTTTTATAATTCCTACACAGGCACTGTATGTTCTGACTATGGTCCTGCTGCTAGCTGGGGATGTGGTGAGCTGGAATGGAGAAGGACAGATTCAGATACTATTTTTAAATAACAGCTTTTGAGATATAATTTACATACCGTGTAATTCCCTGTTTAGAGTATACAATTCCGTGTTTCTAGTATATTCACAGAGTTGTGCAGCCATCACCACCATTAATTTTAGAGAGTTATTATCATACCCCAAAGAAACCATGCCCATTAGCCATCTCTCCATTTCCCCCAAAACCCCCCACTCCAGCCCCTAAAAAGCAGGAATCTACTTTCTGTATTATGGGTTTGCCTATTCTGGACATTTTATATACACGGAATCATGCACTGTGTGTTCTTTGATGACTGTTGTAAGGTTCTTCATATAGTAGCATGTGTCAGTACTTCGTTCCTGTTTATTGCCGAATAATATTCCACTGATTAGCTATATCACATGCTGTTTATCGATTTATTAGTTGATGATTATTAGGGTTGTTTCTGCTTTTTCATTGCTATAAATAATGCTGCTGTAAGCATTTGTTTACATGTTTGTATGCAGAATATTTTTTTATTACTGTTAGATATATACATACCTAAGAGTGGGATTGCTAGGTTTTAGGATAACTCTACATTTAACGTTTTTAAGTAAACGGCAGACTGTTTTCTAAAGTCACCGCACCGATTTACATTCCTACCAGCAGTATTTGAGGGTTCCATCTCCTCCACATTCTAGCCAACATTTGTTATTGTTTGTCTTTTTATTATAACCATCCTAGTGGGTACGAAGGGGTATCGTATTGTGGTTTTCATTTACATCTCCCTGATGACTAACGATGTGAGCTTGTTTTCATGTGTTTACTGGCCAACTATATACCTGCTTTTGAGAAATATCTATTTAGATCCTTTGCCCATTTTTAAATTGGGTTATTTGTCTTTTTATTATTGAGTTGTTGGAATTCTTTATGACTTCTAAATACAAGTCCCTTGTCAGATACATGCAAATGTTTCCCACCATTCTGTGGGTCTGATGAGTTTTTGAGTCATCTCTTTAAATCTCTGGAGTCAGTTGTTAGGAATTTTTTGTACTTAGTAGACTGACAAGGGCTGTCTTCAATTTGAGAGTCTTCTAGCGGGGTTAAAATGACATACTCTACTAATCACATCAGTGGCTTAGCGTGGACGGAACCCAAGATTAATCCTGGAAGACCTGGGTTGTAGTCCTGACTCCACTACTAGATGGGAGCCTCTTGTCCTCTCTGGGCCTCAGTTTCTTTATTTGTAAAGAAGGATCAGTCACATTATTTAAAATACTCTTCTGTTCTACCCTTCTGTGATTCTAAGATTAGAATTTATGCTATGAAACAAATTTAAATTGTTTCTAGATTGTGAAACAACTGAGAGCATTGGATGAAATATTTTTTCTCTTCTTTTTTTTAATTGAGATTTTCCCAAGTATCACAGTATAACAATGGCCTTTAGAATATGCTTGCCTTTTTCCCTTTAAAGCAGTACTTGTTGAAACTAACAACTAAATGACAGGCTTGGAACCTATTTTTGTAAAACGATGTAATTCAGTTTGGAAAATAATGTTTAAACCCCTCCCAAATCTGTCATCTGGAGGAGACTCATCTGTCACGTATATAGGTGTTGATCACTGGAAGTGGCACTTGTTTGCTATAACCACAGGTTTGTTATGCTAGAGAATCCAGAAACCTCCCTATTCCTGTGTCGAACTGCAGTTGCATTCATGGAAATCCAATTGATAGTTTAGTGTATTTTTTTGTTTTGTTCTCAGCTGTGGGTTTGTCTTATCTAAATGGTTTTAGCTGATGCCATTAATAAAAAATAATCTGTTAATTCAGATAATTCAATTAAGATATTTACCCCAGTGGTGCTGGTATTAGAATGGGGTCATCTCTATCAATATGGGCCCATTGATGGAAATGAAATTCAGTAAGTTAGACTCTTTGGTACCGATGATAATATGCCTGGGAACTGAGCATCTAAAAGATTTCTGATGTCCTAGTGACATGTACATTTAATTTTTTAAATTGTATTTCATTTAAAAAAAATCTAGATTTTCTTTGATATGTAGCCTTGGCTAGCTCCCTTCCCTTTTCTGTCAGTTACCAGCCGTAAGAAGCATCTAGACTCAAGATTTTGCTTGAGATATCAATAGCATTTTAACATCTGTAAATGTTGTTTTTGAATACAAAACATGTTATATGTATCATTGCAGGGATCAAAGGGAAAATGTTGATTACCTTTCTGTAAAGCTGATTCTGATTCCTTTCAAATTGAGTATGATTTTATAAGACCTAAGTCCTGTGAAATCCATTCTTATTGGAGTCCAGTATCCCAGAGACTTAGATATTTCCCAAAGCTGGAGACATTATCAGCCCATTTGGCCCTTTGATTAACTGGCATTCTTCCATGGGGGTTTTCTTTTGTTCCGATATAATGCCATTGCAATAGAAGTAGATTGAATGCTTCTTGGCATAGATCAGTTTTATTTTCTTGAACCTCAGAAAGATTCTTGCTTAGAAATCATCTGCCTGTTGTTTTGTTTTACTTTCCCTCTTTGGCCACTGTAGGAGTGTTCCTTTATTACCGTTCTGTTGGGATTTTTTCTGTCACTTCTAAAGAACTCTAAAAAGCAATTTCTTGTCTATAGCAGAACAGTTATGGCTTGTCTGTGACAGAAAGGGTTGCCTGGTGAAGGTAGCAGCTGCTTGGGTGGTATATATAAAGTTAAAACCAAATGGCTTGTGAAAGGCTAGAATTGAACTCAACCCCTTAATTTCAGATAAAGCGCTATTATGTGTGTGGTGTTTTGTAGTGTATCATGTACCATAATTTTTAGGCTGTTGTGTTCTCTTGCTGTAGGATGCTAAAAATATTCTGTAATTTCTTCTTCTGTGTGAGCATCTATTTAATTGAGTCCTGGTTTAATGCTTATCCATTATACCGCTGTGATTCTATTTTGCAAATGTTGGAAAATGTCTTTAAAACCATACCTGAAACCCTGTAATTTTCAGAGTAATGATCTCTTTTGGAGGATTTTTCCTTCCCCCATCCCCCACCATTTTTGTTAGATTTGGAGTTACGACTTCAAATCAAATAGCTTTGATAAGAATATTTCCCTCTACATCTTTTCATAATTCTGCATTTGGTAAAATAACTCTTATTTTTTAGTCATTTTAGGATGATTTAATTTGCAAAAGATATCCAATATCATTTTTTTCTTTTGTGACTTGTCTGCCATAATCTTTCTGTGTTAAAGTGAAGAATATGTGACTCAAGAGTATAGTATACCTTTTTTGAAAAAAATTGTATTTGTATCTTTTTTGAAAAAAATTATATTTGCTATAAATTGTACTTCGGAACTTTAATTTCAAAATCCCAAAAGATATAGTTTTAAAAAATGGAATATATCATCACTTTGGTTATTTAATTTGGTAGAGTTATTAATAAAAATTTCCCATAGAGAACACTAATCAGTTATCTTCTTTATATGTGCAGACTGTGATTAAAACTGCTGTCTGTCAATTTCCCACTAAGTTTTTATTTCTTTGCACTCAGTAATACTAATACATAATGACGTACAATCAATAGGTACATTCATTTCTTTTATGTATCTTTTTTATTCCTAATATCTTGATTGTAGCCTCTTGATGATCAAGTTGAAAATTTTTATGTTAAATACAGTCTCAAGTTATTAAATTTGTTTTAATGCATTCACTGAAAATCTCTTCTAAAAATCTACATTTAGCTCCAGGTTGTCCAGTAGACAACTTGTTAATAAAATGTCACATTCAACCCACAATTTTTAGGTACATTTTCCTCCATGACAACTCATCTCGGCCTTAAGTTCCCATTAGAATAGGTATTAATGAGAAGACATATAATTATACATTTTCCAGTTTTTTTCTAACACCAAAACAGTTATGCCTCTTAATGCATAATGATACTTTCAGCATAATAGTTGGGGAATCGATATAAATTTCATTATCATACTTTCTTCCGTTTTTGACTGTGAACTATGAACATCTTTGTTATTGATATTTTATCCATGGTTTTTCTAACACTGTATTTTGGTGTTGTCAGCAGCTCAAAATCCTTTTGTCTTCAATAGGCCCTGAGTCCGTGTGCAAGAAAGTGTCCAGCAAGACTAATGTTATGCCACTTAACATGTTTATCTTTCTCCTTCATCTGTAAATTCTTCCTAAGTTTTCTCTGCTCTTGGTGTGACTCACTTGCCCTCCCACTAAACTCACGTATTTTCTCCATGTTTCTCTCCTTCTGACAGCATCTTTTTGTGTCTGCTCAGGTTCCACTTGCTTTAATTTGGACTCTTTCAGTGACAAGCAATAGAAACTCAATGCAGAACTGGCTTAAGCTCTACAGGGAATTTTTGGCATCTGCAGCTGAAAAGTCTTGGGTAAATTGGCTATAGTCCTAGCTGGATCCAGGGGTTCAAACGGTGCCTTCAGGCCTTGGTATCTCTCCATCTCTGCTTTTTTCTCTATTGGCCTCATTCTGGGGCAGCCTCCACCTCCTGGATGTCAGCCAGCATCTGAATTTAGCAGTCTCAGGAGACAGGAACTTGCTTCTCCTTCAGGGTTCAGACACAAATCCCAGGCATAAGCTTGAAATAGGAGCCCTGCCTATCCCTGGACAGCCCTGCGACCTGGTGTCCTCACACACTGGCAGGGTGGGGCAATGGAGGGTTCTGAAAGTAAATATGCTGTTGTCAGATAGAGGGGTGGATGCTGTAAAAGCAAAGACATGTATTGTGCTACAGACTTTTCTTTGTATGGAGAAATGCATTTTTTTGTGTGTACAATGACTTCTGGATAGATATAAGAAGAAATGGAAACAATCCTCAATTTATCATTCTTTCTAGATTCTTCCATTAGAAGACACCAGCAGAGAAAAATCATTTCAGTGCTGTTTAATTAATTGAAGGCTGTAGTTGGATCCTTTCCATTATTTTCTGTTTTTACCTTTTATGGTCTAGGTTTTTTGTTTATTTGTTTTTGTTTTAAATCATGTACCAATCCCCACACTCTTTGACTGAGTCGTGAGTGTAATAGTAACGATAAAGACCTTTTTGTTGTTGTTGTTGCTTCTACCTGTCCGCACGATACTTAATACTCCTTGGGGGATCATTTGGTATTCTTTGTATCCCCGGAATGGAACACAAAGTCTGGTGAAAAATAATTTTGGAAGTTAGCTTACAGGCCTGCTGTGTACCAGCCACTTTTATAAGTTAAGATCCAGTTAGTTTTAATAGGAAACTGACATTGTCAGAAGGTTCTTAGGGAATGTTTATTTACAAATTTGAACAGGATCAATGGTAATAGAAATATTAAAGCAAGGTACATATACTCTTGGCTAGAAATCACCATGACTTTTCCCTGTGGATTTTGTTTTCAAATTCAACAGTTGTGTCATGTGGACATCCAAATTTAGGTGCCTCTTGATTTGATGCCATAGAAAGTGTGTAGCACCAACTATGAATGATTGTTAATATAAATCAATTAATGAATAATAACTTGACTCTAATTAAACCTCTAGGTCTAACTGCCCATTTAGGGGATAGAAGTACAAGTTAAAGACATTTTAAAAAGAGATGCCATTAACCTATTTTATATTGTAATTAATTTAACAGCACAAATGACTGATTTTCTGCAATAGATAAATGGCATGAGCAAAGGAGGAGGAGGAGAAGGAGTGCAAAACTGCTACAGATTTTTAAAATATTATGCCACAAACTCATAACTATATAATATGGATTTTTTTTCTGTGTAGTCACTTTTCAGATGCCACCTACTGGATTTAGTAGCTCCTAATTAAATATTTGTGACTAATGTCCTCTGGACCAGGATGTAAGCACTCTGGGGCTTGGCAGCTGGATTTTAAGCTGTAAGCATATCCTTCCACTGACATTCTTTCCTTTAAATCCTTCTGCCCATCTCATGCCAGACCACTGTCATTATACATTTCTGCTTTTATATCTGTATATACCATCAAGTATTTCAACAAAAAAGAAATCAGAATATATTAGCTTGGGTTCTATAACCAAGTTTATTCAGGGAGTAACAGATGATACATTCAGTTGAGAATTATGGGGGCTGCTTAATAAATGTAGATTTTATGATTTTTTGCATATGTATTTTTGAGCTATTGTAATTATAAATTATACTTGAGCAATTATTATGGACCAAGCACAGTACTAATGAAAGCTTTTATATAGTTATCTCATTGTATCCTTATAACAACTCTATGAGGTAACACAGATTGTAGGAGGGGAGCTGTATTGAAAGCCTACTATTTTTCCTTCTAAAGTTCATGCTTTAACTACTGCATAGATTTTTGACTCTGTTGAAAAAGTACTATGGAGAGCATTTAAGGCCCAGCTAAGTTTAGTAGGCAACTGACATTGTCAAAGGGTTCCTGAGGAATGCCTGTTTACAAATTTCAACTGCATTAAATATAATAGAAACAGTAAAAACAGATACATATGCTCTTGGCTACTAACCACCATTTATTTTCCCTGTGGATTTTGTTTTTAAATTCAACAATTGTGTAATATGAATTGATTTAAAGCTGCTGGTGGACAACACGGAAGACTTTAGACAACAGCGTCATTTCATTAGAGAGGAAGTGAAGGGTTTGAATAAGACATGCCGACTCTCCAGGAGACGTTGACCTGGGAACAAAACAACAATAACAGAAAACATGTTTTTCAGGTTTGCTTAAATGATTGACCAAGAAACCAGGTAGAACAGTGTTAAACTGGAAACATGTAAGGTTTCTAAGATAGTCTTGTCCCTGCTGTGAGATATGTCTGCATGAGGTGCAAACTCATTTGACATCTTGTGTAGGAAATCCAGAATCCAGAAAACCAATTAGTTCCTCATAGTGGCATTCACGAAGGGGGTCGGCATCATAATGAGAGAAAGAACCATGGATTCTAACAGCAGGAGGCAGGGATAGGTGTACTTCACTCTCTCTCCTAGCTGCTAGGAATTCTGTTACTTACATACCCAGCTTTTAATCTTCTTTCACTTTTACTAACAGAAATTCATGTCTATTCGTATTGAAGTTATCTATCAGCCATTTTCAGATATTCATAGATACTAAACTCTATGGGAGAGACAAAAAGACATGCCAAAAACTCATAAGGTTTCCACACTTACTTCAGAAAAGAGACATACACAACATACAAATTAGCAAAGTCTAGACACTGTAGAAAGCAAACGCTTAATGGCTCAGTGTTGTTACAGATCTTCATTGAACCAACGATTAGATTACTGAGCTCAGTTTGATGTTGTGTTATTTAAATTAATAATCCTTTAATGAGCAAGTTCTAAGTGCCAGTAACTATGCTAAATGTGAGGGACATAAAGACATGCTTCTTGCCCTTAATCGACCCATAGTTTATCGGGAATGACACATGGATCTACAAGGAAGAATTTGAAGAAATTGTGGAAGCACAGAGTAGGAAGAGATTAACAGGGCATGGAAGAATATGAAAAGTTTCAGATTAGAGATGCTGATTGTTTCTGCATTTCAAAAACATGTAGGTCTTTAAATAATGTGAGGACAGGCTTTATCCTAAGGAGAATAAGGGGATCAAAGGTGAATCAGAGAGCTTATAACCTCAGGAAGTTTACAAACTAGAAGGGGAAATAACATAGGATATAACCATTGAAAAGGAAATGATGTGATCCTTACTTTAATATCAATAGAGGACAACAGGAGTCTGGGGGGAGTCAATCAATATATTATGGAGGAAGTGGCCTAGTAAGTAGCTTCCTAAAGAACAGTGGGGCTACGGAGCAGGACTGGTTGGCATCCATCAGTGGGATTTACTGGCTGATATCCAATCTAATTTGTTGGTGCCCATGTTACACAGGCCATTAAAAACTTTGAATATTGACACTGCTTTAGATTTTTGGAGTGGTATTCTAGGCAGTAGCCCATTTTAAAACAAAGGCATAGACATGAAAGTTCCTATGGATACTAGGGAGTAGTTTTATTTGAGTAAATTTTGCACAAAGGAGAGTAGATTAAGATTAAATGACATTAGGTCTTCTATGTCTTTGTATGGAATTTGAGCCTTATTTCACATTGCTATAAGGAAATACCTGAGACAGTAATTTATAAAGAAAAGATGTTTAATTGGCTTATGGTTCTGTGGGCTGTACAGGAAGCATAGCAGCTTCTGAGGAGGCCTCAGGAAACTTACAATCATGGCGGAAAGTGAAGGGGAAACAGGCACATCTTAAGTAGCTGGAGCAGGATGAAGAGAGAGTGAGAGGGGATGTTCCCCACATGTTTAAACAACTAGATCTAAGAACTCTGTCATGAGAACAGCACCAAAGAGATGGTGCTAAACTATTCATGAGGGATCGATCCTCATAATATAGTCAACTCCCACCAGGCCCCACCTCCAATCCCCAATGGCATTACAAGTCAACATGAGATTTGGGTGGGGACACAGATCCAAACCATATCAGGAGGCATAGTTTGCTTAATATCCATGTGGTCAGTATTGCTTGTAGTTATGTTGAAGAATTGAGAAACATAAGTGGTCTTGACAAGAAAATATTCATTAATAAACTGACCACTTATAAAATCATCCCATTGAAATATCCTACTTATTTAACACTAGTGTCTATCATTCCAGTTCCTCAATTTTTTGTCAAACCATTTTAGTTATTGTCTGATACTGTAACTATCTAACAATATGATGCAAAGTAGATACAAAAGGATTGAAATAAAATTGCAGATTTTACTAATGATGTCAATGGATCTAGTTTGGGAAACAAATGCATGAACCTACTTATCAATTTTAACATTGCCAAAAGAAGGACATCCAAATTTAGATGCCTCTTGATTTGATGCCCTAGAAAGTATGTAGCACCAACTATTATTGATCCTTAATATAAATCAATCAGTAAATAATAACTTGACTCTAATCAAGCCTCTAGGTCTAATTACCAATTTAGGGGATAGAAGAACAAGTTAAAAGACATTACAGAGATGCAATTAACCTATTTTATATTGCAATTAATTTAACAGCACAAATGACTGATTTTCTGCAATAGATAAATGGCATGAACAAAGGAAGAGGAGGAGGAGTGCAAAACTGCTACAGATTTTTAAAATATTAGCAACTTAAATTCTACAAAATATTAAAAGATTTATACATCATGACCAAATTGTTCAAATAGGGTTTATCCCAAGAATGCAAGTTTGGTCTAACATTTGAAAATTCAGTCAATATAACACATCATATCAGCGAGGGAAAGAAAAGTAATTGTATGATCATGTCGATTGGCACAGTAAAAAGCCTTTGATAAAATTCAATACCTATACATGATAACATTTCTCATGAAATCAGAGGAATTCAAGGTAATTATTTTAACTTCATAAAAAGCATCTTCAAAAATCCTACAGCTAACATAATATTTAATGGTAGGAAACTGAATGGTTTCCTAATAAGACTGGAAATAAGGCAGAGATATCCATATTCACTTCTCTTCTTCAAGATAGTACTGGAAATTCTAGGCACTGCAATAAGGCAAAAAAAAAAGAAAGAAATGAAAGGCATATATATATATATATATATATATATATATATATATATATATATATGAAAATAAGAAATAAAACTATCTCTACTTTTAGATGGTAACTGTAAAAATTATCTCTACTTTTAGAGGATAACTGTAAAATCCCAAGGAATCTACAAAAGTATCCTAAAACTAAGTGAATTCAGCAAGGTCACAGGATACAAGATCAGCACACAAAAACCAGTGGTATTTTAATATGATAATGAACTGATGGAAACCAAAGTTACCAACACAATATCAATTACAAATTTCTTTAAGGAAATTAAATACATAGGTATACACTTAACCAAACATGTACAGGATCTTTATGCTGAACATTGTATAAAGCTGACAAAAGAAATCAAAGAAGACCTAAATATAATAAATGGAGAGACATACCATGTTCATAGATTAAAATATTCAATACAGTAAATATGTTAATTCTCCTCAAATTGATATGTAGTTTTAATACAGTTCCTATCAAAATCCCAGGGAGGTCTTTGTGTTTGCTAGTTAGTTTTGATTTGTTATTGGATATAAAAAACTTATTCTAAAATTTATATAGAAAGGCTCAGACTGTAAGGTAAAGCAGTCTCAACAAAGAAGATCAAAATGTGAAGAATCACTTGAGCAGATATTAAGGATTACTATTTAGCTACAGTTATCAAGACTGTGTTGTGTTGGTAGAGAAGACACATGGATCAAGGAACAAAATAGAGAATCTGAAAGTAGACCCACACATATATTCTCAACTAATTTTTTGACAAAGATGCAGAGACATTTCATTGGAGGAAGGGTACCCTTTTCAACAAATGGTTCTGGAGCAATTGTACAGTAAGACTTGGAGAAAATATTTGAAACCACTGTGTGCAATAAAGGTAAACTATTATGTTAACTGAAAAAAGTTACAGATGTTATAAATAATTCTGAAGTATTTACAGTAAAATAACAAGCTGTTGTTAGAATGTTTTGAAGTGCTCCAGAAAAGTATAATAGCCCGAGTTTATGAAAGTGAATTAAAGGTGTTATGGGAGAATAATAAAAGGCATACCCTTGTTTGTGGGTATTTGGGCACACTACCTTAAAGGTTAAAGACAGATTTTAACTGATAACTACTGGGTGAGTAGGAGGTGAGGAGGAAAATAAAAAGGTAGAGGAAAAGAGTTTCAGCAGAGGGCACAGCATGTACAAAGCCTTAGTGATAGGAAACTCAGCAAGCATAGGACATGCAGAGTTCTGAAAGAAGTTTAATGTTTGAACCCTAGAATTTACAGAGATTAGTGGAGAGACCTGAGACTTCGAAGATAGGCGGGTCAGAGATCTTGCACCCCTTCAGAAGTCAGTAGAAAGCCATTGGGCATAAATTAAGCAGGTCAGTAGGAGCGTGAGCTTTGCACTTGGAAGATTGTCTGGGCTCTTTGCTATTAATAGAATGAATTCATGATGGTGGCCTTGATAAGGATCTTAGCTTGGAGATGAAGAGGAAAGGATCAGGAAATACGCAGAGGAAGAAGTGACAGAGGTTGGCGATAGATTGATTCGGCATGAGGAAGAGTGAGTGAAGGATGATAGTGAGGTCCCTCTGGGTCTTGAAAAACATGTAGGAAGAGGCAACATGGGGAAAAGAGAGAAAGCTCCATAGAGGAAAATTATCACAAACACCTTGATACAAGGCAGAGATAAGAGGATTCAGGGACTGACCCCTGAGGAGTCCAGTCAGTCTGGAATATATGTGGAACACTCAGTCAGTAAAGTCAAGACAGCCAAACTTCACATGAAGCAGGTAATTCTAGCAGTCTTTCATTGAATAAAAATATAGCTCTAGTATTTAGGGATGCCTAAATTGAGACTAAGAATCTGCAGTTGGTCTGCAACTTCCAGCTGGAAGAGAGCATACATGGAAAGAAAACTATGTTTCTGTTGAGTCTCTAGGGCTATGGGCTTTGGAACCGAACAGACCAGTTTTTGTTTTTGTTTTCTTAATTTTATATGTAAACATTCACACCATTTAGTGTATAGATCTATGAGTGTTGACAAATATACCAGTGACAAAATCAAGCTACAGAATAGTTCCATCATCCCATAATGTTTTCTCCTGCTGTTCCTTTGTAGTGAAACCTCTCCTATCCCTTACCTTTAATAACCTCTGATCTCTTCTCCATCTCTGTAGTTCTGTTATTTCCAGAAGGTCATATAAATAGAATCATACAGTACATAGCTTTTAGAGTCTGACTCCTTTGTGGGCCATATGGTCTCATAGCTACTGAGTTCTGCCTTTGTACTATGGAAGCCACAATATGTAGACAAATGGGGGTGGCTTGTGTTCCAATAAAACTATACTCATGGGCACTGAAATTTTTGTTTCATATAATTTTCACATGTCATGAAAAGTTATTCCTTTGATTTTTTTTCCAGCAACTTAAAATATACAAGCCATTTTTAGCTCTCAGACCAGACAAAAACATGTGGCAGCCTGGATCTGGCCCTCCAGCTGTAGTTTGCCAACTCCTGAAACCATTAGCCCCAGGTATATTGTAAGTCCTGAAAAAGATAAACTACTTTTATTATTAATGACTTTATAAGTTTTTTGATTTTCAATTGGTAATTCCAGATATTTCTTCAGCAGAGAGCTGTGTTCCTAGACCTCTTCCTAGACCTCATCAAATTGCCAGCTATTCCCTTCTTCAGTCTCTATAGAATTACTTTTGCTGATAGATTGACTGAGGGTGACAGTTTGTCTCCATTTGTCTGGAACACTCTTAGTTTTCACCTATTTACCCTGCTTCATGCCTAGTCTTATTTTTATTTTCAAAGGTGTCTTAGTATACATGATAAATTGTATGGTCAAGCCAGGGTAAACTCATCAGAGACTACAGAAGATGCCTTGGTGGATGTGGGTGTGGGTGGTGCTATTTATAACAGAATTCTCTTCATGGGGCATGTAGAACTCTTGTTCTGATCTTGATGTCAGGTGTGGTTGTGTTTCATTTAAAATTTCTTAGATCCTTTCAATTTGTTTGTTGTCCTGTATTAATTTATCTCTCCTCTGAGCCATGCAACATTTTTTTTCTTAAGGAAAGGTGTTAAAAATTTAATGGATTTTATATTCTCTCTGACTTCATTTATAGATGCTGAATTTAAAATATTTTAATAGTGAGTATGCATGTGGCACACGTGATGAATCACAGTAAACCCTTTTTCACTGGTTTATTTTGAAAGTGTAGTAGAAATGACTCCATAGCGTCTCCTCTCCGCTATACTACAAATAACATTTTATATTTGAATATTGGGTTTATTTTTTGGGGGGCGGCTCTTGTTCAACCTGGCTGAGGTCAATGATATTATTATATAATATCTATTCTACAGATGAGATTATTAAGTCTCAAAGAGTTTAGGTAATTTTCCTTAGGCACATAGTTGATGATAAAGTATAAAAAGTTTTGACCAGTTACTTGTAAATCAGTGGCTGTTAACCCCTATGCATACATGACCTCTAAAATTTTATCATTTTTTGATGGCAAGTTATTTGCTGAAAACTGTTTCCCATTAGGAGTAAATTAGACTTTTGGAAACAATCAAAACACTTTTTCATTGCTCTTACACTAAATGGTGATTTCTTTTTTTCCAACAAAGACAATTTTATAATCTTGTTTATCAAAGGATTCTACAAAATATCAGGTGTTAATAATATTAAAACAAAATAGACCATTAATGGGAATCTGAATTTTGTTTTTTCATAGAACTTTATAAAATATGACATTTTAATAATCTTAAAATAAATTTGACCATTAACAGACTGTTGCATATTTGTGAAAGAACTTTTAGAATTTTGTGTTTATTGGCCGTTTGAATTATTTCATTTGCTTTATTTTTATAGTATGTGGAGTGTACATAAAAAAAACTTATTGGTAAATAGATTTTATTTTGCCTTTGAGTGTAATCTCAGTAATTTGATCTTTCAACATAAAAAGAACATTTCAAACTCTGTGCTACATGAAATGAGCAGCACATTTTCATGTGCCAAAAAAGTTTTGAGCTAAGTCATAACAAGGAAAAATCACAGCAATTTTTTATTGAAAATATGAATCAGCTACAATGAAGTTTCATACCAGTCATTGGCTTCCTATTTAAAGAAATGTTCAACAATCCAAATGTTTTGTTTTAGGCAGTTTGCTTTCCACACCTGCCACCTGTGCGAATGTCGGGTACTTTCACCAGCACATACCTCCTAATGGTAAATGAACAGATGATCTTTTTGTGTTTTCATCCATTCCTCCATGCTGACATTGTTAGTATTTTAACATTGTACTTTGCTGCTCCAAAATAAACACATCATTTTTCATATCTATTCCCCTCCTGTTGAGATCATTAATGCAACATAATCCTAATGTGTTGCCAAAAAATATATACAGAGAGCTGTCTTTAGGATTCCCTAGATTTCACATTTCATGCTACTGCAATAAATTTGGAGTCAGATGCTCCTGGCCTAGGAAGATGATAGGGGTTTTGTAAAGCAGTTTAAAAGTAACTAACTAAACATGAATATTCTTAAATTGCTTTTTTCTTTTTTTTTCAGTAGATAGCTCTTCATTTAAAAATAATATATACACATGTAAAACATTAAAGTTATACAATAAAGAGGATGTCTTCCCACCCCATTTCCTAAGTCTCCAAGCAGCAATTGCTATATGCCTGTTCAAGCCTATGTAAGTATAGGACATTTTACAGTAGTAATACAAAGAAGAGTGCTCAGCACCTTACAGTTTTGGAGATTATTCTGTTTTAGGGCATCTGGCTCTAATTTTTTACACATATGTGTAATAATCTATGGCATAAACCAGTTAGATTTCAATGTGGTTCTCCAGACTAGCAGCATCAGCTTCACTGGGGAATTTATTACAAATGCAGATTTTCAGGCCCCATCTCAGACTTGTTGCTTCAGACCCTCCTGGGTGGGGCAGGGCCACAGGTATTTTAACAAGACCTCCAGGTGGTTTTGATGCACAGTGAAGCTTGAAAACCAGGGCTTCCAGGCAAACAGGGTCTGGAGTGGACCTCTAGCAAACTCCAACAGACCTGCAGCTGAGAGTCCTGTCTGTTAGAAGGAAAACTAACGAACAGAAAGGACATCCACACCAAAAAAAACATCTGTACATCACCATCATCAAAGACCAAAAGTAGATAAAACCACAAAGATGGGGAAAAAACAGAGCAGAAAAACTGGAAACTCTAAAAAGGAGAGCACCTCTCCTCCTCCAAAGGATCGCAGTTCCTCACCAGCAATGGAACAAAGCTGGACGGAGAATGACTTTGACGAGTCGAGAGAAGAAGGCTTCAGACGATCAAACTACGAGCTACAGGAGGAAATTCAAACCAAAGGCAAAGAAGTTAAAAACTTTGAAAAAAATTTAGACGAATGTATAACTAGAATAACCAATACAGAGAAGTGCTTAAAGGAGCTGATGGAGCTGAAAGCCAAGGCTCGAGAACTACGTGAAAAATTCAGAAGCCTCAGGAGCCGATGCGATCAACTGGAAGAAAGGGTATCAGCGATGGAAGATGAAATGAATGAAATGAAGCGAGAAGGGAAGTTTAGAGAAAAAAAAATAGAAATGAACAAAGCCTCCAAGAAATATGGGACTATGTGAAAAGACCAAATCTACGTCTGATTGGTATACCTGAAAGTGACGGGGAGAATGGAACCAAGTTGGAAAACACTCTGCAGGATATTATCCAGGAGAACTTCCCCAATCTAGCAAGGCAGGCCAACATTCAGATTCAGGAAATAAAGAGAACACGACAAAGATACTCTTTGAGAAGAGCAACTCCAAGACACATAATTGTCAGAGTCACCAAAGTTGAAATGAGGAAAAAATGTTAAGGGCAGCCAGAGAGAAAGGTCGGGTTACCCACAAAGGGAAGCCCATCAGACTAACTGTGGATCTCTCGGCAGAAACTCTACAAGCCAGAAGAGAGTGGGGGCCAATATTCAACATTCTTAAAAGAATTTTCAACCCAGAATTTCATATCCAGCCAAACTAAGCTTCATAAGTGAAGGAGAAATAAAATCCTTTACAGACAAGCAAATGCTGAGAGATTTTGTCACCACCAGGCCTGCCCTAAAAGAGCTCCTGAAGGAAGCACTAGACATGGAAAGGAACAACCGGTACCAGCTGCTGCAAAATCATGCCAAAATGTAAAGACCACTGAGACTAGGAAGAAACTGCATCAACTAACGAGCAAAATAACCAGCTAACATCATAATGACAGGATCAAATTCACACATAACAATATTAACTTTAAAAGTAAATGGACTAAATTCTCCAATTAAAAGACACAGACTGGCAAATTGGATAAAGAGTCAAGACCCATCAGTGTGTTGTATTCAGGAAACCCATCTCACGTGCAGAGACACACATAGGCTCAAAATAAAAGGATGGAGGAAGATCTACCAAGCAAATGGAAAACAAAAAAAGGCAGGGGTTGCAATCCTAGTCTCTGATAAAACAGACTTTAAACCAACAAAGATCAAAAGAGACAAAGAAGGCCATTACATAATGGTAAAGGGATCAATTCAACAAGAAGAGCTAACTATCCTAAATATATATGCACCCAATACAGGAGCACCCAGATTCATAAAGCAAGTCCTGAGTGACCTACAAAGAGACTTAGACTCCCACACATTAATAATGGGAGACTTTAACACCCCACTGTCAACATTAGACAGATCAACGAGACAGAAAGTCAACAAGGATACCCAGGAATTGAACTCAGCTCTGCACCAAGCGGACCTAATAGACATCTACAGAACTCTCCACCCCAAATCAACAGAACATACATTTTTTTCAGCACCACACCACACCTATTCCAAAATTGACCACATATTTGGAAGTAAAGCTCTCCTCAGCAAATGTAAAAGAATAGAAATTAAACTCTCTCTCAGACCACAGTGCAATCAAACTAGAACTCAAGATTAAGAAACTCACTCAAAACTGCCCAACTACATGGAAACTGAACAACCTGCTCCTGAATGACTACTGGGTACATAACGAAATGAAGGCAGAAATAAAGATGTTCTTTGAAACCAACGAGAACAAAGACACAACATACCAGAATCTCTGGGACACATTCAAAGCAGTGTGTAGAGGGAAATTTATAGCACTAAATGCCCACAAGAGAAAGCAGGAAAGATCCAAAATTGACACCCTAACATCACAATTAAAAGAACTAGAAAAGCAAGAGCAAACACATTCAAAAGCTAGCAGAAGGCAAGAAATAACTAAGATGAGAGCAGAACTGAAGGAAATAGAGACACAAAAAACCCTTCAAAAAATGAATGAATCCAGGAGCTGGTATTTTGAAAAGATAACAAAATTGATAGACTGGTAGCAAGACTAATAAAGAAAAAAAGAGAGAAGAATCAAATAGACGCAATAAAAAATGATAAAGGGGATATCACCACCGATCCCACAGAAATACAAACTACCATCAGAGAATACTACAAACACCTCTTCGCAAGTAAACTAGAAAATCTAGAAGAAATGGATAAATTCCTCGACACATACACTCTTCCAAGACTAAACCAGGAAGAAGTTGAATCTCTGAATAGACCAATAACAGGAGCTGAAATTGTGGCAATAATCAACAGCTTACCAACCAAAAAGAGTCCAGGACCAGATGGATTCACAGCCGAATTCTGCCAGAGGTACAAGGAGGAACTGGTACCATTCCTTCTGAAACTATTCCAATCAATAGAAAAAGAGGGAAACCTCCCTAACTCATTTTATGAGGCTAGCATCATCCTGATACCAAAGCTGGGCAGAGACACAACCAAAAAAGAGAATTTTAGACCAATATCCTTGATGAACATTGCTGCAAAAATCCTCAATAAAATACTGGCAAACCGAATCCAGCAGCACATCAAAAAGCTTATCCACCATGATCAAGTGGGCTTCATCCCTGGGATGCAAGGCTGGTTCAGTATACGCAAATCAGTAAATGTAATCCAGCATATAAACAGAACCAAAGACAAAAACCACATGATTATCTCAATAGATGCAGAAAAGGCCTTTGACAAAATTCAACAACTCTTCATGCTAAAAACTCTCAATAAATTAGGTATTGATGGGACGTATCTCAAAATAATGAGAGCTATCTGTGACAAACCCACAGCCAATATCATACTGAATGGGCAAAAACTGGAAGCATTCCCTTTGAAAACTGGCAGAAGACAGGGATGCCCTCTCTCACCACTCCTATTCAACATAGTGTTGGAAGTTCTGGCCAGGGCAATTAGGCAGGAGAAGGAAATAAAGGGTATTCGGTTAGGAAAAGAGGAAGTCAAATTGTCCCTGTTTGCAGATGACATGATTGTATATCTAGAAAACCCCATCGTCTCAGCCCAAAATCTCCTTAAGCTGATAAGCAACTTCAGCAAAGTCTCAGGATACAAAATCAATGTGCGAAAATCACAAGCATTCTTATACACCAATAACAGACAAACAGAGAGCCAAATCATGAGTGAACTCCCATTCACAATTGCTTCAAAGAGAATAAAATACCTAGGAATCCACCTTACAAGGGACGTGAAGGACCTCTTCAAGGAGAACTACAAACCACTGCTCAATGAAATAAAAGAGGATACAAACAAATGGAAGAACATTCCATGCTCATGGGTAGGAAGAATCAATATCATGAAAATGGCCATACTGCCCAAGGTAATTTATAGATTCAATGCCATCCCCATCGAGCTACCAATGACTTTCTTCACAGAATTGGAAAAAACTACTTTAAAGTTCATATGGAACCAAAAAAGAGCCTGCATCGCCAAGTCAATCCTAAGCCAAAAGAACAAAGCTGGAGGCCTCACGCTACCTGACTTCAAACTATACTACAAGGCTACAGTAACCAAAACAGCATGGTACTGGTACCAAAACAGAGATATAGATCAATGGAACAGAACAGAGCCCTCAGAAATAATGCCGCATATCTACAACTATCTGATCTTTGACAAATCTGAGAAAAACAAGCAATGGGGAAAGGATTCCCTATTTAATAAATGGTGCTGGGAAAACTGGCTAGCCATATGTAGAAAGCTGAAACTGGATCCCTTCCTTACACCTTATACAAAAATCAATTCAAGATGGATTAAAGACTTAAACGTTAGACATAAAACCATAAAAACCATAGAAGAAAACCTAGGCGTTACCATTCAGGACATAGGCACGGGCAAGGACTTCATGTCTAAAACACCAAAAGCAATGGCAACAAAAGCCAAAATTGACAAATGGGATCTAATTAAACTAAAGAGCTTCTGCACGGCAAAAGAAACTACCATCAGAGTGAACAGGCAACCCACAAAATGGGAGAAAATTTTCACAACCTACTCATCTGACAAAGGGCTAATATCCAGAATCTACAATGAACTGAAACAAATTTACAAGAAAAAAACAAACAACCCCATCAAAAAGGGGGCAATGGACATGAACAGACACTTCTCCAAAGAAGACATTTATGCAGCCAAAAAACACATGAAAAAATGCTCACCATCACTGGCCATCAGAGAAATGCAAATCAAAACCGCAATGGGATACCATCTCACACCAGTTAGAATGGCAATCATTAAAAAGTCAGGAAACAACAGGTGCTGGAGAGGATGTGGAGAAATAGGAACACTTTGACACTGTTGGTGGGACTGTAAACTAGTTCAACCATTGTGGAAGTCAGTGTGGCGATTCCTCAGGGATCTAGAACTAGAAATACCATTTGACCCAGCCATCCCAATGCTGGGTATATACCCAAAGGACTATAAATCATGCTGCTATAAAGACACATGCACATGTATGTTTATTGCAGCACTATTCACAGTAGCAAAGACTTGGAACCAACCCAAATGTCCAACAATGATAGACTGGATTAAGAAAATATGGCACAGATAACACCATGGAATACTACGCAGCCATAAAAAATGATGAGTTCATGTCCTTTGTAGGGACATGGATGAAATTGGGAATCGTCATTCTCAGTAAACTATCACAAGAACAAAAAACCAAACACTGCATATTCTCACTCATAGGTGGGAATTGAGCAATGAGAACACATGGACACAGGAAGGGGAACATCACACTCTGGGGAGTGTTGTGGGGTGGGGGGAGGGGGGAGGGATAGCATTGGGAGATATACCTAATGCTAGATGACGAGTTAGTGGGTGCAGCGCACCAGCATGTCACATGTATACATATGTAACTAACCTGCACATTGTGCACATGTACCCTAAAACTTAAAGTATAATAATAATTAAAAAAAAAAAAAAACAGGGCTTCAGATAAACCATATTCTTTCAAGAATCATTTAGGTTGTTTGCAGCCTTTTTCTTTTGTAAATAGCACTGCAGAGAAGATCTTTGTACATAGACCTTTATAGGGAGAGTCATAGAAATTTATCAAACTTTCCAAAGTTACACCAATTTACATTTTCACCAACAATAATGTATGAGATTTTTCTTAGTATTTCTGAGACCATTTTTCTTAGATTTCCTTCTATGTTTTATAACTGCAAGATTAAAAAAATTTGTTTTGTTTCGACTTTATATAAAAAACACATGTATTTTTTAAATGTTTCAAATATTTACAATGCAGAATATAAATTCTTTCCTACTAAAGAAATATAGCTACCATTTATTGAAAGCCTACTGTGTTTTATAAACTTAATTCATTTCATTTTCATTAGCCTCCCAGCAAAGGACAATTCTTGTTTCTTAGGTAAGGGCTATTGGGAGGATAGGCTCAGTTTGATTCATTATCTTGCTATTAAATGATTATGTAACTACATATGATCATAACAAATTATTATAAAAATAAGAAATGTACTTTAACATGCTTTTTGAGAAATATATCATTAAATTGCCTTATGGTCCAGAACATTAAAATACTTCTTTTGCTTCATGCTAAGGTTCCCACAATATTCCTGTGAATGCAAAGTTTCTGTGTAGATATTTTTGAATTACTGTATAACAAAGTATTCAGCTATTCATTCTGAGTATTTGATAGAAAACCAATTAATGCCAAGTGGCTTTTGGTAAATGTCTGGATTGAAATGACTTCAGCCAACCCAGGCTTACAATTTAATGAAAGCTGAGGTGCATCAGAAGGTTTTCTTGCATAATATATAAATTACCGCTTTCTGCAGTTTCAAAAGGTGTGGTCCTCAGATCACTGGTCTGACTTATCTGTTTCTTATTTTTATATGTGCTTTATATTTAATAGATCCAAAACCCCTTCCCTAACTACAGAATCAGAATTTTTAGGACTGGGGCCTGGAAATTTGCACTTGAAACATGTTTCCCAGCTGATTATTATAAATAAAAGTGGATTTCATTCTTCTCTTTATCAAAAACAATTGCCATTTTTTTTGATTCAGCAGAGATGACTACAGAGATTAGTGTTGTAAAAGAGTACATAAATAATTCAGATTTAAACTCTGTACTGCAGTGGTATGATTTACTTAAGACTCAGAACCTCCTCTAAAAATGATTAATTTAATTTTTATTTCTTTTCTTTTACTTTGTCTTCCTTGTGGCAGGATGTCAGTTGGCAATGAAATGGCCCCAGAGCAGGCACAATAAGAAGCCACAAAAAATTACATTAATTTTTATTATATAATACTTAGATATTTCTTTATGATTTATACTCAAGGGCTTCTGTAAAGACCTGAGTTGGCTTACAGAAGGAAATTAATATAAAATAGGACAAGCACAGATCAAAATAGAAGGAGACTATTTAAAAGGATTTGAGGCACCTGGGAGACATTAATTCTAGCAGCTGGGAAGTGTCCTGATCGCTGAAACCAAAATGGAAACATGTTGGTTTATAAATTTTTCATCTTGGATATAGAAAGTATATACAATTATCAGAAGAGGCAAACTTTTTCCTACAACTAGGTAAAGTATGAATGTGTGGTATATAGTGATAGATCTTGTATAACAGAGAAAACAAAAACTGTTTTTCAAAGGATATAGAAAAATAGTTATGAAATGGACCATTCTGGTAGACTCTGAGGGCATTTTATTAAACATAGCCATAAAAGACCTTTTTGTTTGAGCTGATACTTTATAATAATAGCAAATATTTATTCTGCCTCTGTGTATGTTATTTTGTTATCTTCACAACCCAATAAATGTATGCAACGTTGTTCTCCTTGTTTTATAGTTGGAAACCTGAGGTGTGTGTAGGCAAGCTAAATAATTTATAAGTTCCTCAGGTTAGCAGGTGTCATTCTGTCTTTAGAGCTAGTGTTATTACACTCTACATGCTACATACTTGTCAGATATTTCTGAGTTGTTTGCTTTGTAATAACATGAACTAAAATAATACAATACACATTTTGGAGAATAAGGATGAAGAGTGAGTTCATGTTTACATCATCATAGTCTCTTTTATTTTCTAGGCCAAGACAAGTGTCTTAATCACATTATCTACATAGTGTCATGAGATAAAGCCCCTAGTGTCCAGTAGTTCTGCTTTTACTCTATGTTGTTGGTTAAAAGAAACTTATCTACTTGTTTGTCTTGTTTGGCAACATACACAACATAAAATTTGTGTTCAGAATGGATGTAAACACCAAAAAGATGAAATTATAGTCCTGCTCTCAACTAGACACTGGGCTCCCCTACCCATGGGAAATCCATGAATCATATTGAGTAAGTGTATGCATACTTGGTTAAAAACCTTAGAATTCTGCTGCACATAGCATAGAAGACAAAGCTTTAACCTGGAAAATCTTAAAGCAGGTGTTCGCAGCTGAGTGTCTCATCCATAAAATGACATCAGGCAACGGTCTACATGGATCATCCAATTTTAAGCTGGGCTGCATCCTGATGGGTCTGCCAGAATGAGTTATTCCCCTAGTAGCTGAAAAACATTGACCTATTAAGATTGTTTTTATCTGCTTATTTAAAAATGGTTCATGTTTTTACATAGAGCAATTTTAACCTGGGGTCCAGGTGAGTCCTGCCCTTACTCTTAGCAACTTAGAACAGAGCGGGCCCTTATGAACTCTCCACCTCAGGGATGATAACATCTGCATATTATGTCATTTGTCCTGTGTGAGAGAGTTAATGGTAAATCTTAAACTTGAAAATAGGACAGGTGGTGAGGGTATCATCATGCCATCACTGAAATCAGAAAGAAAATCTCAGACCTGTTAACTAAATTCAACTTGACATGTTTTGGAGAGCATCTTAGTAGGTCTTATTTTCCATGCAATTGCTCTTTCCCTTCGTTCACTTAATTGACAAGAGCCATCTTTTCAACCAATGAAAAATGCATATTGGGCTAGATGTCTTCCTTCTATTTCTTCCAGATCCACCTTCCACTCTGCCATATGTCCCAGGGGACCCATATGGATTACATCTCTTGCCTTCTGGCTTTTGGGTGGTTTTAGCTAATGGGAGGCAATAGCAGGAAATTGGAGAGTGGGAAGAGAAAAGGTCAGGATATTTGTTCCCCTGGCTTCCTCCCTGCTGGATCACCATATGTTGTTCAGTAGTCCTCCTACTGGAGGCCACAGCTCCTAACAGTATTCCTTTCTGTACAGCTGCCCTCTCTGAGTTCTGGGAACCTCACTTCTCCTTACTGTTCAAGCCTAAGTATGGTGATGGTTCCCCACTGTCACCAGCCTTGCAATACTACATCATTCTTTTTGGCTTCTTTATATCTTTCTCATTGTCAGGCGCTCCTCATTTACCACATTGAAGTGTGCCATCTGTACACTGCTAGGAGACTGATGAATACACATCTGTGAAATAGTCGTAAATGAAACAAAGAAAAACGTCTTTGAAACTTTTCAACTATTTTGTATTACATCCATATATAATAAGACCTCATATGGAACATTTGTACAGAACATATTAGGGAGAAATTTATTGCCATGACCTAGAATGCAAATCTGTCAGTCTGACTCAAAAAAACTTATACCCTATGACCCTGATCTCTGGGAATGCATGTAGGAGTATTTTGGCTTCCAGAAGTAAAATACTCTAGGGTAGCACTGTCCAATAGAAATATAATGTGGGGCCACATATGTAACTTGAAATTTTCCAGTAGTCACATTCAAAAAAGCAAAAAAAAAAAAAACAAGTAAAATTAACTTGAATAATATATTTTATTTAACTCAGTATTATTTTAACATATAATCAATATAAAAATTATTCACAGAATTTTTTTTCTGTACTAAGTCTTTGAAATCCATTTTGTGTTTTACAGTTAAAGCACATCTCAATCCAGACTGCTACATGTCACTGGCTTAGTAGGCACATGTGGCTAGTGGCTGCTTTACTGGACAGCACAGCTCTAAGGTTTATGATATCAACATTTAGTAAAAGAGTTTCTCCTTTCTACACACACACACACGAATTATATTGTAAGCTATTCCCCTGTCAATCTCAATAAACCTAAAGACTTGCCTATCTGCATATCTAAATGCATCTCTTTTTTCTGCCACAATTAATGCATGCAAGTCACTTAGAACAGTGTCCAGTGCATAATAAAATTTCACATATGCTATTTTTGTTGTTGCTTCTTAAAAACCTCCTGAGGTAGTTCAGGTACGTATTACTACCATCTTACATATGAGGAAACTGAGTCACAGATCAAGTAAGCAACTGGTCCAGAGTTACACAACTATTAAGCATCAGATCATGGACTCAAGGCCAGTTCTTCTGACTCTGCAGCCAGAAGAATGAATGTAATAAAAGTCAGGCAGCTGAGCTTTATGGGTTCGACTAGTGATCAGGAGGACAAAGATGTGGCCTTTAAACAGTGCTATCATGTATGGTTGTGACAATGAAGTGCCGCACAAGTGCCATTCACATTACTGTTTCTGTGAATGATACCCTCTTGAGTTGTGCAGTGCACAACCTGTGAAGTCCTACGTGGCAGCCCCAATTTCAGGTTTATTTCTGCCAAAAACTGAGTTTAGACAAATTGTGAAACCTTCCCATCTGTTTTCTTTAAACACCAATGAAGAATGTTTGCTGATGCTACCACAGCAATCCTGTCTTGTCCTGTGATTCTTAATGATAGTGCACATTCTTTTCTACTAGCATTCTTCATTTTTGTTCCATTTGATTTGGCAGTGCACATTAAGAGGCTATATGAAATGCATTACTTTCCAACTTCATGCCTTAGTAATGCTATGTTTGCTTACTGTCATAGTTAAATAAATATCTTATTAAAGCATTTCTACTTAATTTCATTGATTCTGGTAGAAGGCTTTCATAAAACAAGAGCATTTTGGGAGGCCGTGGTACATGGATCATTTGAGGTCAGGAGTTCAAGATCAGCCTGGCCAACATGGTGAAACCCCGTCTCTACTAAAAAATACAAAAATTAGCCAGGCATGGTGGCAGGCACCTGTAATCCCAGCTGCTCGAGAGGCTGAGGCAGGAGAATTGGTTGATCCTGGGAGGTGGAGGTTGCAGTGGGCGGAGATCCCACCACTGCACTCCAGTTTGGGCATCAGAGGGAGACCCTGTCTAAAAAAAAACCAAAAACAAAAAATCAAAACAAAAAAGTAGTTACAATGTTTCTATATGTTATTGTCAGAAGACTATGAAATTTTAGAAAGTGTTGCATTGCAAACATCGTGTAACCTCCTAACTAAAATATATCATTAGTGCATTAAATATTGTGAATGCCATTAGTGGCATCAATCATACTGAAAGACAGATATTCAGTGGAGCAATACCGCAGTAGTTGTCTAGACACTACATACTTTACTGAAGTGATTCTCTTTGCTGACTTCAGGAAAAATAGCTGTATTTAATCCCTTCAAGTCTAGGAATTTTTACCATCTTTTCATATTAGGATGTGTGGCATTGTGGGGAAGAGATTTTGGTGCTACATAAAAATATTCATAATTATTTATATTTCCTATTTTCTAATCTTATTCATTTGTGGATTTTAATTAAGATTAATATTTTTATGGTTGATAATGTCCTTTAATTGAACAGTGAAGAAAGCCCATATTCAGCTAGTACCTGATAGGGTTATAATTGAGAAAATTTAAGTTTTTGCTGAAAATGCCTCAATTAAAATGATTTTCGTAGGAGTAGACCAAACCTTCATTAAACTGACAATTAGAAATAAAGCTATCCCACATTTAGTTTAAAGTACCAGTTTGGGTAGGGAAAGGGGACACCAAGGCAAAGCATCTTTGCTTGAAACAAGAAAGTTAGCATTGTTGGACATTAAAAAAAAATTATGTCATGACCTAGAAACTTATAAGTAAACAAGGAAGGTCTATTGTCAGGTAGATGAAAAGTTCTGGGAAGAAATACGGAAAGCCTTTCCCATAGCTTTCTGGAAAATATCTACTGCTCAGGCCCTCTGAAATATAAATAGCTTGTGTGAGAGGTGCTGAAGACTTTATTAGTAAGCACCCCTTCTACCCTAGACATAACATTTTCACTTGTTTTATTTATTCATAATATTATTCACCACTTGTTATGAGTTGAATTGTGCCCCCAACCCCCCCAATAAGAGACATGATGAAGTCCTCCCCCAATGCCTCAGAATGGGATGTTGTTTGAAAATAGGGTTGTTGCAGATATAAGTAGTTAAGATGAGCCATACTAGAGTGGGGTGGGCCACTAATCCAATGTGATTGGTGTCATTATAAGAAGACATCCATGTAAACCGGAGACACACAGGGAGAATGCTACGTGACAATGGAGGCGGAGATTATAGTGATGCATCTACAAGTCAAGGAACACCAAAGTTTGCCAGCAACTACCAGAAGCTAGAAAAAGGCAAGGAAGAATCCCTCTTCTGGTTTCAGAGGGAGCATGATCCTGCCAACACCATGATTTTAGAGTTCCAGCCTCCAGAATTGTGAGACAATACATTTCTGTTTTTTTTTAAGCCACGCTGTTTATGGTACTTTGCTGTGGCAGCCCTGGAAAACTGATGCACCACCCACTAAGTATTGTGTCTTGACCAAGAGTTTCTTGTCCTCATGAAGCTCACAAAGTACTTAAAAATGCTATGCTCTGTTAAGGAATCTATTAATAACGACCTCCTAGGGGAAACAACACCTAAGTTGAGACTTGAGGGATTAATAGTAGTTAGCCAGGTGGAAAGAGTAGAGGAAGGAAGGCCTGAGAAACAGAAAAGAGTGTGTCCTGTGCCATAGAGGGAAAGGACTTCCATCTGACTGAAGTGCAGATGTGCCACAGGGGATGGAGAGATGGTGCAGAGAGAAAGATGGGACTCAGATCATTCTAAACCACATCAGCCATGCGAAAGAGTTTGGGTTCATCTTAAGGCTGGTGGGCAGCCACTGAAGGAGGGGAGGGGCAGGATTGGACAAGTGTGTAAGAAAGATGAATCTGGCCACAGTTGGTAGACTGGATGGGAGGAATATGAGACTGGTCAGGAGGACAGGTTTTCATTTGTGCATAAGCAGCATGTTTGGACTTGAATACTCATCACTGGAATGAAGCAGGAAGTAGGTGGTGAGATGGAAAGGATCCAAGGGCCCAGAAGGAAGAATAGAGCCAGACAGGCTAGGGACTGCCCAGGGCTTCCCACTGTCAAGCTCTGGAATTACAGCTGTCTCTGGTGGATGAACTGCTTGGTCTGTGCCTTTCTTTACTCCTCCAAACCCAGGACCTTCTCCTTAAAGCTGCTACTGTCCTCCTTAGGGTTGAAATTCTTTCCTTCTCCTCCACCCCAAGGCCTTCCCACTTGCCTTTCTGATTAAACCTGAATGCAAATAAGTATAGAATCCAGGGGAACTGAATGCAGGGATCTTGTTTTGTAACTTCTTCATTGGAGGCAGATATTGAATCTATAAGCATATTGTTTAAGGACATGGGCTGTGGAGCCATGCTGTATGGGCTTAAGTCCCAGATCTGTCACTTACTGTGTGACCTTGGACAAGTCACCTGATGTGATTATGCAACAGTTTCATCTCCAAAACAGAGAAAAATAAAAGTACCTCCTACCAGGATTGCTGTGAGAGTCATGCTGTGAATTAACTTATGCAAAGAACTTAAAGAAGTACTTAGCACTTAGTAAGATCCAATTAAATGTGAGCTATTATTATAGTTGCTGAATCTTTGCACCACCCATGGAGCTACTGGGGAACTCACCTACAGGCTTGTATGTTAGCCAGTCCCTATAGATGGGTTATGCATCTGAATTAAGATTGTGGAAATAAGGTAAAGAGGAAGACAAGGATTTTAGAAATACATGTAAGAGAAAATTAGGTACTTGATTTTATGCATGAAAAATTTATAAGGAAGAAACAAAAAACGTGCTAGACCTTAAAAGGTAATAATTATTTTTCTTAGGGTGGAAAGCAGAGGAAGAAGACCATCATGAAACAGAATTTTTAAAGTGTGAATAAAATAGGCTATTATTCGATAAAAATGAGGAAGGAAGGGTGTTATCGGCAGCAGCCACAGTATGTACAAATGCAAGCAGAGCTGACATGTTTAGTGATAGACCTTAGCCTAGAAAAAGAGAAAGATACTGGAGGTATTTAGCCAGAGGAGAAGAGACTGATTTATGGTGGTAGGCCACCATAAGTATAAATAACTCTTAGCACATGGGATATAAAAATAATCTCTCTCTCTCTGTGTGTGTGTGTGTGTGTGTGTGTGTGTGTACTTGCATGCACTTACCTGTTTGTTTACAAGGTTACCTTGTCATCTAACAATTAGATTTCTGTGTATCAAGGGGAGGTTTCAGAAGGCAGACTTAGGTTAAATGGAGAACCCCATTTTCAATCTATTTTACTGTAAAAGCCTTCTACCTCAGTATGTAATAGTTATGCAAAAAATGAAATTGAATGGAATAGGAACATAGAGACCTTTATGTGTAGAAAGTCAAGCTTATGGAATATATACTTGTATAGAAATATTTTCTATGAGAATGGTAACCTAATTTGTCATGTTAGCTAAATGCAAAAGATAATTTATTTTATAGGCAGCGATTTTATACATAGGATTGATGGAGTGCATTTCTCCTGCCAGTATTGAGATTTCTGGCATTTTCAATAAACAAACAGGGCCAAAGGATAATACCACCCATTTAATAAGTTGGTACATTTATTCCAACAGACATATGTTTAGATTTGTCCCATTTTCATCTCATTTTATCCTCCACATCAGCACAGTTGCCCTAATTGCTTTCTAATTTGTATACATTTTTGCACTTAAAAAATTTAAACTAAGAAATCTTTTTCAAGGGCTTCTTAAGTACCAAAGGGTGGGGTTCTACTAAACTAATGTATCCATGTGTCAACCAGCATCCTGTGTAATGCATTTCTGAAGTACAAAATTGCACTCATTGCTCTCTTGCTGTTGGCTTATTCTGGATCTCAGATAAAACTTATAAAGAAAACAAGTAGTATGGATTTATGCTTGTTTACTTAGCCAGAGAAACAAAGGCAAATGCATATTCAGAGGTATACTGATAGCGATGTTTCCATGGAAACAAGGATGCTATCATAATATTTATTTCCATCTATTATGCTTTAGTGTATTTTGGGGTATAGTGTTAAAATGATAAAATATATGACTTTCTTTTCTCAAAAAACTGTATATTAGGTTGATGGGTTTTTTCTGGGTTAGATGTTTTTAAAGGCCTATGTCATGAAAACTATCAAGAGTCACATTAAAACATATAATTTTAATTATTCCCCATAAGTTATAAATTACATTCATTTGCTTGCTTATAAAATTTTGAAATTCAGATACATGACACAGTAAGTCTCACCCAATGTTAAAGTTAGGGGTAAATACAGTCATCCTTAGGTGTCCATGGGGGATTGTTTCCAGGACTCTCATGGATACCAAACTCCAGGGATGCTCATGTCCCTGACATAATGGCATGGTATTTACATATAACATAGGCACATCATCCTGTATACTTTAAAGCATTTCTACATTACTTATAATATCTAATAAATGTAATGCTTTATAAATTGTTGTTATGCTGTATTGTTTAAAGACAAATGACCTAATGCATATGAGGCTTAAAACCTAGATGACGGGTTGATAGGGGCAGCAAACCACCATGGCACATGTATACCTTTGTAACAAACCTGCATGTTCTGCACATGTATCCCAGTACTTAAAGTAAAAAAAAATAAATAACAACAGGAAAAAAAGTATACATGTTCAGTACAGACAAATTTTTTCCAAATATTTTTGATCCACAATTGGTTCAATCCACCAATGGGGAACCTATGGATACAGAAGGCTAACTGTACATGCATTTCTCTACATTCCACAGTTATATTTTATGGGAGACTTTTTTTTTTTTTTGCTATTTGCTTTTTAAGCTTTAAGTTGGCGATTCAAGAGATCTGTAGCAGGAGAACAGAAATCAACTATGCAAGGTAGGGATCTAAGATATTATTAATCTCCCACCAATGGACATATATTACTTGTCTCATGTAAGATTAATATAGGGGTATAAGAGAGTGAGATCTCTTATTGGAATCACTTAATACATCTATTTATGTACTAATATATAATATGTGCGAAGCAGTGTTTTCTGTGCTCAGGATGTAAGAATGATCTGGAAAACTGTCCATGGTTTTGTGAAGCTTACATTCTAGTTAGTGGGGGAGATGGGTACTAAACAGACAAAAAATGCACCACAGAATATTATACAAAATTTGAAAAAACTTACAGGAACATAGGGTTATAGGAAGTGATAACTAATGGAAGCCAGTTATACCCAAATATGGTGTTGTCATATACATTTTAAAAGCTTTGTCTCATTTATCATTGCCTTGGGTCTTTATATCAAACCTCAGGGGGTTCCTGGGTAGGTGTTATTCCTAGTTGCTGAGAAAGAGAAACCAAGGAACTGCATGGTTAAGGAACCAGTTGGCCAGATTCAGAAGGTCACAACACAGGCCTTTTTCACTCAGCTTTGTAGGCACTTAATTAGAGTTGTTGAATAAATGGGTGAATGATTGAAAGAATGAACATACCTAAATACGACTTTCAAATTGGACATATTATCTTTTTCACCTTTTGTAGGTGAAGTTTCTATGGACTGAAAAGGAATCAGGAGCTTAAGCTTTAATTTGGTTGTGTTGTTTCTCTGTTTTCTCCCTGTTAGAAAGAGAATGTGCCATCAGCCTGCCTCTGACACTTAACCAGCAGTGTGATTTTAGGCAAAACCTAATCTCTCTTGTCCTTGGTTTGCTTATGTAAATATTGGGAATAACAATATCAGTATTGCCCATTTCACAGATTTTTTTAGTATCATATAAGATGAAATATATGCAACTTTAGATGATCATACTTTTTTATTTTTTGGAGTGCAGTGGCTCAATCTCAGCTCACTGCAACCTCTGCCTTCCAGGCTCAAGAGACTCTCCTGCCTCAGCCTCCTGAGTAGCTGGGATTACAGGCATGTGCCACCACGCCTGGCTAATTTTTGTATTTTTAGTAGAGGTGGGGTTTTGCCATGTTGGCCAGGGTGGTCTCGAACTCCTGGCCTCAAGTGATCTGCCTACCTTGGCCTCCCAAAGTGCTAGGACTACAGGCATGAGCCACCACACCCAGCCTAATTGTACATATTGAAGTCATCATTGATCCTTTAAAAAGTAATCTTCATTTCACTTGAATTAGAGAAGCATTTTTTCCAGATAGTTCATAAAATAATCTTTGATGTCCCTCTCTTATTTTGATGAAAATCAAATTAAGCTAATTAACCTAATTAGCTTCTTTTTATATAAGAAGGGTACTCTTTGAATGCCAGATCACAGGAGTTCTCACCACCTGTGAACTATGCTATTACTCTGGAACTAAGTTGTTGCAGGGTGAAGTGTTAACAAATGAACTATTTTGTAAGTAAGGGTAAGGATTCTGTGTTCAATATTTTTGTGTTGAGTTAGGAGAATTATTGCATGTGCTAATTTATTTATATTTTTCAATATTGCTATAATTGATAGAAGTCAACTTGTACCATCTTATGTGCATTGCAAAAATCACACGTGTCTTAAAAGCAACTATTTTATGAAATTTCTAAACAGCCTCAATGACTAATATATTTAGCCAAACACAGATGCTAAATATCAAGAGCTTTAAGACTCTCGTGTTGAATTCAACAACTATTATTAAATAACTACTCTACTAACTAGGGGGAAGGAAGAGAAATTATGGTGTTCCTGGAGAGACAGACATGCCTATAAAAAGCAAGAGGATAAATACAGGTAAACTAGAGTAGTTGTTGAAGGCCTCAAAGGAGAAAGCAATAATTTAGCTGGACTTGGATGACAAATAAGTCTGGATAGATGTGGCTAGGAAAAGACACAGGGTTTATCTTTGCCTAGAGAAAGGGAGCAACATGCTAACACTTATTGAGCACCTACCGTATTCCAAAAACTTTGCATTTATTTTCTCATATAATCCTCTCAGCTGGCCTCTAACACGTTATGTTATCTTCATTTTTCAGACTAAGATCCTAAGTATCAAAGTGTCTAAGAAATTTGTGCAAAATCACAGAGAGATTCAATCACAGAGTGGTGGATATTACCACTGAAGTCTAACTGCAAATTCTTTGCTGAAGAAACCACTGAGACATTTTAATCTACACTATTAAAAAGTTCTTAAAAATGTTTGAGTACATAATTAAGATAACTGCATTGAAGTGGTATAATTTGTTCCCATATTCAGAATAATGTCATTTTATATGATCTCTTTGTTTCCACATTGGAAAGGAGATGTTACTAAGTGAGAAGACCAAGTACATCTTTGTATAACTAATGGTTAAAACTCCTCTATGGCATACCCAGTACAGTGGTAAGTTTTTTAAATATGATATTGTGTAATAGTCTTGAAAATACAGCTTTCTTTATTTGATAATGTTTTATGTGAGAACATTGGCTTTTTCTGTTGCCCCATTGAAATCCTTTTAACATGTACTTTGCACAGAGATTTTCTAAATTATCTCCAAACTCAGATATACCACCTGGAGGTCTTCATTTCAAAACAAAGAATGTGATTCATGCTCTTGCCACAAAAATGGGAAAAAAAAGTGTAGTTTTGATGGAAAAATTCTAGGGCTATATATATGTATATATACACACACACACACATATATAAACACTTGAAGTATAAGAAACTCTTTTAAGAAAGCAAAGATTTAGTTGACTCTTCAGTTTGTAGTAATTGTTCGTGTTTTAAACTTTAGTATTGTAAAATTAACATCCATAATCAAATAGGGAGAGTTTTTGTTGTTGTTATGTGTTTTTCCTAGAATAGATACTTTAGAAGAGCAAAACTGTCAGTAGCAGAAACATGGGTTTTTTTTTATTTTTATTTTTTTGAGACAGAGTCTCGCGCTGTCACCCAGGTTGGAGTGCAGTGGTGCGATCTCGGCTCACTGCAAGCTCTGCCTCCCGGATTCACGCCATTCTCCTGCCTCAGCCTCCCGAGTAGCTGGGACTACAGGTGTCCGCCACCACACCCGGCTAATTTTTTGTATTTTTAGTAGAGACGGGGCTTCATTCACCATGATAACCAGGACGGTCTCAATCTCCTGACCTCGTGATCCGCCCACCTTGGTCTCCCAAAGTGCTGGGATTACAGGCGTGAGCCACCGTGCCTGGCCAGAAACATGGTTTTTAATTTTATTTGTTTGATTTAGCAAATGAGCATTTTGTTTTTTACTTTTTGCTAAGTACAGAAGGGGTTTTCTTATTTGATATAGTCAGAGGCAGTACTCTGTTATATGAAAAATTGTTTTAAAACAGGTAATCATTTTTAAAAGGTATATAGATACCATAAACAAGTAATTTTGCTTTGAGTATGCAACTGTGTGTGTTTTTTGTTTTGTAATGTGCCAAGCGTTCTTCTTTGAGAAAGGGTTGGACAGTAGGAGTTCACTTTATTATTTATATAAGCCACACTCATTATGAATTTTCTTTGATTTCCAATTGCTGTTTTACTTTGCAATTGAGTTATTTAAAAAATATTTCTGAAACAATCTGGGTACAGAAATAGAATAAACAGAATGAAGATTTTTGTTTTGTATTTCCAGCTTTTATGGTTGTCTTGCCCAATCTCTTTTATCTAATTTGGCACTGGTTTTGGGGAGAGGAAGGGTGACTCTCCTTTATTGAGCTTTTCAAAAGCCTTTATATTTGTTTTTATATAAACAACATATTCCTTTTTTCATATTCATATTTCATCACTTTTTTGGTATTTTTCTAATAATTTCAGTGAAATTGTTACTAGCGTAATTAGTTTTGTTAGCAAATACATCTAATTGAAATGATGAAAGCAGAAGGGCTTGCTAGAGAGCAGCTACCAGGCACAAGCATTCTGTTTGCCCTGGACAACTGAGAGTGCCATGGAGGGAGTGGATCGTACTGCTTAGATTGAGGCCATCTGTACTGGGTAGGTGTGGTGTGAGGTCTGTGGAAGGCGACAAAGGGAGCTGGAGAAGGATCATGCCCTCAGCCTTAGCCTTACTGAGCAGACAGACCTAAAATGCAGTTTCCGTAAACATCCAAAATGTTCAGAGAAGGTATCTTTCACATAGGAGGGGTATTTTTAGTTAGACCTTGAAGATTATTAGTAAATGTAAGTTGAAAGGGGAAGGATAGAGCATAAGCAAAGAGTTAGAATCAGAAATACTCTAAGTGACAGAGTACGCTCGCTTGTCCAAATACCCTGAACCTAGGCATAAACTTCATGTACACATGTATATGCATACACATCTGTTGAATAATTGAATGAATGTTAGGACAGAGAATGTGGACTTTATCATCTTGGCAGTGGGAAATATGTGTATAGGCGTTTTAGCAGGTGTTAGAAACTGAGAGTGTGTTTTATAAAGAAAACTGAACTCTGTGTGTAGAGGATAGATGGATTGGATGGGAGGAGAGAGGCTGCAGGCGGGGAGACCAGCGTGAGGGTTGGATGGACCTATTGCATAATACAAAGACAAAAAGAACTGGACTTGAAATCAATGGGACTGGATGTGATCTCAGCTTTATCAGTTATTGCATCATGTTAGTCACATTCCAAAATAGCTTTCAGCCACAGTTTTCTAGAAAATGCAAAGTTAATACTTTTAAAATAGAAATTTTGTGAAAAATAAATGTGTTAAATTCAAGAAAATCTCTATCACAGTGTCTAGCAAAGCCATCCATCTATTAATTCCTTCATATCCCCATTTACTCAGTGTGGATGAAGCATACTCTTATGACTTCATAAGAGTGTAATCTAAGGTGTAAAAGCCAAACAAGTATATGGGCCCATATGCCTCATATGTGACAGCTGAATCTGCATTACAAAATAGTTCCAGGCTCAGTGTGGTGGCTCATGCCTGTAATCCTAGCATTTCAAGAGGCTGAGACAGGTGGATTGCTTGAGCCCAAGAGTTTGTGACTGGCCTGGGCAACATGGTAAAACTCCATCTCTACAAAATAATACAAAAAACTAGCTGGGGATGTTGGCACACAACTTTGGACCCAGCTACTTGGGAGGCTGAGGCATAAGAATCTCTGGAGCCTGGAAGGGAGAGGTTACAGTGAGCTGAGATGGTGCCACTGCACTCCAGCCTAGACAACAGAGCAAGACCCTGTTTCAAAAATTAATTTAATTTAAATCGTTCCAGTAAAATTAATATGATGGTAATGCAAAATCAGAGATAAATGGGAAGAGAAAGACTGGGTTTTGCGGAACAATTAACTTGATCAAATTTAATGTATTGAGCAAATGTAGGAAAAGAAAGAGCCAAACTGGTTGTGGGAGTCTTTGAGAGAATAACAACAGGGAAGTTGGAAGAGGAACTGTATTAGAGGAAACACCAAGAACATAGGAAAATGCAGTGTCAAATATGAGATGGCAATTGGACATCCAAAAAATATCTGAAATGCATGCAGAAAATGAATGTTTTGAATCAAAATTTGATGGACATATCATTGATATATACACAGTGGTAGGATCTTGAGACTTGGTGAGTTTCCTGAAAGAATGTGAAGAAAAGTGATAGTACCTATCATTTATTTAACATTTATAAATTAAGCAGTGTTTTAAGTAATTTACACGAGTTATCTTATTTCTTCCTTGCAACAATAGCAGAGGTAATTGCTGTCTTATCCTTAATTTACTGATGGGGAACCTGTGGATCAACAAATGAAGTAATATGCCCTGTTCAAATAGCTAGAGAGAATCAGCCAAGGGATTGCACCTAGGTTTGTCTGACTCCACAGGACAAAGACTTGACTTCAACCCAAGTTAAAAATTGAAAGGAAACAGATGTTCATGGACCTCTGGGGGTGGGCAGTAGAGCGAGTGTTCAGAAAAGTTGGGCATGAGATCATTGGAAGATGTGTTTTATTTTTAAGATGGGGTGAACTGTGCATGTTTGAAAAACTGTAAGGAAGACAAAAGAGAGATGGAAACAGGAATCGTTATGAAACCAGAGACTCAAAAGGAAAAATGAAACCTTGTACTTGTATAATTGTTTTCATTTTTCAAAAGGCTTACAGATCTGGGATGCTAAGGTTCCTCTCTTGAAAAGCCCTGTGAGGTTCAAAGAGTGGATATTGTACCCACTTTACAAATAGAATGTGTGAAGACACAGGGCAATCAAGTGACACACCTATAGATCTGCAGGCCTGGATTATGGTCAGAATATCCTGATGTTCTAATTCCTGTGTTCTCTTCCTAAATTTCACTAGTAGAAAGTTAGGAACTCTGCAATGCAGACACCAATAATTTAACTTTGGTGGGAAGACCCATGATGGAGATCCTAAGGAAAATGAGATGATGGATGCTTATTTCAGACATTCTTTGATGACCTACACAATGCCAAGAAATATGTGACAGTCTAGAGATAGAAAGATGAAAATGACAAGGCTCTAATCCTGGCAGAGCCCCCAGAATAGAAGAACAAGGTGGGAAAATATAAAAGTATAGAAAATAAGAAAGAACAGCAATAATTTCAAAGGTTTCAAAAAAGAGATGTGGCCAAAGCTGGTTTGGAAGATAAATAAAAGTCTTCTGTGTCAGTGGAGGAGTGGGAGCCTTATGTGCATGGCATGGGCTAGCATTTTTGTGCTTGGGGAAAAGGAAAAGTTTGTTGTTGCTTAGTGTATGTGGCTGGGAGTTGACAGTGTTGGAGCAATGTATGGGAGGCAGATGAAGCTGAACTATGAAATACCTATGTGGAAAGGTCTTGTAGAGTATACTTAGGTGCTTAGGGTCCACCCTGTGCCTGCATTTTCCAGGTTGTGTTTCAGAACAAAACAACAGATCCTGAGGCTGTTATGATCTTATTAGATGCTTTGCTACATTTCCTAAATAGTGTTAGAAAAATACGAAATACTTCAGTCTCTGCTTGGAGACTTACAATGCACACCTGTTTTAAAATCTCGCAAAAGGCTCAGGCTTAAGGAAAAAATCTGTTTGTGGTAGACATTTTTTGATGCCCTGTATCACACCTCTGATTCCCACCTCCCAAAGCATTTGCAGAGCGGGTAGACAGTTTCTTGCAGGTTCATAGTAGAAGCTCTGATGGAGATGAGGGAGTTGTTGCTCCCAGGGAAATTCCTCCACTATTGGGGTTGGGAGCCTGTGTATACCCCCGACTCCCATCTTTCAAATGGATGATTCTGGATGACATTTTGTATGGTTGTCAGAGGTTCATTTGAAATCAAGTTCTCATTGACTGCAGTAGCAATTTCGATAATGTACCCAGATGTTGAATTTTCCTCCATCTCTCCCCTTTCCTTCCCCACTGCCTCTAAGATCACCCCCCATAAACTATGTCACCCAAGTCTTTTTGGAGGCTCTGGCTTGGGAGAAACAAAACTAAAACACTATTGAACTTTTGTTGAATAAGCTATTATTTTTCATAAGGATAAAGTTTTGTTTTCCTAAGACACACTTTGCCATGGGAGAGTTTTCCCTTAGGGGGTTTATACATAATTAAATGTTTTGAGAATTGGACCAGCAAGAAAGGGAACAAAAAAGGAGGAGACACTTTGAATTTGGGTGTTGGGAAATAGAGCAAGAAATAACGAAAATAATGATTGAGTTTTGAACATGCTGATACCGAAGATAACTAAGAGTCAGTTGTTTATGTCTAATATTCCGATTTAGGAGATCTTCTAAGTGCTTCTGCATGTGCCATAAGGCAGGAAGAAAGGTGTGGTCATTCACTGAGCTGGGATTTTTTTATTTTTGTAGTGGGCATGCTTTAATGAGATTTATCAACTACTTGAAACTTTACCACTTGATTGTGAAACTGAATCGTTGCATGGGATTCTTTTTTATAGCAAGCTTGTCCAACCTGTGGCCTATGGTGGCTTCGAATGCAGCCCAACACAAATTTGTAAACTTTTGTAAAACATTATGAGATTTTTTTGTGATTTTTTTTTTTTTTTTAGCTCATTGGCTCTTGTTAGTGTTAATGTATTTTATGTGTGGCCCAAGACAATTCTTCTTCCAATGTGGCCTAGGGAAGCCAAAAGATTGGACAAGCCTGACTTACAGTAAGGGTGAAAACCATAACTGAATTGCAGTCTTGATTTTGATTGCTTTTCTGGGTATGTTCATTGGGTTTCTTCTTAGCTTTTGCATGGCAGTGCACAAATTTCTTTTATTGGCAGCGACCTGATTCTTTCAAAGGCAATCTTGTCATTTACACTGTTCATGTAATGATGTAATTTGATAACTACCAATCACTAAGCATTTCAACATTAAACATTAAAGACGTTTAAGATATTATGTATGGAAGACTATTGCATTGCCTGTGTCTGTGTTCCTGGTACAAATTATCACTACTGGATAGTATTTTTCATTTTAATTGAAGAGGTAACACTTCACCTCATAGCATCAAATAGCATTGTGTTATACAAGTAGTAAGGCTCACATCCAGTTTTCAATGACAATGATTTCATTCGCTCTTCATGCTGTGATCACAAGTAGATATAAAGCATTTTGAGGCAGAGCTCTTCAGTTTTTAAATGTTGAGACCATTTAGTCAGCTGGCCACCATTTCAGATATATTGCCACTATTATGTTACATTTTAGTTCTTTTAGAGGGAAAATGGCTTGTTTTACTTTGCAGTCTCTTATTGACATCTTTTTTAATATTTATGTGCCCAATTGCACATGTGGCCTTTTCAGCATTTCCCATAAAATTGTCTACATAGAATTATTTGGTCAAATACATTTAGAATACTCTATAATATCCATTCCACTTTAGTAGATATTATTTGTCCATAGTTTATATTAAGGTCCCTGACTTATTCTGCAAAAAGAAACTCATTTAACTTGGCTTGACACAAGTTTACTCAAATTTACTTGTTGGGAAATGGTAGTCATTCTTCTGGTTGATTTTAAGTCGTACAGAGACAGACTTGTGCACTATACCCCTGCAGTTATACCAAGTGGTATTTCACATACTCTGCTTGATAGTTCACTACCTAGGTCAATTCAGGTGAGAAACCAACACCAACAATATGTAGGAAGGGGAAAAAGATTGAGCACAGAATATCAGAAAAAAAGTCAGAGTGACCCCAGTTTCTTTTCTCCATATGCATTGATGGTTTCCTGGAGTTTTCCTTGCTACTGCATGGGAAGATCAACCTGAAGTGCAGAGCTTGGATAGGCAATAGAAAACCTGGCCCAATATAGAAAATTAACAGACGTGTATCAAAGTGAAGACTTTTATACACCAGAAATGGTCCATGTGAATTTTTACAAAAAGCTAGTCACAAGAAGGAGTGTTCTTCCCTAAGGGCTCTGCACACCTTTCTTTGATGTTGACTTCGGAGATACTGGCCCCATGTTGTGGCTGGAGCTATGGGCTCTGGTAGAGTAGCACACACAGCTGATGGCCAGAAGCGGGGTCAGCAAGCCACTTCTATCCTGTAGGTAACGTGGGGGAAGAGAAAATAAAAGGAAATAAGGAAATATGAGGAACTGGACTTTATCTTTGCTTGCTTGCTTATTATTTTTTAATTCATATTTCCCTGGTTTATACATACTCATTGTGTATGTGTATTTAGTTCTAATTTTATCACATGGATGTACATGTGTTGACCAACACAGTCAAGAAAGAGGACAGTTCAGGTCCCACAAGGATCCCTCATAGTACCCTTTGATAACGACACTCCCCTATCTCCCTCCACTTTCCCTAAACATTGGCAACCACTAGTTTACTCCCATTTTGTTTTTATTTTAATTTTTTAAGAGATGGGGTCTCACTATTGCCCAGGCTGGTCTCTAACTCCTGGTCTCAAGCAACCCTCCTACCTCAGCCTCTGGAGTTGCTGGGATTACAGTTGTAAAACACCATGCCCAGCACTAAACCCTATTTCTAAATTTGAATTTTTTAAAGTTTTACATAAATGGAATCATATAGTAAGTAACCTTTTGGAATTGGCATATTTCAGTCAGCATAATTTCCTGAAGATTTACCAAAGGGGTTGGGTGTATAAAGATTTCATTGCTTTGAGTTGCAGGGTAGCATTCCATGGTATGGATGTAGCACTGTGCATTTAGCCATTCACACATTGAAGGAACTTGGGTTGTTTCCAGTTTAGGGCTGTTAGACATAAAACTCTGCGAACTTTTATGTACAGATTTTTGTATGAACAAGTGTTTTCATTTCTCTAGGATAAATGCCCAAAAGTGCAATTGCTGGTCATATGGTAGTTACGTGTGGTTCGTTTTACAGGAAACTAAAAAACATGTTTTCCATATTGGCTTTGACATTTTACACTTAAGAAGACAATGTCTGAATCATCCAGCCTCCTTACATCCTCTCCAAGATTTAGTGCTGTCACTGTTTTGTTTTTTGTTTTTAGGTATTTTGGTAGGTGTGGAGTGACAGCTCATTGTAGTTTTAATTTGCATTTCCCCGATGTCTAATGATGTTGAACATCTTTTCAGGTCCTTATTTTCCATCTGTTTTTCCTCTTCAGTGAACTGTTTGTGTCTTCTTCCCATTTTCTAATGGAATCGTATGTTTTATACTATTGAATTTTGGGCAGTCTTACTTATTCTAGATACTCTTTCTTTAGTGGATAAGTGGTTTTCAAGTATATCCTCCCAGTCTGTAGCTTTTCTTTACATCCTCTTTGCTTGAGCTTTCATGGAGCAGAAGTTTTAAATGTTGATGCAGTCTGGTTTATTGGTCCTTCCTTTTAAAGACCATTCAATTGGTGTCAAGTCTAAAAGCTCTTTGCCTATCCTTACATCACAAAGATGGTTTCCAATATTTTTTAAATAAAAGTTCTATAGTTTTATGTTTTACATTTACGTTTGTGGTCTAGTTTGAGTTGATTTTTAAACTGAGTAAAGTTTAGGTCGATTTTTTTTTTTCTCTCCTTCCATTGAATTGCATTTTTTCAAAAATCAGCTGAGCCCATTTTTGTGAGTCTATTTCTGTGTTCTCTGTTTTGCTGTATGGATCTATGTGTCTCTCCCTGTGCCACTACCACATGGTCTTGATCATTGTAGCTATATTATAAGCCTCAATGTTAGGTAGAGTGATTCTTCCTGCTTTGTTTTTAGTCTAGATAGTTTTACACATTCTAAGTCCTGTGCCTTTACATATAAATTTTAGAATAAGCTTGTCTTTATCTACAAAAAAAAAAGAACAAACCCAAAACCATGCTGATATTTCGATCAGAATTATATTAAAATTATACACTCATGTGTCACTTAATGACAGGGATATGTTCTGAGAAATGCATCATTAGGTGATTTCATCAAACATCATAGTATGTACTTATTATACCCAGATGGTATAACCTACTACACACCTAGGCTGTATAGTATAGCCTATTGCTGCTAGGCTATAAACCTGTACAGCAGATCACTTTACTTAATACTGTAGGCAATTGTGACACAATGGTGAGTATTTGTGTTTCTGAAAATATCTAAGCATAGAAAATGTACAGTACAATATAAAAGATAGGAAACGGTATATCTATACTGAACACTTACCATGAATGGAGCTTGCGGGACTGGAGGCTGTTGTGGGTGAACTGGTGAGTGAGCGGTGAGTGAATGTGAAGGCCTAGGACGTTACTGTACATTACTGTAGACTTCATAAACACTGTACACTTAGGCTACACTGAATTTATAAAAATATGTTTCAGTGATAAATTAATCTTGGCTTACTATAATATTTGTATTTATAAACTTTTAATGTTTTATGAATTTTGACCCATAATAACACTTAGCTTAAAACACACATTGTGGAGCTTTACTAAACTATTTTCTTGTACACTTATTCAATAAGCTTTTTTATTTTGTTTTCTTTTTAAGTGTTTTTGCCAAAAGCATTTAAAAACACACGTTAACCTAGGCCTACACAGGGTCAGGATCATCAGTATCACTGTCTTCCACCTCCACATCTTATGCCACTGGAAGATCTTCAGGGGCAATAACATGCATGGAACTGTCATCTGTTATAATGACAATGCCTCCTTCTGAAAAACTCCTGAAGGACCTACCTCAGGCTGTTTTATGGTTAACCTTTTTTTTTTCAATTTATAGAAGTAATATATTCTAAAATAACAATAAAATTATAGCATAGTAAATACATAAACCCGTAACAGTTATTTAGTATCATTCTCAAGCATTATATGCTATACATAATTTTATATGCAAAACTTTTATATGACTGGCAGCATAGTAGGTTTTTTACACAATCACCACAAACTCAGGAGTAATATATTTCACTACTATGTCATGATGCCTATGATATCACTGTTGTAAATATGGTCTGGCCATATATGTGGTCCAGCATTTACCGAAACATTGTTCTACAGCATATGACAGTGTATTAATTTGGGAAGAACAGCAATTATGTTGAATCTAACAATCCATGTACATAGTATGTGTCTCCATTTATTTATGCCTCTGCATTTTTTTTCTTTTTCATTAGCATTCTGTAATTTTCATTATACAGATCTTCTGCATGTTTTGTTATGTGTAATTTACCTGGGTATTTTATTTTATTTGGAACAATTGTGAGTAGTTTTGAGTTTTTAATTTCAATTTTTGCATGTTTATTATTAGTATGTAGAAATTGTATCCTGTGACCTGCTTAACTCCCTCGAATTTCTGATGTTGGGGAGGGGGAAAGCACTCGGTCTTTCACCATTAAATATGATGATAGCTGTAGTTACTTGTAGGTGTTCTTTATCATCTTAGTTTGTTTTTAAAGTCCAAAATTGGACTATATATAGCTTGACTTACATTTGGGTGGCACATATAATCTTCCACTAGATATTTTAATGATCTGAAGCTTTTTAGACATTGACACTACTCTTTTCTCATAGTTCCTAGTGTTGCAAAAAAGGAGAAAAGTCTCGCTATACCTTGACTGTAACATGTATGTTCTTATGCATCTATGTTGCTCCATCTGCCTCAGAAAAATGCCCACCCTGGCCCTCTGACTGCTACTACTACTGTCCGTCTACTTGGCCAGGTTCTGCTTGTTAAAGCCTTGGTTACACCTGTAGATTAACTATGCAGTCCTCTGTGTACTTACCACCTTTTCAGCAAAGTGCCACTTACAATGTGCCATTACAATTAAGTTATTTTTCTTTGCTTCCTGATGCTACGTCCATGAACCGGCCATATCAGATATCCAGAACAATATTCCTTGCACTCGTGCACTGCAGAAAGAGTAGCCATGCTTGTCTCTAGACCAATGGGCAGATCTGTGCCAGCTATATTTGTGCTTAGGCAAAAGAGATTTTACCTTTGGAGGAGACATTACTGGTTTCCGTAGAACTATTCTATACATTTTTGCATATTCTAGCTAAAATCAGTGATAGAAAACATCCACACTGTGAAATTGTATGGCAGAAGATAACAAGGAATTAGACAGGAAGGCAGCAATGATGACACATACTTGATCATCAAGAAATAATCTTTGGAAATTCCATGTATAAGCTACATTCTGATATGAGGTACTGCCTCATTTAGCCATTGGGAAACATTTGGATGGTCTAGTTTTGCAGTTCTAACTCAGTTAGTTACATTCCAAGAGACTTAATGTTTTGAGAATGTTGCATTTTAGTTAGATTTAAGGTGATACAACGCTATGTTATTGTATCATTTCTGTTGGATAGCGTGTGGTTAAAATAAGTCCATCAACTGTTTTTTCTTCTTTTCTGGGCACACACAAGAGAGTTTTGCTGAATCACTTTACTCCATATTTATAACCTAGCAATTTAATACTATTTTTCAGTAACAATAACGTGAGGCACATAGGCCCTCTTATTTCTCTCTGATATACTGCTATATGATCCTTAGAGTATCCCTAAGTGTCTACAGGTTCTGGTTTTATCAATTTGAAGATAATTATTTTGCTTTTTATATTTTTCAAAGAAAAGTTGAAAATATCCAAGTTGTATTCTAAAATACATATACTGCTTCACTGTGTATAGACACCACTTAGGTAATTTATATCAGCCCTTAAGAGCTATGAAGTGAGTATATTCTTTCAGAAATTGACAGTACAATTGTTCTGATACAGAAAGTGACACCATAGAGTATATTAACGGTGTAATTCTTCACAGGCATTTTTTATAAGTCAGAGTTTAAAGAAACAGATCTTTCTTCCTCTTTCCCTATGAACTAAAGCATTTTTAAAAATGAAGTCAACGGAATTTTCTCTCTCCTTTAATTTAACTTGGAAAGAATGAATCAGTATTTGCTGTACTGGATTGTCATTGGAAGAAATTAAATGTTCTCTAAAAATAACCGTTGGTAATCAAAATAGTATTTGCACTTGATTGCTATTTTTTTAACTTTTTTAAACACTTGAAAAAATCTTTGGATGCTTATAAAAATAATTATTTTTAGCCGCTATAAATAAAAGGGAATATGCTGATTTAAATTACTGTTATCCTTTGAATTCTATGTACTTGGTAATTTTCAGTGACAATATATCTTCCACAAAGCCCTTCAGAATATGGGAAAAATAGGACTTATACTCAGAAACTGAATATTATCAAATATTTTTGTAAATAAAAATAATTATAGGTAGAATAAAATCTATTTAGGCTATGATAAAATGTTTTAGGAGGGAAATTCATGAATAGTTGGTCATTATTACAAGTTGAAGCTAAAAGTATTCATGATATGGTGAATCACTGGTGAATGTGAAAGTCATATTTATGTTTATTTTTGATTTAGGATATTTCATTTCCTTTTTTGAATTATATTGTCTGGTTAGTTCATTCTGATACACGCTTTGTCTTTGGATAGTTCATGCCATTTTAGACACTATTTCAGCAACATGGGATCAGTGGGTATATATTTATATTGTATTGCTGAATTTCTAGAAGCTTTAATAAAGAAATCAGAATCCAGCTTTTCTACCTCAAAGCAAATGGTTTTCTCTCTAGGTTCTGGGAAAGAGATTTTAAAATTGTTTTCCATGCAGGAACAGAAAACCAAATACTGTATGTTCTCACTTATAAGCAGAAGATAAATGTTAGGTACTTATGACCATAAAGATGACAAAAGTGGACCCTGGGGACGACTACAGTGGGGAGGAAGGGAGAGGGGTAAGGATTAGAAAACTACCTACCTGTTGGGTTCTGTACTCACTACCTGGGTGATGAGATCAACCAAACCCCAAACCTCAGCATTACACAGTATAACCACATAACAAACCTGTACGTGTACCTCCTGAATCTAAAATAAAGGGTGAAATTCTAAGTAAATAAAAATAAAAATTTTTAAAGAAAAAAGCAAAAACTAAAATTGTTTTCTAAAAGAAAGGAAGGTCTTGGTGTAAAATTTGTGATTTAATTGGTCTTTCTAAAATTCAGTTTTGTTTTGTTTTCAAATCAGATCTTGAAAATTTTAAAACCAAAATGAGGAGTACAGTGTCTGTGCGTGAAGGCCAGGGAGTTGTGCTGCTCTGCGGCCCCCCACCACACTCTGGAGGTAAGTCATGCTCTGTTTCTGCTTTTCATATTTATTAAGGTTCAGGGCAAGGCCTGCAGCGCATGTACTGTTATTGCATCTGTAAATTACTCTGAGAAACTTGATAACCTGAGCATTAGATTTTGTCTGCTGAGTTGGAATATGAGGAACACTACAAAAAATAGTCCATCCAGAGAGGTTTCTAAACAATCGACTCATTGACTTTTTGGTTTATAAAGACAAGAGAGATCACATTTGCTTCAGTCACCTAACGGTGCTAAACAATGCTTTGTCATTACACCATTATCATTTGGTTTTTAGTTTTATGCCATGTCAAACTGGATCTTTGCTGTTTGTCTGCCTCTCTTTCTCTCTCTCTCTCTCTCTCTCTGTCACACACACACACACACAAGCTTATTAGTATGTGCCAATAAGCCTCTTTATATATGTATTTTATATATATATATATATATTTATACACATAGAAATGATATGTGTGTATATCCACATCATTTACATTGGGGCGTTGGAATTGCAAATTTTATGCTATATTGGTATAAATTGAAATATTACTAGAAATTCAGAACCTTACCAAGATAGTGACCCAGAGTAAAAATGAACTTCAGCACATATGAAAATAATTTTATTATCTCCCCAGTATGAGCCTGGGGTGCTGGTTTGATTTTCCTATCGTGCTCTCTATTGCAAACTTGGCCACTTGCAGGAACAAAGAGGGCATTATTAATGAATAAATCACTGTTCTCAGAGAAACACGTATTTTGTTATTGAGAGGATGAGAATTATTGGGAGATAAACAAGTTAGAGTGGATCTTTCTGACCAGAAGTGAAACTGAGAAGTCTGCTTCTCATTACAGTAAAACTTATTCAAAGGAAAACATGCTGGACTTTATTTGTTCTGTGACATACAAATTACAGTCCTTTCCACCCAAAGAGTTGTCAGTTTTGATCACAAACCCTCAGCCCAATAAAACAGATATCTCCCATCTTCAGGATCTGGCCACTTGAAATTCGTGAACCATCTGGAGACTGCAGACTTGGAGCTTGATTAAAAAATAGGATTGCCATCATGTGGTCTGCTGTGGGTTTAAATTGTGTTCTCCAGTTTATTTCAAGGGTGTTCATAATTGCTGGAATCTTGATGTTTCAGAAGAACTTTAAGTTTGAAGGGAAGCATAGAGCCTCTTGATTGCAAACAAAGTAACAGAAGTCAAACCGTATTGACAAAAAATTGGGAGTTTGCTGGCTCACATAACTGGGATGATCAAGTGGCTTCTGGTAGCACTGTGAGGTTTTACGAAGAGATACACCACCCAGAAGGACGTGCTGCCTCGCCACGGGGTGTGGGGTTAGTGGATGGCCTCCAGCTCTCACTCCTTCCTGGTCTGCCCCAGCTGCAGAGAGACACTTGCCCACAGTCACACCCCTCCTGAGGAAGCCCACATCTAGTGACTGAGCAAGGCTCGGATATGAAGGGTCAACCATTTCTGACCAACACTGGGCAATTCTGATTTAATCCATAACTTCCTGTCAGGATGACCATGTTTTTGTTGGACCACATCACAATTCAGTTTCTTTCTCTTCCCAGTTGAATCCTAGTTTTTTCCTTTCATGAGTTTTGATCATTGATTAAAAGCTTTTATTCCAAACTCTATTTAGGGGTCCGCTCCCTGAAAACTCAATCCGTTGGATTCAGGGATTGAATCAATTCCATAAACAATCCATTTTTCTCTGTATTTCTTGACTGCACTTCTCTCCATATTGCCTCCATTCTCATGTATCTTCCTTGTGGAGGCAAAGGTGACCTCTGACAGCTCTAAGTTCTGTGATCCTTAATGCTAAATATCCTAATGAAGCAGACACCCTGTTTCTCTATGGCTCCTGATTCTTTTAGAATCAGCCTTTTTTATGGGAGCCCTGAAGCTGAGGGCTTGAATCAGTCCACCAGCTGACAAGCACTGGAATGAGAAAGAAGCAGTTTCCAAAAGAAGTGTTGTATTATGAGTAAAAAGAGGGAGATATATTAGATAGAAATAAATAATTGCTAAAACTACATCTAGGAAGGAAGTATCAAAATAATTTAAATTTATATTGTCTCAAATGAACATAACATAATAGCTGGGTAGTCTTGGTTGTGATCAGTTTTATAGGTGTTGACCCAATTTAAAATTCCGACTGAGTGATTTTGTTTAAGTATTATTATGATTAGATACATTCATTGATCGGAAAGGAGGAACTTTTTGGTTGCCTAAGTATGCACAGAGTGAACATGTCTTAGTAAGCTGTTGGAGGAAACATGTCCCAAAAGATGAATCTATTCAAATGTTATAAAATTGGAGAACTGTTAGCCCATCACACCTGTCCTAAATAATGATATCCTGATTTTTCTCTGCCTTTGGTGACTTCAGGTAGTCCTTTCATTTTTAAAACACTCGGTTGGGATGACAGTGTAAGTCAAATAGGATTGTAGGTGAAGACGGGAAGAAATCTTCCCAGATGTCAGACATGAACCCATAAGAACCCAGAGCATGCATAGGAGAGCAAATAACATTCACCAAAAGCATACTTCCCTCAGTTCCAGATTGTACAGATTTAGATGCTAAAAAGTGTGATGCTCGTTGATCCAAGTGTCTGTAATGCGGAGGTATTCACAATTCACGTCCACTGTCTTAACACATTGGCTTATGAGCTTCTTGAGGGCAGGCCTATGTTGGTGTTCGTCTGCACCCAAGAGCCTAGTACAAGGCTGGTTTGTAACAAACAGTAAATATTGGTTGAAGAAATGAACACATTCATGTAAGGAATACATTTTTAAAAATTTGGCCAGTTATACATGCTTTTTGAGAGTTCACTGGAAACTTTGTGAAGATATAAGCTTTTAACAGCCAAAATGACCTGGGTGCCAACCAGACAGGTGAGGGGATTGACAGATCAGAGTAAACTCTGTCCACAGCAGCTGGTATCAGCCCCGCTTCATCACCTTTTTGACTTATGGCCTTTAATTCAGTAGAGGGTATGAGCCAGGTCAGAGAGCAGCTGAAGCTGTAACTCCGGGGTATATCAGTACAACTGATGAAGGATTAATCAGAGAGCTCATGGCCTGCACTGTGGTCCATTTGGTTTTCTTCCCACAGAGTCGCACAGTCCCTGCAGGACATGTGCTTGCCCTTCTCTGTCTCCCATACTTTGTGTTAGCTATATTCACTTCACATTTCTTCATTTCTTCTTGGTTCCCTCTCTGTGGTTAGAAATGTTTAAATTTGTTATTTTTCTGATTACTGAAGATACAATCATATTTTATTTATCTGTTGTATTTCCTCTTATATCAGCCTAACAGAGTAAGCAAAGAAAGGCAGTAATAGTAATAATAATAGTAACCAGCTGGGCACAATGGCTCATGCCTGTAATCCAGCACTTTGGGAGGCCGAGGCAGGCAGATTGCTTGAGCTCAGGAGTTCAAGACCAGCCTGGGCAACACGGTAAAACCCCACCTCTACCCAAAATACAAAAAATTAGCTGAGCATGGCGGTGCACACCTGTAGTCCCAGCTACTCGGGAGGCTGAGGTGGGAGGATTGCTTGAGCTCGGGAGGTGGAGGTTGCAGTGAGCTGATCATACCACTGCACTCCAGCCTGGGCAACAGAGCGAGACTCTGTCTCAAAAAAAATAAAATAAATAAAATAAAAATAATCATAGTAGTGTTAGCCTCTGTCTATTGAGTGTTGCTTAGATGCCAAGCAGTGTTCTAGTCCTTTGTGGAAATTACCTGCTAGTGAGATTCTTTTTGGGTAAAAGTATGGGGAGGAAGATGTGTGATAATGTACATTAGAGTCTGGAAGCTGAGCCTGCAGATGCTAAGAGCGTGGGCTCTTAACCAGCCAATGCCTAGTGCCTTGAGCCCAGACTTCCTGCTTAGAAATGGCACATGAGGCAGGAGGCCAGAAACTAAGCTTCAGCACAAAACCCTCCAGCTTTTATTTAGGGCTACACTTCGGGAGTTTGCAAAGTGTGCCTCAGAGAGGAGGCAGCCAACCTAAAATCACAGAGCTGTGAAGAAGTAAAACTAGAACCTGGATGCTCTGACTCATGACCAGGGCTCTTTCTAGTATGGCATGCTCTAAACCAGCACCCTGTTGCCATTCTCCAAATGAGAAGTCACAGAGTCCTCAGCAGAAGTGACACTGTCCTAAGCCAAAAGCTTCTGACATTTCAAAATTGGAGACAGCACAGTTCATGGTTTTGTTTTAATTTTCCAGCCCATTGTTTAACACATCAGCAATGCTTAAAATCACATTAGCAGAAATATCTCCAGAGTTAACTAAATGTTTTGACTCATAGTAAAATTGTGTTAAAATCTCCTTTTAGTGCAGTAAGTTTATAACTTTCTTTTGTTTATTTGGGATAAAACCCAGAAATGTTCTCCATAACTAGATTGGGAAGATAGATGTGGAAAAGGCCTAAATAAGGATCCCAAAGTGTGGAAACTGCATATGTTAATCATATTTCCTTAATTAATCAATGTAATTTACAAGATAGTATCAGCAACTTGGGGCAGCTCTGCATAAGAGCATTTGCCATCTATTTGATACTATAATAATAAAAAATTGTTTTATGGTGGGAGACAATGAAGAATTTTCCTAGGAATCCCTGTAACCTCGCAGCAACAGACTGCTGTCATCTGAGAGGGTTCTTATCTCCCCATCATTCTGTGTCATTTTCTGCCACCTCCCAGTCATTGCTTTCTCTGCAGAGCAATCCAGCACCTCTATGAAGCAAGAGGAATTAACCTCCCAAAGTTTGTCAGAAAACTAGGAAATCAAAAGCCAGAAATAGAAGACTGGACATGCATCACCTGTAGCATAATTATTAATCTAGTTATCAGTCATGTGAAAAGCTGGGAGTTCGTGTTAATTACCATTCACTTGCTGATATCACCACACAATCATTAGACATTGAAATACACGAGAAAAATTACCCTGTTTTCAGTAAGGTCATAAGACTAGTTCATGGGCACCTTATGATAAATACTAATTACTCAGGAATTCATAGGTTAATCAAGTTATTACATACATGCATGTTAATAAAGAGATGAGTTCTGTTCAACAATGGCTGATAGAAATTTATTCTGAGTAGAAAACAGGCTTGAGTCTGTCCCAGTGTTTAATCAGCAAGTGACTTTGGTGTCTTGATTCAGCTTTCCATATCTCTGCTATGCACATATTCTTGAAATGGAAGTCTTGTATACTGCCATTCACATATTATAACAACATAGCCCTTGGGATGGAAAAACGAGAATGTGAGATGCCAAACAGCAGGTAATGGAGGCTGAAGTGACATTATGGTAAAAATTGCCTTGTAAACCCTGGTGTGACAAAGGTGAGAACTGTTAGCAACATGCCCAGATGGCATGGGATTTACAACTTCTGTATCAGCATCTTTATTTTTTTTTCTTTACCCAAGATGGATAGACTGAAAAACAGAAGTCAGCTCAGGTAGCTTAGCTGACAGAACCTGAAGAAAACGCACTGAATAGGAGTTTTCATCTCTAGGAAGACTTGTCCAGTTGCTAGAGTCTCCGTCAAGGCAGGGAGACACATGACTAGTGTTTTTGGATGTGATTATGTCTCAAAACAACAATTTCCTTAAACAGTTTAATCTGTAAGTATAATACAGCTTCATCTTAGGCACACAGTTTTCCTTGAACAACACTTTGCTACTGTTCTGCAGGTAATAAAGTTAAACTTTAAAACAGGCCAGGTGCGGTGGCTCATGCCTGTAATCCTAGCACTTTGGGAGGCCGAGGAGGGTGGATTGCCTGAACTCAGGAGTTCAAGACCAGCCTGGGCAACATGGCGAAACTGCCCCGCTACTAAAATACAAAAAAAAAAAATTATCCAGGCATGGTGGTGCGTGCACCTATAGTCCTAGCTACTTGGGAGGCTGAGGCAAGAGAATTGCTTCAACCCTGGAGGCAGAGGTGTTAGTAAGCCGAGATCGCACCATTGCACTCCAGCCTGGGCAACAGAGTGAGATTCTGTCTCCAAAAAAAAAGATAAAAAAAATTTAAAATAAAATAAACTTTAAAACATTAGCATTTTTCAAAATCTTGAAGTCAAGAATGTATGTATAGGTAGTGTCAAAATAAAAAAATATAGAGATGAATCTCTAAATTTGATGTTTTATTTGGGAAGAAAGAATATGCTTTCTAGCTGGGCACGGTGGCTCATGCCTGTAATCCTAACATTTTGGGAAGCCAAGGTGGGCGGGTTGCCTGAGGTTGGGAGATGGAGACCAGCCTGGCCAGCAAGGTGAAACCCCGTCTCACTAAAAATACAAAAATTAGCTGGGCATGGTGGCAGGTGCCTGTAATCCCAGCTATTTGGGAATCTGAGGCAGGAGAATTGCTTGAACCCGGGAGGCAGAGGTTGCAGTGAGCCAAGGTCGCGCCATTGCACTCCAGCCTGGGCAACAGAGTGAGACTCTGACTCAAAAAAAAAAAAAAAAAGGAATATGTTTTCTGCAGTGGACATGGTGGCTCATGTTTGTAATCCCAGCACTTTGGGAAGCCAAGATGGGAGGATCCCTTGAGGCCAGGAGTTTGAAACCAGACTAGGCAACATAGCAATACTTTGTCTCTTTAGGGGGAAAAAACAGAATTAAGAATATGCTTTCTGGCTCCCATCACATTTGCATCAGAGGTCAATGTGTGTAGACTGCTTCTCCAATAACCCAGTAGTTTCCACCTTCCCTAAAGGAGCAGGTGCAAAAGTTGCATTACAGCAGCACTTATGTCACCACAAACTGCAAGATCAAGACTAGGAAGCAGATGATTGATAGGCTAATGAGAAATTGGCATCTGTACAATAGAATATTACTGCTTATTTATTGCTCCTATCCTGGGGATAGGTTAGAATGTCATGGCAAACAGTTAGGTAATCCATCTGTAGACTGAATGAATCTCAAAATTGTAAACTATTTTTTGAATATGTCAATACTGATGTGACTATTGACATTTTCAGGAGTTCAGAATATTAACAGATTCATAGTCGCATTAAGACAAGTATGTTCTGAATCAATTGACATATAAACCTTAGCTGCTTTTATATGGATAACTATAAAATATTTTGATCTCTAAAGGAAACATTTGTTGTACTCTATAGACCATTTTGTAGTTGGAAATGGAGATGAAAATCCTGAAGTTCTCCAAAGTGCCTGAATGTGGAAGCTGTGAATTTAAAATATTAATTGAGCCTGCCTTCAACTTTCCTTTTTTCTTTCTAAGTCTGTCCATCCAGGCATATTCCATCCATCCATCCATCCATTGTATTCATTCATTGATTTACTCAAGTATCCATCAAACAGCTATTTATTTGTGGAAGATGTGATATGTCTTATAATAATAAGGTTTTACTATAATAAATATGTGTCTTCACTTGAATAAGATTGATATTAAATAAGAGAAAAACTGAGCGTATTGCTCTTGAAGTTGATAGAAATATATCCAAATTGATACTTGTCGAATACTGCCCGAAACCACTCCCCAAGAGAAAAGTACTGAGTTCAGTTTGCAGGAAATAGGAAGATAGATAGGAATTCTGTCCTCAGGTACATATGGGCCCACAGGGAATGAAAATGATGAGTTTGCTAGTGACTAGTTAACCCTAGAATGACAATAATAGGTGCCATTATTATTGGCCAGACACAGCTTATTGCTCCTAACAGAACTTCAAGGAAGAGAGTATCACTCTCATTCTGCACTGACAAGCCAAGGCTCAGAGCAGTTAGGTGATTTGTCCAAAGCCATGTCATGGTAGATTTGGGCACCTAGGTCTGTTGCTTTCTTTCCTTTTTTTTTTTTTTATTTTAGAATGTCCCTCTGTCACCCAGGCTGGAGTGCAGTGGCACAATCTTGGCTCACTGCAACCTCCACCTCCCGGGTTCAAGCAATTCTCATGCCTCAACCTCCCGAGTAGCTGGGACTATAGCCACACGCCACCATGCCCGGCTAATTTTTGTGTTTTTAAAAGAGATGGGGTTTTGCCATGTTGACCAGCCTGTTCTCGATCTCCTGACCTCAAGTGATCCAACCGCTTCGGCCTCCTAAAGTGCTGGGATTACAGGTGTGAGCCACTGCGCCCAGCTGGTCAGTTGCTTTCTGATGGAAAATTTTCCTGTGCTCACAAACATTATAGGCTTCAATTTTTTTTTACTTATACATTTTCCACCTTCTAAAACAGTGTTTTTCAGACTCCTTTAATGGGTACTCTGTAACAATGAAAACCTTTTTAAGCACCACCCTGCTACAATCACACTCACACATATACACATATGAAGGAAGCAGAGAGGGTACAAACTGGGCACCTAGAGCTAGACTGCTTGAGTTCCAATTCTAACACTTTCATTACAAGCTATGGAATTTGGAACAGGTTGCCTAACCTCTGTATCTCTTATTTCTTATCTATACATGGGGAATAATCACAGAACCTATCCTTATAGGATCATTGTGAGTATTTAAGAAGGCAATCCATGTGAATTGTTTGAAATGTCTGATTTATTTATACACATACAAATATACTACCATCTTAATATGTTTATGGAAAAATGTAAAAATTTAAAATATCTAAATAAAAGTAAATCTATGAAGGGGATTAACTATACTTTCTTTCTGTACCCTGGGGGATTGTCTGGCTGGGAATATCTGAACCCCACTTTAGAAAACATGGTTCTAGAAAATGTTTGGGTTTTGTTCCTCATTGGATTATCTGTGGTTGAGGAGGAAAAAGTTAAAACAATTATGTTTAGAGAAAAGGAATGGAGATGGCTTTGAGATGCCCATCCTGTACTAGCATCAGTGACCCCAGGGGCCCAGCCAGCACATTCCAACTGACTTCAACCGATTGGCCCAGGGAGAACACCTGCCACAAGATGAGCCAATCAGATGCTGTCTCCTGGGAGTTTGATATTTGACCTGTAAGCCTACAAGTCTGAATTTGAGAGTTTGGAACAGAGCCTTTCTATCATGTAGATTAGGCAGCCAAGAAAGCTGATGCCTCAGGAGCTGAGATGTAGCCCGACAGAAACAAGAAGAGACCAGGGGCAGAGATTAAGGACGAAAGACTGCCTGGCCTGCAGGCTCCCCAGCTCTCATTTCTGTAGCTGTTTTCTAGCCCTTGGGTTCTATGAAACAGCTTGTGTCTGTATATCATTCTGATCCTTACTTAGGCTGACTGTGATAGGTTTTTGTTTCTGACAAACAAACTCATAACTAATGCAATGGACATCATTTTAGGATGATATGTGTGTATGTATGTAGTAATGAAACTGATGCAAGGAGAATAGGAAATTTAATTTAAAAATAAAGAAACAGAAGCTTTATTTTTTGACAGCTGTCCCTGGGGCTGTCACGGCATCCCTTTTGGATTAAAGTCAGCATGGAACATACCACAAAGAGCTCTGGAAAGAGTCAGGGTCATGGAAACAACTTCGAGAAACTGGATTCATTCATTCATTACAACTTACACTTTCAGTCTACAGGTGAATTTCCCCCAAGCTTCAGAAATGCCCCTGACCATTTCTTACATTGTTCTCACAGCAGCATGGCTTCACACTTCCGCCTTCCAGTTTATTCCCAGATCCCCTAACTGGTCTGCAGTGGTAGGATGAGAAAATCATTCTTTCTCACTCTAAAGACGTACGAGTCTTCTTGCTCTGATTCCATCCACCAACAGACAGAGGAGCCTGAAGCCCATCAAAAAATTACATGTGGAAACTCAGGGGTTTAAATCTACTGTTCGAGAGATAGTGCTTCAACAGAATTTATTTTAATATGGCAGAGTCCTGACCGATGTTTTCTGCTTTAAGTAAAAAATTAGCTATAAGTCAAGAATGGTAAAGGCTTTGTCTCCTATCCCAAAAAGAAACAGAAAGACCATTAGTTGATGCTTTTGGTCAAAAAAAAAAAAAAAAAAAAGACTATAGGAAACACCAGGTGAGATCCAAGAATTGATCTGTGCACTAGCAAGTGGGGGCAATAAAACATTGGTTGCTTCCATTACAGCGCATTTGTGTGTACCTGTGTTTTAATTAATATTACACATGCTGCTGTTACAAAGAAACCTGACAATGTATTAGATCAAACTGAGGGATATTTCTTACACAGATAAAGTCCAAATCAAGTGTTTTTGGTCATAGGGCAGTGTTTTGTAAACTCTAGTGGCTCATTTAGGGGGCTTGTTTAAAATGTAGATTCCACAGTCCCACTCCCAGAGATTCTGACCCCATAGGGTGGGGTCTTTCCTGGAGACCTGCATTCTTTATCAGTGACCCAGGAGAGTCTTGATTCAGATGGTTTTTAAGCCATACTTTGAAACACATTGTCTTCAAGTCATACAAATGTAAATGCTTTCAAAAACCATTTAAAGGAATAGAGAAATATTTATGCCAGAGCAAGTACAAGAGTTGAAGTATTTTTGTGGGTGAATTTTATTAGGTAGGACATTTTAAACTCTAAAACAGAAGTGAACTTTGTGGCTTACATGGAACTTTGATACTCATTTATTTATAAGCTAGGTAATTTCCATCTCAGCAGATTTTTTTCCCTGAACTTTAGCTGTCTTGGAGAGACAAAAGTATGAGGATAATTTTAAAAAAACTTTTACAAAAATGCTGTCTTGGAGAGCAAAGTTGCTAGTCTGCCTAGTTGTGTAACTGAAATTTCCTGACTTTCATCCATCCACATGCCCAGGTGTGGAGTAGCTGGTGGGTGCTTCGCAGTCAACTGCACTGATGCTCACAGAGATTGAGCACCTCTCTTACCACTTGGTTAAGGTTTTATAGCTTTTGATCCTCACAGGCACTGCTTGGCACCTCACCCCAGAGTAGTTTGGATTTGTTTTTGTTGTTATTGTTGTTATTGTGTGTCTGTGCCTGTGACTGTTGCTCTGTCTGAAGGAAAACCCAGATTGGTCTTGTGGGGAGGGAATTTCAGAATTGATCCCCTTCCTTTTGAGATTCGGCTTTTATTTAAAACCTGTTTTTCCTCATTAAATTGAGCAAGTTGGACTTTGAAATGGTACCAGGGTTAAAGGTAAGAGTGGAATGAATCATGCATGAAGTTTTCAGTAAGAATTCATTCACAGAAACTCCACAGTGATCACCTTTCCCTATTCCCACAGGTCTGCAGCATGCAGCCAAGTAATTCAAACGAAAGGAGGGCTAGGATTTGAGGCTTGGGCAATTATTTTCCTGGTAACAGCTAAATCTCTAAACAGCATCAATTACTTTATTTGCATTTTTTAAAATATAGAAAATGCAGTTCTTTTTTGAGTTTATTGAGGATTTGGCACATGCATTTCCCATTTGCTGGTTACAGTTCTTACCATGGCTTTTTTTCCTAACCGTGGCTAAGTTAAATTCATTAGACACAGACACATTTTGTATATGTATATGAAACACATGGAGATATTTTTCACTATTCGTATGAAATTTGCTCTGCATCCGTCAGCTTTCAATAGGTTATGTTGCAGCAACAAACAACTCCAAAGTCTCAGAGGCATCTAAGAATAAAGATTGATTTCCTATCCATGTACCCTCTAAGCAGTGGGTTGGCTGAATCTGTATTCCATGTGATTTTGTCGTTTTGAGAAAGAGTGGTCCCTACCTGGGACGTGTCATTTTCATGACACAGAGAAAATAAAACTGTCTGAACTATGCAAGCTGTTCACAGGTGGTATAGACATCATTTTTGCTCATTCCATTTTCCAAAGTAACTGTTAATGGCCAGTGCTGACCAAATGGGCCAGAACTTTCCTGCCACAGAGAGGAGCAGCAAATAATAATAACGTAATTCACCATATGCTCTCTTATTTTTTCTTTAGTTATTTGACCTTTGTGGTCTTCCTTTCAGTTTTTCCATATTTGACAGAGATCTGCATATGATAGCCAGTCTACATTATTCCAACTCTACTATAAAGAAAACAATGTATAATGAAAAATGGTATAAAATTCAGTATAGAAGGGATTGTGGTAAACTGAATGTTCCACCTGGAGGGTTCATGGGCTACTCAGCTCCAGTGGATTATTGCCATGGAGAAAGTAAATTTTTAAAGAAAAGCCAGAAACTGTATGCTGGTAAAATTTTCCAATATTTTTTAAATGGTATGGATGAAACACTACATGGTTTGAAGGTGCCTTCAGCCTACAGGACACAGCTGAAAGTCTCCTCCTTTAAGGATATTCTTTACAGATAATAAAAAAATGAATAAGCCTCATTCACTTAGCAATCTGAGGGATTACAAATATGAGAGACAGTCAAGGGGATGGTTTATAAAGTCTTTAAAAATCCACTTTTCATTAGATTCAGGGGTACATAAAATAATTCCAAACGAAGCTAATTAAAGCAGCTAATTATAGGCCCTTGGAGGCCTGTAGTATCTGAAAGTAGCATCTCAGTCCTGGAAATAGTTTTCCAAATTTGTTTTACATACTTTTTCTGAAGTAATTAAACATTCTCCCCTTCCAGTCTAGTTTGCATCATTACTTTTCTTAGCAAATGTTTTATGCCCCCAAAGTGAGGATAAATCAGTCAGCTAAGCACAACAGAGTAGGGGAAATCTAAAGAGTGAGATTCTATTACACATAAATACAAACTCTGTAATATTTCAGATCGATTTTACCTGGAAGAAGGTGAATTTGAAAGATCAGTTGACAGATGTCAGCTAAAGCTCAGTTCCAGTGAGGACACATCATGTTCCCCAAAGTAAACACCATAACTAAGCAGAACTATACCTAATTCTATTGTAGCTATAAGTAAATTGCTTGTTTCTTCTAATGTAAATTTTATGTAAATTCAGAAATTTAAGGACTTTTCCGTTTTTTCTAACATATGCAATGTTTTCAGTGACATTATTATATCTGAAAGTATTAGGTGTTTTGCAGCCCACTCCTGTTACTTCTTCTAAATTCTGATTTGGTTTTTATACAGCCTGCCACATTCTGTCTTTACTACTACCATTTACTGATCACCTTCCACAGCTAAGTAACATTGTTAGCACTGCCTTCCTGGCAAGACTATCTAATTGATGGGTTGATAACGTGAAATACAGTTGGTAAAGTCTGTGTTCCCAGCAGAGACTCCTTATTTTCTCTCATGGTTTTATACTTCTGTCAGCATATGTTATGCTTAGACATCATTTGGGTGACATTGAGCAGCATTTTCAGACTGTATTCTTGCAGAATGGTAATAGGCCCCATGGAAAAGTATGAGGACAATTAAAAAAGAAAACTTTTTCAAAAATGCTAGGGAAACAAGAATGCATCTTTCTTTTATTTCTCAGAGCTTTTAATGGGATAATATTGATTTTACCTATCAAAGAGGAATAATCCAGCATGCAACATTTCCTAAACTTACTTGAGAAGAAAACTCTTTGTTTATGGAGCATCTTGCAGGACCGGATGTTCTGAGCAGCACACTTCAGGAAGCGCTGACCTAGCTTAAAGATAGGGTTCACCAGTAATTTTCAAAATATCCTCTGCCGAGTGCTCTAAAGGTTTGTGAAAATACTCAAGGGGGCAGCTTTGTGTACAAACGCTAATTTTCATAACTTTCTCTTCAAATAGAGTGACTTTTTTTTTACCTATTTTAAATGTTATTCTTCCATATGAATATTTTTAAAGATAGGACACTGGGCTGACCAATTATAAAGAAAGAGGATAGGACACTGGGATGACAAATTATAAAGAAAGAGAAAGAAACAACAAAAGAAAGAAAGGGATGGATGGAGGAAGCAAGGTAGGAAGAAGGAAGGGAGGGAGGGAGGAAAGGATAGAGAGGGGAGTCTCTCCTCTTATTTTATCAGTGAGTAAGTAGAGTCAGTTGCCTGAATTTATTCAGATTCAGCTTGACTGTTCACTTATTGATACGTTAGTGGGTCATTTCTTTACTATATCATTATGAAATCTGGAGGAGAAAATTAAGGGATGCTTTCACTAGTTAATGTACTTCTGGCATTTGTAAATTCAGTTAATTATGTATGGATCACATTGCATCTGTTCTAGTAATAACAGGCTGGTGTTTTCTGGTGGGGAAACTAGTCCATCAATCATCTGTAATCATTGATCTTCAGATAAGGGGACCCATTCTGGCAGGCTTACGGTAACCATAGTGTGTTTTCAACTCTACTGCCAAAACATATTGTATCCCACAAATCTCTTAAGAAGGCCTATTCTGTTTCCACTTGAGACATGAAATGACATCTGAAGTGGTGATACATGTAGACTTAAAGCAATCTTTTTCAATCATTATAACCTTTAAGCACCACTAACATCCCCCAGGATTCTTTGACCTTTTCTCTCTGTATTATGCTTTTTGACAACTCAGAGAGAGAAGCAGTACACCTGACATCTGGTATAAACATGACATGTTAATTCTCAGCACACACTTATTATTGCCAACCATTTACAGATACTCACATGATGTGTTTTGTTTTTCCTGTGGCTCTCACATGAAATCTATATGGGTTTTCTTAATCCAGTGCTAGTAAGCAGTAAAAGTTATTTTTTTATTTTCATAGCTGTGGTTCTGAGTCTCAGATTCACAGGTTAGGCAGAGGGCAGGGGTTGGACAGTCCTGAGCCATACAATGGGAGGATTCTGTTCTCTGCAGTACAAGAGTAGAGAGTAAGAAGAATTTATGGGCTATTAGAACAAGATATGGATACATAAAGAGAATTGTAACATCCACAGGGTGCAGTCAAGGCATTCTGAATCTTTCTATGAGTGGAGTGTAGGAGAAGCAAAATTCCGTATTTCCAAAATGCATTGATTCACACTTCATCTCATAAAAGGTGTTAAAGAATTCATGACTTCTTTCTGATCCTTGGTGAAGTATGTTGGAAGTAGTATTCCAAGCTGAGAAACATCAAGTATCTTCAACAAAATTGAAAGAAATGCTGTTTTGCTAAAACCAAGTCATCACAATTAGAAAATCATAATGCAATGAAGGCATTTTCCGGGAAGTAAAATGAGTGAAAAAATCCAAATTGAATGGATATTCCAATAACTCTAAGTTGCAAGAGCTTCAAAATAAGCTAAAAATTGACTTCTTAGTCAAAGAAAATGGCATTAAACAGATAACCTGTGAGTCTCAGTTGAAGTGTCATGTAGAGAAAAGTTAAAACAAAAAATATGAGACAGTTCTGTCCAAAGAATAGTTTCTAGGTAAATTTTTGTGAACTTCCAGTTCTTGTACACATGCTTAGGGACAGACTTCTAAGATAAATTGTAATAGTATGGAACAACCAACAGTTGGATTAATAGTACTGTTAAAAAAAAAAAACTTTAGACAAAATAAATGTAAGAGAGTTTATTTGAGCAAAGAAATGATTCATGGATCAGGCAGCACAAAAAACTGGAAGAGGTTCAGAGAGCTCTGCAACAAAAGTAAAAGAATTTTATATGCTGATCATGAAAACAAATAGAGAAGTTACCTGATTGGTGACAGCTAGGTGTTTGCCTAATTTGGGTACAGTGTGATCAGGCATTCACCTTACTTATCTGGATATGATTCAGTGGGAGATTCCTATCTGTGTAACCAGTTGTGTGCTTGGCTGTTCATGATTGGCTAAGTCTTGCTTTGTTTGGTTTTAGTCAGTTAAAAAAATGTTTCCAAGATAAGTTCCAGTTTGTTTACCTAAGAGCTCTGGTCTCAGAGACAGCCTCAGGTGAATGGCCTTCTTATTTACTTTAACATGACCCAAGACCATGGTAAGACATCCTGATAAAGGGCATAACATATAGCCCTTATATATATGCAAGGCTCTTCGTGGAAGACTGCTTCTTCTAAGCTGTGTGTAGTGCATTGGCCAAAGAAATAGAGAACCTTTACACTTGAAATAAAAAATAATATAATAGAGTGAAGAACTGTATAGACAATTTTACTGTATGTTAGTTCCAGAAGGATACTAGTTAAGACTTTGGGGAAACAACCTCCAGTTGCTCTTTATGAAACAATGATGTGACTTCGTTAGAAGACAAAGGAGAGATGAATGATATGAAATTCTTCTAAGATCAGAGAATGCAAGAGCACCTCCTGTAGGGTAATTACTCTGAAGAAGGCAGAGGAGATTCTTACAAAGCTGCATAGAAGATTCCAAATGAAAAGTCTAGAACATAAATACCCTGTCTAATTACAAAGGTTTAATACAATCTCTGCCGTAAATTGGGAGATGAGATGTGAATGCATATAGTTGAGAATGGCCCTCGAGATCTGGCCGCATTAGGAAATGCATTGACAAGGATCCAAAAAGCAAGCCAGTTTTAGGCCTCAATTATGTCCCCTCTAAAGACAGGGATAACTTCCAAATCTCAGTTAAAAGAATTAACACATGCACTGCCTCCTGAGTGAGCATGCCGTATCTTTGACTTTCTTTTTCTGTGATACCTTTGAAAAACCGACCACTGTTACTGTTCCTGGGAGATAATCCAGGATAAGACTTACTCAATGCAAATCTTTTATTAAAGGCCTACAACATTATGTTCTGGAGAATTTTGTTTTCCTTTTTTTTAAACATTAGTTAGATCAGATTTTCAAAAGCATCTCAGAAATATTCCTAGTCTTAAATCCAGGGATTTATGTAACACAAACTTGCAAGACCAGTGGGAAATTAATTTCCTTTGAAGCACATTAGCTTGAAGTTTGCACCGTCCCACAGTGGAGCAGAATTTATTCCAATGTTGTTGATGACCTCTCAAGGTCCTACCTTCCCTGAGCTATAAGCTGACTGCAGAAAGCCAATGATTGTCTGGGCCATTCTGGCTAAGCTGGAAAACATCAGGTCAAAGAAAGGTTAACTGGAGACTCACCATGCTGCTCACAACCACCAACAACCATTGGGGAACCTATTGTGCATATGGCCTCTGTGATATGTTTCCTATCATACAGGAGAGAGAACACAGTTCCTTTAAATGTCAACAAGTTCTGATACTTTATCAAAATGAGATACCTTTCAATGGATGCCCTGAGGAGTGCTACCATCAAGTATGTATTTGTCAGTCTTTTTCTTTTTTTATTTATATATATTTGTGGGGTACAAGTGCAATTTTGCTACATTGATATATTGCATTGTGGTGAAGTCAGGATGTTCAATGCATCTGTCACTGTACTCACCAAGCAACTGCTCATCGTCCACTCCCCAGTGTTTTCCAAACTTGCTATTTTAAGAAGCAAGTTTCGAGGTCTTTTGCTAGACCTAGGTCTTCCGCTAAGGATATTTGGCTTGGCCGGGCGCGGTGGCTCACACTTGTAATCCCAGCACTTTGAGAGGCCGAGGTGGGCAGATCACCTGAGGTCAGGAGTTTGAGACCAGCCTGACCAACATGGAGAAACCCTGTCTCTACTAAAAAAAAAAAAAAAAATTAGCCAGGCGTGGTGGCACATGCCTGTAATCCCAGCTACTTCAGAGGCTGAGGCAGGAGAATCGCTTGAACCCAGGAGGTGGAGGTTATGGTGAGCTGAGATTGCGCCATTGAACTCCAGCCTGGGCAACAAGAGTGAGACTCCGTCTCAAAAAAAAAAAAAAAAAAAAATAGAATATTTGGCCTGGCTATACTTTACCCACATCTTCATATTCTCTCCATTGTAATGCTTCTAGCACCCACACAATATATGTGTTCCTAAAGTTCCACATTTCTTTATCTTAGCATTACATAGAAAAATAGAACAAATTCCAGTTTAAATTCTAAAACTTAACATCCAACATCCTATTGTAAGAGAGAATGAAAGATCCCTTCCATTCTGCCACATTATTCTATACATCCTCGGTTTTGAGATTATGCTTCTTAGCAGGAAAATTTATACTTTTCTTTTATTCCTTTTTATACTTTTCAAGATTCAGCATAATAGACAAGGTAGAGTTATCATTTTAGTCCTGAAAAGAATTAGTAAGTACATGTCCTCTGCTGAAGTCTCCTATATGTCTTTTTATTATTGGTTTCTTCCTCTAGCAGAAACAAAATAATTACTAGCAATGAGAGGTAATGTGCTGTTATTTATATTTTAGCCATTTCCCTTTGTATGTGTGTGTGCATATATGTGCATACCTACACATACATAGTTTCTTTTCCTTTTGGTGAAATTGTAGATTTGCTAAAGAAGTAAAGTATCTGGATGAAGGAAAATTACACATAGAAAAAAATAAGCAATTTACTGGTGTACAGTTGCCATTGCATACAGTTAAACTAAGGAATCTAAAAAAAGTAAGATTTTAGAATGAACCGAAGCCTTTCTCTTGAAGATAATTTAAAAAAAAAAACACATAGTTCAGTGTGATTTTTTTCAAATAAGAAAAGCAACGATGCTTATTATGGAACATTTAGAAAATTTAGCATGTTTAAATAACAAAGGTAAAATCATATTACCACAATGTCAAGATAACCCTCATTTTGGTCTATTTATTCTCAGTCTTATTTTTTTCCTTACACATTTTCCCCATAATTGAAAACTGTAAAGACAAATTTGTACTTTTAAAATTATCGTTGTAGTTTAAGCACTTCACAATGTTAGTATAAACACCTTAGAAACAATCTTTGTTGTAAAAAGAAATAACTTTAAAATAATATCTTCTGATCATTGCTTATCTTTTAAGGCAATTAGCATTTTGTTTGTCTTGTATGATACATTTTTCCCTAATTTGTCACCTTTCAACATTATATTTTGCGGATTTTATTTTGATTTGCTATTTTGCCTTGGAATACTCAAAAGACACTCATAGCATTATAACGGCAAAAGACTAAATATTCTAAATGACCAACAATAGAAAAATGAAGAATGAGAGGCTACTGCCCCTAAAGTGGATCAAGATTATCTATCAGAACAACAGAAAGCAGTATCCTTACTAATAAAAGAGCAATGGGATGATCTTCCTGGATAATTCAAAAATGGCTCTTGTCATTGTATCTTCTGAGAACTCATGAACGTCACCCACGAATCTATTGAAACTAAAATAGTGTCCCACACATTTACAAATAAATATGGAAAACTGGATAGTCTTCTTGGATACTAGCCATAGTCATTATAAAAACAATATGTAAATGGCTATATAGGCAATACATGTTTAAAAAGGTATGTGTCGTTTATGCAGAAAGAAACAGCAGTTTACTGGAAAACATTACAATTTTAATGCTGGAGATAGAAACCATATTTGTGAATATGAAATCTCATTATTGTAAAGATAACAATTTTTCCCAAAGTGATATACAAATAAGAGGTGATTGTAATCAAAATCTTAAAATTTTTGGAATAATGATATTGATAATGTATTTAGAAGAATGAATTTATTTGAAAGATGCTATTTTGCAAATTCAGTTGTTTAATATGGGAACTTGCCCTATGAATTACTAAAACAATGTGGAACTAAAATAAATATAGCACTGAAATATTATAGTTATTCTGTAGGAACAAGGCAGTAACACAAAATGATGAATCAAAAAATTGATCCATGTATGTGTGTATGTATATACGTATCTGCAAATGTATCTATATGATATTGTTTTATGATTAAGGGGGCATTTCAAAGAAGTGAGAGAAAGAGTAGATTATCGATGAGTGTGGAAATAACTGTCTATTCATTTGGCATAAATGATGTCAAATCCCTTTCTTTACATTTAAATTTAAAAATATTATTCAGGTACTAAGATAAAAATATAGATAAATACATTTTTAGTGTAAGGATAAGACACACTTTACCAACTATGACTCCAAAGACAGAAACCGTATATAAATCTAAGAGACATAATGATAGAAAATGTTTAATAGAGTAGTTTGCCTAAATACTGACTTTTTCTTCTTTTCTTCTTTCTTTTCATTTTGGTCTATGGAGATTTTTTTAGAGTAGGGGAAAAGAAGTGAAAAATGTGATGGATTCGACTAGAGTGGTTTTCCTTCTAGCTATGGAAATTGGATTACCTGTCCCTACCACTGGTGCTCTTGAAGGACAGTTCACATGAAAAAATCACAATAATCCAAACTAGAGACTGAATTTTAAATAGACTATTTTTTTTTATAACTGCTTTAGTATTCAGCAGTATCATGGTGGGCATGAAACACACAGTAGAAAAATCTTGTCTGGTTTCCTTATTTTTCAGATGAGGAAACTGAGACCTCTGTGGGTCTCAGTTTGACTTAAGCAATGTCATATGGTGTATGGCAGACCCATACTAAAACTTAGCTTTCCTGATAACTCTAATTTTTTTTCCAATACAGCATGCTGTCTCCTGAGTTATATTAAGAACATGTTGATGTCTACAAGGAAAAATCATTTCTGAACTTTTCTGAGAAGGAAATAGACTTCATTCTCTGTTGGGAGGAAAAGATGGAGTTGTAGTCAAAGAGAGATAAGCATAGAAGTGATTTGGTATGTTCAAAGTGCCCGAATTAGATAAACCAGAGTAACAGACATTGAGAAGATTTAACAACTATCTTCCTTTCCTTTTATTTATACAATGTGTATGACATCCCTGACACATTGCAAAAGTAATTAGTTGCTGAATTTAAAAAAATGTTTGTAAGTTCCCCTTTCAACCAAATTGAATTAAGAAAGAAAATTCCTGATCTCTTGGCACTTGCTCCACAGAATAAAGAACTCCTCATAAAGATAAATTTAGCCCAGCAGTTGAGGTAATTGCTTATTTTGTGTGTATTTATTTTGATCCTACCGTATTCAAAGTATTGTATTGGGGGAGAGGGTGCTATCAAAAAGATAAATCAGAAATGGTTTATGATGTGTAGGAGAAAGATTTAGACCTAGATTTAAATAGGAAAAGACAGAGAATAGCGAGTCTTGTAAGAGCAGAATAGATGAAAGTATTACGAGTTTGGGAAGAAGGAAGACATCAGGGAGGAGGGGGGCGAGTAGAAAATTGTTTTACAAGATAAGGGGTTTCCTGATTCAAAAAAATAAAAAAAAGGAAAGAGAAGAGTAGACAGAGCAGGGAGTCTCAGTCAATCCAGAGACAAAACAGAAAAAAAGAACCAGAGAGAGAATTAAACTTTTCTATTTTAATGAATTTACACACAAATAAGAATAAGGAGATCAGAATATTTCTAAAGGCCCAATAACTTTCTTTTGGTTTCATGATCACTTTGAATAGGCTCCTATTTCTTATAATATTTTAATAAAAGGATGAGCTCTTAAAAATTTAAAACTGAAAATTTAAAATACTGAACACAAATTGCTTTGTGGTAAGTGGATGTTGTAGAGGAAGTTTAAACACCAGATCAGGTTGATAGGATTAGATCTCACATTCCTTTCTGATTGCTGTTTCTGCTTTCCTATCACAGAATTAGAGAGAGCTTCTGAACTGAAGTTTCTGGGTCGAGTCTGAGTTCTGGTTTCATTCCTAACTCAACCACCTAGTGCTTTGTGACTTTTCTCAAGGGATAACCATCAACCTCCTAACTCCCAAAGTTGCTATGATGATTAATTCAGAAAATGAGTGTGAAGCACCTTCGGAATGTAAATATCACATGAGCTCTATTCTTCTCTTTTACTCCTACCTTATATTCTGTCAGCAATTCCTCTTAACAAAATATTGCACAGTTTTGTTGAAACTGTCCATCTCTTTTACTTGAGGAGTCCCCTATTTGATTTCCTGTTTCCACCCTGGTTTCCTTATGCAGTCATCCTCCATACCATCGTCAGAGTTAGGGCTTTAAGATGTAAATTCAATCACATTACTCCCTTGCTTGCAACACTTCAGCAGCTGCTTTTCACAGGTAAAGTCAGGTCTAAATTCCTTACTGTTCCCACAAGGCCCAAAACATCTGGACTCAACCTACCTCACAATGCCTCTCATTTCACTATCCTAACCCTTCAGAATACCTAGAATTATTGTCCTCTTGCTCCTCCCAGAACTCAGAGCACCATGCCCAGTGTTAGGGCCCTTGCATTAGCTGTTCCCTCTGCCGTGAAAGTACACTCTCGAATCTTTGCATGGCTGACTCCTCCTTGCCATTGCAGGCTGAACAAAGAGGTCCACTTTCCTGAATTGCATCTAAAGTAACCTTTCTTCCCAGTCGCTCTTTATTGTATCACCTGGGTTTATTTTCTTCATAGCAGTAATCATTTTCTTCCATTATATTGTATTTATTTCGTGTATTTTAAAAAGTGTTACCTCTTGACTACCTTCAATTGGAATCCACCTCCATAAAAATTAGGGCTTTGCTAAAGTTTTCAGCCCTTATTCTCAAAGCCAAAAATAATGCTTAGTATATAGAAGGCACTCTATTAACAGATGCAGGTATCTGCTGGAATGCTAACAATGTCATTTGCCACCTACTTTATTCAAGGTCATGTGTTACAGGAGGTTTCTGTTATAAAGATGAATCAGATATAGTTTGTGATATAGTAGAAGAAGAAAAAGGAATGCTTCTAAATAAGGTAGAAATTGATGAGTTCCAAGGAAGATTTACATTTTGTAAGATTAGATGATATTTAATTTGGTGGGCTACTAGGAAGAGAAAAAAATGGCCCATCGTTAAATCCCAAACTAAACACCATTCATTCATGGCATAGTTTCATATCCATCCCTTAAACAGTGCTCCTATATTTTTCACTGGAAAGAGGAGAGAAAAACACAAACCTTGGGGGTTTTGGGACGTAGCCGTAAGACAGCAACCAAAAAGCTTGTTTCCTTTGGGGTTTCATGCCTTACTTTGAAGATTTATGCAGTTTTTGCATTCTACCCTATAATATATCCACATGGTAAAATTGAAGCCCTGGGAACACATGTGGAGTGAACCCCAGGGCCTAACATTTCACAGGCCTCTGTTCCTGGGGAGCATCCCCTCTAATCTAAGAAACAAAGAAGACCTTGTATCTTTTACAGAGCTTATTCTTAAAAGATGGGCTTTACTCTTCAGTGTTTCCCAGCCAAAGCCTATTGCTTTAACTATAAAGTGATTACAGATACAAAGGTTGGGTTATTGGAGAAAGATGAGAGTGGTTACAAGAATGGTTATTCTGGAAAAATGATGCACTGAGTAGCAGAGGTGAGAGTGGGGGAAATGTGAGGACTGGGGAGCAGTTATCAAAATATTCTCAACTTCCTGTCACCATAGCTCCCTTTAGCTTTCTCTGGCGTGAGTTTAATAGCCCACATTACATTATGTTGCTTAATAATTATGCTCTAAAAGGTAGTTATGTTCCTCAGACCCAATTTACTAAGAGAAAGAAGTGTCTCATACATTGTAGCATTATTCTTATGACTGTTATTTTTAAATGTTTCATTAGTCCCTTAAATCAGCTTGTTTCAGACAACTCTGTGTGTGTGTGTGTGCGTGCGCGCGTGTGTGGTGTGTGCACTAGAGAAAGAGAGGAGAGAGTGAATATGAGTGGAGAATGTGTAAATTCAACTAGAGCTATTAAAGCCCTGTGACTTGGAGCTGAATTGCTTTCAAACATTTTCTATAAATAATGTTTTTCAATTCTCTTTTTTATCTTGAGTGCATGCTTTTATGAAAACTAGTTTTGTTACAGTAGGGACAGTTTGAATCTCTTTTTTAGTATGAACATTTAAAAATCTTGGTTAAAAAATCTCATCTTGTGAGTGATTGAGTTTCAAGAGTAAATTAAGTTGGCTCTTCCTAAGCTGTGGAACTAGAATGCATTAAACCTTTTTTGGGGACATTTTCATTAATAACTGAGTTTATTTCATAGTAGCCAGGCACATATAACCTGTCAGTTGAGAAGCATTTCTCCATTACAAGGCCACGAGTTTATCCCTCTTGAGTTTTTCTTCCCTCCTCTTCTTACACAAGCATTAATAGCTTTAATAGAAGCAGTAAAAATTATGAATCTTTTCTTATTTTGAAATTGAAGATATAGGGAATCCTTCTTTGCTTTGATCTTATAACTAGTATTAAACACTGACCCACAAACTCACGCAAACATAAATACCATATTAAAGTTTCCTTTGGTGTGCAAATCAATCCTTAAAGTCTTGTAGTTATTGCTGGAGTCTTACAAATGTTTCCCAAGAGTTGAAATGTTTATATAAATACCTTTGTAACTCAAGGTAGTTACCAGCACTGCTTTATAAAGCTGAATGCCCAGAGCTTTAATTTTATGCTTTGTACAGATCACTTGGTATGGCAAATATGGTAATATTAATCCATAAATAGCCCTCTAATTTTTAAAAAATAAACAACTAGAAAGGGCTTTGTCATGGTGCCATAGTTGCAGAGAATTGTTGATCACAATTACACTCTTAAACCTAAGATGGCCCAATGATTTTCATAATGGCCTGCAAGTGCACGTTCGTATAAAACTTTCTGAAATACACCTTTCTCAAATGGAAGTTTTCCACACTGGAGCCCTACAAAGGATTATTATTTTGCAGGCTAAAGAAAATGTGTTAATGACTAGAGATTCTAATTGAAAGAGTAATGGAAGATGCAAGACTTCTATCACGACCCCAACTGGGACGGTGCCGTTCCTCGAGAAAGCAATTTAACAACAGCTCTGAACTTTGGTGTTCCCATCTGTTAAATGGAGATTATTAAGAACACTGCCTGTTTGAAGATAAACAAATGAGAAAGTTAAAAGAAAAAGTAATGGGATCTTTGAAGGAGAAGAAAGAGCCTTATGTTAATTTGGAGATTTTTTTTCTTTGTGTAAAGTTTACTGACAAATTTTAATTAGACACATCATTCAGAAATTTATTTTTTAATGATTTTATAACCCAGTTATAAAACTCTATCCAAAACAGCTTAACCATTTGATTTGTGTACACTAATAATGACTTTTTAAAAGATTCCTTCAGTGTAACTAGGTCATTGAATTCACCAAGCATTTACTTTACACTTACTCTGTGCTGGACACAAAGGATAAAAACATCAGTAAGACACCATGGTTGCCTTCATGTTGCTCATAGTCTAGGAAGCGCAAGAGACATATAATAGAAACACTTTTCAGCCATGTGAGTAAAAAGTAGAATAGAGAATACCAGAGGCTGGGAAGGGCAGGAGGAAGGGGGTTGTTGTGGAGAGATTTGTTGAAGGATACAAAATTACAGCTAGACAAACTTACACTCCCACCAACAGTGTACTTACTTAGTTCAGCTATTGTGGAAGATAGAGTGGCAATTCCTCAAAGACCTAAAGACAGGAATACCATTCGACCCAGCAATTCCATCACTGGGTATATACCCAAAGGAATATAAATCATTCTGTTATAAAGACACATGCATGCATAAGTTCATCAGCACTATTCACAATAGCAAAGACAGGGAATCAACTGGAATGCCCATCAATGATAGACTGGATAAAGAAAATGTGGTACATATACACCATGGAATACTATGCAGCCATTAAAAACATGAGATCATGTCATTTACAGGGACATGGATGCAGCTGGAGGCCATTATCCTTAGCAAACTAGCACAGGAACAGATAACTAGTTACCACATGTTCTCATGCATAAGTGGTAGCTAAATGAGAACAAATGATCACATGGATGGGGGGAACAACACACACTGGGGCCTGTCAGAAAGTGGAGGGTGGGAGGAAGGGGAGGATCAGGAAAAATAACTAATGGGTACTAGGCTTAATACCTGGGTGATGAAATAATCTGTACAACACACCCACATGACACAAGTTTACCTATGTCACAAACTTGTACTTGGATCCCTGAACTTAAAATAAAAGTTAAAAATAATAAAAGATTAAAAAAAAACTTACAGTTAGATAGGAGAATAAATTCCAGTTCTCTATAGCATTGTAGGATGACTATAGTCAATAATAATATGTTATATAATTTCAAATAACTAGAAGGAGGATTTTGAAAGAAATGATAAATGTTTGAGTTGGTAGATATGCTAACTATCTTGATCCGATCACTAAACATTGTATGTATTGCAATATCACTGCATATCCCATAAATATGTACAATTATTATGTGTCAATTAAACAGTTTTTCTTAATTAAAAAATTAACCACGTGATAAGTGATCAATCAAAGCTTATATAAATTGCAATAGGGATAAACAGGTGGGAACCACAGGTTAAACAATCTACTCATTTTTCACCCTTACCTAAGTGTCTTTAAGGCCTGGCTAATAGTATGACTTCTCATCATTGAAACTCACTATACCAAAAGTAAATTATTTTAGAACACTGTTTGACACACATTTTAAAAGTTGATCTAAATGAATTTTTAAAATTTAGACAAAAAACATGGGGAAAAAGAAGTACAGACATATCTCAGATATATTGTGGTCTGGGACCCATCTACACCACCTCAATAAAGCAAATATGGCAACAAAGCAAGTCACATAAATATTTTGGCTTCCTAATGCATATAAAAGCTGTGTTTGCTTATTAAATGTACAATTGCATTATGACTAAAAAACAATGTACATACCTTAATTTAAAAATACTTCATTGCTGAAAAATGCCAACAATCATCTGAGCTTTCAGCAAGTTGTAAACTTTTTGCTAGTAGAGGGTCTTGCTTCAGTGTTAATGGCTGCTGACTGATCAGGGTGGTGATCACGGAAGGTTGGGGTGATTGTGGCAGTTTCTTAAAATAAGACGACAGTGAAGTGTGCCACATCAATTGACTCTTCCTTTCACAAAAGATTTATCCATAGCATGCAATACTATTTGATAACATTTTGTCCAGAGGAAAACTTGTTTCAAAACTAAAATCAGTCCTCTCAAACCCTGTCACTGCTTTATCTACTAAGTTTAATTAATATTCTAAATCCTTTTGTGTCATGTCAGCAGTGTCCAACAGGATATTCACTAGGAATTGATTTCATCTCAAGAAACCACTTTCTTTGCTTATCTACAAGAAGCAACTCCTTATCCATTGAAGTTTTATCATGAAATTGTAGCAATTCAGTCACATCTTTGGACTCTAATTCTAATTTTGTTTTACTTGTTATTTCCACCACATCTCAGTTACTTCCTCCATTGAAGTCTTGAACTCAAAGTCATACATGAAAGTTAGAATCCACTTTTTCCAGACTCCTGTTAATGTTGATGTTTTGACCTCTTCTCATGAATCATGAGTGTTTCTAATGGCATCTGGGATGATGAGTCCTTCCCAGAAGGTTTTCAATTTACTTTGCACAGATCAATCAGAGGAATCACCATCTACGGCACCTACAATCTTGAAAAATGTGTTTCTTAAATATTATAACTTCAAAATCAAATTTATTCTTCCTTTCACTTGAACACTTAGAGGCCATTGTAGGATTATTAATTGGCCTATTTTCAATATTATTTGCCTCAGGGAATAGGGAGGCCCAATGAGACAGAGAGAGAGAGAGAGAGAGAGAGAGAACACCAGTTGGCAAAGTAATCAGAACACATAGAACATTTATTGATCAAGTTTGCCGTCTTATATGAGCACAGTTTGTGGAGCCCCAAAACAATTACAGTAGTAACACGGGCTGCAGAATAGATGTATTTGCAGGCATGTAAACAGCATTTATCTCTTTGTATGTCATCAGAGCTTGTGGGTGCATCATTAGTGAACAGTAATATTTGTAAAGGAATATTTTCTCTGAGCAGTAGGTCTCAACAATGGACTTAAAATATTTGGTAAACCATTGCTGTAAACAAATACTCTCACCCATGTTTTGTTCTTCCATTTATAGACCACAGACAGAGTAGATTTAGTGGAATTCTTAGTAACCCTAGGATTTTTGGAATGGTCAATGAGCATTGGCTTCAACTTAAAGTCATCAGCTACATTAGTTCCTAACAAGAGAGTCAGCCTCTTCTTTGAAGCTTTGAAGCCTGGCTTGATTTCTCATCTCTGGCTATAAAAGTCCTAGATCACATCTTCTTCCAAGAGAAGGCTATTTCATCTACATTGAAAGTCTGCTGTCTGCTGTTTAGTGTAGCCATCTTCATCAATGATCTTCGCTGGCTGTCCTGGAAAATGTGCTGCAGCTTCTACATCAGCACTTGCTGTTTCACCTTGCACTTGTATGTTATGGAGATGACTTCTTTCCTTAAACCTCATAAACCTCTGCTAGCTTCCAACTTCTCTTCTACAGCTCCCTCACTTTTCTCAGCCTTTTTTTTTTTTTTTTTTTTCTGAGGCGGAATCTCGCTCTGTCGCCAGGCTGGAGTGCAGTGGTGTGATCTCAGCTCACTGCAAGCTCCGCCTCCCGGGTTCTCGCCATTCTCCTGCCTCAGCCTCCCCAGTAGCTGGGACTACAGGTGCCCACCATGACGCCCAGTTAATTTTTTGTATTTTTAGTAGAGATGGTGTTTCACCGTGTTAGCCAGGGTGGTCTCGATCTCCTGACCTGATGATCCACCCGCCTCGGCCTCCCAAAGTACTGGGTTTTCCCAGCTTTTATAAAGTTGAAGAAAGTTAGGGCCTTGTTCTGGATTAGGCTTTGGCTTAAGGGAATGTTGTCACTGGTTTGATCTTCACTCAAATTTTCTCTAAATCAGCAAAAGGCTGTATTGCTTTCTTATCATTCATGTGCTTACTGGAGTAGCACCTTTAATTTTCTTCAAGAACTTTTCTTCTGCATTCACTACTTAGTTAAGCATTTGGTGCATGAGGCCTAGCTTTCAGCCTTTCCTGGCTTTTGACATAACCTCTCTTCCCTACTACACTTAATCATTGCTGGCTTTTGATTTAAAGTACTCTTCTTTTCACTTGAACACTTAGAGGCCATTGTAGGATAATTAATTGGCCTAATTTCAATACTGTTATGTCTCGGCAAATAGGGAGGCCCAACAAGAGAGAGAGGAGAAAAGAGAGAGAGACAGGGGAAACACCAGTTAGTAGAGTAATCAGAACACATAGAACATTTATTAATCAAGTTTGCCATCTTACATGAGCAGGGTTCATGGAGCTCCCCAAAAATTACAATAGTAACATCAAAGATCACTGATAACAGATTATCATGACAGATGTAATAATAATGAAAACGTTTTAAATATGCAAGAAGTATCAAAGTGTGACACAGAGACATGTAGTGAGCACACGCTGTAGGGAAAATGGTGCCAATGGACTTAGTCTACACAGGGCTGCCACACACCTTCAATTTAAAAAAACACACACACACAATATCTGCAAAGCACAATAAGCAAAGCACAATAAAACAAAGTAAGCCTGTAATGTCCTGAAAACCTCTCTGCTAAATACTTTTTATTTTCACATTTTACTCCTGGCAATAACCCTGTGAAATAAGGAGTATTATCCCACTTTTCAGAGATAAGAAAACTCAGGCTCAGGGCAATAAAATAACTTTTTCAGAGTTGACTAATAGCCAGCATGGCCTGGGTTGTATTTTTCTAAATTAGGCACTTATATAACCTTTACTAAATACTAGCCACTATCGTAAATTCTTTATAAATAGGTACCCATTGGAAGCCAGACTCCTGTCTGTCTTGCTGTTTTGCTCTAATCTCAGCATATTTCCAGTCGTGTGTGTGTGTGTGTGTATGTGTGTGTGTATAAAGATATAACAGGCAGTGTGGATGTTTTAACATTTTTTCAGATTACCTGAATCAAGTCAGTCTTGGTTATGTTCTTCAAAGCATGTATGATGCCCTTAGCTGTTGATTGGGTAGAGTGGTTTGATTACATGAATTCTGTTCCCAAGCTCTTGTATCATCCTGTACTCTGGGAACACAGAGAGGAAGATGATGTTCCTGTCCTGTGATGCTGAGGGTCTAGTAGGAGAAACAGCAAAAGACATTGTAGGGAAGCAATAAATACTCTAGTCATGTGCATGCAAATATCTAATCTAGACTTCTCAAGCCACTTTGTTTATTACAATTTAAAAAAAATCATTAGATTAATTTATATTATTTGCATTTTATCTTATTAATTTGTTCATATATATTTCATTTGCATTGCACAGGAAACATTTTCCATATATTAATGTACAATAAAAGAGTCATATTTACAGAATCTTTTTTCTATGAATTCAGAGCACTTCCACGCACATCATTTTACTTATCTTCACAGCATAATAACAAAGAATAATTAAAATCCTATCTTCTAAGATTAAAAGTCATTAATAATGAGTTGAAAGAAAGCAGTGGTTTTCTTGTTTGTAAAGGTTGTTTCAACTTTTGTTGCAAAGGCTTATAAGCCTTTCTCTAACTTTGTTAGTTTCACACCATCTTTTTTAATCAAATGACTTTACAGAGAGATTAACTTTCATTTCAACATTTGAAAAATTCTATGTATCTCTAGATAAACAAATACACTTCTCTTAGTGTTTACTTTTCTTTGCTTCTTTCTTTTCATGGAAAATTTAGATAACAATGATCATCTTCATAGTGAGTTTTTACTGTCAACCAGAGAGACAAATTGAGATTGGATGTCATCTCCCAATAAAATGTACACCCTTGATGTCACTGGAATGATAGATCTTTTGCCATTTTGCTCTATAATGGATTTAAAAATTAAGTCAGCTATTTCTGTTCTCTAATAGCGTTATAATACACTGCTTCAAAATCACATCATTTTGCTATGACTGTATGGTTAATTAACATCTAGAGAGGGTATGTCCTTTATTGAGACTCACTATATATTATTTCCACTAATCAGATGCAGTTTTTTCCTTCAGTTTTATAGTTATTAACTTACTACCCTTTGAGTTTTCACCTTAATAAACAAGAAGAACAGTTTTGTCCATAAATTTAAGTCTCAAAATCCCTAACCTTGTGTAAACTCATTTCTAGATTAATTTGAGTTGAGCATCTCCACAGACTTCTCTAATTAGATAAGTTTATTATTCTTCTTCTTTTTGGCTTTTCCCATGAGGAACAAGCAATTTTCTGAGTGTTTCTTATTCTGCTGCACAATATCTCCTCTACCTAATATCTCATCTTTTACCTTTTTGTTATTGAGATTTTTATAGAATGTACTTTTATGATGCTCTAAGTGCTTTGAATCACAAGTGTTGATCTATCTTTATTGCTATTAAACTTTCAGAGATATATCAGCTACAATTGTGCTTGTCATTCTGTGTTCATTGATGGGTAGTGAAAGGTCAGGTTCAACATTAAAAGATTCTGCAAATGGAACAGGGAAACTTGGCACACTGTGGTGGATTTGGAATCACAGATCTCTTTCTGGCCCTCGCTTCCTCTCTGACCTCAGTCCTACTTTTCCCATTTCCCTCTGTGTTTCAGCCATACTGACTGTCTTGTGTGTTCCTTCTACCTGGCAGCCTCAGTCCTGCCTGAGGGCATTTGTCCGAGATATTTGCACAGCCTGGAACTCCCTTATCTTTTCAAGGTCGGCTCCTCCCTGATAATTACATTTTGGTTTAAGTGTTAGCTCCCTAATAACACTCCCTCTGCAAATCATCAAGAAAGGGAAGGTCACATGCTTCAAAAAATATACCAGGGAAGGAAAAGTGAATTTAAGAGGAGGAAATTAAAAAGTTTTAGAATTGTGTGAACAGATTTTCAAAATTATGAGATAGCAGCACATACACATTTAAACACCAACAATCAGATCTGCACTGTGGTTTGGGAGTTCATAGTGACATGCATTCTGGCTTGCAGTCATACATTGGTTAGTCAAATGCGTGTTCTCAGACACAGACCTCCTGCTCCTAGTCATGTATTAAGAAAAAAAATATCTCACATAGCTCAGGATGGATTCATGTTTGAAGATGTTTCTTTCAGTCGAATTTGGACTGTTGAAGTAATGGAAGCAAGCTTGGAGTCCATTACTGGGATAGAAGATAAGTTAAATATGGCAGATGCACTTCATGGAGTGTTGTACCCAAGTTAGAAACCACAATAAAAGGTACAATGTGGATAGATCTTAAAATAGCACCTTTTGAAAAGAATTAAGATAGGTAATTAGATATATAACACAGTACCATTTATGAAAAAAAATACCCAAACCAAATTGCTGGGAATGTTCTAGACCTTGATCTGGGTGATACTTGCACAGGTGAATACATATGTAAAAACTCACCAAGCTGTCCACTTAACATGGTGCACTCTACTGTATGAATGTTAAACCTAAATTCAAAAATAAAAAAAAAATAAGCTCTGTCCCTGACTACCCTGCTCAAAGTACTTCTCCCAAGTCCATTTCTATTGCATCAATCTTTTAATACTCTTTTTGTAGCACCAATCATCACTTGGTATCTTTCTAATATATGTTTGTGTGTGTTCATTAATGGACTACCTCCCACTACTAGAATGTAAGCTCCCTAGGACAGGGAACTCCTCTAACGTGTATGCTACTATATGCTCATTAGCACCAAGTTCTCTCTGTCTTGTTCTGCTGTACAATATTCTCTCGACCTAATATCTCATCTTTTGGCTTTTAGATATTGACATTTTTATAAATATTCTTTTATGATGTTCTAAAGCCTTAGCGATTGCTGAATAGATGTTTATTTGTTGAATGAAAGGAAGGAAGAAAGAAAAAGAAGAAGCAGGGTGGAAGGGAGGGAGGGAGGGAAAAGGAAAGACAAAAGTAAAGAAGAATGGCAAAAAGAAAGAAAGAAAACAGGAAAGGGAGGGAGGATATGTAAGCAGACCAAATATAGCCATTGTCTTGTCAGCTCTAATTTACTTCATCAGTAACTCCCTTGCCTCAGCAGGCCCTTTCTCTGTTGGAGTAACACTCTTTAATTAATGTCCTTGAATTAAATACTTCACATTCTTGGAACCTAGTTTATATGTTCTCTCACTGTTGTTTTTTTCTCCTCTGTCTCCTTCCTTCACTTCCCCCTTCTTCTTAGTTCCTCTTCTTCCCTTTTTGCATCACTTCTCATATTTTTCCCCCATCTCAGGGCCTATCTCTAGTTATCTAAGCAAAGTCACATCACAATTCTCATAGAAATTAGAAGACAATGTCTTACTTAAGACTCTAAGTGTGGGAGTCTGGGTGCTGTGGCTCACACCTGTAATCCCAGCACTTTGGGAGACCGAGGTGGGCTGATCACTTGAGGTTAGGAGTTCAAGACCAGCCTGACCAACATGGTGAAACCCCAACTCTACTAAAATACAAAAAATTAGCCGGGCGTGGTGGCACGCGAACGTAGTCCCAGCTACTCCAGAGGCTAAGGCAGGAGAATCGCTTGAGCCCCGGAGGTGGAGGTTATAGTGAGCCAAGATGGTGGCACACGAATGTAGTCCCAGCTACTCCGGAGGCTGAGACAGGAGAATCACTTGAACCCCGGGGGTGGAGGTTATAGTGAGCCAAGAACATGCAGCTGCACTCCAGCCTGGGGGACAGAGCAAGACTCCTCTGTCTCAAAAAAAAAAAAAAAAAAAAAAAAGAAACTATGGGAGTACAAAATACTAATAAGTAACATTTATTGAGCATTTAATTTCATATGGGCCACAGAGATGTACTTTACATATATTAAGTTATTTTATCTTCTCCACAGCCCCATTATTTTCCCCATGTTACAGTTGGGAACATAAGCTCAGAATGTGTAGCTTGCTCAAGGTCATGTAATTGGTAAGCAGTAGAGCTGGATCAGAGCCCATACACCTGAGCACTACTTCCTATACTGTCCCCCAGCATAGTAAACAAACATTTACTAGTAACCAAATCTACACATTGTTAGCAGTGCTATGTCTTTATGGTAGTATAATATTCCATATCTTCTTTAATCTGAAAAACTCCCATTTTAAGGAGGAAGCATGCAGTAAGAGAAAGCATAGATGATCCTGGGGGAGCCTGTTTGCATCAAACAAGGCTGCTACCTTCCATGTAAATCTCGAGATGGTCATCATGTTTTATGGGGCTGCCAAATCCAAAGTTATTAAAACCCTTTCATTCATATTACAAGCTATTATGTGTTTAATTCCTCCGGTAAGACACATCTCTGGTAATTCATGACTAAAAATGAGTTCATATTATCATATGATAAATAGAGTAGCGGCAGAAAAACGAATAAATGTAAAAGGAAATACTTTCACAGTACACAGTGCCTTTTTAATGTCTTTAATATCTTTTTGCCTGTATTAACCTCTGTATCATAATTCTGATTGCCCAGTGACACTCGCCCATTTATCTGAACACTGCTAAATCTTTTATTATCCCATTACCACGTTTATAATGGTGTAATTTGTGTTGGGGAAGCATCTGCTAAGTGTTAAGTAGGCATTTGAAGAACATATGGGTGGGTGGATACTGTCAACTAGGAAAGGTTTAGGGCTGACCCGATTTGCCTGACAGGCTATGGCTGCCTTGCCAATATTGATGGTAACAGTGTACAATTCCAAGTAAGGACTGCTTACCTTCTGTGACTTCTGCTTTCCCTTCCCATGCCTACCTCTCAGAGTGTATTGTAGTTTCCAAATGGGTTAACTCTGTTTCTTGATTTTTTTTTTCCCCCAAAGCAGCTCAAAGCTTTCTGGGGCCTGATGGAAGGAAGAACACTGACATAGAGAACTGTGGAAGCAGAGCCAATTATTCTGTCATCAAATAGCCTTTTCTAAAAAAAAAAAAAAAAAAAGCATACTCTCAGCAGACTGGTAAAGTAAAAACAGCATGCTGTTAGGGCTGTTTAACATTTTTCTTCTATTTAGTCAAACCCTTGAACAAAAGCCCACATTCCACATTCCGGGCCTCAGTCCCACCCAGGTGAAATACTGCAGGATTTGGGAATCTAGGTCTATTAGAGCCCTAAGTCAACTGTTGGAGTAATGCTTCTTAATGAGATCAGTTGGCTAAGAGATGACATTTTTGTTCTTGTTAGTTCATAGAGTATCTTTTGAAGGTCATTGCATATAATTCCTCGTACCATTTCACTAGAAGGAGAGGTGATGGAGGCATCTGAATGGGCGGTCAGTTTAAAAGAACAGATCTGAAGAAAGGCAAAGGTTTAGTGTTGTCTCCTACAAATTATCACCATGCTTCTTCCCAAGAATCCTAATTATGTCTTTCAGGAGCCCCTTATTTATTTCAGAGAGAGTAAGAAGGCTTCCTTCCAAGTCATTAGGTTTGGGATCTAAATTGTAGTTTCATTTCTCTCTTTTTTCTTTGGCATATGGAATAGAGCTTGGATTTAGGAAGGAGAAGGGGACAATAATGGCCAGTCTGAGTTAGTTTGTGCAGAACTGCTTAGATTTGAGGAGCAGGGACTTAGGAATTACGCTGGGTTCAGACCCTGCTTCCCCCACTTATTATGCCTGAGATCTGTCACCTTTATGGGCCTCAATGCTCTCATCAGTAAAATGGGGATAATACCTACTACCTGATGGGATGGTGTGAAGATTAAAAGAGATGTCGGTGTGCAGTAAGATAACACATGACACGGTCAATTCTCATGAAGTATTAGCTATTACTGTCACTACTGTAACTATTAGTATAGTTATTATTACAACTATAAAATACTTTTCTCAGTATATGTAAGAGTTTTCAAAGCATAGGATGTAATACACAAAAATAATGCTACAGGCCTTTTGGGACTTATTTTTATTTATCATGTTTGTTTCTGTAAAATGGCTTTTAAATAGAGGTTTATGAGAGTCAGACATAATCTTCCCGTGAAAAAAGGAGAATACCTGTTTTCCCTTATGTAACTAGAAAGCTCTTACCTATTGAGCAATGTGTTAAAATGACTTCCAGAATTAATCCAATTTATTAATTCAGTTACCACATAAAGGTGATTTGATTTAATTGTCTTTAAATACTAATATAAAAGCCAGTATAATTCCATAAAGTTTGCCTATAAATATCTACTCATATACAGTATTTGAGAGATAAAGATCAGTAGTTTTTAATAATTAAAATTCTATTTTTAAACACCTCAATTTCTCCTCTCAGTAACTTGCACACAAAGTTGGTTGAAGCTGCATGTTGACGGTATGAATCCAAACTGAAAAATTAATCAGTCGTGTAAGACGAATGGCCAGAGTACGTGTATCGATCTCTAATACAGAAAACTGCAGGGATTAACTTTAATAATCAAATGAAAATGTGGTAACTAACATAAGAAATGAAAAAAGGAAGTGGTGGACTAGCTGTTTTTTAAGTAAATATAAGTAATTGATGAATCCTTATAAAATATGATTTCTCTGATTTTATCCAGGACTTCCTGTGGTATCAAATACAAGGGCTTTCTTTGTTGAAGTTGTAAAGGCCAGTCCGTTTTATCTTGCCTGTATGCTTGTAGGCAATTTTGTGGGATGCCCTGTGAAGAAAAAAGGGTAGGGTATATTGTGTATTCAAAGACTATTTTTGCTGTTTCTTAGGATATAATTTATCAGGAAATGCATATTAGACTAAATATAATTACTGGGATTTATTTTATAGATTTTTGGGGGTAGAGAAGTTTTTTATAAAAATAAATCTATTACTGGATTTTAAGAGCTATTTTCTATGTTTGTGTTTTTCCTTTTTTTAACAGCTATGGAAACCTCTGTGTACTCACTTGTTATAATTTTTCTTAAACTGAATTTTTGAGTCACACTTAAAATACTTGAAATTCTAAAATCAGTGATTCGAAAGCCACTCAGTTTGAGTGTATCTGATTATCAGAATTACATAATTAATATTCTGGGGATACTTTATATACTCAATAAACTTCTAATATATTAGATTCTCAATAAATATTTACAGTGTAGACTTTTTATTTAAATTCATGTACATTTTTATATTTATCATTGTTAACTGGTTTTTGCTGTATGTTAGGTGCTCACTTTTTGAGAAACACTAGGATGATTTTAATTCAGTGAAATTACATGTATCAGACACTCTCCTGGCAGTGTGATGGACTAATGACTGGCTATTCCAAGAGCCAGTGCTAGACCATCTGCCTCAGCCATCAGCCGGGAGGGCTACTATGGGTCCACCATCCACCTTTAAACATTTCCCCTTTAACCTAGGATGCAAATTTATCAACTACAGGAGAGAAAAGAACATTTTTAATTACCAGGTCCCATTTTATAGATGAGTTAGAATGTTAAATATAAATTAAGTTTCTTTTCCTACCTTGTTGTATGTCGTCATTAAGCTTCAAAAGTTAAGTAGAATGGAGACCTTTCTTTCATTTTCAATTAATATCTGGATACCACCCAAAACAATGGCATGGGGATGAGCATTTAATGAACAGCTGTTCTGATTTTAAAGTCAAAGCAAGTTCTCTCTAGCCCCATAGGGAGGTGATGAGATATTTCCACGACTTAAGATTAGAGACAGTCTAGTGACACTTAGGAATAATTATTCCCATTTGGAAATAGCAAGTTAGAAATAGAACTCCAAATCACTGCTAGCTTTTGACACTTTTCAGGCCCATAGACCAACTCCCAGCTCATTCTGCACCACCTGTACTGTGAACCCCTGCCTTCATGGCAAACTTAGCTCTGTCCGATTAATTTAGCAGAAAACATGCTGTGTTTTGGCATTTCTGCATTTTGAGTATTTCTCAGAATCAAAGCTCAGTCCTATTAACTTTCTATTCAAGGGAGACCAGATGAGTTTTTTTGGAACATTTTCATTGGCTTATATTCTGTTGAAAGTAACATTTTAATCCTCTTTTATTTCCTGCATAGTTCTTTTATTTTGCTCTGTCTATAAATATATACAATTTAGTCAGTTGTTTTGATGAAGGTTTATTCTTGCCATGTTCCCCATCTGTTTTTAATATATAATAGTATTTATGCATCCAGGAGTGTTTATCTCTGTGTCTCCAAAAATTGCAGCAAAATACTATTAAAAAGCAGCTTCCACCATTCAATCTGATTGGCCATAGGAGTCACATCTCCACACATCATCACTTTGGAGTTTCTTACTGTCAACAAAGCACAGTAAACTTGTTTGACACCTGCTTGCATCGCTTTCCACTGCCAGTATCTTAAGCTCCTCCAGTTGTTTTTGTCTGCCGCCTCAGACACCATTTTCTCACTTCTTGAATCAGAAAGGGCTGGTTCACTGCAGTATATGTGGTATCCAGCCCTGGCTCTCTGCTTCTCCCACAGAACCTACATTTTGATCCTCCTTTGCAGGATACCCTCTGAGGACAATCAAGCAAGACCAAAATGACAACAAAAATAAGAACACTAACCACAAACATTTATTGAACACTCATCATTTGTTATGCATTCCTGTATGGACTTGGTATGCATTATCTTATTTAATCCACATGGCACACCTATAAGGTTATCATTTTAATTTTACAAACAAGGAAACTGAAGAATAGAGAGGAAAGGAATCTTTCCCTGGCTTACAGAGCTCGCAGATACCAGAACCAGGGTTGGAACTTAGTCATGTGTTTTAATTGTTGCTTTTAATTTGCTTTGTTTGTTTTCTGTGTATGTGTTTTCTGTTTTGTTTTGTTTTTGTGACAGGGTCTCACTTTGTCATCCATGCTGGAGTGCAGTGGTGCAATTATGGTTCACTGCAGCCTTGCCCTCCCAGCTAATTTTTGTAGAGACAAATTTTTCACCATGTTGCCCAGGCTGGTCTCGAACTCTGGGATCAAGCCATCCACCTTCTTCAACTTCCCAGTGTGCTGGGATTACAGGCGTGAGCCACCGCCCAGCCATATACTCATGTTTGTAATCACTACCCTAGACATTCTTTTATACAAAATGAAAGCTGTAGAGGGGATTTAAGATTTTAAGGATTAGAAGAGATCTTAAACACCTGCATTCCCCAACCCTTTTGAATTCTTGGATACATTTTAACTGTCAAAATGTTACTGTTGCTAACATGATTGAGCACCTACATAGAGAGGACAGCTTTGTGTAGTGGTTCAGGCTCTGACTCACACTCCCTGGATTCAGATCCTTCCAACTATATTATGTGGGGCTTCCTCCATTATCTTAGTTACCTTATCTGTAAAACAGGATGATAATAGTACTTTCCTCCTATACTTTTTTGAGGAAAAAATAAGTTAATATGTGCAAGTTGCCAAGATCAGTTATTTGGCTCACAGTGAGAAGTCAACTTAGCTGCTTTTATTGGTTTTCATATTTTTGAAAGAGAAACTACGTGATACCCAAAAGTTATGATGAATTCAGGAACACTATTTGGCTGAAGTATATTTTTGTTAATCACAGTATTGCTCACACATTTTAAAAAGCAGGACCTGCATACATATTTTATAATATAGAATTAGTTCAGTCTCTCCATCAACCACAGCATGCATATGGATTACCTAATCCTTGTGGAAATTCCACAGACCCCAAAGAATTCACATCCCACAGGTTGGCAACCAGAGCTGTCTCGTGCAACCCTCTCATTTTTCAGGTAAGAGAAAAAGCTGAGACCAGAGAGTTTAAATGAATTTATCAAAGGGCACACACCTAGAGGACAAAGACAAGTGTAAACCTCAAATCCTATGACTCCAATGCAGAGGTCTGTCCTCTTTCCAAAATTACGCAAAAAGCTCATTTCAGGTTACTTTAACGATCAGAGATAGCAATAGTCAAAACACTTTTGTGTCCTTAAACAGTATTTTGTACTCTGAATTTCTGTTCTCTACATTAGCTTTGTTGTTTCTCCTTGTTAAGTGACAGAGAAACTTCCCTTCATATATTCATATATAAGAGGACAAAAGGAAATTTGGAGAGATGTTCTATGTTCTGTCTACTAGCCACCATTAAAGGTCATCCAGCACCCTAGGGGATGATGGCCAAATCCTTGTTCCTAAGACTGTTCTCATTGCCTTTTTTCACATTTCCTCTGGGGACCAAATGGTGCAAAAGAAAATTCGCTAATTTGAATTTGAAAAATCCTTCTCTAACAAGAAGTGATAAAATTTATTATTTTTATCAGAGCCCAAGTAAGATAAGTGTCTACGAGTGACAGAAATAAAATATAGCTATGAGGTTGCTTGATCTAAAACATGGCACTCTAAATAGCCTGTGATTTCACACATTCAAATCAGAACCTAGAAAGGCCCTTCAGTACATGCCAGCGGAAGATCAACTAATTGAATTAATGAAATAAAGGGATGAAAGAAATAAACATACTTATAAATATCCCAGAAGATATGTTGTTGAGATAAAATTTGGTACAAAACAAATATGAGCAGTTCAGTAATTCCCAGAGCCCTATACAGCATATGGTCTCAGAAAAGACAGAAAAAGTGTCTAGAAACAGAGGACTCAAGTCCCACAGAGTAACCAAAATAGATGTGTTTCTTTTACTTGTAACAGAATATGAACTGCCAAAGTGTAAATGACAGAAAAGATCTTTATATTACCTCAGTTAATATTAAGAAAAAGAATTGTCAAAAACCAAGGTAAATCATCAGGACAACTTGTTTAATAGGAATTTATTTGGAAAATAGGGAGAATAAATGGAAAATGTAATATTGAATCACTAGTTGAAGAAATAAAGTTCAATATTTCTCCATTTGAAAGAGAATCAATGAGCATTTGTATCAAACAGATTAGAATTCCTAGGTAAGTTTATTCTGGACTTTGATCAAGGCAGAATCTAATGCTCTTTTACTGCAGTTCTACATATTTGCTTCTTGGAAAGAAAAGCGTTTTATCATGTTGGCGGAAGAATACTCACATGATTGCTGCTTTTTCTTTTCACAAGGAGATCTGTTTCCTTTATTAGAATTGCTTTATACAAGAATGCGTGGAAGAGGGAGCAGGTGGTTGCCCTGCATTTCCTTGTATTGTTTGTTTCCGGTAAATATAGTTGGAACTAAAAAATGTCAGGGGACAGTGCTCTTATAACTTCTATTATAGTTGTTTCTTTTTTGAAAAATATAAACAGAAAGAAAATTATTTAAGTAGTAAATGTAAACTTTACTACAGCCTAGGGATAACTGTAAATAGAACCATCATATTTAGATTATATTAAATATTCAGTTTGGCTTGAAAGGCCAATGCCCTTTCTACCAATTGAGGACTATGGCATGAGCTTTGAAAGCTTTCTGCCTCAGGCAAAAATGAGCTGAGCCACTGCTTTGAAGTCGAATTAGGACACATTTGCTTTTATTTCTGTAACTCTATCTGCCTCAGTGAACTGTTCTGTAATTTCGAAAATCACAATGAAGCCAATATTCAATCAATTCAGTATTTTTATATTAGAGCAAGAATCAGATTAGAATAACTGTCTCCTTAAAAATGAAAAGGGCCAGGTGTGGTGGCTCATACCTATAATCCCAGCACTTTGGGAGGCTGAAGTGAGTGGATCGCTTGTGCTAAGGAGTTTGAGACCAGCCTGGGCAATACAATGAGACGCTGTCTCTACAGAAAATTAGAAAATTAGCCAGGCGTCATGGCATGCACTGTGGTCCCAGCTACTCAGGTGGCTGCAGTGGGAGGATCACCTGAGCCCTGGAGGCCAAGACTGCAGTGAGCCATGATCTTGCCATCACACTCCTGCCTGGGCAACAGAGTGAGACCCTGTCTCAAAAAACAAAAGAAAAGAAAAAAATCTGAGATCTGCATAGCCCTGAAATATAGTATTATAGAATTCCTTGGTTAAAATTTTGCCTTTGACATGTGGTACATCAGGATGCCTCTCATTCATTCTTACATCTTTACCTTTATTGACCCATTCAACACGCATCTATTACTTAAAATGGTGTGCTGGTAACTAGATAGGTGGAGTGTTGAAAAATATAATAGGGAGAAAGAAAACCCATTTAAATAACAAGAATATGGCTACTACTAGAAATTATTTTTAGAATGAAGTGTCTTTATATCATTTAAATGACATAAACAGCATCATTTCCAGGAGGCTCATAAGAACAGGGTATGAGTAGAATAAAGGCAAGTTTCATGTTTTTGCTAATTTTCACTTCCCACTGTCTAACTGTTCCTTATTCCCAAGTAGTGGAAATTGTGAAAGAGACTCTGAATTAGACTCTGAATCAGCTATTTCTTCAGGGGTAAATCTTTAATTGATCAGAAATTATTTATTGCATTGATGTATACTGTAAAGAAGGGGCAATTGATAGGAAAGTATCAAATATAAAATAATGACAATGGAGGATTTGATAAAAAGGCCAATTGGTCAACGTAAAAACTACTTTCAATCAAAGATCAGAAAGAGACCATTTCTGAAGAGATATCTGCACTCCCATTTTCATTGCAGCACTGTTCACAACAGCCAAGATGTGGACTCAGCCTAAGTGTCCATCAATTGGTGAATGGATAAAGAAAATGTTGTATATATACATGGTGGAATATTCTTAAGCCTTTACAAAGGAGGAAATTCTGTCATTTGTGACAGTGTGGATGAACCTGGAAGACATTACGCTAAGTGAAATAAAGCCAGGCACAGAAAGACAAATATCACATGACCTCACTTACACTTGGCATCTAGAAAAGTCAAGCTTTTAGAAACAGAGAGTAGAATGGTGGTTACCATAGGCTGGTGGTGGGGGAGTTGGGGAGGAGGGAATTGAAAGGTGTAGGTCAAAGGGTCCAAAATTTCGGTTAGATAGGAGGGACGTGTTTTTGAGATCTATGGAACTGTATGGTGACCGTAGTTAGTGACAATGTATTATGTAATTCAAAATTGCTAAGAGTATATTTCACTACAAAATAAGGATAAGTATGTGAGCTAGTTGATATGTTAATTAACTTGATTTAAGCATTTTGCATTGTATACATATACCAAAACATCACACAGTACCCCATAAAAATATATAATTATAATTTTTCAATTATAGATAAACATTGCTATTATTAGTTTTTTTTTAGGCGGAATTTTGCTCTTCTTGTCCAGGCTGGAGTTCAAAGGTGCGATCTCAGCTCACCTCAACCTCCACCTTCTGGGTTCAAGTGATTCTCCTGCCTCAGACTCTCAAGTAGCTGGGATTACAGGCGTGTGCCACCATGCCTGGCTAATTTTGTATTTTTAGTAGAAACGTGGTTTCTCCATGTTGGTTGGCCTGATCTCAAACTCCCGACCACAGGTGATCCACCCGCCTCGGCCTCCCAAAGTGCTGGTATTACAGGAGTGAGCCACCACTCCCAGCCAATAAATATTATTTTAAAGTTTTTTAAGACTCAAACATTAAACAAATGAGAATTTTCACTGAAATCTGAATTTGAGCAGTAACCTTGTATTTCTTCATGCATATTTCTCTGTAACATCAGGAGGGCTTTTTTTTAGCTAAATTATTAAAATTGCATAAAGGCTGTTGCAATTATTTTTTCAGGCTTTGAAAGACTTTTCTACAGAGTCATAGAGTGATAGATATTTTTCCTGGACATATCTCCATAGCCAAGATAGACAAGGATTGGAAAGATAGTGTAGGGGGGTAGGAATAAATGTATGTATAAACATATATATTTATTACTGAGGTAGTACAAACACTATTTTTATTACTCTTTTCTATCACTTTTCTCAAAGCCTATAAAACTACTATCTGTATTTGACTTGAACCTGAAGCAGCTATGAAGTCTCCAGCATATCCTTTAATGCCTAAAGAAATTAGCATTTATAGAGACCTACTGGTTTGAAGGGCAGACTGGGATTACTTTTGATTATTGATTTCTAGGGGCATTTTTTTGTCATGTTTATTTTGCATATCCAGACATAATTGCATATCCTTTCATAATCATGTACTTATATAGCCACTATTTCTTAAATGTCAGGTTGCTCTGATATATTTTAATTGTGCAATTTATAATGAAGCCATCACTTATTATTTTAACCGATTCAGAAAAGTTATCATTCAGAAAAAATAAAAGATTCCTTTTAAGATAAGGGTTTTTTTTAATGGTGTTTAACTCTGATGAATAGTTTGATGTGCTACTAATGGACAAAAGTACTGTGCGTGCGTGTGTGTTTATGTGTGCGTGTGTGTGTGTGTGAGAGAGAGAGAGAGAGAGAGAGAAAAAAAAAAACAATTTCTCCAGCTTTCTAAGGAGTCGTTCATTGTCCCTGGTAAGAAGACCCTTGTAATTTGGCAGGGCAACTTCATCTTCTGCTAATGACCTCATTTCTGTTTACCAGTGAAAATGGACATTTTATTAAGCTTTTAAAAATCACCCGTAATGCAAGATGAGAACAATGAAGCCCCCATGACATTCCTTAAAGGAAAGAGTTTAAATTTTGATAAAAGAAAATGAGATGTAATGTGGAATGGACAGTGTTATTGTGACGCAGCACCTTTATTCACTAGCCCTTAATTATTTCAGATATTTTATTGCACATTTTCCCTGTCTGTATGGTTCTTTTGTATCACTTGCAAACTGATGAAGCCCCTCTCTGGAGTTAGGTTCTGAGAGTTGGTGTGGGAATGATAAACCAGAAGCACTACGTTTGGATTCATTAAAGGATGGGCTTTCCATAGTTAGGTTGTACTAAAGAAAATTTCCATTTTGCAAGGGCAGTGTAAATTTTGCATGCCATTTTAATAGCAAGGCAGGTCAATCAAATCATAATTGTCTACAATTAGCACTCCCATGAGATGTAAGCTTCTTTATCTTCTCCAGGACTGAACTGAAAAAGAAATTGTTATTTACTGTCACTGAAGTCATAGAAAATGCTTGCTATTCAATATAAGCGATGAGGAAAGTGCCAGTCTGGCAAAAGGGTTTGGCGTAAATTTAAGATCTGCACACCAAAATGCACATTGTATCAAGCGTGGCTATGTGCAAAATGTGCTATTACAAAGCACTTTCTTTCAGCACACAAAGCAGGTCTTGGCAGTGAAATGTCCAGTGTTGACAGCATTTTGGTTTGGAGCTAATCTTAAGATTGCTTTCTAGCATTTTCAAGGACTCTGAACTCTTTTGAAAAGGTACATTTTGATACTGAAAATGAGGAAGTAGAGAAGAAATGCATTGTATTTCCCAGTTCGTTCTATCTGAAGTGCCAGTGCTGTCGTTTTGGGAATCTTTTCTTGAGTCTCATCACTGTACCAGAAAGTCCAGGTACAAGCTGGAGGTTGCAGGAACTGCAAGCTTGAGGCTGTGGCATGAGGGAATTGTCTAAGTTTCATAAAATATTACAATAACTCTATCCAGCTCTCACTATGTCGCATTCTCTGCTGTGAAAATTTAAACTCCTTTCTTTAGCAATGCCATGCCTCTTTAGCAGCCTTGCCAAAGGAAGGAGGTCAATAAATGTCTTGCCAATGCTGTTGCTAGTCCTCTTCAGTCCCCCCAAGCCATTGCTGGGCATCCTGTTTTGAGTGTCTTTGAATTTGGTCCCATCATTACACTTCTTCATCTTGAGATGTCTTTGGAGCAAGGAGTGAAGGGTAGTCAGTCCCACCGAAAGAACTTCAACTGGAGATAGGAGAGGAGATGTTCTCTTTAAAATAATTCCTCATGAGAAAAAGAAAGGATACAGAATGCAAGCAAAAATACAAACTAGCTTCCAGAGTTGCTCTTCACATTTTTTGCATTTACAGATATGAAGGTAAGCACTTCAGTTGGGTACGTGAAGGACATTGCTATATCAATAGCAGCAGCCGTGGCACCAGGAAAGAGACATTTGTTAGGAAAGACGCTTCCCTGGAAGAAGCATTAAAAATGAAGACAATGAGGCAGGTGGATCACCTGAGGTCAGGAGTTCAAGACCAGCCTGACCAACATGGCGAAACCCCGTCTCTACTAAAAATACAAAAATTAGCCAGACATGGTGGCGGACACCTGTAATGCCAGCTACTTGGGAGGCTGAGGCAGGAGAATCACTTGAACCCACGAGGCAGAGGCTGTAGTGAGCTGAGATCATGCCACTGCACTCCAGCCTGGGCAACAGACCAAGACTCTGTCTCAAAGAAAAACAAAAGTGAAGATAAGGGGTGACAATATATTGTAGAGTCACAATGTGGTGAAAGATGCTAGTACCCACTGGTGTCAGTTCCTGAAAGAAAATGGTAGAACTGAATATAGTGGAATAGTATCTCAGGAAACTGTTGTCTCTTGGATAAGTGTTATCTCTGTTACCTAGTAGAAATAGCTCATATATGCTCAACTAAAAGCAGAGACTAAAACAAGAGAGAGAAAAAGGAAATAGTGAGTACCAAAGTCTTAGGGGCCTAGCATGAGCTTTGTGAAGCTTCGTGTAGGAGTTAGGACACCATGGTAGCCCTACAAAAGCAAGAAGGGAAAAAATAAAATAAGACAGTTAAGGGAATGTTAAGCTCATAACTTGATCTCTAGATATCACTGGCCTAGGACAAGGTTCAACAAACCTTTTCTTAAAAGACCAGATAAACATTTTAAGCTTTACGAACCATGCAGTCTCTTTTACATCTGCTTAACTCTTTATTAGCATAAAAGCAGCCACAGACAATAGTAATTGAATGAGTGTGATTGTGTTCCAATATATTTAGTTAACAAAGCAGGCAAGTCTTAGTTCACTAACCTGTGGCCTAGAACCAGCCCTAAAATATGAGGTGAGAAAGGAAATAGCATTTTTAATGTTTTTCCTCCTTGGTCATTGTTCTCCTTATCTTAGGACCCTCGCAAGTCAGACTTGGTAGTATCCTAAATCAGAATGGATTAGTAGACATTTATAGTCAAAACAAAGAAACATACAATATATAATAGTGTCATCCACAAAGCAACAACTTACAATACAGCTTTTAAAAGATAATGCAACGAAATGTTAAACATGCTGATAGATGTCTTTCGGTTTACAGTGCGGACTCTTCAATCCTAACCATTGACTATGTGTTATTTGAACCTTAAATTATCCTTAGTTTTCTACATTGTTTTAGATCATTGAGTACATACTGCATCCCAGACTTTCCACCAAAGTGGTGTGATTTGTAAGCATCAGAGCAAAATTCTCTTCCTGATTGTATGAATCGGTGATAAAAATCTTGAATGACATCAAGCAAGCTTTCACACACTTTTAAATATGCTTTGTTTTAAAGTAGGTCAGACTTCCCAGTTGGCATCACAGAAAATGGCCCAAGTTACTTTTAAATTTTGCCTAACTGCAATTTTGTTTGACAGAATTTCTTCTGGAAAGTGGCCATAGAAGGATTAAATCTCCTTCATAATATAATTTTACAATGGAACTACAGATAAAAACTTGAATGTCAGTATTATATGTATTAGTGTATCTCCAGATAAACACCAGAGTGACATATTTCATGTTAAATTGACTGGTCTTATACTTAAGTGACCAGGGAAGGAATATAGCTAGAGGCAGAATGCCATTCATCACATATTACTTTTTAGAAAGCAGTTTCAGGACCTCATTTTTTAAATTTATAGCTTTGATTGGCAAAACTTTTTGACTTTTGAATTAAAAAAATTCATATTCCTAGTATTCACATAGCATTGTTAATAGAAAGCCCACTGGCCAAATCGTTTGGCATAATGTGCTTGTGATTTACACAGGAGGTTGTGAAAGGTTTTGTAAAGACTAGCTTGTTTGAGTATATCAAATTATCATTTTTATTACAGCTTTTTATTTATCGTAGTACATAAAATGATTTTGAGAAATCTCCAAAGAATGCTGATTTGATACAGATTTTGCTGTGATACAATTAACATTTATTGCAAATGCAGATTTTTATGATAAGTAAATTCTGATATGATAGTATTACCGTAGACTTTTTTACTATATTCATAATGCATAAATCACATTATTCTCAAATATTTTCAGTCAGAATGATATATATGTACATATATATATAAACATAGTCATAGAGGCAATAAATGAAAAGTTAGTGCAGCTCTTCTCTCTAAGACATAAAAGTTATGTTTCATTTTATCTCAAAGAGTCTATAAACAAAGATAGGTGCTACAAATTTCTCCATACCTCTCATGACAGTGTACAACTCTATTCAATGCAAATTTGATTTTTTTCTATGTCTTTAAGGGTGTGAATCTTTGAAAAAAGTAATCAATCACTATTTGTTTGGGGGTTGTAGTTTGATATCTCTTTTGGAATACCTCAACATTATATTGATCTTATAATCATATTAAATAAAATCTGATTCTTCTTGAGGCTTTCCAATTACAGCCTTTCTTTAATTTTTTTTTTTTTTGTCTCTGTTCATCTGTTTTTTTTGTTTGTTTGTTTTTTTGAAAATTCTAGCCAAAGCACTTAGCACTATACCTGGCATTTAACAAACACTTGATCATTGTTAGCTATCATCATTATTTGTGTGAATTTCCTATTGCCAATATAACAAATTACTACAAACTTAGTGGCTTTAAGTCAGCAGTCCCCAAACTTTTTGGCACCTGGGATCTGTTTTGTGGATGAATTTTTTTCCATGGACTGGGGTGGGTGTCAGGGAGAGTTTGGGGATTATTCAAGCACATTACATTTATCTATGGTGTACTTTATTTCTGTTATTATTACATTGTAATATATAATAATTATACAACTCACTGTAATGTAGAATCACTGGGAGCCCTGAGCTTGTTTTCCTGCAACTGGATGGCCCCATCTAGGGGTGATGGGAGACAGTGACAGATCAGCAGGCATTAGATTTTCATAAGGAGCACACAACCTAGATCCCTCACATGTTCGGTTCACAGTAGGGTTTGTGCTCCTATGAGAATCTAATGCTGCTGCTGATCTGACAGGAGGCAGAGCTCAGGAGGTAACGTGAGCAATGGGGAGCAGCTGTAAATACAGATGAAGCTTTGCTTGCTTGCTCACTGCTCACCTCCTGCTGTGTGGCCTGGTTCCTAACAGGCCACAGACCAGTACTGGTCCATGAACCAGGGGGATTGGGCACCCCTGCTTTAAACAACACACATTTGTTCCCTTACAGTTCTGTGGATTAGAAGTCCAACGCAAGTCTCAATGGGCTCACATCAAGGTGTCAGCAGGGCTTTGTTCCTTGGGGCTCCAGGGGAGAATCCATTTCCTTCCCTTTTGCAGTTTCTAGAGGCTGCCCGTGTTCCTTTGCTCTTGGCCACCAGCAAGTGATTGTATGGCTTAGACCTCTGCTGGTGTAGTCATACCTCCTTCTTTGACTCTCCTGCCCCTCTCTTTCCCTTCTAAGGACCCTGGTGATTACAGTGGGCCTACCAGAATTCACAGCGAGATGGCTAACTTAATCACCTTTGCCATGTACATTACTTCCCTATTGCTCTTGAAACAAATTACTACAACACAAATTTATTCTCTTACAGTTCTGGAGGTCCAAAGTCCAAAATCAGTTTCACTTGGCTAAAAATCAAGAAATTGGCAGGCCTATGTTGCTTATGGAGTTTCAAGGAGGCAATCTGTTTTTCTGCCTTTCTGGCTTCCAGTGGCCACCTGCACTCCTTAGGTCATGGTCTCTTTCTCCATCTTCAAACCAAGAGCACAGCATCTTGAAATGTCATTCTCTGACTACCATACCTGGTTCTGTGGTCACGTTTCCTTTTCCCTTACTGTGACCCTCCTGCCTCTCTCTTATAAGGACTCTTGGGTTTACATTAGGCCCATCTGGAACCCAAGATTGTTCCCCTCAAATGATCTTTAACTTAATCGTGTCTGTGGATTACCCCTTGTCATGTCAAGTAACATATTTTCAGGTTTCAGGCATTAGAATGTCGACTTTTTCTGGGGACATTTATTCTGCCTACCCCACCAATATTAGGCCCAGACTCTCTCTTAAGCTTACATTTGAATCTCCCAGCCACTCACTGAACATTTGTGTCTAGATCCTCTGTCTGAGTCTCAAAAACTATTTTTACTATACCTTTTTCCAGCCCCAGAGTGGCTCCTCCTACTTTTCCTGTTTCTTCCATTTATCCAAGCTGAAAACCTTAGAGTTAGTTTTTCTTTGTTGTTCGTCAAGGATCTTTACTCTCTTGATTTTCTGGGGTTGTGTTTGGGAGAATCGGTAGAGGAAGATCATTGGATTATTCAGTTACATATCATTTCAATAGGTAGACCATATTATTGTGCTTTTAATATAAAATTATGCTTACTGTGCTGCTGAGATACAAAGAGAAAGGGAGTGTTTATAAAACCATTTTTTAAAATGGCTTTCAATACTATGAAGTATATAGGATGTGTATTTTCTGGACAGTTTTATATGGATCACTGAAATTTTGCATTGAATGGTTGTTCAAGAATGTAAGTCCAGTGTAATTCAAGGGATATTAGTATACCACTCTGAGATAGACCTCCTAATTTGCCTGATTACACTAATTCCTAAATGAAGGATGCAGAAATCCTAACTTCTACAAAGCAGAAGCTTCTTTCCATTTGTTTTCAAATTTTATATGAAGGTTTAGGGCTGGACAGCAATTTGGCCCATGGAGATGGTGAAATATTTTCTTCTTTGGTGGTGAAATCTGTAAATGGTGAATTTTTTCTTCTTCCTTCAGTGGGAATCTCAGAGTAGCCTCACACTGTTTTTCTCTGGGTTGCTGTCTTGCCTTCACTTGTCTGCAGGGCAGGTACCAAGAATCAATCAGGAGTCAGTTTGCGTATTTAAAGAATGGGAGTGACATGAGGGGATTGTCTCAGTGGAAACTGGGGAGAGGGACAGTTACTCCTAGGAAAGGAAGTCAATGAAAATGGGCATTCTTTCAGAATTCAACAGGGAGGAGAAATTTTAAATACAGAGGAGAGTCTGTTACTCAATTTCAGAAACCCCATGTTGAGATTCCCTGAGACACATACACCAAGATGGGACTAAAGGATCAGACTTATAAAAAGAAACTGGAGAAGTTTTTTTATTAAAAAAAAAAAACTGGAAAAAAGGTGAAGGAGCAGAAATGGGCAGAGAGCCTCAGACTGCGAGTCAGGTCCCATGTTGGTGAACAAAGAGTGGGGAGGAAAACTTGCTTAGGAAGAATGTCAGACTGCAGCACAGTTCTGAGGATGCTGTAGCTGTAAAAATGGGGAGTTGCCGAGCCAAAATTGCCCGTTAGAGAAATCCTTCATGGGGCAGGAACGAGCCAGCATTAGCACCTCCATTCAGTTCAGTACTAGGAGCAGCGCAGGGAGGTGTGTGGCCACAGTGCTCCTGGGGTAGCAGGTAGAGGCCATCAGTCAACTGTGTTCTGTGCTTTAGGTTCTCTTGAAGTGAAACCTAAGGGGGAACCTCCATGTCTGCACCAGTCTGCACCTTGATTTGTACATATCCACTTCATGTTCATTTTGGGAGCAGCCTTAAAATGATTTTAATTTTGGCTTCCTTCCTTCTTCTACCAGTCAGTCATTTCCTGTGTCATATAGGCAAAGCCACCACAGTATCTCTATAACTACATAATAATGTTTTAAGTATCAATAATGTTAACCTTTGGATTAAAATAAACATTATAAAGGGAGTTATGCAAACATTTTGAGTTGAACATTTTCAATCAGAATTATATTTGTGATATTTATTCCAAGTGTTGCATGGAGTTATTGTTCATATATTCTTATTACTGTATAATATTATCTTGCATGAATTCACCAGATTTTAGGTTTTCTGACTCTGAGTCAGAGTTCTTTTTCTCAACCATTCTTTTTGGTATAAACTGGGTTAATAGGATTGACTTTTTATTCCTAATGCCCTGCTAAGGCCTGCTATATTGGAGAACAGTAGATATCTGGCTGGGTAAAAGGGAGAAGGACAACCTTGTTAGTTTCATGTGTGGAACACTTTGGAAAGCAGAGAAAGATTGCTTTCCCTCCTTTACTGCAAAGTGAGGTTGCCGGAGCAGCAGGAAGACCCTGAAGGGCTCTTGCTACAACAGCTGCCAGTTTTAACAACTGCAGAACAAACTCAACCTACCTTGCTAGTATTATTTTCCTCTATGGTTTATTCAATACTATTGCAAGAGAAAAGCATCATCAGGATAGGCCTGAGAATAACCATAATGTTTGAGATGCATTTGTTTCATACAACCCGATAAGTGACTTTAGAGCTCACAACTTATCACATGACTGACTGAAATTTCATGAAACATTATACCAATATGACAGCATGATTTAAAGATCAGTTTGAGGTTAAAACCAATGTTTCTGGATGTCTGTATAATTTGCAATTGGCTTGCTAATTTTTGGAAACATCAAGCATTTGCATTTGCATCGTGAATGGGAATTAGTCATCATGTTTTATTTCTTCTAGGTCCTTAGCATGTTCTCTTCTCTGCTGGCCTTTTCTCATGTTCTTCACTCTACTTGGAGTGCTTTTATCCCTGCTTGTTGGGGTGTTCTCCTGTCCTTTAAGGCCTGTTCTTCAGCCATGAAAGAATGGCACCTGTCCTTCCTCTAAAACTCATGGGAGCTCTCATCTAACCCTTCTCCTTATCTCATTGTTATTTGCATATTGATTTACTGTTCCCTTTACCAAAAAGAAAGACCTTCACCATAGGAATTATCTCTTAAATATATTTAAACTTGTTATTCATTAAATTTATTTTGATTCCATGTTTTCCAAAAGTTTTTTTTTTTTTAAACTCTATTGGGAAAGCACTACAGTAATGAATCAATACAGTAGAGTTAATGCAACTAAGAGAAAATAGGGCTCAGGAAAGCAGGAAGCCAATAAGCCAACCACAGTAACCGTGCTTAAATCTCAACTTGGCACTGAACAACCTGGGCCTCCAGAACAAAGTGGCATATTATTATCTAGCCCTCATTATCATAAAAGAGAAGAACAATGGTTCCTTTGCAGAAAACTGATTCACCTTGGCCATAAAGTTCAAGAAAACTCTCATACTGTACTTTACATAGATGTTAGTCAGTAGCATAATTGTATCCTTAACTAACTCCATGAATCTTTATTGAGGCCCTACTAAGTGCCTTTGAGTGTTTCATTTTGCTAATTTGGAGGAGGGGGAAGGGCAGGTGAAATAAAAACTAACATCGCTTGTTTAACAAGTGATAGGAGGACAGACAAGTAAGCAGAATGTTACATACTGATAAGCGTTTTAGTTGAAATAAGCTTAGAATTACTCTGTATAGGAGCATCAACCCAGAGAAGGAGGATTAAAGGAGAGTTCACTTGAGGAGGTGATTCCTGATGTTGGAACCAAGCTTTGAAAACCATTTGAAGGTTATCTCAAAGAATGTGGTTGGTGTTGAAAGTAGAGAAAGCCAAAGACAGGACAGAGACAACAGGAGTTGTAGGCCCCAGAAGCAGCACGTGCAAAAGACTCAGGGACAAAAGAGAGCATGGGGCTTCTCCGAGGCTAAGGTTTTGAGCAGGACCTTAACCATGAAGGGCCTCATATTCAGGTTAAGCAATTTTGCATGATGCCTGAGAGGTTAAAGAACTTCGCCAAGTTTGATGTCAGGAATTGACATGATTAGATTGTTAATTTTGAAATATCATGGTAGAGGCAGGATGGAGATATGAACTAAAACTGAGCAAGACCAGAGAAGCTTGTTAGAAGGTGTCTGAAGCAGAGATATTATGACAGTAATAATATTGCTCCCACCAGGATGCTAATCAACGGTGTCCTCTATAATAATAAAGAATAAATTGAGAGTTATTTCACTTAACTGCTTCTCTTCATGGCCTGCAACAAAAACACTCAGCACTACTTGGAAGTAAAGTTGATGTTTGTATAGATACATTAAGGACACAATGGAAAACTGTCCTTAATGATGGAATTTCTTTCTCTCTTCAACAATTTTATTAGAACTGTCATATGCTTGGATCTTCAATGAATACCCATCGTTTGTTGAAGAAGATAGTCGGAGATTTGTCTCCCAGGAGACAGGGCACCTCTACATATCTAAGGTGGAGCCGTCTGATGTGGGAAATTACACATGTGTGGTGACAAGTATGGTGACAAATGCCCGAGTGCTGGGCTCTCCAACTCCTTTGGTGCTACGTTCTGATGGTAATGAAACTTCTCCAAGTGCACTTCTGAGCGTAAATGGTGCTGAGGCTGCAAACAAAAGCAATTGGGAAAATGTAAAAAGTACATCTAGAAGAATTGTCACTTCATGTTTTTTGGCACAGACTATTTTATGAGTACAATGACAAAAATGATTTGATAACTCATAGTCCTTATGCATAATTCTTACCCCGGGCAAGCTTCATAATTTGCAGGGACCAGTGCAAAGTAAAAATGAGTGGCCCCTTTTTCAAAAATCATTAAGAATTTTAAGACAGCAATGGCAAAGACTTATACCAAGCATGAGACCCTTCTGAGCCCGGGGCTCGGGTTGCACTCCCATGAAGTCACCTGTCCTGACTTTTGCCAGCTTGAGGTTTTTAAAGCTCTGGATATTTTGTTATAGGCTAAAAATCATCACTAAAGAAACCATTAAAGAAAAATATCTGTTTCATCAACACCTTGATGGCTGTTTAAGGGGAGTCTATGAGCTGCCGAGGAAGCAGATCCGTAAGCCTGGGTAGTTGACCCATTTACACAAAACCATATCTGATACAGCATAATGCTATGACCACAAAGCATTGAAGCACTTTTTTCCAGTCAGTTATAATTGAATTTGACCTTTCCCATTTATTAAGTCATTGTTTCTTAACTCCAGGGAGCCATTTAATAAGTTTAAGATTGGTATCTCTGCTACTAGGGTATCATTAAGTAAATTCCCTGCCATAATTTTTGTTCTTTAGGGAAATTTCAGGAAGCAATAATATATTATATATTTCAGTTTGACTAGCAATGTCAAAATTGAATACACAATTTCAAAGCCTCCCATTTTGTGTAATGTAAAGGCTCAGTGGTTTTCTTGGAACTGCTCTGTACGTGGTAACCTATGAATCAGCAAATCCAAAGTTCTTAAATGTTTATTAATATTGCATGTTTGACCCAAGTTAGTTCAGGTTTTTTAAAGCTCTGGATGTTTTGTTAGAGGCTAAAAAGCACCACTAAAAAAATTATTAAAGAAAAAATCTGTTTCATCAACAACTTGATGGCTGTTAAAAGGGAATCTGAGCTGCATAGACTAAATTTTATTTAATTGAAATCACTAGAAGAGCTGGTTCAAAATGGGAGCAAAAGAAAGTTTTATTTAAGAAAAACGAGGCAATTCTAAAGGAAATATTGAAACGATTAACTTTATATTGTGGATTTATAGGTGTGATGGGTGAATATGAACCTAAAATAGAAGTTCAGTTTCCAGAAACTCTTCCAGCAGCTAAAGGTTCGACTGTGAAATTGGAATGTTTTGCCCTTGGAAAGTAAGTTTTATAACATTTACTCCTATGTGCTGAAATATTAGGTTGCTATAAGAAATCAGGATGGTTTTTGAGAGACTCTTCTTTTTTATTTTCTAAAATTTACTTTCATTTTGAGGCAAAGGAAAAACAAAATGCAGGGGAAATGCACATATAAAATTGAGTTTGAAACTTTAATATTCAAAGTCGATTTGAAGAAAATTACTCTGCCTGCCGAATTTCATAAAATAAATTGGTGGGTTTTTTTTTTTCTTGTTCATTTGCTGTAATCTAATATGGTGGGTCTGTATTAGGCTTTTTTCTCGAAATCATGTCAAGAAAAATGCAGTTTATTTTATTAAAATATCAACTTAAAGAGTTAAGTTAAATCTTTTTTATCAGGTTTATATAATTGACCATTGAAAGTGGTTTTCTGCATTTAAAATCCTGTGCCTTCTTGTTCAATCTTAAAAGCTTTATTTTCTCAAGTTGAAAAGGCTTCCAGACAATAGCAGACAACTTGACGATTTTCTTCTTAGTCCCATACCTCAGATTAATTGGAGAAGAAGTGATGGGCTGCCATTTTCCAGCAAAATTAAATTAAGGAAGTTCAGTGGTGTGCTTGAAATCCCCAACTTCCAACAGGAAGATGCAGGTTCCTATGAATGCATTGCTGAGAATTCACGAGGAAAAAATGTTGCCAGAGGGCGTCTCACTTACTATGGTGAGCATCTGCTTTGGGCAAATTGGAGTTTTAGCTTTTACTTTCTCATCTATAAAATATGGTTGTTATTTAGGGGTGAGAGATTATAGCAGAATCCCAATGTTCAACTTGTTGGTTAAACATTTTGTTAAGTGATGATAAACATTGATCATAGGGGGAATTAAAAAGAAATAAATTTTTGTAATGAAGTTGGCGACATAATATATTCATTTTGCATTTTAAAATGATTCATGCAAAGATAAAATATTTCATATTTTTTTCCTAAGAATAACCTCTCACACACTTAAACACATTAGAGAGAGATCTCTTTTCTGTCTGTCTTCTCCTCTAGAAAACAGGTTTTGTATCTTTCTTTGTTACCTCTACTAAAGAGAAAAAAAAAAAACTGCCTTTTGGGAAAAGTTGCAATTACTGTATTAAACAAACCACGTGAACTCTGGCTCTTGTTGAGTTCTTCAGTGTTATTCTATCCCTTCCAATAATGTATCTGTACTCTGTTTGCTGCCTTTAATTTGCAATCACTTTTATTTGATGTACTGCTCAATTTGGGTAAGGAAGGAATAATAATGTCACCTTTATTTAGAGTCTATTTGTAGGAAAATTAGATTGCCTTTTTTTGAAATTTTTTTCAAACCTCTTATTTTAAGAAAACTAGGTTTTTGATGAAAACATGACTTAGAATAAATATATAATTTTTCAAAACGGATTTATAAAATATATGGAGACGTATATATTCAGCTCAGTGAATATATATTTGCACTTTAATCATTAGAAACATCGCAAAACTAGTGGGAATTGACCACTCTTGTCAAAGGTAAATTGCATTATATTCTATTTATTTTAGAATTTGGAAATTGAAACATCTTGCAACACGTCCTTGGATAGCATATGTGCATGTTGCAAGGAAGAAAAGTTTGCAAAGGCAAATACTAAAATTGTAGGTCTTATGACACCCCGCCTTGAAAAATATGAAGTCTACCAGTGCATTACTTCTGGCACGATTAACACTTGTTATTATATTGTAAGATTTTAGGATCTGTCAGAAACAAAATGGAGGCATTGTTTGGTAGCATGAGTCATTCTGTTTTGTAACTCTCCCATCTTGTTGCTTGATTAGTTTAGAATGTATATAGCACAGAACTTACCCAGGTTTCAAGGTCTTTGGGTTCCTAGGATTCTATGGAAATAGGGGGTGAGGGAGCAAGCACTTAACCCATGTGGCTGTCCAGCTCTAAGGCCCCAACAAAGCAAGTAACCTTTTCTCATACTCTAGCTTAGTTCCTTCTTTCTGCGCAACCACTACTTGATCTAGGATAAGAAGTGACCATTATGGGAACACACCGGATATTCCAACTGTATTAATGTTTTAGTAGAAATATTTTTAGCTCTATATAACAGAAACCCTGTATACATAATAAACAATTGTATGCTTCATATGATGAGGAAATCCAAAGCTAAATTGTCATTTAATTACCTTATCATCAGGCCACGACCCAGTTTCTTTGTGATTACTTTTTCTGCCCTTGTCTATTTTTTTTTTCCTTTTCTGCATGTTAGTTTCCATTATGATCACAAAATGGCTGCCAGCAGTGACTAGCACATCAGTTGTTACTCATCCTTCCTTTCTCCAAAACATCTAGAAGTCCTCTCCTCAAACCTCACTGGCTACATGGTTCATTCCTAAACCAATCAGTGGCAAGGAGAAATTAGATTAGACAATTAAGTGCTTCACTTTGGAACAGAGAATAATGTCATGTTTCTATAGACAATGTGAGGTGATGGAAGAGTGGACAACTGAATTAAAAATTGGTGTTATTTTAGGAATAAGGAAGAGAGGAAATGAATGCACAATAGAAAACCAACAGTGTCTGCTCTACTTAGTAAAAGAGGTAGACTATTGCTTTAGTCCATTGTGTAGGTAATATGATACATACCTAAAAAATAAATCAGAAATTAATGGCATAAAGCATTTCATGAAAGTTGCCTTACAATTTCTATTTAACATCAATATATTAAGTAGAGGCCATGCAGTTCTCTGGTTATCTGCTCTAATATTTCATGTAAAAAATAGTCTATAGAATATTTGCATCTCATATGATGGAATAAAGGGAGAAATCAGAATTGATGTGGCAGTTATGATTTCAGGATTTTTTAGTCCAGCGAATTATCCTCCCATTTGGAGAAGAAGAGTATTACTATGGGAAGCTTGTGGGATTTTTTTTTTTTTTTTAGAAACTCGGGTCTCTATAAGAGGCTGATGTGTGAGTCTATTCACAGTCATGTTCCATCTCAGGCTGATCATTCCTGAAAGAAGAAGAAAATGTGTTTTAATATAGAGAGAAGTGATTTGGTACTGAACTACACTTCATACTGAGCAAGTTATATATATATATATATATATATATATACACACACACACACACACACACGCACACACACATAAAAGAGAAAACTTAGATGAATACATTATCTGTAAAAGCTAAATAACCATAGTTTCTTTTCAGTTTCATTTATAAAAAAGTAATTTTATGAGCTAGAAATGGAAAGACAAATCTTCCCATGGTTGCAGTTAAATAGAAATAGATAAACTGTTTCTCCATATGGAGGATGCAAATGTGAATCCCACAGTACACATCACATGCATAATGCAATGTGAAACCAGTAAGGCATCTCACCTCCCAGTTTTGGATTTAAAACACAAGCTGAGACTTGGCTGGATATACTGTATATAGTAAGTGACTTTCATTGTAAGTGGTACGATGCTTTCATCTGTAAAATGAATTTTCCAAATACCCTCTAAAGCATAAGTTGAAAATGATAAATCCATTTGATTGAACTTATTTGCATACATAATTTAAAGTTGCATCAGTTACTTCTTTTTCTGGCAAAAAATCACATGATTCAAGTTGAACCAACTTATCCATCTTTTCCTGCTTTGATCTTAATTCACTCAGAGGTTCTTAAGATGCTCACTGGTTTGTATTTAATTAAGTTATTTCTAACTTGTGGAAAATATTTTTTCCTCGGCTGTAGCAGTTTCTCTCCTATGGATGTTAATTTTTAGTTCATAATTAAGAACAATATATGCTGTCATTCACTTATTAAGTCATCATCAGTTGTGATCTCATGATTCAAAAATACACTTGGAAAACAAAATCAGTTTTGTGTACCTGTATTACTGTCTACTAATAGATATCTAAATAATATAGTACAGTGCTCAGAATTTTGAAAATAGAGAGAGCATAATTAATTTGCCTTAGGAAATAACAGATTGCAACTTCCATCCTCAAATGTAGAAACGTTTCATACAGCCAATGAGTAGATACTTAGTGAATAAAATATAATTCTAGCCTCTGTTCTCACTTCAATCTGTTACTCATTATCATGTCCATTTCTATTAATCCAGGTAAGATAATAAAATAATAAATACATTTTATTTGCTGGGTGGTTTAAATTTCTTTTCTTTTTCCTTTTCTTTCATTGAAGCAAAGCCCCATTGGGTTCAACTCATAAAGGATGTGGAAATAGCCGTGGAGGACAGTCTTTATTGGGAATGCAGGGCAAGCGGCAAGCCCAAGCCTTCCTACCGATGGCTGAAAAATGGAGCAGCCCTGGTGCTAGAGGTAAGGTAACATGGACCTAAAATGGGTTTAGAGGCCTGGTAAATCCACCCTTTCCTCACTTGGTGTTTAGCAAATGCTTTCTTTAGTCCCTAGTCCCAAAATAAACTGTTGAGTTTGCACACTTTCCTTTACTTCTAAGCAGTGGTACAGGAGGAAAAATATCAAATCAAGTACCCAGTCTGCCAGTGAGGAGAGCTTTTCAGCATGGCATTTCACTGGGAAGAAGTCATGGTGTGAATTTAGTCTGTAAAATAATCTACCGTTTTTTTGGTATTGAAATTAGAGAAGGCCTTACTTTAATCAAATTTAGGATATAATTTCCTTTTCCTGTTTAACAACTTGGTGTGGCCTCTGGGGAATGAATGTATCTATTACTTGGTTACCTTGTTATGTAAGTACTTATTTTCTCCATCACTCTCCTTCTCAAGCCATGTAATTTTTGCCCTTTTTTTGTATACTAAGTCAATTGTGTTCTTTCAGTTTCCATACCTAACCTTTCATACTACCTAGAAACTCTGGTAAATATATGTGTTTCCCAGAAACCTTTCTAATCCACAGATTTGATAATGTTTTTAACTTGCATGATTTGAAAAGACATAGTGAAAACATTTCCAACTGATGGGATAAAAATCAACCTCATAAAACATGTTTTAAAGTCACGGTACCTTTTTAAGAAACTTTAACTGTAGGGGAAAAAGTGAAATGGTTGCATATTTTACCTCTGCTTTGTTATCTATTTTATGATATACTTTTGGATTGAAGGATGCTAATTCATATTTCTAATGTGTAGCTATTGTGTAAATTAGTCTTTCACATTTAAAATAAGGAAAAGGTTAAATTTCAGGCCATCCTGTCTAATACTCTCAGAAAAATGCAGAAAGTTTCTGTGTGAGTGAAATGATAGTCAGTTCATTTTTATTCTAAAGTGGTATGTTTGTTTATATGAAAGATATTTTTATTATCATCTAGGAGAGAACACAGATAGAAAATGGTGCCCTTACAATATCAAACCTAAGTGTGACTGATTCTGGCATGTTCCAATGCATAGCAGAAAACAAACATGGCCTTGTTTATTCCAGTGCTGAGCTCAAAGTTGTTGGTAAGGCTGATTTTCTCTGCTCTTCTCTTAATTTTTTGTCTTAAATCCTTCATTGTTTCCAGAAGCAGTAATATTTACTTTTCACATTAGGTTCCTACATCTAATAATATCTACAGTATTACAACACGATCATTCAGTTTCTAATCAAGGCATACCTTTTAACAGTTTCTAAGGAAAAACAGCAATTATGGCCAGAATTGAGGACCAAGGGTTAAGTTAATCGACAGTAGGAATCAAATATTGGCAAAAGATATCCTTATCCACCTCCAATATTACCAACTAAGCAAAGCCTTTTAGGAGAATAAGTGATTTTGGTGTTCCCCGTTGCTGGTCCGTAATAGCAAATACCAAAATTTGAATCAATCGTATTTGATTCAAAAGAGTTGCCTTTGCCTTTAGTGGCTCTGTTAGAAGCTTGACACATTGGATACCTTGAGGCTTTCATTGTCCAAGGCTCCACTGCTTGAAATTATAGATGATCTTCTTCTTGTACTTTAGGTATAGGAGAAAAAGAAGATGTTCTATCATGTTTAAAGCAATTGTCCAGAAGAATATTTACATTACAAATGATTGAAAATCCAAGCAAAACACCATGGCATAGTGTAGCATAGCACAAATGAATGGAAGGAAAGGAGGAAGGGAAGAGGAGCAGGAGGGCTTGCTCATCAGTCCATGTTATTAAAATGGAGAATTTGGATTTCAGCATAATTTGGTCCAGTGTTCAAATATCATCACTATTATCAGGTTCTATATGATGTTTCCCAACAAAATGAATGTATTACCACAGTCATTCCAGTGGAAGAAAGACGGCTGTCTTAATTGCTCAAAGGGAAGTCAAAGTGTTGCATGCCATTGGCCCCATATAGCCTGATTTGGGTTAATACTTGTTTCTGAACCAATCCATATGGTCAGCAAGTGATAAGGCCCTGCATGATTTAAGTCAGTGTTTCTCAACCAGGGACAATTTTGCCCTGAGGGAAATTTAGAAATGTCTGGAGATATTTTTGGTTGGTGTGGAGAGGTAGAGGACCAGTGTGTGGTATTAGCATATTGTGGGTGAAGGACAGAGAGGCTGCTAAATATCCTACAGTGCACAAAATAGCTTCTCACAAAAGATAATTATCCACCCCAAAATGTTATATGTCAAGAGTGATTGAAAAAACCCTGCTTTAATGGGCTCTCTCATCTCTAGTGCCTGGCAGTTAGAAATGCATCATCTGTACCAGGAGGAATGATGCCTGGAGGGATGATCAACTGAAAATCTGGCTGCTGTTATCCATGACAGAGAAGTAGCATATTATGACAAAAAGAGGGAGGAGTTTGCATATAAGTCTTAACTTGAAAGACTGTAATTATATTGCAATAAATTAAGCTGATGAGCCATAGTTTATCCATCTTTAAAATGGGTGGAGTCCTACTCAATGTATGGTGTGGGATTGTTGTGTATGAAGAAATACGAGGTGCGTAAACAAAAGATTGTATTCAAATATAAACAAGTTTTTGTTTTAACAAAAATCACTCTTTTATGATTTTTAATTTTTAAGGCCAACAACCTCTGGATACCATGTTTTCTTTACCACAATCACATGTATAATTACGTAATATGATTCACTCTAAGATTTCCACTAATCAAATAAATAAATTGTATTCACTTGGATTTGCCATAAGACACAGCATTAGCTATTTGGGAAATGCAGTAGGTTTTTAATGTTTTTCACATTTGCAGCAAAAGGAAGAGTGATTTTTTTTTTATTAACATACCCTTTCATTCCAATGATACAATATTATGTATCTTAAATGTTCAAGTGTTGTTTCAGGATTAACATCCCATGTATTATTAGCAAATGTAATATTTTCTACACATTATTATACTTCATGCAATATTATAGCATTTAAAATAATATGTGCGTAATATTATTTTTCCCCAGTTTGGAAGTTCAACCTAACAATTTAAACATTTTATCGTGGAACTTGATACATGCATATGTATGAGAATATTAATTCAGTGCTTAGCCTCTGTTCTCAAAGTTTTGCTGAGCTTTGTTGAATGCTAGGCACTGTACCAAGTGCTATGTCCTAAAGGTTAGCAAGAGAGACAACCCTATTCCTGTCTTCGTGGAGCTAACATTTAAAAACGTTCTATACCAAATGTTTTCCTTTCATTTAATAAACACATGATTGAGCTACTTTGAATCTTCACCATAAACTAAACATTTCTGTATAAAGTAATTGTCTCACGATTTAGACTTGCTAGAAAACATAATAACATGAATTATCCTGTGTGTGGCACACAATAAGCCAAGTAAATCAAGCACTGACACCCTGAATGTAAAGAAAACTTTTAAAACTGTAAAAGTGGACCTTTGAAATTGACAAGAAGTTTTGTAAATGATCCACTTCTCCTTCTCTCCTTTCTTGCCTTTCAGCTTCTGCTCCAGATTTTTCAAAGAATCCAATGAAGAAGTTGGTTCAGGTGCAGGTGGGCAGCCTGGTCAGCTTGGATTGTAAACCCAGAGCCTCCCCAAGGGCACTCTCTTCCTGGAAGAAGGGGGATGTGAGCGTGCAGGAGCATGAAAGGTATTTTGATGTCCAGAAAAGTGGTCATTTACTTTCCTCTCACTTTCCATACTGATGTCAACATAGGTTTTAAATATGAAATGAAACAAAATAGCATTTCAGTAGCATGTGAGATCTTTAAGAACTAAAATAGTAGTATTTTTGTTCTTTAATACCTTTGTAAGAGTATTCAGTTTTTTGAAATCTAAACACAGAAAATATATCCAAGGTCTTCCCACATAGAGTACTTTCTCTTAACAAGGATTTTCTTCCTGAATCGCTGGGAAGACTCAACCAGAATGATGAAGGAATGTTGATCCCAGAAGCAGATCCACATCCCAGGACAAAGAAGAGAAGGATGTATAATAACAGCACATGCCAAAGAAATACAAATATTGCTGTTATCCTATACTCAAATAATTTAGCATGACTGGTATTTAGTTTAAGCAAAGGCATCCCTGATTTCCTGGCTGTAATTATAACACTGAGATGAAGAAGCAGGATGGTCTTAGTGAAAAGCACAGACTCTGGAGCTAGACCACCTGGATTCAAATCTTCATTTTTGCCTTTACTTGCTCAGTGCTGTGACCTAATCTTTCTGTGCCTCATTCCCTTATTTGTTAGTGGGAGTGATAATAGTTCACACCTAATGTCAAGAATTGTTATGTGGATGAAGTACATAAATATTAATAAAGCACTTAGGTAAACACCTGCCAGAAAGTAAGCGTAAGTATTGGCTGTTACTGCTGCTTATCTATTATAAATTTACTATATATTTATTATTTATTATTACAGTTTATTGAGTGTTTATTGCCAGGGATTATGCTCAGAGCTTGTGATAAGCAGAATAATTGGCCCCAAAGCATCCCTCTCCTTATCCTAGAAACCTGTTACTGTGTTATATTACATGGCAAAAGGTAATTAAATTTGAAGGTAGAATTAAGGATGGAACTAAAGTCTTAGCAGTTGACTTTAAAATAAGGAGGTTATCCTGGAGTATCTGGGTGGGCCCAAAGTAATCATCTGAGCCCTTAAGAGAGGAAGAGGGAGGCAGAAGGATTGGTCAGAGAGCTGTGATAATCACAGAAGAGGCAGGAGAGACCTGAAGCCTGAGAAAGACCCTGATGAGTGTTGCTGGCTGTGAAGATGAGGGAAGGGGCCAGCAGTAAAGAAAACAGGGACCTTGGTTCCATGACCACAAGAGGCTGAATTCCACCAACAACCTGAATGAGTACAAAATGATTCCAGATTCAGAAGGAATGCAACCCTTCTGAATGTTGATTTTAGCACAGTGAGACCTATACTGAACTTCTGACCTCCAGAACTGTAAGAGAACAAATTGATGTTGTTTTAGGTCATCAGGTTTGTGGTCATTTATAACAGCAATAGGAAACTTAACACAGAACACTAAGTGAATTATCACTTTTAAATATTTCTGCAGCTAATGAAAAAACAGAAACTTAGTGGAATTAATTTGCCTGAAGTCACATAGCCAGGATTGGGAGCCATTCTGTTTGACTCTAGGATATAACCACTAAGCTTTATCAGTGCCACATTTTGTACAGGGAGCCCAGAATCTTTGAGGTGGTCTCAGCCATTGAAGTCATAGAGTCCAAATTATTACTTTGGAAATGAAAGGAATACAAACAAACAATAAAACCTTAGGCCAAGAAATGTGGATTTGCTTTTCTAAAATATCACAGCATCAGATTGCACATGACCAGGTTGAACGGCTTTTAGATTTTAGCCCCAAAGGTATATTTAGACAAGTTGGTTACAACAGCACAATCTGCAGTTCCTCCAGTATTTAGCCGAAGATGCCTTCATTAAAAGGCAGACACAGCAGGATGACAAGATAAAATTGTGAATTGAGTGGTTCACCATAATCCAACCAAATGCTAGGCTGCACAGAATAGATTTCTGGAACAGGAGGTTAATTAGTGATTTGCAGTTTGATTTTGTAAGCCAGTTTAAACAACTACAGGCTTGTGGCACAAACTAGTTAATTTTGGCTATGCTAGAAGTTAACTCTTCATATGGAACTCATGACATTTTTGTGTTCAAAAATTTTTAATTGATTCAATAATATACATGAATTAAATAGAGATTATTTCCCATGGATATCAATGCTTTGTACAATGCTAAATCAACTTGTCCTCATAGTAGCAAATATAGTAGGTAGAGGCTTTTAATCTTAATTTTTAAAGGGGATAAAAAGATTAAGAGATTTAGCTAGTGATACACAAGGAGATATTTATATCCACATTGTATAGCGATGGTGCTGGTAAAAGTGTGTAAGTTCCAGGATCTAACCTGGAATTTCTGATTTAGCCAGTTAATACTTTAATCTATACTTAATACAAGTATAGATTCGTGGCACAAACTATTTAATTTTGACTATGCTGGAAGTTAACTCTTCCTTTAGAACTGCTGACATTTTTGTGTTCGAAGATTTTTGAACACAAAAATTTAGTGTCATTAGATCAGCTATGTAATACCTCTGAACCTCCGTTTCCTCTTCCATAATATAGAGATAATATATCCTTCCTTACATAGTCGCTGCAAAATCAGGATTTAGCCTGATATTTGTACATATACATATACTGATCTATAAGAATGAGATCATGTTATAAATAAAATTTTGAAAGTAAAAGTGGCTGAAAAAGAATTTTTTTGTTTGTTGGTTGGCCGTTCATTGGTTGGTTGGTCACTGTGAAGGCTGACAGTCAAGGCTACCTGGACTCTCCATTCAGCAGGGATGCAGGCCCTGCTGTCTTGCTGTCCCACCACTCTCAACTCATGAACCAAAACCACTGTTTTTGTGCCTGCCTCCCAGTGACATCCCAGGCAACAGCAAGGAGGAAGGTAGAAATAAGAATACACAACCCAAATGTCCAACAATGATAGACTGGATTAAGAAAATGTGGCACATACACACCATGGAATACTATGCAGCCATAAAAAATGATGAGTTCATGTCCTCTGTAGGGACATGGATGAAATTGGAAATCATCATTCTCAGTAAACTATCGCAAGAACAAAAAACCAAACACCGCATATTCTCACTCATAGGTGGGAATTGAACAATGAGATCACATGGACACAGAAAGGGGAATATCACACTCTGGGGACTGTTGTGGGGTGGGGGGAGGGGGGAGGGATAGCATTGGGAGATATACCTAATGCTAGATGACGAGTTAGTGGGTGCAGCGCACCAGCATGTCACATGTATACATATGTAACTAACTTGCACAATGTGCACATGTACCCTAAAACTTAAAGTACAATAAAAATAAATAAATAAATAAATAAATCAAAAAAAAAAAAAAGAATACACTTCCTTCCCTTTAAGAGTCTTCCCAGAAGTCCCATACAACACTCTTCCTTATACCATACTAATCAGAAATTCATTCCCTGGCCACATTTAACTGCAAGAGAAACTGGGAAATACAGAATTTTTTTTTTTTTTTATGGACGGGAATGCACCCAATAAACAAAATTGAGATTGTGTTTTTAAGGAGAGAGAGGAAAATAATTGCTAACCCAGCAGTGTCTCGTGGTAATAAAAGTTAGTTCTCTATCCCTTTCAAGCCTTCTGACACTCTGCTTTGTATGATATATTTCTAATATCTCCCCTACTGATCATAAGCTTTCATATATGAAGATATCCTTAAAAAGAGGGAACATATTTAAGAGAGGTCCATGGTGTTCCAATCCTCCTTAGATCTGTGGTTTGAATTTTGTTTTTATCTTTTTGGACAGCAAAAAACACTGACGAGCCAGGGCCTTGATGCTTAGGGAGAAGCCTGCTAGAAGCAATTATCGAACAAGTTGCGGACTTGAACCTTCTCCAAGTCCACGGGAAATCAGAGTGGCCGCAGTCATCACTTGGCAACGAAAGCCCCATATCCATCCCTCTTAACTTGGTCTGCAGGCTTCAGCCAAATCAGAAAAACACATTAAATGGTAGATTTATTGTGGTTGTTAGATCATGGATTGTTACAACTTTAAAAATGCAGATTCAATCTTATTTGAAGGAGAAATGAATTCATTGGTGCATTAAAGAATAGAAGACAATTTTTTAATGGGATATTTATGACAAAATTTGAAGTGTATTTGATTTTTTAGTTTTTTTAAGTGGTTAATTTGGACTTGTCGGCGAATAAGAAACTTATGATAAAGATGAAAGCTTTCTCTAGCCTAACATAGAGGCCACTGGCAGCAAATACATTTTGATTAAGCCAATATTCTATATATGTATCATTCAAGGTCTAAATCAGAAAACAATCAAAGGATTAAATACTTTTCTTAAGCACTGAATAAACTGAGGCCGAGTGCAGTGGGTCACGCCTGTAATCCCAGCACTTTGGGAGGCCAAGGCGGGTGGATCACCTGAGGTCAGGAGTTCAAGACCAGCCCAACCAACATGGAGAAACCCTGTCTCTACTAAAAATACAAAATTAGCTGGGTGTGGTGCTGCATGACTGTAATCCCAGCTACTTGGGAGGCTGAAGCAGGAGAATCACTTGAACTTGGGAGGCAGAGGTTGCGTTGAGCCGAGATTGCACCACTGCACTCCAGCCTGGGCAACAAGAGGGAAACTCCTTCTATTAAAAAAATAATAATAATTGGATAAACTGATAAATGTGCCTTCTATGTAAATCGTATAATAGATTTGAATAATCGGCCAGGCACGGTGGCTCACACCTGTAATCCCAGCACTTTGGAAGGCCGAGGCAGGCGGATCACGAGGTCAGGAGATCGAGACCATTCTGGCTAACACGGTGAAACCCTGTCTGTACTAAAAAATACAAAAATAATTAGCTGGGTATGGTGGCATGTGCCTGTAGTCCCAGCTACTCAGGAGGCTGAGGCAGGAGAATGGCGTGAAACTGAGAGGCGGAGCTTGCAGTGAGCCGAGATCATGCCACTGCACTCCAGCCTGGGCGACAGAGCGAGACTCCTACTCAAAATAAATAAATAAGTAAATAATCATAATCCACCTGGTTTATAAAGTTTTATAGCAGCACAATAACAGCTTTGCAATTATGAATCAGCCGTGATCATGTGGATCTCAGTCAGTGAGGCACCTAAATTATAGAATCACTTTGAAGAAATGAGAGTTGTTTCTTTCAAGTATGGAGAGCATTTCAAGCTAGAGTAGTAAATGGATTACTGCCCAACAGAGGTCTTCAAAAAGCTGCTATGAGTAGATAACAAAGGCTTATCCTGCAAAAAGTGATTCCTGGGCTCTTACATTTAAGTTCACACTTGAAAATACCTTGAGTACCTACTATATGCTAGGCACTAGGTATTTATTATTTATCAGATACATCGATGCCATTGTTTGTAGCTTTTCAGGGTATACAGACAGGTAACAGGACAGGTACAATAAAACTCAATTGGCAAAGTACAGGATGTTCAGGGAATCACCTAGGAAGGCTCTTATCTCCAAATTAGGGATCAGGACAAGCTCTCTAGAGAAGGTGATGTCTGCAGCAGGACTTGAAAGATGACCAGGGTTTTTGTTGGAGAAGAGTATTCCAGGAAGAAAGAATAGCACGTGCAAAGGTACAGAGGCCAGTCATGGTTTGGGTACTGCCTTAGTTCATTTGGGCTACTATAACAAAATACTAGATTGGGTAATTTATAAATAATGGAAGTTTATTGTTCACAGTTCTGGAGGCTGGGAAGTCTAAGAACAAGGCACCAGTCTGGTGAGGGCTCACTCTCTGATGCATAGATGGGGCCTTGTTGCTGCATCCTCACATGGTAGAAGGGGCAAGGCAGCTCCATTCAATCTCTTTTGTAAGGGCACTGACCTTATACCCCTATGTCTTAATAACTTCCCAAAGGCCCCCCTTCTTTATACCATCACAATGAGCATGAGGTTTCACCATGGATTTTGGAGGGACATATTCAGAGCATAGCAGGTACTTGAGTAACTGATTGTTCAATGGGCCTCCATTTTAAGGTGCCATGGAGGGGAGTGTTCAGAGAGAATTGGGCAGTAGAGGTAAGCAGGGGTCTTATTGTCAATGACAGTGTATACCGAATTAAGGAATTTGGGCTTTATTCCACAAGCACTGGGATGCAACAGAATAAAATCAAAGTAGAAGATGTACAGGATTAAATTTCTGTTTAAAAAAGAGGACCAGCAGGGTGCGGTGGCTCATGCTTGTAATCCCTGCACTTTGGGAGGCCGAGGCACGTCGATCATTTGAGGCCAGGAATTTGAAACCAGCCTGGCCAACATGGTGAAACCCCATCTCTACTAAAAATACAAAAATTAGCTAGGCATGGTGGCACACTTCTGTAATCACAGCTACTGGGGAGACTGAGGCATGAGAATTGCTTGAACCCAGGAGTTGGAGGTTGCAGTGTACCGAGACCTTGCCACTGCACTCCAGCCTGGGCAACAGAGTGAGAACCTGTCTCAAAACAAAACAAAACAAAACAAAAACACTGGTACCAGCAGATGGGTTGAAGTGGTACCAGGACTGAAAGCAAGATCCCTCATTAGCAGCAATCCACCTGTCTGAGCAAAACAGTATTACAGCCTGAACTAAAGAAATGACAGTGGGAATGAAGTGAAGCCTTGAGGAGTTTGAGAAAATGTTATATCAACAAGACCTGTTGATTAGAGGCATGATTTGAAGAGAAGACAGGAGTCGAGGATAAATCCTAGATTTCCAGGTTAGGATTCAGGGAGCATGGCAGACCCATTCAGAGTGACAGGGAACCTTATAGAAATGGCAGAAATGAGGGCAAATAGGATAAGTTCAGTTTGGGATTGGTTGAGTTTGAAGTACCTACTGAAAAACCAACTGGATATATCCGTGCATACAAAGGTTGACTGAATCTGGAACTTAGGAGAAAGACTCAGGCTATAGAAACAGAGATTTATGTGTCATGAGCTTGGAGATGGTAGCTGAGCCATTGTAGTGGATACAACTTTCTAGGAAGGGTAGATGTCTTTAAATGGTAGAGGCTGTACAGCTTACCTCTGAAACTCTCGTACATACAAGTTATCAGTAGAGAGAACTGTGTTACAGCCTCATTTAATGATTTAGTGATTGATTTATTAAATAAATGCCAAGTCACCTGGTGCTCAACTATTCTAAACGTCATAATTACTGGCATTCAGTATTGAGTAAAGGTTTTTCTTTTTCTTATTTTGGCTTTTTTTGTTTGTTTGTTTTATATTGGTATTATACAGTCCAATATTGGGTAAAGTTATTGTGCTTTTTTTCTCCCTGCAGCAAGAAACATTTTGGAATAAACAAAAATGTACTGCCTTTTTCAGTATTCCATAGTATTTCACCAGGTGTCAATGTTTTTGTGCTATTTCATTCATTCATTCACTTAAATCCACCTATTTCCAAAAGAGACAAATCAAAACTGTATGTTTTGTCTCTTTTAAGGAAACTAACATTGAAAAAGACCCTTGAGAATGAGAACAGACGTGGTTTGTGAGAAAGAGCCAGTTGGTGTATTTTAAAGATTATTTAACTTATCTCTATCACTTAGTGGTACTTGAAACATAGTAGCTAATTATTTTTTTAAATGGGATCCTTCATTTGAATGCTATTGCTTATAATAGTAAATATTTTATTGCAATAACCTCAGTCAGAAGAAAGTAAAAGAATGGCTCATTGCTTCTAATTAACACATTAAAATTATTTCAAATGTTTTATGCAACATTTAATACTATTGAAAATTAAATGCCTTTTAAAGAAAGAGTGAATTTTTTTCCAAATATGAATAACTATAATCCAGGCAATGTTTTTAAAAGATATTACCCAATCTTAATGTATTTCCTGCACATAGATAAAAGCTGGCATTAAAATGCAGTAAGCATTATATGCTGTATTATTGGATTTATATGACATTTTTGAAAAAGGAGCAGTTTTAGGGAAAAAAATAGTGATCACTGCTTGCCAGAGGCTGGGAGTGGGTGTAGAGGTTGACTGTCAGGGACACAGAAGGATTTTTGGGGTGAGGGACCTGCTGTAGCCCATGATTGTGAGAGATGACATGACTGCATTCATCTGTTAAAGTGCACAGAACTGTGCATCAGAAAAAGGTGTATTATACTGTATTTAAATTATGCCTTAATTTTATTTTATTTAATTAATTAATTAATTTTTTTTTTGAGACGGAGTCTCGCTCTGTCCCCCAGGCTGGAGTGCAGTGGCGCAATCTCGGCTCACTGCAAGCTCCGCCTCCCGGGTTCACGCCATTCTCCTGCCTCGGCCTCCCGAGTAGCTGGGACTACAGGCGCCTGCCACCACGCCCGGCTAATTTTTTGTATTTTTAGTAGAGACGGGGTTTCACCGTGTTAGCCGGGATGGTCTCGATCTCCTGACCTCGTGATCCACCCGTCTCGGCCTCCCAAAGTGCTGGGATTACAGGCGTGAGCCACGGCACCCGGCCTATGCCTTAATTTTAAAAGTTACATGCAGTTTTACATTCATCTCCACCCTGATCAAGTAGTTCCATAAAGGAGTTTAAAAGCTCAAGAAATGCTCCTAACTGGCCACTTTTGCCATTTGTGAAGCACTGAGTAATGTGATGATGGTACTTACAAGCAGAATCTAAACTTTTGCAAATAACCAGGATGATTCTATCAGAGCCAAGACCACTTAGCATTTCTGTCATTGCCCCTCCTAGTGGCCACAGCCTCGCTTTGATAAAGATGTGTCTAGAAACTCTGTCACTATCAAACAAATCTGTTTTAGGTGGCACTTCCCCTTGACTCAAGCTTTTAAATGAAGAACAGAGATTCCTTTGCCAAAGGAATGTGTCTCTCTCCATCTCTTTCCCCTTCCCTTACACTACCTGGCTCCTCTCCTCACAGTGGAGTCCACTTTTCTTCATACTGTTCAAAATGCCACTCCCATCTCTCTCAGCCTTCCACTGCCCCCTTCATCCAAAAAGCTTGACTTTATTTTAATCTTCTTCTACATCCGTGGTCTACCCATCAAAACAGTTGTTCCCTCGCAACTGTCAGGTAGGCGTGCAAGCTCAGTGAGTTTCAGTGAATCTACCCTCAGATACGTAGCTGAGATCTCAGTGAGTCTTTTGCTTTTGTATCTTACTTGAATTTCTAACTGTTGAACCTTGAAGCACAGGGAGAATTTTATTTCATATGTGGATGCCATCACTTTTAAAAACCAGATTGATTGATGTCCCTGCCTTCTGCCTAGAAGGAAGGTACTCCATGTTGTTTTCTAATTTATCATATTGTTATTTTTCACTGGGTATTATGTCCGGCTCTGGGAATACATAGATGAATAAGAGACATCAAGGAGCCGTCAAAAAGCCCACAGTCTGTTTAGAATGTGGATAACTAAACCATCAATTACAGTGGAATAGACTATACGATTAAGGTGACCATGGAAGTTATTCAACAAACTGGGACATTTTAGAAGGGAAAGGGGGCACTGTTAGTAATTACCTCCAAGACAACACATGTAAACTAGGACTGGCTGAGCACACTGGACATTCCATCCTGCCTCTAGTGAAGGTGTTTATAGAGACTGTTGCCACATGGTCTTTTAAACCAGTAAGAAGCAGAGAGAAGAAATGCTGTCTCAGCCTTGGGAAGCAGGAGAGCAGCTCCATGAGGGCAGAAATCTCAAAGGAAGGGATGTAAAATGCAGCAAAGCAAGAGAGTAGGGAACATGCTGTCTAAACAGAAAGGATTACACAGGTAAGAAGCAAAACTGGGTATTTATTCTTTTATTCCAGTTGTGTCAGTGGCAAAGTTCACATATGATCGTGAAAATAAGAAAGCCTGGCTTGAGTTCTTCCACAGATAGAAAACCATTTGTCTTCTTCAAAGGAGGTGAACATTGGAGGCAGAACTCTTCTCTTAAAGAGATGATTGAGATGCCTGGGTAAATAAGCAAGAGTTCTAGAGAGTAGAGCACAGCTTCCTTCCTGACCTGGCTTCCCCAACCCATACCTCTATTTCTCTTCTGCTTTCAGCTGGAAAAAGAAAAGGAATGAGGTCCTTTGCCAATAACTCCCATACTCTATGAGAAGATTAAGCTGATTTAAGAGTGAAGATAATCAGGAGAAGAGTCAATGAAATCCCAGAGTTTGGGTTTGGGATGGGGCTCATGGTGTGATAATCACCTCCTCTCTCTAATACCCTACCCTCCACCACCAGCATATACTTACAAATCTTCCCCTATTAGCCACCAGACAGCTTCAGTTTCTGTGTGGGTATTTGTATCATTATTTACATGAATTATTAATGCCTAACTGGCATGCAGTATAGGAATTGCGATGCACATTATTCACTGTGTCAGATGAAGTTAAACATACGTTTTACTTGCTTCTTTAATTTTAGCATATGGAAAGGGCAAAGCATGGAAATCAGAAAGATGTGGGTCAGATCTTGGCTGTGTCACTTGCCACCTATGGGGTGTTAGACAAGTTACATAATTCCTGAGCCTTGGCTTCCTTACTGGAAAATGAGGCCAGGAATCCTTAAACAGAGTTAGTCAGCCTCGTGGGTGGCATTTGTGTGGCACACACTCTTAGTGAGGGATGAGTTAAAGAGATTGGTTTCCCTGATAGGCAGATAAACCCAAGGTTTCCTGTGGACAAATTATTTCCAACTTTGTCGCTGCCCCGTTTCTCTCACATTCTGTGGGACCCCCGCCTTTTTAAAACTCAGTGGATTGCAAAGATCAGAATAATGTGTGTAAAGTATCTGCTATAATGACTTCTCTGTAGATGCTCAGCAAAAGGTTTCTGATGCTGTTAATATGGCTTTCATGTATTTATTTATCTACTTATGTCTTTACTTACTTAATTGTAGGTTCAGAGGGCAAATGTGCAGGTTTGTTACAAGGGCATATTGTATAGTGCTGGAGTTTGGGCCTCTATTGAACCCATCACCCAAATATAGTGAACATGGTACCCTATGAAAACATGGTTTTTCAATCCTGGTCTCCCTGCTTTCCTCCCCGCTTTTGGAGTCCCCAAAGTCTGTTGTTTCCATATTTATGTCCATGTGTACCCATTGTTTAGCTCCCACTTTATAAGGGAGAATGTGCTTTTTTTTTTATTTTGTGTTTCTACATTAATTTAATTACAATAATGACCTCCATCTGCATCCTTGTGGCTGCCAATAACATGATTTCATTCTGTTTTATGGCTGTATAGTATTCCATGCTGTATATGTACCATATTTTCTTTATCCAATACACTGTTCATGGGCAACTAGGTTGATCCCATGACTTTACTCTTGGGAATAGTGCTGTGATAAACATAGGAGTACAGGTACTTTTTCACTAGAATGATTTATTTTCCATTGGGTAGATACCCAGTAGTGGGATTGCTGAGTTGGATGGTAGTTATGTTCTTAGTTCTTTGAAAAATCTCCATGCTGTTCTCCATAAGGATTGAACTAATTTACATTCCCACTAGCAGTATATGTGTTCCCTTTTCTGTGTACCCTCACCAACATCTGTTATGTCTTGACTTTCTAATATAGCCATTCTGACTGGTGTGAGATGGTATCTCATTGTGGTTTTAATTTGAATTTCTCTGATAATTAGTGATGTTGAGCATTTTTTCATGTTTGTTGGCTGCTAGTATGTCTTTTTTATTATTACTTAACTGTTTCCATCATGTTGCTCAGATGCCTTAAGAGTAATAAGTCTGGGCTGAAAAGAAAGGTAAGTACAGACCTTTCTTTTTTAGAACAATCAACTGAATTGCACATTATTTCAACCTTCTTAAGTAAATTCCACCCAAATGTTATTTTAAACAGATTGCTGACACATGGTCTCTAAAATCATATCAACTAAATTTTGCAGCTAACCATGCAGTTCTTAGATCCATATTTCAAATTTGGTTTTATGGATCATAGAAGTTAAGGCCACCTTAAAATATATTTCGTCAGTGTTGTGATTTTCCTTGGGGAATGCAGGTTAATGAATCTGAATGTGCTGGGGATTTGAATCTACTTCAAGCCAGTTCGTTGTTAGAACTGGATAAATAATTCATATCTTTGCCCAGTATAAATGTTTTATTTACAGGGAGTAACTACCCATACCATATTCTTTTGGTCATACAGCATTTCTCACTCAGGCCCAAAAATCCCACATGCATTTAACCATAGACCAATCCCTGTTCTGTTTCCCTGCTCTCACTTGAAATTCAAAGAAAAAAATATTAACGCAATCATAGAAACGCCCAATATCATTACATGCTACTTTTGCATTTTTTTCTTCTAATATTTTTAAGATGGGGGAAAAGGAGCTTTCTCTAGAAGTAAGAAAATTGACTGTTTTAACAAAATCAAGTTGCAGTACAAGAGTTCATATATCATTACCTTTTGAATAAGTTTGAAAAGAAAGGAGAAGAGAAAGAAGCAGAATTCTCCTTGCATTCTGTATTTGTAGTCTTGTGGTTTTCTCTGGCTGGAATGTCTTTTCTTCTCAACCTAGAAAACCCTTACATATCAGTCAAGGTCCAGCTTTATTGTTACTTGCTATGGGAAGCCTTCCTGGAGCTGAATAGGCAAGATTAATTGCTCTTTCTTATGTTTTACCACTTTGGTTTCTTTATATATTCAGTAGTATCATTTAACACAGTGTATTATGTCTGTTTGTGTAGAAGACCATCTCACCTGTATTCTTGCAAAGCCTTCACCTTATCCCTGTTTGTACTCTAAGCCTCTGCTCTGTACATGTTTGTTCATTTCAACATTGATTTATTCTTCAAATATTTATTTAACATCTACTGTTCCCATTAACTTTTGCTGCATAACAAATCACTCTAAAACTTTTTTTTTTTTTTTAAGAGACAGGGTCTCGCTGTGTCACCCAGACTGGAGTACAATGACATGATCATAACTCATTGCAGTCTCCAATTCCTAGGCTCACATGTGTCTCCTGCCTCAGCCTCCAGAGTGGCTGGGACTACAGCCATATGCTACCACACCTTGGTAATTTTTATATTTTTTTTTTATAGAGATGGGGTCTCAGTGTGTTGCCCAGGCTGGTCTCAAACTCCTGGCCTCAAGCAGTCCTCCTACTTCTGCCTCCAAAAGTTCTAGGATTACAGGCATGAGCCACCATGTGCCCTGCTAAAACAATGTAATGGTGTAAAGCAACAATCATTTTATCATCTCTCAAGGTTTCCATGGGTCAGGCATTCCGGCAGAGATTGATTGACAAGGCAGTATTTGCTCAGTGTGTCTCCTGTGGCTGCAGTGGGATGGGGGCTGGAGACAGCAGCTGGAAGATAGGTGTCCATTACAGTCTCTCCTCTCATGAAGCCCAAGGCCTCTGCTTATGGTCTCTCCGCATGGGTGAGTGTAGGCTTCCTATGCTATCATGGCCTCAGCAAGAGTCATAATGCCTACCTAGGGCAGCTAAAGGCATTAAGAATGAATGTTCAAGCTAGCAAGGTGGAAGCTGAATTCCCTAGGCTCTGAAGACACCATCACTTTCCCTGCATTCCACTGGTGACCAGTGAGTCACAAGCTATCCAAATTCAAAGGGAGAGAAGTTAGACTTTACTTTCTCCCCCTCAGTTTTAGTAAGGTATACTTGACAAGTAAAAATTACATATATTTAAGGAGCAGAAGGTAATATTTTGATATATGTATACATTGTGAAGTCAATACCACAATCAAGCTAATTATCATATCATATCTATCACCGCACATAGTTACCATTTTGTGTGTGTGTGTGTGTTGAGAACACTTAAGATCAGCTCTCTTAGCAATTTCAAGTACATAATACAGTGCAATTAACTATAATTCCCATGCTGTATACTAGAGCTCCAGAGCTTACTCAGTCTGCATAACAGAACCTTTGTCCTTTGACCAGCATTTCTCCATCTCCCCCATCCTCCAGCTCCAGGCAATCACCATTCTACTTTTTTTTTCCAACTGTAAAACATTCCACATATAAGTGAGATCAAACCTATGTCTGGTTTACTTCATTTCACATAATGTCCTCTAGGTTCATCCATGTTGTGACAAATAGCAGGATCTTCTTTTTTAAGGCTGAATAATATTCTGTTTACATATGTACCACATTTTCTTTAGTCATCCATCAATGAACCTTTTAATGGGAGAGTGGCAAGGATTTAGTGGGGCAAGAGGGTTGAGAAATACTGTGTTCACCTTTTGGAAATGCAATCTGGAACACCTACCACGTGCTCTGCCATGTGTAAGGCTCTGAGGATACCACAGTGAATAAGACAGACATGGTCTCTTCTTCATGGAGCTTGCATAAGGAACAGAAAAAATATAAATAAGTGGAAAAGATAAAATTTTTTTAGCCATAAAGAAAAAGAAACTATCATTATATGGTACATTTCAAGAAAGGCCTTGTGGGGTGGACTTAGTGGCTCACACCTATAATCCTAGCACTTTGGGAGGCCAAGGCAGGAGGATCACTTGAGGCCAGGAGTTCAAGACCAGCTTGGGCAACAGAGGGAGGCTCATTTTGCAAGAAGTGTAAAAAATTACCCAGGCATGTTGGTGCACACCGGTCGTTTCAGCTATTTGGGAAGCTGAGGCAGAAGGATGGCTTGAACCCATGAATTGGAGGTTGCAGTGAGCTGTGATCATGCTGCTGCACTCCAACCTGGATGACAGAGCGAGATGGAGATTTGGTTTAGGGTCACAGTAGTGGCAGCTGAGAAAAAGAGACTGTGTATTCTTGAGGTAGAGCTGGCTGAATTCATGCTTATGACATAATATTTCCTACCTAATGATCACATTTTATGTTTGTTGTGCATGAATTATACAGCTCCCAACTTGGCCTTTAGACTGTGTCCTGTGTGGGAATAATTCTTACTCATACTTGTATTTTCCAAAACACTTACTGCATTTTAAGTACTCAACAAATATTTGTTGAAGTGCATTTCACTCTTTCTTGGACAGCTTCCCATGTCTTAAAAGTACGTATAATTTTCCAGTTTAATTTATTGCGACTATTTCTTAGAAATCTAAAAAATTGATTTTTGTATAGATTTCTACTTGAGGCTTTCTATTAAAAAATATGGAGTGTGCTATATTTTAGTATGTTCTTCCCCCTCCCTGAAGCCCTTCATGGAAACAGGTCAGGTGAGTGGATGCATGGATGGATGGATGGATGGATGGATGGATGGATGGATGGATGGATGGATGGATGGATGTCAAATGAGATGTCGAGTGAAGTGCCGTTTCCATTGCACTTCTGTGGAAAATACAGATTGGTAATGATGATTTCTGCCTCCTATATTGTGATCCCTGGAGAGGACTTACTCATAATTTATGATCTGTTATACAAAGTCTATAGAATTGTTACACTGAGGTAAATTTCTCACTGCCTCACTCCAAACAATTCATTTTGTACTATGACCCATTTTCCACTTTGTGATCTTATTTGTGTATTTTACAATTCTGTCCTAATGCAGATTTCATTGCTCGAGTAGCATTTATGGGAAGATGAGAGTATCTGACCCTTTTTGAGTCTGAAATTCTAAAAATATATATATATAATTGAGAAGGAATATATAAAAATCTATCCTGTTTTGGAAAAGAAGAGAGATTATTTTCTAACCTTTTACATTCAAATACTAAAAAAGAGACACCTTTAACTTTAGCTTAAAGATTATTTTAAACACTTATTTTTTCTTAGCATTTATGAATTTACTTAAGAAAATAGTAGTATTTCAAAGTTTAATAAAATCTTGTTTTCTTAGTTTAGATAATTTTATAAACTTATACTTTATTGTATTTATTTCTTTGTTACTCTAGCCTACTTTTAATAACTTTATATCTTCTATTCTATTTCATTTACTTATATCGTGTCGTATTTCACAAAGAATTGGAGACAGTTTATCAAATAATACACAAAGTGAACACTGAGGAGAAAAAATATGCCAGTGTTCCAGTTGCCTAGAATGTAAGTTTCTTTAGAACAGCATAAATCCTCACCATGGAATCTTTATTGTTTATGACAGAGCAAGGTCCATGTTAATAAATATTTGTGGAATGAATGTATGAAGTTAGTTTACAAAATATATACCAACTTAGTTGAGATCCACAATTTTGGCTGAGAGCTTTGTGGTAACAAATGAACAGAGAAAAATACTGTGAATTAACAATCCACAGCATCTGTAAGATGAAATGAAACAATGTGATAAGGAGATACACAACTCCTCCTGGCCAAGAAATGTTATGTGTGTGTCCAAATCCAGTGGATGCCCACAGAGAGAACAGTGAGTAATGTACTACTTATACTCCTCATACTTAAAGTAAAATACAATCAATTTTAAAGGTTACTTCTTTTACCGCTCACAACTTAAGGGTAACTGAATATTAACACTCAAGACTCTTGAGGAATACATAGGCCACATTTCTTTTAGCTAACTTACCATGAATATTATTTCTCACCATTTCTCATTATTTCTCACGTATGTTTTTAGAAGCCTTGGAGTAGATGTTATTTCAAGGTTATGCTCAGAATCAAAAACCTGAGATACAGAGAAGGTGCTGCAGTGCAAATGAAGAGTCAGATGCTTAAACGAGTCCATTGAACTAGCACTAAAGTTTTATTACCTTATGAAAGGTGTGTTGGCCCACCAGAACCTGCGCTTGACTAGTTGGTGATAAACTCTCTGCTTGGAGGAGGGACAAGAATGTTCAGGTTGTCAGGACTGAGATGTTACTGGGAAAGCAAATTGAAGCCCTCTATATTGTATGAAGAAATGTGTGACTCAAGACCCAGCTTCTTGAGCAACATTACCATTTTGTTTCACTGCAAGATAATTTGTAAGGAACCCATCATCAAATGTACACAGTCATCATAAAAGAAAATGTCAATGAAGCACTTCTAGAAAGGCTAGCACTGAAGCAGCTAAGACAAAGGGGTTGCAAACCTACTTCTGCGTCATTGGATGAATGGAATTGCTAGCAGAGGTTCTTAACCTGAGGCCCATATATCTTAGATGATCTGATCCCCTCCTCAGTTGTATGAAAACTGTTATTGTTTGTGTGTGTGTGTGTGTGTGTGTGTATACGTATACATATGTGCACACACACATTTGTTCTACAGAGAGATTTCCCAGATTTTTCAAGTACTCAAAGAACCTTGTGTCCTAGAAAGGTTAAAAACACTGCGTAATGGCCGGGCGCGGTGTCTCAACGCCTGTAATCCCAGCACTTTGGGAGGCCGAGGCGGGCGGATCACGAGGTCAGGAAATTGCGACCATCCTAGCTAACACGGTGAAACCTCGTCTATACTAAAAATACAAAAGAAATTAGCTGGGCGTGGTGTCGGCCGCCTGTAGTCCCAGCTACTCGGGAGGCCGAGGCAGGAGAATGGCGTGAACCCGGGAGGCTGAAGCAGGAGAATGGCGTGAACTCGGGAGGCGGAGCTTGCAGTGAGCCCAGATCGCGCCACTGTACTCCAGCCTGGGGGACAGAGTGAGACTCCGTCTCAAAAAAAAAAAAAAAAAAAAAAAAAAAAAAAAAAAAAAAAAAAAAACCACTGTGTAAGGTTGTAAATGAACTACTTAAATATTGATGGATATTAATAAAAGCGGATGACTTTAGAATTGGAATAAAAGGGCAAAACTATTCTATCTTGCAAGAACTCAACAGCAGGGCAGGGTGTTAGTTGGTCCACTGTTGATCTGTGATAAAACCTTGTCCTCTCTACATAGAAGATTATTTCTGAACTCTTCATATTTGTTGAGACAACAAATATTTATTGAAAAAAACTACTATGTACAAAGCACCAACATTTCATAATCTGTATCCTTTAAGGGTTTGTGAACTCTAGCTGAGAATTAAGGATATTACAAACAATTATTAGCTAAGAAACAACCTAACTTAAGAATGTATAGGAAACTGGCTCCAGAAATCTTGGCAGCAGGCATTGTACCATGTTGTTGGAGCAAGTGCTGGGATGAGTGAAGTAATGATTATTTTGGTCTTTTTGTTGTAAATCAGAGTCTGAAGAGGGAGAGTCCAATGGACATAGCTTAGAACATTTTCTCTCAAAGCGCAGTCCCTGTATCAGCAGCACCAGTATCACCTGAGAATGTGATAAAAATGCAAATCCTTATGCCCCATCCCAGACCTAATCTGATGGTGGGCCCGGCAGTGGGCATTTTGAAGAATCCGCTAGGTAACTGGTACACAGTCAAGTTTCAAAAATACCAACTTATATGTCTAGCCCATGGCTAGGATACGACAAGACACCGTGATTCATAGCCCTACCAAGACTGCATTCAATAGGGGCAAAGAATTCCTCAAGGAAGATCAATGTTAGTTGCCAAAGAATGAGGAATCAATTCTGGACAGCCAAAAAATATTCAGCATCCTCTACATACCTTGAGGTGATGAAATTCCCCTTATGCATAAAATGCAGGTATCTTGCACTTTGACATTAGTGTGGAATGACTTCCATTCCAGGGCTTCTAGTCTCTAAGTAGAAGGACAATCACTGGAGTAACATTTGGATATTTCTCTAATGACTCCCCAGAGAAAGAGTCTGTCTCCTAAATTTCTGTAGAAGACCCTGACACTCTAGCTCAACTTTTCCCCTTCTTTCTCTTTGGTGTTTGCTGCACATAGAGAGTGGACGTATTTTGCTGTTCTCTTTACCACGCAATAATGGGGCTTGCCCTTATGGGGAGGGCCTGAGGTGGTCTGCCTGTGCCAGGAAGGCTAAGCCTGCCTAATTCTGGAGTGAAATGTCAGGAAACCATTGTCGCTCATCTAAGCAGTTTTGCATCACCTTTATCTGTAATACAACTAATAAAGCCGACATTTTTATTTTCCCTGGTTAGACTCATATAACTCTCTCTGAGGCATAGAAGAATAGTAGTGTCAAGTATGAGGGGCCTGTGAACCTTAATAATATCCCCTTTGAAGTTTTCTTTTAATATATAAGACATCAGAGAATTATTTGTCTCATTTGTCTGTTTTCCTTTGTTTGTGTTACTACTTCGTGCGTCTGAGTATTTATAATTTTTCCAAAGACTCCTTTGTATAAGAATGCAAATGTTTCAGATGAGAGTATTGCCTGGGCCTTATGAGTTACTTAGATGATAGTTGTATATAATCATTTAGACTGGAAATCCCCTTATAGGGGTCTTTTCTTCTATTGATTTGAGTCCATTTTAGTAGGAAAAACTATTCAGTCATTGTCATAAAAGTGATTTTGGCTCTAAATATATTTGTCATGTTAATATGCGTTTAGCAACATTTTATAGAAGTGAAAATGTTCCTTTATTGTTGACTTTTAACTTATGAATATGTGGACCTGTTAAATGATATGAATTCATTATCTTTCCCTAGGTTATAGAGTAGAGCCAAGGTCCATCTTCTCTAGGTGTCTGTTCCATAGAATGTGTATGTTCAACAGAATCACAGAGCTGCTTGTTATTAGCCTGGTACTTACTCAAAGTTAGGTTAATTAACTGCTGATCTCCTCCATTCTGCTTTTCCTTTCCTTGGAGATTTACTAACCAATAAATCACTATACTAACACTGCTGAATTTATAACATGAAAGCCCAAAATAGGATAGGTAGAAGAATAAAAACGCTAATACTATTTTCCTAAATACTGTTTGCAGGTTATCTTTGAACTCAAGGAGAAGCAGTTATTTCACCAATAACGTGGGGGTGAGAGCAGTTGTAAATGAGAACATATACAGTTGTAAATGAGAACATATACTCTATGGTCTTTTTCTCTCATGTTTATTTTCTCATACATTTTCATCAATGTATATTTGCTTTTCTTAACTGTCATTATTTATCCTGTAATATATGCATTGTGAGTACTTTTGTCTTACATGTAATGTAAGCATCCATCTCTTAGAATATGTACTCAGAAAGTACCATCTAAAAGAGCCTTGTTATTTTCTACACAGCAGTTTAATCATTACGATCTCATGTGATTGCAACTCCACTGAGATATGCTTCCTGAGAAAATGTAGAGTTGCAGTGTGTTTGTTAAAATTCAAGTTGAATAAATTACCGTAATGATCAGAAGAATATAGGCAGGGAAAAACAATATTTTCAGAAATCCTGCTTTGCCATCCGTAATGCTTTAGACTTTTTCCATTCTAAAACACACTGCATTATTATAGATGCTTAAATGTCATCATAAAGTACAGGTCAATGTTGTCTAGACAACAGTATACTTTATGAACAAACAAAGTTTTTTAACAGTCATAAATTTAATGCCATCACTATAATTACAACATGAGCCATTAGAGCAGCTTAGAGCAATTACATTTACTTATCCCAAACTAACCATAGACTGCACAAAGTTAAGTGAAATAATTAACCTCCTACTACAAAAGGAAGTACCAATAAAAAGGTACAAATAAAAGTATATTATAAAACTGATCAAGGAGTTAAAATGCCACAGTGATTTAAATTGCACATTTCCCTAAGCAAACTGGAGCACTGAATGTTAATTTCATAAATTGTTTTTTAACGTTTTGTGCCAAGACAGGAGTCACTCATCGTTATCTACATTTTCAGCTCTACGCATTTGCAGATAAACCTGTTCTCAGAAAGCTTAGAAAGCAAATTCGTTTATAGTGAAGTGGTATAAAATTTTCACTTTGAATCTCTGTAGGGAAGCGTGGGTTATTGAAGGTTTTCTGTTGAGAAACAATTACTCCATTCATTTACTGAATATTGTTTATTTTTATGTTGTGCAAATGCCCTGTGGGCCTCTTAGAACTTACTGGAAGAACCAATTTAGGAAGAAAATATCCAAGTAGTTCAAATTTTTACAATATACATAGAGTTTGCATTCTTTGAGAGTCAATATGTTTGCTTTGAAGTCTTTGTGTGATTCTGAAGGTGTTAGGTTTTGTCTCATTTCAACATGGGCATGATTTGCTTGACTTGAAGTTTGCTTAATTAAAGTTACTAAACCTAATACACCAAAGGATTTGTAGTTCTTCCTCTATTCCTAGCACTTCTGTATTTGTAGTGGAAACTTAGCTGTTACACTAATTCATTGCATAGAAGATACCTGAAATTACCTACCTCTGTTTTGTAGTTTCCAAATCAGAAAATATCAATTTAAGTTCAATAATGTTCAGTCAACAAGAGGCATTTTTACTTTGTTTTAAGGCTTACTAATCATAGAAGTGGTAGATCCCCAGCTTCTTGAAGCTTCCCATTCTATCTCTAACCTATAATTTAGGGCAGATTAATTTGCCTTATTATTTAAGTATCTTCCCAAACTTCTGATATAATCTGCCATCTTCTGGTCTTTGCATATTAAAATTCTCCATCACATCTGCATTTTCTTTTTAATAACAATGATAGGTAAAATTTCCGGAGCAACACTATAAATCAAGTGTCATTCTCTTTGGGTGTCATGGCCCCAAAATTTTACTGATGGGATTAGCGATCAGATGGGTTGGGAGCATGGCTCTTAATCATGCTCTCTCTTTCCTCCAAGACTTCTCTGACAGTTTCCTCTCTCACTCTTTTTTTCCATCCCATTATCTTCAGTCTCTCCCTCTCTGTTTACTTATTCTCTAACAAGTACAAGCATATTCTCAGTTCTCTTATCCTGGGAAAGGCATTTCTAAATTCTCTTTATTCAGTCTTCTATTGCCTTATCTTTTTGCTACATATATGTAAACAACATAGCTACATATGTGTACATAGTATTTCCTTGATATCCACCAGACCCCCATGGATGCTCAAGCCCTTACACAAAATAGCTTGGCTTTTGCATACAACCTATGCATATCCTCCCATATACTTTAAATAGTCTCTACTTACAATACCTACTAATATGTAAGTGCTGTGTAAACAGTTGTTATACCATATTGTTCTGTCACTTGTACTTTTTTATTGCTGTATTGTTATTATCTGTTTATTTTAAAATATATTCTATCTATGGTTGGTTGAATCTACAGAATCTGCAGATGCAGAAACCGCAGATATGGAGGGCTGGCTATCTATCTATCTATCTATCTATCTATCTATCTATCTATCTATCTATCTGTATCCAATTAGTTCACACATATATGTGTGTGTGTTTGTATTAGTCTGCACACTTTCTGAATCTATTTGCTTATTATTTATAAGGTGTCAGTGCCTTGCAACCCAGCTTCACTAGCCCCAACTCCTTTACAGTGACTCTCTAAAGGCATACCGTCATTTACTCATTCAACAAGTTTTATTTTTGAATGTCTACTCTGTACCAGACACTTTTCAAGGGTCTAAAAATTTAGTGGTGAGTGAGCTAGATATTGTCCTTTCCTCCAGAGAGCCTACAGTGTACTGGAGGAGAAAAATATTAGTCAAATAAGAACACAAATATGTAATTGGACACTCGATGGGTGCTATGAAGAAAGCACAGAGAATGTTTTGATCAAATACAGGAAAATCGAATCTAACTCATGGTTTCAGGAAAGTAAGTAAAGTCTGAAGGATGAATACAGGTCAACCAGAGAGAGGAAATAGTTTTTATAAAGGCCCTGAGACAAAAAGAAGCAAAAAAGTCATTAAAAGAAGGCTTGTGTGATTGGAGAAAAGCAAGCAAGGAAAAGAATTCATGAAGTCATATGAAGTTAGAGAGAGGCAGAGGTCCTGATGTGAGGATATGGTTCAGGCTTAGGATATAGTCTGTATCTCCCAGGCAATGTGACACCAAAGAGGAGGTTCTAAGCAAGGTTTGCCTGGACAGCTGGAGGGAGGAGGGCAGGATCACGTGATCAGATTGACATGTCTAAGTTTTTTCTCCATGTTCCTTAAAACTTCCAGTCTCCATATCCTAAATTTTTATTTATTTTTACTTCTCTGCAGGGTTTCTTCTTTAAGTTATTATTACATGCTCATTAGGAAAATCTTTGTTGTCAGATAGGCTAAGGTATAAAGAGATTTTTTTAAGTTATTTGATTATCTTTTCCAGTAAAGTTATGGGAGGCATTTCACACTCAACAAAATGCATTACAACCTTCAGGGTCCCACGAGAAGAATCAGGTATGTCCCTTTTTGTTTTGTTTTGTTTTTAATTCCTAGGAAAGTTCTTGGAATTTTTGACCTTTCTCTGTAGTTCCTCAAGTTGGCATGCAGTGCCATGGTTCCCTGATGAGCTTTCTAGGTCATTGCTCTCAAACCTTTTTATTTTAAATATACCTTAACACAGTTTTAAAAAAATCATATGCATAACAAACCGTAATAGATAGCTGTACCCAGGATCATGAACCTGTGTGCTAGCTCTAATTCCACCATGATTTTCTCACTGAAGGAAGTGTAACCAGGATGCAAATGAAAGTGAGTAATGGACTATAAAGTAATACATATATAAAGTGATGGGTGGCAGTCTCCTATAGTCTACTGGAGGAGAAAAATATGGAGAGAGATATATACACACATATGTGTATACACACACACACGCACGTGTGTACACATACGCACATATGTGTATACACATATGTGCACGTGTGTATATATGTGTATATACACATATATGTATACACATATGTATATATATACACACATACACATATGCATATATAAATAAAACAAAATCTATCTTATACATTTTTATACAGAAACCCTTGTAGTAACATTTTTGAAACACACCTAAAAATTTTGCAATAAACATTTTTACAGATTGAGATCCTTCATTCTAGTCTAATGTCCTCAGTATTTTTCCTATTTATTCTACTGAATGGCCCAGAATTTGGAGGCATTTAGTTACCATAGTTGGCATATATGACGCCATGCTGATACTGGGGTTGCAAATATTTTTAAGAAGTTTACCATCCATTTTCACTCACTCATGTGTCAAAAATAGGAGCCATAAAAGATAAAGACACTCAAGTGTTAAATGCATTATGTGGATAGTAATTATTTTAGGAATTCAAAGAAAGAGAACATAATTATGAGTAGACAAATTAGAGCAATAAAGATACAGTGATCAGATTAATGACAGGTTAATCCCATCTCATTTTTTTTTCGTAATTCAAATGACACCACTTCTAAGAGGCTTTTCTGATGCACCCTATCCTAGAAACCCTTCCTCCTAAAGTAATTACTCTCTATTGTATCACCCTGTCTATCTCCTTCTGAGTACTTCTCAAAAATCAGAACTTCTTACTTTTACTTATTTATTTGTTGTTGATATGGTTTGGCTGTGTCCCCACCCAAATCTCATCTTAAATTGTAGCTTCCATAATTCCCACATGTTGTGGGAGGGACCTGGTGGGACATGATTTAATCACGGGGGCGGTTTCCCCATACTGTTCTTGTGGTAGTGAATAAGTCTCATGAGAATTGATGGTTTTATAAGGGGAACCCCTTTCACTTGGTTCTCGTTTCCTCTTTGCCTGCCACCATGTAAGACATGCATTTCACCTTTTACCATGATTGTGAGGCCTCCCCAGCCACGTGGAACTGCAAGTCTGTTAAATCTCCTTTTTCTTATAAATTACCCAGTCTTGGGTATATCTTTAGCAGCAGCATGAAAACAGAGTACTACGTTGTCTATGCTACTCACTGGAATATTATTCCATGAAGGTGGAGACTTTTTGTGTTGCTCACCCCATAATTCCAGGTTCTCTTATAGTGCTAAGTGTATGTAAAGCACTCAGTTATATTTCCTTAATTAATTAGTCAGATGCCAAAGCTTTGAGTACTCTAAGTGTATACTAAGAAACTCTAAGGTAAGGTTTATTGGATTTGCCTAGGCTCTTTTCATGAGCTCACAGGGGACCACCCAAATGTTCTTTTGGAAAATTACAGTTTTTATTGGGGCGATGTGACTCTCTTAGTTCATAGTAAAAGACATGCAGCTTCTCGTTTCTCATATACTGTTTCAAATTTAAGAGACATAGTGTTCTGCCTACTTTGCATTTCTTTAAAATTGATTAGGCTAACTCCATGAATAATCTACCACAACATATATTAATATTTTTGGAAAACATTTGACACTTATTTGATAAGTGCATCCTCTCAACTTTGGTGTAATAAGTAATGCTGAGTAAAAATACTGAACAAAGTTCAAATTGGTGGAGCATCTTTTGTCATCCAATGCTGTGCGTGTGTTTATGTATGTGAGTGAGGGGTGAATTTTCTTTTTTTTTTTTTGTATTCCCAAAAAGCTAAGGACTGGTTGATCATGCCTTAAAAATACTAGCTTAAGGCAACATGTTCTGTAAAAATATGTATATTCATTTGGAAAAAAAATGGCTATTATATATTTATTTATCTTATTTGTCTTTGCTTTAGAATTTCTTTGTTAAACGATGGAGGACTCAAAATAGCCAATGTGACTAAAGCTGATGCTGGAACTTACACCTGCATGGCAGAAAACCAGTTTGGGAAAGCAAATGGCACAACACATTTGGTTGTTACGGGTAGGTCCATTTCTAAAATATTGCTTTACATACGGATTCACTGTAAGATGTATTATTATGAGGAAAGTAACTATGTGTTTCACAATGTTCAGTACACTATGAAGGTAGAACCTGTATTTGCACTTATGTTATTTTTAACAGGTGAAAGTCAAGGGAACAATATTTCCTTAGCACAGCACAGTGTGCACCAGGGAGCACATTAGTTACTGTGCTGGGTTGATAGGCAATAAGAGTTACAAATAGCATATGTTGATGATCTCATTCTATTTTTTTTTAAATAAAATTCTATTATGTCAGGTCTTTAGGATACACTTTGTTTTTTTCATTATAGTTGATTTTTTCTGGAGATGTTCAAGTCCAGGAAATAACAGGATATAAATAAGAATTGCTTAAAGTTGTGGATATATTTTATTCATTTATCCATTCATGAAAAAATTGGAGCACCTACTCTGTGCCAGTTGCTTGGGCTGTATCCTTGAGCACATTGTCACTAATACTGTCCTCATGAATCTTACCTTCTATAAAAGGAGAAAGAAAATAACAGTAGGAATAAGAAAGAAGAAAATTATTAGAAGGCAAAAATTGTAAACAAGAAAGAGGTGCATAGTGGCAGAGGTAAGTTAGAGCATTAGCAACAGGATGATCAGAATAAACCTCACTGAGAAGGAGAGATTTGGAAAAAGATTTCATGGACATGAAGGTGTCAGTTAACAGATTTCTTAGTGATAATTATGCAAGCAGTTTGTAGACCTCCTGAGGAATTATTTCAGTTGGATTGAAAAGTGGAGTGGCTGCAAGGTTTTGAGCAGAGAAGTGCATGATGTTAAATACCTTTTGATATATCAGCAGGATGGTTATGAGGACCTTGGTGAGGACGGGGGTTGGGAGGACCAAAATCTGGCTAGACTGAGTTAAAGAGGGAATTGACTAGCATAATTGTAGACAACATGCATAAATGACTCTTTTGAAGACTTTGGTCCAACGTAGTGCAAAGTAATGTGGAGTAGCAGTGGGAAAATGGGGTCAAGAGAATTTTAATTCATGATAGACAAATGGAAGGAGGTGGTGATGACAGGGAGAAAGAAATGTGCATGTGGACATTTGCGTTGGGGAAAAACAGACATTAATTAGCATTTTAACATAGTACCCCTCCTTTTTGTACCTATTCTAGCATCTTTTGTATTATATCTTTCAAATCCAGGCTACCATTAAATGTCTGTTTAGATTTTGATGGTGATGTAATTTCTAGTCAAAGTTGGTGAAAACACAGTATTTTCTATTTCTACCCCTACATTTCAAAAAACAATAAAACTAAGTTGAAATTGATTTTGTTAATAATAATATAACTGTTGTTTACACGACTTTAATTTTTAAACTTACATGTCCTACAAGTTCAAATATCCTAATTTCTTTAACAAGAATTTGTGGATCCAGTGAAATGTAGCTCTGCATCAAAATGCCTCTTTTAATGTTGAATACTTTTAATTATATAGATGTATGTATATTTATGTATATGCATCTACAGACATACACAGTATAAGTTAGATGAACAGTCTGCCTGTGCAAATGTCTTTTATCACAATAAAATGCTGTTTTTCTGAAAAATTATTTCCCCAATAGAACCAACAAGAATAACTTTGGCACCATCTAACATGGATGTTTCTGTTGGTGAAAGCGTCATATTGCCCTGCCAGGTACAACATGACCCGCTGTTAGACATCATCTTTACCTGGTATTTCAATGGGGCCCTTGCAGATTTTAAGAAAGATGGATCTCACTTTGAGAAAGTTGGTGGGGTAAGTTGTGGCACTTTCCTCATACTTTTTATATTGCATGTGTCTCTGGCACATTGCTTCTGAAAACTGTCTGACATATAGACAATGCTCTAGAAATGTTTTCTAAATAAGTGGTTTTGGTTGAGTGGTTCTCAGTTCTGTTTTGATCTAATTTTATTTTTGTAATTACCAGAAATTGAACACATTTACTTCAATGTATAATTACAATTACAATTGATGGATGTTGTATTTATAGTAAATGTTACTTTTCATTACTTTGTTTTGTTAATGTCTTATGGAAACGAAGATTTTCTTTTACGGGTGTTTGTTTTCAACATGACACATATGTGATGAACTGGGAGAAAGCTGCACTTACTAAGTGTCTCCTCCAGGTGCTTGATCCCAATTAATGTGTCAGGCCAGGGTACATCATCACTGTTAATCCTCACAATTGCACCAGACATTAGCAGTAAGACGCTTCATTGTACAGGTGCACAAACTGAGGACTGGAAGTCTATCAACTTGCCCAGAGTCACTCAGCTAGTTAGTGGTGGAACTTCAAGTCCAGATCGGTGTGTTTCCACAACACAAATGCTTTCTAATGTTTCCATTCTGTCTCTTCTTTTGTGATGATTCCACATTAGAAAGATTTACAGATTTTAAGGAAAAATTGTCACTTTGAGGGGAATGGTCAAGAAGTGGCTTAATGCTGGTGAGCCACCCAGGCTAATGGTAAGCCTCACAGCATGTTTATGAATCTGGAATTGCAAAGCTAGCTTCCCTTGTAGGACTGTTTGCACTGACTCAAGGACAGCTTCATTCTTTTGGTAAAGAGGTCCATGGTGGACAGTCAAGTCTGGTTTTGTCAATTATGGACTTCACATACAGGCCTCAGTAAAGTAGAAAGCCATATGATGGTCAACTCAACTGTGTTCATTTGACAAAGACTTCTTATTAAATGTATGTATTTGTATACATCGGCATGTTAACATATTAAAATCATATGCAACTTAAAGGATGGCGTTTTGAGTTGAATTGTGTCCTCCCAAAAATATATTCTTAATGTCCAATACCTCAGAATGTGACCTTATTTGGAAATTGCCTTATCGTGGAAGCCATTAGTTAAATTAAGATGAGGTCATCCTGGATTAAAATGGGCCCTTATTCAGTATAACTGTTGTCCTTATAAAAAGAAGGCCATTTGGACATAGACACACAAAGAGGAGAATGCCATGTGAAGCACAGACACAGAGGAGAGATGGACCAATTAGGATGAAGGCCCAGAACAGAGGTGTGCTGCCACAAGCCAAGGAATGCCTGGAGCCACCAGAAGCTGGAAGAGGCAAGGAAGAATTTCCCCTTAGAGATTTTGCAGGGAGCCTGGCTCTGCCAGCACCTTGATTTCAGACTTCCAGCCATCAGAACTGTGAGAGGATACATTTCTGTTAAGCCACCAAGTTTTTGGTACTGCCTTACGGCAACCTTAGGAAGCTAGTACAGAAAAAAGAAAGTTTTTAAAAGGAAAAGAGAAATTGAGACGTTTAGATACCTAACTACAATTAAGTGTAATTTTAGGACCCTTTCTATTTTCTGTCATTTATTCCGTTTTGGAATTACTGCTTTTCTAATTGTTCTGACTGATTCACAGCCTTTGAGAACTTCACCAATTGCTAAAATCTTTTAGCTTTACTTTTACTATTGTTGTAAATGTCTATTTATTTTTAAATTGTCACTGCTTTTTTCTGTCATGATAGGAAAAGGCATAGGCCATATTCTGAGCTAGCTCTCTACTCCATACTCAGGCTGTCTTACAAGTTAACAATTTCTTCTTCCTTGGGCCTCAAGAAGAAGCCTAAAATGTTACTTTCATAAAGACCCTTTACCCAATCTGGGAAAGGCTTCTCTAATCCAGCTCTTCTACTACTTTTAATTATTGAAGAATTCCATTTGAAACATTAGTCACCTTTGCCATTATAATGAAGATAATTATGTTTGTGATTGATTTCTCAGCTGGATTGTGAGCTGTTGATAATAGTTTATCCAATACGGTTCCTCTGTCTTAGCTACTGCTAAATAAATGTGTAATGAAAGACTGAAAAATCCAAAGTAGTTTGACTGTAATATGCATCAAACAGTTACAAAGAAACACTAAGACTGAGCCAGATTGCAGCTATCTTTCAGAAAAGCTTGGAGTTAAAAACATTCGAGTTTATAATGTAATTTAACTATCTTGATTTACATAGCACTGATAGGTTCTAAAGAAGGCATTAAGTCATCTCTGTACAAGTCAGGTGTCTGCAACATGAAATTTCATAAATTAATGCTACCGCTTGCCAATTCTGTTCTTTCTCTACCATGCTAGTTCATGGCCTAAGAATTTTTTGTGCCATTAGTAACTTAATATTCTCCCATCAGTATAAAACAGTAAGCCATACAAGATGACATTACCCTTAAGCACAGGCAATTAAGTAAATCAGTTTTCTGTTGCATGAGAAGGGAATCATGTAACAAGTCTTGTCCTCTGATTGTGTATTCATTGCAGCATGCACATTAATACAAAGATAGTCTGCTTGCCTTTTTCCCCAGTGGGTTCATAGATATATCCCGTTTCCAAAAGCAGCAAAATGTGAACAAGGAGGCTGATAAGTGGGAAAGTTGCCTAGAAAGGTGGATAGTAAGAACTATGTTTTAAAAATAGGTTAGGGGTAGTTCAGGTTATAGAAAATACAACTCATAGCTTTGAACTGAATCAGCCAATTATTGGAACTATGCTAAGTAGTCAACAGCCATTCATTTGTTTTAAAAAACACAGGCCTTTTGGAAAAAATCCATAAGCTCAGAAAGCTCCAATAATTTAAACCAGATCTACTGTATAGATTTGAAATTGTGCCAAAGGAGCATGATGACACCAGTCACAGATTTTTGCACAATTGGAATAATACATTCAGAAAAGCTTTATGAAACTAAGTGTCTAAAACAAATTGGCACATCACAAAGGAGGAGTAGGTTTCAGTCCATGATCATGGGGCGAATCAAAAAGTCGTATCATTAAATCAGCAGGAAAAGACTTCCACATAAGTTCCTGTTTGCCAAGAAAAGTTCAATCATAGGCACGATGTGGTTCAGTTTCGGAAGAGGTGGATTTGTATTCAGATACACAAGAGTTCTGGGTGCTGTTGTTTGCTGGTTGATGCCCATGGGTGAGTGAGTCACGTAATTTTTTGGTCTTATTTTCGGATCTCTTTTCACATCAGTTTTTAGTACAGTCACATGTTGCTTAACGATGGGGATACATTCTGAGAAATGTGTTACTAGGCAATTCCGTCCTTATGTGGACATCGTAGGGTGCACTTACACAAACCTAATGATACAGCCTACTACACACCCAGGCTGTGTGGTATAGCCTATTCCTCCTGCCCTGCAAACTTGCACAACATGCCACTGCCCTGAATGCTGTGGGCAGTTTAACAGAATGGCAAGTATTTGTGTGTCTAAACATTGAAATGGTACAGTAAAAATACGGCATAAAGGATTTTCAAAAAGGTGCACCTGTATAGGGCACTTACTGTGAATGGAGTTTGCAGGACTGGAACTTGCTCTGGGTGTCAGTGAGTGAGTGGTGAGTGAAGGTGAAGGCTAGGACATTGCTGTACACTACTGAAAACATTAGAAACACTGTACACTTAGGATACACTCAATTTATAAGAAGTATTTTCTTTCTTCAATAATAAATTAACCGTAGCTTACCATAACTTTTTTACTTTATAAACTTTTAACCTTTTTAGACTTTTTGACTGTTTTGTCATTAACACCCAGCTTAAAACACACATTGTACAGCTATACAAAAATATTTTATTTATATCCTTAGTCAATAAGGATAAGCTTTTTTTCTGTTTTTAATTTTTTTTTTCATTTTGAACATTTTTGTCAAAAATGAATACACAAAGGCACAGGTTACCCTAGGCCTACGCAGGGTCAGGATCGTCAATATCACTGTCTTGTGCCTCCACAGCATGTCTCACTGGGAGGTCTGCAGGGGCAATAACATGCATGGTGCTGTCATCTCATAGGACAGCAATGCCTTCTTCTGGAATTCCTCCTGAAGGACCTATATGAGACTCTTTTATAGTTAACTTTTTTAATTTGTAGAAGAAGTACACTATAAAATGACAATATAAAGTATGGTATAGTAAATGGTATAAACTATTAACATGGTCATTTATCATGATTATCAAGTATTATGTACTGTACATAATTGTATGTGCTAGACTATTATATGACAGGCAGCACAGTAGGTTTGTTTACCTCAGCATCATCACAAATGCATCAGTAAGGCATTGTGCTGTAATATTATGATGGCTACAGTGTCACTAGTCAATAGAAACTTTTTTTTTTTTTTTGAGACAGGGTCTCACTGTGTCACTCAGGCTGGAGTGCAGTGGCACGATCTTGACTCACTGCAACCTCTGCCTCCCAGGTTCAAATGATCCTCAAGGCTCAGCCTCCCTACTAGCTGGGACTACCGGCATGCACCACCGTGTCCGGCTAATTTTTGTATTTTTAGTAGGGATGGGGTTTCACCATGCTGGCCAGGCTGGTCTTGAACTCCTGACCTCAGGTGATCTGCCCGTCTTGGCCTCCCAAAGTGCTGGGATTACAGGCATGAGGCACTAGGCCCAGGCAGCTCCATTATAATCTTATGGGACCACTGTCATATATGTGGTCCATCCTTGACCAAAAAGTCCTTATGTGGTGACACGTAACTGTATTTATCCCATTCTCTCCTGCCATGAGATCTCTTCCTGGAACACAGTTTTCTCTCTTTTTTTGCCTGTATCTAGATATCTTCATATATGATGGTGTGAATGTAAATAAGAATGTGTACACTATTTCACATATGCAGAATCACAAGAAGAGATACAGGCCTAGCTATATGTTTATGGTAGTGTTCTATTATACCTATATTTAAGCAATGAATTTTACTCCATTATTTACCCCTGTAGAACATCTTTGTTTCCTTACTTTTAAATAGAGCTTAGCATCCATCGATAGGAAAAGGGAGGTAATATTCCAAAGTTCAAGAGAAACCAAAGAACACTGTTGACTGGTATGTGAAGACCTAGGGCCTGGTAATTTAAGTATGATTTTACAAATGTTGAGGGATAATTTTGACTTGCTCAGTAAGCTAACTTTTGGACTTACATGCATTATATGCCAGAGGCTCCCTACAGAGAGAAACTTTTGGACGTAAACACACTAGTTCACCCTGTATTGTAAGGATGTTTAAATATATATGCTTTGATAAACCCTATGTGGTGCAGTTACTTTAGAAATAAAGAATGTCTAGAGCCAAGGTGTACAGCTTTCCCAACACTTTGTGGAATTGGATCTATGATAAATTAGAATGTTTGTGGATAAAAGTCACTGGAAGTAATAAAAACTTGAGCAGTGACAACCAATCTGCCATTCATTTAAATGGCTCACTTCAATATGATTTATTTCCCACAAGCCACAATTTCACTCTAGTTACAGCAGCTACACATGAGCTTGAGATTTGATGTATTTTTCAGCTCTCAGTGGTAGAAAAGAATATCTTTGAAATTGATCCTTTGTGTGATAATACAAGTGGCCACTTTGACTTGATTTATTTCATAGAATTATTTGTGTGTGAAGACTAAAATTTTGAAAACAGCAGCTCTTTATAACTATGTAAACAATTTTATGTAAAGGAAAGCACTCATTCCCCAAACAACTTCTGGGGGTATTCTGAGTTTTTAAGCATATCCCCGTTGGACTATATTATACATTTTGTATCTTGTCCAAATTCAAAGCATCAGCTGACTTGAAATAACTATTAAGAGAATGTACCCAGAAACAAATTCACAAAAGTGGGGAACAGACCAGAGGAATTATTATTTATCTTGAACCCACGTCGTTGAAGCATGACTCTTCCCATAATGTTATTTGCTGGTAAAGAAACAAGAATTCCCCAATTCCAGCTGGAAAAGGGGGTAATACACAAAACTGTTGATGTGTAGTTATTTGCCTGACTCATCATTTATTCAACCAGGCAAATAAAGGCTCAGTTCCTGCTTAAAGTGTGATTGATGTCCAAGGGCTGTATTTATCAAGTACAATATTTATGAAGATGAATAGTCCAAAGCCATCCCCAGTGGAAATCCTGTAAGGTAGACTTAAATTTACAAGAATAAGTCAAAACAAGCAACATGTGACTTCTTGTACTAAAGCCCATAAAAACAGCAGAGTTAAAACAAACCAAGGCTATAAATGAAATGACATAAAGGAAAATATATGCAAATATTTATTATGTAAATACAACAGAAGGAGAGTGCAACAAATGTTAATTTCCATCAAAGAATAATTCATGGCAAACCTTAAAAGCAAAAAGGATAAATTTTTTTTGGAAAAATTTCCTTTTGTCATGAAAATAAAATAATACCTCAAATAATGTATGATTAAAACTTATCAGGTCAAGAACAAAGAACTAGTAAGAAATAAGACTGTGTAGACTTTGAGAGCCCTTCTTTCAACTATCAGTAGATCAATTTGCTAAATATTAGACAGATTATTTTGATACTGTAATTAATTGAAGTAACAGAAATATATGAAAAAAATAATCCTACAGATAAAAAATACACACTCCTTTTTATTCTTTCTATATCTTTGCAAAATTTGGTTAATAAAAATAACAAAACATATGTACATGAAGGAGAAAGAACAAATAAAATTCATATAATATCAAAAAGCAATTGATAATCTACAGAATATACCAATGAAGAATAAAGAGAAAAGAAAAACTAAAATTAGACATTAGAAAAAGAATATAAGAGATAAAAAAGAAATGTAAAAACACAAAAGATTCCATATTCAGGTCATATGTATGAAATTCTAGTTAAATGGACCATTTCTGCAGAAATATAAATTATCAAAATTTAAATTTAATTAATTTAAAATAAAAATGAAATTAAAATTGTCTACTTAGGTAGATTCATTATTATGAAAACTTGCAAATCAATTTTCCACCTCCACCAATAATAAGGATTTTAGGGCTAGATAATTTTACTGGTAATTTTTGTTTCTCAAATTTTAAGGAAATAGATAAATATTTTGTGTTATGTAAACTATTTGACAACATTAAAAGTGTGAAATATTTTTAACTTATTTTGTTAGTCTAGCATAGTCCTATGAACAAAACCTACCAAGATAGTAAATACTTAGTAAATACAAACTGATCACATGAATACAGTAAGAAAACTTAAGGGAAATTTTAGCAAACCAGATTGAACATTATATTCAAAGATTAACCCTTCCAGGCATGGTGGCTCATGCCTGTAATACGAGCACTTTGAGAGGCCAAGACAGGTGGATCACTGAGGTCAGGAGTTCGAGACCAGCCTGACCAACATGGTGAAACCCTGTCTCTACTAAAAATACAAAAATTAGCCAGGCGTGGTGGCACATGCCTGTAATCACAGCTACTCGAGAGGCTGAGCCAGGACAATGGCTTGAACTCAGGAGGGAGAGGTTGCAGTGAGCTGAGATTGCGCCATTGCACTCCAGCCTGGGCAACCAGAGAAATTCTGTCTCAAACAAACAAACAAACAAAAAAAAAAAAAAAAAAAAAAAAAGGATTAACCCTTCATAAGCTACTTTAGGATATCCCAGGAAATGTACATACATCATATCAATAGACCTAATAAAACAAACCACAATATTCTCGATTGATACTAAGATGACATTCAATAAAAATAATGACCAATTACTGACTTTTAAATTCATACTAAAATAGGAACACAAAGATACTTCTTCCACATCCCAAAAGTGTCTTTAAAGGAAAAATACCAGAAATATTGTTATTTAAATCATCAACAAGGTGAGGCTACACACAAATATCATTTGGACATATTTGGGTCAATGCAATAAAGTATGAAACAAATAAAAGGTGACTATGAAAATAAGGAAACAAACATTATTTGAGGACAAAATTATATTAGGGCTACTCAAAACCCAATAGTATCAACTCTAAAATTTTTTATATTAGGGCTACTCAAAACCCAATAGTATCAACTCTAAATTTTTTTTTAATTAATGACTTCAGTCAACTGCTTGGATGCCAGGTAAATTGCAAAAAATAATAGCTTCCTTACAGCTAGATAGGAGGATATTCATAGCTTTCTTACAACTAGTTGTCTATAGCACTGTAAGGTGACTATAATAATAATTTGTTGTATGTTTTCAAATAGCTAGAATACAGGATTCTGAATGTTCCCAACACAAATAAATGCTTTGAGGTGACAGATGCGCTAATTATTCTATTTTGATTATTATATATCTCATACATATATCTAAATATTACACTGTAATGCATAAATATGTACAATTAATATGTGTCTACTTAAAATATGTATTAACATTTTTAAGTAATAGTTTTCCTTTGTATCAACAATAACCAATGAGAAAATATAACAGGACAAAACCTCCCTGAAAAGATAGATAAATTCATGTTAATAATTTGTACAAGAAGTGTGTGAGGCCTACATAAAAGCACCTACAATACTCTCTAAATTTGGCCAGAGATAGAAAGAGAGATATAATGACAGACAGAGAGGGGGAAAGAAACATGAAATAGTCAATATTTCTAGATGAAATAAAGCAGGCACACATTACAAGATTTTAATTTTTCCCAGGTTTCTCCAAAACTTTAAAATACTACCAATCAGATCTCAGTTTAAACAATTCTGAGAGTGCTTAGAGTAAGAAATCAAGTAGGGATAAGAATAGTTAATAGCACTTTGAAAGACAAGTAATGATGCCTCGTCATTAATTTCCAGAGAATATTCTGGGGGTATTAGCTCAGATAGGAAATTAGTAGATCAGATTGGTGTGACACACATATAGTTTCATCATTCCAAAATCTGAAACAGAATGTCAGCGTTTGAAACCTATGCCTTTCTCTTATATACTGTTGATCTTTATCTCTGTCTCAGTTACATCATCTGCAAAATTGAGATGTTGATAATACTTTACTTAGAGGTATTTGTAAAGTGCCAAGGACAACAGAAGTTAGCTCTTTTGGGTCATTACTACTGCCAGCAGTAGTGGTAGTATTATTTCTAAATTGTTCCCCAGGAAAGCTGCAGCTATTTATATTCCTATCAGTACTAGTAAAGGGGTCCTGCTTCCCCATATTCTTTTCTGCACGAGTTTTTCCTTCATTTTTTTAAAATTTTTGCCAACAGATGGCTGAGAAGCCATATCTCATTACCCCCAACCTCTCATTTCTCAGATTAATGAGATTGAAAATCTCTCCATTTGCTTATTAGGAATTTGGATACTGAGGAAAGATTGGGAATTATAACTGACTCTTCCAAATCAAGAAAATTGGGAGTTGATACTATCTCTTGTGAAATACAAGTTTACTTCTGCAGAGAAGAGCAAGAAAAAACTACCTTTTATTTCTAGCTAGAGAAATTCACAACAAAACCTAGTTGCCTGGATTATTGTATAGGATATTAATTTAAAAGAAAATCTAGCATAGAGTAACATTCAAAAGTTATAAAACAAAATGCAAACTGCTTCAAGACAACTCTCAGCTACATAAGATTTTTTTTTTTTGCCAAAGACAAAGTAATGAAATTTACATGTGCATATCAGATTTTGCTTTTATTTTTAATAGACATGCAACAATTGTACATATTTATGGGGTACAAACTGATATTTCAATACATGTATTAATGTGCATGTATCAGATTGTTACCTCCTTCATGTGTCCTTTGAAGAGAATTCTTTGGAGCACAGCAGGAAATCTTTCACTTACACACAAATTCCCGATATATATACTAGTTTTCTCTCACAGTACAGGCTCCACCTTTCACAGAGGACAAATTTTATGTCACTTTTCTGTTAACTTTGTCTATTACATCTTTCAGAATTTTTTTTTTCATTTTTGAGTAATCAAACAAGTCTACCTTCTTCTTTGGCTAAGAATTTTCATTAGTTTTCTTGGATTGAGTGGGATATAAAGCTAGGAGAATTTGAGGAGAGACAGGCAGATTTTAGAACCAATGTTCGTAAAGGTTACAGAAGACTATTTTGGGATGTTAGAGAAGTTATGACTCTGGGAGAAAAACTTTGAAAGAAATACAGATATTTAAAGAAAACTTCTGGCAGATTTTGCTGTGAACTTCATCTTGTTTCACCACAAGCCTTCAATAAAATTACATCACTTGACAATTCTTAGAAGAGTTGCCTTTGGCCGAGCGTGGTGGCTCAGCCTGTAATTCCAGCACTTTGGGAGGCTGAGGCCAACCAGCCTGGCCATCATGGCAAAACTCCGTCTCTACCAAAAATTAAAAATTACCTGGGCGAGGTGGCACACACCTGTATTCCCAGCTACTCGGGAGGCTGAGACAGGAGAATCGCTTGAACCCGGGAGGCAGAGGTTGCAGTGAGCGGAGATTGAACCACTGCATTCCAGACTGCAAGACAGAGCAAAACTCTGTCTCAAAAAAAAAAAAAGAAGAAGAAGAGTTAGTTTGAGAGGGTGTGGGTTATCTGTGTTATTAATATCTTAGGACATACTGGAGTTCCACTATTGGAATTCATATTGAAAAATATAAGATACCACCAAAGAATTACACTGTATATGTTTATGTACATGTGAGTATATTTGTGTATATACCAGCATACAAAAATCCAAATACAGTAATATATGGTTTTTTTTAAATCTCTGAAAGTTCTAAGAGAGTCAGTAGTAATTCATTTGATATTGTTTATAATTCCTTCAGTTCCTCCAAATTTTAAATATCTTAACAGATATTTACCTACAGCTGTGACTTGAAAATTTAAAAAAAATCTCATCTCTGGGAGGCTGACGCTGATGTTGACTGGTGGAAAGAGCTGCAGTTTATAATTTTGGCTTATTTTGTTTGACAAAGGCTGACAGGATTAAGGTTCATGAGTACATCTTGCAAAAGGAGCCTGAAGTCAAAAAAAGGGGAAATGCAATAAATTCCATAAATAAACAAATAAATCATATCAAATGAGGAGAAAAATGGTATCTGCTGATGATAGCTTTACCTTTACTCATGCTGGCTTAGGTAGTTTTTTAATGGCTTTATTGAGATGTGATTCCCATACCATGCAATGTATCCACTTAAAGTATAAGATGCAGTGGCTTCTAACATATTCACAGAGCTGTACTTTCATTGCAATAGTTAGTTTTAGAGTATCTTTGTTATCTCAAAAAGAAAGCTCATATCCCTTAACCAGAACTTTCGAAATCCCCAACCTTCACCCTCAGGCAGAGGCAACCACCGATCTACTTTCTCTATATACCTATTTGCATATTCTGGACATTTCATATAAATGGAAACATAATATGTGGTCATTTGAGATGGACCCCTTTTAAAAAATAAACTTTATTTATTACACAGTTGCTAAGGTTCATAGTAAAATTGAACTGAAAGTACAGAAAGTACCCATGTGCCCCCATCCTCCCACACACACACCCTCCTCAACTATCAGCATCCCATACCAGAGTGGCACATTTTTTATAATCTATGAACCTACATTGACACATCATTATTACCCCAAGTTAATAGTTTACATTGGAGTTCATTCTTCATCTTGTGCATTCTATTGGTGCAAGTGTATAATGGCATGTATCCACTGTTGTAGTATCTCGCAGAATAGCTTCACCGCCCTAAAAATCCTCTGTACCCTGCCTGTTCATTTCTTCCAGCCCTCCTAACTTCTGGCAACCACTAATCTTTTTATTGTCTCAATAGTTTTGCCTTTTCCAGAATGTCATATTGTTGGACTCATATAGTATATAGCCTTTTCAAATGGGCCTCTTTCACTTAGTAATATACTTTTAAGTTCCTCCATGTCTTTTCATGGCTTGATATCTCAGCTCATTTTAGTGCTGAATAATATCCCAGTATCTGGATGTATCACCGTTTATTTATCCACTCATCTACTAAAGGATATATTGGTTGCTTCCATGTTTTGGCAATTATGAATAAAGCTGCTATATACATCTGTGTGCAGTTTTTTATTGGACATAAGTTTTCAGTTCATTTTGGTAAGTACCAAAGAGCATGATTGCTGGATCTTATGGTAGGAGTATGTTTAATTTTGTAAGAAACTGCTGGACTGTCTTGCAGAATGGCTATAACATTTTGCATCCCCACCAGTGATAAATGAGAGTTCCTGCTACTCTACATCCTCGCCAGAATTTTATGTTGTCAGTGTCTGGATTTTGGCCAATCTAATAGATATGTAGTGGTATCTCGTTTTAATTTGCAATTCCCTAGTGAAATATGATGTTGAACATATTTTTGTATTCTTACTTGCCATCTGCATATAGTCTTTGATGAAGTGTTGGTTCAGGTCTTTTGCCCACTTTTTCATCAGGGTGTTCATTTTTGTATTGGGAAGTTTTAAGAGATTTTTCTATATTTTGTCTAACAGCCCTTTGTCAGATTTGTCTTTTGCAAATATGTTCTCCAAGTCTATGGCTCATCTTCTCATTCTGTTAACATCTTTTTTTTTTTTTTTTTTTGAGTCACCCAGGCTGGAGTGCAATGTCACAATCTCAGCTAACTGCACCTGCTGCCTCCTGGGTTCAAGCAATTCTCCTGCCTCAGCTCCCCAAGTAGCTGGGACTACAACTGTGTACCACCACACCTGGCTAATTTTTGTATTTTTAGTGGAGACGGGGTTTCACCATGTTGGCCAGTCTGATTTCGAACTTCTGACCTCAGGTGATCTGCCCACCTCGGATTCACCATTGAACCCATCTGGACCTGGTGCTTTCTGTTTGGGAAAATTATTAATCATTGATTCAATGTATCTATTATATGTAAGACTATTTGTGTTATCTACTTATTTTTGTATAACTTTTGGCAGATTATATCTTTCAAGGAATTGATCCATTTCATCTAGGTTCTCAAATTTGTAGACATAGCATTGTTCATAATTTTTTTATTATCTTTTAATATACATAGGGTCTGTAATGATGTTTCCTTTTTAATTTCTGATACTAGTTATTTGTGTCTTCTCTTTTTTTCTTAAGTAGCCTAGCTAGAGATGATTGATTTTATTGCTCTTTTCAAAGAATCAGCTTTTGCTGATTTCCTTTGTTGACTTGCAGTTTTCAAGTTTATTCATTTTCACTGTTGATTTTTTTTATTCCTTTTATTTGGATCTGATTTGCTCTATTTTTCCAGTTTTCTGAAGCAAAAAGCTTAGATTATTGGTTTTGGCTCCTTCTTTTTGCTTTTATATGCACTCAATGACATAAATTTTCCTCTAGGCGTAGCTTTGACTATATTCTACAAATTATGATGTTGTATTTCTGTTTTTGTTTAGTTCAAAATCTTTTTTTAATTTAAAACCACCTTTTATTGAGATAAAATCATATAATATATACAAATTTTATTTTTGTTTAAGTATTATTTTAGGATCAGTGGGCACACATACAGGTTTGTTAAAGGTATATTGCATGATGCCAAGGTTTGGAGTATTTGAATCCATCACCCAGGTACTGAGCATAGTACCCAATAGTCTTCAATTCTTGTGCCCCCAGTCCTCCTCCCTCTTGTATTCTCCAGTGTTTATTGTTCTTATATGTATGTTCATGTATACCCAGTGTTTAGCTCCCACTTATAACTGAGAACATTTGGTATTTGGTTTTCTGTTGCTGTTAGTTCACTTAAGATGGTGGTTTCCAGCTGCATCCATGTTGCTGCAAAAGCCATGATTTCATTCTTTTTTTTTTTTCAATTCAACATATATTTATTGAATATGTGCTGAATTTCAAGCACTGTGCCCAGTTGAGGATATAGACATAGACAAGACATAATCCTGATTCTGAAGAGCTTACTATTATCAGAGGAGGCTGGCATACATGAAAAATTGCATATGTCCACAATAAAAGTGTGCTCTAAAGGTTGTGCACTGGAGGGAGTGGTTAGTTCTAACCATGAGTTCTAACCATGAGGCTCAGGGACGTCTTCATGAAGTTGGATCTGTCTGAATTTTTTGTTGTTGTTGTTTTTGTTTACTTTTTTGAAAAGCTGCATTTTTTTATTTTATTGTTATTATACTTTAAGTTTTAGGGCATGTGCCATGTTGGTGTGCTGCACCCATTAACTCGTCATTTAGCCTTAGGTATATCTCCTAATGCTATCCCTCCCACGTCCCCCCACCCCACAACAGTCCCTGGAGTGTGATGTTCCCCTTCCTGTGTCCATGTGTTCTCATTGTTCAATTCCCACCTATGAGTGAGAACATGCGGTGCTTGGTTTTTTGTCCTTGCGATAGTTTGCTGAGAGTGATGGTTTCCAGCTTCATCCATGTCCCTACAAAGGACATGAGTTCTTCATTTTTTATGGCTGCATAGTATTCCATGATGTATATGTGCCACATTTTCTTAATCCAGTCTATCGTTGTTGGACATTTGGGTTGGTTCCAAGTCTTTACTATTGTGAATAGTGCTGCAATAAACACACGTGTGCATGTGTCTTTATAGCAGCATGATTTATACTCCTTTGGGTATATACCCAGTAATGGGATGGCTGGGTCAAATGGTATTTCTAGTTCTAGATCCCTGAGGAATCGCCACACTGACTTCCACAATGGTTGAACTAGGTTACAGTCCCACCAACAGTGTCAAAGTGTTCCTATTTCTCCACATCGTCTCCAGCACCTGTTCTTTCCTGACTTTTTAATGATCGCCATTCTAACTGGTGTGAGATGGTATCTCATTGTGGTATTGATTTGCATTTCTCCGATGGCCAGTGATGGTGAGCATTTTTTCATGTGTTTTTTGGCTGCATAAATGTCTTCTTTTGAGAAGTGTCTGTTCATCTCCTTCACCTGCTTATTGATGGGGTTGTTTGTTTTTTTTTTTGTAAATTTGTTTGAGTTCATTGTAGATTCTGGATATTAGCCCTTTGTCAGATGAGTAGGTTGCGAAAATTTTTTCCCATTTTGTAGGGTGCCTGTTCACTCTGATGGTAGTTTCTTTTGCTGTGCAGAAGCTCTTTAGTTTAATTGGATCCCATTTGTCAATTTTGGCTTTTGTTGCCATTGTTTTTGGTGTTTTAGACATGAAGTCCTTGCCCATGCCTATGTCCTGAATGGTATTGCCTAGGTTCTCTTCTAGGGTTTTTATGGTTTTAGGTCTAACATGTAAGTCTTTAATCCATCTTGAATTAATTTTTGTATAAGGTGTAAGGAAGGGATCCAGTTTCAGCTTTCTACATATTGCTAGCCAGTTTTCCCAGCACCATTTATTAAATAGGGAATCCTTTCCCCATTTCTTGTTTTTGTCAGGTTTGTCAAAGATCAGATGGTTGTAGATATGCGGCATTATTTCTGAGGGCTCTGTTCTATTCCATTGATCTATATCTCTGTTTTGGTACCAGTAGCATGCTGTTTTGGTTACTGTAGCCTTGTAGTATAGTTTGAAGTCAGGTAGCGTGATGCCTCTGGCTTTGTTCTTTTGGGTTAGGATTGACTTGGCGACGCCGGCTCTTTTTTGGTTCCATATGAACTTTAAAGTAGTTTTTTCCAATTCTGTGAAGAAAGTCGTTGGTAGCTTGGTGGGGATGGCATTGAATCTATAAATTACCTTGGGCAGTATGGCCATTTAAACGATATTGATTCTTCCTACCCATGAGCAAGGAATGTTCTTCCATTTGTTTGTATTCTCTTTTATTTCATTGAGCAGTGGTTTGTAGTTTTCTTTGAAGAGGTCCTTCATATCCCTTGTAAGTTGGATTCCTAGGTATTTTATATAAAGACAGCAGTAACCTCTGAAGACTTAAATTTCCCTGTCTGACAGCTTTGAAGAGACTAGTGGTTCTCCCAGCATGCAGCTGGAAATCTGAGAACGGGCAGATTGCCTCCTCAAGTGAGTCCTTGACCCCCGAGCAGCCTAACTGGGAGGCACCCCCCAGTAGGGGCAGACTGACACCTCACATGGCCAGGTACTCCTCTGAGACAAAACTTCCAGAGGAACGATCAGGCAGCAGCATTTGCAGTTCACCAAGATCCACTGTTCTACAGCCACCGCTGTTCTGCAGCCACCGCTGCTGATACCCAGGCAAACAGGGTCTGGAGTGGACCTCTAGCAAACTCCAACTCCAACAGACCTGCAGCTGAGGGTCCTGTCCGTTAGAAGGAAAACTAACAGAAAGGACATCCACACCAAAAACCCCTCTGTACGTGACCATCATCAAAGACGACAAGTAGATAAAACCACAAAGATGGCAAAAAAACAGAGCAGAAAAACTGGAAACTCTAAAAATCAGAGCGCCTCTCCTCCTCCAAAGGAACGCAGCTCCTCACCAGCAACGGAACAAAGCTAGATGGAGAATGACTTTGACGAGCTGAGAGAAGAAGACTTCAGACGATCAAACTACTCTGAGCTACAGGAGGAAATTCAAACCAATGGCAAAGAAGTTAAAAACTGTGAAAAAAAAATAGACAAATGGATAACTGAATAACAAACGCAGAGAAGTCCTTAAAGGAGCTGATGGAGCTGAAAGCCAAGGCTTGAGAACTACGTGAAGAATGCAGAAACCTCAGGAGCTGATGCGATCAACTGGAAGAAAGGGTATCAGTGATGGAAGATGAAATGAATGAAATGAAGCAAGAAGGGAAGTTTAGAGAAAAAAGAATAGAAAGAAACGAACAAAGCCTCCAAGAAATACGGGACTATGTGAAAATACCAAATCTACGTCTGATTGGTGTACATGAAAGTGACAGGGAGAATGGAACCAAGTTGGAAAACACTCTGCAGGATATTATCCAGAAGAACTTCCCCAATCTAGCAAGGCAAGCCAACATTCAGATTCAGGAAATACAGAGAACGGCACAAAGATACTCCTCGAGAAGAGCAACTCCAAGACACATAATTGTCAGAGTCACCAAAGTTGAAATGAAGGAAAAAATGTTAAGGGCAGCCAGAGAGAAAGGTCGGGTTACCCACAAAGGGAAGCCCATCAGACTAACAGCTGATCTCTCCACAGAAACTCTACAAGCCAGAAGATAGTGGGGGCCAATATTCAACATTCTTAAAGAAAAGAATTTTCAACCCAGAATTTCATATCCAGCCAAACTAAGCTTCATAAGTGAAGGAGAAATAAAATCCTTTACAGACAAGCAAATGCTGAGAGATTTTGTCACCACCAGGCCTGCCCTAAAAGAGCTCCTGAAGGAAGCACTAAACATGGAAAGGAACAACTGGTACCAGCCACTGCAAAAACATGCTAAAATGTAAAGACCATCAGGGCTAGGAAGAAACTGCATCAACTAACGAGCAAAATAACCAGCTAACATCATAATGACAGGACCAAATACACACATAACAATATTAACTTTAAATGTAAATGGGCTAAATGCTCCAATTAAAAGACACAGACTGGCAAGTTGGATAAAGAGTCAAGACCCATCAGTGTGCTGTATTCAGGAAACCCATCTCACATGCAGAGACACACATAGGCTCAAAATAAAGGGATGGAGGAAGATCTACCAAGCAAATGGAAAACAAAAAAAAGGCAGGGGTTGCAATCCTAGTCTCTGATAAAACAGACTTTAAACCAACAAAGATCAAAAGAGACAAAGAAGGCCATTACATAATGGTAAAGGGATCAATTCAACAAGAAGAGCTAACTATCCTAAATATATATGCACCCAATACAGGAGCACCCAGATTCATAAAGCAAGTCCTGAGTGACCTACAAAGAGACTTAGACTCCCACACAATAATAATGGGAGACTTTTTTTTTTTTTTTGAGATGGAGTCTCACTCTGTCACCCAGGCTGGAGTGCAGTGGTGCGGTCTCGGCTGATTGCAAGCTCTGCCTCCCAGGTTCACGCCATTCTCCTGCCTCAGCCTCCCGAGTAGCTGGGACTACAGGCACCCGCCACCACGGCCAGCTAATTTTTTTTTGTATTTTTTGTAGAGACAGGGTTTCACCGTGTTAGCCAGTATGGTCTCGATCTCCTGACCTCGTGATCTGCCCACCTCGGCCTCCCAAAGTGCACCATGATTTCATCTTTTTCATGGTTGCAGAGTATTTCATGGTATATATGTACCACATTTTCTTTACCCAGTCTCCCATTAATGGGCACCTGGGTGGACTTCATATCTTTGCTATTGTGAATAATACTGTGGTGAACATATGGGTGCATATGTGTTTTTGGCAGAATGCTTTATTTTCCTCTGGTTATGTACCTAGTAATGGGATTGCTGGGTTAAATGGAGTTCAGCTTTTCCTTCTTTGGGAAATCTCCAAAATGCTTTTCACAATGCCTGTACTAATTTACATTCCCACCAACAGTGTATACCTGTTTCCTTTACTCCACAACCTTGCCATCATCTGTTATTTTTTTACTTTTTAACAAAAGCCATTCTTACTGGTGTGAGATGGTATCTCATTGTGGTTTTGATTTGCATTTCTCTGGTGATTAGTGATGATGAGCATTTTTTCATATGTTTTTTGGCCACTCGTATATCTTCTTTTGAAAAGTGTCTGTTCATGTCATTTGCCCACTTCCTATCAGGGTTATGTTTTTGATTGTTGATTTAAGTTCCTTATAGATTCTGAATCTTAGACATTTATTGGATACTTACTTTGCAAGTATTTTCTCCCATTCTGTAAGTTTATGCCCTTGATCATTTATCTTGCTGTGCAGAAGCTCTTTAGTTTAATTAGGTCCCACTTGTCAATTTTTGATTACGTTGCAATTGCCTTTGAGGACATAGTAATAAATTATTTGCCAAGGCCAGTATTAAAAAGAGTATTTCCTATGTTTTTATGGGGTATTTCCATATAAAATATTTTCATAGGGTGTTTCCTAGGATTTTTATTGTTTCATGTCTTACATTTAAGTCTTTAATCCGTCGTGACTTAATTTTTGTGTATGGTGATAGGGAAGGGTCCAGCTTCATTCTTCTGCATATGAATAACCAATTATCCCAGCACCACAAGATCTTTTTCAATTTCACTTGAGATTTTTTCTTTGATCCATGTGTTATTTAGAAGAGTGTAATTTAATATCCAAGTATTTGAGGATTTTCTAGCTACTGTTATTGATTTTTAGTTTAATTCTATTACGGTCTGAGAGGAGACATTGTACGAATTTTTTATACATTTACATTTTTAAGGTATGTTTTCTAGCCCAGTATGTGGTCTTTCTTGGTGAACATTCCATATGAGCTTGAGAAAAATGTGTAACCTGCTGTTGTTACTGGAAAGGAATCCCAATCCAGACCCCAAGAGAGGGTTCTTAATTCTTGTGCAAGAAAAGAATTTAGGGTGAGTCCACAGAGTAAAGAGAAAACAAGTTTATCAGGGAAGTAAAGAAACAAAGAATGGCTACTCCATAGGCAGAGCAGCCTCGAGATCTGCTGGATAACTATTTTTATGGTTGTTTATTGATTATATGCTAAACAAGGGATGGATTATTCATGAGATTTCCAGGAAAGGGACAGCAACTCCTCAGAACTTAGGGTTCCTCTTCCTTTTAGACCACATATGGTAACCTCTAGATGTTGCCATGGCATATGTGAACTGTCATGGCACTGGCAGGAGTGTCTTTTAGCATGCTAATGCATTATAATTAGGGTATAACAAGCAGCAAGGATGACCAAAGGTCACTTTTATTGGCATCTTGATTTTGATAGGTTTCAGCTGGCTTCTTTACTACATTTTTGTTTTACCAATGGGATCTTTGTGACCCGTATCTTGTGTCAACCTCCTGTCTCACCCTGTGAATAAGAATGGCTGACCTCCTGGGAATGCAGTACAGAAGGTCTCAGCCTCATTTTACTATGGCTGTGACTCAAGGTGGAGTCACTCTGATTCAAACGCCTCTGACACTGCTGTTGGATAAAGTAGTCTATAGATGTCCATTATATACAATTGATTGAAGGTACTGTTGAGGTCAACTAAGTCTTTACTTGTTTTCTGCCTGTTGGATCTGTTCATTCTTGATAGAGAGGTGTTGAAGTCTCCAAATATGATACTGGATTCCTCTGTTTCTCCTTGAAGTTCTATCTGTATTTGCCTTATGTATTTTGATGCTCTGTTGTTAGGTAAATACACGTAAAGAATTGTTACATCCTCTTGGAGTGTCCCTTTATTATGTAATGCCCCTCATTAGCCCTGACAACTTTCCTTAATCTGAATTCTGCTATATTTGAAATTAATATAGCTACTCCTGCTGTCTTTTGATTAGTACAATCATAGTATATATTTCGCTATCCCTTTTAATCTATGTGTGTCTTCATATATAACATAGGTTTTTGTAGACAACATGTAATTGGGTCTAGGCTTTTTGATACATTCTGGCAATTTCTATCTTTTAATTGATGCATTTAGATTATAGATATTCAAGTAGTAATTGAGATATCTGCATTAATTTCTATCATATTTCTTACAGTTTTCTATTTTTTAATCTTGTTCTTTGTTCCTTTTTTGCCTTCCTCACTTGCTGCCATTTGTGGTTTAATTGAGAATTTTATATGATTGCTTTTTTTCTCATTTCATAGCATGTTGCTATGTCTAAATATTTGTGTCTTCTCAAAATTTGCATGTTGAAATCCTAACTCCCACAGTAGTGGTCTTAGAAGGTGGAGACTTTTAGAAGTGAATAGGGCATTGGGGTAAAGCCCTCATGAATGGGGTTGGAGTTGAAGGAAATTAAAATATTTTCCCCAACATATATTTATTTGACATATTTTGAAATGGGTACTGCTTGGCCATCTCCACAAAACTGCTTTGCAAAGCTGTTGTAGTAAATGGGGAAAATTTGGATCTCTAGATAATCCCCATTAATGCAGCCATGCCCCTTTCCCTTTCTATGTCTTTCCCCAGATCCAGGAGAGATTGAGGGTCTGACACATTTAGAAGTCTGAAATGAAACATGTATCATCTATTCTCTCTGAGGGAGGCTTCATGTACATACAAGGCCAGCTTTGCCATCCAGACACTTCTCCCACCTTCCATAACCTGTTTTACTAAGCCATCATTCTTTCCGTAACCTCAAAATGGTGTATAAATTTCTGTGACCCATTTGGAAATTGGGTCTTCATACAGAAGACTCCCACGTATGCACAGAAAATAAATTTGTATGTCTTTTCTCTATTAATCAACTGCCTCATGTCAGTGATTTCTAAGCAAGCATTTAGGGAGCCAAGAGTCTATGGCTTCCACACCTCTCTATGGAAAAAGTGTTTTTTAAAATTTTCACTTTTTACAAAATTTTTTTTTTAATCTTTCATTTTCTGTGGTATGCCAAGGTGTTTTATTTCTTGGGTTTTGTTTGCTTGTTTTAGTTTTTGTGACTTTCTGTTTTCTTGGGGGCATATATTCTACTTGGTGTTCTCTGTGCTCCCTAGATCTGTGATTTTGTATCTGACATTATTAGAGTGAAACTCTTAGTCACCATTGCTTCAAAAATTGCTTTTTTCCCTTTCTCCCTTTCTTCTCTTTCTGATATTTCCCTTATGTGTATGTTATACCCTTGGTAGTTGTTCCATTGTTCTTGCATATTCTGTTCTGTTTTTTTCAGTCTGTTTTTCTCTGTTTTGTAAGATTCTATTTTTGTATCATTGAGCTCAGAAATTTTTTCTCAACCATGCCCAGTCTATTAATAAGCCAATCCAAGTCGTTCCTTATATCTGTTAAAGTGTTTTCAATCTCTAACCTTTTTTTTTTTGTTTTTGGTTCTTAGAATGTCTATCTCTCTGCTTGCCTTATCCATCTTTTCTTACATGTTTGTTTATTTTTTCACTAAACCCCTTAATACATTAATCATAGAATTTTAAAATTCCTGGTCTCATAATTCCAGCATTCCTGCTATATCTTACTCTTGTTCTGATGCTTGTTCAGTCTCTTCAAACTATGTATTTTTGCCTTTTAGTATGCCTTGTAATTTTTTGTTGAAAGGCAGATGTGATATACTGGGTAAAAGGGACTGCCACAAATAAGCCTCTAGTAATGTAATGGTAAGGTGTGAGGGTGAGGGAAAGAATGTTGTAGTCCTATGAGTAGGTCTCAGTCGTCTAATGAACTTATGCCCCTAGACTGTGAACTTCACCAGTGCTTCTCAGTCTTTGTCCCTTCTTACGTGGAACAGGATGGCTTAAGGGGCCTGGAGTTGGCTATTTTTCTCCCCTCCTAGACTCTTAGAAAACCCCAGCAGATTAGGCTGTAGCTGCTGAGGGCAGAGCATTTTTTTTTTTTTTTTTTTTTTTTTTGAGATGGAGTCTCACTCTGTCACCCAGGCTGGAGTGCAGTGGTGCAATCTCAGCTCACTGCAAGCTCCGCCTCCCGGGTTCATGCCATTCTCCTGCCTCAGCCTCCCGAGTAGCTGGGACTACAGGCACCCGCCACCACGCCTGGCTAGTTTTTTGTATTTTTTTTAGTAGAGACATGGTTTCACCATGTTTGCCAGGATGGTCTCGATCTCCTGACCTCGTGATCTGCCCGCCTCGGCCTCCCAAAGTGCTGGGATTACAGGCGTGAGCCACCACGTCCGGCCTGAGGTCAGAGCTTTTTAAGAACAGAATGTTCTAATGTATCTCAAAATGGTCTGTTTTCCCCCCACAACTACCAGAAACATGAGGGGATTTTTTTTTTCCAATATTCACTGTGAGGACCCAGTAGAACTCTCTGAGGCAAAATTAACACAAGTGTGCAGCACCCCCTATGATTGGCTCTTCGTGGAGTTTTTAACTCACGGAATTGTCCACACTGAACTTCCAGCAATTACTCAATTATAGTTCATGTTTTCCTGCCCAGCACTGGTTCCTGGGGATGTTTTTACTCCAAGTTGTGATTATCTGTATCCACCTGTCTGTCTGATTAAGGGGAAGCCGTTTGTCCTATGACCTCACTTCTCTGCCAGATCTAAGAATTAGTTGTTGATTTTTCAGTTTGTTCAGCTCTTTATTTGTTGTTAGGAGAGAGTGACATCTTCTAAGTTCCTTACCTGCCCATCAGAAACCAAAAGTCAGGTTAGCTGGCCCATTTTTTAATTGGGTTACTTGTCTCTTTATTGAGATGGAACTGTTCATGCTGACTTAGATGGTTTGCTCTAATTTCAGAAAGAAAATCATTCTACTTTGCAAGGCATGACATTTAATTATAACATTTAACTGATCTGAACATGATTAAGAAAGTGAATAATAAATGGTTCATTTGGGGTTATTGAAAAGTTTAGACTCAGAGACTCAGGAATTTTAGGTGGATTGGGTTTTCTAAATTATTTTTATGTAAAACATTCTGATTTTATAAACCTTTTTTTTCTTATCCTAACTTTAAAATTTTAGATCATGCACTTTACCAGGAAAATAGTCTATCGATAGTTACAGCTGATATCAAACCTAGTCTTTCCTTCTTTATCTTTTTCAATATGACTTTGAGATGAAAAATTCACACTTCTGAAGTATCAAGAGAATTGCCAGACTACATAGGTCTGTGATTGTAATAAAAATAGTGTGATCTCTTTGGGAGCAACTCTCCTGGGAGAGGTATAAATTTATTCTCTCTGAGCCATTGGGAGTTCTTTCTCTGGTTTACACACAGGCTACTGACACAAATTGAAGGGTGTCTAGTCCAGAGTTTTGCTTTAAATAAATAAATAACCTATCTTGGATTCTTGGCACAGTCAGCTCAAAAGAGCCTGCAAGGATGAATCTTGGCGAATAAATACCCTAAACTCACTGTCCTCTCTCCCTCAGATCTTGTAAGAGGATCCCAAGAAACTGGTAGAGTATAAGGGAACCTTTCTCTTTGGTCCATATAGGTCAGCTGCCCAAGGCGGAGGCAGTATGGCAGGTGCAAAATGGATCTGGAAGGCTGTGGCAGATTGTGTTTTCCAAAGATGGCTGTAGCAACATATCTTATCCAACATGCTCTTACTGCAGCATGACTTTAACACTGCTCCCTACCAAGTAGTAAAATCTATCCCTCTCCTCCTGAAATTTAGTATACTTTTGTGAATGTCTTGACCAATAAAAAACAATAGGAGTGATGCAGTATGATTCCTGAAGCTAGTTTCTAAAAATGTATCCACTTCTACCTTGTTCCACTAGCACAATTACTCTTGGTATCCAGCCACTATAGTATTAAGAACCCTATGCAGCTGTGGACAGGTCCTTCTCAATAAGAACCAAGGTCCCAGCCCACTGGTCCTGCTGAACTCCCAACAGCCAATACCAACTTGCTGGTCAAATAAACAAGCTTGCCAGTTTCCAATCAAGCCCCCCACCTAGTGAAGTGTCCAATGGAGATGAGTCCTCGATGATGCCTGTTCAACTTACACATTACTGAACAGAAAAAAAAATGATAATTTTCTAATCCACTAAGGTTTGGGGTAATTTGTTATATAGCAATAGTAATTGAAACTCAAAGTAAATTGAAACTCAAATGGCATTTGGCATAACATGATCAAGTTTCTATGAAACAATGGCTCTTTATTCCTTCATATCAGTATGTTTTTTTTCTCTTATGTAACATTCATATCATTCTACAAGAGGCAGATCTACTCTCTATACTTGCAATATAAAGGTAAGACAAAAATAATGAGATTTGATCCACAAGTTAAACTTTACTCAAAGTAAGCTCTTTTGACTTGAAATATTTTAATTCAATGCAAGAATTGTCACATCAATCAAGAGTAATCCTAGAATGACTGAGGTTGATTAGCAGTAAATTTATGTATGTATCTATAGCAATTTATCACCATGTTGAATTATGTCAATGACTGTTGCTTTTAAAATTATGATGAGCACACCAAGGCAATGTCATGTCAAGGAAATGAGCCTTGTGCTTGACACATAGTGTCTGTTTCACAAATACTAGTTTTCTTGCCCATCTCTCAAGGTGAAAATAGAGTATTGCTTTCGGCTTATGAGTTCAGCAGTATACAGCCTACACAGCCTACCTAGATTATTAGAGTTAGGAGAAATCAGAGCAATTATCTGAAGCCTTTTATACCTTCAAGAAGAGTAAAGATGAGGAATGCAATATCCCAGGAGGTTTAATAATTTTTTTACCCTAACTGCTCATTGGAATCACCTAGAGAGTCTCCTCTTTCTAGTCCATTTTAATTTCTAATTGTTCTGGATGTGACCTAGGTGTTTCTGGTATTTTCTTAAAAAGATTTCCCAGGTGAATTTACAGTACAGCCAGCACTGAGAACTAATGGGTTTAGCAAACTGGATAGCACAGTGTTTTTCAAAACACAGACTCTGTACTCAACAGGTAGCATTAAATAATATAATATAGAATGAGAGAGTCATTCTATTTTCAATTTTACTTCAATCATTTAGATTAAATCAAGGAGAATGGCCAAGGCGGGTGGATCACTTGAGGTCAGGAGTTCAAGACCAGCCTGGCCAATATGGTGAAACCCCATCTCTACTAAAAATACAAAAATTAGCTGGGCATGGTGGCACATGCCTGTCATCCCAGCTACCCAGAAAGCTGACGTGGAAGGATCACATGAACCCAGGAGATGGAGGTTGCAGGGTGCTAAGATCATGCCACAGCACTCCAGCCTGGGTGACAGAGTGAAACTCCATCTCAAAAATAAATAAATAAATAATAAATAATAAATAAATAAATGGCTAAACATGATATTAGGCCTGTCATTAGCTATTTTCTAATACGTGCTAATCTTTAATTAACAGAGCAAACGTCTCCGGCTCAGGGACTTTGACAGTGTCCAGCTTAGTGAGCATTTAAATTATTTTGGACAGTGTCTATTTATATAATTTTCTACTCATTATATTAATTTTGCTAGGTAACTATTATTTTGGTGAGCAGATTTCCATTTAGGATAAAAATATACATTTTATATGTCAATTCCCACATTAAGTTGAAGAAAGTTAATCAGTTTAAGAAAAATTAAGTAATAATAGAACATTTGGTACCAGGATATGGCAAAAACAATTGTGAAGACGTGACTCTAATGATTTAAGTGTAGAAAACACTGGGTTAAGATTGCTGGGACAGCAGACTAGGCATCCTGAGATCACCAATTCTTACTCCATCAAAATCAACACATCGCACTGGCCAGAAAAAAAAAAAATTCCCAAGTTGTTAATATGAACTTGATGTTGAAATTAAAAAGCAGATACCTTTGAGGCACCGTGGCACTTGACACAACCTAAAATAGGCATGAAGTGCCTTCAACCAAGTTTTTGTGATCTTTGATGTGTCACTCTTTTAAAACACTTATGATGGAACAAGCTGGGACTCAAAATCCTGTAATGGAGCAATTATTCCAGTTTATTGGTACCCAAGAAAGTCAAGCAAATTTTGATATTAACTGATTGCATCTTACCTGTCTTAAATATCACCTGTTCAGACAACCATGTGACAGTTGAAACTGGTAATCAGTCAGAAAAATTAAAACTGTTTACAATGTTAGGGCCTGTTTTCATGTTTCAGTGACTGCCAATTCTTTCTGCTTTTTGGATGAGCAGCGTACATTAGTAATGAAGGTGAACTTGATGCAGCCATTTGGCATTGGTGGGGGCAAGGTTTAATCTGTGTAGTCAAAAATGCAGAGGTGGGCCGTGTCACCACCTGTTCCTTCCGGGAGTCTTACAGAGGAAAACGCCAACCAGGTTCCAGAAGGAACTTACAGGTTCGACTGTTTTCAAGGCACCTGGAGATGATTTACATGTAATGTCAGGGTTTGGAAGGCAACCCAGTGAAGGAATGAATGATTAATATTGGAAGCACTGCAATAACAGGCTGTGTAAAGTCATAAAAAAAGAGGACTGCTTACTCAACCTCGGTTCCAAATAGCCATCAAAATGTAATTTTTTTTCTTAAACTGGAAAATTATGCTTCTTTTACATTGAGATTGCTTACTAGCGAATTCATTATTTGCTTATAATTTATTATACTGAAAGTTTGTACAATATTTGCAAGGTTCAAGAGGTTCCCCTAATTCCGAAGTTTATTTTAAACCTTGATTTTAGCATGTGGTAGATATCACAATGTATTTTCAGCCTACCTGTAATTAGTGATGATCTTTCTGCTTGTTTATTTTTATCTGGTATGGGTTATCAAATCAGGTAGTGTTTTCTTTCTTTAGTGCAGAGTGGTTTTTAAATTACATCAAAAATTCCATTAGTGTCATCATCTAAGAAAATACAGGGGAAAAGTTAATCATATCCTCTCCTATTTCATTTGATACACACTGGCTTTTCCCTTAGCATTTATTTCAAGGATGCTTTGGCTTACAAATCCATTTACTGTTAATACTTGTAACATATTATGGAAATATGATTTGTTTTTTCCTAAGACAAACCTGTGTGATTAGATGGACAAATAATTGACTAATAAAGTAATCCTAGCTAAGTTTAGTAGATATTGTAAAACTACAAAAAAGAAAAAATATTACTGTCATTAAGATGTAAATATGAACTTGAAGTCAGCTACAGTGAACTTTTTATTTTCTGGGGACAGATTAACTATTTGTGGATTAACTCTACCCCTGACATCCCTATCCCCTGTCCACCCCATTCAGCTCTCCTTCTTGAGTTACTCAAATAAACCGTGTTCTTACCTACCTTAGGTCTTTGCACATGCCTAAGTACCCTAGTGTAGTTTATTTTTTTACCCACTTTTCCTGGACAACTTCTGCTCATATGTTAAATCTTAGCTCAAATGAGCAGTTCACTGAAACCCCAAAAAGTTCTAGATTCCCCCAATGTACTTTGGGTTTACATTACATTATAATTTTACATTGATTTGTGTAGTCATTTCATTAATGCCTGTCTTCCAACTCTATGCCCTATGAACATAAGGACTGTTTCTTTTTTCTTGCCTTCAGCATCGTATTCCCAGCAACTAAAGTAGAATAGTTACTTTATAAACAGTTTTTAAATGAATGATCTTATTTTTAATAAGTGGTGCTTTGAAAAAGGAACTCAATTTGTATGACTTAGAGGATCATATCCTACTTCTTACACTCCTACGTAAGATACTGGAATAGACTTCTCTCACTTCCAAAAACTCCTTTCCTGAGTAAATTGTGGACAGCAGCATAGAAAAAAAGATGTGCTTTCTGGAAAACAGAATTACACTAGTGGGCTTTGAGGGGAAGTTTTGAGCAAAATAGAGATATGAGGAGAAGAAAATAAAGCTATGAATTTGCACCTTCTCAATTCTGGTCCCTTCCTGCTTGAGGAGGTGGGGAAAAAGGAAGTTTAGGAAAATAATGCAAACAAAGACAAACTAATTTAACAGATAAGCTATTTTTTATTCAAAGTATTATTAGTGTTTCTAAGAATTTGTCCAAAGATGGTTAGTGTTGTGTTACTTGAATTATTTTATACTCTAAAGAATGGCAAATATGTTTCTTATTATTTCTAAATATTAGATGCAAGTTTATTTATAAATATGGTAAATAATCCATCTAGGACTATTTCATCCCATTTCAACTAATTTTACCGAGTTTCTTTTTTTTTTTTTTTTGGACATTTCTCTCTCACATCCTTTATCACATTTAATTCATGACTAACTATATTCTCTAACAATGACAAATTGATGGGGGAAAGAATTAGTTTGACATAAGTGAAACTTCCTTTTGGAGTTTCTTTTACCTTTTTTTTCTTAAATGCCTGGGAATACTCAATTGCATCTTGATAAGAAATGTTAAGATATGCTAATAACATTTTAATTTAATTACTATTATTAAATGTTTAATTCCCATGAAAGAAGTTGGAGTTTGGAATTACAGTCATGTTACTTGACTTCTCCCATCTATGACCCTATTGAAAGCTGAGCATTTAGGGGTATAGTTGTGCATAATCATAACTGCATTTTGGTAAGCATTGCATTCTACCAAGAAATGAACAAGTCATAAGAGGATAGCCCAATTCATTTTCACAAAATGAGCACATTCAAGTGACCAGCACTGAAAACAGAAACAGAAGATGACCCGCATCCTAGATGTCCTCATGGTGCTTCATCCCAAAACTACCATACCTCCAAAGGTAGCCACAATCCAGCCTTCTCATATGATCGGTCATGATCAAATACTCCTTTCCATCTGGTTCATATCCTTCACGCTTTTGAAACTCAACCATGTTGATCTGTGTAGTTGCAGTTCATTCATTTTTGTGGCCTAATAGCATTTTGTTAAATGATTATTCCACTACCTGTTTGTCCATTCTACTGTTACAGGGTTGTTTCTATTTTTAGCTATTATGGATAATAATTATAAACATTCTTGTAAAAAATGTCTTTTGGTAGACAGCTGCATGCCATTCTGTAGGGCATATACTTAGGAATGGAATTGATGGGTCATAAATTATATGTATGTCCTGCCTTCGTAGATGCTTCTAAACAATTGTCCAGAGTAATTGTACCAATCTACACTCCTTTCAGCAATAAGAGTTCCAGTTCCACATCTTCAGCAGAACTTGGAAGTGTCTGTCTCTTTCATTTTGCCGTCGTCTACACATGGCATATGCCATGTGATTTTATTTAACCTTTGTGGATTACACTTTCTAAATTTGTAAACATAACTTGTTTCACATGTTTACACCACCTTTTACCCTGACTTGAGTTTACATCCTAGAAAGCATGGGCCATGTGTTAAACACTTCTGTGTCCTTGAATGAATCTAACATAGCAAGCAATGGATGCGCTTTTGTTAAGATAAATCTTGTCTCTATGTAGTACTCCCTTAAAAGATCATAGAGTGGGAGAGAGATAGCATTAGAAGAGGAATAATACAAATATATTTTATTAATGGAGACAAAAAATAAGGAGAGGATCTCTCTTATTCTCTGTCAAATTGTGTTCTCCTTTTATGTATTCATACACTCAATTCCATGTTGGGGCTGAAAAAAAATCATTTCCAATTCTACTTGTTTTAGTTAATTGCTTCCTTTTTCTACTGTGCAGTGTAAAAGGATAATTAAAAATTATATTTCCCCTGACTACATTTCTTTAGGAAGATGGCTTCATTTTTTATGATGCAGCTATTTGTCTTCACCTGTCAGTGCCAAGAGTGAACAGAAGTCAAAAGTCCACCACCAAACTTTTCCTTACTCCTTCAAGAAACAAAGCCAGCCATTGTGCCTAAAAGGTGTATCCAGATATGTGAGGACATAAAATCCTGACACAGTTCTCTTTTACCCAGATGCCTTCAAAATAAGCAAATAAAGGTTGGCAAGAATAACAACCTTACCCCAATGCCTTAGATGGCATTTAATAGTAACAGTTTTTCACCGAAAATGAGAGATTTCCATAGAAGTGATAATCAACCTCCTATGAATATATGAAGCTCGTAAGACCTAAGAGTTTCTAAAGGTCAGCAAGCATTAAAGGTTTTTGTCCTGGGGATACATTTCTAAATAACCCTAGGAGAAGGAGAGGGAGAGAGGGAAAGAAAAAAGTTTTAACTTGATGAAAGTAAAACATGCAAGCTTAACAGTTTCTGGATTATCATTTAATTACAACTATCAATCATTTCCCATCTGTCTTCTTCCAGTTCTCACAAATTTCATGTAAAACTATGCAATACAACTAACAGAGAACATGCAACCCATTAAGAATCCTAAAGATGGGAAGCAATATTTAAGAAATTACCCTATGGAAGATTTTAGGAAATTACCTAAAAATAGGATAGTAGAATTCATCTTACAATATATACTACAAAAATTCAAGACTAAAACTTTTCTTTTAATTAAGATAAACGCTACTTATTGCTTCTTTCTCTTTACCAGTTCTGACATGAACTGATGATCATTTTCCAAGGGCTTTGGTTTCGAAATCATATGACTTATTACAAGTCATATTTTTACTAATGTGTGAAACTGGCTTGCAGTTAGTCATTTTATTAACACAATTTTACATGCTCTTAAAATGAGGTCCATTTAACATTGAGCTTTTAGAAATATAATTGCTCTGTTAATTAGCTCTTGGGAATGCCAGCAAATGTCTTTAAGGACAGCTGTTATTATTATTTATTTTTTGGAGGCGGAGACAGAGTCTTGCCTGTCAGCCAAGCTGGAGTGCAGTGGTGTGATCTTGATCTCGGCTCACTGCAACCTCCACCTCCCAAGTTCAAGTGATTCTCGTGCCTTGGCCTCCCAAATAGGTGAGATTACAGGGGCACGCCACCACACCCAGCTAATTTTTGTATTTTTAGTAGAGATGGGGTTTCACCATATTGGCCGGGCTGGTCTCAAACTCCTGACCTCAAATGATCTACCCACCTCAGCCTCCCAAAATGCTGGGATTACAGACTTGAGCCACCGTGCCCGGCTAGCTGTTATTTTTAAGGTTTAAAATGTTTTAATTTCTTCTTATTGAGGGGTTCATGCTTTCATGCTTACTGTCCCTAACTTCTGCAGCCAAGGAATTAAACAGCTTTAGGCTTTTTAAGCTCCAGTGTGTTCAGAAAAGTGTTTCAACCATGGTAATCCGCTTGTCATGCTGCATTTATCTCCCACTAGATACCCACATGTGTCCCTCTTCTTCTCAGGCAGATAATTGCAAAGGGGTTGGAACCAGAGAAAAGAGTTGAGCTGGTGCTGAGCAGTGGATATAAAAAGAAGTGTCACCCTGGTGCAAGTAAATAGACTCTGAGACTGTAATCTCTGCCCTTATTTATTTTTGAAACCATAAATGCCCAGGAGGAAGCTTGTTGTTTATTTGGCTACAGAAATCTTTGACTGCAGTCATGTATGGTTTTTAACTTGTTTATATTTCCATACATTCCATTGTAGCAATCTACTCTCTTATACCACCTTGGTTTGCTCCCTAAATATAGTTTTCATTGCAATGTTGTTGTTTTTGGCCATAGACTTCAAACTTCTTTGTGTTTTTTAAAAAAATAACAGTGTATTCATTACCTGTTTTCCCAACAGAGTTCATCTGGTGATTTAATGATCAGAAACATTCAGCTGAAACACAGTGGGAAATATGTTTGTATGGTGCAAACGGGGGTGGACAGTGTTTCATCTGCTGCTGACCTCATAGTAAGAGGTAAAACATTTATGCCCCCTTGAGTTTGTCACTTCACATCTTAACAGCATTCCTTACTGGAGGAAAAACCATGATGAGATAGTATGTGAGCATACGAGTTATAATATTGATTTCATCCCCCCTCATAGACCACAGAATATGACAATAGGGGTGAGTGCTAATTCAAAGAAATAAAAATCTCAACTCTGCCCTTCAAATAGCTCTCACTGTAATTGGCATTCCACAGCTGCTGCCAAGCTGATGTGTTCTTGAGCATGTCATTAATTCAGTGATTGTATTTAATTTGAGAGAGAATATTGTGCAGTGTGTTTGCTTCCAAAATAATCAGGATTTGGGAATAATTGTATGCAGGACATTTTTCTAAAAATACAAAAAAAGTATCAGGATTATTCAGAATGACTGAGAAAATTTGCCAACCTGAGCTGCTGCCCAGGATACTGATTTGCTACTGGGCTGAAAAATGACCAGAGTGTGTCATAAAATAAAACACATCTAGATATCAGATTGGGAACTACAGAGATACACCAGTGGATTAAAGGGAAAGGCATCACACCAGGAGCAGAGGACATTGAATTTAGAAAGGTACAGGAATCCTGCTGAACAGAGGCTTTTAAAAGTGAATATCATCTGCAATCAGAGAGTATTATGGTTTGGGAATTACTGCCTCACATCCAAATTTAAGATCTAACAACAGAAATGCGGGGAGGGAGAGTAGAGGGAAGTAGTTGTTCTATTACCAGGTAAATGGCCTTTTCCCTAAGTGCTTCTGAAATTGGGAAAAGTCAGAGATATTGAAGTGGTCATGTGACATTCTCTTCTCTTTGATAGGAGAGGATGACATTTATGGAACTGCTACTCAATGTTTCCATTTGTGCCTTCCTTAGGTTCACCTGGACCACCAGAAAATGTGAAGGTAGATGAAATTACAGACACAACAGCCCAACTCTCTTGGAAAGAAGGTAAAGACAACCATAGCCCAGTTATATCCTATTCTATCCAGGCTCGGACACCTTTCTCCGTGGGTTGGCAAACCGTCACAACAGGTAAAGCAGGAGAGGCAGATGTCATCTGCACACATATAAATGGATTTCAAGTCAATGCTAAAGCAGGCAGACTCTTACCTCTGAAATATTCCTTTGTAGTGCCTGAGGTCATCGATGGGAAGACGCACACAGCCACTGTAGTTGAGTTAAACCCATGGGTGGAATATGAATTTCGGGTTGTAGCCAGTAACAAAATTGGAGGTGGAGAACCAAGTTTACCCTCAGAAAAAGTAAGAACTGAAGAGGCAGGTTAGTGTTTTTTTTTCTGAGTAATGGATTAATAGATTTCTGTGTACTTCCATTTCCCTTGGCCCTGAACTCCAGGCCAGCAGGGGGTCAGCCTCAATAATCCATTGTTGCAGTTATCTAACCTTTCTAATGGCAGAACTGGCCATATGGCATTTGTCAAAAGAAACACATGTAAGTGACTCTGATGTAGTATGACATTTCCAAGAGTTCAGTCCATTGTAAATGATCATTAGTGCATGTGAGTGAATATGCTTTTGTCACTTAAGGTTATAATTACTGTCTGACATAGTTACCCTGTTAACAAGGGAAGTGCTGTTTTCATTTATAACAAGCATTGGCAAATTGGTAGGATAATGACATTTGGGAGTTCTGCTGCTAGGAAATCTCATTTTGCCACCAAGCTTAGTGAAGGAGCTTAAGCAATTGATGAATAGGTATATTTTGTCACTTCAAGTGTTGAATTAAGAAAAAATCATTGATAGGAATTTCCATGTGAGACAACTATTCACATAGACCATAAGACTGCTTTTATTATTCTAGAAATATCCTAGCATTAAAACTCAAACTAGAAAGTGTACATAGCATCACATTATAGGGACAATTGAGACCTAAAGATTGCCTTTTCAGAATCTGTAATATTATTTAATATTAACTAAAATGAAGTTTGAAATAGAGCTGGTGTATCACTTTAGGAACTCAGCTAAGATGGAAGTCATCAAATATGTTTCAGTAATTTTCATGATGCTGTTTCACTCAGAACAATGCACATAATGTTTATGCTAGGAAATATGAGAAATAGAGGAACTGTGCTTGCCCTGGTGTTCTGGTCATTTGTTCACACAACACATATTTTAGGGAGCATCCTCTCTGTGCTCAGCACTTTCTAGACATTGCAAGTACAGCTGTGACCATACCAAAGACCCACCTTCATGGGACTTCTATTCTAGCTGTGTCATGGGGTTCACTAAGCCTAGAGTTCTCAGTGTGAGAATCTGATGCCCCTGTGAAGTTTATAAATAATACCTCAAAACAAGATTCGAGGGTTTGAGTCTGGGTCATCCTTACATATAGCCAATGTTGTTCTCAGAATTATATTCTACTTGGAATAGTCACAAGCTAAACATTCATGCTGGATTGATTTCCCATCATCTCCAGTGAATCACTTTTTCTTGTTTTAAGTCTCATACTAGCAAAGTATCTTCCAACTTGGTCATGTTTTTATTACTGTTTGAGAGATTTTGAATTTTTTTATGATTTCATGTAAATATGTTGTTTGATGATCTCATAAAAATATATAAATGCATATAATATATAAGTATATGTACATAAACACCCATATGTATGAATCATGTGCCAATGATGAAATTATTTTAAATATTAAAAAAACATTGCATTATCTTTTAGATAAATATTACTAAATGCAAGTACCATTTCATCTCTGTTTCTCTGACCTGTATAGTTCCAGAAGTGCCTCCTTCTGAAGTCAATGGAGGAGGCGGAAGCCGGTCTGAACTTGTGATAACCTGGGATGTAAGTGTTTGGGCAGCATCTTCCCCATCAGGGTCTTGCTGTTCCCATGATCATTATGGCTTCCCAGGTGGTGGTGCCAATGGTGCAGGTGGTGGTGGTAGTGCTGGGGGTGTGGCTGGTGGGTGCTGCTGCTGCTGGTGGTAATATAGGTGGTGATGGTGGGATTAGTGGTAGTGGGGCTGGTGGTGGTGGTTGTAGCCCTAGTAGCTAATATTTTTTGATACTTTCTCTGAGCCATCCACTATTCCCAGCATTTAGCATGTATTTTCCTCATGTCATCCTTGCAACAATTTACAGATGAAAATACTCAGGCTCAGATATAAGAAATAATTTGCTCAGGGTCACCTGGTTGGTAGACATAGAGATGAGTTATGTTGCGGCTGTTGCCCCTCAAGCTCCCCTTATGACTTTCCAAGCAGCTGTGCAGCCCCCACTGGTGAAGTCACCTATTCCAACAGGTGCTTGAGTTTGTTTCTTTCCTGGCCATTCTCCCAGCCATTGGTTTACATCATCAGTAGGAAAAAGGTTAATAGGTTTGAAGTCAAAAAGTACTAGAATTACCTGCATTTTTTGAAGATGCTGATGATGTGTCAACAAAATTTTTGACACGACTCAAGTATAGCTTTGAGTTTAATTCGTTAATATTTTTTTCCTTTTTTTTTGAGACAGTCTTGCTCTGTTGCCCAGTCTGGAGTGCAGTGGTGCAATCTTGGCTCACTGCAACCTCCACCTCCTGGGTTCAAGTGATTCTCCCACCTCAACCTCCCCAAATAGCTAGAATTACAGGCATGCGCCACCATGCGTGGGTAATTTTTGTATTTTTAGTAGAGACGGAGTTTTGCTATGTTGGCCAGGCTGCTCTCAAACTCCTAACCTCAAATGATCGAGGTGCCTTGGCCTCCCAAAGTGCTAGAGTTACAGGGATGTAATTCATTAATTTATAAATTAGTATTTACTTCCCTTTTTTTTTTTTTTTTTCCTTGATGGAGTCTCTCTCTGTCACCCAGGAGTGGCGTGATATCGGCTCATTGCAATCTCCACCTCACAGATTCAAGCAATTCTCCTGCCTCAGCCTCCCGAGTAGCTGGGACTACAGGCGCATGCCACCACGCCCGGCTAATTTTTGTATTTTTAGTAGAGACAAGGTTTCACCATATTGGACAGACTGGTCTCAAACTCCTGACCTCGTGATGGCCACTTGCCTTGGCCTCCCAAAGTGCTGGGATTACAGGCGTGAGCCACCGTACCAGGCCTTTTTTTTTTTTTCCAGTTTTACTTAATTGTTCTTAATCACCATTTTAATATTTCTTCTCATAAAGTCAACATTAAGAATTAGATAATTTTTATTTGGCTTAAGAGATCAGATATTTTCAACTGAAAGTATATCTTCCTATTAGAAACTCAGACTTGAGCCATAAGATGATCAGCTAACTGAATAATCACAGAAAATTCCAGTTCATTATCTGGATGGCTATGAAATGGTGACATATGTCTGTTTAAAAGCAGCTGACATGACTCTCCTGCTGATGTTTTTCTCCTTTTTTCATGCAACTGCTTAATACAATGTAGATGATTATTTGATGACTTTTACAAATAAATGCCTGTGGATTACAGCTGCATTCATTTTTGCCTTGCCCTTATGTGTAAGGGTGATTCAGTATGTCTTTCCTTTATAGCCAGTCCCTGAAGAACTACAGAATGGTGAAGGTTTTGGGTATGTTGTTGCTTTCCGCCCTCTTGGGGTTACCACCTGGATCCAGACAGTGGTGACATCCCCTGACACCCCAAGATATGTCTTTAGGAATGAAAGCATCGTGCCATATTCACCATATGAAGTTAAAGTGGGTGTTTATAATAACAAAGGTGAAGGACCATTTAGCCCAGTGACAACAGTGTTCTCTGCAGAAGAAGGTATGGAAAACATGACTGTATATCAGTTCCGCCTAATAATAATTATTTGTGCTCCAAAAACTGATTTGGAGTCTCGTTTTGACTTCAAATATATTTATTCCAAAGAACAATCATCCAGGTAGTAGTTAGATTCCCAGTGCAAGTCATAAAGATCAATCATAAATGACTTGAAGTATAAGACTTAATGGATAGTTAGAGGATGTAACCGTGAAAGGAAAATAAAACCTCAGGACCCCAATTCACTAGGCCAAAAGGAAGAAATTAAGCTGAAAGCCAAGTCATGCAAGAAAATGCCTTTCCTTTTGTTCCTAACCAGATAGCTACAGATAAAAGGTTAAATCTCTCTACAGGTAGCTACTCCATGTTCGCCTTGCCTTATGTAAAGTGCTGATTTACTGAGCAGGAGACCTAATTGATTAGCCTCCTATCTGCTCCTTTTCCCTTGCAACATGCGGATTACCATACCCTTCCTCTTTCCACTCCAGCCCACTCTAAATATTAAAGCCCTCAGATTCACCTTTGGAAATGGACACAGACCATGTTTCTGTACACCCGTGTTTTGTTTTTTTTTTCTTCTGGGCATGTCCTTAACACCTTGATAAAATAAATCCCAAAATTGATTGAGACCTGTCTCAGATCATAACCATCAATTTAAAAATCTGTTTATGAGGAACACTTCCTACGTTCCAGCTTGTGAAGCAAGGAAAATCACAGCCTTACCTTGGGGTAATAAAAATATACCCCTTGGAGCTACCCTAGTCCTAAGTTGTATAGTGGTTCCCATGGCCTGAGAAAAGGATGTTACTGGATGAAGAGTCAGGAGCAGCGGTATCTCATTCAACAGACATGCAATGTGCAGGTTTGAGGGATATGAACCTGCTGGTGGAGATACAGACATACTTCACTCTGGACCCGTTCTGTTTCTTTGCCTTTCTTTTATACCTGTCTCAGATATTGAGACATCTACATTTTGTCTCATGACCGCTTTAGAAAATAATCAAGGTAAAAGAATTATGCAAAATTGCCATTTCATAGATCAGCAACAACTGTTGGCTATCTCATGTAGTTCTACAAAAAAAAAAAAAAATGGCAGAAACTAACATGTATTGAAGTTTTACTACTTGCCCGACATTACCTAATTTGATATTTCAAATAAAAAATATAGGCACTATTATTTCCCATTTACAAATGAGAAAATGGAAGCCTTGTGAAAGAGAGTAATAAATTTGCCAAAATTCCTAATAGTAAGTGGTACAGCCAGTATTTTAACCAAGGGCCTTTGCCCTTAACCATTCTGAGCTCACGAAATATATCAGTGTCTCCCCTACCCTCCAGACCTGACAGTAAGTTGCAAAAAGTGGCCTGCAGTTGTCATTCCTAAGAATAGTAAGTAGAGTTGATTTTTCTTCGGCTCCCCGCCCCTATTCTTGTGTTCTCACTTTTGGTTGAGTTCTGAGAGGGATTTTTTTTTTAAGGGTTATACAAGTCTTTGCAGAAGAGTCTTAAATTCATAGCCAGACCTCATTTCTAAAAGCTGCCAGGGATTGCAAGGGCAAGTCAGGGGTCTGGGGAGTGATGGCCATTATCCAGGGAGTTTTCGGACACTGTTTACCTGTGCATCCAGGACCTAGGTGCTGGCAACTGGAAAAGAGGGGCAGCCACAGCCTCTTACGCATTGTTGCCTCCCTCATTTTTCTTCTCCTCTTATCATTTTTGCTCCTGCTGCAGAGTTAGCTAAAAGTCTTTCTGTTCAAACATGAAAAATGAATCGGGCTTACCTAAGAAAGAAGCAAAAGACTTCTGTGAAATCTACTAGGGTGTCTCTGTGAATCCAAGGGAGAGTTATGCAGCAAACCTCACAAAGATCTTCAATCAGAGAAGCCCTGGAACCTCAGAAAATGGTTCTGCTCTTCTAGAGCACCTGCACTGGATCAGTGGGCTCCAAGTACTCCTCGACTCTCCAAACCAAGTTTCAAATTCTCAGGAGAGAAAATCTAAGGGGCCCAGCCTTAGACCAGGAATTCGTCTTAGCATCAAGCAAGATCCTTGTCTGAGAAGCAGGATCATTTGACAGAGAAATGCACCTGAGGGAGGGGAGATTCCTGCTCAGAGCTGGGCCCTGAGAAGGGAGAACCACTGTGAACCCCATAGAATCTCAACAGTGCTTTTTACAAAGGGGAATCTTCTTGCTATATGATAAGCCACCTGCATTTCTATCTACTCCTTCAAAAGAGCATGCCATCCACCACATTTCAGTTGTCTCTGTAGGCCTCTCTAGACAGGGTACTCACTCAGTGTTTATTGTGTAAATGAGCTTTACTTAACCTAGACCTTTGTTTGGCAAAATGAAAACTAAGTAGCGTCTGTGGGCAGAGAAGTTCCCAAGCAGTAGGAATGAGATGAAGGGAAGGAAATAAGGACAAGGTGAGGAGAAGACAGGCAAAGAAAAAGGAAGATAAGGAAGATGCCAAGAAAGAGGTGCAAGGGAGGAAAGTATAGGTTGCCACAGCTGTTTAGCAAAGAAAAGCCTTTGGCTATGATGCCATCTTTTCCTAAGAAACGGAAATGGACCAGTGTCTCTATTTTCAACATATGGTGCCAGAATATTTCATACAATTTTCAAATACGTTAAAATGCTTTTATAAAAATAAGAACATTAATCTGTGTTTTAAACTAACTGCCAAAATTATCATCATATTTCAATTTCTGTTTCCGAACAGAGCCTACAGTGGCCCCATCTCAAGTCTCTGCAAATAGCCTATCTTCCTCAGAAATTGAGGTTTCATGGAACACCATTCCTTGGAAGTTGAGCAATGGACATTTACTGGGCTATGAGGTAATTTCTTTTCCGATTAAATTGTGTATGTGTGTTACCGTGCCACTTTGTCTCCTTGAATTTAAAACCCTTAACAATGACCTCTTATTTGAAGTCTGTCTTTGGCCGAAATTTTTTTATCAACACATTGTTTCATCTGATGTTCCATGTATACTGAATTTAACCAGTTGAATGAAAATAACATTAGTTGGAGTAGAAAAGGAATAAAAAAAGAATATGAAAGGAAATCACGTATCACGTGGGCCAAATATTTTAGATGAGTTGACTAAAAAATAAGGGTGAGATTGAACTGCAGTATCAAGTTCATAGAGTACTTTCATCAACAGGAAGTCACTGTCCTCCAGCTCTTTGTCTTACTTTCTTGGTGGCTTTGTTACATTGTGGGGTTCTTTTATAGGCTCTAGAGAAGCCAGCTGTCTGTAAGATATTTTGAGCCTTCAAAGACCTCTCTGTTTAGTGAAATAGGACGAAACATCTGAAACAGAGGATAATGTAAGACCAAATATAATGAAGGTCTGACTAGGTCACCCAAAACAGGAAATGTTTGTGTTGTCAAGAAGGATGGGACATACTGAAAGTCTTCATAAGGGTAGTAAGGCTTAACAGGACTTTCAAGGCAAAGTAAGTAAAGGTGGAAGGAGTGGAAAACATTCTGGATTAGGCAAGGCATGATAGAAAAGCAGAGGAGTAGAGGCCCACCTGCCAAAGGTTCCTGTTTGGAAAGGTGACTTCAAATAGGCATGGGAGGACCAGGTCACAGGTGGCTTTAAAGGCTAAGAAGAACCATTTGAACTGGGTCCCCTATTTAGTAGTGAGCAGTTAGAGGAAACTGGGAGTAGTAGAGCTGAGAACTGGCAAGATAAATACAATTCAAAGATTTTGCCAGCAATGACATTGTGGGATTCATAGTTGTGATTTCATCCTACCCACAGCTGTCTTCTTATGAAGCTTCCCTCCAAGCTTCCCTGAGGAAGCATGTAACTCCTGATTCAGTGGCAGGCTTACACAGGCAGGTTTGCATCACAGGGCCACATACCCCTCCACTTGCCAACACACCTTCAAATGAGGGTTCCAGGGTGGTCTCTTGATCAAATGTAAATGCTCTGTGGACTGTGAAGCCTAGCAAGTCAGATTCTTGTTTGAGATATTTATATAAGAAATTATAGAGATTATAGTTAGTGAGTGTAATGCAGTAGTGTGTCAAATTTAGGGCTCAGTTCAGACTTCTCAAACTAAGGCCATGGACAGGCAGGACAAAGCTAATCTGCAGAGATGAGATACACTGTCATGCATCCCTAAAGAATGGAGGAGACAAGGGCCCATGGAACCTGCAAGAGGGCAGAATAAGCCAGGTGTGGTGGCTTGCGCCTGTAATCCCAATACTTTGGGAGGCAAATGCAGGAGGATTGCTTGAGCCCAGGATTTCACGACTGGCCTGGGCAACTTAGTGAGACCCCATCTCAACAAAATATACAAAAATTAGCCAGGCATGGTGACACATGCCTGTAGTCCTAGTTACTTGGGAGGCTGAGATGGGAGAATTGCTTGAGCCCAGGAGGTCGAGGCTTCAGTGAGCCGTCATCCTGCCATTGCACTGTAGCCTGGATGACAGACTGAGATTCTATCTCAAAAAAAGTGGGGGCAGCCAGAATAAAGTAGCTCTTTGACAGTCATTCAGTTATCATATGACTTGGCTTTATTCTTTTTCATAATGTAACCTTGCCCTTCTTTTTAATAGATTCTCCTTATATTTGAACTGCCTTGAAAGAGTTTCTGTTCCTTGCAACCAAACAAGCATCGACTTGAATTAATATTAAAAAATTAAGAAAAGAAAGGATAGGGAATAGAGCAATGATGCTCAAAGTATGGGCTGTGAACCCCCTACAGCAGAATTACCTGAAGGTGTTGTTAAAATTGAGCTCCCACAGCTCTCCCAGGACCCACTCAATCCAAACATTTAGGACTAGGTCTTGTTAGTGTATATTTTTAGTAACTATCTGTAAGGAAACATCTTCCTGCACAGTTAAACATAATAAACACTGGTCTTGACAGAGAAGCCTGATCAGAGACAGAATAGTCTGGACTTAAGGAAGAGAGAGTATGAAGAAGTAAAACACCACATAAATACAGGAGAACAACTTAATGCACATCTTTTAAAGGAAGCCAGGAACAGCTGGATGGAAGATTCCTTTAATTCCATGACAATAGATGAAAGCAATGAAAGATGATGGGGAGCCAACAGTAGCTCCCTTGTGGTTAAAGAACTGGCAGTGGCATTGGCAATGGAGGTAAAGATATAGGGGCTGGAAGGAGCACAGCTGTAAGGGATTGTGGCTCTGAGGCCAGTCCCATAGCAAATCCCAATTCTACCACTTGCCAGCTGTGTTTGGAAAATTACATAAACTCTGTGATCCTCGTTTTCCTCACCTGTAGAATGGGGACAATAATAGGCCTAACCTCATTAGGATATTGGGAGGATTGGATAAGATTAGGTATGTAATGAGATTCTCATAATTTCTGGCTCTTTATTTATTTATCTATCTATTTATTTTTGAGACGGAGTTTTCGCTCTTGTTGCCCAGGCTGGAGTGCAGTGGCATGATCTCAGCTCACCACAACCTCCCCCTCCTGGGTTCAAGCAACTCTCCTGCCTCAGCCTCTCTAGTAGCTGGGATTACAGGTGCACGCCACCACGCCCAGCTAACTTTTGTATTTTTTAGTAGAGATGGGGTTTCTCCATGTTGGTCAGGCTAGTCTCTAACTCTCAACCTCAGGTGATCTGCCTGCCTTGGCCTCCCAAAGTGCTGGGATTACAGGCGTAAGCCACTGCACCTGGCCAGTTTCTGGCTCATCATAATAAACAGTCAGTAGGTGTGAGACATCCCTCAGAAGAATTTTTGAGATATTAATGTATCTATTTCTCTCCAGTAAATATTCTGTAGCAAATAATTGACAGTAATCTCCCTTAACTCAAGGGATTATGCCAAAAGCTATCAAAAGGAGTTGCCTGCAAGACACTTCCCTTCCTAGCTTTGTTTCAAAACTTCAGGCCATTAGGCAGATTGTTCCGTGTTTCTTGGAGGGTCACAGGAGGAAAATTGCAACTGAGGAAAACATAGAAGAGAAATTTCCAATGACATTGGCAGACATAAATGTCTGAAGCTTACAAAGCCTCCTGGGGGCTACATCTTTCTAAAGCAGTGCCCAGGTTGACGGCAAGATTGAACAACTGTGTTTCCCACACTCGGCAGTGATTTCTCACTCACCAAACATGGCCCCCAGCTGCTAGAATTAAAGGGCTCAAATCAAACACAAAAGTAAGTGATCTTGGGGGCTTTGGGAAGGGAGCCACAGGAATGACTGTGGCTGAATCTCCCATTAGCTGAGCAGGATATGGAATTCAATGTTTGATCAAATTTATTTAAAGAAAATAAATGAACACTGCTGGGCGCGGTGGCTCACACCTGTAATCCCAGCACTTTGGGAGGCCGAGGCAAGCAGATCATGAGGTCAGGAGATCGAGACCATCCTGGCTAACACAGTGAAACCCTGTCTCTACAAATATACAAAAAATTTTTAGTAGAGAGGAACACTTTTACACTGTTGGTGGGACTGTAAACTAGTTCAACCATTGTGGAAGACAGTGTGGCAATTCCTCAAGGATCTAGAACTAGAAATACCATTTGACCCAGCAATCCCATTACTGGGTATATACCCAAAGGATTACAAGTTATGCTGCTATAAAGACACATGCACATGTATGTTTATTGTGGCACTATTCACAATAGCAAAGACTTGGAACCAACCCAAATGTCCATCAATGATAGACTGGATTAAGAAAATGTGGCACATATACACCATGGAATACTATGCAGCCATAAAAAAGGATGAGTTCATGTCCTTTGTAGGGACATGGATGAAGCTGGAAACCATCATTCTCAGCAAACATATTGCAAGGACAGAAAATCAAACACCACATGTTCTCACTCACAGGTGGGAACTGAACGACGAGAACACTTGGACACAGGGTGGGGAACATCACACACTGGGGCCTGTCATGAGGTGGGGGAAGGGGGGAGGGATAGCATTTGGAGATATACCTAATGTAAATGATGAGTTAATGGGTGCAGCACACCAACATGGCACATGTATACATATGTAACAAACCTGCACATTGTTCACATGTACCCTCGAACTTAAAGTATAAAAAAAATAAAAAAGTAAAAAAGTAAAAATAAATAAATAAATAAAAATACAAAAAATTAGCCGGGCGTAGTGGCAGGTGCCTGTAGTCCCATCTACTCAGGAGGCTGAGGCAGGAGAATGGCATGAACCAGGGAGGCAGAGCTTGCAGTGAGCCGAGATCACGCCACTGCACTCCAGCCTGGGCAACACAGCGAGACTCCGTCTCAAAAAAGAAAAAAAGAAAATAAATGAACACATATGGCAGTCCTCAGATGAGAGACTGACATGCACACTCACCATGAACAATGTTGTCCTTTACAGAAATCATGACAGGATCATAATTCTTGACCTAGTCGTAACTTGTAAAATAGTTAAGAAAAATAAATGGAAGAATATACATGAATGGCTTGTGGGATTCCAAACCGAACAGAGTGCTAGCAGTCACTGGTGGTTGTTGAACAGCTTAAGGCAGGTAGATGTTGATTTTTTAATATAGTCATGCACTACATAATGATATTTCAGTTTAGGACAGATGACACATACAACAGTGGTCCCCTAAGATTACAATACCACAATTTTACTTTACCTTTTCTATGTTTATGTATGTTTGAATATACAAAAATGTACAATTGTGTTACACTTGCCTACAGTATTCAGTACAGTAACATGCTGTACAGGTTTATAGCCTAGGAGCACTACGCTACACCATCTAACATAGGTGTGTAGTAAGTTATACCATGCAGGTTCGCATAATTGCACTCTACGATGTTCACACAATGCAACAACCATCTAATGATACATTTCTCAGAATGTATCCCTGTCATCGTAACACATAACTGTATATAAATTTAGGTCAATAAGAAGTCATCCAGATAAGGATATTTTATAAGAAAGGAGAATTACACCATTATTGGTCACACCAAGAAAGAGAGTTTCACTGAAAGACAGAAAATTTAAAAATCCTCATAGAACCGTCACAGTGTCTAGTTAAGTCCACACCATTTTAGAATTAGACAAACCTGTGTTCAGATCTGCTAGTTTGAATACAAACTCTACAAGGAGAAGGTAACTCAGCCTTTTTCCTCATTGATCTATCCCAAGTGCCTGGAGTAGTATCTGACATACAGGAGGCATGCAAAAAATATATGTTGATTGAATAACTGCAGTTTGGGCTCTGCTACCCTGTTGCTGTATGGCCTTGAGCAAGTTGTTCGAGCTCTCCAAGGCTCAGTTAAAATAGAGATAATAATAACTCACAGCATTGTTTGCAAATTAAATGAGATAAAGCAGCTATTGTCAAAATGGCCGAAAGAGACTTAGGGCTGTCACTTTTCTCTGTTTTGAATATTGGGCTTTGGGATGAGATTGTACTGAAGAAAAAAAAAGCAAACCAGTGAAGTAATATATAGTGATGTAGCACAATCCCAGTGTGGGACCCAGTGGCCACCATTTCTAATGCATGCTGATATTGCCATCAAAGTGGGGCACAGAAAGATGAGAAGAGCTATGGGAAAATGGGACTTTCTTGAAATTAATTACAGGTTGAAATGCATTGCCGCTTGCCTGTTTGTGTAAAGAGTAGCAAATAGAATGTCCAAATGTAGCATGAATACAGTATTGAAAGGAAACAACGATTAAACATTTCTTCCCCAAATGCTTGGTAAGTATAAAGAAAAAGGAAACAAGCTGAAAGAAGTACTAATTGGGAAAATCTTACAAAATAATTTATGTAATTACACCAAGATAAAAATATGTCTTTTCTTAGTTTCAGTAATGATTTAAAAATTAACCTTGGTTGGGGGAGAAGGACTTGGCAGAGTATTTAATTATCAGTCGTGTGGCTAACTTTTCTGGGTTGCAGTTTCCCCAGTTTGGCTTTAAAATTGTTAATAGCTCCTTCCTTTCTCTCATCTCAGTGAGGGTTGATCATGTGCCATGTGGCATGCTGAGCACACATCATCATTAGCATCTAGACTAATTTTCTTTCTGATTTGACCAAGCAGTAGTTGAGAAGCTCATTTCCCTGGGCTCCAATTTATTTCATCAGCTAAGCCGTTACACTCAGGCTCAGATCTTTTCTGGTGCCCTTTTGGGTTGGAACAAGAGATACAGACATGATGAAGAGAGGCAGAAGGCTTTAAGTTCATGGATCCTGGGTGCCTGAGGAATGAAAGCTCCCACGTTCTAGTGCAGTATCTACAGTCCATTTTTTTAAAGTCCTTCTCTGTTTTGAAAGAACCAAATTTGGGAGAATGACCTTGATAAATGATTAAAACAAGTCTACGCTTGTGAAATGATACAGATTAGCATATTTTGGAGGAATCAGTCTTTTTTTTAAGTTTGGCAGAAGAATGTAATTAATGTGCCATAATAGAATGCCAAACTTAAACTTCATTGATGCCTTCTTCCAGCCTCCTGTTCCAAACAGCTGTACGGAATGTGTTCCTGATATTTGAATTAGAATGAAAAAAGATGTAGGCCAGGCGTGGTGGCTCACACCTGTAATCCCAGCACTTTGGGAGGCCGAGGAGGGTGGATCACCTTAGGTCAGGAGTTCGAGTCCAGGATGGCCAACATGGTGAGACCCTGTCTCTACTAAAAATACAAAAATTAGCCAGGCATAGTGGCAGGCACCTATAATCCCTGCTACTCAGAAGGTTGAGGCAGGAGAATTGCTTGAACCCAGGAGGTGGAGATTGCAGTGAGCCAAGATCGTGCCACTATATTCCAGCCTGGGCAACACAGTGAGACTCTGTCTCAAAAAAAAAAAAAAAAAGAAAAGAAAAGAAAAGAAAAAAGATGTCAAATATGTGAGTACTTTTTTTGAGACTATGAAAATGTCACTGGAAAAAAAAGACTTATGCATTAGGTCTAATTCCCTGCAATCGGGCAAAGAATTCACTGTAGCACAAGTTGAATGCACATGGGAAAATAAGATACAGACAATTGAGGCATACTGAAATAAATATGACAGGCAAAAATGCATTCAAGTGAGTATAATGCAGACTTTTGAAGAGGGTCAAAGGGTTGGTTTTACTGGAGAGAGCCATAGCAGTAGCCTTTTGTGAGTGAGGGTTGCCTAAATGGTGCTGTATTCTTTATTAGGCAAAGATATTCCATACCAAATGGTGGCTCAGCATTGGGGAATGCAGGGTAATAAATATCCCAGCCTCTCTTTCCTTCCACCCTCCCATCACCAGCATCCTATTACCTACACCCAGCGAGAAGCCACAGGGCAAAGGAGCCAGACTGACAATAGTTCATACCAGTCAGCTCTCCTAGGGACTGAGAGCAGAGTGAAGAAGAGTGGAAGACAGATCTGGAGTTGTCTTCCTAAAAGACCTTTAATGCATTTTTACCTGCTTTTTATTTATTTAAATGTGTCTGGTCTAACTGCTAAGTTAAAATATTTGTCTTTGAAAATCTATTAGTATGAACATAATTCTTTTTGTCTATTAAAAGAGTATTTCTGATATAATACCTATTCTTTAATGGCTGAACAATGCCATTTTAATAGATTATTTTTATAAGCTGCATTTCATTTTTAAATTTAAATTAAGTGAAATCTCTGCTGCAGTGGTATTAAGGACTCTTCACAATAGGAACATTCTTTATGGAAAAATCAAATTACTGGAACTAATAGGGATATTTTTAATTCTGATATTTCTCAACTGTGTTTCTGTTTACTTACCCAAATAAAAATATATTGGTTTGTGAAATGGTTTTATGATTCTGAAGGAAAAAATTGTATTGCCTCATCAAGAAATTGGAGTTTTGATGTCTCATGGATGAATACAGTATTGAGACTTGAATACGAAGCCTGGCGAATCTCTGCCATAGGAAGGAGGGAGGCATTTTTAAACTATGTTCAGGTCATTCAACAATTCAACAGCAGTTAATGGTTAGTATGTACAGGCTTTGCTGCGAACAGTTAAAGATATGGTGATAACCAAGACAGACAAGCCCCTGCCTCAGGTGTGTGAATCCACCTTAACATCCTTTCCCTCCTGCTGTCTGCTGGGTGAGGAAATGCAGTTAATTCCTGTCCCAGGTGCACATCCTCACTGGCAAACCAAGGCATAGTCACTCACGACTGCTCAAGAAGATAGCCTGTATCTCTCAGGTGTCTGGCAATGAAAAATGATTGAGAACCACAATTCAGTCTTAACAACCCTCTCCCCTGGAGTGGATTTGCCTTTTATTTTTCCTACTCTAAACTCAGAGTGAATTTGCAATAGGAAAATTGCTGCGTTTCTTCAGTTCTGGAAAATTATCAGCCTTTTTCCCTTTGAATATTGGTTTTTCCTCAGTCTCTCCTTCTGGAACTCCAGTTAGAACTTTTCATTCTACCCTCAGTGTCCCTTAACTTTGCTTTTGTAATGTTTATTTCTCTATACAGGCTCTGTTCTGGGTTAATTAGTTCCCTTTTCCACCATAAGTCTTCAGCTTAATTCTATCATTGATTTTATTTTTTTAATAATTGTAATTTTTTAGGTCTATAAGCCCTGCATATTATTTTTCAAATCTGATTTTTTTTAAATCTTCTGTCATTGCATAGTAGATTCAGTTTCTTCTTTAGTAAATCTAGACATGTTAAACAGTTATTTTAAAATTTGTTTCAGATCAGCGTATTCCAGCTCATCTTCCACTGGTTGGGTCTGCTGACATTTTCTTGCTAGCAGGGTTCCTCGTATGCTTTGTAATACTTGTCTCTCTGCTTATCTTCTGTAGATGCTACCTTCATGTTCTGTCAACCTTACGTTCACTCTTTTCTGAACAATTACATTTCCAAATTTGGTTCCTTCAGACTAGACACTTTTTCTTCTCCATCCCTGTACTGTAGTTGTGCCTATCAAATCCAAATTAGCATAGAGATAGTCTGTTCTTTCAGTTGTAGTACTTTGACTATTTAAATCCAAAACACAACTAAGAAAGAAAATGATGTCATCTTTTTTATTTCTTTCTTGACTTTTCCACATTTTTAAAAAATGATCTGGCCTTATGTAAACATTTTTGAGCAAAATTGTATAGAACACAGCAATACTTACAGAAAATTGGCAATATTAATGGTAACACTTTGTTCCTATTTTTAATTTTATATATATATATATATATATATATATATATATATATATATATATATATCTCCCCTTCATTCTCCCACTTATAATCTCATAGTCTGGCTTGCTCAGCATTTGTTCTGTTTGAATTTATCTGGTTCATATATTTATTTGTTCATTATTTTTCTCCTCCTAGAGTCCCTTTTCTCTATCTTCACTGCTGTGACACACAGCCTAATGCAGCACCTAGCACATAGTAGGTCTTCAGTAAATATTGGTTGAACAAATCAGGAAATAAGTCAGTGCCCATTTTAATGAAAATCACTTAATGGAAAGGGCAGAATTTTTTAAGCCTTCACATGTTTGGTGTCTTCCGCCCACCAGGTGCGGTACTGGAATGGGGGTGGAAAGGAGGAATCATCCAGTAAGATGAAAGTGGCAGGAAATGAGACATCAGCCAGACTACGGGGCCTGAAGAGCAACCTGGCCTATTACACGGCTGTCCGGGCTTACAACAGTGCCGGCGCTGGGCCTTTTAGCGCCACAGTTAATGTAACCACCAAGAAAACGCGTAAGTATATTCTGATTTCTTTGAATGGTACGGAAAATAGTTTGCATTAAAAAGGATAGCCTTCTCTATTATTTGAAATGGACAACCCAAGTCATTAATCTCACTAGATTATATAAACCTAACTCCAAAACCTAACTCCAAAACCCAACTCCAAAACCCTTGTCCTCATGATATCCCTAAATCTTTAGGTAGAGTGTGAAAATGAACGTGCACCTTCTGAAAAAATCTTAGTGTGGGGTGTTAGGTTAAATCTATCCCCTTTTCTTTTAAAATATGATAAGCTTAGTTGGGTTTACTTTCATGTATTTTTAGTTTCCCAAAGCTTGAGGATTTCTGATAAGCATGAATAAGTTAAAATTAATGCCGAAGAATCAGGAGTGATTTTTCCTTCTTTATCTTTCTTTCCTCCATCATACAAAAAATGGCAATGTGCATTAAATGGTTATCAGCAAAAGATGATGGTCCTGTGAATGTGTTGATACTTTAAAAAATCTAACCAGAGTTGTCAGTGTTGCTTTCAAAGCTGAGTTTTTGTTAGCTGTGTATTCACAGGTAAATTCGCCAGCTGCAATCATGAGTTACAATTATATTAGTCTACAAGAAAGTCAGTGATTTACAATTTGCTAATGTTCCACACATATTTCAGTTAATCTAATAGCATAGTATACATTTAATCATTGTGTTTTATTGTTTTATTGGTACTTACAATGCAAATGTTTAAGTTACTATTGTCATTGCCCTCATCTTAGCTAATAGTGATTGAAAACATTCTGTATCCCAAGTAATTTATGCTCATTCCCACATTTAATCCTCATAACTACTCCCAAGAGGTAGGTGCCATTATTATCTCTATTTTAAAGGTGATAGAAGTATGGCTTGAAAGGATTAGGTAACTTACGCGCAGTGATACCATACTTTTACTTGCAGAAAATTGTTTTCTTAATTTATTTTTCAAATTTCTTAATTTAATAAAAATGTTTGCTTAACTAACTTTATGTAAGAATGAGACAATTTTTATGCTTGGTTGCTAATTTCATTGACGCATTTCTGTTTCCATATCATTTCCAATTTTTTTGAAAACATACTTTTTTGTCTAAAATTGCAAAGAACTTCAATAATATAAAGTTGAATATGATTGGCTAGCATTTTTTATGGTTAACTTAAAGTAATGTAAGACAGTTCTGCTACTTTAGATGTTAATTAGCACGTGTAAATTTGATTAAAGAAGTTTGTGTGTTTATCTTTGTATTAGGTATAGAAAAAAGAGTGTGGCTAACAATTGGCTAGTACAATGAGCATTGCAGAGCACAAATTTAGCAAGAAACCATTTGAATTTCTATAGCAAGACCCATTTGTAAGCAACCGACTAATGTAACAATTTAACATGATCCTTATCTAATTATTATAGGAAGTCTAATCTACCTGTTTTTCATACCACTTGGTTGCTGTTAGACCAAAGAGCACATGGGTTTGGAAATACAGATACAAAAAAACTCTGTATTTACAACTCTTTACTAAATATGTTTGGTTTTCTCAACAATTCTTACTGAATCAATATGGTCTAAATATACATCATTATTTATATATTCCAAACACAGCATCAATCAAAGATTCTGATTGCAAAAATATATGCAAACAAATTTGTCTGGCTCTTTTCTCTGACTTAATAATTGATGTGATTACTTGCTAGGAAATTATGATAGTAAAAGACAGTGTAACATCATGGTGGAATCAGTGAAGAACTTAGTGGATTAGTAAGACAGAAGGAAGAGACTGATTAGAAATCAATAGAAATGTCATGATAATGTACAATGAATGAATGAAAATTTTAAAAAGAAGCCAAATCCCTTTACAATTTAGGGATAGCATATAAACGCCCAATCCGAAGTAGAAATTTGCACAAAACAGTGATGCTGATAATTATGGTTGACACTTACTGAGCAATTTCCGGTCATGGTTCTAAGTAATTTTCATGTATTGATTCTTAATTCCCACAGCAATGTCATGACTTGAAGGTATTAGCATGCTTACTTTAGAGAGGAGGAAGCTGAGGCATATGGAGGTTATATAATGGTACTGACATTGCAGAGTAAGTAACAGGATGGGCATCCAAATCCATAGTCTTAACCACTATGGTATCCTCTCTTTCAGCCATATTGTTAGAATTTCATCACTCATTTAATACCTTTATTTATTGTGATTTTGCTCTGTGCTTAGGAACTGGGTAAGATGATCACAGGTGGTCATGGCTTCTCTGCTCATGGAGCTTTAGTTTGATGGGAAATCCAGCAACTGAATGAAATCTCTCAAAAACAATGTTCTGCTATTATTCAACTGGAGTTCATCTAGAGTCTTTAGGTTGATCTGTAGATGTTATTAAGGACAATTTCCTACGTTGGGTGGGAAATTCATATAGATCATTAAAATCCCCAGTCATCCTAAAATGGCATATAAAGAACATATGTTAATTTTTAAATTTTATGTTAATAATTTTTAAATATGTACCAAAATTTCAAGTAAAACAGAATCTCTTAGAGCCATTAATAATATTGTTACTGGTAGCTCTAAATAGTCTTCCTAAGCTTTGACATGGTTTAACTGCAAATCCTATTTAAAATTTTGGTAAGGCTCTTGTGATTATCACTATGAAGAGAATTACTTGTCTGCCTTGGCATAAAGAGCAAAAATAACATTTTTGATTACCTGCTTGCTATCGCTCTTCCCCTATGGATTCTAAACTTTACAGGGAAAGAGTCCTTCTGTGTCTTATTTACCCAGCCACAGTGCCCAGCACAAACCCAGCACATAGGAGCAGCATATTAAATGTTGAATGGATGAATGAAACTTAGAGAAGCAAGCCAAACCTCAAGTACTATTATTAATCAAATGTACTTCCTCTTGACTGCACATTGCAAATTCAAAACATGCTACAGTTCTTTACCATCTCACTTAAAATGTGCAAGTTTCATGTACTCATCATTATGGAATTTTGTATGCAAGGCTTTAAATCAGTACAGATTTTAGATGATATTTCTGATTAATGTAAAATAACACAAGGATTCTCAAGTACTGTAGCTTCCATTAAACACTTAATTTTTGATATCCAAATACTTGTGTTTTTTAGAAGCATTTTTAAGTTAAACACTAATTAGCCTCTTTAAGTAATCTAAGATGGGTTTCTGTCATTTGCCACCAAAGAGAGCAAACTCTTAACAGCATCTTTCATCTCAAGGGACTGATGAATAAAATTTGCAGATGGCTTAAAAATGATAAGTTGCATTAGTTTCTAAAAAGAAACATTGAGAATTTTATGTTGAGTTTGCAAGAGATAATCTGTAGGATAAATATTCTGCTTTGTATAATCAAAAAGTCAAGTGGTGATTCTGACATTCAGTATGAATGGATCCAGACACTCAAACAACATTCACCACAATCATGTAATAAGATCTCAAATTTAATAAAACTGAATTATTGGTTCTCCTTCCAACCCATTTAAATCCTCTCTCTTCTGTGATAGTCCCCATTTCCATAAATTCCACTCCAATGTTTCAGTTTCTCAAGCCAAAAATCTCAGAGTCACCCTCGAGTCATTTTCTCTCATACCCTACGCTAGATCCAGAATCTTACTTTTAGATTTATCAAGAATTTACCACTTCTGGCCAGGCACGAGGACTCACGCCTATAATCCCAGCACTTTGGGAAGCCAAGGTGGGATGATTGCTTGAGCTCAGGAGTTCGAGACCAGCCTGGGCAACATAGTGACACTGTCTCACTATGCTGAGACAGAGAAAAATATAAGAGAATTAACCAGGTGTGGTGGTGTGTGCCTGTACTCCCAGCTACTCAGGAGGCTGAGGTGGGAGGATTCCTTGAGCCTAGGAGATCGATCAGAGCTGCACTGAACCGTAATTGTGCCACTGCACTTCAGCGTGGGCAACAGAGTAAAACCCTGTCTCAAAAAATAATAATAAAAATAAAGAAATAAAATATACCACATCTTACACTGCTGACACATCAAGGCAAGCTGCCTCCAACTCTCTCCTGTAGATCAGGGCAATGGCCTCTCACTGTTCATCCTGTTTCTGCCTTTGCCTTGACATCCTGATAATGTCACTTCCCTGCTCAGAACCTTTTTGTCACTTCCCATCCCACTCCAGGTAAATGCTAAATCCTTAAAATGCCCAATGAGGCCTTATACAATCCACTCCCCAATCTCTGCTCTGACTTATTTCCTATTCTTTTCCACCTTGCTCATTCCACTTTACTTCAGGACCTCTGCATGTACTGTTTCCTGTATCTCGAAAGCTCTTCCTCCAGATACCCACATAATGCACTCCCCCATCTCTTCCACGTTGTCACTCAGATATCACCTGGGTGCCACCTGACTGCAGCTCCACCTTTTCTGATGCTCTTGTCTCCTTCCCTGTTTTATCCTTGTGCATAGCCTCAGAGCCACCACATGTACTGTATCTCATGGCTACTCACTTCATCACTGTGTCCCCAGGACATCGTTGTGTCCTGCCTTAGCCGGAGTGTCAGCCCCTTCAGGGCAGAGCTATGGCCTGGTTTGATCATTGCTCTCTTCCCAGAGCTCTACTCCAGTGCTTAAGTAATCACAGTCAGTGCCCAATAAGTATTTGTTGAACAATGACTCTCTCCATCACTGTCTCTGCTCCATGGCAGCATCACTCTAACCAAGTTCTCTCTTCGTGGCAGAAAGATTGCCACCAGCACCTCAAGAGAACTGTTGTCTCTTGGCCAGTCACACTGGGAAAGGTGGGCAGTTTCTTTCTGATTATTCTACCCAGAGCTAAGTAGGCTTCTCATTGATTCATCTTGGGCAAACAACCAACTGTTGTTTCCAGTTGTGAGAAAAACTGGACCAGCCTGGCCTGAAACACATGCCCAGACTCCCCTGGAACAAGGGGATTCTATATTTTTATGCCTTTGCTAATTATTATATGTGTGAGTATACTTGGGGAAAAAGAAGAATGCCAAATGATACAATCACTTTTGCATTTGAGTCTTTGCTTTTCTAAATGAAATGCTCATCCATGTAAGTGGAGCCAAAATCAGTTACCTGAATGTAAGGAAATCAAGTAGGTATGCTTTTTTTTTAATTCAACTTTTTTTATTTGTTTTTTAATTTTTGTGGGTACATTGTAGGTGTATATATTTAAGGAGTACATGAGATCTTTTGATACAGATATGCAATGTGAAATAAGCACATCAGGAAGAATGAAGTATCCATCCCCTCAAACATTTAGCCATTGAATTGCAAACAATATAATTAAACTCTTTAAGTTATATAAAAATGTACAGTTATTATTGACTATAGTCACCCTGTTATGCTATCAAATAGTAGGTCTTAGTCATTCTATTTTTTTGTCCCTGTTAATCTCCACTTATCCCCCTCACCCCAAACCCCTCACTACCCTTCCCAGCCCCTAGTAATCATCCTTCTACTCTCTATGTCCATGAGTTCAATTGTTTGACTTTTATTTTATTATTATTTTTCCATAGGTTAGTGGGGTACAGGTGGTTTTTGGTTATATGAGTAAGTTTTTTAGTGGTGATTTGTGAGATTTTGGTGCACCCATCCCCCAAGTGGTATACACTGCACCCAATTTGTAGTCTTCTGTCCCTTGCCCCCCTCCCAACCTTCCCCCCAAGTCCCGAAAGTCCATTGTATCATTCTTACGCCTTTGCGTCCTCATAGCTAGCTCCCACATATCAATGAGAACATACGATGTTTGGTTTTCCATTCCTGAGGTACTTCATTTAGAATAATAGTCTACTATCTCATCCAGGTCACTGTGAATGCCGTTAATTCATTCCTTTTTATAGCTGGGTAATATTCCATCATATGTGTGTGTGTTTGTATGTGTATGTATATGTATATATATATCACAGTTTCTTTATCCACTCGTTGATTGATGGACATTTGGGTGGATTCCACATTTTTGCAATTGTGAATTGTGCTGCTATAAACATGCATGTGCAAGTATCTTTTTCGTATAATGACTTTTTTTCCTCTAGGTAGATACCCAGTAGTGGGATTGCTGGATCAAATAGTGGTGCTACTTTTGTTCATTAAGGAATCTCCACACTGTTTTCCACAGTGGTTGTACTAGTTTGCATTTCCACCAGCAGTGTAGAAGTGTTCCCTGATCACCGCATCCACACCAACGTGTACTGTTTTTTGATTTTTTATTGATGGCCATTCTTACAGGAGTAAGGTGATATTGCATTGTGGTTTTGATTTGCATTCCTTGATCATTAGTGGTGTTGAGCATTTTTTCATATGTTGGTTGGCCATTTGTATATTTTCTTCAGAGAATTGTCTGTTCATGTCCTTCACCCACTTTTGTATGGGATTTTTTGTTTGTTTTTTTTTCCCGCTGATTTGAGTTCGTTGTAGATTCTGGATATTAGTCCTTTGTCAGATGAATAGATTGTGAAGATTTTCTCCTACTCTTTAGGTTGTCTGTTTACTCTGCTGACTGTTGCTTTGCCATGCAAAAGCTCTTTAGTTTAATTAAGTTCCAGCTGTTTATCCTTGTTTTTATTGCATTTGCTTTTGGGTTCTTGGTCATGAAATTCTTGCCTAAGCTAATGTTGAGAAGCGTTTTTCCAATGTTATCTTCTAGAATTTTTGTAGTTTCAGGTGTTAGATTTAAGTCCTTCATCCATCTTGGGTTGATTTTTGTATAAGGTGAGAGATGAGGATCCAGTTTCATTCTCCTACATGTGGCTAGCCAATTATATCAGCACCATTTGTTGAAAAGGGGGTCCTTTCCCCACTTTATGATTTTGTTTCCTTTGTTGGAGATCAGTTGGCTGTAAGTATTTGGGTTTACTTCTGGGTTGTCTATTCTGCTCCATTGGTCTATGCTCCTACTTTTGTACCAGTACCATGCTGTTTTGGTGACTATGGCCTTATAGTATAGTTTGAAATCAGGTAATGTGATGCCTCTAGATTTGTTCTTTTTGCTTAGTCTTGCTTTCTGGGCTCTTTTTTGATTCTATATGAATTTTAGAGTTTTTTTTATAATCCTTTGAAGAATATGGTGGTATTTTGATGGGATTTGCATTGAATTTGTAGATTGTTTTTGGTAGTATGATCATTTTCACAATATTAATTCTACCCATCCGTGAGCATGGGATGTGTTTCCATTTGTTTGCACCATCTATGATTTCTTGCAGCAGTGTTTTGTAGTTTTCCTTGTAGAGGTCTTTCATCTCCTGGTTAGGTATATTCATAAGTGGTTTTTTTTTTTTGGCAGCTATTGTAAAAGGGGTTGAGTTTTTGAATTGATTCTCTGCTTGGTCACTGTTGGTGTGTAGAAGAGCTACTGATTTGTGTACCTTAATCTTGTATCTGGAAACTGCTGAATTATTTTATCAGTTCTAGGAGTTTTCTGGATGATTCTTTAGAGTTTTTGAGGTAAACCATCATATCATCAGCAAACAGTGACAGTTTGACTTCTTCTTTACTGATCTGGATGCCCTTTATTTCTTTTTCTTGTCTGATTGCTCTGGCTAGGACTTCCAGTACTAAGTTGAAGAGGAGTGGTGAGAGTAGGCATCCTTGTCTTTTTCCAGTTCTCAGAGGGAATACTTTCAACTTTTCCCTATTCAGTATAATTTGGCTGTGGGGTTGTCATAGATGGCTTTTATTACATTGAGGTATGTCCCTTGTATGCTGATTTTGCTGAGGGTTTTAATCATAAAGGGATGCTGGATTTTGTTGAATGCTTTTTCTGTATCTATTGAGATAATCATGTGATTTTTGTTTTTAATTCTGTTTATGTGGTGTTTCACATTTATTGACTTGTGTATTTTAAAACATCCCTGCATCCCTGAAGTGAAACCTACTTGATCATGGTGGGTTATCTTTTTGTTATGTTGTTGGATTCAGTTAGCTAGTGTTTTGTTAAGGATTTTAGCATCTATGTTCATCAGGGATATCGGTCTGTAGTTTTCTTGTTTGGTTATGTCTTTTCCTGGTGTTAGTATTAGGGTGATGCTGGCTTCATAGAATGAATTAGGGAGGGTTCAGTCTTTATCTTGCTGAATAGTGTAAACAGGATTGGTTCCAATGGTCTGGTAGAATTCTGCTGTGAATCCTTCTGCTCCTGAACTTTTTTAGTCGGTAATTTTTTAATTACCATTTCAGTCTCACTGCTTGTTATTGGTCTGTTCAGGGTATCTAATTCTTCCTGATTTAAGCTAGGAGAGTTGTATCTTTCCAGGAATTTACCCATCCCTTCTAGATTTTCTAGTTTATGTGAGAAAAGGTATTCCTAGTTGTCTTGAATGATCTTTTGTATTTGTGTGGTGTCAGTTGTAATATCTCCCGTATCATTTCTTAGTGAAGTTATTTGGATTTTCTCTCCTCTCTTCTTTGTTAATCTTGCCAATGATCTATCAATTTTATTTATCTTTTTGAAGACCCAGATTTTTGTTTCATTAATCTTTTGTATTTTTCTATTGTTTAAATTTCATTTAGTTCTGCTCTGATTTTGCTTATTTCCTTTCTTCTGCTGAGTTTGGGTTTGGTCTGTTCTTGTTTCTCTAGTTCCTTGAGGTGTGACCTTAGATTGTCAGTTTGTGCTCTTTAAGTCTTTTTTATGTCGGTTTTTAGAGCTATGAACTTTTCTGTTAGCATTGCCTTTGCTGTATCCCAGAGGTTTTGATAGGTTGTGTCAGTATTGTTCAATTCGAATAATTCTTTAATTTCCATCTTGATTTCATTTTTGACTCAATGATCACTCAGGAGCAGGTTACTTTTCATGTATTTGCATGGTTTTAAAGGTTCCTTTTGGAATTGATTTCCAGTTTTATTCCACTGTGGTCTGAGAGAGTGCTTGATATAATTTCAATTTTTTAAAATTTATTGAAGCTCATTTCATAGCCTATCATTTGGTCTATCTTGAAGAAAGTTCCCTTCACTGTTGAATAGAATGTGTATTCTGTGGTTGTTGGATGGAATGTTCCGTATATATCTGTTAAGGCCATTTGTTCCAAAGTATAGTTTAAAACCATTGTTTCTTTGTTAACTTTATGTCTTGATGACTGTCTAGTGCTGTCATGGAGTATTGAAGTCCCCCACTATTATTGTGTGGCTGTCTCATTTCTTAGGTCTATTAATAATTGTTTTATAAATTTGGGAGCTCCAGTGTTAGGTGCATATATGTTTAGGATTGTGATATTTTCCTGTTGGACAAGGCCTTTTACCATTATATAATGTCCCTCTTTATCTTTTTTAACTGCAGTTTCATTAAAGTTTGTTTTGTTTGATATAAGAGTAGCTACTCTTTCTTGCTTTTTGTGTCCATTTGCATGAAATGCCTTTTTCCAGCCCTTTACTTTAAGTTTTCATGTGAGTCCCTATGTGTTAGGTGAGTCTCCTGAAGGCAGCAGATATTTGTTTGGTGAATTCTTACCCATTCTGCAGTTCTGTATCTTTTAAGTGGAGCATTTAGCCCATTTAAATTCAATGTTAGTATTGAGGTGTGAGGTACCATTCCACTCATTGTGCTATTTGTTGCCTGTGTACCTTGGTTTTTGGGTTTTGCTTTTTATGTTTTAAATTGTATTTTTTTTTTATAGGTCCTTTGAGATTTATGCTTTAAAGAGGTTCTGTTTTGATGCGTTTCCAGGATTTGCTTCAAGATTTAGAGCTCCTTTTAGCAGTTCTTGTCGTGGCGATTTGTCTGAAAAAAGACTGTATCTTTCTTTTATATGATGCTTAGTTTCGCTGGATACAAAATTATTGGCTGATAATTGTTTTGTTTGAGGAGGCTGAAGATTGGGCCACAATCCCTTCTAGCTTGTAGGGTTTCTGCTGAGAAATCTGATGTTAATCTGATAGGTTTTCATTTATAGGTTACCTGGTGCTTTTGTCTCACAGCTCTTAAGATTCTTTCCTTCCCCTTAACTTTAGATAGCCTGATGACAAAGTGCCTAGGCAATGATCTTTTTGTGATGAATTTTCCAGGTGTTGTTTCTGGTTCTTGTATTTGGATATCTAGGTCTCTTGCAAGGCTGGGCAAGTTTTCCTTGATTATTCCCCCAAATATGTTTTCCAAACTTTTAGATTTCTCTTCTTAGGAATGCCGATTATTCTTAAGTTTGGTTGTTTAATATAATCCCAGACTTCTTGGAGACAATCATATTTTCTTATTCTTTTTTCTTTGTGTTTGTTGGATTGGGTTAAATTGAGGACCTTGTCTTCACGCTCTGAATTTCTTTCTTCTACTTGTTCAATTCTATTGCTGAGACTTTCCAGAGCATTTTGCATTTCTATATATGTGTCCAGTGTTTCTGGAAGTTTTAATTTTTTGTATTTATGCTATCTATTTCATTGAATATTTCTTCCTTCACTTCTTGTTTCATTTTTTGGATTTCCTTGTATTGGGCTTCACTTTTCTCTGGTGCCTCCTTGATTAGCTTAATAACTAACTTCCTGAATTCTTTTTCCAGTAAATCAGGGATTTCTTCTTTGTTTGGATCCATTGCTGGTGAGCTAGTATGATTTTTGGGGGTTGTTAAAGAGCCTTGTTTTGTCATATTACCAGAGTTGTTTTTCTGATTCCTCCTCATTTGGGTAGGCTCTGTCAGAGGGAAGGTGTAGGGCTGAAGGCTGTTGTTCAGATTCTTTTGTCCCATAGTGTGTTCCCTTGATGTAGTACTCTCCCCCTTTTCCTATGGATGTGGCTTTCTGAGAGCCAAGCTGTAGTGATTGTTTATGTCTCTTCTGGGTCTAGTCACCCAGCATGTCTACCAGGCTCGGGCTTGTACTGGGGGTTGTCTGCATAGAGTCCTATGATGTAAACCATCTATGAGTTTCTCAGCCATGGATACCAGCACCTGTTCCAGTGGAGGTGGCGGGGCTGTGAAATGGACTCTGTAAGGCCCTTAGCTTTAGTGGTTTAATGCTCTATTTTTGTGCTGGTTGGCCTCCTGCTGGGAGGTGGCGCTTTCCAGAGAGCATCAGCTGTGGTAGTATGGAGAGGAACAGTTGGTGGGCCGGGCCCTAGAACTCCCAAGAGTATATGCCTTTTGTGTTCAGCTACCAGGGTGGGTAGGGAAGGACCATGAGGTGGGGGCAGGACTAAGTGTGTCTGACCTCCTCCTACAGCAGGTCTTGCCGTAGCTGCTGGGGGGATGGGCGTGAGGTTCCCAGGTCAATAGAGTTATGTACCTAGGAGGATTATGGCTGCCTCTGCAGAGTCATGCAGATTGTCAGAGAAGTGAAGGAAAGCCAGCAGTCACAGGCCTTACTCAGCTCCCACGCAATCCAAAGGGCCAGTCTCACTCCCACTGTGCCCCCACTGACAGCAAAAAAGTCCGTTTCCAGGCAGTGGGCAGGCAGGGCTGAGAAGTTTCCCCAGGCTACCCACCTCCCAGCTGGGAAAGAAAAGGGCTCTAATTCTTCCTCCACCTATAAAGTCTGCACGCCAGATTCACTCTCTCCCCCAGGTTCTGGCCAGGAAGCTTCTCAACCAGTTAAAATAGTTACAAAGTTCAGCTGGAGATTTCCTTCTTGTGGTGGTTTCCTCGTGCCTCTGGCCACCCTCCCGAAGGATCCCTGTGATGCCAGGCAGGAGTGGCCTGCTTGGGGACCCAGCGAACTCACAGGGCCTTTCCCGCTGCTTCTTCTACCCCTGTATTTCACTCAGCTCCTAAATTGACTCAGCTCTCAGCTCCAGGTAAGGTCGGAATCTTCTCCCATAAATTAGACCTTCAGTTTCCCCAGTGGGGGTATGTGTTTGGGGGTGGAGGACCTCCCTTTCCCACTTCCACAGTTTGAGCAATCACAGTATTTGGGGTGTCTCCTGGGTCTTGCAGGAGCAATCCACTTCCTTCAGAGGGTCTGTGGGTCCTCTCAGGTTTCCTGTTTTATTCCTGCAGTTGTTCTGGAACTAAAATTCACAATGCAAGCCTCCACACACTGCTCTGTCCATCCGAGTCGGAGCTGCAGTCTAGGCCTGCCTCCCGTTTGCCAGGATCTGTTCCAAGTAGGTGTGTCTTGGGGAAGTGAAAAGGAAATGTGAATAAGGCAAGCACTGAAAGAATGAGTCTGAATGTTTCAGACGGTTTTTATTAAATGACTATTGCTACCTCAAACACAGAATTTGGAAGTTCTAAAATTTTTATATATATGACTTAATTGTATAATTGTCCAGTCTGGGTTTTGGCTCAGGATACACATTATTGCAAAGTTTTCCAAATTTCATATGTGATCCACCTATTTTGCCATTTTTTCCAACCTTTTCTATTAATATATATCTACTATTTTTTTCTTAAAAATTGACCTTCTATTTTTACTTAGATAAATTTAAAAAAATGGAAACTAGCTTTTTATCTGAGCAATGTAGAACCAGCATCATTGCCATAAATAGATGCTAACCAAATAGTAAGTTTAATAATAATAAGTAGAATGAAAAATAGACCACCCTCCTTTTTAAATACTAGGAACATATTCTTGCCTGTTGAAACCTCCAAACCTGCTCCCTCTTTGTTTGTGATGTTAGTATAGAGGGGATATTAAAGACCTACTGGCTCCCAAATCTAACTTTCTCTTCAAGCTATGGGAAGATTACAAGGGAATTTTTCTGCAGGTGACTGAATGCTATTTGTTGGCTTTTCTGTGCATCACATCCCCCAGTGCATGTGATCTAATCATGTTTGTATATGACACACCATAAATCACACATATAATGCAATACAAGCCTATCAATGTGCATTCCTCAGATTCAGGAGGGTGTTTTTTTCCCCCATCTATGGGCTTCAGCAAAGTTATTCCTAGTTTTGTAAGCTCTGAAGAAACATAACAATATAATATTGAACTTTACCAGTATTCAAACAGGAATTTTCTGCTAATATAGAATCAGGAAAAATTCTGACTAAATGTGTAAAACTTATGAACTTTATTTTGTAAGAGTTTTGGCACTTTTTTGAAAATCTGCCCCACTTGCCTGTGAATCTTCTAGACCAAGATTGTCCAACCCACAGCCAGAGAGCCACATGTGGCTCAGGACAGCTTTGAATGCAGCCCAACACAAATTCATAAACTTTCTTAAAACATTATGAGATTATTTTGTGATTTTTTTTAAAGCTCATCAGCTATCGTTAGTGCATTTTATGTGCAGCCCAGAACAATTCTTCTTCTTCCACTGTGGCCCAGGGAAGCCAAAAGATTGGACACCCCTGCTCTAGACAATTGTAAGTGTTCTGCTTATAGTTTATAATCTCACATATTTTTATTATGCAAAGGAGAACTTTTGGTCAAGGAAATTCCTAGACGTCGAAAACCAAAAATCAAAGAAAGACCTTCCCTGGCGTTCTAGGTTGGGTTTCAGACGAGTTAAAAAGTAGATGATTTTGTTGTGTTTTAAAACATTGTGTCAATTTCCTTTGATAAGAAATTAGATCCATTTATAATAGTTTTCAGTGATTCCAAAACAACCGTATCTTACTATTGGGGGGGTGCATAATTGGCTTTTGTTTTTGATTACATGATCGTTGCACAATACCACATGTTTAAGCAGCTTAGTTACAAATGTTAATAATTATCTTAAGTGAAGTCCAAGTGCAAAGCGTAACTTCTAGCTACTAGTTATAACAACTTTTTATCAGGTAAGTCATCTCATTACCATCAGATGGCCAAGAAAAAGAGTTGAGAAACATACTGAGTTTTGTATAATTAATCACAGCAAACATATGTTCTTAAAATTTCATATTTTGAAAGTAAATGCCAGCTTCACTGTTACCACTATGAGACATCACCATTGAAAGCTCCAGGCAATAATATTCTTTAACAACCTCTACTTTGTATTATATAAAGGAAAACATTTATTTTAGAAAATTTGGGGGAAAAAGTCTATAGAGAAAAAATAAAATTCACTCATAATCCTATCACTCAGAAATACCATAATTAATATCATTTGTCTTTCCTTCCAGACTTCTGTTCTATGAAAAGTTTCTCTTATACAGTGGAGGTTATGCTGTGTATTTTGTTACCTGTATACTGTATCGTAACTGCCCGTGGATGATATTCCATTGTGATGAACGCCACAATTTATTTAGCCATTTTCCTGTGGATAGACATGTCTTATATTCCCACCTTCCCAGTTTCATCTAATCATGGTTATATGATAGTAATCACTTGTTTTCAGGCAAGTATCTGCAGAGTAAGTAAAATCTATGAAGCTGATGTTGAGGAGTCTGAAAATCAAGTGCACAGAGGATCATGATGGATGCTTAAGGAACAACAATAATAAAAACCTCTCGAGAGAAAGTTATTTCTTTATGTAACACTTAAAATTACTGAAATGATTATGTGTATCCTGTCAATTAGTGTTGTGATATAAATCTAGTGATATGTCATCATTTTACTAGGATTAGTTTTTTACCAGTTTTTTCTAATTTAGCATTCTGCCAACAGTAGAGGTTGACAGGAAAAACCTATAGGATATGAACGTTGACAAACGATTTCCAAAAAATTTCAAAATGTAGACTACTTACCAGTTTAGGTCCAGTAAATTTTGGAACTCAATCATCCTATTCTGGGTTGCACTTCCACACAGGTTCAAATACAAAAAGTAAAATTAGAAGTCCTAGAAGTTACACTATCAACTATCCCCTGCTCATTCCTAATTCACTACTTGACTCCATACTTTTACAAAAGTTCATTGTGTTGCTTCAGAGCTATCTAAACTACTGGTTAATAGCTATGTCAGATTAGGCTAGTCCAGGCTGAGGCACCTCAAATCCCCAAACCTCAGTGGCCTAAAACTATACTTTTTTTTCTTCAACTCATACTATATGTTCATCATGAGTGAGATTCAGATCTGATCCATTCTGTCTCCCATTCTGTCTCCACTCCTGAACCCAGAATAATGGAGCAGCCAATCTCTGGGACTTGGCAATCTCATGGCAAAGAGAAAAGAGAGGAAAGCAAACCATACTCTTCAATGACTTTTATGGCTGCCACTTGGGGGTGGCCTATTTCCCTTTGGCCCACATTCCATTGGTTGAGGCAAGTCCTATGGTGAAGTCCCATATCTATGGGATGCCAATGAGAAGGAGAATTATGCCTATTTACAGGCAGGGAACCACAAGTCCCATAGCCAACGCCAACATCAGTGAGAGCTAGGCAGAGAAGCATAATCCTCTCAAGGTGCAGAGGACTTAAACAGAGCTGGTTTGAATCCACATAATACTTCTCACTAGTCATGTATCTTAGCAAGCTTTTTTAAACCTTTCATTGTAGTAAAGTACACATAACATAAAATTTAACATACTAAACATTTAAAAACATACAGTTCTGTAGTGTTAAGTCTTTTACATTTCTGTGCAATAGATCTCTAGAACCCTTTTCATCTTGCAGAACTGGAACTTTGTACTCATTAAGCAATTCTCCATTTCCCCTTCCACCAGCCTCTGGCAACCAGCATTTTATTTTCTGTCTCTGTGAATTTTTGACTATTCTGAATATCTCAAATAAGTAGAATTATAAAGTATTTGTCTTTGGGTGTCTGGCTTATTTCACTTAGCATAATGTCCACAAGGTTCATCCATGTTATAGCATGTGTCCAAATTTTATGTTTTTAAGGCTGAATAATATTTCATTATAGGTAAATGCCCCATTTTGTTCATCCACCCATCTTTTGAATAATGCTGTCATGAACATGCTTATACAATCTTTTTAAATTTTAACTCTCTGGGTCCAGATTATGTATGTACAGAAATGGGCTTTATTACAATGCAATATAATGAGGATTAAGTAAATTATATTAAAGCACATTCTGTAATCCCTAACATATTATAGACGTGTACTAAGTATTAGTTACTAATAATAGCATTTTGAACATGGGTGAAAGTTTCTCTGGTCCAAAATTTCCCAAATATTGTCATTCTTACCAGTGGTGGTAAGAGATGATCTTAAGGTAGTTCGCGAACATTATAAAAATTTAGAATGTTTATATAAGGCATTAAATTCATTTATTTTAGAGAGTGCCCAAAAATGTAACTAGCACATCAAGCTAATTATTGTGTGAATATTATTGAGATGAAGGTAAAATAGATGTTTAATTTTTCTTAAACCAAGTTATTTTTTTAAATAGCAAAACATGACAAAAATGATACATGACTGACGTTTAGAAAACAGTAATATGATTCAAAAAGAACAAAGTTAGACCCTATTATTTCTTTTTTGTTTTCCTTTTTTTTTGTTTTTTTTTTTTCTTTTTGTCATTTCAAAAAGTATTCATTTCAGGCTGAACTCATTCAGCCCACGTATGTTGTGACTCATACAAGATAAACCCCAGTGTTCTATTTGCAGTCATTTCTCCCTGAAGGCTGATGTTGGTATAGGTGATTTAACCAAAATTACTCAAACTTTTTGTAACCTCCAAACACACACCTTTTGTTAGAACAAACCATGCTGTAGTATAGCTCAGCTGCATCAAACCAAACCTGTCCTTTTATAGTGCTGTCAGGCCACAGGGTATCACTGGCTTTGGGAAATTGTCCTAAAAATTGTACATTCATATTATTTGAGTAACCAGAACATGGTCATTAGTATTTCAACCCTAAGCAGCTGCTATAATTTTTTTGTTGTTATTAGCAGAGCACAGCAGCTCAGACAATCTTAGCTGACCTAAACTCATTGTGAATACTCACATCACAGAATTTTAAAGGCAACATAGAATAGTGTTAAAAGAGACAAAAAGCAAAAGAAATCCACAGGGAATACAATCTCGTTTGGTGTCATTAGACTCATAAATGTATTTGAGTTCTTCCTATCTGTAAGTTCAGCTGTATTTCCCCTATGGCATGAGTCAATGATGTTTAGAAATTTCTCTGGATAGCTAATGTTTTATATCATTTTTCCATTACAAATTCAGTTAGCCAAATCACATTCTGTGGTTAAATCTACAAATATAACACTGAGGGCAATTGTGATGCTGTTGTTGAATGAATAATATTATGTTTGTTGTTGTTATTGACAAGAAACTGATTTTTCCAGTGCCCTATCTGTGTTGCTATTGACAAATACTATCGGCCATCCCTCAACACCCTCACCCCTTAGCATTAGTTTACAGTCCAGCGTTCACGAAAAGGAACTAAATTATGAATCTAAGTTTAGAAACCGCAGAGAGTTTCATTAATCCTCTAATGGAATCCTCATTAACTTTTTAGCGTTTTGCCTTATTTTTCTCAAAAATTGATTTAAGCCTGGAAAACGAAGACTTTTAAAATATAGACTCTCTTGCAATTTTTCATGTGTATAGCTATTACTCCATGGGAATAAATCTAAGTAATTCTTATTTTTGATTGCCTCACATTTTGCCCATCTTATCATACAAGGCTGGCTCCAAAATCATATACACTTCATTTCACAGAACTTTAATCTGTCCATTTGGCAATTTCTTCCAGCCTCTGTATGCGTCAAAATAAGTCCCGCCGCCTTCCTTTCTTGGTTTAGGAACAAGCAGCCCTCTAGTGGTAGATAGAGGAATTTCCTTATCCCCCCCATCGACGTGTTTTCAACGAGACACAGTAAGTGTGAAATGCTCTAAAGTGTATGATGAGCATGATAAAATGAATTATCTTACACATTAATTGAAATGCCTTTTTTGGGACTTTTATTTTAGATTCGGGGTACATGTGCAGGTTTGTTACATGAATAAATTACGTGTCACGGGGGTTTGGTGTATGAATGAAATGCCTTTCTAAAAAAAGGAAATTTATATACTCTGTTATTTTTTTCTGATTTCATCTATTACACCAAGCATTACCAAAGGCATCCCGTTCTACTTCCACTAGCTTCCTATGATAGCCGCCATCTCCTCCGTGTAAAATATCACTTGTACTTCGATCTGTTTTAAAATTTCTCATTTTGCATTTCAAGCTCCCAGTCAGCCACCAGGAAATGTTGTTTGGAATGCCACAGACACTAAAGTGTTACTTAATTGGGAGCAAGTTAAAGCCATGGAGAATGAGTCAGAAGTAACAGGATATAAAGTAAGTTTTCTCATTTGCAATGCTTCATTTTCGTAATTTTGGCAGTACTTTTCAAGAGAAGCTAGGTATAAGTGAATTTTTCTATATATTGATATGGTTTCTGTAATCTAATTTTGACAAAGATACCAAGCTTTCCATAAAATGGGTAATTTTTCAAAATAGCTTCTTAAATATGGTTTCAAGTGAAAGAATTCTGCTCAAGTGGGAATTTTGGACACAATGTCTCCAAATTGTGTGTTAGTTTGCTACTATTGATGCTGACCTATATACTACTTAAAAATAAATAAATAAAACTATTGGCTCTGATTCCATGGCCAGGCATTCAAGGTCCATACACTATGGCCCTGCCTTATCTCTCCAGCCTCATAAATACGCAGCCCAGCTGGGCTTTTCCACGGGAGAAGTTCACTCTTCCCAAGCCTCCCTGATTTTGAGAACCTGATGATTCTGCCATGTGCTAACCTCTAATCTAAGACTTACAATTAGAGTCATGAATGAAACTTACATTCTAGTGGATATAGAAGGACAAAATTAGTTAATTTCAGAGAGACAAATTCTATGAAGAAAACAAAAATGGGCAATATAACAAGTAAGTGTATTTGTTCATGCATTTTAGGTTTTCTATAGGACTAGCAGTCAAAATAACGTACAAGTACTGAACACAAATAAAACTTCAGCTGAACTTGTGCTGCCCATTAAAGAGGACTACATTATTGAAGTCAAGGCCACAACAGATGGAGGGGATGGGACCAGTAGTGAACAGATCAGGATTCCACGAATAACCAGTAAGTTGGTTGAAGCCATTATTTACTTTATTGACATCAGTGTTACTATCCGCCATAGTGAGTCAATCAGTATCCCTCTGTCCATTCTTTCTTTCCAGCAAGGCTTACATCCAAATGCCGGTAAGGTTTTGGCAGGTGAGACGTGGGCAAGAGGAACCCCTCAAGAGTGGTGCAAAATAGGGAGAAAAGTATGAGGGTGTGAAGAAAAGATGTCAAAAAATATTTAGCAAAACTTCATTAATTTGATTTTTTTTCCTTATTCTGAGTTTTACTTAAATTTGCCTTTGGATCTCCTATAAAAGCAGAATTCCCTAATCATTTCTTTTAGATCTTTAATAGTCTAGTTATTTGCCTCCTACAAATTATAGATAAATCTTATCAATTCTTTAAATAGAATGATTAACATTGTCAAAGTCCTAAACCACTTACCTGTGCCAAACTAAAAGACTCCTTAAAAATTCTTCTCCTAGTTTCCAAGGAGGTTCATACGAATTTTTCCTCTCCAAATCCAAGTAAAACCTATTTTACTATAGAAATTATATGTTTAGAGTTGGAAACAGACTTTGGTTTGCGTATTTTATCAACTGCCAATGCTAGAATAAATTTTATCCTCACTCTTAAATCCCAGGTCTGGAGTTTTCTGGCCTCAGTTTAACTATTGTAGAGTCCATTTTGACTTCATATGCTATTCTATAGTTCTTAGTGACATGACTTTGTTCCCTGTTTCCATTCATTTAGCATGGGTAATCAGGACTGAAACTTTTGTCTTTAATCTTGGAAAACAAAATGGCAGACATTAGTAACTGAAGAGAAACGGAAATAGAAAACTTAGAGAAATTCTGTCTTTCTGTAAAACCATAAAGGCTGCCATACTTAGACTAAAACAAACAAAGCTACACTAAGAAAACAGGAACTACTTATTGCAGAACTAAGTTCTGCAAAGTAAAAGTCTGCAGAACCCATCTTGGACTACAGAACTCTCTAAAACTGTATGCACTTCAATAGAGCAAAAGTAGAAATTAAATTTAGTTTATTATTGTTGTTAATTTAGGTTTTGAAATAATGAATATGTGCTTCTTGTTCCCTGAATGGTGCAAGGCATGGAGTTAACATTACAATATGGGCAAAGTGGCAATTTTAAAAGAAATATGTTCTAGGCTTTTGCAGGGACAGATGTTATTTTAGCATTTTAGGGCTGCTGAGTCAAGAGTAGCCTTTTCATCTGACATCTGCTGTCTTGCTGAGCTTGCAAGTGACCACACAGGGCCATCTCTATGAAAACGAAGCTTTTATTTATTGCCTTTTAAAAAGATTATGTTTTATATTATGTGTAATAATTTATCTGGAAATGCATAAAATAGAAACAAGCACAGACCCTTCAAACCCTTACCCAATGAAGCATTCTTAATTAAACCATTGAATTATCTCAAAGTTGTTTGTAATCAAGTATAATTGTTTTCAAAATGATTAAGTTGTTTTTCCCATTTCAATTAAAGTTAAATAATAGTAGATGAACAAAGCCTGGTATCATTTAAGAAAACTTAAACACATTACTGTTTTTATAGATACTCTTGGCAACTAGTATATGCTGCATTGATAAATAAAATGAAGGCTAATAACAACTTGTGGTGGTTCCAGGATAGGTTCACGTAGTGATTTGGTTTTGATAGGAGAGGTATTGCCTTTGCTCTGTGTCTTAGTCCTTTTTGGCTTCTCTAACAAAACTACCTAGACAGGTGGCTTATAAACAACAGAAACTTAATTCTCACAGTTTTGGAGGGGAGTCTGAGAAGCCCAAGGTCAAATTGCTGGCAGATTCAGTGTCACCTCTCGAAGTCCCTCACCTCCTAATACTCTGACATTGAGGGTTAGGATTTCAACAAAGAATTTGGGGGGAACACCACAAATATCCAGTCTCTAGCACCCTGATTACATATTGGTACAATCCTTATTAATGAGCTCTTCATCAACTTTGACAGGTATGGATGCAAGAGGATCCACTTCAGCCATCTCGAATGTCCACCCTATGTCAAGTTATATGCCTATAGTACTGTTCTTAATTGTATATGTCCTGTGGTGATATTAACTCCTTTTTATTATTTATTGGAAAGTTATTTGGTTACCAAAAAAAGTGCTTTCATGAAATGCAGTGATTATGCATGTTTTTTTCAACTCTTATTTTTAACTTTCTACTTCATTATAGGTAAATATGAATATAATTAAAAAAACAGTAAATCCTTTTAGGGGAATCTGAAATGCCTTAATATTAACTTGATAAACCAAAGGAATTTACATATTACATACTTCAGACTTTTGATATAAATGTTCTTAAACTATGAGTTTAAGCACTGCCTATGGATAAAGACTCACACACTCTCACATGTACACACACACGCATGAGAATTTCTTTTTACATTGAAAAACTCTTTCATTTAATTCAAATGCTATTTTCCCATTATAATAGCATTATTTGGAAGACTTAACCAGTATCAATTTGAAATGCTGATTTAAGTCCCCAAGGATGAAAAATACATTTTAAAAATTATTTTGTTGGAGAGGAGTGGCATGTGATTCAAAAGAGCATTGTTGGAAAATGCTACTGTGGGGCTTAGAAGAATGATGTTTGGTTTGGTATGCTGCTAACTAGTTGTAAGACTTTACAAATCACTTTGCCATCTGTACCTCTCAATTATTCCTCTATAAAATATGGAGATAATAATACCTATCTGATCAGACTTTGCCCCATGAATTAGTTTTTAAAAGATAAAGACTGAAGTATGAAAGTGCTTTTGTCACCCCAAATGCAATTGACCCATGCAAAATATTAGCATGAATTTATTTAATCACATAAAAGTCATGAAGACCAGCCAGATTTTCAAGCTTCATTCTGTTTCATTCAGTTATATTCCAAAATTCAAATGATCACATTTTATTCTTTCTCAAAAAAAAAAAGTTTTTTTAAATTAAAAAAGGAATTGTTTCCTTCACAGCTATGAATAAGCTTTCAGGTTTTATTAAAACCTAGAGGAAAAAATCAGGAATGACCTGAATCTCAACCCAAATATTAAACAAAATCCACATAATCCCTCATTTCAATTTCCAATTCCATTAAGGGACCCTCTCTTTTTGGATGGCAGAGATGGTTTTTTAATGAAATCCCACCATCTATCTGAGTGAGTCTGGCAGGCTTTTTAGTTCCTGAGTTAAATTTGTAATAGAACCAAGGCAATGCTGCTGACTTTGATATGTATGACTCAGTCTTTCAATATGTGGTTTTCAAAAAATTGTTGAAGACGTGACTTCATAGCAATATATAGAGAATAAATTAAAATCAGCAGATTGAGTTTTCAACATTGCAAAATCAGTTTTTTACCTCTTTCCTACCAATTTCACATTTTGCAGAAACTTGTTCACATTTCCAACAATATCAGAATTAGAAAACAGTTCAGATAACAAGAAAGATTAAAAATTAGGGAAATTCTGATATCACCATAAAGCACTATTTTACATTTAGAGATTACATTTAAGATAAAGTCATCATACACAAAAACAATAAATATTTATAACTTTCTCTATAAGGTCCGCATATACTGTATATATTGAAACAATCTGAATGACTAGTAGATTTCATATGACCATTGTTATTTCCACTTTCTCCAATACTTGTATTTTATGCTACATGTAATGAAGTTGGACCTTTTTATTATTTAGTAATTCCTATATGTTCCTATACTTTTCATTTTCAAGATGATTGCTCTATTGTTTCATGTTGTTTCTAGCAATATATCTCCATGAGATATGCACTTTGTTTCATATTGAAAAGTATAAAATTTATCTTTCAATTCCTGTGTGTGTATCCTATGGTTATCTGTATGTATTATTTTCTATTCTAATAAAATTTATAACAAGCAAATGAGTGTGCAGTATTAATTGCGGTATGGTCAAAGAAGAATGTCTACAGGGGGAATAGGAGACTACCATAATAGTTATGCTAAGGCTATCATTTCTTAAACCTTTCAGCCAACGTTTAACTTTTCCATCTTTTAACAGGATATTTAAAAATATTTTTATGCCCTACTGACTTAGTAAAATCAGCAATTTGAGACAATAACCTGTACATTACAGGTATTTCAGCTGTGGGGAGAAGTGGAAGAATGGGGAAGCAGAAAATTCACCTAGTAGAATTATAGTATCTAATTTTGTCTGACTTTATTTGATTACAAATGTCTACTCCCACATTTTTGACAAGTATTTTCTTAAAATTAATATCAATGTATCAAGTTGTTCATAGACTGTCTCATTGGTATCAATGTTAGAGACTCGCTTTTAAATAATCCTTATGGTAGATATTCTAAATATTTGAAACATTTTAGTAGAAGATGTTTTTAATTACGCAGTTTTAAATGTTATTGTTGATGTAAGGAGAACGACAGCTAAAATATCAATCATTTTCTTACATGATAATTGAAAGATTTGTTTAAAGGCAGGAAAATTAAGTGGGAAAACTATGTGATAGGGGTTGTATCTGGGTGTGGATGTGTGTGATTCTAGATTTAAACCCAGTGGTAATGGCTGCATTAATACACCGTAATGGAGGGGAATGGCCCAGAAAATATGCAGAAACATTATAGCACTGAAACAGTGCCAATGTCCTCTCTCCTGCAGAAGGCAGGGCTGATTGGCATGGCAAAATCAGAAAGTCAGCTTTGAATCATACTGCTTTCTAAATAACACCTTTGCCCATTTCTGGCCCTGTGATCTTATTCAAGTTCCATAGCTTCTCTAAGCCTCAGTTTCCCTATCTGCAGAACGGAGGCCATCCTAGAATTTTCCTCACACGGTGGTCAGATCTCCAGCCAGTGCTAAACTCTGTGCTGACGTGTTCTCTTGTGAACTGAAGTGATTAGTGTTACCAACGTCAAGGGCTGAGAGGCAGTAAATGAAATGTGTGTGGATGCTTAGAGTTATCATCTTCCCATCAGTAGGCAAATAGATACAATGGAAGATGAGACATCCCCCTGAAGGTGTTTTTGCTTTTAAATTTTTAAAGCTCTCTTTAGATCTCATTCTGCTGAGAAGAAAACTATGATTCCAGGAGTTCCTAGGAGATAGGGTAAAGTGATTCTGGAATCAGATTATTTTGTCATTGAAATATATCATTGATAATATTAAATAACATATATTTCCATGCCAGACTCTGAGATAAGCACTTTGTGTTTGCTAAATTAATCCTCACAATAATTCTCATTAATGGGGGGGGGGGGCAAGTGGCTTACACCTGTAATCCCAGTGCTTTGAGAGGCCAGAGCAGAAGGGTGACTTGAGGGCAGGAGTTCAAGACCAGCCTGGGCAACATTGCGAGACCTCATCTCTATAAAAAGTAAAAACTAAAATTAAAAAAATCTCATTAGTTAGGGTCCATTATCAAGCCTGTTTTACAGATGAGGAAACAGGTTTAGGACAATTAAGTTGCATAAGGACATCCTAGCGAGGATGTAATGAAATGGGATTCTAACCTACACACTTTGGCTGCAACCTCTGAGCTCTATGTATGATTAGACTCTTAATCCTGCTTGAAATCAGATTCACCAGATTTAGAGGTTCTGAGTAGGCATCTCTAGTATCAATTTGCAGTGTACTTTGTTCTATTATTTATCATATTTTAAATTGGGGAACTAAAAATACATGAATACTTCCTTCGGCTATTGTAAATTTTGATATTTTCTAATTCTTACACCAAAAGCTATCCAAGATAAAACTGACTCAGATCCAGAATTCTTTAAATAAATAGTATACAAAAATTTAAATTTTCATTATACATTTAAAAAAAATTTTGAACATGTTGTGTGTTGATTTTCAATAGTTTCATTATTTTCAATGAAAACCAAACAGCTTAATTCAGTGACATAAAAAAATGCGAAATGATTAGGATGTTACATGTTCTTTTTTCCTAATTAAAATCCCCCCTGCTGTCTCATATTCTCATAGTGCCGGCTTTTTTTATTTAAAATTAATCTTAATTGGGTTCATTTTTTCTGAAGTATTTTACCCTTTTTATAAATGAAAATTGCACTGATATTCATTATAATTTGGATACACTTCAGTAAATATTGGAGGTAAAATCAACCCACAGCAGCAATTACAAAATTAGCAATTAGTAAATTGTACCATTCTTTTGAAAGAAAATATGTAAACAGATTGGGATATGGTTCATTTAAATTGTTAGGTTTTTCTACTGTTTTTATTTGAATCCAGTGCCCTAATTTAACATGTCTTGCTTTACTTGTAGGTGATAATTACCTCTTGAACTTGCATGGAGAATTAATGCATGCATATTGAATTAAACTTGTAAGTAAATAACGCATCTATTATTTGTCAGTCTTTGTTCTTATTCTTTATTCTTACTCTGCCTGCTGAAATTATCTTAGAGCCTGGGAATTCTATTTTGATCATGAATACTGTGAGGAAGAGCAAGAATGAGGTGCTGTATAATTGGACATTACCTGGAAAATACAGAGACTAATGATAAGGATGGCAAATTAGTGGCTTTACTTTGGCATTTGACAGTAGAATGTGACAGACACAAAGCTAATGTAGAATGTGTATCTAGACTGGCTAATGAGGAAGTGGAAAATGTCCATTCAGTGTGATGACTGTACTGGCATTTCTGAAGCATCCAGGCAAAATCGGCTTCCCATCCATAGCTAAATTTTAAAGATCGTGCAGTGAAATGTTCACTGGGATCATAATCCCTGGCACAGTACTCTTATTGTGCAGGACTCATCTTTATGTGCTCAGTACATATTTGTTGAATTAAACCTGTGGATTTGTCATTGTTTTCTCTCACTGTCTCTTATTTTGTTTGCTTAATTTTTCCTTCTGTGCTGCCTCTAGAAATAATAAGATATGATGATTAACAGAATAAGAGGCATTATAAAATTTATTTGAAATATAGGCCATCTGCATTGAGAAAATTGACAAATTTGTTCCTAGTCATTGATGTGGATTGGAATCCTAGCCATGTCCCTAAATAATTGTGTGACCTTGGGAAAGCAGGTGAATTCCTCCAAGACGAAGAATCTTCATCTCTAAAATGGCACCAATAAAAAGAACTGGCCTGGAGGATTGTCATGAGGAATTACATGATCTAATCACAGAAAACTTTTATCATAGCTTGGCTCATGGGTACTCAATAGCATTGTCTAACTTAATAATATTATCGTTATTAGGCTTTAAATTCTGAATCATTGTTTAAGGGTCTATTGTCAAATACACATAATAACAGTATCCATCTGAAAGGATAGTTCATTCATCCAGAGTTTCAGATGAATCACTCATCTTTGGACTAGAGACATGACAAGTCTCCTTCCCTCAGAGACCTTACATTCTAGTGATAAAGCAGGGGAACGGGGCTAGAGAGAAATTTGAGGGTGAAAAAGGCATATGCCCAGGCCAACTACGGCGGCTCATGCCTGTAATCCCAGCACTTTGGGAGGCCAAGGCAGGCTGATCACTTGAGCTCAGGAGTCCAAGACCAGCCTCGGCAGCATGGCAAAGCCCCATATCTACAAAAAATACAAAAATTAGTCAGACATGATGGTGTGCACCTGTGGTCTCAGCTACTCAGGAGGCTGAGTTGGGAGGATCGCTTGCACCTGGAAGGCAGACGTTGCAGTGAACTGTGATCACACCACTGCATTCCAGCCTGGGTGGCAGAGTAAAACCCTGTCTCAAAAAATATATATTTGTGTGTGTGCATGTGTGCGTATGTGCATGTGTGTGTGTATGCCCAAGTAGTTGTAAGGACTAAAGTATGTTTATAGAGCTTTGAGCACAATGCTGGGCACACAAAAGAGCTCAGTCTATACGGGCTGTAACCCTATTCTCTCAAAGCAGGACCCAGATGGCCAACATCTGATGATGTTGCCACAAATGATAGCCAGCAATCTTATTCAGAAGGACGTTATTTAGAAAGATGTTTGATCACAGATTAAAAGCGCTGCTTGTGTTTTAGGAATGCTTCTGCCTTTAAGTAAATAAAGCCTTTATATGATTTGAAGTATCCCTCGTGAATTATAGTAATGGAACTGAAAAGAATCACTTGACCTGGCAAGTCTGGTCTAGGGTGCAGAGTAGTTCTGAATGCTGGTCTGAAGAACCTGAGGGGCTGAGGAATTTTACAGAGTCTTGGCACAGAGCAATACATTGAGTAAAAGGAAGTCATGTGAAGTGTCTAATAGGTGCCCCCATTTTGAGAAGAGAGTGCTGTTTTCGTGTTCTTACCTGGAGCAGTTTACCTCAAACTGCCAGGGCTACTACCCTTGAGTGACTGACAAGGTCCTGTTGGGATTGGAAGTTCTAAAGGTGATCTTTTTGGCTTCTACCATATGAACAAAAGCAATCTCCCTTCAAAAATTAAACACAGTTTGTCTCTGTGCAACCTCTGATCACGCCCTTTCTGTAGGAAAAGCCCATTTCTTCCTTCTGCCGCCCCTTTTCTAGAAGAGGAGATGGTAAGAAATGTGAAAAGAATCTGGGGGAAGCAGTGAGGAAGAATCTGGTTGCCTCTTTCCATCACTCAGAAGATTCATTTCATAGTAATGAACTAATCTTAAGAGGGAGAAAACAATGGATGTGGGTCAAGATTTGAGTCTAAAGAAAAGGCAAAGGGGAAAATAAGTGGAAGTTCTATTCTCCAACGTAGTAATGATTGAAAATATTTCACTCGTTTTCATTGACATTCACTTTTCACTGAAAAGTCATTCGAAGAGAATTTTCTTTAAAGTAACACATCCTCATACTTCTACACACGAGACTCATTAAGTCCTGCAGAGCTCATTCTGTTTACAGCCACCGTGCTGTTTAAAAGGTAGCCAGCAGGCTACAGGTGTTTCTGATGCTGGATAAGCCCCAGCTGCTAAGGAGAGAAGTTGGAATTTAGAATGCTCCCAAGAAACTGGCAGTGACTTGCTGCAGATGGGAACTTGCCTGGGGGAAGATTTTCCAGATCTGAACAACATATTGGTGGTAAGGAAATTATGCAGAGCTGTGAGCTCAGCACTCTAGTCTTGATAGTTACACATAAATTGATTTTAGGAATGATGACAGAGAAGAGTTTAGGGAATGATTAAGATTACGTGCTTTGGGCTGGGTGCAGTGGCTCACGCCTGTAATCCCAGCACTTTGGGAGGCCGAGGCAGGCGGATCACCTGAGGTCAGGAGTTTGAGAACATCCTGGCTAACATGGCGAAACCCCTTTTCTACTAAAAATACAAAAAATTAGCCAGGCATGGTGGCACACGCCTGTAATCTCAGCTACTCGGGAGGCTGAGGCAGGAGAATCGCTTGAATCCGGGAGGCAGAGGTTGCAGTGAGCCAAGATCATGCCACTGTACTACAGCTTGGGCAACAAAAGTGAAACTCTCTCTCTCAAAAAAAAAAAAAAAAAAAAAAAAAAGGATTATGTGCTTTGGAATCAGCCAGCAAAGCTGGCTGGAATAGCACTCATTTGCTTTGTGCTTTAGAGTAAGTTACTTAACCACTTTAAATTTCTTCCCTCACATATAGAATGTAAGTGAGAAGTATCTGCCTCTGTTGTGTGATAATTGCTCTCTCTCTCTCTCTCTCTTATATATACACATATATATAATCTCTCATACATATGAATATATATGAGAGAGTGAGTATAATATATGTAAATAATATATATAAAGTTATTATGATAGCACCTGGACAAGTAAGCCCTCATATTCCATACTTACATTCAATTTTCTTTCTTTTTTTTTTCTTGAGATGGAGTCTTGCTCTGTTTTCCAGGCTGGAGTGCAGTGGCTCAATCTGGCTCACTCCAACCTCTACCTCCCAGGTTGAAGCAATTCTGCCTCAGCCTCTCGAGTAGCTGGGATTACAGATGCCCACCACCACACCCGGCTATTTTTTGTATTTTTAACAGAATTGGTTTTCACCATGTTGGCTAGGCTAGTCTCAACCTCCTGACCTCAAGTGACCTGCCCACCTTGGCCTCCCAAAGTGCTGGGATTACAGGCTGAGCCACTGCACCCAGCCTTCTATTTGATTTTTGTTTGTCTCTCATTATTCAGAATATTGCAGGAATTTGAAGGTTGGTGCCAGATTCTTAATACTTCAAATGCTTTGTGCATCTTATTCTGTATTTTATGTCATTTTCATTTATCCCATTAGTAGACTTGCTTGCTACTCAAGATGAAAACTGACACAGCAAATGCCAGATTGAAAGGAGATGCCCACAGCTTTTTCTGAGGTTCAGAGGGGAGATCAAAAAGGAGAAACTGCCTTCTTTCCTTTACTCCTCAGGAACAAGTGCCCCAAATAGTCATATATAAATAATGTTAGGGCCATGAGTCCCCAAGCATTCAACTCCAGTTATTCTTCCTTGAGACTACGTGATATTTGTAAAAGAAAAAAAAGTGCATAGGAAAACATTAGACAGTTTTCTCCCTCATCTGTCATAGCATCTTCAGATCTCGGTGCTTTAGTTGTTGTAAAGCCTTTGTAGGTAAAGAGTAAACTTGAGTTTTAGATACCCTCACATTTTCATGAGTAAAACATGCATGACATCTTGGCACAGAGTCAGCCTTATTTATATTTGTGGGGTGTTTTTGAAAATTTGAGCTAGACTCATATGAAAACAGAGTTTGAGCTCAACATTGTGATTTCAAGAAGAAAAGTTCCTTAATGAAGCATATCGATCTGATCATTTTTCTTTTTCATGGACAAACATCAGATCCATTGTCACTTCCTAAACAATTAGTCACTTTCCTACACACAGAAAATTCCGGGAAAATTTTTAGCCATTAAACTAGCTGCCTGGAAATAGAAAGTCTTTGAAGTCCTTCCCAGCAGCACGTTTTGAGTCTGTTTTTCTTTTTAAATGTTTGTTATTTTTAATTGACAAAAATAACTGTACATATTTATGGGGTGCAACGTGATGTTTTGATACATATATACATTGTGGAATGATTAAATCAGGCTAATTGATATAGTTATCAGGTCTCACACTTACTACTTTGTAATGAGAACATTTAAAATCCACTCTTTTAGCAATTTTGAAATATACAGTACACTCACGTTAACATTCTTACAGTCACCATGCTGTACAGTAGATCACTAGAACTTAGTCCTTCTGTCTACTTGAACTTTGTGCCCTCTGACTAACATCTCCACTTTCCTTGGTAGTTTCTTGAGTGTCCAATGTTCTCTAGGCCCAGAGAAGCCCTGTGCACAGTTGCTTGTGATAGATGGGTGACCTTGCTGTCGCAGAGGTTTAGAAATGCCAGCTTGTCCTACAACTTCCTATACGAGGACATCAAAGGCTATGATCTGGGTACTGCTGCATGGTAGACACTGGAGTATACATGGAAATGCCTTATTCAGAGAATTATCTTTAAGAAAATTTTAACAGAAGAGTGAGGAATGTGTGATAAGGTATTCTGTCTATATTAGAATTTTTTAAACCTTTCTAAGTATCAAAATTGGACCCCTCCCTAGCTATTTTAAATCAAAGTTTGTCAGGTTGAGGCAAAACGTCTACAGATTTTCAGCTAATGAGTCAGATTTGGTATCCAATGTTCTAAAAAGCAAACAAGTGAAAAGTATATAAAACAGGGCAAGTATATTTAATAAGAAAAATAACATGTAAAGTAAAATCAGACATCAGGATTAAGATCTATAAAGGAATGAATCTAATGAAAACACTGCTTTTTAGATTTAAGAGTTTAAAAACTGTGAGATGTACAACAAAATTTGTGCTAAGTAGTATGCAAAGGATATTTAATGCATCATTGTCTGTGAGAGAAAAACTATTGGGAACAATCTAAATTCCTCAAAAAGGGAAAAGATCAAATATGAGACAATAAATTTATGCTATGGATTAATATACAGACGTTTAAAAGAAATCTGCAAGTAAAAAGTAAGCAAGGCAAGCTGAATATGTTGCCATTTATGTGATAGCTTTAAATAATATCCCCATAGGTATACATTCATGTAAAAAAAGCATAGTTAGAACAGTCTGGAAGGAAATACATTGAACTGGTATTAGTGGTTACTTCTGGTATGGAATGGCTGTATTGGGATTATGAGTTGTAGTCTAAGGTATATTTTGCCTTATCCAAACTACTTCTATTAAAGCATTCACCTTAATTAAAATGATGCATTGTATACTTTGTTATTTGCTTAGGTGTATATAAAAAGTGGTGTAACAGTATTACAAAGTTATGATAAATAAGCAAGATTCATGGGATATAAGCATAAAGCATCTTTTTGTTTTTTGGTCTCACCACCCATTTAAATGTACTTCATGATGTTAATTGTTTCTCTGCTTCTGAATAAAATTTCTGGCAAGTCCAGTGATATGTCTGGTCACTTTTAAGTGTTCTAGACCATAAATAACTTCTAGCCTAAATTACTCCCAACAAAACAATACAAAGCTCCTCCCCTCTCTCAGCTCAGGTCTTTTGCAGTCTGGCAATCTCATTGGGAGAGGTGGGCTTAACTATTTCTCCTGTTCCTTCATCTGGAATTACTCTCACTAATCATAGCTTCTCAGCAGAAAAGGGGTGAGGACAAAGGAATGCACTTAGTATATCAGTACCTGCTGGGCATTTGTTTCCTCAATTTGTGACTGTGCCAGATTAAAGATGACTGGAAATTCTTGATACGACCCCATCAGAAGATGACATCATTTCCCTCCTTTTCCATCTGAATTGGCCAGCAGCTGCTTCGTCCTATGGAGTGTGATGAAAGTGATGCGAGCCTAGCCTAGCTAGTCCTGAGCCTAGCCTTTAAAAGAGCTGGCACCTCCCATGTTGGTCTCTTGGGCCCCTGAACTGCCATATAAGATGTCTGACTGTCTTGAGAGTCACCATGCTGGGGGAATGTCAAGGACCAAGGAGAGTCCATTGAGGTCACTTTCATGGGTTCTTTGGAGACATCATTCTACTCACCACCCTATATAGGGAACAGTTATTAAATACTTTGACTAAGGAACTCCGCGGTCCCTTTGTCCTCCTCACCATTAGACATTTTGGATCTATTCATCCAGCGTATTTTTGCTGAGCTTTGTTGATTCCTCAGGTGGCATTTAGAGATAGGATTAAAGATACTATGTGTTTTCTCACAAAGTCCCCATTGTATCCAAGCAATGCACTTAGGTATGCAGTGCCTCACAAACTCGAAATTTACAAGTGAGACCAATACAGCAGCAGCAGATTTTTATTCTATTCCAACTCCAAAAGGCTGGCTGGACTATTTGTCCTATACATATAGCTTCATATAGGAAATACATACTAATCCACTGGGATGTCAAAATACAGGTGGTACACATAGTGGTTTGAAGCTTCTCTCTCAGATTGAGGTGAAGGGAAAGAAATCCACTTTCTTCCTAACTAGGGGGAGAGGAATGGTTATGAGAGCCAGACTCCAAACCCTCTAAAAAAAGTTCTCTATTCTCTCACCCCTAAACGTTTTATGCTAATGTTGGGGCTCAGAAACTGATACCCTAAAATATGATGCTTTGACATGCTGAACTGAAGAAGCAGCATAAAGGTCTCTAACAATTCCCACCCCAACCGCCCCACATACCCTACCTCCTGCCTTTCAATCCTCGGTGTCTCCCGAAGCACAGGATGAAGTTGTACTCTGAGGTTCCCTTTATCTGCCTAAAGCCTGGATCCACCACAGAAGAAAACAATTACCTTTGGTCCCTTCTCTGAGTTTTCCTTATCTGAACTCATATCACAGGAAGGAAGACTGAAATCTGTCAATGCATCTGGACAGACTTTTGTCACAAACCATTGTCTACTCCGCAGGCCCAAGAGACTTTGTCTCAAGCCATTGTATGTTCCTTAAGTCCCTTAAGCTCCCTTAAAATTTACTTATTTTCCCCCTAAAATTAACTCTTCCAGTCTCTGTTTCCCCTCAGAAATAGGGTATATAACCATCTGTACCCCAGTGCATGGCAGGGCAATCCCTCTGTGATTTTCATGCCATGCACGTTAATAAATATGTTTGCCTTTTTTCCTCTTAATCTGCCTTTTGTCAGCTGATTTTCCGTGAACCTTCAGAAGGTAAAGGGGCAGTTTTCTCTTGGCCCATACACATATTTAGCATGAGTCAAGAGTTTGAGTCACAAAGCTTGTTTTGCCCATTCTGTTTTGAAGTCTCATATGGTAGTCAAACTCCACACTCTAAAAGGTGGAATCAATGGTCCAGAGACCGGGCCAGGTGCAGTGGCTCACACCTGTAATGCTAACACTTTAGAAGGCCAAGGGAGGCTGATTGCTGGAGTCCAGGAGTTTCAGACCAGCCTGGGCAACATAGCAAAACTCCAGCTCTACAAAAAATTAGCTGGGCGTAGTGGTGTATACCTGTAGTCCCAGCTACTCTGGAGGCTGAGGTGGGAAGATTGCTTGAGCCCAGGAGGAAGAGGCTGCAGTGAGCCATGCTCATGCTGCTGTACTCCAGCCTGGGTGATAGAGCAAGACATTGTCTCAAAAATAAACAAACAAACAAACGAAGACTGTAGACCTCATCTCAGATTTATATTTTAGATTCTAATTCCTTAACATTTTCCTCTTGGTTGGCTTGAGCCTGTTTTTATTATGGGGCTACAAGCATGGCAGCAGGTGAAATAATGCCAACCAAGGCGAGAGTCTTAAGGAAAAGACAAAACAAAACATTTGTACTCCTCAGTCCTTAGAGCCAAGAAGGTAGACTAAGATAAGACTTAAAATACAGGGTTTCCTCATTGGTTTACACATACAAATGCTTGATGATACAAGCAGAAATTTTTCCTTTTCTAATTTTAAATCATTGTTGGACCCAAATAAAAAAGGACAATGACAGGCTCTGAATCCGAATAATCCGAATGATATAATAAAACACAAGCCAGACCTGCATCTCTAGGCAAAGGAGGCAAATGCAGTATTTTCTTTTGGAAATATTTGGTGGTTAATCAGAACAGGTCAGAGGCATTCTGAAATGCTTGCTTCCAAGGAAGCCCTGAAATCAAATTAAGCCTGCTGGATAAAGCACGAGGAAAAGATGTGTTATACAAAATTTGAGTGTTGTGAAAATGTTTTTTTGTTTTACTTACCCTTTCTTTCTTCCAAAAAGATTCTTTAACTTTTAAGCTTTAATCTCTAAAGATCTGGGACAGCGTAAAATATACACAACTGAAATGGAAAAGAGGATGTTAAAGACATAGCAAAGAAGAAAAACATATTTGAATAAAGAGCAAGTAGAAATAGACTATAAATGTCTTACATAAAAATTAAAAATATTTCAGAAATGGAAATGCTTTTTTCTTTTTTTTTCTAAATTCTAGGGTGACATAGAAGACAATGGAAATGCTTTTGTTGAGTGTTCGTGTTTACGACTACAGCATGTGCTTATGTTTCTGGCAATGTTAATTTGAAAAGCTTCTTTAAATTTTACTTGTCAGTGTAAAAATATCACTTGGCTTGCAAAACAATTGTCAAGTATATTGTGTATATATGCTGGACATTGCATAGCTATCTAGTCTAAAAGCTAATTTTATCCTTAAGAATTATTGGAAATCAAATTTAGATAGTGTGCTGGAAAAGAGTAAACTTGTCTCTTTATTGTGAGAATGTGAAAGTTGAAACTATCTGTCAGGCAGTGGCACCTAGGAATTAACTTCAGACAATCAGAGATGAAGTTTGGCATGAGAACAAGCATTAATCTGACAGCTTTATGTCAATAATAATTAACAATGTATGATTTGGGGAAGCCAAATAGGTTTGTAGACAGCCAAACCTTAAAATATATTTTCTTGTTTCATGGTAATATGGATTTTTCTATTTACATTTGAAAAGTTTATTTCTATTATGTATTTATATACCAAAATGTGTAGTCCTTATTTATTTAATAAATTGTGCCTTTAACATTTCACTAGTGGCTCATAAAAGCATCTGATGATGGTTTATTCTGCACTGCCTTGTTTACTTAGAAATTGGGTATATATTTAACTCTTGAAAAGCATTCCATAAATACCATCTATAATAAGAGTTATTGGAGCATATATTGATTATTGGATTGTCTATCTACTCAAATGTCAGTAACTATCCGTAGAGCAGAGAGTGCATTTTTTTCATCTTTGTATATCTGGCATATAGCATACTGCTTGGTAATTGGTAGACAATGAATACATTAAAAATTAATAAAATGAATGAATGAATGAGAGTTCCAGATCACTCTCTTCCATCATTCAGTCAGAGGTCATCTTTTCTGTTGCTTCCTATACTCATCTTTAATAACTGACATTTCTGCATGAATCATGGGGAAAGATGTTTTTTCTCTTTATTAAACAGGCACTACATAGTTTCTCTTTCCTCCAACAAGAGACAGAAGTTAAACTAAGATTCATGAATGATTAAGCACAGTGGTAAAATATACAGTGTCTTTTAAAAATAAGCCCAGGATATGACTTGCTGAAATATTCTTGTTTCTGTGGTCTGTTGAGGTAAATGATTTTAGATTCCCTAATCTTCCAAATGAGGATAATAGCCATAGCAATTCAATAAAGTTATGAGAATTCACACAGAATTCATGTAAAGCACAAAGCACAGAGTCTGACATGTATAGGAGCTCAGTAAATAGTTGTTCTTAACTGTGACTTGATGTTTTGATAGAGGATGCTTCAGAACAGGTTCCTATCAAGATTAGAGAAAACAAGTTACAGAAAAACCCATTCTTTTCTTAGACTCTCCTATGCTTTTTTAGCATAAACAAAAGATTTGTTTATCTTTCCATTTTCATCATTGCAATATTACCTGTACGTTGTCTTACCTATATTTAATGTCTCATTGTCCATATAATATTTTCAAGAAATAATAAGAACATGGGACTTTGATCATAAAACATCTAGTGTGGCTTTGTGGTGTCTGTATTTGGGAAGCTTAGTCTTAATTCCTTCTATGGTTAACAACCTCTCATCTTTTGGCTGGGCACGGTGGCTCAATGACTATAAATCCTAGCACTTTGGGAGCCGAAGTGGGCAGATCACTTGAGCCCAGGAGTTCGAGACCAGCCTAGACAACATGACAAAATCCTGTTTTTACCAAAAATACAAAAATTAGCTAGGCATGGTGGCGCAATTGTGGTCCCAACTACTCAGGAGGCTGAGGTGGGAGGATTGCTGACGCCTGGGAGGCGGAGGTTGCAGTGAGCCAAGATCGCACAACTGCACTCCAACCTGGTTGACAGGGTGAGACCTCATCTCAAAAAAAAAAAAAAAAATTGTGTGTGTGTGCATGCGTGCAAGCATGTGTGTAATTGCACACGTGTAGACTTTATATTGTTGTGATATCATCCTTGGCTCTGCAGAACTATAATCCTTCATCTGTGACTCATTTATTAATGAATATCTGATTATCTATTGTGGATGGCTGTTTGTGCTAGGTACTGGGATATAACAATTAGCAAGAAAAATTGCATTTCTGTCTTCATGGAGCTTCCATTCCATAAGTAACAGGCATTAAACGAATGACCAAAAAATTAGTTGAATAACTATAGACTATTGAAGAATATAAACAGAAGTGGATTAATAATGGCAATGGGAGGAAAGTCAGGGGAGATGGGAGATTTCAGCAAACAAGCTAAAATGTGACAGTTTCTCTCTCTTCTCTCTCTTTCTCTTTCTCATTACACATTTCTCTAGTTAACCTGTCTTTTGTTATACAGGTGTCAGCCATGACCATCTAATGATGAAGAGAAAAGATATTATCCCCTTTCTTCCCCTACATTTGTATTGATGAATTTAACGGGGAATAAATAAGAAACCAGAAATAAAGTATGCCAACTTACCCTGTTTTTGTTTTGTGTTTGCTTGGCAGCCCAAAGTAAAACTTATGAGCTAATTCATTTTAGATCATTAAAAAAAAAATCCCTGTAGGATAATCCACAAAGACATTTCCCTTTAATGTATACTTGGTCTTGTGGTTTATACCAGTTATAAACGTTGCCTTCTTTTTATGTGATTGTATACCATTTTAAACAAAAATCTAGAAATTTATCCTGCCTTTATAGCAAGTTAACATTTTTGGTCTAAAGTTAATTTTCATCTTTATTAAATTAATATACCCGTACAACTTAATTTTTCAAATTAAGTTTATTTTAAAAGATATCATCAAATTATTTTTTAAATAAAGCAGCTTAAGAAATCCAGGTGAGTTCTTATGTGGATAATACTTCCAAGTGTGGTAGAATTGTTAGCATATCAGTGCTTTTTTTGGCAATGTATAAAAGATATGTAATCCTAGAAAATGTTGTAGATTTTTCAAATACCTCTTAAGTTTATTTGTAGGATGTTTTGTTGTAGGGAAAAACAAAGGTTCCAGTGAATTTCTCCTAATATTTCTAACAGCTAGGATAAGATACCACTCATGGACACTGATGTGGTTTGGCTGTGTCCCAACCCAAATCTCATCTTGAACTGTAGTTCCCATTATCCCCACATGTCTTCAGAGGGACCCAGTGGGAGGTCATTGAATCGTGGGGGTGACGAGGGACATGTTTCCTTTCCTTTCTACCATGACTGTAAGTTTCCTGAGGTCTCTCCAGCCATGCTGACCTGTGAGTCAATTAAATCTCTTTTTTTTATACATTACCCAGTCTCAGGTATGTCTTTTTTAGCAGCATGAGAACAGATTAATACAGACACATTTTAGACATTTGCAGTCACAGAATGAGTAAAACAAGGGGAATGTTTTATATATATCTCTGTCTGTAAGTGAGTGGGTCCTCCAATTTTGACATTAGTCTATAATTGATAAATAGTTGAACCATCATTAATATAACCATTTTAGTTAATTCTTGACATTTTTAAATGCATCCTTGATTTAGAATATGTCCATGACATTGATATTTTATCAGTTTTATCTTGTATCATTATCTAGAAAGGAGAAGCCCAGCATTATATTGAGTCACATTCAGTTTTAACTTTACTAAATACTGCAAAATTTCCACAAGCCAGCAAGCAGAAGGCATAGCTGATTGCCCTTTTACTTCTGTATTACACAATATCAAAAACATTTTATCTGTCAATATGTGATTTCTCTAGTGACCTTTGACATTTTTGAGCATATATTCTCATGCATCGTTAGAAGTTTCATGCCAAGCCAATAACATGCTTCTCTGTTGTTTTCAAATGCCTCCTAAAGCTAAAGGTTAATGATCAATAAAATGCACTGAAATGGTTCTTTTTGCTGCCATAGCTCATCTATTTTTCTTTTCACTCAGTCTCTCCATGCTTTAATATTTCCTGAGCAGCTTTTGTTTTTTCATTTAATGAAGAGTAACTAATGCGCTATTTTTTCTTTATAAAGTAACACTCTCTCTAATAGAATTCTATCCATAGGGACCAGTTGTATTCAAGATGCCTTTCATTTGCCCTACAACAGTGGTTAACTCATCATTTGACAATTGTGTACCTTTAAAAATGAAGGGTTGTGCGTAAAATTTCCCACTTGCATGAGTTTGCATAAGGTTATAAAATCCATATAAGTGCTGTCTGGCTTACAGAACTATGGCACTAGCATTGGATGCTAAACAGTGATCTAAAGTAAAGCTCAGAAAACTTCAGGGAGTCTGGCCCACAGCTTGTTTTTGTAAATAAAGTGTTATTGAAACACCCACGCCCATTTGTTTATAGCTGTTTTTGTACTACAATGACAGAGTTGATTAGTTACAACAGAGACCATATGACCCTCAAAGTCAAAAATATTTATTTTCTTGCCCTTTACAGAAAAAAATTGATGATTGCTGATCTAAATAAATTTAAGCCTGTTTCTCATTTTAGACTATATAATTACAAGAATATACACAAGTTGACAAATATAGCTTGTGAAAACCAAGATGTTTATCACATAATTTCAGGGGCTATGGAAGCTTCAATTTGCAAAGCAAAACATGAACTATTGCCTCTTTTAACATATTAAACCCCAATATTAGTCAATTTAGCTTATTCATTTGGTCAATATTAGTCAATGTTTGTATATGCCTCAAAAATATATGAAATGTAATAAATGGCTGTACTTAAGGAGGGAAGGAAGGAATTTTGACTTTTTATTCTATGTATTATTTTAGTTTTGGAATTGCTCCACAGTAGATGTGTGACATCTTAGTATTTTCTATTAAATACATTGGTTATTACTAAAGATTATGTCCTTCAATAGCCCTGTCACAACCCACTGCAAATTATATTCATCACTTATGTACTTCAATTAAAAATTTCCAAGATTTCTGTTAAAATGTAATTATTAAATAATACCACCTTATAATAATGTGAAACACAAAGGACTATTACAGGCAATATTTCTCTTGAGCTCCATTGTAGCCTGACAAAATGTAGCCAATAGTTTATCCACTTTATGGACAAGAATAATGATGTTTGAACTGAGTTTGTGACTCTTGTGTGCATATACAGATGATTATGGAGATGACCGTTCTGTTCCTGATGTTAGAATAATACCTTAAAAGAGTCTAGTAAGTTTGGTTATGTTATCTCTCCTTTAAAAAAAGAAACAAAAGGAAAGCAGGTCATGAGTGGTTGAGTGTTACAGCCTAGGTAAGTACAGTTTGAGCATCCCTAATCCAATAATCTGAAATCCAAAATGCTCCAAAATCCAAAACTTTTCAAGTGCCTACCATAAGTAGAAAATTCCTCATACACGTACTTGCCGCAAACGTTGTTTCATGCAAAAAATTATTTAAAGTGTTATATAAAATTACCTTCAGACCATGTGTATAAGGTATATATAAAACATATATGAATTTCATGTTTTGACTTGTGCACCATCCCCAAGATACCTCATTGTATACATGTGAATATTCCAAAATCTGAAAAAATCCAAAATACTTCTGGTCCCAAGAATCTAATAAAGGGATACTCAACCTGTATCTAGATTTATGTAGGCTTTTGATGCCCATCACAAATGTCTGCCCTCAATCATTACAGTGTAGTGCTTCCCAGTAGGTTAAGTAGGTACCCTTAGGCTAGAACGAATTGATCAAGAACATTTACTGAAGTTCTGTGTGCACACATATGTTTCTGTGCTTTTGAAAAATTACTTAAACCAAATGTTATTGTGCACCCCTATATATCAGACGCATCCGTGGTGCTGGGAATTCATAGAAAATGTACAGATTGTTACTTCTCTATAATCCTAAAAATCTAGTAAATCTAGTCATTTGCCTTTTCTCCTCCCACTTACAAGCATCATTTTTGTAAGTATCCTGGTCCATTTGTGTGCATGTCTGTAGGTTTGTGTTCTAGAAATGAGATTATTATAAGTTTGAAAAATAGATATATTTAATATTTCTAGGTATTGCCAAATTACCCTCCAAAATGATTGCACCAAAATATTTCCATCAACCTTTTAGCCAACTAGCCATTTTCCACAGTTTGTTTTTTATTAAGGGATTTCCTTAGAACCACTAGCATCCCAGTTTATTAAAATTCATCCAATATCAGTACACATAGGCCTACATCTTACATTTTAGTTGACTGCTCTGAGGTTTTTAGCATATTATGTCTTTTTCTTTATATGGGAATTTAAATATAGCTAATGAATTAATGTAATTAATACTTTTTAACTATCAAGGGGAACAAATGAATTCTCCTTTTATAGGGAAGTATTCTCTGAGGTCCCTGTCAGAAAACATGTATGTCTGTCCTGACTTCTGGTTTCATGCCTTACCTCTTTTACCTTGGACAAGGCAGTTCACGGCTTCCGTCTTAGGTTTCCCATCTGTCAAATGAATATTGGATTAGATCACCCTAAGTGCCCTTCTAAGTTTAAATTTGCATTAGTATGTAAATATGGAATAATGAATAATGCAAATGCATTGGTTATTGTTAGTTCTTTTTTTTGTTTTGTTTTGTTTTTGAGATGGTGTCTCGCTCTGTCACCCAGGCTGGAGGCAGTGGCACAGTCTCAGCTCCCTGCAACTTCTAACTCCCGAGTTCAAGCAGTTCTCTGCCTCAACCTCCCAAGTAGCTGGGATTACAGGTGCCTGCCACCACATCCAGCTAATTTTTGTAATTTTAGTAGAGACAGGGTTTCACCATGTTGGTCAGGCTAGTCTTGAACTCCTGACCTCGTGACCCACCTGCCTCGGCCTCCCAATGTGCTGGGATTACAGGCATGAGCCACCACACCTGGCTGATCATTGTTAATTCTTGATTTTGTTTTTTTCTGTTAAAATACCTACTAATTTTGATTTAATTTTCTTAGAAGAAAAACACAAATCAAAAGCCAGGACTTCTCAATTGTTTCCTGCTTGAATGTAAGGTCCATCAGTTTCTATCTTCCTCACTAACATATTGTGCTCACAGCACATACTAAGTTTTTAATGGATGAATAAAATAAATATGTAACTCTTTTAGCTTTACTTTGTATGTGTGAAACTATTCAATAGAGCAAATCAGAATATTATTCAAATTTTGATTTCAAACTTGAATATAATATCAAAGAAGTTATAAATAGGGAGTTGCTTAGTCAAAGTTCTTCATACTTCTTCCTATATACCAGTCAGATTTTTAAAAATTATAATAGTTTATTGAAAAAATAGCCTTTGGGCTGGGCACGGTAGCTCATGCCTGTAATCACAGCACTTTAGGAGGCTGAGGTAGGCAGATCATGAGGTCGGGAGTTTGAGACCAGCCTGACCAACATGGTGAAACCCTATCTCTACTAAAAATACAAAAATTAGCCAGGTGTGGTGGTGTGCTCCTGTAATCCCAGCTACTCGGGAGGCTGAGTCAGGAGAATCACTTGAACTCAGGAGGTGGAGGTTGCGGTGAGCCAAGATCGCACCACTGCACTCCACCCTAGGCAACAGAGCGAGACTCCGTCTCAAAAAAAAAAAAAAAAATAGCTTTTGGGCCAGGCACGGTGGCTCACACCTGTAATCCCAGCACTTTGGGAGGCTGAGGTGGGCGGGGACAGGAATTCAAGACCAGCCTAGCCAACATAGTGAAACCTCATCTCTACTAAAAATACAAAATTTAGCCAGGTGTGGTGGCACATACCTGTAGTCCCAGCTACTCGGGAAGCTGAGGAAAGAGAATTGCTTAAACCTGGGAGGTGGAGGTTGTGGTGAGCCAAGATCCTGCCACTACACTCCAGCCTGAGCAACAGAGTGAGACTCCATCTCAAAAAAATATATATAGCTTTGGATATTTTTGAATGTAATCATTATGGGCATTTCCACAAATCTGTGCATGTAAAATGATTCTAATATAAAATTTAAAATTTATATAACGTTGTATTTTTTGAGGAGATTGAATTGGTATTCTCTACTTTGGATTTATTAAGTATTTATAATGATAGATCACTGAGTTGGTGAAATATAACCAAGAAATCTAACTCTTGATTTTGTGAAACAGCAATGTTCATTTTAATTTTAACTCATTTACTCAGCAAATGTTGACCACCTTCTATATGCCAGGTGTCACATTGGATGCTGGGAATTACAGCCAGTAAACAGGCAGAAGAAAGTCCTAGCCTTTTGGAGTTTACACGCCTGCGAGGTTTTGTTATGTCAGGAAGTGTAATGGTTGAGCATAATAAGGCTTTTGTTCTTTTGAGATCCTGAGACTTGTCTTTGTCAGGGTATGCTTTTCTTATTGTTGTAGGAAAAGACAACATACTGCTTAGAGAAATACCTTGATCTAAAATAATAAATCTACTTTTGCTTAAGATAGTGGTATAATTTAACCTTTATTCTTCTTTAAGGATCTTATGGAAGCAATGACTTTTTCCCTGGAGGGAAAAATACATTTAAGTCATTTAATTTGGTACACAATTTCCAAGGGCATAGGGGTCCTCTTGAGTCTATCAACAGAACTAAAAGCTCTGACCTAAATCAGCTGTTTGATGATTTAATAGAATTAAGGATAATGTGCTATTAGAAATTTATTGAGACATTTTAAAATCGTAAATCCATTATATAGTTTATTCATTTAGTGATCTATTCAATACATGCTTGATTAAATACTAGTGCTATTATATGCCAGACATTGTGCCAGTCAACATCATTATTTTCAAGCAAATTTTTATATGATTGTTTAATATGTGAGTTTCATCACAAAGCCAATCAATGGAGCCTCTTAACTGAACCACTTCAACATTTTTGTAAACTCATAATCAAACATTTGTGCATTTACCTTCCAGTTTGTATCAGGACTTAACCAAACAAGAGACAATTTGTTTCATGTTTTCATCAGGATGGAAACAGGAAGACTTGATTATTTATTTAAAACCTATATTTTATGCAAAACAAGTAAAAGTAAAAATAAACTATAGGGTATCTCATGTTACATTCCAATGTATTTCCTTTATGAAGTGCAAAATTATGCATAAAACTAAAAAAAGCAGCAGCTTCACTCATTGAATTTCAGAAGACACGTTGTTCAACTGGTATACCTGTCAAGTATCTGTAATAATTTGAAGCACCATATTAAATAGTGCATATTTTAATTAACTAACATAGTTTAATTTTTTCCAAGTGGCATTGGAAAGTTTTAATGTAATAAGCATCACCAACTTTAGGTCAGGTCTTACGAGACCAAATGACACCAGAATTATAAGTAGGGGAGTATCTGTCACGAAGTGATGCATTGATTTAAAATCAACATACTCAGGGATCTTATGGTTACAAATGAGATTTTAGTCCTGAAACTGGCTCTTCGTGGTTAATCTTTACATCCAAGTATTGTTCCTGTCCATGATTAAGTAGTTATAAGAAACACAAAACCTTCTTTTTTGAGGTTATTAATTTCTTGTAAGTGTAATCCAGTTGGATTATGTGATATTCCAAGTTTACAGAGTTTTTAATATCAAAACTAGCATAAAATGTAAGTTTCCATGTAGGCCTGTCAATAAATGATGATCTCTTCAAAATATTAGGAGAGAATTATTGATCTTCATTCAATAACAAGAAGAAATACATTAAGAAGGGGGAAGAGCTTAATATGTTAAATTTCTTTTTTAAGCTTAAAATGGCAGGATAATCTATTTCATCTGTAATAGGTTTTTCCTCAAATTAATTAGCAATGCATATCACCAAACTCAAAAGTTTAAATAACTGAAAAAATAGTGTTCAACTTACCTTGTGGATTCCATTTCTAGCAATGTGGCAGTAGAGCAGTGTATTAGTCTGTTCTCACAATGCTAATAAAGACATACCTGCAATTGGGTAATTTATAAAGCAAAGAGGTTTAATGGACTCACAGTTCCACATGGCTGAGGAAACCCCACAAATATAGCAGAAGGCAAGAAAGGGACATCTTACATGGTGGCAGCCAAGACAGCATGTGAAAGGGAACTTCCCTTTATAAAACCATCAGATCTCATGAGACTTATTCACTACCATGAGAAGAGCATGGGAAAGACCTACCCCCATGATTCAATTACCTCCCACCAGGTTCCTCCCACAACATGTGGGAATTATGAAAGCTATGACTCAAGATGAGATTTGGGTGGGGACACAAGATGAGATTTGGGTGGGGACACAGCCAAACTATATCAAGCAGTTATGATCAACCCTTCTGCTAAAAACAATAAAAAAATAAAGAAATGTATGTGTAGTCTAACAGGAAAATACCAAACTTAGGCCGACAGCTGAGTGAAAACAAGAACCTGAGAATAATACTAACAGTGAAGGCCAGCTTTTATCTTGAGGGCATGTGAGAATCCTAGTTTTACTAAGTATCATTTGTTGGCATTTCATGGGATTGGAGTGGGTGCTGGGTCATAAAAAAAAAAAAAAATCCTAAGAAGGCTGAATCAAAGTGGGAAAGTCAAGGCAGAGTTCCTCTTTTCTTAACGGCAGGGACTCAAAAGTGCTATGCTCTCCGTATAACTGTGAATTAGGAATAACTGTGTACCTGAGTGAAAATAGGGAAATTACCTATCTCCAAACTTGGTACTGACTGGAGGAGTAAAATACCTCCCCTGAAAATAAATAAGCACACAAGTTGCCATTTGCATAGCTTCCCACATAAATTCATACTCTTTGGTCTGTAACCATGAGTTTAGATTTAGATTTAAGTGTTTCCAGTGTTCCTCTACATGTAAATGTTGTTAAGTGTTTCTCTGCATGTAAGACTTCCACCAGAACTAGACGGCAAGTCCCCCCAGGAGGAATTCTATTTCCTCCAGTGCCTCAAAGAAGTTCATATGTAACTTTAAAGGCAAAATGGGAAGCAGACAGTTAAAAATCAATAGACATATTATAAGGAAACAAGGCACCATAATGAAAGCCAGCAGAAAAACAGAAAGAACAATTAAACTCACCTTACTTATAAAATGTATAAATTGTCATCATTGGGATAAAAGTAGTAACTCATTACCTTAGAAAACGTTTAATTATCTTTCAGCCATAAACATTTCATTTCACGATTTTCTAAGAATATAGAATGCTAATCTTTACTAATAAGATAGTGTGCATTATAACATATAAATTCATTTTCCTACATTCTGTTCTATACTAACATCCTCAGAAACAAAAGGGACTTCAGTACTTGAACAGCACTTGGGAGACTTAAATAAGTATATATTCTACAATTCAAAAAATAAACGTCCTTTCAGATTGCTTCCAAGATCAGCTGATTGTTATATGTGCATTATAACATATAAATTTCATTTATGGAGGGAGTATAAAAGATGAAAACATGGACTCAAAATCAAAGATCTTTAATCTTATAATATACTTGCCTAAGGCCCCATCAAGTAGTATATTTAAACTTTAAGCTTTGCAGTATTCATTTGCAAAATGGTCTTATGATATCCTTATTACCAGTAGCTACAATGGGTTGCTGTGAGACTTGAGACAAAATATATGAAGAATTTATCAGAGCTCACCATATAATAATCTTTTGGTTCATCTTATTGTAATTCCCATTCTTGCTCTCCCTGAGCTAGCCCCATAAGACACAGTAATTTACTCCTCTATGTTTTATGGAGGGTAAAGATGGTCTGCTGCCACTGTTGTCAATGAATCAAATTTATCCCATGTATTTACCCTTCCTAGGTTCATGACTCCTAGTCTTCAGGTAGGTAAACTGGGCCTTTAATTTATGCACTTGAAATTATGATGCATAATTATGCACCAGGTCTCAGGAAAATCTAAGACTCAATAAAGACTCATCTGTCAGATAACATACAGTGACACAGTCACACACCTTCACATTGCTTAGGCTCAGATACCCTGTGAAAGATCATCTCCCACATGGACACCCTTCTTGGGCTCTAACATCCCACATTGGGTAGCCTCTGCATTCTGCTTGAACTCTGACACCCCATGCTAGGCTACCTGCTCCACCACACCACTTATTCTTGAAGACGGTAAAGACATCTTCCTCATTTTTTATCTGGTCACCACAGTGCCTGCCACACTTCTGACCCCAACCTTGCTCACCTCTACCTGATCACTTTGGGCCTGAAGTATTTTAGAAGGGAAAGGAAGAGCCATACCATCCTAAAGTTAATCATGAGGAAAGTGAGGCCAATCAGCTGATCTTGGAAGCAAACTGAAAGGATGTTTATTTTTTGAATTGTAGAATATATACTTATTTAAGTGTCCCAAGTGCTGTTCAAATATTGAAGTCCCTTTTGTTTCTGAGGATGCTAGTATAGAACAGAATGTAGGAAAATGAATATAACAGATTAATGCATAGTGTTTATTTGCACAAATAAGTGAGGACAGCACCCTCAAGGAATCTCAAAATTTTGTAAATAAGTTTTCATTTCAATGAAGTAATCAACTGATTTCTTATTAGAAAGAACTGCAAGATAGAATAGCAGGGTTTCCAAACACCGCATGTTCTCACTCATAGGTGGGAATTGCACAATGAGAACACTTGACACAGGAAGGGGAACATCACACACCACACCGGGGCCTGTTGTGGGGTGGGGGGAAGGGGGAAGGGGGGAGGGAAAGCATTAGGAGATATACCTAATGTAAATGACGAGTTAATGGGTGCAGCACACCAACATGGCACATGAATACATATGTAAGAAACTTGCACATTGTGCGCATGTACCCTAGAACTTAAAGTATAATAATAATAATAATAAAAGGGAAAAAAAAAGAATAGCAGGGTTTCTTTACAGGAACTGATATTTGAGATTCACTGGCTAATTTATCTGAGAAATGGTTTCCTTCTTAACACCCTTCACTTGTCAAACTCCCTGATATCTAAAGGCTGTAAATAATAAAGACTTTGTTAAACTAAGTCCCTAGAATGGACTTTTGAGGCTCTTTAAAACTTAGCTGGACAATATTCTCTTGGGTATTGTAAAGAAGGTTTTTGAGTGATTTCAGCATGCCTGCTTTGAAACATAAGGATCTCGATTAAGACAAAGGGGGAGAAGGACTCCCAAGAAGAAGCTGAAATTTCTGTGTGCTAGGGAGAACGAATGATGCCCTTTAGGTGTATCTCTGCTGTTTTATATTTTAAAAAATTTTCAACCATCCTTAGCATGTCCACATATGGTAAAGCACAAATCGGAGTAAAAATATTATTGCCCCTTCTCCCAACTTCTTCTGAGAACAATGTTTTAAACTAGACTATCTTTCTATGAAATTTTCATTTATAGCTAAGGCTGTTCATTCCAGATATAGGAGCTGTTAATATCCAGGTTTACAGTAAATTACACACTTCGTCTCCTCAATAGAAGAGAAATCTTATCCAAGCCCTGTTCATTGCATTACATAATTCCATGTGAAATTTCTAATATAATTCTCTTTTTATTACTCAGAACTCATTAAGAAAGAGATGTGCATTAAAACAATATACACACAGTAAGTGGTATGATTTTCACGTGAAAATAAGTAGACACCTACTTTGTAACCTTTTGTGCCATCAGTTTGACATTTCTATTGGCCCACAAATATAAGTTAGGCTGTTAATCAGTTTCACTCACATACAAAGAGACTCTATTTGAATATTTTTAAATTATTTTTGGAAACATAATTCCAGTGCTTTAATATAAGTTTTCAGTAGCTTTGCTGTATTTTATTTTGGCTCAAAAGAGGAAGAAGATGGAGATTTTCACATTCTCATACAAATACGATATCATGAGAAATAGTCCATAGGATTTATTAGAACTGCATAGGTAATGGCTTTCTAAATAATTTACAGTTGGAAAATGAACTGGATACCTGGGAGAACTGATCATTTTTAAAGACAAGTATTTCACTGCAAGTAGATGCTGCTGCTGAACAAGCTGCTGTAATTCTCAGTAGTTGTATTCAGTCTGAAAAAGTGATTCTATGTTTGGAGAGCAAGCTACTTGTGTCCCAAGTACTAAATATCATACACGAAAGCTTTTTTTGAAGGTGACCTTTGAGGTTTGGGTTCTTAATTCAAATCTTTAGTTTAATTGAGGCTAAACTATGCCATGAACATTGTGAAATCTTACAAAGATAAGAAGGATTCAGAAAGTATCCATTTTTTAGTAGTCAAGAGTTCAGATTGGGGTTCATACCTTCTAGGGCTCAAGTCTCTGAAATGCTGCTTACCAACTGGCTGACCTTGGCCTTTACACTTTAGTATAAATTAACCTTCAATTTTTGACTATTAAAATAAACAAATATATATTATATGTGTCTAATATAAATATGCTTATATATTTATAATATAAAAGTTTATATATATATACATATATATATGTATATATATATAGCACCTGCTTCTTAAAGTTGCTGAGGATTAAGTTACAACGCACTGCAAATTATTTATCATAATGTAAAGTAAGTACAGTTGTCTCTCAGTATCCTCAGGGTATTGGTTGCAGAATATCCTTCAGATAACAAAATCCATTGATGCTCCAGTCCCTGATATAAAATGATGTAGTATTTGCATATAACCTATGTACAACATTCCATGTATTTTAAATAATCACTAGATTATTTATAATACCTAATATGATGTAATGCTATGCAAACAGTTGTTATACTGTATTGTTTAGGGAACAATGACAAGAAATAAAAAGGCTGTGCATGTTTAATACAGACAAAAGTTTTTTCTTGAATATTTTAAATCCACTGTCGGTTCAGTCCATAGATGAAAAACCCATGAATATGGAGGGCTGACTATGTATGGTGATATGGTTTAGCTGTGTCCCCAACCAAATCTCATCTTGAATTGTAGTTCCCGTAATCCCCATGTGTCATGGGAGGGACCCAATGGGAGGTAATTGAATCATGGGGGCAGTTACTTCCATGCTGCTGTTCTGGTGGTAGTGAGTGATTTCTCATGAGACCTGAAGGTTTTATAAGGGGCTTTTTCCTCTTTTGCTCAGCACTTCACCTTCCTGCCACTGTGTGAAGAAGGATGTGTTTCCTTCTCCTTCTATAATTATTGTAAGTTTCCTGAGGCCTCCCTAGCCATGCTGAACTGTGAGCCAATTAAACCTTTTACAATTTCCTTTATAAATTACCCAGTCTCAGGTATGTTTTTATTAGCAGTATGAGAATGGACTTAATACAGTAAACCAGGTAGTGGGATGCTGCTGTAAAGATACCTGAAAATGTCGAACTGACTTTGGAATTGGAAACAGGCAGAGGTTGGAACAGTTTGCAGGACTTAGAAGAAGATAGGAAAAATGTGGGAGATTTTGGAACTTCCTAAAGACTTGGGGGTTTCAGAAGTCTGAGATGTGGAAACTTTGGTACTTCCTAGAGACTTGTTGAATAGCTTTGACCAAAATGCTGATAGCAGTATGAACAATAAATTCCAGGCTTAGATGTCTCAGATGTAGATGAGGAACTTGTTGGGAACTGGATTAAAGGTCACTCTTTCTATGCAAAGAGACTGGTGCCATTTTGCCCCTGCTCTAGAAATCTGTGGAACTTTGAACTTGAGAGAGATGATTTAATGTATGTAGAGGAAGAAATTTCTAAGCAGCATAGTGTTCAAGAGGAAACAGAGCATAAAAGTTTGGAAAATTTGTAGCCTGACAACGTGATAGAAAAGAAAAACACAATTTCTGGGGAGAAACTCAAGCCTGCTGCAGAAATTTACATAAATAATGAGGAGCCCAATGTTAATTGCCAAGACAATGGGGAATATGTCTCCAGGGCATGTCAGAGAGCTTCCCAGCAGGCCCTGACATCACAGGCCTGGAGGTTTAGGAGGAAGGACCAGTTTCATGGGCCAGACCCAGAGCTCCCACTGCTGTGTGCAGCCTAGTGTCTTGGTGTCCTACATCCTAGCTGCTCCAGCCATGGCTAAAGGGGGACAAGGTACAGTCCAGGCTATGGCTTCAGAGGGTGAAAGCCCCAAGCCTTAGCAGCTTCCACATGGTGTTGAGCCTGCGGGTGCATAGAAGTCAAGAATTGAGGTTTGGGAATATCCACCTAGATTTCAGAGGATGTATAGAAATGCCTGGAGGTCCAGGCAGAATTTGCTACAGGGGCAGAGCCCTCATGGAGAATCTCTGCTAAGGCAATGCAGAAGGGAAACGTGGGGTCAGAGCCTCCAAATAGAGTCCCCACTGGGGCACTGTCTAGTGGAGCTGTGAGAAGAGGACCACTGTCCTCCAGTTCCAAGAATAGTAGCTCCACTGATAGCTTGCACCGTGCGCCCGGAAAAGTCACAGACATTCGACACCAGCCGTGAAACCAGACAGAAGGGGTTGTACCCTGCCAAGCCATAGGGACAGAGCTGCCCAAGGCCATCAGAGTCCACGTCTTGCATTAGCCTGACCTGGATGTAAGACATGGAGTCAAAGGAGATCATTTTGGAACTTTAAGGTTTAATGACTGCCCTATTGGAGTTTGGACTTGCATGGGGCCTGAAGCTCCTTTGTTTTGGCCAATTTCTCCCATTAAGAGTGGGTGTATTTACCCAATGCCTGTACCCCCATTGTATCTAGGAAGTAACTAACTTGCTTTTGATTTGGCAGGCTCATAGGTGGAAGGGACTTGCCTTGTCTCAGATGAGACCTTGGACTTGGACTTTTGAGTTAATGCTGGAATGAGGTAAGACTTTAGGAGTCTGTTGGGAAGGCATTATTGGGTCTTGAAATGTGAGGACATGAGATTTGGGAGGGGCCAGGGGTTGAATGATATGGTATGGCTGTGTCCCCACCCAAATCTCTTCTTCAATTATAGTTCTCATAATCTTCACATGTCATGAGAGGGACCTGGTGGGAGGTAATTGAATCATGGGGTGGTTACCCCCATGTTGCTGTTCTCATGATAGTGAGTGAGTTCTCACAAGATCTGATGGTTTTATAAGGGGCTTTTCTCCCTTTTGCTTGGCACTTCTCCTTCCTGACACCATGTGAGGAAGGATATGTTTGCTTCCCCTTCTGCCACGATTGTAAGTTTCCTGAGACCTCCCCAGCCATGCTGAACTGCGGGTCAATTAAACCTCTTTCCTTTATAAATTATCCAGTCTTGAGTATGTCTTTATTAGCAGTGTGAGAACGAACAAATACATATGGTAAGTTCTCTATTAAGTGTAGGTCTTATAAGTGATAAGGCAGAATGAGTTCTTCCAATCAGGGCTTAAAATATAAGGAGTATTATCTTCCATATTATAGAAACATGTTTTGTTAATCATGGCCAGTTTAGCAATTTACATTAAAATATTCTTTTCCAAATATGACTTTGCTATGAAGCTATACTTCCTTTGGCTGAAGGAGAAAATAACTCCCAAGCTAGTACAGGAAAAAGTAAGGGAATATCTCCCAAGCTAGTAGAGGGAAAAGCAAGGCCCATATAAAAATATTTTAAAAGTAACAATTTTCTTAGCATGAAATGGATTCTCTCTGGTACCTAGATGATATTCTGAGAATTTTGCTGATAGCTTCAAACTGTCATAAAAACGTGGGTTTTGTAGATACGACTCACTGGCTCTGCTGACGACACCTTCTGAGCAAACACATTAGGATATGACATTGTTATAGAGCTGATTGTTGCTAAAATCAGAATTATATTTCATAGGGTTAATCAATAGAAATCATTAACTAGGGTGCCACATAATTAGATTTAAAAAACAAAATATAATGTATGAGGAGGTCTTCAGAGTAAAACTCAGCTGCTATTTGTTTTGATTATTGATTCCTTTCAGTTTAGTCTCCTTATCTAGTCTCTGGTTAGTCATCTGGGCAGAGCCAAATGAAAATCTATTATGTTTACTTCTTTCGGTTTCAAGATAAAGACCACGACAACTATAATGTCAGTATGTGAATACTCATGGATTAGAACCAGAAAACCATTAAAGAAAAAAAAAAATTCTCAGGGCTAGTTCAAAAGCTCAGCCTTTCTTGGGGGATTTATTGTCTTTTTGGTCCTCCCCGACCCTGGTCTTTGATTTCAAAGCCTAATATAACCATAGTACTATGTGGCCTTTACAGATATTAATGCTCAACATGATTAAAAGTTGTGTCAATTTTTCTGAACTTCAGACTTATAGAGAGAAAGACCTGAATTTCTCTGATACCTTCTTTTAGATGACCAGAGGAATCTTAAACTGAAAATGAACTCATAATCTTCCTCGTCCCTGTGCTTGGAGTATGTAAACCACCATTCATATCCTTGATATTCCCCTCTATCTCATCCCTCATCTTCACTTCACCACCAAATTATCTTGATGATTTTACATTCTGAATGGATATCACATCTGCCCCCATTTTTTCATGTTCACTATCATCATTTTAATGCAAACCACCATCATGTCTGGCCTGAAATATGGAAATAGTTTGGTGCCTCCCATGTTAGTCCTCTCCAATCCATTCTCCACATCATAGCCAAATAGATCTTCTTAAAAATCACATCTGCTCATACCACACCTAACTTGTAACCCTTCAAATCTTTTCTATTATTCTTAATGTAAACTTTAAATCTTTGACAAGGTCACCAATGTGATGGCTTCTGTGTCCTTCCCTCCTCCTTACTCACTCTGTTCCAGCCACACAGCCCCCTCTTCCTCCACCATGCAAAGCAGTTTCTTATGTTAAGTTCTTCTTTCCTGCTTTCCTTCTCCCTATATTATTCTGTGGTTCAAACAATCCACTCTTATACCTTCTGGAAACCTGTATTTGCCCCTCATATTATTTGTGTCATGAGGACAATAATTACATTTTGTTCATATTGTAGCCTTGGTACCTACTCAGGTGCCTGGTATAGGTACTAAAATAGTTGAATAAATGAGTGAGAAAAGAAAGAGAATGGGATAAGGATTTTTAGATCATTAGCTTCAAAGGTAGGGTGCTTTTTATGAAATACACCAATTGTTTCTCTAAAGACTAAATGGGAAACATGATTAAATTTAGAGTAGTTTACACATGAAGAACTTAGCCAACAGGGTCATGCAAAAAAAAAATGTGTCAAAGATTTGACTAAGACATTCCGCTGCATATCTGTTTTAAGGCTGTCTTTGAACATCTTGAAAGCCAATGAATATAGGAAAACGTATGGTGGTGATAAAGTCTTGTGCATTTATTATGATGTCATATGTTTTGATATGAGACAACTTTCAAAATGTCATTGATGTGTTTGTCTAATTGAGTCTTTGATATGCAGGCTTCCCAATTCCCTCAACCCTAATCTGGCTGTCACCACTTCTGCTTGCTTAAGGTGGAGTACTCTGGAACCAGGTGCACTTCAATTAATGGTGAAGTTTCCATTTCAGATTTATTTCTAGTCTAAATAAACTAACTAAGCCAAGTGTTTTGAAAACTTCAAAATTTCACAGCACCTGGAAATCACTCCATGGCAGAAAGCTGCCATTATTGGAAAGTGCACACACAAGCATGCCCATTCCCTTCTTTAATCACATGTAATCCTAATTCTGTCTCTCCACATGCCTCCTGATGGAGGAGTCTGACAAGTCTTGGGCCAGAGAGGTTCTTGTTCCTATTATGCCTTGCTGTTTAAAACCAATGGCAGTGGGGGCCAGGCATGGTGGCTCATGCCAGTAATCCTAGCACTTTGGGAGGCCAAGGCGAGAAGATGGCCTGAGCTCAGGAGTTTGAGACCAGCCTGGCCAACATGGCGAAACCCTGTTTCTACTAAAGGCACAAAAAAGAAAATTAACCAGGCATGGTGGTGCACACCTATGGTCCCAGCTGCTTGGGAGGCTGAGGCAGGACAATCGCTTGAAACTGGGAGGCAGAGGTTGCAGTGAGCCACCGAGATCGTGCCTCCAGCCTGGGCAACAGAGTGAGACTCTGTGTTAAAGAAAAAAAATGGCAGTGATCAATCAGTAAGGTTCTGGAGGCTCCAAACTGTGCCAGGCATTAACATCTGGGTGCTGAATTGCTTGGTAGTCTGGGAGTGAGTCAGGAAGGGAAGGACTCACTTGTCTCAGTGAAGTGGCTATTTAAGAAACCGTACAGATGCGTTTTTATATGTAGACAAACAGCATAGACAATGTTGTAAGCAAAATATCAGTTCTGACCCAGACTATTCCTTTTAATTGCTTGATCCATAACAAGTTTTGTTGGCAAAATGACTGCTGTTGTTTGTTTAGAACATTTTACTTTGAATATTTTAATTTAAAGTCTATTTTGAAGTTTTGATCAAAGTTTATCATTTCGTAATGATAAAATAGATATTATCTTTTACATCATCAGCTCTCAGTGTGTGGTCTCCAGACCAGCAGTATCCGTATCACCTTAAAACTTGGTAGAAATATAATGTAAATTTTCTGTTTATACCTAGAAGTACTGGGGTAAGGCCCAGAAATCTGTTTTAAGAAGTCCTCCTGGTGGTTTGGATGCACCCTCAGCTTTAGACTCACTGCATTCGATCATCAATTCACTCCACACATGTCAGCATATCAGCACTTCTGACAGTGTTAGAGCCGCACAGGTGTTTGTGAGTTACATGGCTGCTGAGCGATCAGTGGGCTCAAGCACTAGCCAGTAATTTATTCTTGAGTATCTACCTCCCAGCAGGCAACTCAAATGCACGGCTCAAAAACATCACAAATGATATGTATCCGAGACATTCACAGTCACTGCTAATTACCAAAATCATAAAATGTAACCCTGTGAGTGTCAGTAGTTTACTGTATTTATATAAAGCATTAAAACTAACGTGGTGAAAGAGATTTTTAAAGGCTGAATAATTAATAGGACCTGGGTTTACATTCATTTACTCATATTCAATTTACTTTTTAAAAATTGAATTTTTTTGAAAGCAGGTAAAATGGTGCTGCTATTTTTAAAGAAACTCCAGAAGTCAGATTATCATTCCACCTGGGAAGGACATATCTATAAAAAAAAATCTGGGTCATTATATTGTCCTCAAAAAGAGCTTACTTGAAAAATTATAGTTAGAATGTAAAGATTAGATTCCATATCCTTTTCAAAGGAAAAAGATACATATAGTTTTTCAGGTCATTTCTGAATTCAGTGAGACTTCAATCATCTCTCTATCCATAGGTATCCCCAATTCAAACATCACCACATGCAGCAAAGAAATGTTCTGAGTGTTGGCCGGGTGCAGGGGCTCACGCCTGTAATCCCAGCACTTTGGGAGGCCGATGCAGGCGGATCACGAGGTCAGGAGATCGAGACCATCCTGGCTAACACAGTGAAACCCCTTCTCTACTAAAAATACAAAAAAAAAAAAAAAAAAAAAATTAGCTGGGCTTGGTGGCAGGCGCCTGTAGTCCCAGCTACTCGGGAGGCTGAGGCAGGAGAATGGCGTGAACCCGGGAGGCGGAGCTTGCAGAGAGTCGGGATCGCGCCACTGCACTCCAGCCTGGGAGAGAGAGCGAGACTCCGTCTCAAAAAAAAAAAAAAAAGGAAAAAAAAAAAGAAACGTTCTGAGTGTGTTTGTACTGGTTCTTACCCAAGCTCAAATTTTGTTTTGAAATGCTCTCATTACATATTCATTTCTCTTCTTGAAAGATATACTCTAATTATATAAAATCTGCTCTTTAGTTTATGGATAGGAATTATATTTGAGCAATAAAAATAAAAAGTTCAAGGGTAGAGGTCCAAGCCTATAATGGTTCATAGAAAAACAAACATTGACAAAGTACTGGATAAATATTCTCATCTGGAAGTATTAATCACAGCTCCAATTACACAATGGGTGTGAAAACTCTTGAGTATTTATTTAAAAAGCCTTTGTTCCTTTAAGCAATTTTCTTTTTAATTATAAATATGTTCTCCTCTATAGTGTTACATTTAGGTGCATTTATATCTCTAGGCCTTTATCCACATTTTGCTTTCTTACAGGGAACAGAATGTGCTTCATTTTCCACTTTTGTATAACTTCCGTTACCGCTTCTAACTCTAAAAGTCCAATTCTATTTCTGCAAACAGCTATTGCTCCTGTGGTCAGCTTGTGATGTTTGTGGTGGGGGCTGTGAAAAGTGTTGTCTGCTCAGAGCCTCATTATCTATAGAAAATTACACCTTCCTCCTTCCATGTGTTTTTATACTACTATCATTCTAAGACATGGCCTACCCTGTGGTTGTACAGATTGGATAAAGGACAAGAGTGAAATATGGCTGAGTGCCCCTCTCCAAGCTCTCACCCTAGAGGTAGACTGTGGGGTTCTGGAGGAAGAGAAACATTTTGAATACATCTACACCCAGAATGTGCCTCCTTGTAATTATCTGTTCCATGGTATATTAAGCCATTCTTTCATAAAGAAATACCCGAGACTGAGTAATTTATAAAGATTTAATTGACTCATCATTTTTTATGGCTGCGTATGTAATAAACCTGCACGTTGTGCACATGTACCCTAAAACTTAAAGTATACTAAAAAAAAACAAAAAAACATTTAGTTGACTCACGGTTCTGTGGGCTGTACAGGAAGCATGGCAGCATCTGCTCAGCTTCTGGGGAGGCCTCAGGAGACTTACAATCATGGCAGAAGGCAAAGGGAGAGCAGCTGTGTCACATGGCAAAAGCAGGAGCAAGACAGAGGTGGGGATGGTGCCACACACTTTTAAATGACCAGATCTGATAGGAACTCACTATCACAAGGACACCACCGATTGGATGGTACTAAACCATTCAAGAGAAATCTACCCCCACAATTTAATCGCCTCCCATAAGACCCCACTTCCAATATACAGGAATACATTTCAACATGATATTTGGGTAGGGACAAATATCCAAACTAAATCACACGAATAGTACCTTTTTATTTTTCACATGACCAAATGAGCCCTGCTCCCAGAGTTGCTGGTGCTCCTGTTCCTGATCTAAAGGCGAGCTCATGTTTGAAGCAGGATGAATCAGTGCCCTCATTTTGATGCCAAATGTGGGAAGAAAATACTTATTGAACACATTCAGTGTGCTAGTGACTGCATTTGATGTTTTAAATAATTTTCTTATTATCATCCCTATGTTTTAGAGGAGGTAAGTAAGGTTTGGTTCAATATTTGGTCCAAGATCTTTGTGTTAAAGCATACAAAAACAGGGATTTATAGCTCTCAGATCAGTGTTCTGTGTTCCTCACACACTGTAACTGTGATCTGGCTATGGTATTTGCCATTTTGTTATTTCTGGGTACAATTCTCCAAACAAACCAATTGATGAGAGATTTTGTTGTAAGAGTATAAAACGTATGTTTGAGTTACAACTAGTACATTTACCCTAATGCTGGCTGCTCTCAACTCACCATTGAAGAGAAAATGTAGCTTACTCATAGATTTATGATTATTTAGTCTACTATTTAATAAAATTAGAGGTGACTACATAAGTTAGCATTCAGCTTTAGCTGCTTATCAAAAGAACAAAAATAAAAGTGACAAAGCAAAAGAATTTTTCTCCCTCACATAAAACATTTAGTGTTAGGAAGTCCAAGTATGATCTGGTAGTTCTAGAAAATGTACAGGGACCTAAGACCTTCCTATCCTGCTGCTGGTCACCTCATGGTCTGAGATGGTTTGTTAGAGTCCTATCTGTCTGCATTCCAGGCCACAGGAAAGAGGAAGGGAATGGCGGGGGGAACTTGCTCTTACTTTTGGACAGATTCCATCAGTAACATATAAATAACACTTTCACTTCAATTAGAACTTGGTCACATGACCACATCTAGCTATAAAAGAGGCTGGAAAATACACTCCTTTAGTTGGGTTGGCATGTGTCCGAGTAAAAATTGGTGTTCTTATAAATAAAGAAGGACAGACTAGATCATGGAAGGCACCTGGTAGGCTCTGCACAATGCTGTTTTGTTGGGGGCTCACCTGAGCTGGGAAAGGAAACTAAATTGCCAGATATTGGGAGAAGCTGATTAAAACTCAAGCCAAAAATGGAAGCGGTAAGCCTGTAATCACTAATTGCCGTGGTATAACAAAGAGTGTAAGATAGGAAAAGGCACCAACTCATCCTGCTCCTTTTTCCTCTGTTTCCTCTGTGGAATTGTTTGTCTGCTAAAGGTCAGATGTATCAGTATAGACTTGGGAGTTGTGTCACTGTTGAGGGAGCACTGAACAAAAGGTTCCAGCAGTTTTGTAGACCCTGAAGTCAAGGAAGGCAGAGGAGGGCTAGGAGTAGAAAAGTACTTGGTGGTGAGACTGATTGGGGAAAAGTGTCTTCAAGGTTCCCCCTCCACTACAGTAAGGAGGCCTTAGTAGAGACACCTGTTGAGAACCTCTGCTCAAGGCCTCAGACAAGAAGACCTAGGAATGAGGTCTCTGGGCTAGTGATGTGAATATATTAAGAGCATGCCTGGCCAGGGAACCCCAGTCCTTGATTGCAACTCTCTTCGGAGATCCCAGTGCACTGGCTGTATACCACGTCGGGGTAGGAAGGGCAGATTTGCCCCCAAGCTCTGGCAAGGTAAAGTCTCTGTAATTGCTTATGGTAGGGCCTGAAAATCCCTATTTAGGGTTGCAAACAGGAGCCTGACTTCACTAACTCGTGTTTTCTTATAGCTTCTCCCACCTCTTTAATATTCAACCATGTGAACTGAAAGCTGCACTGTAATACATAACCTCTTGAGTTTTCTTCTTAATTAATTTTTTTAATGTCATTTTATTTGTCCACTAGGAAAACTTAACATTTCAGTAGGGAGGAATGGTCTTTTTGTCAGTTTCACCAAAACGTCACTTTATTTTGTATCTCGTTGGTTTCTGTACTTAGTTATGTATTCAATATCTACCACTGATGTTTTGTAAGAATATGGTAATCAGGGATCTGCTGTGTTGCAGTGTCTAGCACAGGAATCTTCCTTTCCTCTTTCTTTCCCAGAGGCAGGCCCTTTCAGTCTCCTCTGTTGGAGATAGGCACCCTTGTCTATTATAGTGTGGGGCATGTGTTATGTGCCCCCAAAATAATTGTTGATTTATATAAAGATGATCTCGATTTTTAAGCAAAAAGAAGATGAAATTCCAAAAGTCAGTAAAAGAAAGTGATGTAAAACATTAATATATATGTAAATGTGTTAACAACAGTGCTGTAATAGAAATCCAGAGAATGAATGAGAACTTTCCTCAGGACCCTAGCAGAGAGATGAAGCACTGGTGTTGGCCATAGGACCATACAAAGGCATAGTTTTCACTGCTCATTGTCATTTCTTCCCTTTGTACATGGCTGGTAAATATACAGAAGGAAAGCCGCTAGGTGCAGTGGCTCACGCCTGTAATCCCAGCACTTTGGGAGGCCGAGGCAGGTGGATCACGAGGTCAGGAGATCGAGACCATCCTGGCTAACACAGTGAAACCCTGTCTCTACTAAAAATACAAAAAACCAGGCGAGCTGGCGGGTGCCTGTAGTCCCAGCCACTCTGGAGGGTGAGGTAGGAGAATGGCATTAACTCAGGAGGTGGAGCTTGCAGTGAGCCGAGATCGCACCACTGCACCCCAGCCCAGCCTGGGAGACAGAGTAAGACTCTGTTTCAAAAAAAAAAATAAAAAAAATTAAAAAAAAAAGAAAGAAAGAAAATTAAAAAAAAGAAAACCAACACAAGAGGATAGTCACATATGAGAAGAAAGGGGAAAGAGGAAAAGATGATGAAGGCTGCTATGGTCTGAATTTCTAAGTCGAACTCCTAATTCCTAAGATGATGATATTAGGAGGTGGGGCTTTGAAAGGTGATCAGGTCATAGGGGCGAAATCTCCTTGATTAGGATTACTGACCTTATAAAAGAAGCCCTGGAGAGACCCCTCACCCCTTCCACCATGTGAGGACATAGACAGAAGACATCGTCTCTTAGCCAGATACTAGGCCCTCATGAGACACAGAATCTGCCTTGATCTCAGACTTTCCACCTTCTAGAACTGTGAGAAATAAATTTCTGTTCCTTATAAGGCACACAATTTATGGTATTTTATTATAGCAGTCTGAGTGGACTAAGACAAAGATTTTCAAGCCACATATAGAAGATGTTGATTTAGCTAATGTGGAGTTCTGACTCTGCTGCCAATCATTGCTATGCATATCACTGACCAAAAAGGAAAACCACTAAAAGAAGGAATTTGCTTGTAGAATGGAGATATAGACTGTGAAACTGGTGTTAAGCATGCTAGATTTTAGGTAAACATGTATGTAATGAAAATATCCAGCAAGCAGTTTGAGATGTGTGTTAAAATTAAGAGGGCACAGGTCTAGAGATGTTGATTTGGGCCATTATTCAATTAATGATTATCATTAAATCATTAAACACACATATACAATAAAATAACAACCATCACAAATACAAAAGCAGATAAAAATCACTGCGGGGGAAATATACAAATGAGGTTTTATCTAACTCCACATTGGAAAGCAAAAGCATACACCACTTAATAATAGTGGTGAACACCATAGAGATGCTATCTCTTAAGAATTCCAGTATAATACTTAGTCTACAAAGTGCTGCACTTAGATTATGTCTTATAAATATACTTTGATTTTGGCATTCAGCCACGTGAAAATTTGACTTAATATTATACACTGAAAAGGAGTCCATTTCCAAAATAAGAGCAATATAGGTTAGAAAACATAATATATTATTTGGAATTAATAAAAATCAGGAAAAGAGGGGTATTGGCAAGGGAATGTATTCAGGACTGACTGTGTTTCACGTTCTTGTTAAAGAGACTATTTTGCATTGGAGGATGCTTGAGGTTGGCTGATTTAAAAGGGTAAAAATAGAGGCTAGGTACAGTGGCTCATGCCTGTAATCCCAACACTTTGGAAGGCCGATGTGGGGGGGGGGGTGGCGGATCATGAGGTCAGGAGTTCGAGACCAGACTGACCAACATGATGAAACCCTGTCTCTACTAAAAATACAAAAATTAGACAGGTGTGGTGGTATGTGCCTGTAATCACAGCTACTCAGGAGGCTGAGGCAGGAGAATCACTTGAACCTGGGAGGTGGAGGTTGCAGTGAGCCGAGATCATGCCACTGCACTCCAGCCTGGGTGACAGGGCAAGACACGGTCTCAAAAAAAAAAAAATAGAATTGAAAAGTACTCTGTTTCTTTGTAAAATAATATATTTTCCCTTGACCATTCTATTGCTTAAGAATAAACAGACTTATGTATTTCTTTCAATAAAATATCGTTTGTTTCATAAAAGATGTTTCAACTCTTTAGTCATATATTAAACTAGTGATAGATTCAGCTTGTATCAGTGTAGGTCATTGTGTCCCTGGAAAGCATCAGCTCCTGCCCCTGGATACACACCAACATGATGCTATTCTCTTACTGCTGAACTGTTGTATCCCTTGGAGTCAGAATAATTTATAACCTAAATCATCTAAATGTTATCCCTGTCCCCCATAAATCATAAGCTTTGACCACTCTGAATCTAGGAACAATGCATGTCGTTTTATTTTTTGTTTTGGAATTTGGGTTGCTCATTCTATAGCACAGGTGTAATTTATGTGTATTTGTGGTACACTGCTACATCTTGAGTTCAAAACTCTTCTTGTTTATCTTCTCTTTCTCCTCAATTCATCCTTTAAGGTTTTTATCAGAAGGTTCGAATGAAATGTACAACCTAGAAAATTATTTTGCTTTCTCTAGACAAACTCACTTGCCAGTCTTTCATAGAAAGATAGCTAGATTGTATTTAGGATATGATTACCTTTCTAGAAATGAAGGGTATAGAAAGACTGGTGATAGAAACCCTTTTTTACACTCTCTCTTTAATTTCTCTCCAACTGCACAATGCCCTTTCAGGCACCAGATCCCAATCATTCATTAATACCTCTTCTCAGGGTTAGATCTTACCAGTATCTGATATGGTTTGGCTGTGTCCCCACCCAAATCTCATCTTGAATTGTAGCTCCCATAATCCCCACATGTTGTGGGAGGGACCTGTTGGGAGGTAATTGAATCATGGGAGCAGGTGTTTCCCATGTTATTCTTGTGACAGTGAAAAAGTCTCGAGATCTGATGGTTTTATAAAGGACAGTTCACCTGCACATGCTCTCTTGCCTCCTGCCATGTAAGACATGCCTTTGCTCCTCCTTTGCCTTCCACCATGTTTTGAGGCCTCCTCAGCCATGTGGAACTGTGAGTCTGTTAAATCTCTTTTTCTTTATAAGTGACCCAGTTTGGGGAATTTCTTCATAGCAATATGATAATGGACTAATACAGTATTATATCTATTGTTCACTGAAGTTAAGATGTAAACTCTTCTAAGTCCATTTACATTTTTAAGCTTTGTCTTCAAAGTAAAATGAAAATCTGGCTTCTCACATGGGAATTTCTGGATTATTTCAAGATCATGTGCACATAAATCTGACTTCATGGTAGTATTATAAACATATTTTTGGTACAAGAGAAGGGTAACAGTACTGCCCACAGGACAGTTTAGATCTTCTCTCCTTTCCAAACATCTTATTAAAAAAAAAGGGAACTTTAAACGTTTCTTCTTTGACATTCTCAAATAGCATCTCTTTCTAAAAAATGAATATTTCCAGTGTCAGAGTTAAAACTGCCTGTCAGCAACTTTTGAATAGTTAACTACCACAGTGATCCCATGTGTACAAAGCATCCTGTCTTGTAATTATTAGAATATGAAGAAGGAGGCAATTCATATACATCAGCACAGATTGATTTATTTTTAGAAGAAATAATACTTGACTACTTAAGGGAGAAAGCAAAGTTAGACCCCCCCACTTCATAAAATGCATCTAAATAAACAATAATATAATACTAAATTATTAAATATATATTGTAATAAATATTATACAATACTGAGTCATAAAAGTATAATAAGAAAATAACATATGAAAAGAGAGGTTTTCTAAGTAGAAAGGCAAAGAAAGAAGCATAAAGGAAAATATATATATAGGAAAAAAGTTAACATCTTCTATATGTGATTAATAATTAGACAAAAATGAGAACACTTGGGCACATGTATTATACAATAAAGTTAATATCTATAATGTATAAAGAATCCTTAGAGGCAATAATAAAAAGGATGCATGACCCTATAAAAATATGCCAAAGATATGAATTGAAGGCATTCACAGAACTAATAAATGTAAGAAGTAACAAGGCTAACTTCATTAATATTCAGAGAAATACACTTTAAAAGAGAAAATTGCAATTTTTTTACCTATCAGATTGATCAGTCCTTTTTTTATCTGGTGCTTAAACAAAGAAAAAATGATCTATTTCAGCCCAGTAGAAAAAACTAGCTGTGTTGGATTTCTAGAAAGATAACATGTTGACTTCCTTCAATAAGTTCCTTCTAAAATGGATTTTAAAGGGCACATTTATCCATATTTAATGAAAGTGTCCAAATATTAAAAAATAGAATAATACAGTGAGGTCCCAAGTACTCATCAACTAGATTCAACATTTATCAAGATTCTAAGGCAATTTTGATCAATTTTTTTTTACTTTATAACCTAATCTTGGATATATATAGTATATTTCAAAAGACTTGTGTGCAAATGACTTGGCCCTGCACTTCAACTTCTATGATATTATTCTAAGATAATCTGGAATTTGAATATTGATTTATGTTCCATATGTTAAAAACAATTGAAAACAGCTTAAAAGTTTACTTTTTCTACATGAATATTTATGCTATTCATAAAATCAGGCAGAAATGAGTTGCTGTGCTTAAACAAAGAGTTGGGACTCAGTCCAAATCATTAGACTCTAATAGCCCTGCTCTTTTCACAACTTTTCCTAAAAACTAACAGGTATTGGCTCAGTGATTTCATACTTGGATTCATATCTTATAAAAGCTCTGAGGTTGATGCTATGGTTACCCCTGTTTCCCAGATGAGGATGAGTAAATGGCTCAATACTAACACACTGAAGTCACTAGCATCTGGGCATCCAGCCTCCAGAGCTTCCATGTTAAAGCACTAAGCTAATTACTGCTAGGACAAGATAAGAAAATAGAACTGCTTAAAAAATTGAATAAATAAAGCATGAATCCAGAATGATGAATCCTGACAACGTGTCTATTATTTAACTAGCTTTGTGTTGTTTTTTTTCAAAAAGGCATTTATTTTTCTTTTTAATTTGATTTTCATATTGTCTAACTAAAGCACATGTCCTACACACATTTGTGAAGAGCCTGATCTGTAGAAAACAAATGATATTTCAGTTCTTGGGTAGGACTGAACTTTTGTACAAGACTTTTTTTTGTTATTTATATATTTTTATAATAAAATGTAGTTACAAAAGACCTCACAAAGCCAATGTATGCCTTAAAAATTATTTCACACCAACCATTTTGTAACTACCTCCATGCTATGAAACAGAATTTTGCCAGCTCCTTCAAAGTCCTTTGCATATGTTCCTTCTCAATTATAACTTCTTTTTCTCTCATAAGTAACCACTATCCTATCTTATAGTAATCATTTTTATTAGTTTTTTTATTACCCAAATGTGCAACTGTTGGCACTTTAGTTTTAGTGTTGCCCATTTATTTTAATATGATACATCTCTCTCTCTTAATCTGTAGTTCTCTCTCCATTCTTTTTTTCCTTGCAATTTATCAGCATAATATTATTTTAAAAATCATCCTTTATAGGTGGTGACAGGCTTTGCCTGTAAATAAAGTCAGCTGTTGAACATGAGTAGTTATTCTGTGTTCAAAGATGCATGAATCAAATCACCCTTTAAACCTCAACAAATAACTCTTCATTTCAGGTCCCCAATGTGAATAGTTCTCAATCTTTATTTATTTTGCTGCTAATTTGGGGAGGAAAATTGTTTGGAAATTAAATTTAAAAGTTTATTACATCTTATGAAATAAAAGTGGTCGAATAGATAAAATGAAGCTATCTGGAGTCTTAATTGCAGGTAGCAGAAGCTCACTGTGGCTAGCTAATGGATAAAGGGATATTTGTTATAATGACCCAAGACTGTTTCAGATAATCAAAAGCTTTGACTGAGTGGGCATCAGTAGCAGAATGCCAGTGCATCTGAATTAATTTGGCTGCAAATTATCTGAGGACTTCATGGAAATTTAGATTCTGATTCAACAGAGCTGGAGTGGGGCCAGAATTCCTATACTTCTGATGACCTCCAAGGTGAGGTCAATGTTATTGGCCCATGGAATACTCTTTAAGTAGTGAGTGACCACTCATCAACTATGTCCTTCTGAGTGGTTTCATGTTTATTGCTATGGATGCTTTCACTGTATTCACCCATCAGAAAATAGGAGGAAATAAATGGTGTGGGAAGGAGGTAATACAACAGGTATCCTTTACTGCACTCCAAGATGGAAACCCCAAAGAAATTCTGTTTCTGTTGAACACAGAAACATGGGCTAAAACAATCAGGAGGACTCCAGAGAAATCACACCTGGAAGTAATCAGACTTCCCCTTCTGGCTTCATCTACCATCTTGCCAATATCTTTATCCATACCCTCATTCCTAAACCTGCTCTGCAATTGTATGAAATGAAGTTCATAATAGCAATTAGAATCTGCCTTGAGGGAACAGATAAATCTATTGTATTGCTTCCTCTGTAAATGGAATTATCATCCCTCAAATTTTGTGTATGAGATAGAAAGTTAAAAGCATGGAGCATGGTGGGATGTCCTGGGTTGATTATTTAATCTTAACTCTGTCTCCCCATTAAGCATGCATTGTTAAATGAAGTAACACTCAAGCTTAGAAATTATCAAGCAGGTGTTTAAAAGACATCAGTAAGCATTTCTGTTATAGTCTAATTAGTGTTCTAATACATTTTACAGTACAGTCATCATTATTTCTTCTTCATTAGTTGCTGATATATTGCATAATGCATCTTATTATAAAAATTTCCCTACCAAGTTTGGGAAAATATGGCTACCTACAAGGAAAAAATGCTACAAATGTGTATTCTTTATTCTTATAAACATACAAATTAAAGATAAATACACAAAACAGCTTGTAATCCAGATAATATATATTTCTATATGACAAAATAAGCTTGTAAATATTTATGTTTATCCAGTTCTATTTACTCTGAATTGCAGAATGAACTTCATATAGTTAGAAGGATGAACTGAAGTTACTGCCATCATTGTCAGGGAACTACTTAGTAATTAAAATGAAGTATTCACTTCTCCCCTACACACTCCTACCAGCACACACATAGTTTGACTGAACATTTTTATGCAGATGGAAATCAGATTACAGGAGGGTGAGCCCTGAAAAGGTGATATAGGGTGTATTAAACCAGAGGAGGCCAGGCTTGGTTGCTCATGCTTGTAATCCCGACACTTTGAGAGGCTGAGGTGGGTGGATTGTCTTGAGCCCAAGAGTTCTTGACCAGCCCAGGCAACTGGCTGGTCTAGAACTCCTGGGAGACCCTGTCTCTACAAAATAAAAAAAATAAATTAGCCAGGCATGGTAGCACTCACCTGTGATCCCAGCTAGTCTAGAGGCTGGCTTGAGCCCAGAAGGTCAAGACTGCAGTGAGCTGTGATCGTGCCACTGCACTCCAGCCTGGGTGACAAAGTAAGACCCTATCTCAATCAAAACAAAACAGAGAAAAAGGAAGAAACAAGGAGCCATCCTATCATTTGGTTACAAGGGCTACTTGGAGGCTGGTGGTGTAGGAATGAACCTCAGGTCCTTTAAAGAACAGTCTGTCTAGTCACACCTGCTCTTTAACTTCTGCACCCTTGAGTTACTTGACTGTAGCATTTCGGTCAGCTATGTCAATTTGGGAACAGCTCCTCTTTAAATAAAACAAAATCCATGCTCTCCAAGATATAGCCTTTAAAAAAAAATCAGCAGATGGAGAAAAGATGCAACAATAAGCATCCGACATAGTTATCTAGCCCTGAGGTTTGCAGACTCCATTCGTTATCCTGAGATAATCAGTATTCTAGGTATGATACAACTTCACAAGCTCGCTGTCTAATCCTCATTCCCAAGCCCCTAGCCGGTCTGCCTGTGGCATTGGCTGGAAGTGTGAAAAGCAAAGATAAAAATTCAAACGAAGCGTAATTTAATGTAGTATTATATTTTGCATTAGATTAAACATTTTTATGGCTTTCTTTCTTTAAATGATGTTCATTGTTCTGATTATAAAAATAATAAAAGGTAATTGTAAACAGTTATGAGAAACCAAAAAGGATAAAGAAAATAAAAGCAATGTGTAACCTCAAAAAAATTTAACCATAATTAGATATCCTCTAGCATATGTATTTTTAAAGGAGAGAAGATAGATATTATACTCAAAAAAACAATCTCTCCTTAGGGAGAAATAAAATTTAAGTTAAAATTAATTAATTAGAAATAATTTAAATTTAATATAAATTTCCTCCTGGTGCAATGTTGCTAGCAAAAAAAAAGAAATTGGGAGACACCACTCTACTAGACATAAGTTTAAGAGCCAGAAGCTCAAATTGCAAATTCAGCAAATATTCGTTAGGCACCTGTCGTGTTTGGTACAGAGTGCTGAGTACTTAAGAAAGTCTAAAAGAAAACGAATTTGTCCCTCTAAATTCATTAGGATGTTTTGATTTTTCTTACATAACTCCAGTGGAAAAATTGTTTGAATAAGTACATTTGTTACTGAACCTACTTGTAGAAGCCTGGTGATATGTCAACTCTAGGTGTGGCAATTTCCTTAGATCAATTATGTCACCAATTATTTCATCTTTCCCTTCTTTTGTGATGGCTGATCATTCTAGTTCTATAAATCCTGTTCTGCAATACAGATTAAGTAAACCACAAAAATATGAATAGTCACAAGTTTATTTATCACAATCAAGAAAGTTGAAGCCTATGAGTTTTCGCTTTTTGTGATTGATCTCACGGTTGCTTGCTGCTGCCAAGATTTCAAACCTCATCTTTCCCAGTGTCTCTTTCTTGGCAAAAAGACCTTTCCCCAAGAGCCAGCAGCCCCCCTCTTCATGCCATCTTAATCAGGAATGAGATCACGCACCCTTCACTTCATCAATTGTTAACAAAAAGAATGAAGTTTTCAAAATTGAATTAAACAAAACATCTCAGGTATAGTCTCTTTTTTTTTTTTTTTTTTTTTTTTTTTGAGACGGAGTCTCGCTCTGTCGCCCAGGCTGGAGTGCAGTGGCGCGATCTCGGCTCACTGCAAGCTCCGCCTCCCGGGTTCACGCCATTCTCCTGCCTCAGCCTCCCAAGTAGCTGGGACTACAGGCGCCCGCCACTACGCCCGGCTAATTTTTTGTATTTTTAGTAGAGACGGGGTTTCACCGTTTTAGCCGGGATGGTCTCGATCTCCTGACCTCGTGATCCGCCCGCCTCGGCCTCCCAAAGTGCTGGGATTACAGGCGTGAGCCACCGCGCCCGGCCAGTCTCTTTTTAACAGTTTTTAATTTTGTGTGTGCAAAGCTACTGGCTGAATTAACAAGTTTACATACAAAAAATGATGTAAGGGAAACTGAGAACTTACCAAATAAATGCTACATGTTTATATTTATCATCCAAATAATGATAATCAGCCAAAAATAACAAATGTTTTAGAAGACTCAGTATGGAAAGTGTTTGAAAAGAAACAAATTATACAAGTAATAAGAATAAAGAGTATTCGAAAAAAGGTAACTGAATGCTGTGTATTTTTATTTAGTTTGCTCTTTTTGCAGCTCATGAATGTGTTGTAATAAATGCTCAGACTCATAGTGTTAACAATTGAATACATTATTCTTTTTGAAAGTATTTTATTCCAAAATTGTACTCAGCTTATTTTAAAAAAGATTTTTGCAATAAAATTTTGACATGAAGATAAAATCAAGTAAAATAATAGTAAAGAGAGCCCATTTAAAGGAGGAAGAAAATTAATTTTACTGGAAAACTGAGTTTATTTAAAAGGAGCTAAAATTTTATTTTTAAACTTTCTTGCAGTGGATTATAGCAATGTCTCATCATGAAAGCTAGATGTTCATATGGGGAAAGAAAATCCAAAGTTGGTAGGATTTCAAGGTTGCTGAAGAGTATTTAGTTTTTTAAGTAAATTTATTTACAATAGCATGCATGTGGTACAGCATACAAATTATATGACTACAGCTCAATTCATTTTTCCACAAAATGAGCACACTCATGTCACCATCACCTAGAACATTAGTAGCTCTCATCAACCGTGACATCCTTCCCTAGTCACAACCTCTCAACAGTGACTACTATGTAATGTCTATCACCATAGGTTAGCTTTGTTCGTTAAACTTTATTACACTTTTAAGTTTAAACTTTATTAAGTTTATTAAACTTCACATAGATAAAATCTTATATCCTGTATTCCTTTTTTTCCATTTTTTCTAGCTCCTTTCATTCAATACTATGCTTGTGACATTCCTCCATGCTGCAAGTAGTTTTGTTTGTTTGTTCTCATTATGTATAGTATGATATTATCTAGGTATAATGTATTTAATAATGAATGTAAAAATGTTATTTATTCATTTAGTGAAAGGGGCATTTGGGTTGTGTATTAGTCTTCTCTCATGCTGCTAGTGAAGACAATACCTGACACTGGGTAATTTATAGAGGAAAGAGGTTTAGTCGACTCACAGTTCACATGGCCAGGGAGGCCTCACAATCATGGGAGAAGGTAAATGAAGAGCAAAGTCATGTCTCACATGGAGGTAGGCAAGAGGGCTTGTGCAGGGGACCTCCCATTTATAAAACCATCAATATCATGCGACTTATTCACTATCATGAGAGCAGTATGGGGGAACAGTCCCCATGATTCAATTATCTCCATCTGGCCCCACCCTTGACACGTGGGGATTATTACAATTCAAGGTGAGATTTGGGTGGGAAAACAGCAAAACCATATCAAGTCATTTCTAAATTTTTGGCTGTTTTGAATAGTGCTGCTATGAAAATTCTTTTACATATCTTTTGGTGTATATACAGACACATTTCAAGTCAGTTTAACCCTAGGAGATGCATAGATTCAGCTCTTGTAGATACTGTCAAACAGTTTTCCCAAGTGGCTGAATCAATTTAAAATTGAAACAATTGACAGTGACAAATTCAGTTGTTCTACATCCTCACCAACACTTGGTATTGTCAGAGTTATTTATTGTGCCTCTGGTCTCTCATTGTGGCTTTAATTTCCATTTTCCTAATGACTAATAGAGTTGTGTCTTTTCTCATGGGTATGTAGCCTATTTTCACATCCTCTTTTGTTAAGCAGTTGTTCAAACTTGGATGGCAATGAATTTCCATCTCATATACTCAAAATAAACTGTTGTTTGCAGCTATCTTGTGTCCTTCTTTAAAAACATTTCTGAAGTTATACCAGGGTTCATTTGGAAAGTGGTCTATGATAGCTTTGTGATTTCTGTCATGGGTGGGAAAAGGAAGATGCCATGGATTTGCAGACCTTGATGTGAATCCTTGTACAAGAGAATGAAGGAAAGGGAAATAATTTTTGAAAGCTTCCCACTGAGGAATGGTTTTAAAGTTTTAAAAATTTAATGACATTAAAGAGAATAGTGGAAATGACTTTAAAATTGCCCTTTCTTGTACTTCTTAAAAAGTGCTTAGTCAGTAGCTAGTAGAGCCGTGATTCATCCTTTTGTAATGTATTAAAAGAAATATGTTGCCATCACAGAATAGGACGGAAACCATTTCTTGTGGTCACAGAATAGGACTGAAACAATATCTTGTTCCTGTACCTGGTATAGCATCCAGCAAATTATAGGTCCTCAAATATTATTTGAGTGAAATAAAATGTCGCAACAGGATATGGAATATTAAAGTCACGTGTCTACTAGTTAGAGGTTGTAAATGACCAGAAGAGTTCTGCCAATTACTGTCAACTTGCTGACATATAACCTTTAGTATTAAGCTTATCACCTTTTCAAAATGAACAACTCAATTATTTTTAATTGAAGAAAACTGACTAAGACCCATTAATCCAACAAATATTAACACACACTAAATTCTAAAGAAGAATTTTTTAAAAAACACTCCCCCTGTAATGAAGGATTTCACACTGTATAATAGTTCTGATAACAAATACCCAACAAGTACCTAAAACATAAGTTGTCCAATAATGAACTTTTTTAAAACCTCAGCAAACGTGCCATCTCTCTTGACTTTTTCAACTGAACCTCTTTATTTCCTTCAATACCTAGATGCTTTGGAATCAGTGTCTTGTCTTACTTCTCCTTTAAGCCTCACATTTAAATAGCCACCAATTTCTCTCTTGAAATTTATTTCAAGTCTGTCTACTTTTCTTGGTACACTGCCTTAGTGCAAAGCTTTTTTCTACCTCACATAGATTAATATACATTCCTCATCTTTTATTCTCATCACTGCATTGTCCCCACTCCAGTGAATCTTCCATAGCATTGTTAAGAACAGTATGATATTATTAGAAGAAATCTAGTGTTGCTTATGTAACACATAGGCCATGATGGGATAGCTCAGGCTCTGGTCATGGTGTGTGATGATATGTCAGTCTCTGTTTATCCTGATACATGAAGCTGCTGCAAACCCATCTCACTCAGTTTACATCTCCTTCATTTTGACTCTACATCATCTACAATATAACCCTGTCCCTGTCCACTGTCCCAAACTCTCTCATCTTCCACCACTCTCTTTACACTCACTGTACCTCATCTGCACTGGCTTTTTTGCCAGTCCTTCAGCAGACCAACGGCTAACAGATTCTGCTGTAGTTCTTCATATTCCTTCTGATATTGTCATGACTCACTCCTTCTTTATCTTCCAACCTCTGCCAAAGGCATCGAAAAGGCCTTACCCTATCTAAAAGGCCTTCTTGGATGACCCTCTGTTAGGTAGCTCTTAGTCCCTCTCAGCTCCTTACACTGTCCTCACTTCTTTATTCTTAGCTGTTATCAACACCTGTTGTATTATATCTATTGTCTGTTTTCTCCTCCTTCTCATCAGGATGGAAGTTCTATGAGGGCGGGGTGTATTGTATTCAGTACACTGCTATTTTCCCAGCACCTATAAAAGGTTTGATTGCATTGTAGTTGTTCAATGCATGTTATCAGATGAATTGATCACATTGTCATTGTTGAATACATATTACCAGATAAATGAATCAATGAGCTGATTGGGCACTGATGGTAAAGATGGGCTTAGATATACTCTTAATGGTGTGGCTTACATGTTGGTGAGAAGATGAGAGAAGAAACAAATGAGCTACATTCTTATATTTTAACTAGATATTTGATATTGTTTGACATTGATAAATCTAGCAACATCAGTATAAATGTACTACTTGGTACTTGACACGTACTTGACACTTGGAAGTAGTCATTAAAAGAGCTAAGATTAAAATGATCAAAAGTAACTGATTCTGTGTCCTTGGGGATAGGATGAGGAATGGAGTAGAACTGGACATAGTTGCTTCATATTTGGTACTTCCATGTAAATTATTCTTCCTTTTTTTTAGTTTAAGATTCCAAAGTTTCAAATAGGCACCTTTTCTCTTCTTACCACCATGATCCACTTACAAAAATAATATATAAGAAGCATGAAGAGGCCAGGCGCTGGGGCTCACACCTATAGTCCCAGCACTGTGGGAGGCCAAGGCAGGTGGATCACAAGGTCAAAGATTCGAGACCAGCCTGGCCAATATGGTGAAACTCCATCTCTATTGAAAATACAAAAATTAGGCCGGCATGGTTGCGTGTGCATGTAGTCCCAGCTACTTGGGAGGCTGAGGCAGAAGAATTGCTTGAACCTGGCAGGCGGAGTTTGCAGTGAGCAGAGATCATGCCGCTGCACTCCAGCCTGGGCAACAGAGTGAGACTCTATCTCAAAAAAAAAGAAGTAGCATGAAGATGGCAAAGGCTTTAGCAAAAAATCTCTACATTACAAAGGAAGTCTATAAAATCTTTTAAGGAAAAAAGGAATAATTGATGTAACTGAGTATCTGTCACATTAACTATCACAAACTGCGCTAGGAGAGGAAATTAAGAAAAACAGAAATTCAGGCTAAGTTGGTGAAGTAATGTTGCATTATTTGTCAGAAGACTTTGGCATTGAAGTTAAGTGCCTAGCATAAATCCATCTAATTTAGTTTTTTAATCCTTTCCTTTGTAAGCCTCCACAATAAAGTCTATAAAGCAAGTTATGAAGAAAACTTGTAAATAATCCTAGGCTATTTAAGTAGCCTAATGATTTCAGATGATCCCAAGACATAACCTTGTTAATGTGCGTTAAAAAATCCAGAAACCTGTAGCTATGATAAAAAAAAAAAAAAACCCGTTATATAGAAATGTAAACTGAGGTTAATGAAATAAAAAACTTGAAGACAGGGTCTCATCTTAGTACCAATGATGCTGAAGATAATTAAAGCAATTTAGTAGATGGGGCATGGCAGTCTGTTTCACGGGATTGTTTTGAATGGATCTCTGGATTTGACAACTTGTTAAAAATAGGCTGGCGAACAATAGAGCTAATATTTGGTCTTGAGGCTCCTCATTCAAGGAAGTTAAGGTCGATAAGTAAAAGCATGACACCATATAGAAATGTCACTGAGTGAAAACTAGATCTGAAATAGCCATTTATTTTGACATATATTGTAGACTAAAGAGTAACACTTGTTTGTTCAGTTTGCAACACATTATTGAATGATGTCAAACAGTGTATCAGAGTTGAATGCCAGCCAACCTTTTGACAGACTTTTGATTATCAGGAAAGGAATTCAAGTGCATTTATGGTATGTAGCAGATATTTTTAAAAAAAGAACCAAGCTGACCTTAAATTAAAATAATATCATGCAGTGGGCAGTAGAAAAAGCAGTATAGAATAATCACTATGACATATTGAGAATTAGTTCATGCTAACAACGTTTTGGATGAAGATATAATTTCTTGCATATGCAAACTATGTTTTCTTACCCTCTCTATCTCTCCAACTGAAAGATATTTGAAGATTTCTTCATGAGGGCATTGGAGCATGCAGCCAGAGGAAACCAAAATGGAAAGGCAGTTTCATATAGTTGATAATAGTTTAATGTATGGACATTATATTTGAGTTGACATATTGGTCATCCCAAATACAATTAGTTGTGTGTGAATTTCAATTTGTGCTTATCTGGAATGTTGTTCTCTCTATGAGGTAAGCTGATTGACCTATTTATCAACTAAGTGTAGAAAAGCTATTGTGCTTTATGACCTCTGCAGTTATGTCCATCCATGTTAATGAACCATGAAGGAGGATTTAAAAACCCATTAAAATAGCAGTGCACTGCATAGCTGAATGACAAGGCCTATTCTGTAATAAATGACCATGATCTCAAATATTGAAAATCCCTTTGTAGTACACAGGCCAAAATAGCTTAAAGGTATATTTTAGCTGTTGTAAACAACCAAGTTAATATTTGAAGCTCATTATTTTATGAATTACTCTTACCAAATATTTAGAACTGTGTTTTTTTTAAGAGCTATAGATGATGTCTGGTTCAACTTGATTCATTTTACATAATTAAAAATCAGTGGGTGTGAGTGACTTCCTAACGGTGGGTCATACTCCTCTCCACTCATCTCCTGGAGTGTAGTGAAAGTTACATCACATCATGCTTCCTCTGTTTCCCTTACCTGTCTTTTCTTGGGTAACAAATGAAGCTGGGGTTCCCAATCCTCCCAATATGTTCCTTTGCACGCTTGGGCCCCAAATCTGAGCTTTCCTTCTCCCAATAGATAATCTACTACGACTTGAGGATCTTCAATAAAACATATAGGGGTAGAGAGCATAGTGATGCACGAATATTTGTATTGAGTTCCCAGCTAGAGTATTCTCTACCTCAAATGATATTTTTAGCAGGATATAACTAACCCATGGTTCTGTTATTTGCATAGGTAGGCTCATTTGGTATCTTCATTGCTTCTCTCAACCTAAAAGACAAATTTATTTTTGATAACGTCTTATTTTACATTAGTACAAACGAGGAATGTGTTCACATTAAACAATTCAGAAAAGCATACAAGCGCAAAAACAAGAAAATAATTTTGTGTGGGGTAATTGTCCAGACCCTGACCTCCCAGCCCCAATCACTGGAGCTGGCACTAACTTTGTGACCTAGTCCCCATGGTCACCATTTATTGAACCAGGGTTGATACTTGACTCAAGGTAAACCAGTAATATACTTGTCATTTTTGAAATCAGAATTGCTAGTCAGTCCTCCTGATTGCTGGAAGTGAGAACATGTGAACCTGGGTATACAGGGGTATTCAACATCTTCAATGTGTACCCAGAAACAAAGAATGTCAGTCAAGGGAAGATAATAAAGCAGGTCTTCAGAGAAGCAGAAGAGTTGACTAGGATGCCTTGAGGAAAGAGGAAGAGTCCAATAATATAACTACTTTGTTTTCTGAAGGCTTTCCATTTTCTAATTCCCATCCCTCATGAGGCCCAATTGTACTTGCACTCTCAACTTCATTGTGATACTCCTAGATTCTTGTAATACATTCATCTTTTATGCTTAAGCTCACTTCCTATTTCTTCTAGTTACAATAGCTTTTGCAAAGAAATTCCCAAAATGCCTTTATTTAGTGGTAACCAAAAATCTGTGTCTATACATTAAAACAGGATTATATGGTATATTATACATAATTTTTAGTGTTCTGCTTCATTTTATATATCATAAACATTTTCCATATTATTAAATATTCCTCTATGAAAATATTTTTAATTGCTTTGAAGTATTCCACTATGTAATTAAGCAAAACTTGATTTATTTAATTCTACTTTGGATATTTATTTCCTTTTTGACTTTTTACTATTCTAAATTACATTGAGGTAGACATCCTTAGAATGAGTTGATCACATTCAACCATTTAGGAAATATTTCTAGAATTAACTTGGCTGCCTCAAATAGTATGAGAACTAAATCTTTTCTAACATATTGCCGAATTCGAGCTTATAGGCAATTAAAAAACTCATTATCAAAAAAAACTCATTATCAAAAATACAAATATAACCAAAAGATATCTATACTTAGAATAAGGGCTGGCAGTAGAAAATGTCTGATGGCTTAATTCAGATAGGCTCAGAATTGACTCCAAGCTCAGCAAGTTAATGCTATACCTTGGTCCCTTGACTTGAAAGTAGGGTTAATGATGCATACCTGAAAAATACACTGGGGATAATAAATAAGAAAATGATGCAATATACCTAGTGTAGAGCCTAGCCTATTATCAAAGTTCAATTTTAGAAGATGGTACTTTTGGATATTTTATTGGTAGATATTTTATGTAGATAGGGATCTAAATCTTCAATCATGATTCCTATGCTTTAGAACTCAACTACTTACTTAAATTATAGTTTAATTGTATCATTATTACATTTAATTAAATCTAATGATTTTGTGAAGGATAAAGAGCTCAGTGACTTAATAGAGACTCTCCAGAGAATTCTGAAGACTTTAATGGAAGTAGAGGCTTTCGGTTAGCTGGTTAGGGTTTGGTCTTAGGTGAAGGCCTTGTGTGCATTTAATCTGTGAGCAGTGTCAAGCATCATTTACTGAGCATTCATTCTATTAAAGCGATTTCAGTTATAAGACCTATGCACAAGTGTCTGGCTTGGTTTTTCTAGGTTAGTCACTTTATTACATAATGGTTTTGTTGTTCATATGTGTATATTTTTCCCCCAAAATCTTTGCTAGCTTTCAGTGATTAATTTTCAATAGACAAAAAATACTATAACAACTCCATAATATACAACCACTAAGGTTTACATCTGGTGTAGCAGGAATAAAAGAGTTTCTTAGAAGTCTCAGAAAGACGATATTTATTGGGTTTCATGGGTATCCCTTGACAGTTGCCAAGGCTAAGATGTGATCATCTGATTGGTTTAAGCCAAAGTCATATGATCCACTCTTGGGCTGAATGAAGAAGGAGTTGGCTCCTGAGAGAAAAATGTAGGTACATTTATGATAAATAAAGTGGAATTAATGCTGATAGAGAAAATGAGCAGATGTCCACTGCGTTCTAGTTCATGGTTCCATTGGTAGTTCCTGTCAGATGCCTGAGAACTTTTCCACACACCTGATAGTCTCTCCCCACCCACTGAATAAATCAAGTCCTATCTATCATATTTCCTACATTTTTGTATAATCTCTTCTCTACAATCCATCAATATGATTATCATCATGTCTTGTTTTGACTATTGAGTCTCCTACCTGATCTCCCTTTAACAACTCTGAATTCCATCTTCCCAATTTTTCACACTACAGACAGAATTGTGTTTTTATTTTATTTATTTTATTTTATTTTTATTTTTTTGAGACAGGGTCTAACTCTGTCACCCAGGCTGAAGTGCAATGGCATGATCATGGCTTACTGCAGCCTTGACTTTGTGAGCTCAAGCGATCCTCCCACTTCAGCCTCTCTGTACTCGAGAACCTGGGAGTACAGGCACGGGCCACCACACCTGGCTAATTTAAAAAAGAAAAAAAATATGTAGAGATGGGAGTCTCCTGTGTTTCCAGGCTGGTTTGAAACTCCTGGGCTCAAGGATCCTCTTGCCTCAGACTCCCAGTGTTGAAATTACAGGTGTGAGCCACCATATCCAACCCAAATCATGTTTATAATAAGCATATATGAGTTGGCAATTTCCTCACTTAGCTTAAAACTCTTTCAATTCTTCCCTTTACTCTTAAAACATAATTCCAAATTATGGCCTAAAAAAGTCTTGTATGGTCTGATCTCTCCCTCCAGACAGTTTCGCACTTATTACTTCTGTTCTATTCAATCCGGTTTTCCTGTTCTTATGACATATCTCACAGTCTTAGCGCCACGGTAAGAAAGTCACTTATATTCTTACTTTTGTCATTTTGTTGAATCTCGAGAATAGTGAATGCTATTATTATTCCCATTTTCAGATTAGGAAAGTGAGGCAGACCAAGAAAGTTAATAAATAGGTGGTGAGGCCAAGATTTGAACACAAGTAATCAACCCCTGAGCCTACATTCTAAACCATTCTACCACACTGCATCTAACTTACCAGGTAATAACTTTGTGTAGGAGTCATAGAAGTTATAATATACTCAGAAATATCTATTTTGCTCTCTGTTTAATTATCAGTTCCTAGCATAATTCTGGGAGTGCGGTAGCTACTAAATGCATACTTGTTAAATAACAAATAATGCATTCCTGTGTTTCTGAGTTGTTCTGCTGAACTTCCTGTCTGAGTGAACTGTATTCCCTCAAAATAGAAACAGGCCAATAAAGCAGGGACTGTTGTCTTAGGGGCCCTCAGTGAAAACTTGAGAATTCTTAGCCAGCTGCCTCTGGCAGTCCTGATGCCGCATCACTCTCTGATCCTTCCTTGCTTTAAGCAATTCAGTCCTTTGGGTGGAAAACAGGCTGATGGCTACCTTAAAATGGGGCTTTCCAAACATTTCATCATGGAAGATGCTTTTTTATTATTTTGTGATTATTTACTATATTCATATGGTAGCCACTTATTCCCCAAGTTTTTTTTATGTGTGTTATAAAGTGCAAGTAAAGCTTAATTGTTTTTCAAAGTTGCATTAACCAGTGAAAAGTAGTGCCCCAGGATTGTTGATTGGAATGAAATGAAAAGTATCTCCATGCAGAATCAGGTCATTTCATCTTAAAAAAAAGAAAAACAAATCCAATAATGAAAATAACCAAAATGTTCAATTTCTACATCAAAACTTATTCTGTATCAGGTACTATACTAAGCATTTCACATGCATTATTGCATTTAATTATTGTAGCACTGATAACACACATATTATTATCTCTATTTTCAAGAATGGGCAATTAAGGCTTAAAGAGGCTGAATGACTTGAAAGTCACTATGAAGAAGAGAAGAGGAGATTTAAACCTGGGCAGAACTGAACTCTTAATGACATACTATAACTTCTCCCAATATTCAACATCTTGTTTTTCTTAAATGTCACTACTGTCATTTATTACACAGTTTCTATTAAACCCTTAAAATAACCAAAGGGAGTGCAGTACTTCCCAGTGTTAACAGGGGCCTCAGGATGGAAACCACTAGTCTAATGTCCTTTATGTAGTATACACCAGCAGTTTTAGGCTGTTGTGTATCTATTATCTTTTATTTCTGACAACATAAGCCTGATTTTCCCTTTTTGAACTACCCCGTCTCCATAGCATGCTGTGCTGATGGGATCAGTCAAAATGCCATGTTGTACTCTGGGCCAGAAGTGGGACTGGGCCCAACCAAAGTCAATTAGATTCTTTCTCCTTGGGATTTAAATATTTAGATTAGTTGTAGAGGACAAAATAAAGGGTTCAAACTGATTTATTCCAATGGTGACCCTGTAAATAATGCCATTAGTTAGTGCTATCTCAAAACCTAGAATTACCCTGATTCATATCCTTTTAGAGAAAAAGTCATTCTTTTCATTCTGTGGATTATCCTATTTCCTTCAAACTGACTTTGGTGTGTGAGTGTGTGTGTATATGTGTGTATGTGAGAGAGAGTGAGAGAGAGAGAGAGCATGTGTGTCCAGATAGAGTACCTTTCTGTGGTTGTAACCAAGAAAGTCATAGAATTTGCTTTTTCTTGAGCTATTCTCTTTTTTTCTCAAGTCTTCTTTTATGGCCAACAACCCTGGTTTTTACTCTTCTCCCAAATTTAAGCCAGAAAGCAAAGGCAACAGAGAGATCTAATAAAATATGGAAGCACTCATCAAAATTACTTGAATGTACTACATATTTTCTTATTTCCAGATTTCAGATCTATTGGTCAAAAATACAAGGTTTACCTAGTTTATGGTCTAGTGTATGGTTTTAGAGTTTTTAATTTTGGAGGATCTGAAGCCTTATCTTTGGTCATTGCCAGGATACTATTCAGAATGAAAATCTAATGTGACATATTTTAAAACCTGATATAAAGTTCATTCAAATTCCATTTCAAGACATAACTAAGTTGACCCAAACCAAATATTCTCAGCTATCAAAAGACAAGTTCTATCTTATGAAATTACATTTCAACCACCAACTTAAAAGTGCATTCATCAGAAAATCAACAAAACACTACCTAGTGTGAAAAATAGCCACGGTTTGGAGCCAATTTTGCTCTATGAAATTTTAGGTTATACAGCCTTCTCAGCATGTGGCCATTTCTCCTGAGAATCAATTATCAGACACCAGTTCAGCTTATTTTGCAATAATAATTAAACAAGCATTTTACCCCTAAAAGACAAATTTTACATTTTTTTGCTCATGATTTCACTGAAATACCTCTTTCCCTGGGTAGAGTTGTTTGACTTTAAAAACCAGTAGCATCAGTATAATCCTTAGAATCTAATAAAGATTCCATCAGTGTAAAATCATTATCCTTAGGCAGAAAGAGAACCAATTCAATTATGATGTTGGTTGAAAAATTGAAAGCCTTTTTAACTTGAGGGTGGAAAAGTTGTAGTACATATTAAAATGGTTAGTACAAAATTCGTGCATCTAGGCTAACAAATGCTAATATGTTCTTTTGTTACCCTCTAATTTATATGATTCATGTAAGCCTCCAGCCAGTGAAACTTGTTCTAAATTTCATGAGCATTAAAAAATAGCAAAGCAATGAATTGTGAAGTTATTAACATTCACGTCTACTTGCGTTATTAAGCCATACACATCAAATCTGGTAGTACAAGGAAAGAAATGTCATAATGAAGTACAACAGCGTTTAATCAAGAGAATTTCTAAAGGTCATCAAAGCACCATATGATACCCGTCCATGCATAACTGCAATCTGAAATAAATATCCAATGTGACCCAATAAGAAAAAGTCCAATAACTGTTCCATGTACTGTTTCTGTTAATGAAAAGATTTACCATTCTAATGTTGGAGATAAAACTGATTCTGATCCCAAATCATATATGCTGCTTCCTAGACTAATTACAGATTAACAAGGAGATAAGAGAGTACTAGCACAAAGGACATTTGTCTGCTTATTTACCTTCTACCAGTGAGTAGATGACTGATGATCCCAATACAAGCTTAAAAAGAGCTATTCAACTTTCATTGTCTCTGGAAGCCACAGGCTGCACAATTTAAGTGACAAATAATTTACCAATATTTTCTTACTTGTAATGATGTTTTAGGTGCTTCAGGACAAGTATTCCCATCTTAATACTTAAAAGCTGCAAATATTTGACCCCTCTAAATATTTTATATTAACATTCTAAGGACTTTGTTACGAGGCTTTACTGAGGAAGAATAACAAAATAAATGGCCATATAACTGCCTCACGTTAGATATAGTCATATGTCTGTTTTTAATACTTGCAGATTTTGCAATTGCTTTAAAGGTGATTATAGTTTGTGCAGTTGGAAAGACCAACAAGGGAACTAAACCAAATTTAAGATGGTTAACGTTGATTTGTGCCTGCAACCACTGTTTACTGCAACTGTTCCTTTTTACTGCTGCCCTTCACACTTGAATTTGACCCTGTAGTCATAGCCAAAGAAGGCCTTCTTCACTCTTTTATAGACTCATGCCTGGCTAGGCCATCTTTTATCATTTCCCAGGAGACTCTGGGGACACAACCCAATTAGTAAATAGGCTCCAGGTTTTCCTTAAAGACTTTGTTTTGCTGCTTCTGTTTCCTAGAACTCTCCTCACTGCCCAGCTCCTCCTGCTCCCATCCTAGAGCATTTGCTCCGTTTTACCAGCAAGACTGGTTCACATGTCCTATCTACTGCCCAGATGGAAACTAAAGAGGAGAGATTCTTGGATCATAATACTTGAAGATTCTAAAAATTCTAGTTAAATAAACTCATGATTGGAGGACTAAATATGTAAAATTCAATGTTCAAAAAAAGTTTTTTATTAGATAAAACAATATTTAGCTTTATTTCCTCCATTCAATATATGTTTGTTGAATAGCTGCTTTGTTCTGTGGTGAACACATTATGTCATTTGACTTTTGAAAATTTTATTGAAGTATTTTATATATATATATATATACACACACACACGCACAGTATACATGTCATAATTGAAGAACATGTTTTCTCAAAGTAAATACATCCATATAACCATCACCCATAGGTTTAATAAAAGTTACATTATCAGTCTCCCTAAAAGTACCCCCAAGCTATCTTCCAGCCACATTATTGACCAAGGATAACCAGTCTTCTGACTTTTAACAACATAGTTTGGTTTGCCCATTTTTCTACTTTATATACAGGGGTTCACATGGTGTATATACTTTTGTGTTTATTTATGTTGCTGAACATTGGGAGATTCATCCATATTAAGTATAGTTGTCAATCATTCACTCTCCTTTCTGTAAAGCTTTGCATTATGTGATTGTTCCACAGGTTATTTATACTTTCTGATATGGAAAGGCATTTTGTTATTTTCTGATAGGAGGGTATTACAAATGATGCTGCTGTGGATCACTGAGTATATGTCTTTTATTAAATGTATCAGCACATCAGTTTAAGGAGTATAATCCCAAAAGTGGAATTGCTGGGTCATGGGCTATGTAGCAGATACAAAGGCAGGGGTAATTTTAACAGACCTGTCTGGGTTAAATCTCCTTGATGGCAATGTGAAGTTAGAATTCAGGTAAAATAGCCATTAGGGAAAATACTAAATGTCAGTTAAATTATTATTTTAATTGTCTGGAAGCAGTATGAAATTATAGCAAAAACTACGTCTAGGAGTAGACAGACTGGGTCCAAATCCCATCTTTGTCAGTTTAGGAAAGTTATTGAACTTTCTGTGTGTCATTTTCTTTATTTAAAAAATGAATACAATAGAGTTCACCCCATAAGCAAGTTGCGATAATTAAATGAGAAAATACATCTAAAATCCTTAGAACGATGTGCAAGTAAGTGCTCAACTGTTGGCCATTATGATTGTTTTATTTATATGAATTCCAAAAGATAATTTCCCAGGCTGTAGACTCAAACAAAAGGAATGCAATTATAATATTAGAGCTCATAATTATGGTATGTGATTAACAACCAGATTCCCTGAGAAATATTAGAATTATAGGTGAGTTAATCAAATTTCACGAGTGAGTAGAATACCTGTCTTTTGTTTTCCAGATCAAATCTCCTAAATATGACCTACATATGTGAGCTCATATATGCAGCTCAAAAATATCCTGGGTGAAGCCCTTTCTAAATCCCATTCTCTCATCCCCATGTTCCCCTCTCCTCTCTATATAACTCATAACTTGTATTTAGTCTATGCTATTCTTAACTCACTCTACTGCAGTTATCTATACTTATATAAGCTCCCTGTTTTAAGCTGGGGGCATCTAGAGTACAGGATCAGTATGTTCAACATAGGATAGATATTTAATGAGTTTCACCTGACTTAAAAAGATGACAGAATTTATTGATGTTCAGTAACATTATCTTCCTCTACACTGTGTTACTGGTGGAATCCTTGACCCTGAAACTTCCAGTGGAGTCATCACCATTAAGGAAGTAAAATCTGCTTTCCAAAAATTTCATATGTATTGTTAAATAAAAACAAAACATTTGGCTATAATTGAAATAATGCTATATATATGTCAGATGCATTAAGACTTAAATAGAGTTGTATAGACTAATTGTAAAAATGACCTATCATTGTAAAGTGAAAAATGTCTTCTAACATAGAAACAAAAGCCTTAAAATGGAATTCTAGAATGTAATTTATTTATAAGCAAGTTCTGATTTACTATAGGGATAGAAAAAAAATCTTAAATGGAATGCAATATTTGGGGAATAACTTATACCCTTCAGTGTCCTGAAGTTATACTGTGATCAGAAATGTCTGAGAAGAGTGGTAAGTTATTCATTATTCCATAGCTCTTAATTTTTCTAGATTGGATTCTATTGATATATGTGCACTTGTGTACACACACTCAACCCTACAATGAGCATACACAGGTCTCAGTCACTTCGACTTGACAGTATTGAAGACAACTGAGCTAGCAGATTCAGCGTGTTTGTGGTTTATTTGCTCTATGGCACTGAGTATTGATTAATGACATCATAAATCTTTTTGAGACTTACTTTTCACTGCCAACACACTATTCTGAAATGAGATCTACAAGCATGAGTAGAGGTGATGAGATGCATGTCAAGTAAGATAAGTTGGTCTCAGCTGGCAACTGATGAATAAATGCTTTTGGGGAGTTACCTCATAGCTTTTCCTCATCTGTACCTGTAAAATTGTTTTTCAAAGCCATCCTCAGATGCTTTTATTAGTTCCTATTGTATTTATTCAGATTTAAAACTTTCCAGTATGCTTGTATGGTCTTAGGAAATAATCTCAAAAGCTTGATACTATAAGAGGTAATTCTATTCATTCTAGGACTATTAATTTTAACTCAATGGTATCAAAGGGCATCCTGTTATTAAAAACATAGGTGGGGATTTAGGAAGATACGCACTCAAATCTTGCTCCTGTCTCTTGCTAGTTGTGTGACTTTGAACTAAATCTCAGTTTCCTTTTTTATAAAATGGAATTTTGCCACTAGAGAGTAATTAAGAGTTGTTATAATGTATGTAAGGCATTTAGTACAGTGCCTTGTACATGATAAAGATTTAACGCGCAGGAGGAAGTGTTTCACTCTTTTCAATAAGGAGAACAATTTCTCCCATCAACATTCATTCCATTTAATCATCATTCATGAACTTTTCTCACATGCCAAGCACTGAGCAAGGTACCAGATATAGGTTGTGGTGAAGTGATAGTAGTGGCTTATCTCCTTTATTACATACTCTAATATTTTATTTCCAAATAGGACACACATTGATTATTACTTAATATGTCAAATTATAAAATATTGTATTTATACAGGGGCATGAAATCAGATAACTGGAAGTTAACAAAGTGACATTAAACCAACTCTCAATGGACTTGAAGGCTGGAACAGTGATTCTTAATCAAAAGTGATGTTTCAGTAGGATGCAGTGGCTCATGCCTGCAATCCCAGCACTTTATGGGGCCAAGGTAGGAGGATTGCTTGAGAACAGGGGGTTGAAGTTCAGCCTGGCAAACGTAACAAGATTCTGTCTCTACAAAAAATTAAAAGTTAACCAGGCATGGTGGCGCATGCCTGTAGTCCCAGCTACTCTGGGGGCTGAGATAGGAGGCTTGGTTGAACCAGGGAGGTGGAGGCTGTAGTGGGACACGATCACATCATTGCACTCAACTCAGCCTGGGCAACAGAGTGAGACTCTTGTCTTAAAAAAAAAAAAAAAGTGATGTTTTCCCTCAGGATATTTGGCAATGTAAGGAGATGTTTTTGGTTGTCACACTGTGGGGGAAAGGGTTGTGCTAATGGTAAATAGTGGGTAGAGAGCAGAAATGCTGCTAAACATTCTACAATGCACAGGATAGCTCCCCAAAACTATCCATCCTAGAGTGTCATTAGTGCCTAGGTTGACAAACCTTGGGTCTACCTGAAGCAGTAAAGGAAAGATACGCTAAATCAGATCACAAAGTGCGTTACATAGCAGCTATTTACAAAGGTACAACAAATGTTTGATTGTAATTATTATGGCCACTAACATTATTGAGCCCTATTATGTACCCATTATATGCCTTAACCCATTTAATCCTCTTTACAATCCTGTGATGTGGGTTGTGATTATTAAATCCATTCTACAAATGAGGAAGCTGAGTCCCAGGGAGAATATGTTAATTCCTGAGGTCACAAAGTATGTGACAGAGCCATGATTTGAACCCAGGAAATGCCCATAGAAGCCTACCATCTTAACCATTTTGCCAATTGTGCAAAGCCTGCTAGAAACTCTTCTAACAGGAAAAGCAATGTTTATGGGATGAGAGATCTAAAGACCTGGAGTATAGCTTCACTGTGCCTATAACCTCACTGAGCTCCAGTTCCCAAAGATGTAAGATTTAGATTTTGACAGTTGAACAGTCCTTTTTTTTTTTCTTCTTAAGCTTTAAAATTAATACTTCTCTTGCATTAAGCAGATATTCTTTCAAGAAAGTTTTGAAAGTCTAATAACGTTTAAACAGTATCTGGGTGCTTGAGAAACACAGAAAAGATATTATTCTGTTTGACACAAAAGAGAATAAAATAAGTTTCGTTGACTTAAAGACCTTACAACCTCAAGTAACAGACTAAATTTCATAGGAGGAATTAATACAAACTTCTCTGCACATATTGAGAAATAGCTATAATTGATTACCACATAATGTGCCATTTTCTCAATCAAGAAATTGAAGGCGAGAGCATTTGAATGATATCACTGAAGGAATCCAGGACATACCACTTCAAAACATACTGCTTTGGTATGCTGATTATTTCAATCTAAGAGAATTTAGGGAACAGCCAACACAAAGAAGGGCCTTCTCTGAGTTCTCTTATCTGAAAGGAACTCATTTGCCCCTCTCTGGAATCTCATCAACCAGGGAAAATGAAGCATCACAAGGACTACACTAAAGATCCATACCTTCCCTTAACCCAGATAACCTTTGTTCACACTGCATTTCCTCCTCTCACCCTCCCATAATGTGTCACCACCTCCCCACAGAAGCCTCAGGTCCCTATATGAATGCTATAAAAACTTCAGCCCTCTGTCCTTTCTTCCTTCAATATTTTGTGTAACTCCAATGCGTATATCCACATAATTAAAATGTTTTTTCCTCCTATTAATCTACTAGTTTATTTTATACACTCAGTTATCAAAACTTCAGAGAGTAGAGGTTAAGCTTTTCCCTCTCCTTTATCACCAGTGATATAGATCAAATTTTGTTACTTTCATTTTAAATAGTTTAAATTTTTTATTGAATTTAGAACTATAATATTTTTGTGTTATGAAGTCACATTCTAGCTCTTGTAAGGGGACAGTTTTAAGTCAGTGCCTAAGGTAAAAATAGTGCCAAATTGCGCCCATTACAATTTACCTTTGAGAATGCCTTAAATTTCTCATAAAATATAGAATACTGGTGTGTTTGTTTCCTAAGGCTGCTGTAACAAAGTGCCACAAGCTGGGTGGTATAAAACAACAGAAATTTATTATTTCACAGTTCTGGAGGCTAAAAGTGCCGAGACCAGCTTGGGTTAGGGGACACCCTAACCCAGTGGTACTAGAGAAATTAAAGACACACACACAGAAATATAGAGATGTGAAGTGGGAAATCAGGGGTCTCACAGCATTCAGAGCTGAGAGCCCCAAACAGAGATTTACCCACGTATCTATTAACAGCAAGCCAGTCATTAGCATTGTTTCTATAGATATTCGATTACCTAAAAGTATCCCTTATGGGAAACAAAGGGATGGGCCGAATTAAAGGAATAGGTTCGGCTAGTTAACTGCAGCAGGAGCATGTCCTTAAGGCAGAGATCGCTCATGCTATTGTTTATGGCTTAAGAATGCCTTTAAGGGGGGTGGATCCAAGATGGCCGAATAGGAACAGCTCCAGTCTACAGCTCCCAGCATGAGCAACGCAGAACACAGGTGATTTCTGCATTTCTAACTGAGGTACTGGGTTCATCTCACTGAGGAGTGTTGGAAAGTGGGTGCAGGACAGTGGGTGCAGGGCACCAAGCATGAACCGAAGCAGGGCGAGGCATCACCTCACCCAGGAAGCTCAAGCGGTCAGGGAATTCCATTTCCTAGTCAAAGAAAGAGATGACAGATGACACCTGGAAAATCGGGTCACTCCCACCCTAATACTGCGCTTTTCCAACGGTCTTAGCAAACGGCATACCAGGAGATAATATCCCGCGTCTGGCTCGGGGGGTCCTATGCCCACGGAGCCTCGCTCATTGCTAGCACAGCAGTCTGAGATCAAACTGAACCAGTGAGAACAAAGACACAACATACCAGAATCTCTGGGACACATTCAAAGCAGTGAGTAGAGAGAAATTTGTAGCACTAAATGCCCACAAGAGAAAGTAGGAAAGATCTAAAATTGACACCCTAACATCACAGTTAAAAGAACTAGAGAAGCAAGAGCAAACACATTCAAAAGCTAGCAGAAGGCAAGAAATAACTAAGATCAGAGCAGAACTGAAGGAAATAGAGACACAAAAAACCCTTCAAAAAATCAAAGAGTCCAGGAGCTGGTTTTTTGAAAAGATCAACAAAATTGATAGACCGCTAGCAAGACTAATAAAGAAGAAAAGAGAGAAGAATCAAATAGACACAATAAAAAATGATAAAGGGGATATCACCACTGATCCCATAGAAATACAAACTAACATCAGAGAATACTATAAACACCTCTACACAAATAAACTAGAAAATCTAGAAGAAATGGATAAATTCCTCAACACATACACCCTCCCAAGACTAAACCAGGAAGAAGTTGAATCTCTGAATAGACCAATAGCAGGCTCTGAAATTGAGACAATAATTAATAGCTTACCAACCAAAAAAAGTCCAGGACCAGATGGATTCACAGCCGAATTCTACCAGAGGTACAAGGAAGAACTGGTACCATTCCTTCTGAAACTATTCCAATGAATAGAAAAAGAGGGAATCCTCCCTAACTCATTTTATGAGGCCAGCATCATCCTGATACCAAAGCCTGGCAGAGACACAACGAAGAAAGAGAATTTTAGACCACTATCCCTGACGAACATCAATGCAAAAATCCTCAATAAAATACTGGCAAACTGAATCCAGCAGCACATCAAAAAGCTTATACACCATGATCAAGTGGGCTTCATCCCTGGGATGCAAGCCTGGTTCAACATACGCAAATCAATAAACGTAATCCAGCATATAAACAGAATCAACGACAAAAACCACACGATTATCTCAATAGATGCAGAAAAGGCCTTTGACAAAATTCAACAACTCTTCATGCTAAAAACTCTCAATAAATTAGGTATTGATGGGATGTATCTCAAAATAATAAGAGCTATCTATGACAAACCCACAGCCAATATCATACTGAATGGGCAAAATTGGAAGCATTCCCTTTGAAAACTGGCACAAGACAGGGATGCCCTCTCTCACCACTCCTATTCAACATAGTGTTGGAAGTTCTGGCCAGGGCAATCAGGCAGGAGAAGGAAATAAGGGGTATTCAATTAGGAAAAGAGGAAGTCAAATTGTCGCTGTTTGCAGATGACATGATTGTATATCTAGAAAACCCCATCGTCTCAGCCCAAAATCTCCTTAAGCTAATAGGCAACTTCAGCAAAGTCTCAGGATAAAAAATCAATGTACAAAAATCACAAGCATTCTTATACACCAATAACAGACAAACAGAGAGCTAAATCATGAGTGAACTCCCATTCACAATTGCTTCAAAGAGAATAAAATACCTAGGAATCCAACTTATGAGGGACGTGAAGGACCTCTTCAAGGAGAACTACAAACCACTGCTCAATGAAATAAAAGAGGATACAAACAAATGGAAGAATACTCCATGCCCATGGGTAGGAAGAATCAATATTGTGAAAATGGCCATACTGCCCAAGGTAATTTATAGATTCAATGCCATCCCCATCAAGCTACCAATGACTTTCTTCACAGAATTGGAAAAAACTACTTTAAAGTTCATATGGAATCAAAAAAGAGCCTGCATTGCCAAGTCAATCCTAAGCCAAAAGAACACAGCTGGAGGCATCCCGCCACCTGACTTCAAACTATACTACAAGGCTACAGTAACCAAAACAGCATGGTACTGGTACTAAAACAGAGATATAGACCAATGGGAAAGAACAGAGCCCTCAGAAATAATGCTGCATATCTACAACCATCTGATCTTTGACAAACCTGACAAAAACAAGCAATGGGGAAAGGATTCCCTATTTAATAAATGGTACTGGGAAAACTGGCTAGCCATATGTAGAAAGCTGAAACTGGATCCCTTCCTTACATCTTAGACAAAAATTAATTCAAAATGGATTAAAGACTTAAATGTTAGACCTAAAACAACAAAAATCCTAGAAGAAAACCTAGGCATTACCATTCAGGACATAGGCATGTGCAAGGACTTCATGTCTAAAACACCAAAAGCAATGGCAACAAAAGACAAAATTGACAAATGGGATCTAATTAAACTAAAGAGCTTCTGCACAGCAGAAGAAACTACTATAAGAGTGAACAGGCAACCTACAGAATGGGAGAAAATTTTTGCAATCTACTCATCTGACAAAGGGCTAATATCCAGAATCTACAATGAACTGAAACAAATTTACAAGAAAAAAGCAAACAACCCCATCAACAAGTGGGCGAAGGATATGAACAGACACTTCCCAAAAGAAGACATTTATGCAGCCAAAAGACACATGAAAAAATGCTCATCATCCCTGGCCATCAGAGAAATGCAAATCAAAACCACAATGAGATACCATCTCACACCAGTTAGAATGGTGATCATTAAAAAGTCAGGAAACAACAGGTGCTGGAGAGGATGTGGAGAAATAGGAACACTTTGACACTGTTGGTGGGACTGTAAACTAGTTCAACCATTGTGGAAGTCAGTGTGGCGATTCCTCAGGGATCTAAAACTAGAAATACCATTTGACCCAGCCATCCCATTACTGGGTATATACCCAAAGGACTATAAATCATGCTGCTATAAAGACACATGCACACGTATGTTTATTGCGGCACTATTCGCAATAGCAAAGACTTGGAACCAACCCAAATGTCCAACAATGATAGACTGGATTAAGAAAATGTGGCACATATACACCATGGAATACTATGCAGCCATGAAACATGATGAGTTCATGTCCTTTGTAGGGACATGGATGAAGCTAGAAACCATCATTCTCAGCAAACTATCACAAGGACAAAAAACCAAACACAGCATGTTCTCACTCATAGGTGGGAATTGAACAATGAGAACACATGGACACAGGAAGGGGAACATCACACACTGGGGACTGTTGTGGGGTGGGGGGAGGGGGGAGGTATAGCATTAGGAGATATACCCAATGTTAAATGACGAGTTAATGGGTGCAGCACACCAACATGGCACATGTATACATATGTAACTAACCTACACGTTGTGCACATGTACCCTAAAACTTAAAGTATAATAATAAAAAACAAAAGAATGCCTTTAAGCGGTTTTCCACCCTGGGGGGGCCAGATGTTCCTTGCCCTCATTCCTGTAAACCCACAATCTTCCAGCGTGGGCGTTATGGCCATCATGAACATGTCACAGTGCTGCAGAGATTCTGTTCATGGCCAGTTTTGGGGCCAGTTTATGGCCAGATTTTGGGGGGCTTGCTCCCAACAAAAAGGCTAAAAGCAACATATCATCAGGGTCATGCTCCCTCTGAAAAAGGCATGAAAGGGAAGAATATTTTCTTTTCTTTGTTTCTAGTGGTTCCCAGCAATCCTTATTTTTCCTTAGTTTGTATCTGCATCACTCCACCCTCTGACTCCATTTTTGCATGGCCTTCTTCTTTGTGCATATCCCTATTTGTCCTCTCTTCTTCTTATAAGGACATTAGTCTTTGGATTTTGAGCTCCCACCGCTGCCAATAATCATATAACCTCATCTTAAATAACTACATCTGCAAAGACTCTATTTCCAAATAAGGTGACATTCTGAGGGTTTTGGTGGAGATTGATTTGGGGGTATCTATTCAACCTACTATATCTAGTATTATATATGCAATTCTGTATGGAAATAGGAATGTTTACATGTACCACATACACATAGAAAAGAATGGTCTTGCAAAATGGAGTTTTCCAGCACTGTCTTTAAACACTAAAATTAGATGCAGCATAATGTGACACTAAACTAATAACAGCTATAAGACATGAACTAACTTATATTACCATCCCTACCTCATGCATGATAAGCAGCATTGTCTTCATTATTTTTTTCACTCTGTCTTACATGTAGTTGATTCCATTTTACCAAATGATGTTTGATGTGTATTTTCTCAAGAAAAATAATGATGCATCATAGTAATTATTTTACCTTTTGTGTTTTTCCCTAGGTATCTAAATATTTCTATTAAAATGAATATTATTATTTTATATGATTCAAAATGTTCTGAACTTTATTTTGCCACTTTCAAATTTTTTTGACCTTGCTGTATCTCATTATTCTATTGTCAAGCTTTTTTTTCTGGATATTTAAAACTGTCATTGTAAAAAAATCAATATTCATTATAAATCATACAATATCAGATCTTATATATGATATTTTATATTAGTATACACAAAAATTTTTTAAATTAAATTAACTTCTACATCAAATGATGGTGAAAATATTAAATAAGGTGCCTAAAAAAGCCATACACCAAGAACAATAAAAATTAATCTAAATTGATCTAATACAAAAATAAAAAAGCAAACTAGAAATACTTCTGGAATGGCATAGTAAGGCCCTCCAAAAATCTGCTTTTTCGTAACAAGAACACTTACAAAAATAGGAAAATTCAACTTTTTCAGAACTCAGAAAATTTATCAAAATCTTACAACAATAATATAAATTGTTATTCAGGAAAAACAGCTGAATCTAATTACGAATAGCAAATACATTATGGCATTTTACCTTGCCCTGTTTATATATCTCCCTACCCCCACCTCTTTGGTAGCCTTGAAAATCAGTAGCTTTGGAAACATGGTATATGAAAACTACTGACCTAGCAGGAACAAGAGGAACAGAATTGGTCCAAAACTCCCCTAAAAATTACATGCCTAGAGAAGTATTACTACTTGACCTATCTGATAGCTCTCTGGAAAAGCTCCATTTTCTTGGCTTGCATTTATTTAATTGATTCCAAGTTTATTCCACAGGAAAATACTTACCCCTGGGGTGTTTGTTGAAAATAATCAGGAGCAATTGCTTAACCTTGCAGCAGCCTGAAACAGCAATACCAGTAACAGTAAATAATACATTGCTCAAGAAAACTTAAAAAGAAAAACTGAGAAATGAGATGTTATATGGGACTTTATAAAGCTCTGGCATATTTTGGATGATATCAAAGGTTGTGCATATATGGAGGGCTATGCACATGCCCAGCAAAGTACTGAGAAGGCCCTAATCTCTCAGGTTTGGCTGACCTTGAAGCTCTGCACAAAAAGAGTGAAGGCAAAGGCAGAGTTATAATCTGTTGAGCTTTGAACGTGTTCTCAAGCACACACAGAGTCTCTTGGCAAAGGCAGAGATATATTCATCCAAGGCAGTGAAGAAAATATGTGTCCAATGATTAGCTGACCATTGAGCTAATTGAGCTGAGACTTCAGTGGCATATGACAAAAAATACATACTTTATGTAAGTAGCCCAGGAAAGTCATTAAACATACATCTTCTATAACAACAACAATAACCAAAAACATAACACACACTGAAGGGGATGAATATAATTTCCAGAGTTGTCACATCAAATTATTTAATTTATCCATTGTTTAACAAAGAATGAAATTATGCCCCATAAACAGGAAATAAAGCAGTCAAAAGGAAAGATCCCTGAAGAAGCTCAGACGCTGGACTTACTAGTCGAAGTCTTTTAATGAGCTATTATAAATATGTTCAAAACACGAAATAAAATCATATTTAAAGAATTAAAGGAAAGGAAAGTGCCTAAGAAATAAAAGATGGAAGTTATTTAAAAAAACAAATAGAAAATCTGGGGTGGAGAATTATAACAACTGAAGGGAAAAATTCACCACAGAGGCTCGACAGCAGATCTGAGTTGGCAAAAAAAAAAAAAAAAAAAAAATTCAGTGAACCTGAAAATGGGTCAGTTAGGAATATCCATCAGAGAACAGAAGAACCAAGAATGAAGAAAAATGCACAGAGCCACAGGAACCTGTGGGACACCAAGTATCCAATATATACATAATTAGACTTCTAGAAGTAGAGGGGAGAGAAAGCAGCAGAAAGAAAATTTAAAGAAATAATGGGCAAAAATATTCAAAATTTGATGAAAAACATGAATCTACACATATAGGAAACTCAACAAATTCCAAGCCTTCGAACCCAAAAAGATCCAAGACTAGATGCGTTATAGTTAAAAAGTCGAAAACAAGTAATAATCTTCAAGGCAGCAAGATGGAAGTGAGTTATGAAGTACAAGGGATTCTGGGTAAGATTAATAGTTGCTTTTTCATCAGAAATCAAGGAGGTCAAAATTATTCTCCTATTATTAGCAAGTATGAAGGTTTAAGGGGTAGGGAGTAAAAGTTGGTGTTCTGGCTGAAATTAAGAAAGCAAGAATTGACATTTACCCTTGCTTGCTGATTGGAATTACAAATAGTCATGGAAGTTGAGATTAATGAACCATCTGAAGAATAGAACGATTGAAAAGAATGTTTCAATTCTGATTTTTATTATTTGGTGAGGCAACTTCCCAATGTCTGTTTGGACCGACTGATATCACATGCTTACTCTTACTAGGGCAAGTCAAATTAAGGCAAATAATGTAGGAGTATATAATGATGGATGCCAACTGTGTGTAAATACATGGGCATTAAATATTTGAAATAGGCTTTATAGATTGCTACAACTATCCATAGAGCTTTATCCTTAGAACTGTCAGACACCATACCCCTTTAACTGATCATTTGCATTTGTTTGAGTTCATTGTTTGGTGTACATTACAAAAGGAAATAGTCTGGATGCAAAAAAAAAAAAAAAAAATCCGAAAAAGATCTTTGTAATTTGAGATGTCCTGTGACGAAACAACTTTCTCTGAGATCAAGGATGGAGAATATATACAAATCATAACTATGCATAATAGACCAATGGAAAACCTTGCTTAACTTCAGTTAATTAATTCCATCCTCATGAATGAAAAATGGCCTTAATTTGTGCATGCATGATTAGCCACACTTTTGTTTATGAGACAATAAAGCATCAATAGCTTTCTCATCAATATGGAATCTTTCTAAAAAATCCTGACCCAGGACTCATAATGACACTCAACCTCTCAGCTTTTATATAGTTCGTTAGGGTTCCTATCACATTTCATTTCGTAATCTGATTTCATTATTGCAACCATCATTTGGGCCTTTGCTCACTTTTCTCTTTTTATATTACCTGTTTGTCATTTTTGGTTATGTCTCTTTCAACACTTACGTAAGCATATGAGTGGTCCTTCATCCCCATAGTTTCTGCTTACTTTTTTACACATTTTGTTGTTGTGACTTGAGCATGATTGACAGCTGTTTGGGATAAATTCCTGCTACTACCCAGAACAGATCTTTTTAAGACAATTTTTTATCAAAGTAGGTGTATATATTTATGAGGCACATGTGACATTTTGATACAGGCATACGATGCATAATAATAGCGGGGTATCCATCACCTCAAGCATTTATCCTTTCTTTATGTTACAGACGATCCAATTCTATTATTCAAGATATTTTTAAATGTACAAAAAATTATCGTCGATTGTAATTACTCTGTTCTGTCATCAGCTACTAGTGTTACTCATTCTATCTAATTATATTTGTGTAACCCCAGCACCGTTCTTGAAAAAAAAAATTCTCAAAATTTGTTTGCTAGGTGAATGAATAGCTAGCTATACTTCGTACACAAAGAAAATGCAGGAACAGAAAATCAAATATAGCATGTTCTCACTGAGAAGTCGGAGCTAAACAATGAGCACATATGAACTCAAAGAAGGGAATAACATATATAGGGGTCTACTTGAGGGTGGAGGGTGAGAGGAGGGTGAAGACCAAAAGACTACCTATTGGGTGCTGTGCTTATTACTTGCGTGATGAAATAATCCGTATACCAAACCCCTGCAACACACAATTTACTTACGTAACAAACCCCTGAGCCTAAAATAAAAGTTTTTTAATAAAGAAAAAGTAAATAAAGCTATGTATTTTAATTCTTTTTGGATTTTCTAGAATTAACGTGCTACCAAATGGTCAAAAATTTGATAAGATTTTAAAGATAATATATTGTAATGTTTATATTAAAACTCTTTGGTGTGTATATTTATGGGGTACAATGTGATATTTTGATCTAGTTATATTTTATAGATTCAGTCAGGCTAATTAACATATCCATCACCCCACCAACTTAATTTTTTGTGATGAGAATGTTAAAAATCTATTCTTTTAGCAATTTTTGCAGAAATACAAATACAAATAATCTTATTTATATGAAGTATCTAAAAAAAGTCAATCTCACAGAAACAGAGACTAGAAAGAATGGAGAGAGGAGAGGGATGGGGAAGGGGAAAAAAAGAAAATATAATCTCTTTTAAAAAATTTGGTTGTCCCTTTCTTGGGCTATAGTTTCTTGTTTTCTACATACATGTTATAGCTGATTTCTAGTAACCAATCAATATCCACTCTGAAATTTGAAAGCAGATAGCTCACTTCCTCATTTGTAAAATGGAATAAAAATAGCCTTACCTCTTAGAGTGGTTAAAAGGATTACATAATTTATTATATGGAAACTGCCTTGCATATAAACGAATTTATTCTACAGATGTGAGTGAGGGGCTATTACTAGGGATACATCAGAAAACTAAGCAGATACAATTCCTACTGTTGCAGATCTTATCATCTCTTAACAGTTTGAAGACATGACCTGTGTATACAAGTAAACTTGCCACTAGGCCAGATAAAATCCAAAATAATGTATTTTTAAGGTTGACTTGTGAGTTCTTAGAAAAGCAGTAGCTATTGCTTAAAGTGACTGTGAATTCAATTGAAAATTCGCAGAGGACTCAACTCATTCCCATTATACTTTTGTGACCTGCAAACTATAAAAATGACAAATATGATGACTTACTTTTGAGTCTAAATAGTCCATCTGTGGATTGCAGGAATGACACTGTGGCTTAAAGCACCCTACATGGAAAGCTTTAAGGAGTTTAATTGACCACGAGATCAATATGAGGACATATTATGATATGGATACATGAAAAAAAGAAGCTATTTCTTTAATTTTAAGGCTCTCTTAGAAGTATATATTCCAGAATAAGTGTGGTGATGCTCTGGCTCAATTTTGTGCCAGACATTTTATGATTCTCACAACTCACAAAGAAATATCAATAAACTAGAAATGATTCTAAAGAAGAGAAATCAGTATACAGATGTGTGAAATATAATGTTACATGGTAAAATAGGAATTCTTAAAGACACTCAAGATCTGAGATGCAGAGACGATTTGAGGGAAAAATAAGAGCTGAAGGATCACTGTAGAGGAGAAGAGGTATATTCATTCAGCTGTGCCCAAATGGACAGAAGTCAGATCAAAGGAGTCAAGTTCAAGAAATGCAGTTTTATGCTGAAACTGAAGATAAGTAGAAAGAAAATGAAGTCTATGCCCTTGTGTAATTTCTGAACTTAGAACTTATAGAGGACTTCCCATGAAGGTTGGATGAAGGCATTCTCACTCTGTTTTCTTTTGAAAGCGTAGCTCCTTCTGACTTTTATCTCATTTTCAAGATCTGTTGACTAATGTTTTGAGCAAGTTTACATAAACTTGAAGCATGTAACTTAAGAACAAATAAAAATAAATGTAGATAATCTTCCAAAGAGCAGGTTCTATTATTGCTACTGCTAATAAGAAACAGCTAATTTCTCTTGAGAAACTACCAGTTAGTTGATTGGTGAACCTTGAAATTCATTTTTCCCTTTAAAAAGCAATGCTTTAAGTAAGTCATGATCAATTATCCTCAAAGCCTCTTTAAATCATAAAATCAATGAGGACTGAGATCCAGAGAATGAGGATGACCTATAACAGGGTACCCCTTTCTTGAATGCTGTGTTGACACTGGATATGGCAAATAGGTTTCTTATCTTAGATCAATTTCATTAGGTTGGAAACAACTACCTACGTATCTGTGTTCAGAAGGATTCTGAAGCAGAGTCATGATTACTGCGAAAAGTACCATGATAAGTATTGTCTACATTGGCAGAGAATCTGTTTTCTTACACACACATCACATACCAGACATTCCTGATGAAATCAAGAGAGTCATTCATCCTGGTGGGTTCCAATTCATTCTTGAAGGTTTCAGTTTGTCCTTGACCCCCTATTTCACATCTATCTTTACCCTGGAGACTGACCTAGCCACCCTATAGCAGATGAAGCCCAAAACCAGATACAGGAGCCACAGACTTGAATTGACCTCTCCAGCATCTCCCACCTTTTCATAAAGTCCATACATGGCTCATAGTGGTCTGATTGAACCCTGATTGATACACAAGATTAAAAGCCTACACAGAATGGAAACAGATGTGAAAGTTTGAACAAAACTAATAGTATTTTCTGTTTGTTAATAGTCCCTTATGAGAACACACACCCAGTGGTTTTGTGTACTAAAAAAACATTAAGGCAACACGAAGGCCTCCTTAGGCTCTTGTTTCAGCTGAAAGATGACACAGTCCACACAGTTGACTGCCTTGTTACCATGAATAGGAAACACTGACACACACTTCAGGTGTTCCAGATGGCCAGGTTGATTGTCTATTGATTAGGTGAAATGAAATTTTCTATGAAGCTTTATTTCTAAATATTGATTGGAAATTTATGTCAATAATAATATATGCACCCTGTACAAGAGTAAGATACAACAGCTTTATTTGTGGGAAAAAATAGGGATCAGTTCCTTTTGTCTTATCACATGTGCGAAAAGATTTTTTAAGTGCACAAGTATTAACTTTTAAAAACATACATTGAAAGACGTGGAAATACTGCCTTAAATGATTTTTCCTCTTCAGATTTATTAATTACAAGAAATAATAGATATAGTTATAACATACAATGTATGTTTTTCTTATGATTTCCTAATAAAAATAGGTAACTGGTGAAAAAAAAATCACTTCTCTTTCTTTCTCTTTTGTTCTCTCACTCTCTGTCTCCTCCACAGGAAAAATAGGAAAAATACCTTGAATGAATAATGTAAGGAATCTCTCCACTTAGTAGAATGATACATTTTCACAAATCCCCCACCCAGTAGTGGACAGTTTACAGTGTAGGAAAAGTTCTCATTTTTACCTGAAGTTATTGTCAAAAACTTCTTAAGAAACTGCAGCGTTTCTGCTTACCTATATGCAGCTCCATTTCTACAGCTAGTTTGAAGAAGATGCCAAAATCCATATCTGAAAATAGATAAAGAATAGTTTTCCTATTCCTGAAATGTGTGCATAACTCAAACTCAATTTTAACTGAGGGACAAAAACGGAATTCAGAGCTCACAGTGAGTTTGCTTCATGAATGCAGCCGCATTTTGGCATTTTCAATTGTATGCTCAATTTCCTACTTTTAAAATATCCCAAAAGTCATCAATCATTAAGCCCTGCTGGGTAGTGACAAGATGTGCATGCAACAACGCCCATAGAGGGGCCAAGTCTTTTCCTTAGGGATATTCCTAATTAAATCTGGTTGGTGCCCGCAAGTGGCTTAAGTTGTTCTATACAAAGAGTACCATGAATTCTGAACCTCCATAGGTGTGAAAGAAAATGTGGTGTGCTAAAAAGAGGAAAAACTAACCACAGATAGGGAAAACTGAAGGTGTCTTCTGGATTGATCAAATAAAAAGGGAATTCAAGGATTTCAGGTTTAATCTTTTCTTTCTATACTGCTTAGAGTTCATTCTTTTTCTTGATCTCTCCAGCTTAATCATTCTCAAAACTTCCAGATGCATCAGAATTACCTGTGAAACTTGGTCCTACCTGATTAATATACAGGATTAAAATCCTATACAGGATGGGAACAGATGTGAAAGTTTGAACAAAACTAATAGTATTTTCTATTTGTTAATAGTCCCTAACGAGAACAAACACCCAATGCTTTTGTGCACTAAATAAACATTAAGGCAACACAAAGGCCTACTTAGGCTTCTGCTTCATCTGAAAGATGATACAGTCCACACAACTGACTGTCGTGTTACTGTGAATAGCAAACACTGACACACACTTCAGGTGTTCCAGATGGTCAGGTAAAAAATAAAAATGCAGGTTTTCAGGGCTCCCACCACATGAACTGAAACCAGAATAAATCCTGGGAATCTGTTTTACACTAAGAGCTTCAGGAATGATGGTACATGGTATGGCTTGACCGTGATAAATGGCAGTGAAAAACTCCTAACCAATAACATAAAAGCTTAAAGTGAAAAATACAAAAAATACTCAGTGAAGAATTAGCACAGTGCAATCCTAGATACCCTCATGGCATAATTCTGTACTTTCGATAGCATTAGTAACCATAAGAAAGAAGGTTTTAGCCCCTTCTGTGTGTGGACAACACCAGGTATTTAAGAAAAATGCAGATTCTTAGGCCTGCCCTTTCCTCCAGAGATATTATTCAATACATTTGGCCTGGAATCCAAGAACGTTGAAACCACCCCCAAGGAAATTTTATAAAATTGATTAAGGTAATAAAATAAACTCCAACTAGTCTTGCAGCACCATAGCATCCATCATGAACCTAGCTTGCCCTTTGGCCCACTTCCTTTAATCTGATCACTGCTTACATCCCTAGGATAATGTAGTCTTTGTCACAAGACTCGTTGTTTATTTTCTGTTCTATATATAAATTATAAGACATTGTGAGATGAAAAATTTTTCCATTTGAGTTTCTCCTTTAAGTTCTGCATACTAATAAAACTACTGATGCCAGCTGGTCTGAAGAGCCCAGCAAGGAGCTGACTCATGGAAGAATGCAGTTTCCACATCCTGATGATTTCATTCTCCTTACCATGGCCAATGGATGATTAGTTTTCTAACCCCTCGCTCTCCATGAGCCCCTTAAAAACCTTTGCCCACAACCCCTAGAGAAGACAGATTTGAAGCTTGAGGATTCCTCACATCTTGTGATTATTAAACTGTTTCTCTGTTGCAAACCCCACTGTCTCAGTGTATTGGTATGTTGCTGTGCATTGGGCATATGAACCTGGCAGTACTGTAACAGTGTCTACTGTTAGCTCAACCCCATATAATTCTGCTGTGGGTGGTTTATGGAGTACTCTTGGCAACGTTCTGCCTAAGGAATGCTATTAACACAATATGGACACCAAATATGTGATTATAATAGTTTATGTATTCAATGATTAGATACCCCTCAACACTAGAGGAAGGGGCTCTTTTCTGGAAAATCTTTTATGCCACCATAAATTAATTGGGAAGAAAAGAATCCACAGTATGCTGTGAACTACATAGAGTTTTTAAATTTTATTTTCTGTTTTTCCACATCGTATATGAACATTTGTTCTTTCCATTAGGCTCCTCTCCATCTAGCAAAAAAATAATTTAAATAATTCCATAATTTTTATAAAATAAAAAACAAAAACACTTGGCTCATGAATTTAAGTAGTCCAGTGTTATCTCTGTCTCCAGGGATCAAATAGTGTCATCAGAACTCAGTTTCTCCCCATTCCCTCTTTAGTTTCTGCATGCTAACTTCTTCTTCTGATATCAGGCTCTCCATTTTGGTGGCAAATGTGGTTGTAGGAGCTCCATTCTCATAGACCCTTGGATTCAAATCCAGTAGAAACAACTAGAATCTTGTCAGCTAGTTCCTGCAAAATCTTGAGTGTTACTCTCATTGGACAAGTTTAGATCATGTGGTTGATGGAAAGTGATACAAAGATTGACTTAGCCTCGGCATACATGTTTTGAGGGGAATGACACTCCCCCCAAGATGATACATATTGAAAGAGGATAAGAGATGCATCCAATTAGTTGATTTGATTGTTTGCAATTGCTTGCTTTTGCCAGAGGGAGGAGGGATGGATCTGGAGAGACATCAGGAAATATCCACTATAATACTGTGTATGCACAGAAGCAACCTGACACAATATGGAGGGTTTGTGCCTGCAAGGTTGCCAGGGAACTTGATTTGAAAGAGACAATTTAATATTTTGAACTTTCTTGCTAGCACACACAGTAAAAGAAGTACTAGCGATAACAGTATTTGGAGTATTTAATTAAGCTAGCTTAATTATTACCTTGTTGGGATATTTGGTTTGTACTAGAACTTGCAGCCACTTGCCTAGCATATGCTGTGAGGAATCCTGTGTAGTCTCAGTAGGTATACCTGTAACCCTTTCCTAGGGGTTCTTAACCTTATTTTGTGCTAGAGACCCCTTTGGCTGTCTAGATAAGCCTATGGACTCCTTATCAGAAAAATGTTTTAAAAGCATGAAATAAAAAAAGACAGGATTATAGAGAAAACAATTATATTAAAATAGTTATCAGTATATTATAAACAAATGTGTGATATAAAAAATGCATGCTGTTTTAGTAATACACTAAATTGATTAGTAAAAATAAATATGATTTTTTTTTCCTTGTTGCTATCTCAGTTCATAGACCCACTATATTTCAGGGAGTGTCTATGGACTCCACATTAAGAATTTCTGTCACATAGATGCTGGTAGCCTCTTAGCAAAAATAACCATGTAACTTCCCAGTTTAAAGCTTTCCGGTTGTTCGCAACTTCCCTCCAGATAACATCTAAAATCCTTAGCATGACAAAGAGGCTCTATTACACCCAACCAGACTCAGTCTCTCAAGCTCCCCCACCTTGTATTGTAAGCTCAAACCATGGACAGGGGACATACTGTTCAGAAATGAACAGCATTTTTTCATATCTAGGCATTAACATACAGTGGGCACCCACCTGGATAAGCTCCACCTCTCTCTTCACTATTTTACCTGGCAGAATCTTCCTCATCCCCTAGGATTCAGACTTAATTCCATTTAAGACAGAGCTGGCACTCCTGTGTAGCACTTATCTTCTGTACACGTTGATAAACCAGAGAATCAGTAAGAGTAAAACATCAGGAAAGGTCTCACATGTAATACAATATTTACCTTCTTAGCTACTCCTAGTAATGACCAGTTGTCAAGCAAAGGTCTCCTCTACATAGTAACTTCCCATATAATTAAAAAGGTTTCAAAACATTTTCCAATTCTTGTGTCAAATGCTGGTGTGAAAATAATTGTAGTCTTCTATTTAATAATATGTAAGTTGAGATTGAAACAGATTATTGGGCCAGTGAAGAGTGAACTTTCTGTGCATTTGCGTTTATTTTAAATTGTGTCATCAACTGGACAATAAGGCTAACTCTTTATAGCTATGTATAATTTATGGTATTCTAGGCACAGTTTTCAGCATGTTTTGAATATTATCTCATTTTATCCTCATAGCAACTGTATAAGATAGCTATTATTATTATCCTAGTTTTGAGGAAACATGGTTTGAGAAGTTGAAAAACTTGGCCAAAGTCACATAGCTAGTAAGGAATTTGAGTCTAGGAAGTAAGGGGTCAGAGCCCTCATTCTTAACCACTGTGGCATAATCTAATGTTGATTCTTATCAACAAACTCCCATTTCACCTATGCATATAATGGAAGTGCGTATGTATGCATACTCATACATATGTATACATACTTAGTTTTTGCATAAATTGTCCTTATCATGTTTTTCTGTTTAAACATCCTGACAGCTGTGTATATTTCATGTTAACAAGTCTGTGTCTCCAGAAATTGGTAACATTTTAGCCAGGAATAGATATAGAAGTTAATGTTCTAGTTGTGCATGAGCCATTCCCATTTTTTTTTTTTTTTTTTTTTTTTTACCTGTACTGATTCTCCACCTTACCAATTTTTGCCAGAATGTCTTGAACCATGCCAGAGTAATAGTTATCATGGAATTTGGAGATAACGGTCCTGCATTCAAATCTTAACTGTTTCCTGAACCTTAGGAACTAACCTAATTACCTTACACCTCAAGCTCCTCCTGGGTGAAAATGGGCAGCATGAACCCTGATAAAACATAAAACTAAAAGAAAACTTAGCCATATTTTGGGTTTTCTATTTCCATTTCTATTTGATAAAATTTAGGAACTTGAGATATGAGTTTCCTTCAAGGCAAAATGCATTCTGTCTCTTGCAGTCCTTTGCATAACGCCCACTTCTCTATACTCTTAGAAAAGCAGAGGTTTATATACAAATTTATTTCCTAGGCTTTATTTTTTATTTATTTTTTAAAAGTTTATTTTAGTCTCCGGGTTACATGTAAAGGTTTGTTACATAGGTACACTGGTATTATGAGGGTTTGTTGTACAGATTATTTCACGACCCAGGAATTAAAACTAGTATCAAATAGTTATCTTTTTTGCTCTTCTCCCACCTCTCACCCTCCACCCTCAAATAGATTCCAGTGTCTGTTGTTTCCTTCTTTGTGTTCATAAGTTCTCATCATTCAGCTCCCATTTATAAGTGAGAACATGTGTTATTTGGTTTTCTGTTCCTGTGTTAGTTTGCTAAGAATAATAGCCTCCAGCTTCATCCGTGTTCCTGCAAAAGACATGATCTCATCGTTTTTATGGCTGCATAGTATTCCATGGTGTATGTGTACCACATTTTCTTTATCCAGTCCATCACTGATGGGCATTTAAGTTGATTCTGTCTTTGCTATTGTGAATAGTGCTGCAAAGAAAATGTGTGTACATGTGTTTTTGTTGTCGTTGTTGTTTTGTTTTGTTTTGTTGTTTGTTTTGAGATGGAGTCTTGTTCTGTTGCCCAGGCTGGAGTGCAGTGGCATGATCTCTGCTCACTGCAACTTCTGCCTCCTGGGCTCAAGCGATTCTCCTGTCTCAGCCTCCCAAATAGCTGGGATTATAGGTGTGTGCCACCACACCCGGCTACTTTTTTTACTTTTAGTAGAGATGAGGTTTCACCATGTTGGCCAGGCTGGTCTCGAATTCCTGACCTCAAGTGATCTGCCCGACTTGGCCTCCCAAAGCACTGGGATTATAGTCATGAGCCACCGTGACTGGCCTTCATGTGTCTTTAAAATAGAATGATTTATATTCCTCTGGGTTTAGACTCAGTAATGGGATTGCTCCTAGGCTTTATTATTCTAATTCCCTTTTGTGATACTTGTCACATCTCAATATCACGTATTCAGAATACTCTTAATTATTCTTTACTTCTAAATTGATTTGCTTCTTATGTATGTAATTAATTTAAAGGAAAACATTATAATATCTGTTAACCCACTGGGTCAATATTTTTTCCTTTATCATACTAAGATAATTAAAATGCCAGATAAAAGCATTAGAAATGACCGTTTAAATCATAACATCTCACATACCAGCAGGGGTGCATGTACATCTTTTTGGGAAATGTTGGCCTGAGCTTGTCACCTAAAATAGACCACTGTCAAATCTCTGCTATCTAAAGCGACTGGTATGAAAAGGGGCCTGCTCACTCCCTGGAGTTCACTGTTGACTTCTCCAGTCCAATGCACATGGCTTACACATGCAGCTTGGACCCATGGCCTTATATATGCACATGCATCAGTCTTTGTTATTGTCAGATACCAAGGGCAAAGCCAGCCCTTGGCAAAACTACACAATAAAACAGCTGTGTAACTTAGCATCACTTTACCTCCTCCTTCTATGTTTTTCTTACCTCTTTTGAACGCAGCTGCCACTATGCTCCACTTCCCAGGTCTCACGGAATGCCCAATTATGGCTTGTCCTCTATATGCAGAAACTTTCCTGGAAGAGATCATTTTCTTCCATCTATATTCATTATGTCTGTTCTTCCTCAAAACTTCAGAACATAGCTTTCCTGGGTAATATTTTCTCAGACACATGGTTGGTAACTCTCTGCTCTAATATACTGATTCTCAATGAGTTTTCTAATTGATAATAATGTGGCCATACTTCTTAGCTTCAGCTAGAGAGGACTTTGAATTATAATGGTGAATGGCCTTGAATCATTCTTTTATTCTATAATGATTAGAGTCTGAGGGAGAAGTTTAACATTCTTACAGGGCAGATTTTTCTCGGATAGAGAAACCTCCAACATCATCCTTCAGGTCATATTACATATAGCCTAGAAATTCTAAATCTTGTGCCATTGAAGTCTCATTAATCTTTCTGTGAAAGAATCTGGGACTTTCAAAGAAATTAACAAGAAAAAATTTCCCTGAAATATTTTTAAGTACCTGTTAGAGTTCTCACTTTTGGTACATTTTACAAATATGAAGCAGAAGTGCAATAGCTGGAAGTAAATTATCTTATATATTCATAATCATTTCTAATGAAGACCTACTGTCTGGCCCAGACTTTTTCTTTTTCTTTCTTTCTTTTTTTTTGAGACAAAGTCTCACTCTGTCGCCCAGGCTGGAGTGTAATGGTGTGATCTCCGCTCACTGCAACCTCTGCCTCCCAGGTTCAAGAGATTCTCCTGCTTCACCCTCCTGAGTAGCTGAAATTACAGGTGCATGCCACCACACCCAGCTAACTTTTGTATTTTTACTAGAGACAGGGTTTCACCATGTTGGCCAGGCTGGTCTTGAACTTCTGACTTCAGGTGATCCACCCGCCTCAGCCTCCCAAACTGTCGGGATTACAGGCGTGAGCCACTGCGCCTGGCTAGCCGACACTTTTTTTACCTCCTATCTGTGGCAACTTGTATTCAGTGGAGAAGCACCAATGGCCATGCAGAGGCAAACTTACAGTGACATAAAGGAAGCTGAGCTGAGTTGCAGGAACTCTCACTTGCCTGGGCCCCTTGCAAGGTTCTGGGAGGAGTCCAGCAGTGTGCTCACAATGTGTTCACCACAATGGGTTTTTGTAAAACTTGCAAAAATCATTTTGACTTTAGTTGTTTTAGACCACTGTCACACCACTCTAACTTGCCCTCCATCACATTTCCTCTCCTGACTGAATGACTTCAGAGTGTCCATGAATGAGTGGGATCTGCTAAAGGAGATTAAATTGGGGATACACTTAGTTTGGATTTATGTGGCTCCAAGTCACTTCCAAGCATCCAATAAAGTTATGAAGTTAGGCTAGCCATCCTGGTTTAAGAATGGCTTCCATGCGGTCCCTACTGCCAATTTTTCTGACATCTTGACTAAAAGGTGCAGGGTAAGATTTATGTCAAAGTATTAATTGTATATTATGTTTTTTTCCCTCTGGATTATGTGATAGTTGTGGCATTTGCCAGTATTTTGATATGTGTAATTTGTTGTGATTTTGTTTCTCATTCCAAATAAAACTCTGCTCTTACATCTATCTAGTTTTGTATTAGTAATTTCGTATTTTTCTTTACTTACTGAGAAGGTCCAAATTGTACAAGCTTCAAGCCCTAAAATTCTACCTTCGGGCACTAACTCTCACTTCTCCAGCAAGTGGGACTAGTAAGGCCACTTCAGCAGACTGTTCCTGATGAGACAAATTCTGCAACTGTATTTGGTTTCAGAAATTTCATTTTTGGAATATAAATTGCTTTGTTGTAATGTGGCAATTAATTAGTGGGAATACCCCATGTTATTCATCTCTTCTGCCACCACCCACTTCAGCAAGAATATGTACCACAGTGAAGGCTATGTGTTTATTATTTTTTTATCTAATAAGTTTCACTGTAGTTTGTTTCCTTTATCCTTAGGGCACTCCTCCCAAGCTAGTCCCTTTGATATTCACTCTCCATCTTCTCTTCCTTGGAAAAATTTCTCAAAGTTTTAATTAGCTTTTGCATCAGTGAAGTGGTTCTTTGCTTTGGTGCCTCTGTTTGTAAACAAGAATGTCTTTTATCTTTGGCTACCAAGAGAATTTGCTACACAAAATCCATTTTCTACTCCCGTCTATTATTGTAGAGTTCACATTGTTGAGTTCAGATTTATACATACCTGTATTTTTTGCTCATAGCTGTCTTACCTTTGGGTCTAAGACTCGGTGACAAATATGGCCTCTTCCATTTCAGTATTGGATTCATTGTTGGTCAAAATACCCATAAGACTCTCCACATTTCATCTCCAGCTTTCACTACTTGGCAAATTCTGTATTTAAGGCATCCTTAAATAAAGTGGTGCATGTTCTTCAAACTTTCAAGATGATTTAAATGCAGTTATAAAATAGACATTTTACCAATCAATGTTCGTTCACATTTCTCAAAGTTCACAAAGTGCTATACTCTTATTTTTATAAACACTAGGTGCTTTATCCCATTACGCTGACAGACCTATCTTTCTTCATGTCTCTTAAAATGTTTCCATCTCTTACTCTCCATCCCAGTGATTATAAACAATTGCTAGAGTAGATATAATCCAACAGTCTTTTATATTTGCCTCTCAAATAAATCTCAATAAATCAATTTTTAATGAAAATAAATGGTTTAGTTTAGCTCAAGTGTAATCTAAGCTTCCTTTCATTTTAACATTTATTATTGAAAATAATTTTAAAACACATTTATCTATTTCTTTGTGTTATAACATATTTGACATGACTTAATTAAATCTTATTTAGTGTTTGAGGATTTTATTGTGGATAAGGTTATTATTCTGATCAATTCTAATTGTACAACATTTACAGAAACTGTGAATGTCAGCTGGACAGGGTCCAGTGTCAAATAACTCCAGAATTGACTTGGAAAGTTAAAAAAAAGACATGAGGAAAACATGTTCCTTATTTTAGTTTTCCTCCCTAGTAAATTACATAGATTTAAGAAAAGAATATTGTGAATTATTAAAAGTGCAGATCCCAATTAGAACTTTGTTTCCTAGATACCAGTTTTCAATATGGTAGATTTACTGTCTAAATTACTTTGAGCCCAGTATTGATTTGAGTTTGCATTCTATTAGAACACAGTGGTAATAAAAGGGAAAGGAAACTGGAAATATTCTGCTTGGTCTTCAATAGAACAGTTCTAATACCTGAGCTCTCAGCTACTAAGCTGCCCTATTTCCCCAAATGAAACAGCTATAAAATAATAAATATAGCACTATACATGTACTTTCCTGTTTATGAAGCACATTTACATTCATTGTTTAATTTTATTTCCACAATGGCCCAGTGAAAGAAGGAGAAATGATGTTATATTCCCTTTCCACAGAAGATAAAACTGATGCCCTGGGAAATTGATTGATACATGGAAAAAATAATTACAGGTCCACCTTGTTTTTTTGCCTTTCATTTTGCTGCACTTCACAGATACTGTACTTTTTAGAAATTGGAGGTCTGTGGCAACCCTGCTTTGAGAAAGTCTGTAAGTACCCACTTCGTGTTTCTGTGTCACATTTTTGTAATTCTCACACTAGTTTAAAACTCACCATTATAATTATATCTTCCATGGTGATCTTTGATCAGTGATCCTTGGTGTTATTATTGTAATTGTTTTGGGGGGCCATGAACTACACCCGTAGAAGAAAGAGAATGTAATCAATACATGTGTTTGTTCTGCTTGCTCCACCCGTTTCCCATCTTTCTCCCTGTCTTGGGTCTTTCTCTTACCCAAGACTCCATAATATTGAATTTAGGTCAATTAATAACACTATAGTGGCCACTGTAAGTTCAAGTGAAAAGAGGAGTTGTATGTCTCTCCCTTAGAATCAAAAGCTAGAAACGATTAAACTTAGGAAACGACGTTGAAAGTTAAGATAGGAGGAAAGCTAGGCCTGTTGCGCCAAACAGCTACGTTGTGAATGCAAAGGAAAGGTTCTTGAAGGAAATTAAAATTGCTCTCCAGTGAATACACAAATGATAAAAATGCAAGACAGCCTTATTACTGATATGGAGAAAGTTTTAGTGGTTTGGATAGAAGATCAAACTAGCCACAGCATACCCTTATTAAACCAAGGATTAATCTATAGCAAATCCTTGCCTCTCTTTAATTCTATAAAGGCTGAGAGAGGTGAGGCAGCCACAGAAGAAAAGCCAGCAGAGGTTGGTTTATGATATTTAAGAAAAGAAGCCATCTCCACAACATGGCAGTGCAAGATGGAGCAGCAAGTGCTCTTGGAGAAGCTGTAGCAAGTTATCCAGAAGATCTAGCTAAGATCATTGAGGAAGGTGGCCACACTAAACAACAAATTTTCAGTGTAGATGAAATAAGCTTCTATTGAAAGAAGATGCCATCTAAAACTTTCATAACTAGAGAGAAGTCAATACCTGGCTTCAAAGCTTCAGTGGATAGACTGACTCTTGTTAGGGGGTTATGCCCTGACTTTAAATTGAAGCCAATGTTAAGTTACAATTCTGAAAATCTTGGGACCCTTAAGAATTATGCTAAATCTACCCTGGAACCCTTAAGAAGTATGGTAAATCTATTTATTCTGCCTATACCCTTTAAATGGAATAACAGGTAGGGCATGGTGGCTCATGCCTGTAATCCCAGCACTTTGGGAGTCTGAGGCAGGTCCATCACTTGAAGTCAGGAGTTCTAGACCAGACTGGCCAACATACCGAAAATTTGTCTCTACTAAAAATACAAAAATTATACTTCTCTGGTGATGGGTGCACCAAAATCTCACAAATCACCACTAAAGAACCTTACTCATGTAACCAAATACCACCTGTACTGCAATAACTTATGGAAAAGTAAAATAAAATTTAAAATTAAAAAGAAGATTAACCAGGCATGGTGGCAGGCAACTGTGGTCCCAGCTACTCAGGGGGGCTGAGGCAGGAGAATTGCTTGAACCCAGGAGGCGGAGGCTGCAGGGAGTCAAGATCACAACACTGCATTCCAGCCTGGATGATAGAGCAAGACTCCATCTCAAAACAAAATAAAAAATAATAATAAAAAATAAATGGAATCACAAATCCTGGATGACAGCACATCTGTTTACAGTATAGTTTGCTGAATATTTTAAACCCACTGTCGAGAACTATAGCTCAGAAAAAAGATTTCTTTTAAAATATTACTGCTTATTGACAATACACTTAGTCACCTAAGAAGAGCTTTGATGAAGATATACAAGTAGATTAATGTTGGTTTTATGCCGGTTAACACAACAACCATTCTGTACCCAGGGATTCAAGAGTAATTTCTACTTTCAAGTCTTATGATTTAAAAACATTTCATAAGTCTTTTGGTGCCATAGATGGTGATTCCAATGATTGATCTGGGCAAAGTAAACGAAAAACCTTCCGAAAAGGATCCAGTATTCTAGATGCCATTAAGAACATTCATGATTCATGAGAAGAGGTCAAAATACCAACATTAACAGGACTTTTGGAAGAAGGTGATTCCAACCCTCATGGATGACTTTGAGAGATTCAAGGCTTCGGTGAAGGAAACTGCAGATGTGGTGGAAATAGCAAGAGAAGTAGAATTAGAAGTGGAGCCTGAATATGTGACTAAATTTTTTCAGTCTCTTGATCAAAGTTTAATGGATGAGTTTAATTGCTTCTTATGGATGAGAAAATAAAGTGGTTTTTTGAGATGAAATCTACTTCTGGAGAAGATGGTGTGAACATTTTTGACATGACAACAAAGGATTTAGAATATCACTTAAATTTAATTGATAAAGCAGTAGCAGGATTTGAAAGGATTGACTTCAAATATCAAAGATGTTCTACTGTGGCTATCAAACAGCATCACATGCTACAGAGAAATCTTCAGTGAAATTAAGAGTCAATCAATGCTGCAAACTTTATTGTTGTCTTATTCTAATAAATTGCCACAGCCCCTCCAGCTTTCAGCAACCACCACCCTGATCAGTCAGCAGCCATCGACATTGAGGCAACACCCTCCATCAGTAAAAAGATTACAACTCACTGAAGGCTTATATAATCATTAGCATTTTTAAGCACTATAGTATTTTTAAATTAAGGTATGTACTTTTTTAAAACAAAATGCTATTACATACCTAATAGGCAACAGTATAGCATAAACATAACTTTTATACATGGTGGGAAACCAAAAATTCATGTGATTTGGTTTATTTTGATATTTGCTTTATTGTGGTGGTCTGCAGCAGAATCCACAATATCTGAGAAATATACCTGCATTCCCAAAGGTAAATTTATTTATTGTTTAAATGCAGTACATTGTATGTAATTCAAAGTTATAACAATGTATAAGATGAAAAGTGAATCTCTGTCTCTTTCATCCATCTGGATTATTTCTCCAGAGTCAACTGTTATTGCTGAGGTGTTGTTTATCCTTCCAGAGACACGGAATAGCCCTTGGGCTAAATAAAGTTTTCATGGAACACAGCCACACCCATCCATTTATGTATTGTGCATGTCTGCTTATTTTCTACAACAGAGTAGTTGCAACAGAAACCATCTGCTCCACGAAGTCCAAAATATTTGTCATTTGTTCTTTTACAGGAAAAGCTCACCAAAATCTGGTCTATACAATCAAATGCATATATAGGTGTGTATATGTATATACACACACACACATATATATATATATACAGATATTTCCATTTTTTTACTGATTTTATAAAACTAAATATAGTTTTAAACCTTGGTTTTTTAAAAAATTAACAATATTTAGGCAATCACCTCAAATCAGTATACATAAATCTGCCTTACCTTTGCAACTACTTTATTTACTGGGTTCTAGCACTTTACATAATTGCTTTAGTTGAGTTCTCACAAGATCTTATTTTAAAATGCAAATAGTGAAGCTCAGAATTAAGTGACTTACATTTAATTCTCCAGTAGTAAGGGGTTGAGCCCTTATTGCTGTCACTCCAAGACTTGAATATTAGTCGTGGGCAATCTGTATGCTCTTTGCTGAAGATTGACTGAATTAGAGAATAATGTCATGTTCATTTGTGTACCCCTATCCATGCAGAGGTGAATGTTTCTTGTGAGTAGGCTATTGACTTGCTTTGCTGGGAAAGTGGCTAAATCCTGAGGGCTATGCGTTTTAAACATGCTCAGCCAGTCCATATTGGCCTTTTTAGCATTGACCTCTGGATTAGTAGTTCTCACACTGTCCATCACACCCCCTGGATAATTCAAGAAGTCTGCAAAGTAGCTACAAACACTTTTGCCCACTCAGAGTGAATAATGATGTGGATATGGATCCTGTTATGACAAATATATGGTATCAATTACATCCTCTTAGACTCTCAAATTCTTAGTAAAGTGAAAATTAGGTGTTGTTAAAATTAACTTTGAAAGTCTGCCACGTTTCTCATAGAGTTTACAGGCATATAGTTCCTCAGTAGGCCCAACCTGGTCAGTTTTTCCTCCAGTGCTGTTTTGATGTTTGAAGAATAGATAAAGATGTTAGCAGGTGTTTAGGAAAAATATTGTATAAGTACTTAATCTTGTTCACTAGAATCACTGCCTGTGTGACCAGATGCTCACACTATGAGAAGCCATTGGCAACTGAGAAGAGTGAGAAAAGAGCATCTTCATTTCTTCTATCTCATGATCATTTCAGGACATGATTTACTGAGTGCGAAGAGTGAGAAGAATTGCAAATTCTAACTAAATTATTTTCTCCTCTAATTTCTCATGCTTTAAATTCTTCAATTTGTCTAAATTAAATGTCTTAACAACTCTCTTAAATTTTTTTCATATTTGAAACTTTTCCCGTTATATGTTTTTGCAGCCAGTAAATACTAAAAGTTCACCTACTAATACTGAGGGAGTTACAACAGATGTCTCCACACTGAATGCCACTTGCCATGGACTGTTTCAAATGGCCTGATCTTTTCTGAGGAATTCTGACCATTTTCTAGCTTTCCCAAACCAGACAGACTGCGCCCTCTTTTAGGCATAAATAAAACACAAGACATCAACACTTCTGAAACCTCTCCTTAGTGCCTAGGGAATACAGACATCAAATGATATATAAATGAAAGTTTTTGAGCTCATCATTTAACTATTAATAATATAATCTGGTATTTGACAGTCAAGAAAAACAAATGTTATTTAAGGGCCAAGGTAATGTCATTCTAATGAAATTCCAGATAAAATTATGCCACCATAAGAAATGCTTGTAATCATTTGGTTTGGGCAAATCATTATAAAATTTTCCATAGCCCATGATTGAGGACTTGCTTAAAATAATATCTCTTGTCCACTAGTACATACGAATAACAGGCTATATTTCATTATAATGAAAAGAGGTTAACATATGAGAGTCTTTGCAAGAGTTTCTAAACTCTCTCAGGGACATCTTTCCTAATCAAAGTGAGCGGAGTTGGAAGAATCTGTTTTCTTGTAAAAAGAGTAATTTTCCTATAAATAACTTGAGAGATCAATGATGGATAATAAGTCCAAATTATTAGGAAATATGATGCTACCAATTTTCTTAAAAATGGGACTTGAAAATACCATTCTACCTTGTGTACCATTAATTAACAAAACTTGCTAAAGCTGGAAAAAATTTATTCAGTATTTTACTGTAATGCATTTTGTGTGATCCTTATCATCAAAGAAAAGAAAGGGAAAATAGGCAGCTATGTCATCACTTGCATTGTGTTGATTTTTCAGTTAGTGTTAAAAAAGATGCCTGCAAGATCACAACATATACCTGCAGAAAGCTTTATGTGTAAGATAGTTTGGTTTTATTGTAGAACCTAAGAAACAGAATACATATCCAAAGAGAAAAAATATGTAATGCTTTATAGAAGAACCTACTAAATCATATATGCTGTTATCAAGCTTCAGGGCTCCAGTTTGGGCTGTAAATCACTTGGAGCTTATACAATAAATTTCCTAAGTCAATGTCAGGACATTCAAATTCAGAGTCACAAGATTGAGAATTTCATGATAATGTCTGCCACCACAATTCTATAAGAATTTTATTTTTATTTAAAATTAGTCTTGATAAACAAACCTGAAAGGATCATAGATAATTTCTTTTGAGCTCCATAAGCCCATTTTGCAGGAGCACTATAATACATGGAAAAATTACTGGAGTAGCTCTCAAGAAAGTTGGGTGCCTGTTTTTGCCATGAACACAGCAGAAACTGTACCTGCCAAATAGGCCTGTGCTCCCCTACATTTCTTGGTCTTCCTTGGAGTGAGGCTAGGGCAACATCACTAGTTCCAGCCAATGGATAATGCCCAAAATAGATGTGTCAGCTGGGGGCCAAGACAGTTAAGAGAATGTGCCTCCTCCCCATGTCTCTTTTCCTGCCTTTGCAGCCTTACAAGCCATGGTAACATGGCTCTAAGATGAAAGAGGGGTACTCAACCCACTAGATTTTATGTCTGAGAGAAAGGCACCCAGGAGCCACTATGGTTTTGAAGATTTGTCTGATATGACAGCTAATATGAATTATCCACTGATACAGTTAACATAAATAGTTCATCCTATTTTTTATTGAACTTTTATATTAAGATAAACAATATCTGCTCATTTCAAAAATAAAATAATTCTTGTAAAAATATCCTGTAACACCTAATATTTGTAAATTGCCCGGGCCAAGGATATATGTTGGAAAAAGTTGTTTTAAACTGTCATAAAAAAGTTCATCTGCTCAAATGTGATGTCACAAAGAATGTAATATTGCATTTTCACTAAGATTTTGATCCTCACTCTGGATCCAGCAACAATTTAAGGCCTTCACAACTTACCCAGTTTTCAGTGAAAGATTAGGCAGGGAACTATTTATTAAAGGGTTCAATGATCTCCTCAAAGAGACTGCAATAACTAGCAAAGAGATGCCCATAATGGAAAATGTTTTGTTACAAATCAGCATGTGATTAAGCTAATAGCTGTGGAGAAGTCATTCAGTGCCTTAAAAAGTTTCAGTTGTGGAGTCAGACAGACTTGAATTCTGATTTTAATATCTAATAGCTCTGGGACCTTGGGCAAGCTACTTTACTGTTACATCTCAGTTTCCTCATCTGCAAAATGGGAACACTGGTAACAGCAATTCTCACAGCTAGTTAATGAGCTTAGCCTTTGGTACAGAGCAAATACAAAGTGAAAGCCAACAAATACACCAATAATAGCTGTATTAACACTTCAGGACAAGAACAGGTGCATGAGTTCAAATAATTAATTTAGTTATTCTACCAATATGTATTGAGAACTCACTACATTTAAGACTTGTGATGTTTTCTATGGGCAAAACATAGTTGTATCATTGTGGCAAGCATGATGGCTAGGATCCACCCAAAATTCGTGCTTCCACTTCAATTCTACAAAGTTGTTGCTAAAAGGCTTCTGTACAGCATGAAATTACACATCTTAACTTCCTCTGCATCTTTGTGAGTCCATGTGACTAGTTCTTGAAAGTGGACTATCAGAGAAACTGTGACCTCTGGGCTGGGGCTTTTGTGAAGCAGGTTACTTTCTCCATTCTTTCTTTCCTGTACAGTAGCTGGTTGCAAAGGGTTCCCAGGCCATAGGAAATGATGGAACCATATGATGGACAAAGGCTGAGTCCTTGAAGAACAAACTCAGAAGGAAAACTTCCCACATGGGACTATTCAGTGAACAATAAATACACATTGACTGTTTTAAGCTATTGAAATGCAGGAGTTAATTTGTTGTGACAGATTGTGCTACCCTAACCAACATCATCAAATAGGGCTTTGCCCTAAATGACTTTAGAGTTTATAAGAAACTAGTTATTTCAGCAGATTGCCTTATTATTGTTAGCTGATAGGGATGTCTGAGCAGGAAAAGCTTTGGGAAATTGAGAACTTGTGGCCATAATAGGACAGTTCTTACTTCCTTTTTCTGTGCCTTGCCTTTATATCCCCCTTGATGATAGAGACCTGGAATAGGATGAAAATATCAATTCCTTGTCTTTCAGTTTTGTTTCTTCTCCTGTTACTCACTCCTCTACTGGTGAAACTCAAGACTGACTTTGGGAATTTTTCACCACACTATAATGGAACTGTTTGCCACACTTTCTGTGTTCACTCTCCCATGCTGGTCTGTGGTGGAAAAAAAAAATGATTCAAGATTTAAATAAGAAGTTAATAGAAGAATAGAATGTAACCAGAGAATCAAAATTTCTGTAGTCTATAAATATACAATGATATCAAATTAACTTTTAATGCCCAAGCTGGAATGACTCAAGCCCTATCTTTAAATGGCCTTGCAAAATATTTTTTTGTTTTGGTTTTAACTGATCCAACAAAAATGCTTTAAAAATGTAAATATCATTTTCAGGAGATACCTGGTATTTGCTTTCGGGCAGCTATGAATGCTCAGTATTGGTCCAAACTCTCATCTTTGTGCCTTGGCTACAATGTCTCCTATAATTTGCCTCCATGACTTTTACATGACTTTTATTAACAGTCAAGTGGCATACAAAAATAAGCATTTATTTCTCATGAATCAATATGGTTCAGCTAATCTAGGCCAGGCTCACCTGGGTGGATCTTCTAATTTTGGCTTGGCTCACTCAGGCATGTGGAGTTGGCAGGGGGTCAGCTGCATTAGACTGGGCTTGGATGGGAACACTCAGCATTGCTCCACATGTCACTCATCTTTCTCCTTAGAGCAGTGGGCCAGCACAGGAACATCCTTCTCTTGACAATGGCAGAAGGATAAGAACGTAACCCAATCTGGTAAATAATTTTTCAAGCTTCTACTTGCATCATGATTGATGGCATCCTGTTGTCCAAAACACATCATATGATGAAATCCAGGTTCTAGGGTAGAACAATGTACTCTTGATGGGAAGGACTGCATAGTTACATGGCAATGGCATATATTTCTCTCAGGGTAAAGTATTGGTTCTATTAAGGCAATTTACCACAGTTATCCCATCTTTCCCAGCAGAAGACAATTTCTTCATTAAAATCTCCCTTAAACACATGCATTTTCCATTGGAAGCTTAGGCTCATTTTTATTAATTTATTAGTAAAAAAAAAAATCTATGCCCTTAACCATAAGATAACTTGTAGGCAGGAAAGCTATTCTTTTAAAGGACTTTATTAAAGTTTCAGCCAATAACAACATTTATATTTCAAAGAGCATATTCTTTCTATTCACAGAATTCAACCAATATTTTTAGCATTGATAATTTACAAAAAGCCTAAATGATTTAAGATACAATATTAATAAAATAATGTTTTTGCCTTTTAAAATAAGTAGAAATTGGAAAAATGCCCCCTCCTAAGACCACCATAAAAATAACTCATAACAGTAGAGAAGTCCAGTAAGGAAATTAGCTTTTTATTAGTTTTGTGCCATTGAATATTGTTCTTATCACATCAACCTAAGTGGGGCACATATTACTAGTTATGTTACTTAATGTTAAGTTAAAATATTAGCAATCAGTGATATTGGATATAAATGGGATTTTTCACAGGACTCTGTTAAAATGGGAAAAAGTAATCAAATAGAAAAGTTGAGATGCACTATCTTTGCATGAATAGTTGAAATGAGCAAATGAGCACTATGTAGAAAAGGGTAAACGTAGCAGACCAGAGACTGCTATCATTAGAAAAACCTGCAAGCAATGTTAGCCCTTGGCAGGCATTTGGGAACTGGGATTTCAGAAGGGTTCTCACTATTCCTAGAACTGATAAGAATGCCCCATTGTGCCTAAATTGTCTACGCAAAAAAAAAATGGTTTATAAGGAATACCTGCTTTCTTTTGGGGAGTCTGGAATGTTGGTGTATGCTAGGCAGACAGTGCCTACCCCCAGTAACCCTGGGCTCTGAGTCCTTATGAGCGTCCCTGGTAGACAGCATTTTAAGTGTGAAGTCACATCTTTCTGCTTGGGAATTAAACACATCCTGCGTGACTCCATTGGGAGAAGATTCTGGGAAGCTTGTGCCTATTGTCCTAAGAACTTCACCCCATGAGTCCTTTCCCAGTGCTGATTATGCACTGTGTCCTTTTGCTGTAAAAAGTCATGACCATGGGTATGACTATTTGCTGAGTTTTGTGAGTCCTCCTAATGTACCATTGAACCTGGGAGTATCCTGACTCTTGGTAATATTGTGGCCTCTGACACAAATACAATCTTCTCTTTCCTATTGTGAGCTTTCAAAGATAACATTGAATGGCCAACTCATTCATGCATTCAGCTGAAACTCAGTGAGCATCTATTATACAATAGGCACTGTGCTAAAATGTAATAATAAATTTGAATACAACCCACATGAAACCTGCCTTCCTGAAGACTGCATTAAGCAGAGGTTAAAATAATAAACTAAGATGAAGCCAAAATTATTTTCAGCACATCCTTCCCCCCCTTTTTTTGGCTAAAGTAGAAACATGCCAACTAGTTATATAGAATAGTAGATAAAGGAGCCAATTCTTCTTCTTCTTCTTCTTCTTCTTCTTCTTCTTCTTCTTCTTCTTCTTCTTCTTCTTCTTCTCCTTCTCCTCCTTCTCCTTCTCCTTCTTCTTCCTCTTCCTCTTCCTTTTCCTCTTCTTCTTCCTCTTCATCTTCTCTCTCTCTCTCTTTTTAAGGCTAGTCAAGTGAATCAATAAGAGAATGGACAAAGAAATATATAATTGGTTGTAATCAATTAGTTGTAAACACCACACCAGCCAGGACCCAATTCTTAAAAAAAAAAAAAAAAAACAACCAAAATTTAGTGCTTGCCTTTCTGTTTTTCCTGAATAATAATTAATAATAATACCTATGAGTATGAGTGTCATGTTATTTTAAAATTCAATAAAGATCTAAAAGCAATTGTTAGGTAAGCATTGTCCAGTTATGTAGGATAATGCTAAAAAATAGTTACTGTATATTTTCATGACCACGTTTGCCAAAGTACTCCAAGGACTCTCTTGCAAGAGAAAATAACAGATGCCATCCAGGTATTATAGCTGGAAACTCTACTGCTATGAATTCTGATAGCACATTCAAATAATGAATTTGTAAGTGGAAACAAAACAGACTGAGTATTGTAATTGATTTTTTGAGGCAACTTCAACATTTCTTGCAATAATTAGGTCAGATATAATATTTGAAATGTAAATGTGGATTTTAAAAATAATCAAATGATGAAGTGAAAATGGTAGCATTATTACCCTGTTGGAATGAAGAAAGAATTGCAAAAACATTTTGGAAATTTAAATTGCTTGCCTACTTCTGCAGCTTTATGCAGTTTTTTATGGGCACAAGTGAGCCTCCAGTTTTTATTTTAAGATGTGCTTAAAACATATGAACCAGATTAAGTTAGCTTCCATCTGCACAAAAGTGGGAAGGTTTCACTGCCTTGTGTGCCGACCAGCAAATATTTTCTCTTCTTATATCAACTTCTGCTGGGAGGTAGAAAAAACTAGATGGTATAGAAAGATGTGCCACCATGATCTAATTTTTTTCAATTACTTCGGGTCTTACTGGAGCATACGTCTTATATTTTATGGTCACCCATTCATCTCCGGTGCTTTGCTGCCTTTGTAATCTCATCATTAACAATATATGAGAAGAGTAGTTCTTCAGATTTAGGCATAACTGTGATTTGTTCTTGGCTGCTAGCACACTGGGGGTGGATTGGCTTTTGTTATGAATCATTTGTGCACATGATTTAATATATGTTTGGGCCATAAGTCTGGCTTTGATTTTCAAACATTTGACAGGTTGAGTCAATCTTGCATGAATGCAAGTAAAATGCAATGTGCACTCAGTATTATCTCCTTAAACATGGGTTTTTCAGGCATGTAATAATTTTCATGGCTGTTGTAAATTCACATTTTGAATTAGAGTTTAACCTGTGTTTATCGCCCAAAATCTGGAACGGAAAGAATTGTCAAGAGAGATTCAGAAAACATTGAATTAAGAAGCATTAAAAACATTACATTTTGTGATAAAGAACATGAATTTGGCATCATAAAGATCTGTGTTCAAACTACGGATTTTTTATTTGTAAAATGGGGCTAAAATAGGATCCACCTCCTGAAATTATGTCCAAGATTAAGTGACAAAATTTTTGACACGTGATAATCTCAGTGACTCAAGAAATGTTACCTATGATATATAATTATTTATAGCTTAGCATACATATATAAAAGTGCACCAAACCTAACTGTGCAGCTCAATTCATTTTCAAAAATTAAAGCTTCAGTGTAGGTTGCACTAAGATCAACAAACAGGATATTATTACATGTTTCTTCCAGAAACCATACCCTACCACCCCCAGAAATAGTCATTAACCTGACTTCTATCATCATCGGTGAGTTTTGCTTATTTTTAAACTTTCTGCATAGGTTCTTTCAGATTTTTTACAGATACTATCATGTTGTCTGCCAAAAATTATGTTGTCTTTCTTTCCCACTGTCTTTTATTCTCCCTCCCTGATTGCACTGGCTTGGACTTCCAGTGTAATGTTGACTTGAAATGGGAAGAGCAGCCATCTTTGTCTCATTCCCTATTTTGGAGGGGACAATTTTTTTACATTTCATCATTTTGTACAATCTTTGATTTATTTTTAAAAGCTACTATCAGATTAAGAAAATCCCTGTCTATTCAACTTAGGCTAGAGGTTTTTGTTTTGTTTCTAGTAAAGAATGTTGAATTTTATCACAAGTTGTCTATGCATTTAGGGATATTAATTTCTTCTCTTTTTGTGGCTAATGCATCAAATTACATTTTTCTCAAATGTTAACCAATATTCTTTGTATTCACAGAATAAACCTCATTTAATTGTATTCTCTTATCCTTTTTATATATCCCTAGATTGATATAATATTTTGTTGAGGATTTTACATGTTGTTGATGAGAAAGATTTATTAAAATTTTATTTCTTATAATATCATTGTGAGATTTTGTATCAAAGTTATGCTAATCTTATAAAATGAGGTAAGAAATTTTTCTTCTACTTTTTTTATTTTACACTTTCTTCCTTAAATATTTGGAAGAACTCACTGCTAAAACCATCTAAACATAGGGTTTCTTGCGTTGGATTGGTAATTGGTGGTTTTCAAGAAATGTCTACTTTTCATCTAAATTGTCAGATTTATTTTTTGTTCTTTATTATTTCCTTCCTTTTGCTTTCTGGGGATTAATTTACTCTTCTTTTGTCAATTTCTCAAGATGGATGCTTAATTCATTGATTCTCAGCCTTTGTTGTTTCCTAATATATGCATTTTAAAGTCACAAATATGCTGCTAAGCACTCTATCAGATGTATCATGCAAGATTTGATATACTGGACCTTTATTATTATTTCATTGAAAAGATTTTCTAATTTTTGGTGAGTTCTTGACACATAGTTTTATTTAATATGTACTGCTTAATTTCCAAGAAGCTAGGAATATTCCAGTTATTTTTATTAGACTATTTTTAATTAATTATATTATGTTTCAAAAACATAATTTGAGTGATTTAAATCCTATACAATTTGTTTAAGTTTATTTGAAGACTTATCATAGACTCATCTTATGGTAAATGTCCTGTGTGGACTCACAAAGAGTATTTATTGTCATTATTGGTGCAGTGTTCAATAAATGTCATTAGGGTAAATTGCTTAAGAGTGTTGTTCAGGGGGGTGGAGCCAAGGTGGCCTAATAGGAAGAGCTCCAGTCTACAGCTCCCAGCATGAGCAACGCAGAAGTTGGGTGATTTCTGCATTTCCAACTGAGGTACCGGGGTCATCTCACTGGGGAGTGTCGGAAAGTGGGTGCAGGACAGTGGGTGCAGCACACCAAGCGTGAGTCAAAGCAGGGCGAGGCATCGCCTCACCCGGGAAATGCAAGGGGTCAGGGAATTCCCTTTCCTAGTCAAAGAAAGGGGTGACAGATGGCACCTGGAAAATCGGGTCACTCCCACCCTAATACTGCGCTTTTCCAACGGTCTTAGCAAATGGCACACCAGGAGATTATATCCCGTGCCTGGTTTGAAGGGTCCTACGCCCACGGAGCCTCGCTCATTGCTAGCACAGCAGTCTGAGATCAAACTGCAAGGCAGCAGCAAGGCTGGGGGAGGGGCACCCGCCATTGCCGAGGCTTGAGAAGGTAAACAAAGCGGCTGGGAAGTTCAAACTTGGTGGAGCCCACCGCAGCTCAAGGAGGCCTGCCTGCCTCTGTAGACTCCACCTCTGGGGGCAGGGCATAGCCAAACAAAAGGCAGCAGAATCCTCTGCAGACTTAAATGTCCCTGTCTGACAGCTTTGAAGAAAGTAGTGGTTCTCCCAGCACGCAGCTGGAGATCTGAGAATGGACAGAATGCCCCCTTAAGTGGGTCCCTGACCCCCAAGTAGCCTAACTGAGAGGCACCCCCCAGTAGAGGCAGACTGACACCTCACACGGCCGGGTACTCCTCTGAGACAAAACTTCCAGAGGAACGATCAGGCAGCAACATTTGTGGTTCACCAATATCCACTGTTCTTCAGACTCCGCTGCTTATACCCAGGCAAACAGGGTCTGGAGTGGACCTCCAGCAAATTCCAACAGACCTGCAGCTGATGGTCCTGCCTGATAGAAGGAAAACTAACAAACAGAAAGTACATCCACACCAAAACCCCATCTGTACATCACCATCATCAAAGACAAAAGATAGATAAAGCCACAAAGACGGGGAAAAAACAGAGCAGAAAAACTGGAAACTCTAAAAATCAGAGCGCCTCTCCTCCTCCAAAGGAACGCAGCTCCTCACCAGCAATGGAACAAAGCTGGATGGAGAATGACTTTGATGAGCTGAGAGAAGAAGACTTCAGACGATCAAACTACTCCGAGCTAAAGGAGGAAGTTCAAACCCATGGCAAAGAAGTTAAAAACCTTGAAAAAAAATTAGATGAATGGCTAACTAGAATAACCAATGCAGAGAAGTCCTTAAAAGACCTGATGGAGCTGAAAACCATGGCATGAGAGCTACGTGATGAATGCACAAGCCGCAGTAGCTGATTTGATCAACTGGAAGAAAGGATATCAGTGATGGAAGATCAAATGAATGAAGTGAAGTGAGAAGAGAAGTTCAGAGAAAAAAGAATAAAAAGAAATGAACAAAGCCTCCAAGAAATATGGGACTATATGAAAAGACCAAATCTACATCTGATTGGTGTACCAAAAAGTAACGGGGAGAATGGAACCAAGTTGGAAAACACTCTGCAGGATATTATCCAGGAGAACTTCCCCAATCTAGCAAGGCAGGCCAACATTCAAATTCAGGGAATACAGAGAATGCCACAAAGATACTCCTCGAGAATAGCAACTCCAAGACACATAATTGTCAGATTCTTCAAAGTTGAAATGATGGAAAAAATGTTAAGGGCAGCCAGAGAGAAAGGTTGGGTTACCCACAAAGGGAAGCCCATCAGACTAACAGCTGATCTCTCAGCAGAAACTCTACAAGCCAGAAGAGAGTGGGGATCAATATTCAACATTCTTAAAGAAAAGAATTTTCAACCCAGAATTTCATATCCAGCCAAACTAAGCTTCATAAGTGAAGGAGAAATAAAATCCTTTACAGACAAGCAAATGCTGAGAGATTTTTGTCATCACCAGGCCTGCCCTAAAAGAGCTCCTGAAGGGAGCACTAAACATGGAAAGGAACAACCAGTACCAGCCACTGCAAAAACATGCCAAATTGTAAAGACCATCGAGGCTAGGAAGAAACTATACCAACTAATGAGCAAAATAAACAGCTAACATCATAATGACAGGATCAAATTCCCACATAACAATATTAACCTTAAATGTAAATGGGCTAAATCCTCCAATTAAAAGACAGAGACTGGCAAATTGGATAAAGAGTCAAGACCCATCAGTGTGCTGTATTCAGGAAACACTTCTCATGTGCAGAGACACACATAGGCTCAAAATAAAGGGATGGAGGAAGATCTACCAAGCAAAAGGAAAACAAAAAAAGGCAGGGGTTGCTATCCTAGTCTCTGATAAAGCAGACTTTAAACCAACAAAGATCAAAAGAGACAAAGAAGGCCATTACATAATGGTAAAGGGATCAAGTCAAGAAGAAGAGCTAACTATCCTAAATATATATGCACCCAATACATGATCACCCAGATTCATAAAGCAAGTCCTTAGTGACCTACAAAGAGACATAGACTTCCACAGAATAATAATTGGAGACTTTAACACCCCACTGTCAACATTAGACAGATCAACAAGACAGAAAGTTAACAAGCATATCCAGGAATTCAACTCAGCTCTGCACCAAGTGGACCTAATAGACATCTACAGAACTCTCCACCCCAAATCAACAGAATGTACATTCTTTTCAGCACCACACCACACCTATTCCAAAATGGACCACATAGTTGGAAGTAAGGCACTCTCAGCAAATGTAAAAGAACAGAAATTATAACAAACTGTCTCTCAGACCACAGTGCAATCAAACTAGAACTCAGGATTAAGAAACTCACTCAAAACCGCTCAACTACATGGAAACTGAACAACCTGCTCCTGAATGACTACTGGGTATATAACAAAATGAAGGCAGAAATTAAGATGTTCTTTGAAACCAATGAGAACAAAGACACAACATACCAGAATCTCTGGGACACATTCAAAGCAGTGTGTAGAGGGAAATTTGTAGCACTAAATGCCCACAAGAGAAAACAGGAAAGATCTAAAATTGACACCCTAACATCACAATGAAAAGAACTAGAGAAGCAAGAGCAAACACATTCAAAAGCTAGCAGAAGGCAAGAAATAACTAAGATCAGAGCAGAACTGAAGGAAATAGAGACATAAAAAACCCTTCAAAAAATCAAAGAATCCAGGAGCTGGTTTTTTGAAAGATCAACAAAATTGATAGACCGCTAGCAAGACTAATAAAGAAGAAAAGAGAGAAGAATCACGTAGATGCAATAAAAAATGATAAAGGGGATATCACCACTGATCCCACAGAAATACAAACTACCATCAGAGAATACTATAAACACCTCTACGCAAATAAACTAGAAAATCTAGAAGAAATGGATGAATTCCTCGACACATACCCCCTCCCAAGACTAAACTAGGAAGAAGTTGAATCTCTGAATAGACCAATAACAGGCTCTGAAATTGAGGCAATAATTAATAGCTTACTAACCAAGAAAAGTCCAGGACCAGATATATTCACAGCTGAATTCTACCAGACATACAAGGAGGAGCTGGTACCATTCCTTCTGAAACTATTCCAATCAATAGAAAAAGAGGGAATCCTCCCTAACTCATTTTATGAGGCCAGCATCATCCTGATACCAAAGCCTGGCAGAGACACAACAAAAAAAGAGAATTTTAGACCAATATCCCTGATGAACCTCAATGCAAAAATCCTCAATAAAATACTGGCAAAGCGAATCCAGCAGCACATCAAAAAGCTTATCCACCAAGATCAAGTGGGCTTCATCCCTGGGATGCAAGCCTGGTTCAACATATGCAAATCAATAAACATAATCCAGCATATAAACAGAAGCAATGACAAAAACCATATGATTATCTCAATAGATGCAGAAAAGGCCTTTGACAAAATTCATCAACCCTTCATGCTAAAAACTCTCAATAAATTATTTATTGATGGGATGTATCTCAAAATAATAAGAGCTATCTATGACAAACCCACAGCCAATATCATACTGAATGGGCAAAAACTGGAAGCATTCCCTTTGAAAACTGGCACAAGACAGGGATGCCCTCTCTCACCACTCCTATTCAACATAGTGTTGGAAGTTCTGGCCAGGGCAATCAGGCAGGAGAAGGAAATAAAGGGTATTCAATTAGGAAAAGAGGAAGTCAAATTGTCCCTGTTTGCAGATGACATGATTGTACATCTAGAAAAATCCCATCATCTCAGCCCAAAATCTCCTTAAGCTGATAGGCAACTTCAGCAAACTCTCAGGATACAAAATCAATGTGCAAAAATCACAAGCATTCTTATACACCAATAACAGACAAACAGAGAGCCAAATCATGAGTGAACTCACATTCACAATTGTTTCAAAGAGAATAAAATACCTAGGAATCCAACTTACAAGGGATGTGAAGGACCTCTTCAAGGAGAACTACAAACCACTGCTCAATGAAATAAAAGAGGATACAAACAAATGGAAGAACATTTCATGCTCATGGGCAGGAAGAATCAATATCATGAAAATGGCCATACTGCCCAAGGTAATTTATAGATTCAATGCCATCCCCATCAAGCTACCAATGACTTTCTTCACAGAATTGGAAAAAACTACTTTAAAGTTCATATGGAACCAAAAAAGAGCCCGCATTGCCAAGTCAATCCTAAGCGAAAAGAACAAAGCTGGAGGCATCACGCTACCTGACTTCAAACTAAACTACAGGGCTACAGTAACCAAAACAGCATGGTACTGGTACTAAAACAGAGATATAGACCAATGGGAAAGAACAGAGCCCTCAGAAATAATGCCGCATATCTACAACCATCTGATCTTTGACAAACCTGACAAAAACAAGAAATGGGGAAAAGATTCCCTATTTGATAAATGGTGCTAGGAAAACTGGCTAGCCATATGTAGAAAGCTGATACTGGATCCCTTCCTTACACATTATACAAAAATTAATTCAAGATGGATTAAAGACTTACATGTTAGACCTAAAACCATAAAACCCCTACAAGAAAACTTAGGCAATACCATTCAGGACATAGGCATGGGCAAGGACTTCATGTCTAAAACACCAAAAGCAATGGCAACAAAAGCCAAAATTGACAAATGGGATCTAATTAAACTAAAGAGCTTCTGCACAGCAAAAGAAACTACCATCAGAGTGATCAGGCAACCTACAGAATGGGAGAAAAATTTTGCAATCTACTTATCTGACAAAGGGCTAATATCCAGAATATACAATGAACTCCAACAAATTTACAAGAAAAAAACAAACAACCCCATCAACAAGTGGGCGAAGGACATGAACAGACACTTCTCAAAAGAAGACATTTATGCAGGCAAAAGACACATGAAAAAATGCTCGTCATCACTAGCCATCAGAGAAATGCAAATCAAAACCACAATGAGATACCATCTCACACCAGTTAGAATGGCAATCATTAAAAAGTCAGGAAACAACAGGTGCTGGAGAGGATGTGGAGAAATAGGAACACTTTGACACTGTTGGTGGGACTGTAAACTAGTTCAACCATTGTGGAAGTCAGTGTGGCAATTCCTCAGGGATCTAGAACTAGAAATACAATTTGACCCAGCAATCCCATTACTGGGTATATACCCAAAGGATTATAAATCATGCTGCTATAAAGACACATGGACACGTATGTTTATTGTGGCACTATTCACAATAGCAAAGACTTGGAACCAAGCCAAATGTCCAACAAGGATAGACTGGATTAAGAAAATGTGGCACATATACACCAAATAATACTATGAAGCCATAAAAAAGAATGAGTTCATGTCCTTTGTAGGGACATGGATGAAGCTAGAAACCATCATTCTCAGCAAACTATTGCAAGGACAAAAAACCAAACACTGCATGTTCTCACTCATAGGTGGGAATTGAACAATGAGAACACATGGACACAGGAAGGGGAACATCACACACTGGGGCCTGTTGTGGGGTGGGGAGGGGGAGGGATAGCATTAGGAGATATACCTAATGTTAAATGATGAGTTAATGGGTGCAGCACACCAACATGGCACATGTATGTATATGTAACTAACCTGCACGTTGTGCACATGTACCCTAAAACTTAAAGTATAATAAAAAAAAAAAAAGAGTGTTGTTCAGCTCTTCTGTGATGTTGCTGATTTTAGTTGTTCTGAGTGAGAACTCTGGTATACTGCCAGTGGTTCCACCACTTTTGAATAAAAGTCACTAATCTATAATTTCTCTTATTAATTCTGCTACTTAATTGTGATAAAAATTAAAATCTTCAGAAGCAAGTTGATGCTTAAAGTAATTAATGTTACTTAATAGCAGTTAATGCTACTTAAAATTCATATTTAGAATACGGCTTTATTTGAAAAGCCATCTGAATTCATTAATTTAACTTTTCTAGAAGATCCTGTCGTAAGTCATGACATTTTCTTCTTGGATACCTCAATGTTGCTGAGAATGAAATGCTAAATTTTATTTTATAGCTCAATGAGTCAATAGGTAATACTAATAATGCCTAATTGTTGTGAAGTTGGCAAAGTTAACCAGACCAGTTTATGTCGTAAAAATTAGGGCTTCATTAACACTAGGTAATTAGGCATCCAGTTTTCCCAAGTGGAAACCTCAGAGGATCTTGCAATGGTAAATGAGTGAACTATGGGTCCAGGATTTCCAAATGGTAATGGTTTCATGTCAATAAGCTAGATATTTCAAACCAAACTATTAAAGCTTTTGTTCAAGTCAATCAGGAAGCTATATTAATATGTCTCATAGGTAAATATTCTAACTTAGATGGTTATGGTTCAACTTCAAATACAAATAGTGGCATCCTAAATGTGGTGTTTATGAATGAACTAATAAACCAAGTTTTCAGTATCAAAGCCTTACCTATGAGGCCAAGGAATTGCTTTGCTGTTAAGTTTGGTCTAAGTCATAGTATCTATGAAAAAGTATAAAAAATATAAAGGAAAAATATAAAGGAATAGCACAGTTGGGTTAGTGTTCTACTGCATTTACTTGGGATAACCCTAGTTTGGGAATTAAAATGTGTCAACTGTGTATTCTAAGACTGTCCACTGAAAGAATATAAGGCATGCCAAAATGTTACAATATTCCTTTGCCAATCTTTCTTTTTTTTTTTTTTGATAATTTCCTGTCTTTGAGAGTCAAGAGCTAGAATGGAACAAAGTTAATTTTTATCAGAGCATTCTAAACAATCCGCAATAAATATTCATCATACCCAAAACCAGTGGTCCAAGAGTCTTCAAAAAATACATGATTCCTATTTTTCTCTAATCCAAAAAACAGTAATACTGGAGCCAAACTGACGTATTTTCATGTTCATAAAATGATGAAATGAAAAGTTTTATTTTCACTTTAACTCTTCTAAGACTAGAAGTGATGCTCCTTAGGAAAAATAGGTGTTAGGCACTGCAGTTATAGTGAGGTGTGTGGGAAAGGAACGTTATTTACGTATTCTTGTGACACAGCTTTCAGTGTGCAGAAACTTTCTGTTAAGACTGTCAGAGCCAATATTGATTACAAAGGATTTAGACTATTGTAGAAGTCATTTTCAGAGATATTCTTATTTTTTTCTGCATTGTGTTATTGAATGGGTTGTTTTTACTTTCTCTCCTATCCTATCTTACACTGAAAAACAGTTTCCATCCATTTTCCCCTAAAGCGTGGTGTGCTTTGATATTCAGAGCCAAACGGTAAGATTCCTATCAAAGAAAGAAGCTTAACATTCAAAGGCACCAGAACACAGTGGACACATTCCTGATCTTAAAATAATTATTTAAAATGCACGTTATAGAATTGGCCACACTCTATATTTCGAATTCTGTTATTCTGGAAATGCAATGACCATATTCCTCCTACATGTATTAGGAAAAGAATGGATTAAATAGAACGCACTTTAGAGTTCTTTATGATGTGGTTAACATTTGTGTTTTAAGCGTTTACCCACTTTGCTTTTTTTCTCATGTAAGAGAAAACTCTTAAGAAGAAAACAGGCCAGTCTTTTAAAATCAGGGAAAAAAACCAATATAATTTATTTTATTTCCAAAATAAATTTTATATTAGGTTGCAAATCAAGACTAGACAGTGACATCTTCACTGGTGTGTAGAATTCTTATCAAAAATATTCATCTTCTTCTAGATGTACTCTAAATTGTGGCAGATGACAATAGTCATTGGAATTGGAGAAACAGATTTATTTTCAGATTGAAATCTCTCATCTACTAGCATTAATTTTGGCCAAGCTAGTTTTAGCTACAGAATCTGTGTGCCTTATTTTTTCTGAATGCTTTATTTGATATTTAAAATACATGGGGATAGCTGTCATGATAAGAAAATAAGATTTAATTGATATTCTTTTGAAATAATCTTTAAAAAAGTTCTAAGTAAAAAATTGCTATATTATTTTTTATGACATGTTGAATTATTATCTGGATAGCTTTTCTAAGACAATACAGTCAATATTACATGTTTGATATTTAAAAATTATTTTAAACTTACTTTAAATTAATTACACAACTAGAAATAAAAAATGAAATCATAGAAATATGTATTTTAAAAATTGTGGTAAAATATATACAATATGAAACTTGCCATTCAAAACATTTTTAAGTGTACAATTCAGTTGCATTTGCACAATCATCACTACTATCCATTTCCAGAACTTCTTCATCATACCAAACAGAAACTCTGAACTCCTTAAACAATCACTCCCTGATATAGTTTGGCTGTGTCCCCACCTAAATCTCATCTTGAATTGTAGCTCCCATAATTCCCACATGTTGTGGGAGGGACCTTGTGGGCAGTAATTCAATTATGGGGGCTGGTCTTTCCTGTGCTGTTCTTCTGAGAGTGAATAAGTCTCATGAGATCTGATGGTTTTATAAAGGGCAGTTTCCCTGCACATGTTCTCTTGCTTGCCTCCATGTAAGACATTACTTTGCTCCTCTTTCACCTTCTGCCATGATTGTGAGGCCTCCCCAGCCATGTGGAACTGTGAGTCAATTAAACCTCTTTCCTTTATAAATTACCAAGCCTTAGGTATGTCTTTATTAGCAACATGAGAACAGACTAATATACTCCACATTATTTCTTCCCAGCCCCTGATAACCTCTATTCTGCTTTCTATCTCTATGAATTTGCCTATTCTAGATATCTCATTGTTATATATGTGTCTCTCCAAAATTTTCACGTTGAAATCTTAACCTGTAATGTGATGGTATAAGGAGGAGGGGTTTGGGGGAGGTAATTAAGCTGTGAAAGTGGAGCCCTCATGAATGACGTTAGTGACTGTGATTGTTAATATTGTCAACTTGATCGGATTGAAGGATGCAAATTATTGTTCCTGTGTGTGACTGTGAGGGTGTTGCCAAAGGAGATTAACATTTGAGTCAGTGGACTTGGAAAGGCAGACCCAACATAAATTTGGGTAGGTACAATCTAATCAGCTGCCAGGGTAGCCAGATTAAAAGCAGACAGAAGAACGTGAAAAGACTAGACTGGCTTCACCTCTGAACCTACATCTTTCTCCTGTGCTGGATGTTTTCTGCCCTCAAACATTGGACACCAAATTCTTCAGCTTTGGGCCTTGGACTGGCTTCCTTGCACCTCAGCTTGGCTTGCCTATTTTGGGACCTCACCTTGTGATCATGTGAGTTAATACTCCTTAATAAACTCCCCTTTATAGATACATCTATCCTATTAATTCTGTCTCTCTAGAGAACCCTGACTAATACAGTGCTCTTATAAGAAGTGAGATGAGGATATGAAAGCTTTTTTCTCCATCCTTCCATTCTGTCTCTCTCTCTCTCTCTCTCTCTCTCTCTCTTTCTCTCTCTCAGCCCCATGAGAATACAGTGAGAAAGCAGCTGCCTACAAGCCAAGAAGTGGCCCTTCTCAGATGCAGGATCTGCAAGCTCCTTGATCTTGGATTTCGTAGACACCAGATCTGTGAGAAAAAAATATTTGTTGTTTAAGCCACCCAGTCTATATAGTATTCTTATAGCAGCCCAAACTGACTATTACACTCTTACAAGGGAAATCATACAATACTTGCCATTGTGTTTGTGGCTTATTTCACTTAGCTTAGTATCTCCAGGGTTCATTTATATTATAGCACCTATCAGAATTTCATTCCTTTTTAAAGCTGAATAATAATTCATTGTATGTATGTGTTGTATTTATTTATCCATTTGTCTGTTGATAGACATGTGGGTTGCTTCCACCTTTTGGCTATTATCAAGAATGCTGCTATGAACATTGGTGAACACTGGTGTTCAAGAACCTATCTGAATTCTTGCTTTCAATTATCTTGGTTATATACCTAGAAATAGAATTGCTTGGTTATATGACAACTCTGCTTAACTTTTCGAAGAGGCACTAAACTGTTTTCTGCAGCAGCTGCACCATTTTATATTCCTCCTAGCAATTCACAAGGGCTCCAATGTCTTCACATTCCACCAACATTGGTTATTTTCTGCCTTTTTTTTTTAAATAGCTATTCTAATGGATGTAAAGTGACATTTCATTGTGGACTTGAGTTGCATTTCTTGAATGACTAGTATTGGTGAACACTTTTTCTTGTGCTTCTGATCATTTGTATATCTTCTTTGGAGAAATGTCGATGCAAGTTCTTTGCTCATACCCGTGCCAAGGATTGCAGGCACAGTGGCTCAATGCCTGTAATCTCAGCACTTTGGGAGTCTGAGGCTGAAGAATCTCTTGAGGCCAGGAGTTTGAGACGAGCCTGGACAACACAGTGAGACCTTGTCTCTAAAAAATGTACAAAAAAAAAAATTAGCTGGGTGTGGTGTCACATACTTACAGTCCTAGCTACTCAGAAGGCTGGGAGGGGGAGGATTGCTTAAACCTAGGAGTTTGAGGCTGCAATGATCTATAATCATGCCACTGCACTCCAGCCTGAGTGACAGAGCCAGTCAACCATCTTAAAAAAAAAGAGAGTTATTTGCCCATTTTTGAATTGGGTTTGTTTTGTTGTTGTTGATGATGACGTGTAGAATATTTATATATTCTGAAATTTAATCCCATATATATAATATGTGTAATATATATTATATATATATAACTTGCAAATATTTTCTCGCATTCTGAGTTGTCTTTTCACTCTCCTGATAGTTTTCTTGGATGCACAAGTTTTTAATTTTCATGTTCACTTTATCTCCTTTTTTTATTGCCTGTGCTTTTGGTGCCATATGTAAGCAATCATTACCCAATCCAATGTCATGAAGATTTTCCGCATCTGTTCTTCTATGAGTTCTATAGTTTTTATCTCTTTAGATTAGATCTTTGGTCCATTTTGAGTTAACTTTTGTATGTGGTGTAAGGTAAGGATCCAGCTTTATTCGTTGCATGTGGATATCTAGTTTCCAAACTAACTAGCACTGTTAGTAGAAAAGTGCCCATCTCCCAGTTGAATGGTCTTAGCACCATTGTCAAAAAAAAATGGACCATATATATATGAGTGTTTAGTTTTTGGGTTTCTATTCTGTTTCACGGGTTGATATGTTTTTCTTTACATCAGTATCACATTGTTTTGATTACTGTGACTTTTTAGTAAGTTTTACTAAGTAAGAAATCAGAAAGTATGAATCCTCCAACTTTGTTCTCCTTTTCCAGGATTGTTTGGTTATTTGAGTTGTTTGAGATTCGATGTGAATTTTTGGATGAGTTTTTCTATTTCTGCAAAAAGCTGTTGGATTTTGAGTATTGCGTTGTACCTGTAGATTGCTTTGGGTTTTGTATTGTCATCTTAACAACAACTTTAAGTGTTTCAGTCATGAACATGAGACATCGTTCCACTTATTTATGTCTTCTTTAATTTATTTCAGTAATGTTTTATAGTTTTCCATGTATAAGTCTTTTGCCTCTGTAGTTAAATTATTTCTAATTATTTTATTTTTTTGGTGTTATTATAAACGGAATTGTTTCCTTAATTTTATTTTCACATTGGCCATTTTTAGTGTATAAAAATGCAATTTATTTTTGAATGTAGATTTTGTATCCTGATACTCTGCCAACTTTGTTTATTAGCTCTAACAGTTTGTGTGTGTGTGTGTGTGTGTGTGTGTGTGTGTGTGTGTGTATGTGAATCATCTTTAGGGTTTTCTACCTATAATATGATGTCATCTGTGAACAGAGGTAATTTGACTTCTTTCAATTTGGATATATTTTATTACTTATTTCCTGAATGTTCTGGCTAGTACTTACAACACTCTGTTGAACAGAATTGGTGGTGAAAGTCAATATCTTGGTCTCGTTCCTAATCTTAGAGGAAAAGCTTTTAGTTTTTCACCATTGTGTGTGTTGTTAGGTGTGGGTTTTTCATATATGCAATGTTTTTAATATTGTACACTCTCCATTGAATTTATAGAACTAATTAACTTGTATAATTTATTAATAAAATGAATTTGATAATGCATATCCCCATATGTCAGTTAAAGAATAGCTTTAGATGTTCATAACAGAAACCCCCCAAAAGAATGGCTTAAGAAAGATTTCAGTTTATTTTTCTGTTATGTGATAAGTCCAGATTTAAGAAGCTGAAGTCTGATATAAGAAGCTGAAGTCAGAAACATTTGGGGTCCAGGCATCTGATACTTTCTACTCAGAAAGGTGGAGTGATCTTCACTATGCTTATAAAATGTTGGTAGCAAGATTGTTTGAGCCAAAGAGCAAAAGCCTGTTATCTGCTGAGTTCCTTCTCTCTATACAAGAAACTTCCCTGGAAACTCCAATACTTTCCACTAGGTTTATCTTATTGGCTACAGTCTAATTGCACGTTCAACCTATGTACAATGTATGCTAGGCAATGTAGTTTTTAAGATGGGCACATTACTCAAATTGAGGAAAAAGGATAAAATGGCTATTTATGAAAGTAACAATCTATTCTACATCATTGTACTTCATCATAGAAACATAAAGTTGGGAAAAAGCAATGTCCTAAATACATGTGTGCAAATAATTGGCATAAACTACATATTTTAATAAATATTTATGTAACAAAATGAATGACTGAATTTTTCTATATAAAGTTCTTGTAGTGGAAATGTCAGAAAGAGGTTTTTAGTGGTATTTTCCATTTCACCTTAAAAAGGATGGTAAAAAATAGGAGGATTTTGTCCTTCACGTGTAAATATTGTGTTTGCCTGATTCAAACGCATTAGCAAAAATTAATAAACTGCTGACATCCCTCTATGATCTTAATATTTTATTCAATGTTAAATAACCAAATTTAATAGTAAAAAATAATTTAGGGGATGCAGATTTATGAATTGAACATCTTAACATTATTGTATAAAGCATGTGCTATATATATTCACTGAAGACACAAATATCTCAGAGTTCTCTGTCTTGTATGATCCATTGCTAACTTACCTCAATTTCTCACTTCCTCTTACAATTTCATTACTGTATTCTAAGCCAAGAAGATTCTTAGAAGCCAGTGCCTGTAAGAGCCAGTGATATTTTTTACTTCAAGAATTAAAACATGATCTATTTACTCTTGCTTTCTACATGCATTCATTAAGGAGTGCAAATTACACAATTAGATGCATTTTGTTGCTCAAATGAAAATTTCATATGCCAAAATGTGAACTCAGGAGAGCCAATTGGTAAAACCCAATCTCATATTCTGCACTGAATACTGATCTGTATTTTTGCTTGAAGCTTTTCTACTTGAAGGTTTAAAGTATCACTCTTCATCCTAAGTATTGTTTTCTTAGAATGCTTTTGATTTCTAAGAGTGGTGAGAATGATGGATTGAGATTAGATAGTTAGATTCATTGAGTGTTGAATGTTATTTACCACTGTTTTTCTTCTACATCAGTAGATAAAAATCAATCAAAATGAGTTTTACTGTAGAACATGGCAAGTATCGCTACTTTAAATAAACTTCTCAGTACAAATCAGAAAGTCTCTTTATGAATACATCAATGATTTTAAAATGCAATAAATTAACAGGGTAGAAAATCTTTTTATCTTTCATCATAATTATTTCTTAAGTGCCATTCAACAGCCCCAAATACTTTATATTACATAAGCTAACATTTATCAAATATGCACTTGGGCTAGGCACTCTTCTACAATTTATTCATTTTACCACATTTACTCTTTAAAAAAACTCATAAGATATGTAATTTTATCCCAATTTTATAAATACATTTTCTAAGCCACAGAATCACAGAGCAGTAGAGCCAGGATTGGAATACAGATTAGCTTCATTTAGAGCTTATAATCTTAACCATTAGGCTATGTGGCTCCCAATGAATATTCATTGGAATGTTCATTAACGGAATATACACGTACATAATATCTACATATGTAGAGATGTGTGTGTGTGTGTGTGTGTGTGTGTGTGTGTGTGTAAACATACCTAATTTAGGAACACTTTTTTTCTAATGTGCATCTATTATGTACTTCCATATGCATGTCTATATGCTCTTCCAGTACACCTGTTCTTCCAATATGCATCTATTAAGAAGCATAATTAGCAAAGAAAGATTTTAAATTATAGTGTATTGCCATTTAGGTCACTTGAGATGGGATATAAATTGTGTCATTCAAAAAAGACAAGTCAGTACAAAATGAATTATTATTTTGACACCCAAATGATATGATTAAGATTATTTTAACACAAATTGAATCTAAAAATGTTTGCCTTCATTCTTTAGTAATATGGGAATCATTGTCCCAAATAAATGTAAGCATAAGATTTAGTAAAGGATAATCCATAAAATTCTAGGTTTATGTATATCTGGCAAAAGAACATAGTTTAGAAAGTAAAAGTTATTCCAAGGTACTGTATTAAAAATAAAATTGCTTGCATTTTGTCATAATACTCTTTACTAAAAAGTTAAGTCTATTTTAAGTGGCTCCATTTTGTACCCAAATCCATCTGATATACTTACTAATCTACTGGCTGTCAGTTTTTCCTCTAAAGTGGTACCATGGTTTTGGGTCCCCAATCCTGCTGTGCAGGATGAAAATGATAAAATTTTACAGGTAACATTAATGCTTTCATAAATTAGAAATTCTCTAACACAGCTTTTTTAAAGACCAAAACAATGAAATGCTTAACGGTCTCAAAGAATTAACATAATAAATAGATGATAACATTTTCACATATAAATCATGCCTTATCTCTTCTTGTATCCAAAGTCTGTAATGTTTCTTACTATTAATTAGATCATATTTTGACTAGAGTAAAGGGAGTATTGCATAAGGCAGTAGAAATCTAAAATTTCAGACAAATTGCTACTAATGTACTATAATATTATGTTAATGGATACTCAAACTCACCAAGAGACAGACCTGGCAGTATGAGTTACTCCTTCTGGTTTCTGAGCTCTCCCATCCTAATAGCTGGGAAATTTAGGAGAAATCACCTCATAGCTCTGTCTACAAAATGAGGATAGCAATAGTTACCATTCGATAGAACATCAATTAATTAAGGCATAATGTGTTTAGACAGTGCTTATTTTAAAAAATGTGTTTTGATTGTTATTTATAATGTTTTTTTCGAGTAGTGCAATCTCAAAAACTTGCATTTTTCTTTGCTTGTCTGGATTTTGTTTACTTTTGTCCAAAGAAACTCTGTAATATAAATGTGGTTGTTTCAATGAGTCCTGATGCATTGTGAAGATAAAACATCAGGGGGCTTTTAAAATAATACTTATTGTCTATTTGATAAAAGTCCTTGATTATTCACTCCTTCACTCATGCACTCATTCATTTATTCACTGAATATTCTTTGAGTGCCAGTCATTGAGGACAAGAGGTTTAACAAGACCAGCATGATCTCTACCCTCCTGGAGTTTAATAGCCATAATGGAGACAAATATTAGTGATCACACTTGCTACAAACTGGGATACATGCTAAAAAAGGACAAAGGAATAGTGATAGATTTAAACAAAGAAACTCAGCTGAGGTTGAGGGGGGCAATATTCTGAAAAAGTGACATCTAAGATGAGACCTAAAGGATGAGTGAGAATTTGCCCTATGAAATTGTTTCTGGAGGAGGGAAGAGCATGCCCAGGTGTTCTGATGAAGGAAATGAACATAAGCCAGTTTGGAGGGAGGGTAGTGGGCAGGAGAGACGGGGGTGGGTTTGACTAGAGTATAGACAAGGCCATGTCTTATAAGCCTCAAAGGCTGATTTAGAAGATTGAGATTTTTCTCCTATTCACATTAAGAAGCTGTTGAAGGGTTTTAAACCGGGAAGAGGTTGGATAGAGCTTGCATTTCGCAAAGAAGACTAGCTGTTGTGTGCAGAATGGATTGCAGGAGCCAGAGTGGAAGCCAATAGGAGGCCATGACAGCTGCTTGATAAAAGATGACAAAGTCTAGAATGCTTTGCACAAAGCAGTGAGGATGGAGAAGGGGACAGAGAAGGGGATAGAGTTTGGGGGCACAACTGATAGAATTTTTCAGTAGAATACATGGATGACAGACTTTTGTATAGTGCGCTGTAAGTATCTGTATCTCAAATATTCTGTATATTTTTCCCTTTGTCTTTGAACTGTGGTCATATATTCTTGCCTTTCTAGTCCACCAATAATAAGTCTTAAAATCTTTGCTTCATCCCAAGGGATTTTAAAAATGTTACCTTTCCCATGAAACTGGCTCTCAATTGGAATGAACGCTCAGCCCAGCATGCTTTGCTTTTTGCTGCATCTTGGTGTTAGCAAGATGTTAGAGTGCAGCAGCGTTGCCTGCATTGGTGCCTTATTCCTGCTCCTACCCTATTTTATAAGCATCTCAGATGTCACAGCAACATCTTGGTCACACTACAGTGCAGATTCTATTACTTAGTATTCAACAAATATTTCCTGACATTGATTTTTGTTTAAAGGTAAGAATAAGAACTTATGTGACAAAAACCAAGACATTCAATTTTTGGGGATATTAGGAATTTTTAAAATAGCAGCATTAAAACAATCAGTGCATAGTACAGAGATTACTATATATTTGATTGGTTTTCTTCTGGCTCACTTAAAAAATTCTATGGTGTATGAATGCAAATACATATATCTAATATGTAGCTGCAAAAACTAAAAAGTAAAAATTTAAAAAAATCTATCAGTCACAGGCACTGTTTTAAAATCTCTTATAGTATAAACACTTCTGGTTTTAATAGTTAATGATGCCAATCTTCCAACACTGTTGTTTAATTCTTTCATCTATGTTAGCTGTGTGACCACCAATGAGATTGTATTTTTTTTTAAGAGCCGAAAACATATTTTACTTTTTATCTTCCCAGATGTCTGTCCAAATTCCTAATGGCGTTGACCCTCTCTCCCCGGGTCTCACTGTATTCTCACAGCTCATGGCATTCCTTTTGGACTCACCTTGCTGCCGTCTTTGGAGCCCCACACCCTAATTTTGAGAATGTACATTCTCCAACCTATTTCTTCAAATCTAGTTTTATTTCTCTCCATCCATACGCTTTGAATCAATGATTGTCTGCTCAGTTGTTGCCTATTTGCTAATTTCTCTTGGAAACATTCAATGTAGTAGAGCTTGGATTTGAACTTTCCTGTGTCCAATTTGCATTAAATTATTGCACAATCCAAAGAGTACATGGTTAGCATTGTTTCTAAAATGTGTTTGCCTACATATATGAATAAAAAAACCACATCTATGCTCTTTCATGTAATGTCTAGCCTTACTATATTACTATCTTAAGTCTATAGTATTACTGTTGTAAATCTATAGTATTATTGTCATATAACTTTATGGGAAAGTTTTTTTTTCCAGCAAATTTAACTCCACATACACTTAGAGAGGACCTATGTGACTTGAAAATGAGTTAGGGACATACATTACCTTGTTACAACAACTTAGCTTGTGCCCAAAGAGACCCTATAATACAGTGGCTCAAACAAGCTAGAATTATTTTTCTCCCTGGTAACAGAAGAAGGCAGATTGCCCATCATGGAGAGACAATTTTGTTTCATGAGGTCATCCAAGCATCCTGTTACTTTCCTTCTTGTTACTCTACAATTCTCTGGGTTAGAAGCTCACAATTTTTTTTCTGTAAAGCACCTCAGTAAATAATTTAGATTTTGAGGACCATGTAATCTCTGATGTCTCTGATGCAACTCCTCAACTAGCCATGTCTACTGCAGTGTAGATTTGTCCTTGAACAGCTCATAATTTGCCATGGGATAGGGTCAAATAAACAAATATCTGCCATCTAATATGATGCATGTGCCAATATGTCTAAACATGCACATGCACACACGCCTCTATGAGGTACAGATGTAGAACAAGACTGGTTATAGAGTATAAAAGAAAACCAGAGAAGGATGTTCACATCTGAAGAAGTCTTTACAGTCTAAATGGGCATTCATCAAGCAGAAAGCACGTAGAGGAAAGGAATTTCTTGCAGAGACACATAGAGGAAAGAAATTTCTTGCAGCTAGAGCCACAGAATTGTGTTAGGATGGGCAAAGTTATACTGTACTAACAAATGACCACGAAAGTTCAGTGGCTTAAAACTAATACGTATTTTTTGATAATGATGAAGATTGGTCTCAGCTTTGCAGGGGCTCAAACTTCTTGAAGCTAGCAGCATTTCCACCATCTAGAGCATCATCAGTCACTGTGGCAGGAAAAGGCACCATGTTTACACCGATGCTGGCTCTTACTTTTCCCCCACAATCACATGCATCACTTTTGCTCATATTTTCTTAGTCAAAACAAGTCCCATGAACACGTCTTAATTCAAGAAGATGGGAAAGTGTAATTTTACCATGTATCTTAAGGAGCCAGCAGGGGATATTTGTAAGCCCTAATGTCAACCACAGTTATTGAGGACTCAGAGACAAGAATGCAGGAGTAGCCAGAAGCCAGGTGACTGGAGCTTGTAGAAGAGGAAAAATAGGTGTATTGTGCTCTACCTATAAGAAACTATCAAATGTGCTTAAAGAGGAGCCATCCAAATGAAGGATCACCATGATGATACTGAAGAGAATAGATTAGAACAGGAAAAAGTATTGTTCTTCCCAGAGTGAAAATGTATATTATGGGTAAAAATTTGGAATGTGAGGATGAGGTCAAGGAAAGAGTCAAGAATGGTACACAAATCTATTCATGTGATAAAGTGACATAGACGTATACACACACACACACACACACACACGCAGGTAAAAACTGATGAAATCTGAATAAGATCTTTATATTGTCCCAATGTCCATTTTCTGGTTTTGATATTATGTAAAATGGGACTTCAGGAAACTGAGGAAAGAGTACATGAGGCCTCCCTGTACGGTTATTTCCTTTTCTGTGAGCCTATAATTATTTAAAAATAAAATAAAATGATCTCAATATTTTAGAGGGTTTTTAAAAACTGGAACGAATAATTAGCATTTGCATAGTGCTGGGTAATTTGTCATCACTTTCCCAGACATCATCTTACCCGCATAACAACTCTCAGATATTTGACAGATGTAGTAATTGTTGGAATTATTGCCTTTATAAAAAAAAGTCTTCTGTTGTCCTATTAAACCCCATATAAGAACAAAAGTAATGGAAGTATAATGTAAGAGGAGCTTTTAAAATCTATCCCCCTTTGACATAATTTCAGACAGAATATTGTTCCTAGATGACTCACACTCCTGGCATCTAAAATGAAGCATGATGAAGCCATATATTTTTTAGGTAATGTACATCACAACACTGTCACATGATGAACGTGAAAATGAAATGTTTCCTAGTTGACCACAGCAACAGTAATCTAACGTCCGAATAAAGAAGACCTAATGCCCTTTCCTCTTTTCTTTTCTCAAAACATATAGTGGAAAATGTGTTTGGTCTTGAAAATCTTTAGAATATTTATTACATGGCAAATTATTACCAGCTATTGCCAATGACAAATTTGAACCAATACTCATTCTCTGAGGCCAGGCGCAATGGCTTATGCCGGTAATACCAATACTTTGGGAGGCTGAGGTGCGTAGATCCCTTGAGATCAGGAGTTCAAGACAAGACTAGGTAAGATAGGGTGACCCTGTCTCTACCAAAAAAAAAAAAAAGAAGAAGAAGAAAGAAGAAACTAAAAAATTATTCAGGCATGGTGGCATGCCTGTGGTCCCAGCTACTGGGGAGATTGAGGTGGGAGGATGGCTTGAACCCTGGAAGTCAAACCTGCAGTGAGCTATGGTCATGCCACTGCACTCCAGCATGTGCCACAGAACAAAACCCTATCTCAAAGAAATATTGATTCTTTCTTTATGTGAAGATTTAAGTTTTGGTCCACCATGGGGTTTTTTGTATTAATTTTGATATTTTTAAAAAAGATTACATTAAAACATTATTTATCTTGATTGCTGATAATTTGGTTCTTCCCTTAAGCTTTCTGCCCAAAGCAAATGCCTCATCTGTCTCTCTCTGAGTAGAAAAATAGATGACTCTTTATGAGAGTGAGGGAAGTTGTTTACCTGCAGATAAGCACCAAATATCATTTTGCTGCTAGCCTCACCCTGGGCATCATTCCTGACTCTACAGCTTAATATCAAAATGGTTTTCCATGTTATCAGAGAAAATAAATCAGCTAATCTGTGGTTAAAAACAGATCTTCTCTACAAATGATGCAATGATTTTCCCTCAGGAACTTTATAAGCAGGTTATTTGACATGACATACAGCTTTCTTTATGAAATATTCTGTCTGCAAACACTGAAACACAAATTTTCATTGTTTTCAAAATCATCTGGTTTTGGCCTTACTTTGCAGGACTATGGATTTGTTTTGGTTTACTTATTTGTTTTCTTTCTTTTTAAGCTGTGGAACACCCGCCAAATCTGAGGATATATGCATCTAAGCCAATTGTTAGCTTTTAGATTTATCACAGTTTCCAACAGCAAGCTAAAGTTAATGAGTTAATAAATAAAAATTCATCAACATATACATATCATGCCCTTGACAAGAAGGTATCATTTTTCTTGTAAGTTAATGTTCAGAAGTTTTATTGTATACATGGCCGAATTTTGTATAAAAAGGGAGATATTATCAAACTCAAGTACTCTTCCATTTTTCTCAATTTTCTCATTTTTAAAATGAAGGGAGAAATTAATATGAAAATCTTATTAATTTATTTTTACAAAGACCTCATGGAAAGTTCTTGGGCAAAACTCTTAAAATCCATATCAGATTGTTGTCCTGTGATAAATTCCGTGTGCTTACGTCACTCTTGGATGAAAGAGCATATTTTTGATATTCCATTGTTTAATGTAATTATTCTTCATCACACTTATACCTAAGAATGTGAATTCCAGCCAGTTTCTTACATCATTGTTGGTCTTGGGTTTTGAGTGATTTTTCATTTTATCACATATAAAGGGTAATTAACTTGCTATTTTTCTGAGCTTAGATGAAAATAATTTAAGGGAAAACTATGGGTTAGTATTCCAAAGAATCTAAGCTCATTAAAGAAGTGACCAGGGTCTGAGAAATAAATATACATATATATATAAGAAATATAAATATATATGAAATATATAAATATATATATAAAATATATATGTTATATATAATTTATATATAACATATATATATAACTTAATACCAAGATGACATCAAGAGGAATTTGAAAGGTTCTATTTGCTTCACATTTTATTAAACTCTATATTCATTTCTTGAATATCTTTATTTACAAAGTTATGTCTAAATAAAAGAGAGACTCAAAATTGGATAAAGAATGAAAACTTAAAAACAATTCTAAGAAATGCTCTTAGAATCAGAACAATTAACCTGGAGAAGAGTAAACAGAAATCTAACTTCAAACAGGGGGACAGGAGCATTTATAAACAGCATCCTTTACTGGGAAATACTCAAATGGAAGTAATTCTTAGGTGCATTATGAGGGACTAAATTGGATAAAACAATAAACTTTCTTCTTGAAAGGAATAGATGAGTTATATATTTTCTTATTTTTTTCTAGAAGAATTTTTAAAGTTATAGAATCACTTGCCTAAAATAGCTTAAATTTGGTTCTATACAAAGACCAATCAGTAGATACATTGAAGTCATCTTTAGAACGTTGAGTTTCTGAAAGTAAAAAATTCATCTCCCAAGCTCTTTAACCTGATGTATAGCTACAGCAAACTCTAAAAAAAGAAAACCCTAGATATCATTTTCTTTAATAGGGTGCAGTGATAAAAATCAGGACATAATATGTCCCAAATAATGACTTTTAATCCCTCTAGGAAGCAACTCATTGTTTCTGTTTTAAACATCACAATTTCAATTTTGAAATATATTTCTGGTTCTGAACATAATTCTAACTATATTTTTAGAACTTTGTTAGGACAAAAATTAAAAAATAAAAAATATCATTAAATAATACATTTTTTCTGTACTGGAATTATACTGGTTCCTTAGCTTGAAACATATAAGTGTTCCAGAATATATTAAAATATTCAAAATTCTGCTCCTTCATTATCACTGAAGACCCTCATTACTCTACCTTATGGGTAAAATATCTCCAAGTACTAAGAAAGGACTTTGTGTTTAAGCCTGCCTAAAATTCAGGGATCCAAAAGTCTCAGGAGAGATTTAACAAAGTGAAGCCTTAGTGAAAATGTTTGAGTTTTTCCTACTCTTAAAGAATCCCAAGCAATTGGTGTGGCAAAGTGCATTGATCTCCTGTTGGTGTATATTCATTCATTACATTTAGTGTAGTTTTTTAATGTTGCCGATCTAGGTTTAAATTGAACTTGTCATGCTGGAGTGCATGTGTCCTGGTTCTGAATCACTCCTGTTCTTGTGGCTATAGTGACCAGCAGATATCAGGAGGAAAGTGGAAAAGAGGAATCTTCATTTAAGCAGGCATGTCCATCTGACACCCCTGCAAGCAGTAGTTCTCTTTACTTCTGCACCTTTTAAGGTTAATGTAGCAAAAGGAGTTATCCTATTTTGCAGGTTCAGCTTTTATTCTCAGAACTTTTAAAAAGTATGTTTTGGGTTAATATTAAAGTAATAATGGTAACAATGCCGGAATTTAAAAGAAAAGGAAATATTTTTTTTATTCTGGAGTACAGTGGTCCCATTATCTTAGAAAAGTATTTCATGGTTTTCACTATTTTCATTTCAGTTTTTCAAGCAGAAGTTCTCAACCAGGAACACATTTGCACCCAGGGGGACCTTTGGCAATGTCTGAGATTTTGGTCGTTACAAAGAGGGGGTGCTGCTGCTGACATCTAGTGGGTAGAAGCTAGGGATGCTGCTGAACAGGCTACAATGCATAAGACAGTCCCCTGCAATAAGAAATTATCTGACTCAAAATATTAATAGTACTGCGACTGTGAAACCCTACTTTAAAGCAATGGTGGCACATTTTAAAAACTGATACTACACTGCGAATCTCCTAGGATGACAAGTTGACAATTCTGAATAAGGGCTGATATTCTAATTCTTGGAATGGGGTGGGCAGAGAAAAAGACAAGATATTTAGATATCTGTCTAGTACATTACTCTTCACATCCATAAGCCATGGAAAGAAAGAATTTCCACAGAAAATATTTGAGTGTTTCTCAACCATTTATTTGATGAATCCTATTTCTATTGTGCAATTGTACAAAACTTTTCTCATTTTCACTTGTCTTAAAAAAATACAAGACTGAGAAGTAGATAAGAGTTCAGTCTTAGTCATGTGACAATTTCTTGGGGTCTGTGCTGGGTTTCTGGGAGCTGCTATTTATGATGATAAAGAGCAGTTATCGGTTGAGTCTTGGGAACCCACCTTGAAGCCTCGGTGCACATTTTCCTGGATGTATTACATTTTGGAAAATAGAGTTTAGGTCCATAGAAAGTTGATTTTCTTTGCTCAAGTCACTTAAAAACCCTGAGTTTAAGTAATTTTATATCAACAGTAGATGAATAAGGGAGAGCATACAAGTAAGTGGGCACCGGGCTATGCTCAAAAGAGATGAATTTCACATTCAACAAGATAAATGAAACACTTAGCAAGGCTGACCACAGTGTGCTTATTCCACCACTTCCCTCAGCCCTCAGGTTTCCCCTTCATGGACTGTGGTACTTCAAGAATTTATGACAGGGAATGTCAGACATTTCTTCTTTCTTAAAATTGAGTTGGTACAACATAGATGTGTTGGAAGTCTCTGCTGCCGGGTAAAAACAAAGATGAAAAGATAATTCTCTAAGCTCATTTCTCCTGGACTTCTCAAAGGAAACTGTTATATTATGTATCGGTCTTAAAGGCAAATGATGCAGGATCTCTTCTAGAGTAGTATTTTTGTCTCCTTGGTATCCATTCTCCCTTTTCTGACATCGTTCCTTTGATTATCCTTTGGGGCATCATTACCCTCACCTCTTCTCAGTTTATATGATTTAAACTGGGTTGGCCCTATCTCCAACTCCACAGGATAAGCACAGACTCAAGATCTTGCCAAGAAGTATCTCCTTGGCTATAAACCTGATTCAGAGACAGGCAATGAAAACACGATCAGGCAATGAGATATATATTTGAAGTTTATTGGACATAATTGACAATTGTGGGGTACAAACAACTAAAAATTAAGGAAGTAAGGGGGAAAAAGCAGAGTCTGGAGAAAGAGAAAGACTAACTCTGACATTATTGGAGCAACTGGATCCAGCAGCACCTGAAGTCAGATACCCATGGATAGTTTAGTTATATGCACCAATAAATTCATCTTCTTTTCTGTTTAAGCCAGTTTGACTTCATTTTCTGCTTTTCAAAACCAAAAGTGCTGAAAATGTAGTAAGGGGGAAAAAATAGAAATGTGAAATAGCTGAAAATCAGATGATATTTGTGTCTTAGCAAATGATGTGCATATTCCTTTTATCTTTCCTTTAATATGTAAACTTAATTTTAGAGAGATATTTCAACCAATTTAGCCAATTTGTTTCTTGTCTGACACTCTTTTTTTCTCCTAATGGATGTGTTACATTTTGGAAGATTGACTCTGGTTCCACAGAGACTTGATTTTCTTTGTTCTTAGTATCACAGAATAGCCTCCCAATGAATAAAAGAAAATTTTAGTTCACTGTTATCTATTGTGTAGTGAAAATGATTGACTTGCTAAACACCAGCCATGAGACCAGTCAATCTTGTTGATTCAACAAAAGTATCACCTGACATCAAGAAATCTTTTCAGCTCCTGAAGCTAACTTGCAAAATATTTATAATAATCATGCCTGAAAATGTTGAACATAGTTAAGATTCTTACTCAATAGAGTAATAATTTGAGAAATAAGAGAGAAGAAGTATTCAATCAGAAAAGCAATCTTGAACTGTAAACGCTATTTAAAAACAAATAATTGTTTTATCTCTGAGTGGTAAGACTCAGCAAACTCTCTTGACTAAGTGACCCTTTGTCAGTTATGGATCTATTGCAGATTAAAATTAGCGTCATCAGAATTTGGGAAATCTAAGCATTAATTATATGGCAGAATACATTGAGATTTTTTTTTTTTCACCAAAGCACTTTTTACTTGAGGCAAAGAGAAGTCTTGCTGAAGGGATTACAGTTCCAAGCAGTCAAAACTCAACCATTGGCAAGGTGCAGTGGCTCACGCCTGTAATCCTAGCACTTTGGGAGGCTGAGGTAGGAGGATCACGAGGTCAGGAGATGGAGACCATCCTGGCTAACATGGTGAAACCCCGTCTCTACTAAAACTACAAAAAATTAGCTCGGCATGGTGGCAGGCGCCTGTAGTCCTAGCTACTCAGGAGGCTGAGGCAGGAGAATGGCATGAACCTGGGAGGCAGAGCTTGCAGTGAGCCAAGATTGCACCACTGCCCTCCAGCCTGGGCAACAGAACGAGACTCCGTCTCAAAAAAAAAAAAAAAAAAAAAAAAACCTTAACTGTTAGTGGCACTATTTTGACCTGGTATATTTTTCTTCCCTTTGGTCAGAAAAGGGTATTCAGGTTATACTTTCCCCAGTGGGGCAAAAAGAACAAAGCAAACTAGAAGAGACTTCTACTCTACTGACACTGCTCTTCAGATCCAACATCAACCTAGACAAGCCCTTGCTGGCCACTCTACAGGTTGCTGTCCAACTGCTCAGTGACACAGGCCAGGCCATACTACATTTGCAAGAAAAAAATGAGATTGGAAACACAGGTATATGTCACTTGGGGATGAGCAGGCACCCGCAGCTTCAAAACTTCATGGAAGGGGTAGTCCTTGTGGGAGGAACAGCTCACCAAGGCACAGACCCTCCAGTTCCTGTTGTAGCTGAGTAAGGTGGTCATATCCTGGCTGCTTAGTTCAAAGTCAAAGACCTTAAAGTTCTCAGCAATGCATTCTGGTGTCACAGACTTGGGGATCACCTCCAAGTTCCTCTGCCTGGGGGAAGTGGATCAGAATCTGGGCTGTGGTTTTATTGTGCTTGGCTGTGATCACCTTGATCCTGGGATCCTCCAGGATAGAAGGGGCCTCAGGCTTGGCCCAGGGTTTAACAGGAGAGCCAAGGGGGCTATAGGTGGTCACCAAGATGCCTTTGGACTGGCAGTACTGGATTAACTTCTGAGTGAGGTACAGGTGGAACTCAATCTGGTTAACTGCCGGCTTATACCTTAAGCCAGGTTTCTTTAAGATCCTCTCCACCTGGAGATGATTACAGTTGGAGATGCCAATAGCTTTCACCAGCCCTTCATCCACCAGCTCTTCCATGGCTGCCCATGTGTTCACAATGTTGGTGTCACTGGGATCCACGTTGTCTGACTCATCCAATGGGAAAAATTCCTTTCCAGGCTTAAAGTCGGTCAGCCAGTGAATAAGGTGGAGGTCCAGGTAGTCCAGCTTCAGGTTGCTGAGCGTCTTCTGGCAGGCTCCTTTCACCAGGACCTTCTTATGGTATGTGCACCACCCCTTGCTGATGAGCCTCATGCTTCACCACCTGCTCCCTAAGCTGCTTCTGAATGGCCACCCCTACCTCGTTCTTATTCTGGTGCATGTAGGCACAGTCAATATGGCAGTACCTGACATCGATCGCCACCTTCACAGCCTTGGTTACCTAGCCAGGAGGGGACTTCCAGGTGCCAAGCCCCAGGATGGGCATCTTGGTGCTGTCGGTGAGGACAAGGTGGCTCGCCATGGCTGCCGCACTCCCCAGACCCCCGCCCGGAACCATACATTGAAATGTTTAATATCTAAGTTATCAGGAAAACCCAAGAGGTAATTAGTAATGCAAAGTTTGGGGAAAGTTTTCATTTGAATACAAATATTGTTATTGTTATCTTTAAGTCATGGTTCCTCAAAATTGGCTGCATATTGGAACCACTTGGGTTTTAAAAATACTGATAATTGAGATACATCATATAGAGTACTGCCTGTACTGGGGAGGGTGTGTAAAAACCTCCCCAGGTGATTCTAATATGCAACGTTCGAGCCTAATTGATTTAAGTCAATTCTACCATTTTAATGTTCATATAAATTACCTGGGGGTGTTGTTAAAATCAGTTTCTGATTCAGTGGGCCTAGAATGCAGTCCAAGATTCTGCATTTCTAACTCTGCTGTTGCTGGTGTGGGTACCACATTTGGAGTAGCAGGGATCTAAGACATTGCTTGTGTTTTTGGAGTAAATGGTTGTAGGAGAATTTTCTAGTGTCCACCTACCGCCTGTCGTAAGACTGGAAATCTCTTGTGATGAAGAGGTTTGTGGTCACTGAACTTAAACTGTAGAGGACATTCTATTATAATGAAGACTTGTTGAGAGTTGCTATTCCTGTTGATGGTACTACCTTTGCAAAGGGTGCAAAGGGAGAACTGGGGTGCTACTAAGCTTTCTGATTTCACACCCTCTGGCTCTGTTCAAAGCGGTGCTTGGCAAAATGGCAAAGCTGGACTTTTATACCTTCTCCCACACTTTGCCCTTCTCCTCTCCTCCTGGCCTACTAGCCAAGCCAGCCACCTTCTTGAAGCCAGTTTCTCTACTTTACTAATGAAAATACAGTTTTGAAGATCTTACTCCCTCCCGTTGCACCCCAGTGGGAGACTCTTAATTGATTCCAGGTTGGCAGCCCTGTTTGTGGATAATTCAGGAATGTTACGAACTTCCATTTGAAAGTGGGAATGAAATCTCCTTTCTTTTGCCTTGTGTTCAATGTTCTGCTGACTCACTGCTTCCCAAAACAACATCCTTTTCTGAAATAAGATGTAGTTGCAAATATATTATAGTTTGTGATATATTAGCACCCACACCTTATTATTATAGCCCATGAGCTAAGGTGCTAACTTCGACAAAGACCCCAACCCATGTCTCAAAAAACCTAATCACATTCTGTTTGGTCTACTTAAATAGTAGACAACGTAAACATAACAACATGGAGAAAATTTTATTTTCTTAGCAGCAAAGTCATCCCCAAGGAAGTGGTTTTTGGGGGTGAATGTTTTTGTTAAGTTTGGATAGGGTGGAGAGTGAGATCTTTTAAGGGCACACTTAAGGAAAAAAATAAAAGTTTGCTCTTAGAGTTGAATAAAATGCATTTACTTGGCCAAATGAGGTATATAAGTTGAGCACAGGAGCTGAGAACAGCAGAAAAGACTTTTGGCAGCTGTGTCAGGAAGAGGGAAGAGAGACGGTATTACTGATGGAGAGAATAATTTGTTTAGGGCAGGTGGAGATTAGATATCTGGAGGAAATTTCAGTGCATTTAAAAAAATGTTTTATTTTTAATTTTTATGGATATATCGTAAGTGTATATACTTATGGAGTACATGAAATGTTTTGATAGAAGCATGCAATGCGTGATAATCACATCATGGAAAATGAGGTATCATCCATTCAAGCATTTATCCTTTGTGTTATAAATAATCCAATTACAATTTTTTATTTATTTTAAAATTTACAATTTTTATTGACTACTATCACCCAGTTGTGGTATCAAATACTAGGTCTTATTTATTCTTTCTAACTATTGTTTTTTGTACTCAAACACCCCCTGTGCCCCCTCACTACCCTTCCTAGGCTCTGGTAACCATCACTCTATTTTCTACATCAATGAGTTGATTTTTAGATCCCACAAATAAGTGAGAACATGTAATGTTTGTCTTTCTGTGCCTGGCTTATTTCACCTAACATAGTGACCTCCAGTTCCATCCATGTTGTTGCAAATGACAGGGTGTCATTCTTTTTTTATGGCTGAATAGTACTCCATTGTGTATATGTATCACATTTTCTTTATCTGTTCATCTGTTGATGGACATTTAGGTTGCTTCCAAATCTTGGGTATTGTGAACAGTGCTGCAACTAACGTAGGAGCTCAGATATTGCTTCTATATACTGATTACCTTTCTTTTGGGTACATACCCAGCAGTGGGCTTGTGGGATCAAATGGTAACTCAATTTTTAGTTTTTTTTTTTTTTTTTTTGAGGAAACTCTAAACTGTTCTACATAGCAGTTGTACCAATTTACATTCTCACCAACAGCACACAAGGGTTCCCTTTTCTCCACATCCTTGCCAGCATTAGTTATTGCCTGTCTTGTTGATGTAAGCTATTTTAGCTGTGGTGAGGTGATATCTCATTGTAGTTTTGATTTGCATTTCTGTAATGATCAAGATGCTGGGCGCCTTTTAATATGGCTGTTTGCCGTTTGTATGTCTTTTGAGATACGTCTATTCAAATTGCTTGCCCATTTCTAAATTGGATTATTAGATTTTTTTCCTATAGAGTTGTTTGAGCTTCTTATATGTTCTGGTTATTAATCTCTTGTCACTGGGGCGATTGGCAAATATTTTCTCCCATTCTGTGAGCTTTCTCTTCAGTTTGTTGATTGTTTCCTTTGCTGTGCAGAAGTTGTTTAACTTGATATTGACCCCATTTGTCCATTTTTGCTTTGGTGGCCTGTGTTTTGGGGTATTACTCAAGAAAATTTTGCCCCAGACAATGTCATGGAGAGTTTCCCCAATGTTTTCAGGTGGTAGTTTCACGATTTGAGGTCTGATATGGTTTGGCTCTATGTTCCCACCCAAATCTCATCTTGTAGCTCTCATAATTCCCACGTGTTTCGGAAGGGACCTGGTGGGAGATGACTGAGTTATGGGGGTGGGTATTACCCATGCTGTTCTCCTGAGAGTGAATGGGTCTCATGAGATCTGATGGTTTTAAAAAGGGGAATTTTCCTGCACAAGCTCTTTTTTTGCCTGCCGCCATCCACATAAGATGTGACTTGCTCCTCCTTGCATTCCGCCATGATTGTGAGGCCCTCTCCAGCCATGTGGAACTGTGAGTCCAATTAAGCCTTTTTCTTTTGTAAACTGCCTCTCTGGCATGTCTTTATCAGCAGTGTGAAAATGAACTAATACAGTAAATTGGTAATGGGAGTGGGGGCTGCTGAAAAGATACTGAAAATGTGGAAGCGACTTTGGAACTGGGTAACAGGCAGTTAGAACAGTTTGGAGGGCTCAGAAGAGGAGAGAAAAATATGGGAAAGTTTGGAACTTCCTAGAGACTTGTTGAATGGCTTTGACTAAGATTCTGACAGTGATATGAACAATAAGGTCCAGGCTGAGGTGGTCTCCGATGGAGATGAGGAATTTGTTGGGAACTGGAGCAAAGGTGACTCTTATTATGTTTTAGCAAAGAAACTGCCAGCATTTTGCCCCTACCTTAGAGATTTGTGGAACTTTGAACTTGAGAGAGATGATTTAAGGTATCTGGCAGAAGAAATTTCTAAGCAGCAAAGCATTCAAGATGTGACTTTAGGTGCGGTTAAAGGCAGTTTTATAAGGGAAGCAGAGCATAAAAGTTTGAAAAATTTGTAGCCTGACAATGCCATAGAAAAGAAAATCTTATTTTCTGAGGAGAAAGCCAAGCCAACTGCAAAAATTTGCATAAGTAACACAGAGTCAACGTTAATCCCCAAGACAATGGGGAAAATGTCTCCAGGGCATGTCAGAGGCCTTCACTGCAGCCCCTCCCATCACAAGCCCAGAGGCCTAGTAGGAAAAAGTAGTTTAGTGGGCTGGGCCCAGGATCCTCAAGCTGTGTGAAGCCTAGGGACTTGGTGCCCTGTGTCCCAGCTGCCCAGCCAGGGCTGAAAGGGGCCAATATAGAGCTCAGGCTATGGCTTCAGAAGGTGCAAGCCTCAAGCCTTGGCAGCTTCCATGTGGTGTTGAGCCTGCCAGTTCACAGAAGTCAAGAATTGAGGTTTGGGAACCTCTGCCTAGATTTCAGAAGATGTACGGAAACACCTGGATGCCCAGGCAGGAGTTTGCTGTAGGGGCAGTGTCCTAATGGATAACCTCTGTTAGGGCAGGGCAGAGGGAAATGTGGGGTGGGACCTCCCACACAGAGTTCCTACTGGGGCACTGCCTGGTGGAGCCGTGAGAAGAGGGCCACTGTCCTCCAGACCCCAGAATGGTAGATCCACTGACAGCTTGCACCCTGCGCTGGAAAAAGCTGCACGCACTCAAGGCCAGCCCATGAAGGCAGCCGGGAGGGAGGCTGTACCCTGCAAAGCCACAGGGGCAGAGCTGCCCAAGACTATGGGAACCTACCTCTTGCATCAGCACGACCTAGATGTGAGACATGGAGTCAAAGGAGATCATTTTGGAGCTTTAAGATTTGACTTCCCTGCTGGATTTCAGACTTGCATGGGGCCTGTAGCCCCTTGGTTTTGGCCAATTTCTCCCATTTGGAATGGCTGAATTTATCCAATGCCTGTACCGTCATTGTATCTAGGAAGTAAGGAACTTGCTTTTGATTTTACAGGCTCATAGTGGAAGGTATTTGCCTTGTCTCAGATAAGACTTTGGACTGTGGACTTTTGAGTTAATGCTGAAATGAGTTAAGACTTTGGGGGACTGTTGGGAAGACATGATAAGTTCTGAAATGTGAAGATACGAGATTTGGGAGGGGCCAGAAGTGGAAAGATATGGTTTGGCTCTGTGTCCCCACCCACATCTCATCTTGTAGCTCCCGTAATTCCCAAGTGTTGTGGAAGAGACACGATGGGAGATGATTGAATTGTGGCAGCAGTTCTTTCCCATGCTGTTCTCTTGATAGGGAATGGGTCTCATGAGATCTGATGGTTTTAAAAATGGGAGTTGTCCTACACAAGCTTTTTTTTTTTTTTTTGCCTGCTGCCATCCACATAAGATGTGACTGGCTTCTCCTTGCATTCCACTATGATTGTGAGGTCTACCAATCCACTTGGATCTGTGAGTCCACTTAAGCCTCTTTCTTTTGTAAATTGCCCAGTCTCGGGCATGTCTTTATCAGTGGCATGAAAATGAACTAATACAAGGTCTTACATTTAAGTCTTTAATCATTTTGATTTGACTTTTGTATATGGCAAGAGATAGGAGTCTAGTTTGATTCTTCTGCATATGGTTGTCCAGTTTCCCCAGCAACATTAATTGAAGAGACTGTCTTTTCCCCAGTGTATGTTCTTGGCACCTTTGTTGAAAATCAGTTCACTGTACGTGTGTGGGTTTGTTCCTGGGTCTGTGTTCTGTTCCATTGGTCTATGTGTCTGTTTTCATGCAAGTACCATGCTGTTTTGGGTACTATAGCTCTTTAGTATAATTTGAAGTCAAATAATGTGATTCTACTAGTTTTGTTCTTTTTACTTAAGACAGCTTTAGCTATTCTGGGTCTTTTGTGGTTCCATATAAATTTTAGGATGGGGTCTATCTATTTTTTTGAAAAGTATTATTGATAGGGATTGCATTCAATCTTTAGATTGCTTTGGATATTGTGGAGATTTTAACAATACTGATCTTTCTAATCTGTGAACATTGAACATCTTTACATTTTGGTTTCCTCTTCAATTTCTTTCATCAAAGTGTTTTATAGTTTTTATTATAGAGCTTATTTACTTCTTTGGTATTTAATTTTATCAGTTCATTTCTTCAACATGATGTGCACTAGGAATCATTTTTCTTATTGCTTTGTGGCACCTGTAGTAAACGACCCGTTTCTTATGAACACAATGGGGCATTTTGGTATCTACTTTGTAATTATAAAATGTAAATTAAGTTATATCATGCCTATACTCAACAATTTCTAGTATATGCAGAGTAGAAGCTAATGGCTTTATGGTTATCCTCAAGATCCCACATGATTGCTTTCTGACCTCATCTCTTTTTCCTGGCTTCCACACCTCACTGTTCTTAGTACAGGCATCTACATTTCCTTCCTGTGGCCTTTACCTTAGCTCTTCCCTCCCTCTAGAACACTTTGCCTAGAAATATCTGCAGGGCTTTTTTCTCCACTGCTTCAGGCCTTGCTCAAATGCCTCCTTCTCAGCAGACAGATTTAAAGTGGCTATGCTCCCTCCCTGCTTCCCAACACATTTGCCATGCTCTACTTCATTCTTCCATACCGCTTTTCTCCGTATGCTTCAGAATGTATTTATGTATTATTTTCATTGTTCTCCACTCTCAAATGCAAGCTCCATGGAGCCAGGGATTCTATCTATTCAATGATGCATCTTCAGCATCTACAACACAATCATTGAAGAAATAAATGCATACAAATGCCCATTAAGCTTTCAAAGTGCTCATAGGAAGTCAGCCAAAACCTAATTACTTGAACTCTGCTCATTATATTGCTTCTGACCAGTGGCTAGCAAATTTAGTAGACTGGGAATATATAAGATTTTCCCCAATGACCCCCCAGACCTCAGCTCCAATCTCTTTTAAGACGCTTAATTTCCCTATATTCAGTCTAAAATATTTGAAGCAATAACATTAAGTTCTTAGAACACATCTGAGGCTATCCTGGCAGAGCCATACTGTGTTAATACCTTTATCTCTTCCTCCTGTTCCCCTACTTCCATAGCCTGCCAACTATTCCCCAAGGGTATGCTGTGCAGATGGTACATCCTCAGCCCAGAATTTCTCCATGTTCTCTCCTATTTATTTCTTTGAATTTGCACTTGGTCTTCCTGTATCTCTTCCAGTAGTTCCATACCCACAATTTTTTCCTCTGTTTAAGACCTTTGCTTAGAGTCAAGAAGATCAGAAGTTCAATTCTGGCTTTATTACACATTTGTGTAGTCTTAGCCATGTTATTACTCTAAGTCTCAGTTTTTTTGTCTATGATATGGGAATATTATTTCAGTTCCTTCCTTATGCAAAATGGGGATGATGATGTTGTCCTCTTGGACAACATTGACCTCATGGTGAGTATTAAGTGAGTTGGAGCAGAGTATTTATAACTAGGTGGCCAATAAGTATTTCTTCCCCCTTTCTTCTCCTTCCCCTTTTATTAGCTTCTGTTTATCATAGGATCATAAAATCTTTCGTTTTAAAGGAACATTAAGGCCATTTAGTTCAGCTTATCTAAAAATCTGTTATCATCTTTGCGAGCAATTATCATTCCCACATGATGACCAGAAGCCTTTATTTCCTTCTAAAGCATCCAGTAATCTATTTGGAATAGATATAACTAGTTCTTGTCTCATATTGAGATTGAATTGCTCACCCTAAAACTTCCATTCTTAATGCTGATGTATGAAAAAAATCTAAACTAATTATTACTGTGTGATAACCCTTCAGAGAGATGAAAATATTTATTCTGTCTTTTGGTGTTTTTAATCATCCATACAAACTTAGCACAGTAATTTTGATTTCTCAAAAAAAAATGACAGTTTTGATTTGCCTCCTATGGCAATAATTTCTTTGTGAAGCTCCATCTCATAAGGCAATAGAGCACAGTGATTAAGGACACAGCTAGGGAGTCAGAATAACCTAAGGTTTGAGTCTGAGCTTGGTGACTTATTAGCTGTGAACCTGGGATAAACTTCTTTAAATATGTGTGTCTTCATATATAAAATGGATAATATTAATAAAAGGTATTCCATGGGGGCTGCTTGGGGGTAAAGCAGATGATGTGTTTAGCACACTTAGCACAGTGCCTGGCATGTGGTTTGTCCTGTGTGTCAGTGGTTGTTGAGTCCTGCCTGTCAGACACAGCCTGTGTGGTGCAAAACTTGAGCAAGACTATCTCCGTTTGTTCTGGAAATTGTAGTTTTATCTATGCAGTCTTAGATAGAATTAGGTTTTGTTGGCACCTACATCAGCCAACTCATTCTCATTCCGTTTGGAATCAGTAGTACTAGGGATGTAAGTAGCATGTTCTCAATGAGGCCTTACAAATGCCAAAGAAATGAATAGAAAAGCCTATAAAAGGTTTAAAAGGGATGAAATAAAAAAATTAATTCTACAGCTAGCAAGATCCTATGTTAAGAAAATAAGTTCAGTGGGACAACAGTTTATGTATTTATTCATCTATTTTTGAAAAAATATTGGTTTGGCCTCACCTATTTTCCAGACAATGCCAGGCACAGGTATCGTCCTTCACCATGGCATACTCAATAGGGGCAAGTACAACAAAGAATTAAATTCAATGTTATATAGACTTGCCTATCTCCATAAACCTAGGTGGAAGAATAAAATACTGTATGGTTTTATTTTAATTTGGACTATGACATTTGAAAGCATACAAGATGGAAATATTAATAATGTCTAACCGTATTTTAAAAAATGAAGTCATGTGGATCTAAATTTTTTCAGTTCCTAAGAATTGCAGGATATGCATGTTGAGTAACTACTGAGTGACCCACTGACAATGTTGAGGTGATTTCCATGTAAGCTGGAATGCACAAAAACCACCAGCATTTGTTAGAGCTTGACTTGGATTTTGTGAGTTTTGAATTGTGCAAGAACTTTAAAATGCCTCCTCTTCATAAAATAGGACTCTCTTAATTTGTAATTATCAATTCCATTATCACCTAAAGGATTCTTAAAATGTGGGATTTATGACACCAATAAAATATCCTTCAAGTTATCAATAAGACATCAAAGGATGACTTAGGATGAAGACTTTCAATCACAATCAATCAATGGCAAAGCAATATAGCAACCGTGTTAACCATGTGGCAGCAAGGAGTTGCCACCATTCCTTAGAATGGTCATAGCTGTGACAGTGATGACATTATGTAAGCATTTAACAGACCAGGGAAAATAAATCTATAGAGAGACATTTTTACTTGAAACAGTCTGGAATAACAAAAGGATGCTTAGGGATGTGATGCCTGATTACTGACTGAGCTATCCCCAGGAAAAACTTTTTTTTTTTTTTTTGAACCGGATACTTTGGCACTGAACATACAGCAGGGAAAGGAATTAGGAATATACATGTGAATAAAGATATAGTTAAAATATAAAATAGGCCAGGTGCAGTGGCTCACGCCTGTAATCCCAGCACTTTAGGAGGCCGAGGTGGGCAGATCACCTAAGGTTGGGAGTTCGATACCAGCCTGACCAACATGGAGAAACCCTGTCTCTACTAAAAATACAAAATTAGCCCTGTGTGGTGGTGCATGCCTGTAATCCCAACTACTCAGGAGGCTGAGGCAGGAGAATCACTTGAACCCGGGAGGCAGAGGTTGCGGTGAGCCAAGATTGTTCCATTGCACTCTAGCCTGGGCAACAAGAGCGAAACTCCATCACAAAAAATAAATAAATTAATTAAATAAACACGTATAGTTATTAAATATTAAGAGATTTAACGTAAAGGCTGACAATTTCCACCCAGCGATTTCAAGGAGGGGAAAAACTGAGGCTAATGAAAGGGAAGTTGTTCCAAGTGAAAAATTTGTTTTTTAGAGTAGAAATGTTATCTACTCCATTGCAGAGGTCCAGGGTCTTGCCTTCTCTGCCCCAAGTATGAGAGATATGCAGTGTACCAAAATTTAAGTTTACTTCTTGTGGTGTACAAAGTCAAAGATGCTCACTAGATGTGATTCAGGAAACATGTAGTCTCTAACTGAAACATAGAGTGGAAGGGTGGTAGAGGGGTTTTTCTTTTATTAATTTTAACTTAATATTCAAATAGAATGTAGTCAAAAAAGATTTATGTGTTCATTTATTTTTAAGCATGAAAGGTCTGGTCTGAGCTTCACACAGTATAAGAGAAGGCAGTGCATTATATTAAGAAAGACATGGACTTAGGAACCTAATTTATTTTTTTTTCTTCTTTCTTTTCTTTCTTTCTTTTTTTTTTTTTTTTTTTTTTGAGACAAGGTCTTGCTCTGTAACCCAGGCTGGAGTGCAGTGGTGCAATCATAGCTCACTGCAACCAGCATCTCCTGCACTCAAGAGATGCTCCTTCCTCAGGCTCCTGAGTAGCTAAGATTACAGACATGCACTACCAAGCCCAGCTGTTTTTTGTTTGTTTGTTTGTTGTTGTTGTTGTTAGTAGTGATGAGGTCTTGCTATGTTGCCCAGGCTGGTCTCGAACTCCTGAGCTCAGGCAATCCTCCTACCTCTGCCACCCAAATTGCTGGGATTACAGATATGAACCACCGTGCCCAGCCAAGTACCAAACTTTTTGGGTGGGTGTCCCAGCTATAAGTTGAGATAAAACAGTACCAACTTACAAAGTTGTTGTAAAGTTACATTGATACAGGCATAGAGCTTAGAACAGTGCCTGACACGTATAAGCACTCACTATATGTTGCCTATTACTATTATATACAAAAGCAAAACAGAACCAGCTCACAATCTTTGAAAATACCATCCTGCCTTTCAGTTTCCTCCTAAAAGTTTAAAAGCAGAATAAAATATGTAACAGAACAGAATTAATTCCCAAGTAATCAAAATATCCTGCCTTTCTCTGTAAAGGTGGTAAAATAAATGTAACAATGGAAGCCCTTTCCTACCCACTCTCTTTGTCTGCATCATCCCAGGCTCCCAATAAAATGAAGAAAAGGATAGAGAAAGTATAATAGGAAGTAACAGGGGCTCAGCCCATCCCAAAATGTTAATGGAATATTTAAAAGTTAAAACATCGAAAAAGAAAAAAAATGCTGACCCATTTAAAATAAATTGTGTCCAGAAGGAAGAAACTGCGGCACAGAGGAATGCACTGCAGAAACACTCTATAAGTGACAGGTTTAAGGAAGGAGCAAACATGGTTCATGGAAAAGTCGGTGGAAAGTGTCAGGCCCTGGACACCACCCAGTGTAGGAATACTTTCTGAATACTTAAGGTCAGTGAAGCCGCGCCTAAACAGCTGGCTGCATGAAAACCAACATCCTAGCAAGAACATCCATGCTGAGTTCAATGAAATTTGCCAAAATAACACAGGGAAAAAGCATTCCTGCAGTTCAGAAAAGCTTGCCAATGTTGCTGTCCTTACTGCCTTTAGCAAGTGGAAACGATTTCCCCTGCTGTTCTGTCGGCCTAGATCCTTTTCCCTCTCTTCTTCTCCGGAGAGGTTATTCTTCCTCGTTTATCAGATCCCAGTATTCCTTCTGAAACCTCTTACCTGTTCAGGCCAACTCCCTAGGTAGCCCTCAAGGGAAAGTATTTAATGAACCCTCTTTAGCCGGAGAAGGCTTTAAAAGGTAGCACTTTAGCCAAGAGAATGAGACTTGGAGCGTGTGATCACATCCACTTCATTTCTGGATGTATTTTGGAGACCCAAACGCTAGCGTCAGCGAGGATTCTAGATAAAGAGGTAACTATTGTGCTTCTCTCTACTTCTACATTTATTTCCAGTTTGCTCATTTTCTTTCTTTTCCACTCCCACCTACTTAAGAAATGGTTGTTTTGCTGAGTAGATTGTTTCTAGAAGGTCTTCTCCATCTGCTTTCTGACTCTCAGATCAGGGTGCAGAAACATTTTCAAACAGTTCTTTGGGAAGGAGCTGGTGCTTGCCGTTTTCTCTAGATAAGTGTTAGCTTTTGTTTGTTTAATAGATCTCTGGCTTAGGCCTTTTTGGTATTCTTTACGGTGGAATCCAAGTTTGGTTGGAGGGAGTGGTTTCTAAAATGTATGGGAGGTGATGAGAACTTAACCTGCCGGGATTATTCTATATGTCAAAATTGGTATGCTAGGCATGTACATTTTTAAAAGTTTTATTGACAATCAGCTGAAAATTATGTGCTTGTTATAGCACAATATTATGCAACCAAACATTTAAAAAAAATCTTTGAATAGGAAAACTTAGTTTTAAAAAAGTCCAAACAGACACACACACGCATAAACACACAAACACAGAAAATAATATTAAAGTTATTTAAGTCTAATTGGATAGCTTTTTGCTCCAACGGTCATTTGAACTTGGAAACAACAATCAAATGTGCCAAGTCAAAAGAATGATTTTCCAACTTTCTCTCTGTCTCTCTCTTTTTCTTTTTTAAACTAGTCATCCTGGTTTTAAAACATGAGATACAAGTCATCAATTTCACTGTGACTTAGCAATTTATTTACACGGTTTTACTACTTTGGACATAACACAGCTGAGTTTCGAGCTTGATAAAATATTGTTATCCGCATAATTCATTTTCTCCTGCTTCAACAAGGTGTTTGGATTTGTGGGAACTCCCATTTGAGGTTGAAATTGAATTGAAAATTCATGTGAATGCTACACAGATGAGGCAAGTCTGACTTCAGGGAAGCGTCCATTAAATTTACTCGCTAGTCTCTGGCATGAGAACCTGCTCCTAAGGCCTTGAAAATAGCTCCTATTATCATATCGACTGGAGTCAGCAAATATAACTCAAATTTAAGGTTCGTATAAGTTTATTACTGGATATGTGTAACAAATTTCTAATATATATTTAATATATTAGTCACATTGGGTTTAATGTAAGTTACTAATGTTTAACACAATGATCTATTGGCTTTTCATGGGCAATCCTCACTTATTAACGATATTATTGACTTAACTGAAATGAACAATTCCCTATTAATTCATAATTCATCTTTTAGTGGTAGTCATAAAATAAAGGCTACATCAGTCAAGGTAGAAGTAAAATACTAACAGTTGTTTTCTCATGGAATACCAAGTAACTTCACAGCCAAAAACAAATGTTTGAATAGAAAAGAATTGCTCTTCTTCCCTTAAATGTTATTCTTTTATTTAGAGAAATGAGAGCCAATTTTCTAGACTCTAGGGGAAAAATACTTTCACAATCTGTGAAAGCCAAACATTGAGTTTGTTAGAAGATCTTTATATTTTATATAGTATTCAAACCTCACAAATAGAAATACAGGTGTTTTTCAGAAGATGCATTAAATGAAGAGTCCCCAAAAAGGAATTTTTAGCACTCCATTGAGAAATCTTTCTGTAGATTGTAGCTCTAAATTCAAAATGGTACCGTCTTACATCTTTAGGAAAGGTGTGAGTGGCAGGGAGACTGGAGAGGATTTTTTTCTCCCCATGTTCTACTGAAAGAGCACTGTTGTGCTTTGGGGCAAATGCTGTTTATTCAAATCAATTAATGCACCCAAGAGTCTCATATACAAATCCACAGGACAAAGATTAACTTCATGAAGAAAAGGTGTTAAATTTGGTTAGCAGAAATGATGAAGATGAATGAGACACAACCTACAGTAAGAACACGTACCTGAAGGCATGCATTCCCAATGGGAGGATTTTTACTTCCAATGTCTGCTTAGGAAGATGATAATAAACACATGGCTGTGAAACACGGATCTAGCCTAAAGAAAGTCATTAAATTACATGACACAGTAGAGCATAGTATTTGAAAACATGGATTCCTGAAGTTTGACCTGGATTTGAATCTGAGTTACTGCTTCCTATGAAGTCTTGAGCAACCGAGTGCTTCAGTTGTCTCATTCTTGAAACGAAGATAAGAAGAATATCTACCACATAACATTGTTAGGTTACATGAAGTACTTAAAACATAGTAAATTTAAGTGTTTTTATTGCTATGTCTATTTATTTTTATTATTACATGAATATGAGTTGTCAAAACAGGAAATCTGGGCTCCAATTCCCATTTGGATATTTATGAGCTTTGACCTTGGGCAAGTTTCTTAAACTTGGCAAAATCTCCATATGTATAAGCTGGAAAAAGTGGAGAAATCCACCTTTTCAGGCCTGTTTTGAGACTAAAGTGGCATAATGTATGTAAAGTGTGAGATCCTTAGTTACCACTCAAAGAATAATTCCTCTCCCATAAGATACAGGAAAAACATAAAAAGAAAAAAGAAATGAAAGTCTGTGAAGCTTTCTCTTTCATATAATAATAAACAATTCAGTGACCTCTACATATCAACTGCAAATGCGAATTACTCATGTTAAATATGAGTGCAGAAAATGGAAATGGGCCAGACATGGTGGCTCATGCCTGTAGTCCTAGAATATTTGGAGGCTGAGGTGGGAAAATCATTTGAGCCTAGGAGTTGGAGACCAGCCTGGGCAACATGGCAAAACCCTGTATCTACAAAAATTTTTTTTCTAATTAGCCAGGTGTACACCTGTAGTCCCAGCTATTTGGAAGTCTGAGGTGGGAGGATTTATTGAGCCTGGGAAGCAGAGGTTGCATTGAGCTGAGATGGTGCCATGGTGCTACAGCATGGGGGACAAAAAAAAAAAAAAATGAAGCCCAGCACAGTGGCTCACACCCGTAATCCCAGCACTTGGGAGGCTGAGGCAGGTGGATCATGAGGTCAGGAGTTCGAGACCAGCCTGGCCAGCATGGTAAAACCCTGTCTCTACTAAAAATACAAAAAAATTAGCCAGGCATGGTGGCGCACACCTGTATTCCCAGCTACTCAGGAGGCTGAGGCAGGAGAATTGCTTGAACCTGGCAGGTGGAGGTTGCAGTGAGCTGAGATCATGCCATTGCTCTTTAGCCTGAGTGACAGAGCGAGACTCCATCTAAAAAAAAAAAAAGAAAAAAATGGCTAATAGAGAAAGGTAACTATTGCAAGTGTTAGGTTAAAAAAAAAAAGTGAGTGAAGTATCCCATTTTGCAGTCACAAGTTGAAGGTCTTTGATCTGGTTTGGCTGTGTCCCCACCCAAATCTCATCTTGAATTGTAACTCCCAAAATTCCCAAGTATCATGAGAGGAATCTGGTGAGAGGTAATTGAATCATGGTGGCAAGTCTTTCCCCTGCTATTCTTGTGATAGTGTATAAGTTTCATGAGATCTGATAGTTATAAAAACTGCAGTTTCCCTGCACAAGCTCCCTTTGCCTGCTGCCATCCATGTAAGATGTGACTTGCTCCTCTTTGCCTTTCACCTTCCACCATGATTGTGAGGCCTCCCTAGCCATTAAGTCTTATAAACCTCTTTCTTTTGTAAATTGCCCAGTCTTGGGTATGTCTTTATCAGCAGCATGAAAATGAACGAATACAGTCTTCAAATAGGATCAATTATTTCGAGAGTGCTTATGGACAGATGACCTTCCTATGTGACTAATTTAATCATTCCCCTCCTCTCCCTTTTTCGGCAATTTTAGTTTATTCTTTTCAGTATTTTGAAGTTGTATGTTGAAGGAAATTGTCCATGTGTCACTATTTCTAATCAGTAGTTGGTAACAACACCATTACACATATTCACGAGATTTAATCTCAAATGTATTCATCAAGTGCCAAAATCTCAGTTCAGACTGGCTCCAGTCAAAAAAAAAAAAAAAAAAAGGTTAATGGGAGTACAATAGTTTCAGGCATGGTTACATCCAGGAGATCAAGTCATTTCCAGATTCTGCCTCTCTTTCTTGGCTTAAAAGATGAAAATTGATGATATAAGGTCCTGGGGAGCCCATCAGGCATTTTTATGCCTTATGAGGAAAGAAATCTCAGAAATTCCATGGGGAAAGCTTCTCTTCCTATGTATTTCTAGGAAAAGTTTCCCAGCTCCAAGACAAAAGGTCTTGCATGCATTTCTGAACACATCGGCATAGTCAAGGGGCCAGAATTACACTGAATTATACATTGAAGGTATCTAGTTTGAAGACTGGTTCTGGAGAAGTTTCTGAGCATGACTTCCTTTCCCAGATGGCTGCCTTTGGAATGAAGTTTGGGAACTTTGCACAATAATTGAATGTTATTAGAGTTAATAAAAGGGGAGTCAAATATGTTGTTTTTGAGGAGAAATGTAACAGTTTCAATGGTATGCTTAGAAACCTTTTTTGAAACTTAATTTTTATCATTGTTATACTTTATTGTGGGGAGAGAAAATGGTGTTTAAACATGAAAGCAAGAGAGCACAAAATAAAGGAAACCTTGTTAAGGTCAGTAGACCAGAAAAAGAAAGCAGAATTTCCTTGAATGCTAATCTGCAAAACGTTGTTTTCTTCTAAGTACAAATTGCATCCATTATAAAACCATGTAGTAGTTGCCTTCTTTCATCTCTAGAAGCTTTTGATGGGCAGAAATGGAGACATGTGTTCCTCTTTTGTCAATCCCATGATCTCCATTGGTTCTCCCAGCCCCCTCATTTATTGGACACACAGATTACAACAATTTGTTTTTGCTTCCTCTCTCCAATTTGTCCTTTAATATTCTATTAGCATTCAAAGTGACATTCTTCTGGATTGAACAAAAGAATGGAAAAATCACTGGACTCAGTCACCTCTGGGGTCTTGAGCAAGTCTCTGATTATACTTGTTCTTTTTATTTGAAAACATTCTTAACAGAAGACACACAACTGTGGGTAAATTGTTTTACCCAGAGTTCATGAGTGCTCTATTCCCCAAGAGCCTCCACATACCCTGGATTATCTCCCAGGAACTACTAGGATGACCCAGTGATCTGACAACTAGAAGGTAAAAACCAGAGCCGTGCCCCAGCACTGCAGCTGAAGGCTCCTCTTCCTGCTTGGTGCTGGTGTTCTAATGGTTGTTAAACATTCTGACCATCACCTGGCTCCACCCCATTCATTCCATGTGAGAACACTGGCCTTGAGCTGTTGACTCATCTGATTTGGAAGAAATATTAGAAATCTTAATTTATACATCAAAATTACAAAAATACTTTGAAGTTGGAAATGAATTAAAGGTATTAAAATATTGAAAATCAAAGAAAGAGAGTAGATTTGAAGAAAGAGGACAGTTTTGATGGTAGAGGATGATGAGTTAGGCAAAGAAAAATGTTCCAGGCTGAAAGAACAAAACAAACACAAGCAGGAAGAACTCTTTGTTTATGTTGAATGTAAGAGATTTTAAACTGGCAGCTCTATGTTTATGATGAGTTTAAGAGATTTTAAACTGGCAGCTCCCAAGCCAGGCTTGGATAATTTATTTTTTGTTTGACCAGCTTATAGTTTGCCCTGCACAGTATTTTTAAAAGAATAATACACTTTAATAATATACTTTGGTTCATGGATACCCTGTAATTTTTAAAATAATTCATCTTTGTTGGACATTTAGATTGCTTCCAAATTTTTGCTGTTTTAAACAACCTTGAAAACTATCTTCTATATAAATTATTTTTGCACATCTATAAATTTTGGACAGAGGGCAAAATAAAAATCCTAGAAATGAAATGGGTAGATTAAAAAGGGCATGGATGCGGTAATGGTTGGGATGCATATTACCAATTTGCCCTCTATAAACTTTGTACTAATTTACACTTCTATGAGTCTTGTGACTGCCTACTTTTTGTAAATCTTTGGTACCAGGTTGATGATTATATTTTAATCAGCACAAAATCTCAGATATTAATATCATTTTATTTTATTATTATCAAGATGAAAACTTTTTTCAGATGACTTATAGAATAGATTTGAACCAGTCTAAAAAAGTCAGAGTTTCTATTTCTATTCTCCCTAGGCCACTCATAACAAGAGAGGTTTATTTATTGGATTTTTATCAATAAAGGAAACTCACATCTAGGTTCTTACACTTATTCTTCCACTTCTTATCCCTGGACAAGATTTTTTCATGGTCCTAGCTTCCTTCTCCCAACAAAATGCAGCTAGGAATGAAATCCTATCGATGGCTTACTGCACAATTGGGCCTGGCCAAGGCTCCTACTCAAGGGGAGTGAGATGTAGAGTCAGATCTTAGAATATCATGCAAACAGAACAGATTTTATGTCATTTCTACAAGGTTGTGTCTGGGTTCAGATCTTAGACCTTTTGTAGGCATCCCTCTTCATGTCCCTCTCCGTAAAACAATGGCGTACTCCTAACTGGTCCAACTCTTATCAGAATTTTCCCTTAGGAGCTGGAGCATATCTCTCAGTGCCTTATCTTCCTGAACCAATCTGGGGAGTATACAGAACTAATGACTAGTGGCCCAACTGATGGAAAATACAAATTTAGAAAATCTAAACTTTTTCTGTTCAAGTTATGCCAACCTTTTTTCCTGTAGCAGATACTGGGTATAAAATGATGAGTAAGATCTGAAATGATACCCATCTGAATGGCACTTAAAATGTAAGCTTAGGCTGGGTACACTTTGGGAGGCAGGTGGATCATTTGAGCTCAGGAGTTCAAGACTAGCCTGGACAACATGGTGAAACCTGTCACTACAAAACAAAAATACAAAATATTAGCTAGGCGTAGTGATGTGCATCTGTAGTCCCAGCTAGTCAGGAGGCTGAGGTGGGAGAATGGCTTGATCCTGGGAGGCAGAGATCATGGCACAACACTCCAGCCTGGGTGACAGATCAAGATACTCTCTCCGAAAAAATAAAAGAAAGAAAAAAGTAAGCTTAGTATTATAGCACTTATCTAAGATTCGTAATTGAGTTTAAACAACAACAAAAATGTGATTTTATTTCAATGTGGTAGGTATTGTTCTTTTTTCTAAGAGGTAATAATCATGAAAGTCTGTGAAAAATTCTTTAGCAGTGCTGACAGTTTGTTCTCTTTTTTTCCTTCTAATCTCCCAAAGCACAACAGTTGTACAGAGAACTTTAAATTTCATTAAAGTATAAATCATTTATTATTCAACAAATATCTATTGAAATCCTTGTCTGTATCAGATGCTGTTTTAGGTGCTGGGGATATCAGCAGTGAAAAAAATCGGTAATAGAATGAGAGAGAAAGAATGAATCCAAGTAGGTAGTGCTACAGAGAAAAATAAAGCAGAGGAAGGGAATGCTAAGGGATGAGGAGGTTGTTATTTTACATAGGTACACGGGAAAATCAGGGAAGACTTCTCTGATGGGTGACATCAGAGGCAAGAACCAAAGATTCAGGGAGAGAGCTGTGATGGGGAGAGGACATTCTAGGCAGAAGGAGCAGGGAGGTAGAAGCTCTGCTGAACGATCATGCAGGCATAAAGGAGGCAATTAGAAAAACACAGCGGATGTCCTCAGACCAGGGTAGGGGAATGACTGGTGAAAGGTGGTCAGATTCTGCATGTGTTTTAAAGGTAGAAGCGATGGGATTTGTGGGTAGATTCAAGATGTAGTATGGACAAAAGATAGGAGAAGTAAGGATGGCCTCAGATTTGGGGCAAAAGCAACTGAACCTGTCAATTTGTCATTTACTAAGATGGAGACACCGCATAAAAGTGGCTGGTCTGTGCATGAGGTTCCTTGTGTATAAAAAATAGGAGAATTGCAATTAGTACTGTGAAACTTGGGAAGAATATGTTCCCATCTCCCATTCATTTGGGGCAGGTGCTCACAGAAAGGAATAGCCGGCAAAATTGCACACATTTCCATGCTGTTTGTCTTTGTGTTTAGTATGCATGGTAAATATGTGAATGAAGCAACTTCTACTAAGTGACAGAGCTGGAATGAGAAAAATATATATAACACAATGTACTTGATATACGGGATGTACAACACAATTTCTATATGTGTCACTTCTTGTTTGATTACATTTTTCACTTGGAGCTTTTTTTTTTCATTGGTGGTAGTATAGAACTAAACCACTTGAAAATGTTTAACTTTATCCAAGTCTTATGCTCCTGGAAAATAGCAGCAGTCAAAAAATCTCACCACCTTTTTCTATTAGGGGAAATGACTTACTGCAAAAAATCACATATGACTTTTCATATTACTTTTATAAGATTTGCAGGTGCTCCCTCACCTTGTTCAGTTAGGTCAAAGTCAAACACAGACTCTGCAAATCCTCATTCATTATCTTGTCAATGATTAGCTGAAATGTTCAGCCTCCATTGGACAATCTGAACGAAATACCTATTTAACTTGACTTGACCAACTGTAATCAGGCTTCTCACTCCCGTAGGCCATAGGACATTGACTCATCCTTGAGCCCGCATTAGAATGCAAAACAGCACCTTCTTAACAGTCCCTATGAAGAATAGGTTGACCTCAGGGAAAAAGATTCTCTGACCAACCATGTAAAGATGACACCTGCTCACTCCCTTTCCCACACTCAGTTCTTTCTAATCTTGTTTACTCTTTCCAACAAAACAAAAACCTTTCTTTGGCTTGATCTTTGAGACATCCACAGATCTTTGGATCAGAGTGATCTCTCGAAGGCAGTGACCCCTCTTCTCACTTCCTCATATTTCAGTAGCTTTTTTGAATTAAATCTCTCCTTCCCCAAGTCTAGATTTGATTTCCACTTGACTGCCTTGATTAACTAGTAGTTTATTATTGTAGTGTATATAGTGACTCATTTCTGTTCAACAGATATTTGTTAGGCCTGCATACTTAATGAGTTCCTGGGGATACAGTGTGAACAAAATGGACAAAACCCCTTCATTATTTGAGCTTGCATCCTAGGTTGTAGAGATAGATAAATGAATGAAATACTTCGTAGGTCTGATGGTGCTTTCTGCTATGGAGAAAATTAAATCTAGCAAGAGAGAGCTGGGTTGGATTGGGTTGAAAGGGCTACATTTTAAAATAAAGTAGTCTGGGATACATTTAGATTATTTCCACATTTTAAAGCTGAAAGAAAGGGGCGACTGTGAGTCTCTAATTCTGAAGTCTATAAATGATAATAGTGGAGGCTTCTAAACACAAATGATGCTCAAAGTCAAGTAAGGAGGTCCCCTAGACATTTGGAGCATTTATAGGTATTTGATTGCTTTGTTTCAATGAAAGATCATGGAAGTTAGAGGGGTTAAGGAGTAAGATTTCCAAATTGGAGTCCTTGAGGATACAGGGCTGTTCTCCAACATGCATATCCAGGAGAAGTTCCCATCCCAAATATCTTAGGTCAGTGTTGCACTAGCAATAAAAGCAGGTGCTGGAGGGATCATCCCTAGTTCGTTTTTGGTTATTTTCTTTTGGATTTTTTCACTCCAAAAGAATGCCATGTCCTTATCAATTACTAACAATTCTGAAATTAGGATTAGTTGATGATTTGGGTAGTTATGCATTCTAGGTGTGTTTTTAAAGAGCTAATGATTTGAAGTGAAGTATTTTGTACTGTTTTGACAATGTTTCTAGCATTGTAACTTAAGTAAAACATTTCCCTTTCACATGCTTTCTGTTATACATCTGTCAGACTCTAAGACATTTAAATTTTTTTTTTAAAAAATGACACTATGACTCAGTACAGGTTTCCTGAAAGCAAAATGGCTGAAATTTGGAAGACTCAGAGGCCACATTTATGAATTAATTGAGCTTATTTATAATTATCATTTGGCATTTCTTAACAGACATCCTTCTGTAATCATAAAATATAAATCAACTGAAGATACAGTCATGTGTTGCTTAACAGCTATATTCTGAGAAATGCATTGATAGGTTATTCCATTGTTGTGTGAACATCAGAGTGACTCAGAGCAGTATAGTGTGGGCTACTACACACCTAGGCTATATGGTACAACCTATTGCTCCTAGACAACAAGCCTGCACTGCAGGTTACTGTCCCGGATACTGTAGGCAATTGTGACGCAATGGTATGTCTGTATCTTATATCTAAACATAGAAATGGTACAATAAAAAATATGGTACCATAATCTTATGGAAACAGTTTCATATATGCAGTCTGTCCTTAATTGAAACTTGTTTATGCCGTGCTTGACTGTATATGGGATGGATTATTTCCAAGGTTCCCCAGACTAAGATACTAAATACCAAGGCAACATTAACTATTTGGTATTTTTTTTTAATAAAGCTCAAGAAAATAGCCCAGGTGAAGCCTAGGTATTTTTTTCCCATTACATCTGGCTGAACATATTCCATCAGTATCTAACACATATATCAAAACAGGCTTTAAAATAACACCACAGAGTTTTCAAGTGGGTAGTGCTCAGAACAAAATAGATAAATTGGAAAGCCTATATCAAATCTGATAGGCTGATCCTCTTTGATACAAATATTCTGAAATATAGCTACTTCAATTCCCCAGGCACTTTAAAGGTAGTTAGCTGGTATTTAAACTCAGTTGGGCTACATATCCCAAATCACTCAAGGAGCAATAATATAAGACCATCACTGCTATCGCATCTCATCCCAACAATGACAGTATATTATGAAAATTGCTGAAACTGCTCCATATTGTCTAAGCTCTCCACGAATGAAGGTTATATGTTATAATGCCTATCACTAAACTAGAACAATATAGGAGAACACCTTACTTGTAGGGTATTTTGAATCAATATATATAATACTTGAGCTTAGCCTGCCATATTAAGTTATTAATAATTGGAGGGAGAGGAAAACACCCTTTTCGTTTTTAAATGAGTATGAATTTATTTTTTTGATTTTCTATTTTGTTTTCCACAAAATCAGACTCAAACAAATATCAGGACCTTCTTATTTCCTATTCTAGCCTTCCTCCATTTAAAGGACATGTAATCAAATGTAGAAACTTATATCAATTATCAAATTTTTCATCTTAACTCACCCACCATCATCTGAGTCTCAGTAGTGACTCATGGCTGATATTGGCAGGTTGATTGCTCAGCCAATGAGCAGATTTTAATGGTCTGTTTAAACCAGCTTTCGAGATACTAAAAAAATTTTTTAAATATAACTAATTATGTCTGTTATTAGCACAGCCAGTGGGATTATCTTCTGGGCAACTGACCAATTGAACAGTAATCAGCCTGGGTAACAATTTAAGCTTCCAATGGTCAAATATTGACTATGTAGCCATGGCCTCAGTTGCAGTGTGACTCAAAATTAAAAAATGAACTGAACCATTCATTGACTGATAGTTTGCAAAGATGTCTGAGCTATTCACATGACTTCCCAAGGTGGGGGATTTAATAGAGAGTGGTATTACTCTATTCAGTGATGATAGAAACTAATATAGCTTCACAGCTGTGATTTGTGACACAGGATAGGAGCACAGTTGGCTGCATCTGAAGTGAACCACATTTCCATGGGTATTTTTCAAAGGAACAGATTGTACCAAAAGCAGACAAAACATCGATGCCTGAATTCCACTGATTTTTTGCTAATAGTGGCAATATTCAGTGGTTTTTAGTTGGAATGGCTGTGTTTGCACTGCTGATGCAACCAGTTTGCCATTGGAAGATCTGCCGGAGCAAATTACATTCCTAGCAGCACAAACATCATTTATTTCCTCATTCATTCAACAATAGTTACTGGGGACTTGTTCTGTGGGAAGACTGTGTTAAGTTACTAGAGATAATGTTGCAAATAAGATTCTGTCCTAAAGGAACTTTCTCCCTAGTGGGACATATGAACAAATGAACATTTACAATTGATTATAATAATTGTGGTGTCTCATGTAAGGTCAAGATGTATTGGAGCTAATTATAGGGTCACCCAGTCTGTCTTGGTTAAAAGTGGCTTCTCAGAAGAAGTGTCTTCTAAGCAGAGACAGGGAGAATAAGTAGGAGTTAGTTTGATAGGAGTGCAGAAGTTGGGAAGAGTTTGTTTTCTACCCAGAAAGATCACCATGTTCAATGTTCCTGAACTAAGAGGGAGCAGTTCAATGAAGGACTGTCAAAGGTTTGTTGGCGGAATATAGGAATATGTACCAACATCTAAGGGTAGAAGAGAAATCCATTAGCAAAGCTAAAAATAAAAAGAAACAAAAGACCCTTCAACTTTTATTTCTAATCAGATACCTGTTTAATCTATTAGAACAGTAAAATACAGATGGATGAGGCTGAGACCTTATAGTATGGATATTCTATATTTTCCTAAACTGTTAGGAAAACGTATTGTGATTAATTATAGCACCTTTTGAATGCAGTCATACCCCATATTTCATGAACAGTTCTTTCGCTCTTTGGTGAACTCAAAAAGAAAGCTAAATCACAGCTTTGTGCATATGATTTCTCCTCAAAATTTAAATTTTAAAATATGTAAGTAAAATTGCAATTGAAGAATCCTTCTCTGTTCTGCTGTGGAAATGAACTTTGCTTTTTTAAAAAAATTCCAGCTAAATATAGAGAGTGAATAATTATAGTAAAGCTGACCTTCCTGTATACATCTGTTTCTTTCCATAATTGCTTTAATTATGGGATGAACTCCCTGGGAAACAAAAACAAGTTTATTGCAACAGATTATATTATTACATTTTATGAAGTTTTGAACTTTTATTAAATTATTATTATTGTTAGTTTGCTCATGCTTAAACACTCAGACCTTTGAATACCAAGGATCTACCACAGCAAATTTAAGATATTCAAGAGCCAGGTTTTACCCAACTTCAGGAATTTCCGAAGACATTGGCCATATGCTTATTGTTCAAAATGAGGCCTTTAAAAGCTGCATCTGCCTCATCCTATCTCAGAGAAGACTATGCCAAATTTTAGAAGAGCCTATCCCTTAATCAAAAATGTCACACAGGGCTGCTAGATTTAGCCAAAATATTTGAAAAGAAACAGAAAGAAAACAAAGAAAAGGAAAAAAATGTATGGAATGATCCAATGATCTTTGGGATATGTTTATCCTAAAAAATTATTTGTTGTTTACTTGAAATTTAACTATGAATCCTGTAAATGTTTTTGCATGTGGCAACCCTACAAAAAGGGGATCTAGCAACATTTTCCATGGAGATAGTAGCATTTTGTTATCTTTTCTACCCACTTCCCTCACACGTGCTACGAAGTTTCCCTGTCCACAAAATTTTCAGATCTTTTTCCATCCCTATAGCATCCAGTCCTTTCTAGGACTTCTCCATCCATTGCTGTATCCTATAAATCGGTGTAGCTTCTTTAAAAAATAATGGGGTGGAATATCCACTCGTTAGGAAGAGGAAGGAAGAGAGAAGACTGTTGTGCCATTTGAGAAACTCTCTGTGGAGTGGGTAAAAACACTCTAAACATTCCCAAATTAATTTGGGTTCTATTATATATACAGAAATTCTACTATCTCATCAGAGTGACTAATCTTTCATTTCTAAAGTACTGATCACAGTTTTTGCCTATATATCAGTGAAATTTAAAAGTAAGTTTTGCCAAAATTAGAAATTAGTTCTATGATTATTGGTTAACTAAATTAGCTCTTTGGACTTAAATTGTTTTCTAGTCTGTTTTACACTTTATCACATTGTTTTTATTTTCCTTCACTATCGCTATGTTGTTCTAAAACTTAGTGTAGCTCATTTCTTTAGAAATCAAAGCCAAACCTTGAATTTATAGTTAATCATGTTTCTAATCATCAAATAAATTTCTAATTGTCAAATTCACCTATATGTTAAAACACGAGAAGAATGTGATTGCACAGTAATATTCAGAGTTGGGAATTATAGACAAGATTCATTAAAACATTGAAACAAGGAAAAGAGCTATTAAAATGCCATTTTTTTGTGTTCTTGAGAAAAATCCAAGAATTCTTTTTTCTAAGTCTTTGTAAACTAAAAAGGGCTTTGACAGCTGATTGTGTTTATATTTCATGGAAAATTTCAGGTTTATTGTTAGAAAATTGTAATGCTATTAGCAATAATGGCAAAGCCAAATGTTTACAATATAATTACCATTCTCCTAGAAAATTTGTGGTTTTGGAGAAAGAAAATTAGACAAATAACCTCTCAAAAGATTACATGTGGCTAGGACCCTTGTCCAAATGGGGAGATAATAGTAGCATTTCATAGTAATCATTATAATTGAAAAGTGACTTAAGGATCTTTGGCTCCTCATAATTACATTGAAGGTGGTTTTTAATTTGGGGGGGAACATTTTGGAAGAGATAGTTTAATAAATATACAAAATATCGAAGTAAGGAAGTCACTGTTCTAAGATTGAAAACATTTGCCTTGAAATATACATTGATTTTTGTATAGGTTCTTCCTTCAAATGTTTCCAGTTATTCTTTCTGTCTGTTTCAACCACCAATAACACCAAGGAAGAGGTTCTAATAATATTCTCGGCTCATTGTAATATAGTCACCCAGCTTCAACCTCTCTTCCTTCTATCATTTATTCTGCTATAAGATTAATGATCCTAAATGATTACTTTCATTATATGTAATAATGACCTTTCAGCCGGGCATGTTGGCTCATGCCTGTAATCCCAGCACTTTGGGAGGCTGAGATGGGTGGATTACCTGAGGTCAGGAGTTGGAGACCAGCCAGGCCAACATGGTGAAACCCTGTCTCTACTAAAAATACAAAAACTACCCAGGCGTGGTGGCACACACTTGTAATCCCAGCTACTCAGGAGGCTGAGGCAGGAGAACTGCTTGAGCACAAGAGACAGAGATTGCAGTGAGCTGAGATTGTGCCACTGCACTCTAGCCTGGCCGACAGAGCGAGACTCTGCCTCAAAAAAAAAATAATAATAAAATAAATAAAAATAAATAAATAAAATAATGACCTTTCACTTACTCTATTTGCTTACTTTTTCCAATATGCACCCTTCATTCCCTGTGCTGATTGGAAGCTTGTTTCAGGAATAGCCATCAGTCAACAACAATCTGTGGTTATAGATGACAGATAGATATATATCTATAATGAAAGCCATGAGTGATATAAAAGAGCTGTGGGCAAGGAGCTAGAATACTGGTGCTTACCTTTCTCTGTGTACAAACTTGAGTAACTCACTGCCTTTGAGCCTCAGTTTCCTTATCTGTGAGGAAGAGAAAATAGTGGCTATGTTGTTGAGTGATTGTGCAAAGCAACAATTGGGAATAGTTCTAGTGTATCAACAAATGTTTCAGTCTTTATATTTTATCCAATGAATTGTAAACTCTTTTGAAAAATGTTCCATGGCTCTTCATCATTGCCTGGGCCCATCAAGTTGAGATTTCTGATTCTGACATTTTAAATGCCTGATTATCTGGTACAATCATACCTATGCGCCTTGTATATTGTTGTTAGTGATTATCAAGTACAAATTATATGTTAGGCACTGTGATGAAAGCTTTGTACCCATTTTCACTTTTGAACATCACAACCATCCTATAAAAAAGGAGTATTAGGCCAATGAGGTAGCTCATGCCTGTAATCTCAACAATTTGGGAAGCCAAGGTGGGAGGATTACTTGAGGCCAGGAGTTTAAGACCAGCCTGAGCATCATAAAAAGACCCTGTCTCTATAAAAACGTTTAAAAAGATCAGCCAGGCATGGTGGCGCATGCCTATAGTCCCAGCTACTCTGGAGGCTGAGGCAGGAGGATGAATTGAGCCCAGGTGTTCAAGGCTGCAGTGAGCTATGATTGTGCCACTGTACTCTAGCCTGAGCAACAGAGCAAGAGCCTGTCTCTACATTCTTTTTTTAAAAAAAGGGCTATTAGTACTGTTTTTATTCCTTCTTATGGATAAGGAAATGAGCCTTGGAGAAGTTATGTAGCTTGTCCAAAGTTAAATAGTTGGTGAAGAGGAAATATCTATATTTGAACCCAGGAAGTTCAATTCTATAATCTGACGTTTTAGCCACTGAGCTATACTTATCAAAGAAACTTCTTTTTGGGCTTGGCTAATTGTTGACCCTGAACATATATATTTTTGTACATTTTGTTGCATCTATTTATACCTCAAAGTCTATTCCTTTTCTTTTCTCTCTGCACAATTCTATTACTATGACTGTGTATTGCCTTTCCCTGCTAGATAGGTACACCAAATCCTAAACTCTCTCAAGCCTCATGGAGCACTTTTGTATTGTACTAGCGAGAACCACACTGGATTACATTATCTTATAGTTTCTCTGATGCATTCATATGTTGAGAAACTGCCAAACTGGACCTACCTCAGGAAAGAGTACCATATCTTTTACCTCTTTTGCACCTCCTAATTTATGTAGAAAAACCAATGGACAACAGAAGATGAAAAAATGCATAAAAAGAATAATTGTTAATTTCTGTAATAATCTTTTGAGATTTGCAGTCTTGCAGTGTTCTAGAAGCTGTCCTACCAGTGTTTCAGAACCGATTTCTATTTCTGAAATAAGCCCAAGTGATGGGAAAGTCTCTTTCTCTTCTAAGCCACTATACTACTCCTGACTGTTTGTCTTGCCCAATTTCCTCCAGTGGTAATGTTTTGCAAATCTATAGTATCCTATCACAGCAAGGTTATTTCCACTGATGCAGCCAACATGCAGAATATTTCCTTTACTATAGGATTTGTGGTAAAGAGCCTAAAATTAAGGCCCACTGTTGTATGTGCCTGGAGAAAACCAGGAGGAATTCAAGTGGCCTAGCCACAAGCCCTCCTCCCTACTCTGCTCCTGTGGATAAAGCCCCCTGACCAAACAGCCCTCCTTAACATGGGGACCATGCACAATTTCTGCTTATTCCTAAGTGGAATGTTTCAGCTTCCTGCAAAACAGCAAACTTATTCAAATAATGCAATCACATCCTCCCATGGGAACTAAGGGTCATCACCCCATCATCTTGGTGGTACAAAGCCTGACTCCAACAGCTGCTGGGTGTTCACTCCGTTCCAGGGTGTACCTGCTCCTATGTGATTCTGCATGCACGATGTCCTTCTCTCCCTGGCTGTGAGTATATGTGACTAGTAAACTGCTGTCAATCTCATTAGTCCAGTGTTGGATGATCCCCATATCCCTCTTACTGATGGGGTACAGAGGAAGTGATTAAAATAGGATTTTTCATGTGGGCTTTTATAGACACAGCACTTCCCTCCCATGCCTATCCTCTTTTTAACTCCTGGCAAATGCTAACTTGTTTTCTATCTATTTTTTTCACATCAAGTTTGTTATGTACATAAAATGATACAATGTATCAACATTGGGGATTGGCTTTTTTCACTCAGCATAATTCTCTGGAAATTCAGCCTGGTTGCTATATGTATCAACACTTCATTCCTAGAATTCCACTGTATATGCACTATTATTTGTTTACCCATTCTCCACTGAAGGACATCTGGATTTTTTCCAGTTTTTAGCTATTATGAATAAAGCTGCTATAAACATTCACATAGAGGAATTTTAATAAACATAAGTTTTCATTTCTCTGGGATAAATGCCCAAGGGTGCAATTGCTGGGTCATATGGGACTTGCACGTTTAGTTTTTTAAGAGACTGCCAAACTGTTTTCCACAGTGCCTGGACCATTTTACACGCCTATCAGCAATTTATCAGTGATTCAGTTCCTCCTAATCCTCGGAAGTCTTTGGTGTTCTCACTATTATTTTAACTGTTCTGATAGCTGTGCAATTATATCTCATTGTGGTTTTAATTTGAATTTCTATAATGGCCAATGGTGTTGAATATCTTTTCATGTGCTACTCAGAATCTATATATCCTCTTTGGTGAAATGTCTGTGTCTTTTGTCCATGTTCAAATTGGGATTGCATGTTCTTTTGACATTGGATTTTGAGAGTTTTTAAGCATATTCTAAATACTAGTCCTTGGTTGGATATGTGGTTTGCAGATATTTTCTTCCATTCTGCAGGTCAGGTGATAATTTGAATCACTTATTTAAATCTCTAGACTGTTATTAGGAATCTTCTGTGATTACTAGGCTGACAAGGGGTACCTTCAATTAAACAGTCATCCAGCAGGGTTAAAATGAAATACGCTACCCATCATATCAATGTGCTAGAGTGGAACAAACCCAAGGTTCGTAGTTGATGATCATGGGCTGGGCATGGTGGCCCATGCATGTAATCCCAGGTATTCCGGTGGCTGAGGCACAAGAATCACTTGAATTCAGGAGGTGGAGGTTGTAGTGAGCCGAGATCGTGCCACTGCACTCCAGCCTGGGTGACAGAGCAAGACTAGTCCTGGCTTGGTCACTAAGTGTTACAGAATCTCTCTGGGCCTCAGTTTCTTCATTTGTAAAGAAGGATCAGGCACATTATCTAAACTACTATCTTGTTCTACCATTCTATGATTCTCAGTTTAGAAGTTAAGCTGAATAGAATGAAGCTAATTTCCCTATTATGGCAAAAATACTAACATGTAGGTTTTAAAACAACTGAGAATGGAATACCTTTTCTTCTTCTTTGTTAGTGAGAATATGCTAAAATATCACAGTGCAGCATGACCTTTAGAATCTTCTTGCCTTTTGCCTTTCCTGGTGATGCCCAACAAATGCGTCTCAGAGTTTGCTATTTTATTGTATAGAATCTTGTAGCAGTTTAGATGATAGATTTGGAGTCTAACAATGCCCTACCACTAAACTGGTATATGTGCAATTGGAAAATTACTTAGCCACTATAATCCTCAGTTGCCTTTTTTTAAAAAAATTTGGTGATAATAACAGCACTTAGCACAAAATATTTCTGTGAGAATAAAACGAAATGACCCATGTGAGTGTTCAGCACTCATTCATTTCCCACTAGCACACAGTAAGTGTTCAATAAAAATTATTAGCAGCTGTTGGGGCTGCTGCTGTTATTATACTAAGTGGTATGGTTTGGCTCTGTGTCTCCACCCAAATCTCATCTTGAATTGTACTCCCATAATTCCCATGGATTGTGGGAAGGACCTGGTGCAAGAAAATTTGAATCATGGGGGTGGTTTCCACCATACTGTTCTCTTGGTAGTGAGTAAGTCTCACGAGATCTGATGGTTTTATAAGGGGTTTCCGGTTTTGCATTTCTTTCATTTTTCTTTTGCTGCCGCCATGTAAGAAGTGCCTTTCACCTCCCACCATGATTCTGAGGCCTCCCCAGCCATATGGAAATATAAGTCCAACTAAACTTCTTTTTCTTCCTAGTCTTGGGTATGTCTTTATCAGCAGTGTGAAAACGGATAGTACACTGAGTTACCCCAAATACCTAAGGTGCGGCCCCTAAGAAGCAGATAGGGGGCTCTTAGGAAGGGGAGTGCTTTTGTTTCCTAACTTTTCTAAACAGAATATGGTTCTCAGCTGATGAAACCAGCATTAACCATTGTACCGGTTATTATTACATTTGCCACTCACAAAAATGGCAAAGGAGGAATATCAGGTACAGATACAAAAGATACAGACCTTTTGCAATTAATCTTCTTCTCACCTTGCCTTTTTCAAACCCCAATGAGCTACTCTAAAATCTCTCCCTTCTTTCATTCCAAGGTCCCCAAACATTTCCTCGCAGTCTTCTTTGCAGTCTCTCCTCTCTGGTCACTGGATAAGAGCTTTATTAGTTAGGCCAATTTATCCTTGTTAATTCTGTTCTCATTTTCATTTCCTTATGTCCTGGACTCTGCCCATTCACAAGTGCTCAGGAGCTAAGTGGGCAAGAATAATTCCTTCTTGGAAGCAGTGGTTAATATTTCAAATGTACAATTTAATATCTTTTTATCACTGCCACATAAAATATTAGCAATAAACTGAGAGGCAGCTTCTAAAAACCCTGACACTATGACACAAACAGCTTTCAAACTGTTCCTCCTTAAAAAGATCTCAAAGGAATTTTTCCCACCAAATTGTAACATTCACTACCTGCCTGAATGAACAGAACCATTGGCAAGAATTGGCATACTGATGCTTTGTTAAGATTCTCATTCATTTCCTACTCGATTTCTTACATTTCCAGGCTGATTACTTTCCATTCCAGAAATGCAGTTATTTTTTCTCTACATGGCTGCTTGTTTCTTTTTACACCTGTACAATAACTGCTTCTTATAGCCAAGGGGTTATATCATTAATTTAAAGACAACAGCACTGATCCTGTGGATTTTTCCAAGCAGAAGTTTTATTTCTCAGAAAGTTAAATTCTTCTTTCTTTTAATGGAATTAGTGAGTCAGAATCATATTATACATTTTTTTTTTCTTTCCGGAACTGTGATGACACAGGTAATTTGATTAAGCTAAGAAGCTCAATTCATGTCACCTGTTCTGTTATAAATACATCAGTACAACGGGGAAAATAATTTTATTGAAAATATTAAATTTGGTGCAGGTTGCTTTTAGATGTCATTTTTATCTCTCATGTAGGACCTTGTCATCCATTGATTTGCCCTGGAATAGGGATGTTTATGAATAAAAAATGCATATAGGGTGGCTGCTGAACATGTCTTTAATGAAGAATGCAAATAAGCATGCAGTCCTTGCCAGCAAGGAGCTTACTACCTATTTGGAAAGGCAAGGAATATACACAAATGACGTTGAATTAGAATAACAGAAGTCAGTAAAATCTAAGGCAACAATAAAGAAAATTCACTATGCTGTGCACAAACGAGAGCCAAATATTGGATGGAGACTAACAGTTATTGGAGGGAGAGAGAGATGCTGAAGAAAAAGAGTTACCCTTTTAAAATTTTTTGTATAAAACTGCATCTTCTGTATTTTGCATACTTTAATCTCAGAACAAAATAAACAAAAAACCCATAATATGCAACATCCAATCCTGTTGTCAAATTAGGGAGGGGATGGGGTTAGGGGCCCTTGTTTCCTGCCTTAGGCACAAGGACAGTAGAGAATAAACACAAGACATTAGCAGAGGGAGCCAGGTGAGACAGGACCACTCGAGGCTGTGGTGGGAGCCATGGGGACACTATTCAGAGGGCACAAGATTTCCAAGTATAAACTCCTAGTCTACCTCCTCCATGCAAGACACATCCTAATCGCCCTCGAGTCGGGAGGGAGTATTGTATCAGGAACAGCATCACCGGCTTCCTCTGCTGCCACTTCATCTTCATCTGTAGCTAGACCGAGCTTGTTCATGGTAGATGCTATTGGAGTAGGTCTGAGAATCCTCAGGGGAGAAGCCAGAAGAGAGCCCCACAGTTTCAAACAGCAGCACCCCCAGGTCTTTGACAGCTTTGTCGTCCTTGTCCACCTCAGCCTTCTGCTGCAGTGTCTCCACAATAGGTTGGTCAAGGTTGATTTCCAGGTGCTTTTTGGCCATCATGTAGCCCATTATAGAGTTGTCTCAAAGTGTCTGAGCTTTCACAAGCTACTTCATATTGGCTGTTCAGCTGTAGGTGCCAGTCATAGTGCACCTGTGACTGCAGCTGCAGGATGAAGAAACAGACTATTGGAGATTTTCACTTTCTCAGTTTTCTTCTTCAAGTTTTCTTCCAGGAGCTTGCAGAGGTTCTCAAACTGCCTTGCTCTCCTCCATTTTCTTCTTCTCCATCCTCAGGTAGCCTAAGACCCTACTAGGTAACTGAGACCAGGCTCTTTCCATCAAACTCATTGAGCTGCTGCATGCAGGACTCATCAGTGAGCTTGGTCATATATACTGCCTCAAAGCCCTTCTTCCTCACTCATTCCACAAAAGCAAAGTTGGCCACCTGCTCTTTGCTCTTGCCAGTGATGTCATAGATGGACTTCCCATCTCCATGTGAGAGGCATGCTCTGACAGAGATGTCATCTCATCTCCAGACTGGGTGGTGTGATAGTGCAGCAGCTCAGACAGGCATCACCAGTTAATAGAGTCCTCATGGATTCCAACCTTTAGATTTTTTAGAGAATTCCTCATGGAATTTCTTATAACATTCCTTGTCTTCTGCCAGCTCAGAGAAGAGCTCATGGCACTTCCCAAGAGTGTTTTTGTGTGGACTTTCAGGATTCTGCTCTGCTGCAACACTTCTTGGGAGATGTTCGGGGCAGATCTTCAAAGTCATATATATATATATATATATGCACACCACGGATAAAGCTGAGATACTCTGGTGTCAGCTCGTCATAGCACATGCCAGACATAGAGGTTGAAGTTTTTCTTTTCTCTATTGTTCTCAAAGAGGTCAAAGAAAGCCCTACTCTTTTTCTCAGAGAAGTCAAAGACAGCCTGATGAGGGATGAATAGCAGTGCCCTGAATTCCAACTGACCCTCTACAGAGACGTGCTTGAGTGGCAAGCGGTCTTCCCAATCATTTGTGAGGCTCTCATAGAATTCTCCATACTCTTCCTGGGTGATTTCATTAGGCTTTCTGATCCAAATGGGCTTGGTCTTGTTTAGTTATTCCAGATCAATGCATTTTTTTGTTGTTATTGATCTTGGTTTTCTTTTTCTTATCCTTACTGCTGTTATCCTCGTCACCTGAACCCACATCTTCAATCTTGGGCTTTTTCTCATCTTTATCATCCTCTTCTTTCTCACCTTTCTTTTTTTTCTGCTTTATCGTCACTGACTTCTTTCACCCACCCGTTCCTTCTCCAAACAAAGGGTGATGGGATAGCCTATAAACTACGAGTGTTTCTTTGACCTGCCTCTCTTAGAAATACTCTATCTGTCTAGTCTTCTTTAAAGTGGAGGATCACTTTGGTGCCACTGCCAATGGGATCAACAGGGTCAGCACATACAGTTAAGAAACCCCTAGCATAAGACTCCCAGGCATAGTGTTTATCATCATTGTGCTTTATGATCACAACCACTTTTTCTGCCTCCAGGTAGGCAGCATAAAAGCCAACACCAAATTGCCCAGGCCTGGAGATGTCTGCACCGGCCTGAGGAGCCTCCATAAATGCTTTAACACCAGACTTGGCAATAGTTCCCAAATTATTTATGAGATCAGCCTTGGTCACGCCAATGCCTGCGTCCACCAAAGTAGGGTGTGTTCCTGAGGGTTGGTGATGTCAATTTTCAGCTCTTTACCACTGGCTAACTAGGAAGGTCCTGTCAGGTTCTCAAAGCAAATCTTGTCCAAGGCATCAGAAGCATTAGAGATCAACTCCCAGATGAAAATCTCTTTGTTGTAATAGCAGATATTGATGATGAGACACACGAGTTGGGCAATTTCTGCCTGAAAGACAAAAGTCTCCATCTCCTCCTCTACATGGTGCATCTCCTCAGGCATCTTGAAAGGAAAAGATTTACAAGTGCTGGTGAACAAGGTGGGCCGAGACCGTCCAACATGCACATGGCTCCAAAGCTGCGTGGGAGTGACTCAAGAGCAAGAGTTGCCTTTTAATGAGTGGCTATTACCTGCCAGCCATTGTGGTAGGCATTTTATACTTGATTTCTTTCAATTTATAAATAAACAAAGGTATGATTATTTTTAGATCTACATTTCACATGAGGACAATGCTGAGACTTTTAAAATAAATGTTAGTAAGTGGTCCAGGTGAAATTTGAACCCAGACATATTTGGCTGCAAAGCCTGGGTTCTGTTTGCAACCTATACTTTATAAAAACATGCCAGGCAATGGGTAGGTTTTGATCTGATTATTGAAAAAGTAGTAAAAGATAAAGTGAGAAAGAGGCAGAGAGTTAAGGAAGGAGCAAGAAGAAATGAGAACATTTTAGGCTACAAAAATAGCATGATAGTGGAGGCAAAAAATACATATATAAAGTGTTTGAACAATGAATAAATGAATTTGCCTGGATCAAGTATAGGGGATGCTTGCAAATGTGCTTAATAGCATAGGCTCTGGATTTTGACAGTTTGGTTTAAATTCAAGCTCATCCATTTATACCTGACCTCTCCTAGGCAGAATACAACATCACATAGAATAGCTGTGATGATTTAAAGAGCTAATACAATTTAGGTGCTGGTAATACAGATGTTTTTGGTATGTGAAAATTCATCAAGCTGTATAATTATGTGTGCTGCTTGGTATGTATATGTCAGAAAAAGATTTTTTTTTTTTTGTAAAAGGAGCTAATGCATGTGTAAGCATTCACTGAATGTTAACTTATTATTCTCAATGTATTCAGGACAGTGAGATATTAGAATAAGATCTTAGCAGAATGTTGGAGCATTGCAAAGGGCCTCTTACCTGAGGAGGGTCAAAGAAGGATTAGAAAGATGGAGATATACTCACAGTGTTGTTTAGGAAGCTTGTCTTTGTCTCAGTGTGTAGAATGAATTGGAATTACAGAAGGATATAGAACAGTGAGACCAATGAAAAGATTTTGCTGTCACACGGAAGTCCAGTAATATGGTCCTGAGGCAAGTGATGGTGAAAAAGAGAGATTCCACGAAGGAAAAATCAATAGGATTGGACAGTGGGATGTAATAGGGAAGGAAAGTAAAGATTCAAAAATAACTTCTCTAGTCTTTAGAGTAAGAATGATTGGAAGAAAAACCTGAGTGGCGGAGCAATGGCAAGGAAGTTGATTTTAGGTAAACCCAGTTCCAACTGTCAACATCTGGTTGGCAGCTGGATGTGTCAATCAACAATAGAGGACATGCTCCAAGAACTAGTAATTACATAATTAGTAACTACATAAAGTGTGAATAGTTTCTTGTGATTATTACACAAAGGAAAATCCAAAAATCTGGTAGTGCAAACCGAAAAATTTTCAATATAATTACATGTGTATTTCATAGTTTTTCTCTTTGGTCCTATAATTAAACCGTATCTACCTCTGTCTCTAAACAAATAATTAGCAAAAAAGCATCTGAACCTATAGAAATCTATAAAATCCCCAAGTTTGGTGATATTTTAGTTACAGGGAGTTAGACTTCTATAACCATAATGGATAGAGTTTAAATTAAATGATTGTCACATGTTGGTAAATGGCAAGTACCTTTTCTGAAGACCTCATATATTCTCTCTTTCAAAGAATGTTTATGATTTCTTGAACTTACTTTCAAGAGATTTAGAAAGAGAGGATTAATTATTTTCTATGTATAAGCACAAACGTTGTTGAGGACATTCTTATATATTTACCAAAAAGGGGACCCAATCATAATATATTGAAAACTTAAATCCACCACACAACAAATTCTGGATGAAAACCTCACCCAATACTGGATTAATGTCATTTCTGTTTCTCTGGTATTAAAATAATATAAAGTAAGAATAAGTTTCAACTTTAGGATCCAGGAAAAATGCATGCGTGTGTATGTGTGTGTGTGTGTTTGTGGGTATGTGTGGTATGTGTTGTGGGTTTGTGTGTTTACATACACACAAGAATGCATGCATGTGTAAATATAAAGAGGTGGAAGGGAAATGATAAAATAAGTTTATTCTAGTTGTCCAAGAGAAATTGATTTTATAATTAAATATTTAGAAAAATTCAATCCTGTGGTAATGTAACATGTTGACGCAAGATATCTTTAAAATATCTCTTTAAAAAAATAGCTATTTTTAAAAGTTCTGTCACTCAAGGCTTTTAAATTTTTCTGAATTCAAACATAAATATTTGCATGCTAGAGTATGCAGAAAAATGCCAATAACACAGAGGATATTTGTCTACTAGCCATGCCTTCAAAAATAACAATGCTCTTTCAGCAGACACATTTTGGGGTACCCAAGAGAACGTAGACACAAGGTTAAGTCATTAATGAATCTGCCTCTGAAGTTAAGAACTGGAATGATGTTATTGCTCTGCAAACCTCCTCTTCTCTCCATCTGCCCAAGAGAAAATGCCAGTTATTCACTGGTGATTACATCAGTGAAATTTCCTGATTATCTCCTAGGTGCATAGAACTGCTAATATTATAAATAGAAATAATTCTAAGATATACTCCCAGCTCTCAAATAGCCTAGTTAGGTACAAGGGTAAGTACTTAAAAAGGAAAGCTAATAATATAAGTAATATATATAATTTAGTGGGCAAATAGCATATAATATAAAATAGTTTGGAGATTAAAAGGGAAGGAAGCCAATCCTAGTGACCCCCTCTGTACTAAGTACTAGTCAGCATGAATACTTGAATCAGGATGATTGTTCCTCACTGCTATACCCTCAGCACTTAGAAGAGTACCTAGGATGAATAGAGACTGAATAAATATTTGCTGACTAAATGAGGAAAGAATTCTCTCATTCAAGATGCACAGAATTCCTAAAGAGTAGATATTTCCACTTTATAGATGTTAAAACTGAGAACATGAAAGATAAGTAGCATGTCCTGAATCACATAGTGGCACAAGATGAGATTTGAACCCAGGTCCACCTGTCACCAAAAGTCTTACTGTTGCCACTGAAAGGTGGCAGAACTTAATGGAAATGAACCAGTTCAGTGTTGATTTGGACAAAAATATGTAGTCTAAGCAAATTGGTCAGAATTCCATAGAAGATTATTTTTTAAATGAATATTATAATTGATAACGTAAAGCTTTAAAATTGTTAAAACTTAGGTACATCTGATCTAAGATAGTGGGTTGTCAGCATATCAATATTTAATTTCCAAAGAACACAAGCATTGTTTCTAAGGGACTGTTAATATTTTCTTACAGCTTAAAATGAGCAGACGGAAAGAATGACCTTCAACTTTCTACAGGATTTTACATCCAACAGTAGAAAGTGCCGCATGTAAGATTTACACTTGACTAGACTGGTGACAACTGCAGCTCCTGTCCTAACAACCTGCAAGAAATGTTGATACAAAACAAGAGGAAAGTCATGGCATAAAATTGTATATGAAAGTTCGGTTTTGAACGTGCACTTTACATACAGTGCAAAGTTTCACAGTTTGAAATAGTTTTTCCTTTCCAAAACTATTTACTTAGTGTTAGTAAATATTCTAGTGTAAATTAGAGTATAATAGATTTAGCAATAAAAAATAAAACAAAATCAACTAGATAAATTAAAAACAAAATTATAAAACTTAATGTAACGTCTGGTATGTGAAAAAACACAATAATGTCTTAGGGCAACAATGAGAATGGGTTGTCTTTTTGTTTATTTCTATAAAAGATATTAATCAAGGGTCCATATTCAACACAATGCCAGGCAGGCAGTATAATTACAATGCATGCAGTAGAAGAAAGATATCCTCAGACATTATTCATCTGTTTTCAACAGTGTGGATTTTTGACACACAGAATTAACATAGATCTATCAAAAGAGTAATTGCAGAACTCTTAAATAATAATCAACATGGGTTTTTGGTCAAATTGAAGCAAGAGAGATAAATACACTGCATCTATGCATTTCCTTCTCACTCAGCCCCACATGCCCTTGGACCCACGGGGCCAATATCATTGCTGTCCACTGAAATAGCAGTAATAGTTTTACTGCACTTGAGTGATGTGACCAGTGCTTTGCTAACTCACTTTATGTAATTTATATATATATATATAAATTAGAAATTATCTGACACAATTATGGAGGCTGAGAACTCCCACAATCTGATATCTACATGCTGGAGACCCAGGAAAGCAGATGATGTAGTTCTAGTCTGAGTTCAAAGGCCTGAGAGCCAGGAGGGCCAGTGTTGTAAGTTCCATTCAGAATGTAGGAGAAGACTGAGGTCCAGCTTGGAAACAGGCAGAAAGTAAATTCTTCCTTACTCTTCCTTTTCATCCTGTTCAAGCTTCCTCAGGTTGGATGGTGACCATGTCACTGGGGACAGCAATCTGCTTCACTTTGCCTGCTGATTCAAATGTTAATCTCATCCAGAAACACCCTCATCGACATAGCCAGAATAATATTTGACTAAATATCTGAATACCCCATAATACAGTCAAGTTGACACACAAAATTAACAATCACAAAGAATAAACGGGATGATAGAGGAAATTTTATCTTCGTAGAACCAGGCATGGGAAAGCAGTGCAGCAGGACCTGCACCCTGCATCTTAGTCTGAAAGCCATGCTCCCTCCCCCCATGCTGCATTGCCTGATCTCAGACAAGGCTTCAATGCAGTGCTTTGAGTGGGAACTGCAGGTTATCAGGGTTGGCATCCAGGATAAATTATGTCGTCCACCTCTGAACCTTATGATTGCCAATTCTGTATTTACAAAAACAAAATAGTATTGCCCTGGGGAAAAGGAAAATGTAAGGGTGGCTGGTAAAGAAAGGTCAGATAATGATAGACTGTAAACAACACACAGAAGAATTTGGACTGACGGCTGCAGAATATGGTGACCAACTTGTCCTGGTTTGCTTAAGACTCTCAGTTTTAAAAGTGAAAGTCCTGTGTCCTTGAAACTCCCTCAGGTCCAGGCAAACAAATTGGGCACCTTACAATACAGAAGTGATGCTCAAATTGTCTCTTGTGAAAACTGATTTTTGTTTCCTAACCCACTGAAGACTAATACTTTTATAAAATGCATTAAAATGAGTCACTAGATTGAAATGGAAAAAGGCATACAAGCTCACACTTTCGTATTAAATTCAACAGATATAAATTAACAAATGGCTATAAAGGTTACTAAAATGCTTACTCTTAATTTCTATACTTATCTTTCGGGGGACCAGTTGCAACCCATTTGAGATGGGTCCTGGTATAAGGACCACACCACTGCAGGAATGAGGATCTGTTTGTACAGTCTGAAAAGGGAAGAGGCAGACTAAGCACCTTTTTTCTGGCATGATGGATTGCAATTGGAAAGGACTAGAACAAGGAGAATAGATGGTAATAGAAGAGGGAGGTATGAAGGATGGGCAGAGAACAGGTGAGCAAAGAAAGGAAATCCCAGTGAACCGAATACAGAGATCAAGGAATGGAAACAGAGCTCATCTTGAAGTTTCTCACTAAATGAAGTCTTTTGTAGTCACTGGTCTTAAAAGCTAAACGAATTACATTTAAGAAATAATAAAACAAAAGCAGAATGTAGACTGTGAGAGAGTGGGCTTTCGTTGTGAGTAAACTGTCCATGCCCAAATCCAAACACCCCTAGTTGTTATGAGTTACTTGACCAATGCATGTTTTCACCACTCTCTGTCTCAGTTCCTTTATCAATAATACGCCACTTCTCCTACTATCTATCCCAAAGTGTTGTTGTGATATAAAGTGAGATTTTTGTTTTTTTTGAGACGGAATTTCACTCTTGTTGCCCAGGCTGGAGTGCAATGGCACCATCTCGGCTCTCTGCAACCTCTGCCTCCCAGGTTCAAGTGATTCTCTTGCCTCAGCCTACTGAGTAGCTGGGATTACAGGCATGCGCCACCACACCCAGCTGATTTTGTATTTTTAGTAGAGATAGAGTTTCTCCAGAGGTTCTCCATGTTGGTCAGCTGGTCTCGAACTCCTGACCTCAGGTAATCGGCCCGCCCTGGCCTCCCAAAATGTTGGGATTACAGGCGTGAGCCACCGCACCTGGCCAAGATTTGTATATATCATATATATAAAATAGATACCGATGTATATTATATACTATATAAATAATTTGTAATTTACTATACATAATGATATATGATATATTTATATCTATATACATATATAAATATCTACCATTTAATACTATAACTGGCACATAGCTAATGGTTACTCCTTGCTCATTATAGATATTAGCAAAGTATCTCAGTAACAATCATTCCAATGTCATTTTTTGGGAAATATTTGCCTCCATTTACAAAGTGATTTAATAGTAACCTATGAAAAAGTGTGATTCCTTATTAGGGAAAATTTATAGTATATTCTCCTATTGACTTTGAAATTTGTGAGCACTTGCCAACATTGTACATGCTGATTTATGCCACAATTGTTTGGCCCCCTCCAAAATACTATGCACTGTTTAGAGGAAAGAGGTTCATTAACAGCGGTCAATTTGACTCTATTTGGCTTGTGCCTATTTGAAAGACTCCTTGCGGCATAACTACCAAAGTTGTTGTTGTATTAGTTCTTAGCATTTCTCCATTTTCCCTTGATTTCCTTTGATCTCATTTCTTTATGTATTTCATTTACTCTCCAGGTACTGCTTGTGCCTCCTGTTAGGGGTATATGTTTTGTAATGATACTAAGCTTGGTTGATACCTATCCTAGTGCAGTTGTTCTCTATAGTCAACACCACTGGTCCTCCTGGTGCATATATAACACAGAAGGAGTAAAATTGACAAAGGCCCTGGGGCAGTAGGATGCTGGCATGTCCGAGAGTAGCAATAGGAGGAGGGTGTGGCCAGAAGAAGTGGGAGCAAGAGGGATGGACAAGATATGGACACTGAGGCCCAAGACAAGGAGGGAGTCAGATCTAGCAAACCTCTGGATCATGGCAGGAACCTTGAGATTGCTTTAAATGTGATAGAATTCATTAGAAGATTGAGCAGACTATGGTATGAACTGACTCACATATAAAAATGGACACTCTGGCTGCTGTGTGTTGACTAGACTATCTGTGGGCAAGGGTGGAAGCCACATTACTAAGAAAGACTCAATATACTAATATAGATCAGTCTATTTCTCTCTGCCAATACTAGGTACACTGCTGATATCACAGGCTTTGGTTTTACCTATTTATAGATTATTTGAACTTAGAGGCCATATAAAACCACAGAAAAGTCAGCAGAAGGAGAGTAGAAACATCAAGAGTCATGAGAGCTTCTGATGCCCTGAGATACAGAAAAAACAAACTGGTGGACTGTCTGATCCAAGTTTTATATTTTGTGAGGCTTAACTGCCATTAGGAGTAATGCAGTGGTGTGCCTGGAAAAGCAAAAAGTAAAATGTAGATCTATAGGTTTTGCTAATTTCCAAGGTGTAAATACTCCCACCACGGCCAATTTCATGCTACCAAAGGGACGCCACTGATGTGGAGTCGGGATGAGATACGCACAAGCACTTCTCGCGAAGTGGCTCCAGCAAGCCAGTGGTGCATGAGATGAGTGTGAATGCTTCCAGTGGATTTCCTATTTTATTAGCTTCTTTCAGTGAGTGTCCGACCTTCAGTGCTGGATCATCCAAGTCCCATTTCACCTCTTTTGACCCTTGAACTTCTCTTTAAAGAGCTTCCTTGATCGTTCTGGCCTTTCCTTGCTTCCCAGTTATTAGAAACATAAGACGCCTGCAGGGGATGTCTTGAGGTCTCAGGATAGAATATTTAAAGTATAGCATGTAGGTTCACCCATGTTTTAGTATTAATCTTTAAAAAAAGTCACCAGTTTTTATTCTGCACATCAGTTCTGTTAGAATTAGAGATTCATAAAGAGATGTAGTTGCTAACAAAGTGGAGAAACAGAATATTCGATTTAGCACACTGACATTTACAGTATAAGTCAAACTGCTTTTAATCAAAACATTAAAAAAATTCATATTGTCTATAAGTCAGAAAAGTTTCCTGGAGTTGTTAGCTTTGTATACACAAAAGTATTATATGTTTTAAGTGTTATTTTTTTATTCAATCATTTTCCAGAAGTAGATGGAGGATAGCAGACCTGTGGGTGAGCTTTAAAATTAACTTATCCTATCAGACCACTGAAATTCTCATCTGTGAACAGGGAAACAGATCCAGTGAATGAGAAATGAACTTCAGAACTATCCATTATTCTTGGCAAACTAAATTATAGTCTCTACTCTCTATTTGAGAATCGGTGTTTCACCTGGTTTCAGAAGTGATCAGTAAGAGTGACAAGAAAGAGAAAAAAGAGAAAATCCTTCCTGGACTAATACCTTCACTTTGCTAATAAGATCAAGTCATTAAACCATGAAAAGCATTCTGAAAATCCCTGGGTTGTTTTTCAGACAAGTAACATTTTATAAAGTTACGGATATCTGAGTTTCTAGCAGCCAAACTGGGTATGAGGAAGTTTAGTGCTTAAATTTGCACACTTCAAACTGTCAGCTCCTTCAATGTGGAATGATTATTAACAGTAAGTTCTTAGAGATTTTCACCTTATATCTTGGCTATCGTGAATAATGCGTCAATGAACATGGAAGTGCAGACATCTCTTCAACATACTGATTTCAATTCCTTTGGGTTTATACCCAGGAGCGGGATTGCTGGATCATATGGGAATTCTATTTTTTGTTTGTTTTTTGAGGACTTTACATACTGTTTCTCAAAATAGCTGTAATAATTTACAATGCCACCAACGCTGTATAAGGGTTTCCTTTTCTCCACATCTTCCCAATGCTTATTTCATCTTTTTGATAATAGCCAATCTAACAGCTGTGAGATGATATTTTATTGTAGCTTTAATTTATATTTTTCTTATGATTAGAGATAGAGTATTTTTTCATATATCTGTTGACAATTCATGTGTCTTTTTTTTGAGAAATGTCTATCTATACAAGCCAAAAATCAACATTTTATATATTCTCACTACAAAGAAAGATGATAAATATTTGGGATGATGGCATGGTAATTAGCCTGATTTGATCATCCACAATGTATACATATCTCAATTAAAACATCACCTTGAACCCCATAAATATATATAATTATAATCTGTCAATTAAAAATAAGACTTAAAAAAGGAAGTTCTTAATTTGCAAAAGAATCTCTGCCCATATACCTGCTAATTAAATTACTAATCAGGCAATAATCCCTAATGTTACATTACCTAGAAAATGAAATGACAAGGTCATAATTATCTAAAGCATTACTTTAAAAGACTTGGGGAGAAAAGCTAAGCAAGCCATGGCTGGCTGAAGAGGCGAGATGATATGAGGACATTCAAGTGGCCATAGTTCATTAAACCACCTTTCTGTGCTATTCAGAAAATTGTGTTCAACAGTAACTAGCTCATTTAATACCTGAAGTGGACCATTCAGACGGTTAAACAAATGAGATTCATACAAGCCTCGTCACCCTGTAATTCACATCTCATTTGCTCTTTCCTTTGTGCTAACATCTGCTACATCACTCTTACTATCTGGACAACTCTTGTAAACTCCCCCACTGAAAACTTGCAAGGCAGTGTTCAGTTTCTTTCACATGATGTATGTTCTGCTATCTCCTTGAAATGGAATGTAGGCAACTTTAAAATGCTGTGTCGCACTTAGACTTTAGGGAACACCTGTGCAATTTTGTTTAAAGTAAACCTAAAGAGGACTGAATGCTGCTTTTCTGAACCCAAAGTCATATTCCTAAAATCTCATGTTATAGAAGTCTAATTCAGCAAAACATTCTTTCACACCCACTGAACACTCTCATAGTTAGCAAGCATCTGGTATTTCTGATAACCCTATGTGCTGACTTTACAAACCCTTCTGAAGCATCAAAATGAAACCATGTGAAAGTACCAAGTCTTTCCGTTGTCCCAGAGAGTTGCTGACACCTAAATATAGCTCATTCTTGCCCCTTACATCTACCCAGGACATTTGTGGATATCTCTGATAAGCTACCATATTTTACAAACTAGTAAACCAGATAGAGATGACAGATATCCTCTAGTAAATTTTAATTAAATGCTTTCTCTTTTACAAGGAAGTTTTTAAATCCAAGTGTCTGTTAAGCTATGTGGTAAAGGAGGAGGTGAACCATCCCTCTCAAAGGTAGATTTGTATAGTTATAGTAGGTCTCCCAGGGTCTTGAAGGCATTCAGGTTAGGATGTTTCTGGCTTCCCCAGAAGTGATCCAAACATTGATCTATAATGCAATTTTATTGAAAAATGCCACAGTTGTGACTGGCTGGGGCCAGAGTCGCATGCAGTAAAGGAATTTACTAAGAAAGGTAAAGAAAGGCACATTTATTAGAGAAAATACAAAGATACATTGCAAGGGCGCAACAGACGGGACAGCAGAGAAGGGGCTGTCTGCCAAGAGGCAGGGGCTTGAGGGAAGTTTTATAGGGTTGTGCTGGAGCGGACTACCAGTGTAATGAGGTCCTGCTGCTGGGACTATATGCAGAATGAGGTAGTGGGTTGTTTGTGATGACCTACCTCTCAGAACGATTTTTTCCCCCAACGTGGGGCCCCTTCCTCATTGTTGCTTACTTAACAGGACTCCACAAAAACAATTTATGCCAACCTCAAATTGAAATAATTTTCTAACAGATCTTAAGACTCACCTCAAGCACCAATAAAAATTTTAGAAAATTTGCAATAGTTATGGCCATCTCATTAGGGTGAATACTGTATGCTTTTGTCCATAATATTCAGAGTCTATTCCAAAGAATGAAGATACAAACATGATTAATAAACATCAATAGCAACTTTAAGAAGCTTCAACATCTTTAAGGAGGCAGATATAAAGCCACATTTTATGGTAACACAGGAAGTCCTATGAAGTTTCAGTAAGGGCAAGGGCCATTCCATTATAGCCTCCACTGAGTTCCCAATGCTTATTATGATGCCCATGTATAGTTGTCACTTTGTTAGCATTTGTTGGAGGAAGGAAAACTGGAAGCACAAATATGTGATCATGAAATACAAACAATGTACATTTTATCCAGACTGGAATTCAGACTGCTTCCTGGAAGGGATTATATCTCAATTGGGTCTTAAACCATAAATATAAATTAATTTGGCAAAATAAAATTTAAGAGGGAACTGGGTTTCCAAAGGAAATACCAGAAGCACAGAGTCATGAAGTAGCATCTTGCTTCTGGGAAACAGAAGCAGTTTGGTATTATGATGAAGTGAAGTGTAAGAGGAGAAGAGTGGGAGGGGGTGGCTGGAGAAAGAGGAGGAGTCAGAAAAGCTATGGGATGCCTCTCTAATAGTGGGCCTGGAGCCATGGGGAGGTTTTAGAGAAGGGAGTAATTTGGTGTCGCTACCATGGTGTTAGTTCAGAGCTCTGGGTCTGAGAGGAATAAATCAGTAGGTGACAGATGGGAGGAGGGAGACCTTGAGAGCGGTTATAAAGCTATTGTAAGAGTCTAGGTGAGAGGCACAATGATGACAAGAATGAGGACAGTAATTATATGTATTAGGGTAGCAAAAAAATGGAGAAATATTTAGGTGGTATAATCAGCAGAACTTAATAACAGATGGAAGATGAATGAAAAGTACCAGGTAAGGATGTTTTCATTGTGGTCACCTCACAACCAACTGAGCTGGAAAATACAGAAGGAGTAGATGTATGGGGAAAGATGATGCATCAAGCTTTGACCATTTTGAATTTGAGAAATGGTCATAGCCATTCACAAATTGGATGTGTGGTAATTGTTATCTTGGGATACAGATGAGGATGAGAGAGAATGTTACCACTCTCTCTTTGCCTTTTGCTTCTTCATTTCTACTGTGCTCTTTCCACAAATTGGAAATGTGGGTGTGATGTTCTTGAGAGAGGTACGAGTTGGAGATACTCTTTTTGAATTCATCTGCGTATCAGTGGTAGGTTAAGCCATGTGAATGATTGATATCACTCAGGGTATTATGTGGAGTGAGAAGAGATGAGCCCTAGACAAAGGCAGAGCAGACAGAGAGACAGGAGAAAGACCAAGAGGGCGAGGGTAGCTTCTGTAAAGTCTTGTCTGATGCATCAGATTCACCCAAGAAGCTTGTTAAAAGTTCTGGTCTAGGCCAGATGTGGAGGCTAACACCTGTAATCCCAGCACTTTGGGAGGCTGAAGCGGGTGGATCACTTGAGGCCAGGAGTTCAAGACCAGCCTGGCCAACATGGTGAAACCCTGTCTCTACTAAAGATACGAAATTAGCCAGGCGTGGTGACAAACGCCTGTAATCCCAGCTACTTGGGAGGCTGAGGCCTGTAATCCCAGCTGTAATATGCCTGTAATCCCAGCTACTTGGGAGGTTCAAGAATCACTTGAACCTGGGAGGCAGAGGTTTCAGTGAGCCGAGATTGCACCATTGCACTCCAGCCTGAGCAGCAAGAGTGAAACTCCATCTTTAAAAAAAAAAAAAAAAAAAAAAGTTCTGGTCTAGAGTAGGATCCAGCTATCAACATTTTAAGCATCTCCCCAAATTATGCTCATCAGTGTGATATGAAATTTCCAAAAGAAAAGAATAGTTTGATACCAATTTAAAGATAAATTCTTTAGAGGGATATAAATTGTTTCAGGCCTTTTGGAAGATACTTTGACAGTATCTACTATAATTTTTGTTTTTTGTTTGACTCATTAATTCCAATTTCTAGGAATTCATCTCAGAAACATAGCCCCGTATATGGACAGAGAGAATCTACAAACATCTTCATAGCAGCATTATTTTTATATGGCCAAAGATAGGAAATAATCTAAATGTCTGCAAGTTCAGGAATCCTTAAATTATTTACCATACTTTGCATAATGTCAATAAAGTGATAAAACACAGATAGAAGTTACACAAGAAGTAGAGGACAGACAGTGGGGAAGTGGAAAACAATGAAAGCAGACCATTCTTCTAAGAGGTTTATCTAAGAAGGGAAAGCATAGAAAAGAACCAGGATTAGATGAGGATGCAGGATCCAAGCTGGGTTTTATTTGGGGTGGAAGAGGTTTGAGCATTGTGTAGAGTGAGTGAAAGAGCAGAGTAGAAATGAAGAAGAAAAAGGCAAAGAGCGAGTGGTAACATTCTCTCTCATCCTCATCTGTGCCCCAAGATAGCAATTAGAATGGATATAGTATTACTCAGAGCGACCACTGAATACTTCATCTTGGCAACACATGTATGCTGTCTAGGTTTTGTAAGGACCTTATTTTCACATTAAGTTGCAAAGAGCTGTTATATTTTATTATTTATTTTTGTAGTAATAGCCCAAGAAGAAAAAGCAAAAGACAGGATTATCTGTGTATTCTCTTCAAAGTTGCAAAGTGCAAACATGGGGTTTTTCAGCACGTTCAGGACAGTATCTGTACTGTGAAATCATGTAAGACACATTAACTAATGCTGGAATAATAGGGTCAAAAAATCTTCTATCCATCCTAAATGCTTGAGGGGATGGGCCTCCCATTTTATATGATGTGATTATCGTGCATTGCATGCCTATATCACAACATCTCATGTACCTCATAAGCATACATACCTACTAGTACCTCCCAAAATTAAAATCAAACATTTACAAAAAATAATCCTGTATCCATTAAAGAGTCACTTCCCTGGCCTTCTGGTATGGCTACTTCCAAAATCAACAATTCTTCAAGAAAATCAGATTCTATGTTTCATTGCAAAACATTCCTGGAAAAAGTTTATGACTTATGGTTCTAGATGAGATCTTGTTTCCATCAAAATGATTATATAACTCTGATCTGCCTTTCTGATCATAAACATGATCTCATAAAAGTAAATACATAAAGCGATGTATCTCTGTAGTCACCCCAGTTAATAGTATGGCATAGCCCTGTAAAATCACAGCTATATTCTGACCAATAATATAATATGATTATATTATGTTATATTAAATGTGGCTCTAGCCATATTTGCCTTCATGGGCCCCTTCCTTCATAAAAAAATAAAAGTCATATTTTAAAAGTTTTCCTTGACATTAAAGTTTTTCTTTTAATTTCATAAGAAATTAAAATGTTTTTATGAGCCCCTATAAAAGTATTGTGGGCCCTCAGCACTGTTCCTACTGTGTCTAATGGAGAAGTAAGCCCTGCATAAAATGGGCATAAATAAATGGTAGCCTATATAAGAATATACAACATATGAAAAATAGAACCCCCAGCCTGGGTAACGCAGTAAGACCCTGTCTGTAGAAATAAAATAAAACCAAAAACCTTAAACTTTAATTTTTAAATGAAAAATGGTGAGCACCTGTAGTCCTAGCTACTTGGGAAGCTGAGGTAGGAGGATTGCTTGAGCCCTGGGGTTCAAGGCTATAGTGAGCTATGATCACCCCACTGTTCTCCAACTTGAGTGACAGAGCAAGAACCTGTCTCTTGAAAAAAAAGAAAAATAGAACCACATCTAAATATTAGTTCCTAGTAGTAGAAAGCTTACTTAAATATTTGACAAATTTGCTTGCCTTTTTAGAGTATGGATAGGGTTTGTTTTTTAATAAGAGAAATAAATAGCCCATATCTTTTGGATCTGATCCTAACAAGGGTGAACTGATTCTTTATTTCTTTCCTTGTGGAGTTGAAGAGGAGGATTTTAGATTCCTTCATTGATTAGTTATCTTCTTCTGTGGCCGCTATTCCCTTAACATCAATGGCACCTTCAAGAAGAAAATAAATCATAAGAAGAAAATGCAAATTAAAACAGAAAAATATACCATTGCACGATCTATAAATTTGGCAAGAATTTAAAAGTAGTGTAATATTGAGAAGTACTGAGGGATCTGGAACTGTCACGCAGAGCTGGTGGGAGAATAGTCTCCATTTAGTGGAGATCCATCTGGCAGTGCTAAGTCTGATCAAGCCTGTGAATGCTGTTAGACATAGAAATTCATGTCTAGCTCCTAGATCCACAGGAAATATATGCTAGGATGTCCATTGCTGCACTCTGTGGTAGCAGAGAATTGGAGGCAACTTTAGTTTTGCTATTAGGAGAAAGGATGAAGAAATATATTCTGCGCAAGAATAGAATGGTCTTCAACTGTCATAAGTAATGAATTTTAAGCATGACCACATTGATTGTAAAAACAATATTGTGTACAAAAAAAGAGATTTGTTTCTTACTGTTTTCATTACTATTCACATAACTTAATATGCAGAAAACAGTATACATTTTCAAGAATCCATACATCTAAATAAATGTTTCCAAGGAGCCATAGATCTACATACATCTGTAAAATATGGATTGGAAGGACTTTTTAAAAATGCACTAGAGAGGATACCTATATTAAGGAGAGGAAGTTGGAAGTGGAGAAACAGGCAAACATTAAATAAAACAAAAGGGAAGGCAGAGTGATCATTGTGTCATGAATTGACAAGTGTGGGCCACGTAAATTCTGAGTACTTTAAACGTAAATACAATTTTTAACAGGGCAACATCTTGACTATGTGTAAAAAGACAGGTTTGCAACTCAAACGCCAATGGGGACTATTGAAAACAGATGAGTGCACACTCCCTCAAAATAAGCACCCACTGCTCAGCTAGAACTCTGATCCCTTTAGAACATGCCAGCCTGCAATTGCCAGAACTTCTATTTTTTCAAGAAAAAAATGTTAATATTGAGGTATTATCTTTCAATCTTAAAACATTGGTTATGTTAAAGTATAATTGTTAAAAGAGTGTATAACTATGAATCTCATACAAACATAAAATGAGTACATGTAAATAAACATAAAATGAGTACACATCAAATATTTTAATTAATGAGGAAAGCAGTAAGATGTGATAACTAGCTTATAGGAGATTCCAAATAACAACATATAGATAAATGTGTGTATGTATATATATATATCTGCAAACAGGATCGCGGAAATAAATGTGCTCGGCTGGGCATGGTGGCTCACTCACGCTTGTAATCCCAGCACTTTGGCAGGCTGAAGCAGGCAGATCGCGAGGTCAGGAGATCAAGACCATGCTTGTTAATGCAGTGAAACCTCGTCTCTACTAAAAATACAAGAAAATTAGCCAGGCATGGCGGCATGCTCCTGTAGTCCCAGCTACTCAGGAGGCTGAGGCAGGAGAATTGCTTGAACCCAGGATGCAGAGGTTGCAGTGAGCTGAGATCGTGCCACTGCACTCCAGCTTGGGCAACAGAGCGAGATTCCATCTCAAAAAAAAATGTGCTTAGTACATGTAAATTTCGTCAGTATTCATAGAGCATTAATAACTGTATCTCCATTGGATACGATTTGCATTTTTATGGACAGGAATCGTTTGTGTTATTATTATATTGCACAGCATACAGAGTTGCAAAGTAGCTCAAAGATGACAAAAAGCACTGAAACCCTGTAGAGTCAAATAGCCCAGGCAATCCCTAATTTTCCGTTAGAAAAAAATCCAGTAATGCTTTTGGTCAATTTCTAAGTATTTCACATTTCCCCCGTACAATAATGAAATCAATTGAAAATGAGTAACAACTACTGCACAGCACAAATATAAGCTATCTGATGTGCATTTGGCTTCCAAGCCTCCTCTATATTTCTGACATACTATGGAGAAACAAAGACTAAGCCTTGGTTTTAGTGATGGTCAGAGTTCCTACAAGAACTTTTTAAAACCTCCTTGCCCTCCTTTTTAAAATCCCTCCTTTTGTCATCTTTATGTAAAGGCTGGAACCTGCCTTTCAGGTGTAGAAACTGTCAGATAAATGAGTAACAAAAACAGGTGTTATCCACACTGTGTTGTTGGAGATCAGAAAAAGATATCCCCAAATATGGTACTTTGACATGCAGAGCTAAAGAAGCAGCCTCAAGGTCTCCCTATGACCTTTCTTCAGCTCTTGGTCTCTCTGATCCTCTTTCCTGAAGCATCTGGAGAGACTTTCCAGAATTTTCCTATCTGACTAAGACAACTTCTTTCCAAAAAACAAACAAAAAAAGCAATTGTCTTAAGATCCCCTCCCTAGAAATCTCACCAAATAACCAGGAAAGATTAACCACTGGAGAAGAGGAGACTGGGAGTCATCACCATCCCCAGATAGATTTTTCATCAGTTCTGAGAGCAATTGAGAGATATTACCTAGGGGACTCTTATCTGCATAATAAGTCAACCTCTGTTCCTGTGCAGTTCTGCCCCTCACCTTCCCTCTGAAGCCCTACCCAGTTTTCAAAGAGAATTATTTACAAAATAATGTTTGCTTCCTAGATCCATACATTTCTCCCTATAAAGAGAGTATTTAAGCTTCAACCATCTGGCCCTTCTTTGAGTCTCACACTTTATGTATGGCTCCTGTGTCCATATGTATGTTAAATTTGTATGCCTTTTTCTTCAATCAGCTTAAAGTAAGTTCATTTTCAGCAAACCTTTACTGGGTAGAGGATAAACTTTCCCTTGGCCCCTAAAATGTTAAAAAGAATGGCAAATTGGAATGCACATACGACTGCATGCATCTTCAAGGACCTGATTCTTCTAATCAAGCAAAACTTTTCCAATAAGATAACAGCCATTTGCCAGGAGATAGGTCATCGCTTGTAGGAGCTGTGACAAGAGAAACAAGTAGAATAAGTAAATTGAGAAAGCAATCAAACATCTCATGGAGAGCAGAGTTTTGAAATTTTTGCCAGTCTCTAAGCTGTGGCTTTCCATTTACTTTTTTAATAGTAGGCAGAAACTGTCTGCTACGTTTTTAGCTCCAAAGTCACTTGATCTTTTGCAGAATTTACAATTTTGCAATATGTCATCTAATTATCTCTCTAAATTCAATGTGTTCCATTCTATTCATCCCCTTTTGATTACCACCTGAAGAGGAATGCTTTGTCTTTTCAGGATAACTGGCCCCATATAGCAGAGTAATAAATGCAGTCTGTGGTCTGATCTCTGCTTTTTCCAAAAACCTGTGTTGGTATAAATCCTGAAACATTAACTTGAGCTAAGTTAATTGCAGTCTTGAATTTAAAATACCTACTTCATAAGCTTTCTCTCTATGGGGCAATAATTCCTGTGGACTTCAAACCATTTTGTCACAGAGTTAGGTGGGATAGGTGGATATATGATCCAAGTGCCTGTTTCCAGAAAAGCTTTTGCCTTGCTATTAAAATAATTTAATACTTTCTTATTTGTGTTAATTTGAATGGTGTGACCTGTGGTAGCAGACATATTTAATCACCAGTACAGAACTTGCTATGTAAAAAATAAATTTGTTCTGACTTAATGTTTGTCATGAAATGTATACCATCAATTTCCCTCAGTGCTTTTGGTTTAAATCAGATACATCTCTGTCTTGGAGAAGGAATGATGTGCAGACAGCTCCAGTGTGCTTTTTCAGCAACGTTTTAATTTGGTCTAAAAACAAGGACCCTTTCTGATTTGTTTTTCCATGTTCCTCTCATCACTGGTGGCATTTTAAAGCCATTTAGGGGCCCATCTTGGGTCATTATCAGAACTTTTCACCTGATTCAACTTTTGGCCTAGAATTGGCATTGCTCACGTCTTTATTTGGGATGGCAGGAAAGTTGAACAAGGCACAAATGGCCCTTTCTAAAAAGCATTCTTCTCTAGATTGCTGGGTGCTTCCTGGGATTCCAGATTAGAAGGGCCACCTTTGGGCATGTGTTCTAAACACTACAGTGAAGAGATCCTCCTCTGTGATTTCAGACGCTCCCATTGGATCAACTTTTATGTTTCTGGAACAAAAGGTGTCAACCGCTTTCAAAAGAATTACAGTTATTTATAAATTGTAGCTTCCTTAGAATCTTCTCTTTCATGAAGAGTATAAGGAACCAAATTTGGAAGGCTAGGCAATGAATGAGTTTTAAAAACAGTTATTTACTTGGTTCAGAAAAAAAAAAATCAGTACATCTATTTAAAGCAGTTTTTCAACCTTGCCACTATTGGTATTTTAGGCTCTACATTTTGGATCATCCTGTGCATTACAGGATGTATAGCAGCATCCCTGGCCTCCACCTACTAGATTCCAGTAGCACCCCAGCCTCCAGCAGTGAAAAGGAGGCCTAGCATGACTAGCTCCATTTTCCTCTTAATGCATCCCCCTTGAAATACACACAATGATATCTTTTAGGTTAACTGCTTTTGCTTATCTCTGCATGTAGGTTGAGCTAACTATGGGAGGAATTTAGTTTATAGTTTAACTTTAAAGCAAAGATTGATAATAGTCCCTTTCCGACAACTAACCCTGCAGGAAATAAGAAGAATGTACACACAAGTAACAGTGTTATGTTGAAGATTATAGGAGTATTGTGCCCTGACCAAGGCCAAAGAAGCTTCACCTTCCCCACCACCCACTCTGACCCTTGCTGCTACCCAGATGTCTGTGCTCATCACTCACCTCTGGATCTCAACCCTCTCCCTCTTCTCCCTTCCCCTAATATCAAAGGAGCCTAAAATTCTATTTATTTAAGATGGTTCTTTAGGACACTAGTACGCCATCTTCTCGGTTTGCTCGCTTTCCAAAATAAAGTCACTTTCCTTGCACCAGCACCTTGTCTCTTGATGTACTGGCTGCCATGGGCAGAGCAGTACCAGCTTTGGACTCATTTACAGTCCCTACTCCTACCTGACGCCCCATTGTGACAATCAAATTTGTCTTCATAAATCAAATTGCACACCCTCCACCCCCTTGATTACAACTGATGTCAAGTCAGGCAGGGTTGTAAAGGGCTGAAAGGGTCATCCTTTATTTCTCTAAATTTGATTCATGAATAATCAGGAATGCACCATTTTGAGAAAAAGCAGAGCAAATAACATACTGGCATCAGTGAGAAATCCATTCTATTTTAACATCGATTTCATACAAAGCACCAAGTCATAACGAATACCATGCAGGCATGCAGTGTGGTTCTGGATGACTCTCTTCTACTTGTTCTTTTGGTATGGTAGGTGCATCTATATAGATTCCCCTCCCAGGCTGGATAATTTGATTCGAAGCACAAATTTTTTAAGTCAATTCCACGGTGGAGAGCAACACTTTTGAGAACAATAACGAATTGATTTTGTCTGCATTTTTTTTTGCTCTGCCATAAAGTCTAATAGAGCTCTCTTAAGAAAGGCCACAGTTGTGAAATCTGTGTCAGATAATAGAGTTGATTTATTTGTATGAACCCATCAGCTCCTCTATTACATTTGCCAATTAGTCTAAATTCTTCCTCATTATAGAAGATTTCAAGAGTGTAAACATTCTCCCCCAGTTAAAACCCCAAAGATCATCAAACTGAGCATTTATGGTGCCTTTTTGCAAACAATGCAGCCATGGTGGCAGCTTAAATAGCTTTCCTGCAGCTCACCTCTTCAGAATACAGAATGCATTTGTTTAAAAATTGTGCTTAACTTAACTCCACCTCTGGGCCCAAGAACATGCCGTAGATTTAAAGATTATTAAGAAAATGAATCAGGTTTGTCCCATTTCTGTTGGTAGATGGCTTTCTGTCCTGAGAGAACCTTGATTTAATGGCATTTTTATCTTCTTAATTAGATTCAATTTGTTAAGAAAAATAAAGATGGTAAATTACAGTTTTAAGATTATCTGAGCCTGAGACAGGATTACATTTCACGATTAACAATCACAACTTTCTTTCTCAAAAGCCTTCTCTAATTTAGCAGATGCTCCTGTCAGCCAGCAATCAGGAGACAGTGTTAAGATCCAGGGACTTAACCTTTATAGGATTCTAAGCTTTTCTGAAGCCAGCGTCAAAGCATCTCCAAGTCCCTTGGCTGGGGAAAAAGGAAAGCAGTGACAATTCTTTCTAGTTACCCATACCTCAAAGGCAGGAAATGGTATCTCAATGTTTTCTCCACTGAAGCCTTAAGTTTTAAAACCATGGTCTCCTGATTCTCAGCTGACAGGAGCATCGGCTAAATTAGGGAGGGTTTTTAAGAAGGAATGTTGTGATTGTTAGTGGTGAAATGTAATCCTGTCTCAGGCTGTTCTAACCTGCTCAATCAGCGGTCTTTTCTTACCTAATTACACGATTCTAAGAAAATCTAATGAGGTGCTGTCAGATTTACATTGGAATTATTTTAAATGTTATCACAGTAGCCATGGTGATGATATATAAATGGACAAAATGCCAAAGATCTGGAGAAATGTCGCAATTACACCCACAGTCGCTCAGCATAGGCATTAAGTCAGCATATTTTAAGCCTTTTGGATCCTCAAGCAAATGGGCTATTTTAGTCAGTAAAAAGAAGTAATATAAGATGGAAACAGTTTAAGTCACATTATCAAGCTGATCTTTATTTCCTTTTATTAATACTCCAGCAGGAAGAACAGGATTCAAATCTATTCCTTCATTGCTTTTCAGTTCTTCAGGTATTGCTATTTGGCTTTTCATAGGACTTGTAATATGAGATTTCTTAGGAAAATTTTAGTTATTGTAATGCTTTCATTATGTTTTCATAGCTCCTTGGGACGATGCAATGATGAAACAACTTTTTACATGCATTTAGTTTTAAAAAACCTAGAAACAAAATAATTGTAATGCTCATTGATCCTAGTTATCGATGAAGCTGTCGCTTACCAACATGAGGCTAAATTTCACTTTCACAGGGACTCACATACCTAAGTAACCAAGGAACTGTAAGTATACTCAGCTCCAGTGCTAAGAAAGGGCAGAAAGAGACCATTTTTGGAATTTTCCAAGTCCTCAAACACCTTGAGAAAAGATTATTTTCATCTACCCTGATATCCATGACACAGAAGCAGGGCAGAGCATGCAGTATTTGCCTTTTCTGTAAAGAAACATCTTTTGTCCAGGCATCTTTTTTATAAGGGTGATACAAAATAGGTTCAGCAAATACCCCATAGATATATCTATATAGATATAGATATAGATATAGATACAGCGCAACTACAGTTTTAGTCTGTTTGGGCTGCTGTAATAAAATACCATAAGCTGGGTGGCTTATAAACAACAGTTCTGGAGACTGGGAAGTCTAAGATCATGTTGTCAGCAGATTCAGTGTCTGGTAAGATCGTACACAAAGGCTCTTCACTGTGCCTCCATTGGTGGAAAAGGTGAAGCAGCTCTCTGGGGCCTCTTTTACAAGGGGTCTACTCCCATTCATGAGGGCTCTGCTCTGGTGACCTAATCACTTTCCAAAGGTTCCACCCCCTAATACCATCACCTTGGGGATTAAGATCGCAATATGTGAATTCCAGGGACACATAAACATTCAGACCGTAGCAACTACCCCATCCAGAAAATATGACAAATATTGCCCATTTTTCTTTCATATTCTTTCCTCGTATTTCTTGTCAACCTCACTCTCCACAAAGAGTCTAACTATGTGTCAAAGTAGGCATGTAAAAAGAATCTAATCTACCATCCCAGGAGTGGAAGACAATAAACCATATTTAATAGTACATCAACTTTCTATCTTGAAACACACTCACAGGCAAAATCAAATCATTGTTTTGAAATAGTTTCAGAGTTGATGCATTGTTTCTTCCAATGGTAGCTGTTCACATCTTGTTCTACTTCAGTTGTACCATCTGGAGTTCTGCAATACATAATCTGTGTGTCTCTTTAGTCATGCAGTTATCAGTGATGACCAAATTAGAATGCAAGTCACCAGAGAACAGGTTCTTATCCACAGCCGATTATCTCATTTTAAATACAATTTTAGAAATCTGGTTGAGTTACCAACTTCCCAAAATTTAGAAGCTCAAGAATGCTAGAGGAAGTGCTACTGCAAGGTGGACAAACTGATAAGAGGGAGCCTCACATCAAAAGAAGTGATAGAAAAATATTTTGAATGGATTCAAGATATCAACTTGTTTAATGTAAGTTATTAAGGGTCTTCTGCCCTTAAATAACTAAGATGATCATTGATAACTAATCATTGTTTATGATGGTATCCCATAATTATCAAGAAAAATTTAGATTACGTATGCTTCTTATCAATTGTTTAAAGATAGAATGTTTTTAGAGTTTTATCTAAATTCAGGGTCTCCCAATTACAACTTTATTCCCTGCCTCTCCTATTCTGTTTATCGACTGAACACTCCTAAGTCGTCATTGGGCCCCTCTTGTTCACTCCATGTGAAGATTTTCTGCTGGCTTCACTTGCCCTTCTGTCAGAACGGAACTTGGAGAAGAATCAGGTTCAAGGGGAACACCAGTGCCAACAATAAGAAAGAGAGATGAGGTGGAATACTGTCTGATGTAAGACAGCCCAGATTCACAGAGTGGCTCCTCCACCCTGAGACCTTGGGCACATTATGATGTTCTTGTTCCTCAGTTTTCTCCTGTGTAAAAAGGTAGGATAATAAGAATACCCACATCACAATGCTGTGAGCATTAAATATATTTATTAGCTTCGAACAGTACCACAGCCCATGTCAATTGCCTAAGAAATATTAGCCAACACTATTACTAGGATTGCTATTTTGTTGTTGATGGAATTATTAATAAACACAAGACATGATTCTGTTGCCTTTGTCTTTGGATTATAAACTCCATAGAAAGAGGGGCCATGTATTTTGCATTCAGCATTATATTCATATTCATGAATACAATAAAGAATGCCAAAGGAATAGTATGAATAGGAATGAGATGTGAAAAGGTATCCAGGATGAACTTATCACTTGAGAATTTTTCCTATCACCCCAGATTCAACTCCTAGCTTTGGAAGCAGACTTTTTAATCATAACAATTATCCAAGCATATTGTACAGTAGTATTCATTTATAAATACGGATCTTTCCCTGCAAAAGGAAACTCAAGGCAAGGAATGTGTCAGATAATTCCTAGAAAGGCTAATTGGTTGGTTGAACAAGGGAAAAATAAATAAATACATTGAAAGTTGTTTATTAATTTTTAGAAATTTGATTTACGTGTGTACGATCTAAATTTCAGCCTTCCTAAATTCATCTTCTCTTGTTTCTGAGATCTATTCACACAGGATCAGAAAGTACCACAGGCTGGCAGAAGGCACAGCATCATGCAGAATGCACGATTTCCAGTTCCCTGTGCTGGAATTCTTCAGGTGTACGTGTCATTAAAGGGGGAGCATCAAGTTGTGTACTGAGAGTTAAACAAGGTCATATGAAAAAGGATACCCATAAAATGAGTTCAAGTAATTACACTAGACAGGGTTTGATTACTCTCTCTGATCCGTTTACCTTCCCTGTAATTCAGAGCCATGCCTGAGAGGGCAGGACTGCCATCAGCCCAAGTCGGTGATTTCAGAGTAGCAAATGATAAACATAATATGTGACATGGCCCCATAACAAAGCTGCTGGGAACAGCACTTGAAACCCCATTTCCTAATAATGTCATAGGCCCCTTCATTTATTTGTCTTGGTGCCTTTTTCCTTCATCAGGCTGATTGCTGATAAGGATTCACATCCTATCGCAAACATGTCAGTCACTGAAGCCGCTGCGGCTTGTGAATGATGTCCAAATCAATATCTTAACAGAATTTTTTTGTTTTTTCAAAAGAGAGGAAGGTTATGAGAAAGATGAGATAACGTGAGTGTATTCATGGCAAAAGGCAGCAAAAAAGAGAATGATCATGAAGTGTGTGTGTGTGTGTGTGTGTGTGTGTGTGTGGTGAGGTTGGGAATGAGTGTTGAAAAGCACAAAAGGAAGTGGAATAGAAAGCCTGATGTGTCAATGCAAGGGTTATGAATACCAACCAGGAGAAAATCTTCTGATAGTTAAGGTGAAAGCTCTTTTAAAATAGTTAACTCGAAGCAAATAAAGGTAACCAAGCAGGAGTCTTTTCCCTGGATTTTTAGTAATTTCTAAAGCAAACACCTGGCTCGTTCTTTATTTCTCCACACAGTGCACATGTATCCACATGCTGGGCTATTTTTTGTGGGAAGTGCAGCAGAGCTCTGTTCCAGAATTGCCTGCTCAAAATTACACAACTTGGAGCGGCTTTACAAAACAACTATTTTTAAGAAATGCCAGGAGATTTTCTCTGAAATTCTAGTGTAGTTGGATCTTACGGTTCTTGGTATATTTGAATGGGCTTCAAAGGAGATTTTCCCAAGTGGCCCTCATGTTCTTTTCAAGAGGTGCACACCCTGTCGTAAGAATTATTTGGTGGTGGTTTTTTGAGTCTGGCTGGTGAAGCAATTCTTCACAAATCTCCCCTACAAAATGCAGTGAGAAATACATAGACCTTGTATGTGATAGTATCTTTGGGCCCCTTGAAGTATTGATATGATTGGTCTGACCCTCATGCCTGCACCATGAGAGTATAAAGCCCTCTCCAATATTTCAGTGGATTACCATCTCATAGTCAACTGTGTCCTTCTTCTGAATCTGACAGAAAGTTCAGTCCATTCTTTAATTCCAATGCTGAAAGATAGGTAAAGAAATAAAGTTACTCATACTATGCACAAGTGAGTACGGGTGATTTTACTAAAGATGTGGAAATGATTTGGGAGAGGGGTTTAAAAGTGAGCATTAGATGTCTACATCTATGAAATGCCCATTGGTTACCCTCCAACCAAGGCACTTCCCATGCCCCTCACCACCAAATCAGTGCCAGCCTTCCTCCATCTCACTTGCATTTCCCTGTTTCTAAGCCTGCCTGCTTTGCTTTGTTTTCTTCTTCCTTCTCAGAAGCAGAATTTCTCTCTCCTCTAATAAGATGTGATTAGACTTTCTCTTCTAGTGTCTTGGCTTACGGATAAACAAAACATACATTTTTTTTCAATGAGTGAAATTCTGACACACATGCTACCACATGGATGAACCTTAAAAACATGCTATGTGAAGTAACCCAAACACAAAACAACAAATGTTGTATGTAGAAGTTACTAGGGAAATAGAAGTTATTGCTTAATGGGCATAGTTTCTGTTTAGGATGATGAAAAAGTTCTGGAAACAGATAATGGGGCTTCTTGCACAACATTGTTAATGTAACTAAAGCCACTTATTTGTACACTTGAAATGGTTAAAATGGTAAATGTTATGTTACGTATATGGTGCTGCAATAAAAAAAGCAATTATGGGTCAGTAGTAGGTTAAAAACCGTTGAAGTGTACTATTAAGCAAAAATGGAAATTAATTAATAAGTAGACAAAGATTTTTTAAATTATCATGCTTAACACTAATAAAAAGTAAAGTTGGATAACTAACACACTGCTGATGAAATACAAATGCACATTGCATATCTGGAAAGAAATATGGCAATATAGGTCATGAGAGTGAAGAGTACTCATTTTTTAATTCAACAATCTCACTTAAGTTTGAAGACAAAGACTTATGCATTAATTTTTCATTCAAGTTTTTGTAGTTATTTATTGTGTTGTTAATGTCTTGCACAAAGTAGCTGGGTTTGCTATGTCAGCATTTAAGGAGATGGATTTTCTGTGCTACTAATCCTCCTAATAGGGCACAGGAAGGTCATGGTTATATAGTCAAAACGTTCAGTTGGTTCTTTGTTTGGAATATCAAAATATGTAAAAGATTCTATTTTGCCTCAGAGTTTACATGTATGGTGTTAGGGATGTTTAGAGTTCTTCAACATGACTCTAATATTACAGCAACATGAGATAAAAATTAAGAAAGGAATAAGCCAGGTGTGCTGGTACACACCTGCAGTCCCAGCTATTTGGGAAGCTAAAGTGGGAAGATAGTGTGGGGCCAGGAATTAAAGGCTGTGGCGCTTCATAATTGCACCTGTGAAGACCTACTGCCCTTCAGCCTGAGCGACAAAGTAAGACCTTGTCTCTAAAAAAAATAAATAAAATAGACCAGGTGCGATGGCACACGCCTGTAATCCCAGCATTTTGGGAGGCTGAGGCAGGTGGATAACCTGAGGTCTGGAGTTAGAGACCAGCCTGACTAACTTGGTGAAACCCCATCTCTGCTAAATACAAAAAATTAGCTGGGCGTGGTGGCACATGCCTGTAATCCCAGCTCCTTGGGAGGCTGAGGCAGGAGAATTGCTTGAACCTGGGAGGTGGAGGTTGCAGTGAGCCGAGATCATGCCACTGTACTCCAGCCTGGGCAACAAGAGCAAAATGCCATCTCAAATAAATAAATAAATACATACATACATACAAAAATAAAATAAAATTTAAATTTAAAAATATTTTAAAAAATAAGAAACGGAAATGTATAGTATTACTCACGCACACACAAAGGCAAACTCTCACAGACTTCCAGCGTACTAACTTTTCCTATTACAATATTCCCAAACTTTTAATCTTTTTCAGAGCCACCTGTTATAAATTTGACCCTTTACTTCAAACTCTGACCCTTTTGTTTGCTCTCTCTGAGAGGAGCTAAAAAACAAGTCATTCATGAGATCATATGCACAAAAAATAAATTTTTCATTCCTGTTTAATCATCTCGTTTAGCAGGTTATTTTCAGCAAGTACATGAGGACTTTGAGCTTAAAATTGAAAAATTTGAAATCAGAACAAAAAATCAAACAGAAATGGCTTTGTGAATTTGATTATATGCTATTTGAATACTTTGATTTTCAGAGTCTTTCTACAATAATACAAACTTAGGCCCATACTTAATGCCCTGAACCGTTTGTTGTTTCATACTTAATGCCCTGAACCATTTGTTGTGATTAGTGTTCTGGTAGCATCAATTGTCATATTATAGAACTCCTACAAAGATTTTACAAATCCAACCTTACATTTAATTTATTTAATATGTTCACAAAGACTTCATTCATTAGGTTCTTAAGCAGTTTGGCATGTTTACGTTTCAAAACTCGGTCAAGCTTCTTTAAGAAAGGAAAAATCTTTCCAAATTGTTTTGAGATTAAGTGGTGGAGAAAATACTAATCAAACAAAAACTTAAGCCACTTCTGCTAACATAAAAATAAGGCTGTTTAAGAATATTATTTTTTTTACTCAAATATTTGACTAAAATCACATAAGCAGCCTGAAATAAATACAGATAAGTTACTTAGTTTCTCATTATCCCAATAAGAATGAGCACTGTGTAAAGTGTCATTCACTCATTCCACTCTACGCTACGGTGTGTGAGCACGTTCTAGATCCTCAATAGCCAACCAAAGCCCTTTTCTGCCCAAGCATTGCTTGTTCTATTAGTGTAGGGAAACAGGAATAAATCAATAATCAAGAAAATCTATAATACTAGGTAGTGGCAATTATTATGGAGGAAAGTAAAATATGGCAAAAGGGTGAAGGAGAGGGTTGCTATTTCATATTAGATGGTCAGAAAATGTTCCTTTCATTGCTAATAATTGTCACTAATAGATTTTCTGCCTCTGTTCTGCTTATCTAATGCTATGAAACAAACATTCCTAAAACATAATGTCTTAAAATGATAACAATACTGATTTTGCTCGTGAATCTGCAATCTGTATAGGCTATTGTGGGGGCAGCTCCTCTCTACTCCCCTTTGTGCCAGCTGGGGTGATGCGGAAGCTGAGGCTGGAGTCACCCCAAGCTCGCTGATTCATATATCTGACCCTCATGCCTGCACCATGAGAGTATAAAGCCCTCTCCAATATTTCAGTGGATTACGGTCTCATAGTCAACTCTGTCCTTCTTTAATTCCAGCCCATTCTTTAATTCCAATGCTGAAAGTGCCTGAGCTGGCAAGACTGAAACCCCTGGTGACAAGAACAGCCAGGACCCCTCAGGCGTCTCTTTCCGTCTCCATGGGGTCTCTCTACAGGATGTTTCCAGCATGGTGGCTTTATGGTAACCAAATATCTTGTATGTCGTCCTGGGAGAAGTTGTGACCTACTCAAGGAAGTCCCATAGCATCACCTGTGCCACACTCTATTGTGCCCAGGTTGAAAGGGAGAGGAAATAACCTAAGAAGGCTCTGAAACAGCATGCAGGACAGAAATATTGCTGTGGCCTTTTTAAACAATGCCACGGGATCTCTCTGTTTTACTTCATATGGAAAATAGGAAAATCAACTTTAATTGAGCACAGACTCCTAGACCTCTTCTCCAAGGACAAAAGTGAAGCTAATACAGCTTTGAGGTATCAGCTCTGCCTCCAAATTTCTGGGCTACACCATCTTAAAATAGTAATTACTGCTCTTACCCTTAACACATTCATGATGCTGGCATTTCATCAATGTTTTTGTATACAGCCTTCCTTTGAGCATGCTTATGAGAAAAATGACCAAAAGTAGATGTGTATAATCTTCATTTGAACTATACATGAGTGAGCAGGTTTGTGGTGACTCACATCACTTGGATCAACTTGAAAAATATTCCACACTGACACACCACCACTTTCAGACTGGTAAATATCTCAACACAAAGTTATAAAAAGGATGTCATAAATGGTAACATCCTCATGCTGAGGACCTTGGTAAGTACAGATTCCATCCAGATTGTGAGTCTAGGGAAAGCAATGGCTCCCAGACATCTTTCAATGAGGTTTCCTGTTTATTCAGAAAGGATGGCAGCAGCACATGGCACCTACTCTTTCAGAAGCTGGGATCCTTTGGCCTTTTCCTGCCAGCATCCTTTGCTTGTGCTTTCCTTATTAAACTTTATGTAACAGAAGATCTCTGCTCTTATATCTCTATTCTTGAAAAGTCCTCAACAATGTGACATGTGCCCCCAAAGTCAGTCGTTGCCAAAGCCCATCAATGAGAAATAAATAATTTATTGAAGATCTCGGGCAAATGGAGAAGAGAATTGATATACCACATGACACAGTGTAAATTTAATGAAAATTCTCTTCTCTGCCAAGAGACAACTGTCTCATCTCTCCTTCCCTTTTACAACCACATGTGCCTTTTAATAATTCCCTTTATAACGTGAATGGCTATAACCTGACTCTCCTTGCCCATTCACCCATAGGTTTTCCCTATTTACAAATCCACGAGCAGCCCAACAAAAGCACAGAAGATGCTCAGCACTGAGTGTCTATCACTCCTTGAGCAGGGCCTTGGAGTCCCATTCACACTGAATCAACCCCAGGAGCTGAGTGCTTGGACTCCATAGCATAGTGGTTCTCAAGCTTGGCTGCACAGTGGCATCATCTGGTATGTTAGGGCTGCACCCCAGATGAACTGAATTCAGTGCTCATGGTGGTAGATACCAGGCTCTATGTTTTCTGATGCAAAGAGAGGAAACTCAACAACTTCTACCCTGTGGGGACATCTGTTGCTTTCTAAAGCTTCTACCACCACTTCCTTCTCATGTTTCTTTTACCTGGTCCCCCTCTCCTTGCCCACTCACCCATATGGTCTCTCCATCCCAGGAAGCAGCCAGAACAATTCTATGGCTAGGATTTTGTGGTATACATTGTGAGAAGCATTTCTTTCAGCAGTGGCCCAATTATTCTTACAATTAACAGGACTAATATAATTTTAACATGCTTCACATAAAAAACTTTGAAAATACCACAAGGAAACATAAATGAATGAGTCAAAACACATGGAAATGTGCCTTTGTGCACTATTGCTGTTACAAACAAACTGGCATGTGAGCTTTAGTTGATATTTTCTATCCCCTAAATGTAATAGGATATTTACACATCTATGTATATTATTATAAATTTATATGTTTTCAAACACAAAGTTATTTCCTTCATTAAAAATATCCAGTTTGCCTACCAAACAAACTATGTACGTTATGGACTGTGATGATTCTTTGAGATAATTAACGTAAAGCTTTTAGCACTGTGCAGACCTGGGGCTTGGGTGAGGTAAGGGTGTACAAAATTTAAATGCTAAAATCCTCAATGATCAAGAGAAGTAATTTTGTTTCTTTCCAACTTTATTTTAGGTTCAGGATACATGTGCAGGTTTGTTATATGGGTAAATTGTGTGTCATGGGGGTTTGGTGTACAGATTATTTTGTCACCCAGGTAATGAACATAGTACCCGATTGGTAGTTTTTCCATATTCTCCCTCCTCCCACCCTCCACTCCCAAGTAGGCCCCCGGGTCTATTGTTCCCTTCTTTGTGTCCATGTGTACTCAACGTTTAGCTCTCACTTGTGAGAACATGCGATATTTGGTTTTCTGATTCTGCTTTGATTATCTTAGGATAAGGACTTCCAGCTCCATCTATGTTGCTGCAAAGGATGAAAAGGACATGATCTCATTATTTTTATGACTTTGTAGTATTCTGTGGTTTATATGAACCACATTTTCTTTATCCAGTCCACCATTTACTTTTGCACCAACATAATACTTTTTGACTTTTCAATAACAGCCATTCTGACTGATGTGAGATGGTTTTTCATTGTGGTTTTGATTTGCATTGAGAAGTTACTTTTTCATGTGATATATTTCAAAGTTAAAATTAATGGAAAAATCCCCCAATGAACAAAATATCAACATTTTTAATAAAGACAAGTTCAGTAACAGTACCATGCTGAACAATTTTGGAACCGGAAATAAGAAAAAAATGAATAAAACAGATTCCACTTACATTTGAATATTACTATCTTCTTCATCATGGATTTATTGCATTTATTGTGATTTTAAAAATATATTGCTTTAAAATATTGTCTTGATTATTGAGTTTTTCTTTTCCTTTTTTGGTGTCTTCTTAAACTTTCCACCTGAGACAGGTACCTCACTCACATCACCTTACTCCATGCCCTTGAACAATGTCTGGCACATACCAGGTTCTCACTAAATGGTTGATTTATCATCAGCAAGTCATACTTTTCCATCTCTTGCTCAGCCTCAGATGTTCCAAGCCCTCAGGTCTAATAGCAACTAGCTGCCTAACCCAAACATATCCTCCTCTTCACTTTCTTCTCCTGCAGAAAGACTTGGCACTCAATATACCACCCTAGTCTTATAATTTTTACAGGTTAGAGCTCAATTAGCTTCACCTACAGAATCTCTTTTCCACACTTGAATTCCATCTTTAACTCTTGCAAAATGTTCAGAAGATTTCTTCCAATCTCCAGAAAACTCCATCTGCTTCTTTTTTCCTCTAATTAAACCTAGTTCTCGTCAAATAACAGAACATTCTATGAAAATATCATTTTGGGGGCCAGGTGTGGTAGCTCACACCTGTAATCATAGCACTTTTGAGATGCCAAGGCAGGCAGATTGCTTGAGCTCAGGAATTCTAGATCAGCCTGGACTACATAGCCAAACCCTGTCTCTACAAAAAATAGAAAAATTAGCTGGGTATGGTAACATGTGCCTATAGTCCCAGCTACTCAGGAGGCTGAGGTGGAAGGATCACCTGAGCCTTGGGAGGTTGAGGCTGCAGTGAGCCATGATCATGTTGCTGCACTCCAGCCTGAGTGACAGTGAGACCATGTCTCAAAAATATAAAAAAAGAAAAAATATTATTTTTCCTAGTCAATATTATTGTGACAATCATTAGATTTTCATTGTTGAATATTTAAAGTTCTTCATTGAGTGTATTAGTAGCCATGATGCCAGGGGAAAAATATTGATCTTAGTGTTAAAAGTTCTGGATTCAAATCATAGTTTTCTACTTAATGCTAATTGTATGACCTTGGGCAAGATACTTGTGTCCATTATATTTTCTATTTGGAAGCTATTTGGTACGCAAAAATGTTACACACTTGTATGCTTTATTTTCATGATCAGTAATAATATTAGAAACGTAATGAGAATCCCTGAGCTAGCTTTAAAATATAGACATCACTATTTAAATCAATGCAATATAAAATGCATCTTGAATTGCATAAAAATAAGTTATAGATTATAAAAAATAATTGCTACAATATGAAGACTTCTTATGTGTATTATATAAAGCAAGTATAAAAGAGATAGTAGATTATACCGTACTTGATTGTTGCTTGGATAACATTGTACAGTAAGTATCATTTTCTTTCTTTTTCCTTTTTTTTTTTTTTTTGAGACAGTCTCACTCTGTCACCCAGGTTAGAGTGCAGTAGTGCAACCTTGGCTCACTGAAACTTCCACCTCCTAGGCTCAAGCCATCCTCCCACCTTAGCCTCCAGAGTAGCTGGGACCACAGACATGCACCACCATGCCCGGCTAATTCGTAGGTATCATTTTCTAAATACAACTTCTTCTGTGTTTCCTAAACTTCAGTGGCTTTCAGACTTTGGTGTATATTTTACTAAAATGCAGATTGCTGGGCCCCTCTGCATTAGAAATTCTAATTCAGAAGGTCTGAGCTGAGGTTTAAGAATTTTAATTTCTAGGGAGTGCCTGAATGATGCTGATGCTGCTGATTCAGAGACCACACTTTGAGAACCACTGTTCTAGTCAAATCCTTACTAGGGGATTTTACCCTAGTATTCAGCATCACTTTGATCCCACTGTACAATGAGACTATGTAAGAGAGAGAAATGAAAAATGAGGCAGAATTTCATCCTTTATTGTCATAGCAACCAGCAATCACTGTGATAATGCCCATAACAAAATAGCGTCTTATTGTTTTATGAGTTGTCAATCAGATTTTAATCAAATTGATTTTTTTAACTTGTAGAAATAATTCTCACCCTCATATAACTCCCTGGGCCCATTACATTATATGAGATCAGGAGACACAATTGAGTGAGCAACTTTGATATTTCTTTCTTCTACAGAGTCTAAATTTTGATTCTGAATCCTGTTCCAAAAACTTTTTCTTGGCTTTGACATTGGCTATTATCTCCTCACTCTGCCAACCTGCTCTTAAACTGGCCCAGCTTCAATCTGGGCAAAATGCCCTGATGAAGCCAGGAAGCAGAATTGATTGCTACCAAGAAAACCTTGCCCTCTTTGTCTGTTCCTGTTATCAGGCTGGAAAGCAATCACTGGAAACTTCATTCTACTCACAGAATATTCAAAGTTGCGTCTGAAGTATTGTTCATTTGAAACCAGTGAGTATCCAGTCATACTCACTAGTATTTGCTTGGATCTCAGTAATATCTGTCCAGCATTGCCCTCTAGTGCTTGTGGGCATGTTTCTAAAGATGCCTCACATCTTCTAATTAGGGGGTTTGGAAATAAATTATTTAGAGAAAGATATCCTCCCATAACTTCACAGCAGGCTGAATGAAAGTTAAGTCCCAGACAGCATAAGAAGTTTTATGAGTACCTCTTACTTGGTCAACCAAAAGTGAAATATATATATATTTCTACTTTTATTCATCTTTTCTATTATGACAGACAAGATTTGTGTATACTTTTGACCGGCCTGAAAAGAAACAGTGTAGATTATTTAAATGAAATAATTTAAGCCACAATTTTTCCTTTGTGCTACAATTTCTTTTGCTCTGCAAATTTATCTTTATATGTATTTTCTAAACACAGTATGAGGTTGCGCCTTCAGAAAATGCTGCAGAATTTCTTTCAGGATCAGCTAAAAAAGTTCTGGATGGTTGTTCAGTTTGGGATGGGGAGCTTGGTACAAATTTTAGCAATGTCTGAGTTATATACTGACGCTTTCCCTTTCTGCCTGGAAAAAACAATTAAAAAGAAAAAGAAAATGAAAGATTAAAGAAAAATCAACCAACAATCTTATGTGTCTCATTTTGAACTCTATTCTTTCTCAACTGTGCAGGTAGCTCCCTGCACAGCGTGGCCACCAAAGGTCACAGACAGTGTCTGCTGTGCTCATCTGTTCACGTGACAGGAAAAGTGCCCTCTGCGTTCTGGCCTGAAAAGCCAAAATGCAAGTGTATGACCTCCCTGATCTCCTGAGTTGTTTTTTTTTGGGAGACAGAGCTTTTGTGTTTCTAATTGGGCTAGAAGTATAGCTATGGCTTTTGCTTTGCTTGAAAGCAAACAGACAGTGGGATTTTCCAGGCAGCTTTGACCAGCTAGCAATGCTACCTATCAGTCACATTGATGGGAACAAGTAGTAGATACTACAAAAGGACAGTCATTTCTGCAAATAAAATTCTCAAGAAATAAATCCTAACTAGTCAACTTTCCAAGTTAATATACATCAACAAAGAAAGTAGATTTCTTTAAGACTTGCCTGAATTTTAAAATTAAAATCAATAGGACATGATAAAGCTGCAAAGGAAACATGCTGAAATGTATTCTTAAGTGATGAAAAGATCAGTTATTTCTTTATATTTTTCTTCATAATTTAAATTTTATACAAAAACACATTTAACAGCTTTATTGGGGATAAATCATACACTATGAAATTCATTCGTTTTAAGAAGACAATGCAATGCTTTTTAGTAAATTTAGAAAGTTGTATAATCATCCCCACAATCTGCTTTAGAACATTTCCATCATCCCAAAAAGTAACCTTGTGCAATTTGCAAACAACCCCTCTTCCTACCTCTAACTGCTGGGGACCAATGATTTCCTTTCTGTCTCTCTATATTTGCCTTTTCTGTGTAGTTCATAACTTGAATTGCACAATATGTGGTCTTTTGTGTCTGGCATCTTTTATTGAATATAATGTTTTCAAGGTATGTACATGCAGTACCACTTTCTTTTTGGTGGCTGGATAATATTCCATTGTATGGATATCCCCCATCTTGTATATCAGTTCATCAGCTGATGAACATTTGGGTTCTTTCTGTTCTTTGCCTATTATAAACAATGCTGCTCTGAACGTATATTTTTATTTTCCTTGAGTAAGTAACTAGAAGTGGAGTTACTAAGTCATATTGTAAATTTACATTTATGATTGTAGGAAACCATCGAACTGTTTTCTGCAGTGGCATTACCATTTTATATGCGTGATCTAACTTCTCCACATCCTCAGTAGCATTTGGTGTGTCACTATTTTTTATTTTAGTTTTTTTGATATTTCTGTGGTGATATCTAATTGTGGTTTTAATTTGTACATCTTTAATGACTAATGATGTTGAGCATCGTTTCCTATTTTAGGCCATTAGTGTATCTTCTTTGGTGAAATATTTATTCAAATATTTTGCCCATTTAAAAACACAAACTTTATTTTGGATCAATTTCCGATTTACAAAAAAATGCTGCAAAGATAGCAAAGAGGCCGGGCGCAGTGGCTCACGCCTGTAATCCCAGCACTTTGGGAGGCTGAGGCGGGCGGATCACGAGGTCAGGAGATCGAGACCATCCCGGCTAACGCGGCGAAACCCCGTCTCTACAGAAAAATACAAAAATTAGCGGGGCATAGTGGCGGGCACCTGTAGTCCCAGCTACTCAGGAGGCTGAGGCAGGAGAATGGCGTGAACCCGGGAGGGGAGCTTGCAGTGAGCCGAGATCGCGCCACTGCACTCCAGCCTGGGCGAAAGAGCGAGACTCCATCTCAAAGAAAAAATAAAAATAAAAAAATAAAAAGATAGCGAAGAAATTTCCTGTATTCCCTTTACCTGCGTTTCCCATTATTAAGACCTTAGATAAACATGACACATTTTATATGTTTACATATAAGTCCTTTATCAGATATATGATTTGCAAATGTTTTAAAATTATATTTTAGTTATATAATTGATATACATGCCATAAACCCACTAAAAAAGCAAGTGCACAAAGTATATATTGACCAACCCAGTTGAGTGAGGTACAATATGATGGAGGTATTTATTCTATAGTCAGTGTGGAATGCAACTATCACATTAACAATATTATTCTTAAACAAATCTTTAAAACGTTATATATAGTGTCTCCTGGTGTATTCAACCCAGTCAAATTTTCCCACCAGCATTGGAATTGTTTTTTTTTTTTTCTTTAGTTCAGTTTCAGATAAACTGGAATTGCCTTTGGGGGCCACTCTGTACCAAAATATTTGTCCTTAAATGCTGCAGTATCACTTAACGTGGCATAATATTTGCACAAAAAATCATGCGAATTGGGAATCTTAGAAACACCATGAGGTCTACATGTGAGAGTTCGCAGATACTGCATTCACTGACTCTCTCTCTCTCTGTCTCTCCTCTATTTCTCTCTCTCTCTCTCAGTCCCTCCTTTCTCTGTCTCCCCTCTCTGTGTGTGTGTGTGTGTGTGTGTGTGTGTCCTTACAAGTGAATTTAATGCAAACACTTGAATTTGTCTAAGTTAAATTCTCCATATGATATGAGACTATATGAGGTGATTTGTATCTAGAAAAGGCTACACACAAACAAAAAAAAATGGTTTTGACATTATCACCATTTTCTGTCAGCTTTATGGGCTGAATTGTGCCCCCCTTCCAAATTCATCAATTGAAGTGCTGATCCCCAGTACTTCAGAATGTGACGTTTTTGGAGACAGGGTCTTTATAGAGGTAATCAAGTTAACATGAGGTCAGTAGGATGAGACTTAATCCAGTATGACTGATGTCCTTATAAGAAGAGGAAGATTGGATACAGAGGGGTATAAAGGGAAGATGATGTAATGACATGGAGAGAAGATGGTAATTTACAAGACAAGCAGAGAGGACTGGAACAGATCTCTTCCTCTTGGAGCCAACACTGCTGACACCTTGATCTTGGACTTCCAGCCTCCAGAGCTGTGAGACATAAATTACTCTGGTTTAAGCCATGCAGTCTGTGGCACTTTGGTGCAGCAGCCCTAGCACACCAACACAGCAGGAGAATGACTTCTTCAGTGACGGTGTTGATGTCCACTTGCCCTGGAAGAGAGGTACAGTCAGGGAAATGCATGGAGCAGAATCTCTGGGGACACTGACTTGACCAGCATTTTGTCAAATCAGTGTTTGTTGAGCTGGTGGATGATCTTGTTTGGGCAGCAGCAGGAGGGATGGCTCAGGAAATATCCTTGTTTTCTTCGTAGAACCACTTTCACTCCTTTCCCAACAGAGCTATGTCTTTCTATTCCCTTTTCTTCTTCCCCAGCTCCCTTTCTCTCAACCATCATCTCTAAGAATACCTCAGGACACTTTGCAACACAGTAAGTGATTGCCATCAAGAAAAGTAGGAAGGTAAGGAAGACCCTTGTGTTATAACAGAGAGAATTTAGTAGTTAGTAGGGAGCTGAGAACACACAATAATACTTACAAATATTATTTTCCTAAATTTTTATTTATGATTATTTAATAGCACAAATTCATGAAAACTGCTGTGGAATTACACACACACAGACACACACACAGTTGCTTATTCCCTTTTTAATGTTTAAATCATTTGTTTTTTTAGTTACAAGTTATTACCACCAGCTAATGGAAATGTTGAAATGAAACCCTCTTAGAGTATTATGACACTGAATATCAAAAACACTTTTAACAAGTTCACATTTTCCTACATAGAGTCTCCAGTGCTGTACCAATGTACCAAATCTACTTGCAATAGATAAGAACATCTAACATTTATTCTGATGTAAGAAAATCTCAATGAGTGTATGCAAAAAAGGAAAAAAAAATCAGATCTCCAAAAATAAAGATGTGGCAGATGGCCACTCACTCTAAGACAGATTCATCTAAATATTAAGCTGACAGATTCATCTAAATATTAAGCACACTGTAATATTTAAATATTCAATTTAAAATTAAAGTCTCACTCAACTTTTCAGGAACAGGCATATTCTGTTAGACTAGAAGTACCTCAATTGGGAGTATTTTATTTTAATCGTTCAACAGATAATGTATTGAGATGACTTTGGGACTAACACCGCCAGAACAGGCCTTTTGGGATTTGGTGGAACAAAGATAATTGCCACACAGTTTTTGCCCTGTAGTAGTCCACAGACTATGAACAGAAGATGGACCAATAAGGAAAGTTGAGTAGTAACATACACGATGCCAAAAAAGAGTGATGGTCAGTAAGGCATAGTGAAAAACACACAGGCTTGAAATACGAAAGTCTAGATTTGACATTCTAGCCCCATTTTTGAAATAAATTTTTTGAGATATAATTTACATATCACACAATTTGCCCATTTAGAACATACAATTCTATGGTTTTTAGTATAATCACAGAGTTGTGCAACCATCATAATAACCAGTTTGAGAACATTTTCATTACACATCCCCAAAAATATCCCATGCTCATTAGTAGTCATCCCTTATTTCCCTTCAATTTCTTTCCCACTTCAGCCCTAGATAGTCACTAATGTACCTTCTGTCTTTACAGATATGCCTATTCTGAATATTTCATATAAATGGATTCATATAATTTGTGGTCTTCCCTGACTGGCTTCTCTCACTTAGATATTGCAGCATGTGTCAGTCATTCCTTTTTATTGCTCAGTAGTATTCCGTAGTATGGATACATCACATTTTGTTTATCCATTCTCAGCTGATGGACCTTTGGGTTGTTTCTCTACTCCTATTTTTTGTTTGCTATGTGATCCTTGACAACTAATTATAGACAAGAGCCAAACTCTTGTCTCTAACTGCCTGGCTTCCAAACCTGGTATGACTACTTATCAGATGTGTCCCTGCACACAATTTTCGAGTTCCCTGTGCCTCAGTTTTCTCATCTGTAAAGTGGAGATAATAATACTATTAACCTGCTGGAGTTGTCTAGGAATTCCATTAGTGAGCACATAAAAAGCCTTTAGCACAGACTTTGGTCCATTATATATTCTCAAGAAATGGTAGTGACTAAAATTGTTGTCCTCTCAATATTTTAATACATTCTGATTTTTCTTATCTCCTCATCTTAAAACTTTCAACAGTGGACTGTTGTGAGAGTAAATGGAGTGTATGGAAAATTTTGGTACAATATCTGACACATAGCTGGAGTTCAGTAAATAAGATTTAGGGAACTAAACTCTTTTCTTATATCATAAACAAAAATTAACTCCAAATGAATCATAGACCTAAATATAAAAGCTAACATTATAAAACCCTTAGAATAAAATACAGCAGTATATTTTTGCGACATTGGATAGACAAAGTCTTCTTAGATACCAAAAGCATAAGCTACCAAAATAAATAATAAATAAATACACTGGACTTCATAAAAATAAAAAACTTTTGTGTTTCAAAGCACACCATGAAGAAAGTGCAAAGTAACCCATAGAATGGGGGGAAATATTTGCAAATCATGTTGCTGACTTCTCCTGTCCTCTTCAGAGTAAAATTTCAAGGTTGCTAAGGATCCTTTTATAAACTTTCAAGAACTCCCACAATAATTTCTAAAATCTCTAGCTCTGTTCACCTAGTTTGTTCTGTATTGACATTTCCAGAGAAATGAAATGCTCTTTTGGCAGGCTACTGGTTTTGTACCCATCTGGTGCTCCTCCAACTCCATCATGAAGGCAAGGCTTCTCTGTGGCTCCCTTGTGGCCTGGCCCCAGTTTTGGGTGTCTGCGATGTCCATTTCTGGTTGCTGTCCTGTGGGGCCTCTATGGTTTGACTCTTTCACTCCTCTATTGAGAAATCGAGAAAACGTTATAATCAGAAAAGGATGTGATCTTTCATGTTTTAAGAAAGACGAGACCTAAGAAAAATAAATCCTATGGGAAAAGTGAAGGAAAGATAAAACAATGAAGTCATCTGATGTTACGTCTTCAAGCTGCAAAATGTCAAGCAAACCCATTGGCTGGAAGAAATAACTTCTAATTCATTCTGGAAAAACCATGTCATACAAAGCAAGGGACCTAAGAAATTCAAATACACACCTCTGTGGACTCAGAGCCATATCAAAGAGTAGTTTATTAATTTCTTTCAGCCAATTGGTGGAGACCGTGGGACCAAATTCAGCTTTTCTTAGCTTGTGCAAAACTGCCACCACTAGGAATAATAAAGCTAGGCTGTATATTTTGTGTGTGAGATATTAAAACTACTATTCAAATTCCAACCACCATCCAATCTAAATGCCCCTCCATCCCCACTCTGCCCTAGAGGGAACAACCAACCATTTCAGGCACTAAGCATTTAGAAGCAGTCTTACCCATATTCACAGGGAAAACTTCCACACTGCTGCTTCTTGAAACAATAATTACTGTGAAAAAATTACCTAGGCAGTAACTTCTTGTAGAAAAAAGTATTTTGATGCAAGAATGCTGAGGATTTTTACTCCCTGGTACTAATCTCTCATTCATATGAAGAGGTCTTTGAGGGAATTACTTTTTAAAATAGTATTACAAGAGGCCAGGATAATGGATAAAGTCCTGAAATTTAAATGAAAGAAGATAGTGATTTTCAAAAATTTCTTTTCTCTTTTGCATATGAACGCTTGTTGCTCCTCGAGGGTAAATAAGGATTAGTAATAGCATACGACTGCTTTGCTCCAAGGGACAGAATATTTCCAATTTTTTCCCAGCTCATAAATGTTGACTTACATCTCTTTGCTCTCCCAGGATCTTGTGCCAAAAAAGATCATATCCAGGGCTTGATTTCCTTTTTCAGTAATGGGCCATTAAAATGCAATATTGGTTCTTTGCTTGTCTTTGAGAGTGGCAAGATGTGACTTTTAAAATGAAGTTTCATTAAAGAAAAGCATAGGGAGTCAGATATAAACCCTTTACTTCTTCACCACATTTTTCCTTCTCCTTCCCACCTTTCCCCTTCTCTTCTGTATCCTGCTTCCTTCTTTGTTTCCTTGATTAGCTATCTATAGTAATCCAGAGTGTGGTTAACGTTTATTGAATCAAGTGCTATATCTAGGAACTTTAAATCATTTTCTCCATTACTGACCCATAGTATGTCCAAAGGATGTTATTTTCCGGGTCATTTTTAGGTCAGGGTACAGGCTCAGTGTTTAGGTAACTTGCCAAGTGTCTTAGGCAGAGCTGATCTGCACATTCTATCTGACCTCACTTTGCTCTACATCTGCTCAGTTCCCAAATCAAAAATATGCAGCAATTCCTTGACTCTCCTTATCTCACACCATATTCCAAAGTAAACAAATAATGGATTAAGATATTGCTTACACAACATCTGAATTTTAATAGTGTATTGTCTCATCCTGTGTGTGAAAGCCATTCTTCCTTAACTGTGTCATAAACCCCTTGAGGACAGAGAAGAGAGAAATGCCTTACACATTTTAGTGCTGATCACCACACCTCGCAGAGATCTTTATGTGTAGTGGATACATAACAAAGAAGTTGACATGATCTGGCAGGGCTGTTTCTCTGGCAGGGCATGAGCTGTTTCTCCAAACAGCTTCTTATGTTCTAAATCTCAACCTAGAATAGATGTCAAATATTTCAGATATTTGAGGAAAATCTCAAATTGGCAATAGAACCAGAACAACAAGCAAATGAAATAAAGCAGTTTGGAGAAAACAGACAACATAGAAAATTTTTGTTTAATGTTAAGATAAAAGGGGATATGCATCCATGAAACAAGAAGAGAATCAAGTCAAAAAGGAACATTCTGAAAACAGAAAAACATCACATAGAGATAACTGTTCCTGAATGATATGTCTTCTAAATATCCAGTTCCTGGACAGTCCTGCGGTTCAGCAACGGTAACCATTACATCTGCCAGAACCACCCCTTACTTCACCCACTGATTGCCCCAACTGAGCTCTTCTAAACTCAGGAAAGCTGAAAGAAGACACTTACCCCAAATCTCTCTTCACCTTGTATTTTCCAGGAATCCTTTATTGAATAATGGTAATATTACCATTCCTTGAACATGGATAGTTTTATGCTTGTAATTTAGCTGTACAAAATGAAACAAATTAAATTTAGGAATTAATATGTAAATGGTAAAACTATTGGATAAACCCAGCTCAAGGTAGTGCTTACCTCTAGTTGGGTGAGTGAGAAACAAGAATAGAAAGGAGCACATGGGACTTATAGGTTGCTGGTAACATTCCATTTTTTCATTGGTAGTGTGACCTCTGAGTGTTTTACTTAAAACACTAGAGGTAGAAAAATCAAAAGTCTTTCCAAATGCTGTTTTGTAATTTTAAATAAGTATGTTATTCTAACTCTCCATTCTGTAGAGTTAATACCTACTTTTCAAAGATATTATGAAAATAATTAGTTCAGATACTGTTGCTCAGTAGATTTTTAAAAAGCATTACCTAGATTTGCTTTCCAAAGTTAAGGATTTGTTAAACTAATCTTTATTTGTTGAATCTAATGGCATGGTTCATCTTTTTTTTTTTAATTTGTATGTTTGTTTAAAATAAGAATACAGAATGTTCTTCATTATTTTATCTAAGTTTGTTTTCCCCCACAAGTGTTATATTTAAAGCACCTGAAAAAGTCCCTGGCTTAGATTATATTTTTAAACATCCTAAATAAATGAATTAATTAATATTCAAATTTTAAAACTTTAGCATAGCACATGTTTACTTTTGAACTGAAGTTAATACTCTAAGTTTGGAAACTGAAACACTTTTTTTTTAAAAAGTGTATACTTAAAACTACTTTAAAAATGCACCAAAAGATTTACTTTTTATAAAATGTGGGATATTTAAATTACCACCAGGAAAGCAGTATTATATACTTTCTGAAATATACCTGCCATTGGATATTTATTTTATATATACTTTTTAACATGGATTTTATGGTTGTATATTTGACAATCAGTGATGTCTAGTCTTGAAATTTATGATGCCATATATAATATAATTTACATACATAGCACTAGGATTCTGATTAACTTATTATTTTTCCAGGATTAGAATGTTTCACTCATTATGAAAACTCACAAACCTGAAAAATCTATATTTTAAAAAGCTAAACATGAATGAACAAATATAAACAAATAATCTTACTAATTGCCCTACAATTTAAATGTTTATAAATAGACTTGATGAGGCTGTTTACATAGTGTTATGATTGATTATAACCAAGGTATTGTGTTTTACTGTGCAAAGATCGTCCTTATTGGTTTGACAGTGCTCACAAAAATCATAGACATTTCTATAAAGGATAAAGGTGATTCCCTAAGGATGATCAAGAAGCTCCAGCTAAGATATTTAAATGTGGATATAGAAGAGTTGGTTTACTGAAGAGTGACATAAAAATGAGCTGCTTCAGAAATTTTATGTGCAGGGCTTTCTGTTATCTGGAGCTAATCACCAATGAACCAGAGACTGCAAAAGCCATCAGATTCCAGGGCAGATACATGAGGAAAATTGTCAGAAGGAGCAGGAAGACGTGCTTCTGTTTCCAAGCAGTCCTGAGAATTTCATTATCAGCTCATATCTGTTACTGTTAAGATGTTAAGAGGGAGATTATCATTTGCAAACTAAAAGCTTTCTGTGCTACCCCACAATAATTGATTTTCTTTTTCATTAAAATTCTTAATACCTGGCACTCCACAAAAGTTGAGAAGGTCTTTGTAAAGCTTTATTGGCAGATAATGTATGCCCACAAAAAAGAACAAATGCAAATTTCACATATATATTTATAATGATGATAATTCAATAGTTCTTGGTCCTGTAAGTACGACTAAAATATGCCACTATATTTAGGCAGCATTACCAAGTTAAACAAGGGTACCTATTTAAAAAAAAAAATGGCAGCTCTACATAAAAACATTTCAGTCTCTGTAAAAGAAGGAAAACAAACTATGTTCAAGGAACTCAGTATCATTTTGCTAAATACTCTGTAAATCAACCTCTGAGACTCTGAAATACATTTCCAAATGTATGTGACATTTTGGAGCTCAAACACAAAAACTGCCATCTTTCTTAAAACTTGTTTGAATCCAAAGTCTGATGATAGTCCTTCCTTAACACCCTACAGTAAAGGTGTACACATCTAAGTAATACTATGCTACAGAACTGTTTGCACAGTGACGGTATTTAGTGATTAGTATGAGTTATCTATTGGTATGATTTCAGGATTATAAAGAAACCATGTTTGATAACTGAGATTCTGCAATAAGAGTCAGTGTTCTAAAAGTTAGTGTTGGGTAGGAAATATTCTCAATTGGTTGTGGGGAAGCACAGCAGGAACAGACAAGACAATGAATAAAATTTTCTCAATTTTAAGGATTTTCCCCCCTCCCATAAAGTTTTCTTAAATCTTTTACATCCGCTTATGATTTGATTGCAGTGCATCAGTACTGACAGAAGAATTGCAAATCAGTGGATCTAATGTACAGTGGTTTAGTTTTTAGGGAAGTGTTTGCTTACCATCGTGATTTTTTCAGACTTTGTTTTGCTGCATGAATATTTCATTAAATTGAGTATCCCTAAGTACCATAAACTTAACCAACTTATTTAAGTTTGTGCTAACTACCTTCATAATATCATTACACGTAATGCTATTTCATTATGTTCTGAAGGGAACACTACAACTTCCAGGTGGTTCAATACTTGAACAACTTTAGGAACCATTGAACTATGAAAATGCCATTTCTTCACATTAAGGCTTTTGGCCCAATTAAAACCCAACATCAGTGGGAACTATTGTTAGTCCCAATGCCAGTCATTTACAACTGAATGAATTTATGAATTACCTTTCTATTATTCTCTAGCACCCTGTTTATTTTATAACGTTTTTAAAATAATTGTAATTAGTTGTTATTGAACCATTTTTTTCTTGTCTCTCTCCCACACTAGACAGTAAGTTCTCAATTGTATCTCTAGGCTTAGCAAGTCACAAAGTGAGAGCTCAGTAAATATTTGTTGATTGATTAAATTTATTTGATCGAAAGAAATCTGTGTACCAACTTCTAGTATCTGTTTTTCTTTTTTAAATGAATTGATCCATTCTTTGGCAAATTGACTACGTAGCTACATAATGAAACAAATGCAGTCTAGGGATGTCCTGAGCATGAATGGGTATTGGAATCACAGTGCTACTAATTATAAAAGACGGTGCTGCAAAGCACAGGTGACTCCCTAAATCCAAGGCGGATGCACATAAAAACAATAAACACTTTAAAATCCATGGCCATTCAGATGTCAGAGGACAAAGCAAACAGTGCAAAAAGGGAAAGTAAGTAAACCTAGCTCATAATAACTGCTGATTTTGCCTGGTAACAAACTCTTAACACAAAAGAGGCCTTTAAAAAGAAATTTTTACTTCTCTTTTTAATTGCAATTTCAGTAATATCAATATTTTCTAGCTTATTGAGATAATATAAATCCTTCCCACTCATATGCCAGAATTATTTCTTTCATTTCACTCCACTAAAATCACATCCTGAACCCCTTTTTAAGAACATTATATCCATAGCTTATTTCTAAAGAACATAAGTATCACAGGAGGCCATTAAGCACGGCTCTGTTTTGTTTGAATGGATCATTAAGACTACCCCTTTGATGTGTTGATATCTGTATCCCTGGATGCTCCATTGGGGTAACTCTACTACCAATACCTCACACAGTTTGCCCGTGGAAACGTTTGAGCCTCATTTCAGATGCTGCCCTTCCCTCTGTTTTCTGTCACAATCTTGTCTTAAGCTCTTTCAATTTTTCCTCATGTTCAGCTTTGAAATATATTTTGTTCTGAGGCTATTTGCAGCATACAGCATATCCTCTTGGTTTCTTTGTTCGTTTGTTTGTGTTCCTTTTCTTTCTTCTCATCTTAGACTTTCTCAGATCATGTCAGCTTGTCTCATAACTCATTATTAGAGTTCACCTTTCCTGCTCCCTTGCTCAATTTCTATCTTCTCTATCCATGCTCTTTTAACTTCCTTTGGCCTGAAAAATCCTGGAGTATCATTTTTTTTTCTGCAACTTGTAGGGTCATTTAGTTAAAAGCACTGATCTAGAAGGCTGGAGATGCTAATTGCAGCTAATTCCACCACTCAGCATTCATTCCCTCTCTAGGAAGACACTCCTTTCCCATTCATAGCCATACCTTTTGGATGAGGTTAGTGGTATGCAGTGATGTAGAGATAAATGATTCCAGGAGTTAAAAAAAAAAAAAAACTTCCAGGCATAGGAAAAGAATAAAAGCCCAATAGTGCACAACATTTGCCTATATCATTTGCCTTTCCCCATGGCAATTTCAGGTTGGAGAGGTCATTGAATGTAGGGTCAGAAAGTGATGTGCAGTCACATGCCATTTTACAATATTTCTACCAGACAGACACAATAGACATGAATAACCCTAAGAGCATCTATCAGGGGTCAGGACATGTTTTTCTATTAAGGACCAGAGAGTTAATATTTTAGGCTTTGCAGGCCATAAATCCTCAGTCACAGTTATTCAACTCCACTATTGTACTTGAAAGCAGCCATGGACAATACATAAATGAATGGGCATGGCTGTATTCCAGTAAGACTTCATTTACAAAAATAGGCAGCAGCCTGGATTTAGTCTGAGGGCTGTGGTTTCCTGACCTCTGGCACAGATAATAGTAAAATAGGTAAAGTGTGATGAGTTTTGACTAGTTACATCTGTTTTTAATATAATTGAATTGTTAAGTTTATATACTTTAATCTTCAATGACATCTGTGTTGAATAACCAGCTTGCAAAATTCCTGATAGTTTAACAATCAGCTCTTGTGAACCTGTACAAGTCAGCTCCACTCACACTGAATCTACCTTCTGCAGGGGTGATCACTTACTGACTGAGGCCAATCAGTATATCTAAAATCTCTGAAAATTTTTTTATTGGTTTAAGAGATAGAGAAATGATCCAATGCAGAGATTCACAGGAATATTTATATTTAGTGGGGCTTCTGGAAAATAAATTTGTCCATATTCCTCAAGAGCAACAAAGACAACCAAGAGTTGTCCATACTCCCCAAGAGCAGCCTTGGTTAATATGGGAGTATGAATGTGATGTTTGCACAGTGGCAGCCATTTGCTACCATGATGGGAGAGCCTGAATGCTTCTGCAGGGGCACTCACTGAATGAAGCTCAAGCCCTGGATTGCCACCATGGAGGAAGGAAAAGAGGCAGAAAAAAAAAAAATGCACCCTTAGTAACATCATCGAGTGACTGGATCAAGTCTTGCCTGAAACCAATACTACTTTTCCAGCTCTGAATTATTAAATGCCTTTCATTATTTATGCCAGTTTGATAGGACTCACTGCCACTTGTAACCGAAAGATTTGTCAGTGAGGCATCTGTCCATTCTGCATTTTACCATTTTCTCTCTATGACTCCAGGTTGCAAGCAAATATTACCATCAGTAAGAAAGAACTCTTCTCACGCCTGTAATCCCAGCACTTTGGGAGGCCGAGGCGGGTGGATCATGAGGTCAGGAGATCGAGACCATCCTGGCTAACAAGGTGAAACCCCGTCTCTACTAAAAATACAAAAAATTAGCCGGGCGCGGTGGTGGGCGCCTGTAGTCCCAGCTACTCGGGAGGCTGAGGCAGGAGAATGGCGTGAACCCGGGAAGCGGAGCTTGCAGTGAGCCGAGATTGCGCCACCGCAGTCCGCAGTCCGGCCTGGGCGACAGAGCGAGACTCCGTCTCAAAAAAAAAAAAAAAAAAAAAAAAAAGAAAGAACTCTTCATTCAGTTTGTGTTCAAGTACCTTATTTATCTCCCAACTATTTGTCTTTTTCTCATTAGTTTGTGGTTCTGTGGGCACATTATTTCCTTTTGGATGATGTGGTGTAGGGATGTGTGGTGTGATTGTCTATTCATAGATCAGTAGTCCTCCAACCTAGCAATTCATCCACAATACCTACATGTTAAAAAAAAAAAAAAAACAAAGATATTGAGTCCCTGCTTCTAGGGATTCTTTTTCAATAGGTTTGAGGTGGAGCATAGGCATCAAAATCCTTGATTTTTATGAGCAGTTGAGTCTGATGTGTCCTTTGGTTGAAAACCCCTGTCATGGTGCACGCTTTTCACTGCTTATATTAGAAGATCCAGAGCATATAGAGAGGAAAAAAATGGTTCTTATTCACTCTATCTAAAGTCAACCATACCATGATGAAAATTTGTTAACTCAATTTATAGTGTTATTACCTAGTAGTTCTTTTATTGTTTGATGCTTTCTATCTGCCAGACAAATGGAAGTGGGAGGTATAGGACAGATAAAAGTAGGTGAGGTTTCTGTTCTTATAGGGTATATAATTCTAGTGTTGGAGGCAGGTATTACATAAGTAAACATGTTAACAGGTATAGAGATAAGTGCTGTGATGAAAGTAAATATGGTCATGGGAAGGCATATTTCTGAAAATGCCTAGACTAGGGTAATGTGAGTGGGGTCCCATGCACGTGCATGGCCCTGACAATGCATGCCTCTGACAATGCATGCCTCCTTTGGGTGAGGCTGGTCATTCACAAAAACTGCTGGGAGAAGGCTAGCTATTCATTCTTTCCTTCAGTCAATAGTGACAACGTACTCAGTGCTGTGTGGCACATGGTAAAGTCAATTGCTTTGTAAAAGACACAGGGCTTTCTGAGTATAGAAATGGAACTAGTAAGATACTACATAGTCATTTACTTACTTTGACTAGGTTATAAAGACACAAGGTATAATATTCAAAAGGCACAATAGATCAACAGTGAAAAGTAAATCTCCTTATCTTGTTCCCCAGCAACTCAGTTCCCTCCTGTAAAAACAGCCACTGTTACCCATTTCCTGTGTGTTCTTCAAGAGAGGCTGCAGACATCCACAAGAGTGTGTACCGTGTACGCTGGTGGAAGGAAGGGTGTTTCACAAATGAAGGCATACTGTACATTCCCTTCTGCAGTTTGTTTTCTTTTAATTAAAAAATAGACATTATTCATATTATACATGTATAACTGGACCTTTTCCATGATGTTATAATCACCTTTTATTTGATTGTGCTATAACTTATTTAACAAGTGCCATATTGAAAGATGGGTAGGTTGTTTCCAAACTTATGCTATTATGACTTCTGCAAGGAGTTTTCTTACATAGTTGTCTTTTAACACATTTGTGACTATCTGGAAAATAAATTCTTTGAAGTGGAATTGTTGGGTTAAAGGATATAAACATTTGTAATTTTGAAAGATATTACTAAATTGTCCTCAATACCAATTATGTCAATTTATACTCCCAATACTTCACAAAACTCTTTGTCTACACACTCACTAGTAGATCATGTTATTTACTATATCTTTGCCAGTCTAATTTGGGATAGGGGAGATTTAAAATTTTTCATTTACATTTTTTCTATGAGTGAAGTTGAGGGGTTTTTTTGTTTGTTTGTTTGTTTGTTTTGAGACAGAGTCTCACTGTCGCCACGCTGGAGTGCAGTGGCACGATCTCGGCTCACTGCAACCTCAGCCTCCTGAGCTCAAGCAATTCTCCTGCCTCAGCCTCCCGAGTAGCTGGGACTACAGGTGTGTGCCACCACGTGCAGCTAATTTTTGTGTTTTTAGTAGAGACGGGGTTTCACCATGTTGGCCGGGATGTTCTCAATCTCTTGACCTCGCGATCCGCCCACCTTGGCCTCCCAAAGTGTTTTAAAAAATATGTTTAAATGCCACTTGTGAGTTACATCTTCATGTCTCTTAGAACTTTTTCTATTGGGTTACTAACGTTTTTCTTTTGAGTTGCAGTTGATATTTTTATATTAAGAAAAATTTGAATTTTGTTTAATAATTTTAATTGCAAATAACGTTTAACAAATATTTTCTTTTGACTTTATACAAGATTTTCCCCACAGAGAATATTATTACTTTGAAGTCAAATGTAATCAATTTTTTTACTAAATATTTCTCCATGTTTTAGTCTAGAAAATTCTCACATCTTTTTATGTTTAATTTTTATCTTTTCAGAATTTATTTTGTTACAGGAAATAACTGAGTGATACAATTATTATTTCCAAGAAAAAGATTCATTTCCCTTCACAGGCATGCTACCGCCACTTTATCGTACTAACGCCAATTTACCATATGTATTTTCGTCTTATTCTGGACTCTTTCTTCTGTTCTGTTGAACTAAGCCAGTTAAGTTTTGAAGGAGGAAGAAGAGATCAGAAAGGTCCAGCCTAACTGGCAGCAGAGCTTGATGGATCACCAGGTAAAGGGGCTAGTTATAATATTACATACTGAGAATACTGAGAACTAAAGGGTGGCGAACTAATGAAAGAAGGGAAAAAGACATCAAAATGGAAATTCAAGAGAAGGAGGAGGAATCCTGGAAACAGCCTTCCGATCCTACAGTTTTTTTCTAAGGCTAGTTGCAAGTTTGTTGGTTTGTTTGTTTTTCTGTTTTGAGGTTCTCTGTAGGCATAAGTAACTGAAAGGCATCAGCAACCTTTTAAGTACAACTGTGGCCACATCAACATCTTCTACATCTACCCTAAATATCACCCTATCTAAGTTCCTGCTCATTTGACTGGAGGACCTCAGCTTCTCATGCAACTTCCCTCTGGGCCCTATCACCATGAACCATATTGAGGGAGGGCCTTAGGATTGTCTGACATACTTAGTAAATCCACTAATGTTCTTCCACTCCAGGCAAGCTAGCTGGCTAGAGGAATTTGGGGAAGCTACTAGGACAGGTGAGCTGAACACACAGGGGTTCTGGCCACTCTGCCTGGCTCAGCGGGTGGAGGCTACTGTCCTGCCACTGCACAGTGCCTGTGGGGGCTACCTCTGGGCACTCACATGGAAATAGGGGAAATGGCCATCTTCCCACTCCAGTGGCCTTAATCACCTGGATCGCGAAGGTGCTTCAAGTCTCACAAAGGCTTCCATGAACTTGCCTGCTGGAGCTTCTGACTCAAAACCTGTCCATTAGGAGGGCAAGGAAATGACAAACAACCAGTTTACAATATTGTTCTTATCACCATTTATGCCTTCAAAAGCGTAATCCAAACAAAACAAGACAAAATCAAAAATATTTTCTTTCTTCTGTTTACTCAAAAATACCTGACACAAACAACAAAATATACATTGCAACCTATAGAAATACGGTGTGTGCTCTGGGGGCAGGACAGCATTGAGTGCTAGGCATTGATTAAATCCAAAGTCCGGGCATGCATAGAACTAGGGTTGGTCCGGTCAGAACAAGGTATGTGACAAATGTGATTGTGGCACTTTTCATGAAGTCCTGTCTAAGGTTTTTCAAAGCCGGAATAATAATTGTAAGCTGCTGTAATTTATGCCTCCAAGCACAGAAAATCAATGATCTAACTGTAGAAAGAGTCCAAATTCTCATTTAGATTTCCTCTCTCAAGTAGGAATGTAATTTAAGTGGTCTGGTTTTCTTTCTCTAGGAATTGCACATATAAATATTTTTTATTTTAAATTGTCAACTTTATAAACAATAATAAAACCTATATAAACAATAGGATTAATATTTTCTATGAAATGGCAGTCCTCTCTTCCCACTTCCTGTCTTTTATACTTAGAATGCAATGATGGATGCTGTAGCTGAATTAATAGGAAAAGGCCATGAGTCCTCCCATTTAAAAGAATCCATCCTATTTCCTTTATTTTTGCCATGGGATAAATATCCATAGCATAATCCACAAGCCATTCAGCAGTGACAGACAACAATTAAGGGCAGAAATAAGAACAGTGAAAATTTTTACTCTTTCTATTTCTCTCATGTATTTATTCCATCCCCAACCCACATATTGCACTCATAGGGCTGTTTACTAAGGAGACTGGGGAAAAGATAGAAAATACCTTATCTGCCCAAACAAAGAAACCATTGAGAATAAATAAAGCATTGCATTTCCAAAACAGTCAAGTGAGTTCTCTGGGTATTATTTATTTTGGCATCCCTGTAGCATTCTTCATCTGGCTATAAATCCTTATATTAGGTTAGGGCTTTTTGTGTCTGGGTGTGTATCCTGTCTGCCTAAGACATGAAAGAAATAAACAACCTACTGATCAAGAGCATGAGTAAAATTATGCCATGAATAGGAAAACAGAAAAGTGATATGACACTTGAAGACACAAACTGGGGTTCTTATCCAAGGCAGGGCTAAAGAATAGCAAATACTTTGACAAATCCTGCTCAAAAATAAGTTTTGTTTTGTCACAGAGACATAGTTATTCAAATAGCTGAGTATTTGAGAGAAGGAAGCCACTTAGACCCCACACTCTGTTCTCCTTTGGTTTCATTGATTGCTAAAAGAGACTCATCCGTGCTCCTCAAAGGATAATGGAGTTTACTGTGAGCATAGACTGAGGTAAAGTCTGGAGCTGAACAATATCAGGACCCCAGAGATCTCAGCGTCCTCTACTAAGAACCTAGCTTGTGCTTACTAGAGCTGAGTAAATGCCGAAGTCTTAGAAAGTCAAAATACATAGACCACCGTAAGCTAAAGTCTCAAGAGAGGCCAATCTTGGTTAATAGCCTGCAATTATCTTTTCTCCATCTCAGAGTTTTTGCTTTCTGATAAGATATGTTCAGCTCATACCTGCTCTCTCATGGTGTCTCAGTCTAAATTTCTCAGCCTTGGTCTTACTGTACAATCTGCCTCATTCTCTTAGTGTTTTCCAGATTACGTTCTCAAAAGAGGGAAACGCATTTTTTCATGTCTTTCTCGTGCCAAACTAAATTGAGGATTCCTTTGGCTCTTGTTCTCACTCTTAGCCCACTTCACTATGACAGGTTGGTGAGTGTGATTCAAAATATGGCTGTTTCAGCAGCTGGGGCTGTGGGCTAAGCAGTATCCCTTCCAGGAGGTACTAAGCAGGCTCCAGTACCCCACCTGCCATCTCTGCTGATACATATATGATTTCCCTGCCTTGTGAATGTTCTAAGACATTTCTGTATTTTGACTGTTCCCATTGTTTTCTTGAGAAACATATGTTAAATTTGTATCAACTCCATGATTCAATGAAAACTATTTGTTTTAAATCCCAGCTGTAGTGTAAAGGGGGCAAAAATATTAATGTGTGAATACTCACTCTCTTCACCCAACCTGGCTTCCAAGGAGAAGAGGCTATTACATTTTAATTTAGATATGCATTAGTAAAATATGTTGTTCTTCTAATGAGTCAAAATTGGTCTTTTTTGAGGCTTGCACTTAGTATTTTTGCATATTTTGATTCTGATGTCTAAGACCCTGGCATTGACTCCTACCTCCAATGATTAACTTCGTTCTAATCTAGACAAATGAGTGTGCTTAAAAGCACTTTATTAATAAATACATCCCCAAATGTAAGCCAAAATTCCAGCCAATTAATCTGTTTCTTTGAAGCAGTATCATCAACTTTCCATTATTCAAAGAAATAGAGAATCTTTTTATTCATTCAACAGATATTTATAGATTATCTACTATTATTATTACTATCTCCTAATATAATTATTTTAGGAGCTAGGAATACCATAGTGAACAACAATGATAAGGCCACTACCTTTATGCAGCTTCCATTATAGGGGAGGAAGACAGACAATAAAACCATTTCATTTTAAATAGAGCAGTGTAAAAACAAAACAAGCTGAACTTAATGACACGAATTAATAAAAAATAAACTTAATTGTTGAAGTGTATAAATATGACCCCGATTTGTAGTCGTGATATATTCCCTGATCTCTGTACTTTTGAAAAGAACTAAAGTGATAGTTCTATATATTTTAATTGTATAGTTCTGTAGGCCAACATTTATAATGGGAACATTCTTGTCAGTGATATTAATGAGAGAAATGAATCCCAGTGACTCTAGATGTGCAAAATAAATGTTTTCACTGTTGCTTATGAACTCATGGGCTATGTTTGAATCATCTTTGTATATTCTCCTTGGAGTTAACTGTCTTAAACATATCACCCTAAATTTGTCATGAAGGGGTTCAAGGAGTACAGTTGGGGTTGATATGAAAGGAGGGAGGAAGTGGGGAAAAGTGATTAGTTATATATAAAAGATTGAAGAGACCTAGTGAGGTGCCTTGATTCATTTCATTTTTGGTATAATGTGGGTTTTGATATGAGGGCTATAGGAAAGAGTTTTAAAGTATCAAGTCTGAATGGTGAGGGTAGGTAACTAGGATATAGCAACAAGGCACTGTTGTGTTGAGCTCAAGTGGGAAGGTACTGTTTTGCTTTATTAAGACCTAGGAAGAGTCAGGCATCTGCCTTTGTATTAGTCTGCTCAGGCTACCATAATAAAATGTCTCAGACTGGGTATATTTAACAACAAAAATTTATTTTCTCACAGTTCTGGAGGTTAGAAGTCCAAGATCAAGTTGTTGGTAGGGTTGGTTACTCCTGAGGGGTGTGGGGGAAGGAAGGGATCTGTTCTAGGCCTCTCTTCTGGGTTTGTAGATGGCTGTCTTCTCCCTGTGCCTTCACATAGTCTTCCTTCTGTTATTCCACAGATGCATGTCAGTGTCCAAATTTCTCTTTCCTATAAGGTTACCCATCATATTGGTTTAAGGACCACCCACATGAATTTTTGGACACCATTCAGCCCATAACACTCCCCATATCAAATCTCTAGGCAGCAATTCTTCTCCTGCCTGCAATTCTTTTTCAACACTGCCTCAGTGTATAAGCTTTATCTTTCCTGAGGTCATATAGAACACGTCACTCTAGACATCAAAAACACTCATTCGATGCCTTTCAGGATCTGAGCCTATTGACCTTTTTAGCTCTATTTCATACCCTCTTTACAGGCTTCATCTCTCGAACACACTATTTATCTTGAAACAAACACACACTTTCTTTGCCTGTTTAAGTCCAACCCACACTTCAAGGACTCGGGCAATTTTCACCTTCTTCCTGAAGCCTCCTCAGGCCTTAAGAGAAGGAAACCTGTCTTTGGGTAGCTTGTCCTAGAGTAAGAAGATGATGGGCACTGGCACCAAAGACTTGGGCTCTTGTTCTGATATGGCCACTTACTAGACATGGGCCTCCAAGCAAGTCAGTTAACCTCTCTGAGCCTCAGAGTGGCTATAACATAGTACCCTTCTCCAACAGTTTTCCCAAAGATTAATTTAAATTGCTTATGTTAAATGTCTACCACAGTCTGGCATATTCTAGGTGCTTAGTAATCCTTAGTTCCCTGCTTTTCCATACTGCCCCTACTCATACAGTTGTCCTGTGTGTGTGCTGCTGTTGTTGTACTTATCAGTTTGGTTTGCTTTATAATTGTGTGTGTGTGTGTGTGTGTGTGTGTGTGTGTGTGTGTGAGAGAGAGAGAGAGAGAGAGAGGAAGAGAGAGAGAGAAAGATTGGTTGAAGCAATAACCACAATTTACTTTGGCTTCCAAGCTGACTTCTAAAAGCATGCAAAGCAAAAGAAAAAAAAAAAAACTACCACACACAGAAGACAAACAAAAATTGTGTGTCAGGTAAAAAGGCAAAGGGATTGGATTTAAAGAAAGAAAAGATGTGGAATTTCATGTCACTGCCACTGTCCCATCTACATTCTCATAACTTGCGACAGAGTGGTGAAAAGTGTAGAAGCCAATTAAGTTTATTAAAGAGGATAGAAGACCTGGGTCATCCCCTGCCTGGATTATTTCTCTCTGGATAAATTGAAAACAGATGGATTTGATTATTTTTCTTGACAGATTGAGAATTTGAAGTGTCTTAAATATAGAAAGATGGATGGATAATCAGGTAATACTGTACTTTATCACCAGGCTTTCGTCATTCAGTGCCTATTTCCCATTCCATCCATTACTCTCCTCCACTATCCAAAAGACAAGCAGTCCATTCTATACTGTCCAGCTATCAATAAACAATCCTTAAAATATATATAGTGAGACTAATTGTTAAGGCTCTTTATAAACATTGGCTAATTAATTAATCAGTAATACTTAAGGGACTTTCTTCCCCCACCACAGTTCCTCCTATGACTTAATTTTGTGTTTTTTTAATTAGGCAGGATTTTGACTGCCCATGCTACTACCACATTAAGTCTATTAATGGTAGTCGTAATTCAGAGCAGGCAAAGGGATTAACTCAGAGCCCCAGAAGCAATTGATGTGGCCTTTAAGGTTTTAGACTGACAAATGCACCAGGAATAGCTTCTTAGTGAAATGGACTTGCAGGCATGTGTTAGAGTTTAGATTCATCTAGAGGTTTAATTTCTTTTCTGTGGGGACTTCAGCATGCTCTTAAATTTAGTGTTACTGTATGTCAGTGAAAGAGAAACATATGGACAAGTTTTTTAGCAATAACATATAAACATTGCCGCATTATTTGCTTAAACTCATAAGTGTTAATCATTTCATTTTAACAGGAACTTCTGGACAAACAAAAAATTTTGCTTGTGTTCTCTTGGTTGAGATGTAACTAGAAACTTGGAAGACCAGTCAAATTTGTCTTTTTTTTTTAAGGGCAGTTTTGCAAAGTGGTTAAGAGATCTTTCTCTGTAATCTGCAAGACCAGGGTTCAAATCTGAACACCAACACTTAATAGTTACACAACCTTGGACAAGTTACAAATATGTACAATGCTCAGTTTCCTCATCTGTTAGAGAATAGTAGTATCTACATTATAGAATTGTGCTCTGAGGAGGGTTACATGTGTTAACTTAGAATTCGAATAATGGAATAATACACATATAGTATATTTAACATAATTCTCAAACATAGTAAGTATCCAGTAAATGTCAACCATTACTGCTTCCAGAACATAGTTTCCACATTGGCTTATTCATCAGATTACTCTTAAACATTCAATACAATGGGAGGCCTGGGACAAAAAATAAAAAAAAAAAAGAATTAAAAGCTAAAGTTGAAAGGAAAATGATTATTATGGTTCCTTATAGAACCCTAAATCTTCTTTAGGACATTTCAGGTTTGCCAGTTCAATTACTAGTCACAATTACCTGCCACTATTGCCTGCCCTTTTCTTTTTCTTATTAAGTTGAAATTTATAATAAGCATTTGATGAGATAAAAGGAAAGAGGACTTCCTCCTTTATCATGCTGCAGCTGAGCTGATAGTGCTTAGGTTGTATATCTTGAGAAAGAATAGAACAAGTTGAGAGTTGGTTTTTGCAATGTCTGTCTTCAGAGTTTTTCCAGGAGCAGAGAAAATGATGATCAGTGGGTATGATCCATCGGCATAAATGGAAGTGCTCCTAGAAGACTGCTGGTGTGCTTGGTGTAAACCTTTTAGTTACTGGATCAAGTAGAGGTCCTGGTGGACATTCTAGGTCTTGGGGAAGTCTCATGGAGGGGAACCAGAAAGCATCTGCACCCTCAAGGAATTCATAACAATGGCTCCTCACCAGTCACTACAGTACCATTTTAATATTTCAACACCAATATGGCCATTCAATAGCACACCAGTTGAATGTCAGCCCTGGGTGTTTTCACATGGTTAGTTGTGATCTTCATGCCCCTATTCATTGGAGCCCCATTTCTCTCAGCACAAATGCAATGATGAATAAGAGTTGGTATATTTGAAGCTCCACAGACAAACAATGAAGGATGGTGATTAAGAATTTGAGTTCTGGAATTTTGATGACCTGGGTTTGAGTTCTATCTCTGTCACTTAATAGCCATATGACCTTTAGTGAGTCAGCTATACTACCCAAAGCTCACTCATTCATTCACATGTGAATTTGTTCAACAGGAAATTATCATGCACAAACCCTAAATACCGCAGTAAGTGAATAAAGAGTAATGAACAATACTGAGGTACTTGACCCAAAGCTTGCATTCTAATGGGACAAATATTATATAAAAATACATTCACAAAAAATTTCATTTGGTGATGGATACTATTAAAGAAAGACAAATTTAAGGAATAGATGAGGATAAGTCATTTTGAATGGTGGTAGGGAAAGGACTCTCCATGTAAATGACATTAGGTGCAAGACCTGGACAAGAAGCCACTTATGGAGGGCTGACCAAAGAGCATTGTAGGCAAAGGGAACAGCCAGTGAAAAGGCCATGAAACAGGAATATACCTGGAGAGTTGAAGAAATATAATGAGTGAAGTGTCTGAGTAAGAGCATACCATGAGATAAAGTCAGAACTATAGGCAGGGGCCAGATCATGCAGGACCTTGCCAGCCACCAGGGTTGAGGTTTTATTGTAAGCACACTGGGAGGCTATTGCTATATTTTCAACAGGAAGACTGTATGATCTCAATTTTCCTACCTAAAACACAGGATGGCATTGCTCGTGGTGGAAACTCAGATGGAGTAATGTATGTAAGCTGCTCAGCAGAGTCTCTGGAACATTTGAACTCCTTGATAACTTGTAGATTCAAAAGTTTTGGCTGCTATTATTTAGCCAGCAGACACCTTTGCCTCTCCTATGTGAAAGAAAATGGAACAAAAGGTTAATCAAATGGACCTTGGCAAACAACACCACAAGCACTCTGGGCCCTCCAGCCCACAGAGGTTGATGTTGGATAGCTGTTGACCATAATTCAGGATAACAAATGTCTTTTCATTTCATGGAGCTATGGCATGCTGGGACTATCTTGTTTATGAACTTGAGAAATCAGATGAAAGGCTTTCCCAATGTTGTCTGATACTAATTATCCTTTAATGAAACCTTCCTGATTGGTATAAAAAGTACTCTGAAGTCTGTTTTCAGGCAATAAGCCAGTACCACACAGTTGGCACCAGCTAATGATACTATTGTGTTGTCATCACTGGAGATTCCTTGCTTATCTTTCCCGAAATAAGGAAAACATGAAATATCAGGATTCATGCTCTCATTTCTATGGTATATTTTCAATAAACATTTCTTTCAGAAATGATATACACTACGTTGGGAGTTAAAGGGGGAAAAATCAAATAATTCTCTCCTTTTCTAAGACCAAAATCCTTCTGATGATATGTTTCCAGCATATCTGCGCTCATCTTTCAACAATCTGTGTTTCAAAAAAGATCATCTCTCAGCTTAAATTTAAAATTATCTGTTATTTCTTCAAGAGGCAAGATGTTTGTCACCCTTCCCACCTGCTCTTGGATGACCCTCTGTAGGAGAAAATGTTCCCTATTTCAAGAAGTAATAAAAGAGAAGAGTTCAGCACAACTAAATGTATCTTCCCAAATCCTTACTTGCCTTGACATTATTTTGGGATATATTCAAGCTGTCAAAACCCTTCTGCTTCAAGACCCAAGTCAGTCATTGACCAGAGGACATGGTCTTTGTGTGAATGTACAGAGCATGAACACACCTAGCCAAAGACCAGTGAGAATTAATCCACACAGGCTGGCAGGCCAAGTGGGTCTGGTTAAGAAAGGCTGAACTGCTCTAATGTCATGAAGCGGAAGTAGATTGTCTCGGCAGCTGCCGGAGCAGCTGCTGATGCAGCCCTCTTCCCGTTGCTGTGGTCACAAGCTTCAGGAAGTAATTTTGTGTTAACCTTTCCACCTCAGTACCTGAAGCGTCATTGAGACCTCTAAAAATTAGTGGAGGATGATGAGAGGTAGTATATGGTATTTGATCTTCAGTGAGTGATGGAATCTAAAAGTGGGTGACCAGGCTTGGCCTCCCACTTTGAGGTTTCAGAGACAACCTCTGAGAGCTCTGAAAGTGACCGTGAGTAATCATGCTAACTGCAATGCAGAAGACTGAGGTAGAAAGCAGAATGCCAAATTATTAGTGTGCAGTGGAAAATATAACTGCCATGGGAAGCTGAATCTCTGTATTTACATGATCATTTAACTCTCCTCCTATGATAGAGGGCACAAAAATCATAATCAAAAGAAAACTTGTTGAATCACTGTAAATAGAGAGTAAGTATTAAAAAGCCCAAATAACCAGCACTTTTTTTACCTATGGGCAGACTACTTCATTGCAGTTTCTTTGGCTGTAAAGAACAAAAATCAACTCTAACTACTTTATATTAAGGATAAAATTAATAAAAGGATATGGGAAAGCTCAGTTGAAGGAAATACTGAAGAGCTGGATTTTGGAAGAAAACAAAATCCAAAGCAGCTACAGAAACCAGGTTGCAAACTAATGGGTTGATGTGTAGGGTACTCTTGTCATGACGAATCACTCCAATAATATTCCTTTCTTTTATTATTCCATGCAAGATTCAGCTTTCTGGCAGAGAAAGTTTACCATAGCTTGGATCAAATGCCCACCCCTTGGTCAGGGAAGAACAGAGAATCTTGGTAGTCCCACAAATACAGCATGCAGTGGAATTAGAGTCTGAACTCTGGGTAGACCGAAACACAAATGCACTGACAAGAAACTCTCAAGGTTGTTTGATAGACAGGGAATCAGAAAAGGAAGACACACCCACCCACCCACGCACACACGCATATATATATATATTCATACACATATACATGTATGTATATATGTATATATATTTCGTAGCCTTTATGTTGTTATTTTTGAATTCTTTGACATCTTATGACCTTGCTGACTCTGGAGGGACTACCCTTCCCAGGATTAGCTAATTCCTAAAGATATTAAACTTATTTTCCTGAAAGTGTGTCTTTCCTATACCAACCATCCAGTCCAGAGCCCATACCCCCAACCACCTCCTTAATTGGGGTCTCAATCTAGGTGATGAAGCCTAAAGTGACAGGGTGATTAAGCCACTGTCCACCTGGCTTAATCATCCCAGGACCAGGTACCAGACAATTAGGGACAGCCCCTATGTCCTAGAGCTTGCTGAATCATTCAAACTAGCCAATCCTAAGTCTGCTTACCCAGTCTCATCTATTTCTTCCTATGGAAGCCTCAGTGAAGTCTCTTGCCCAGAAGGCTCTGCCTCTTCTTCTGCCTCCTGAACACCCTGGTGCTTCCCTAGCTGTGGCTCTGTGTGGTTCTGTGTGGTGGTGGCCTGCTTCCTGTTTCTAGGGAACTGGGAGTTAACCTCTCTTTTCACAATGTCACTTATGTGTCTTACTAAATCATACCCAATTAAAACAAATACTGTGTGCACACACGTACACGAGCATTGATGCAACAAGTCCCCCAAATGCAAGCCTACTACTTCCTCTGGTGCTCAGGAGACAAGTCAGTTATTGTTCCAAAGCTAATTTGAACTGTTCAAGAGATGGTGGTAGGTGAGACTCTCTGGTGTGGTCTCTTCCTAGAATTCTGCAAGAGTAATTTTGACGGAATTCTATGTGCATTCCCCCTGCTGACTTGACAACTTGATTTCACGTAGCTCACATGATTTCAAAATATCCTCCCTGCTTCCCCACTTTGTTATCTAACACCAACCTCCAATCCAAAAGCAAAAGCCCTTCCTCAGCTCCTTTAGGAAAGAGACTTTCTCTTAAAGTAGAGAAATAATTTTAGAAGAAAAATAATGAGCTGTGTCTCAAATGCCTCTGAGAGTAAAACAAAAACCTTAAATATCCTTGTGACCTTTTCAAACCTGAATACTATCTACAAACACCAACATCTGATTAAGCTAACACAGCAGCACAAAGCCCAGTGTTTGAGTCTTGTCCAAAAGGGTTAATGCCATTCCCAGATATTCTCAGCTTGTTCCCAGGGAACAGTTCAGGCCTAGTAGTCTCTTTGGCAATTGGTTCAATTCCTAATGCTTTTAAAGAGACAAAAGCTGTATCTGTGTGTGCACGGGTTGCCTTTTAGGGATTCTCTTACTTTAAAAAATTCCTGCTACACATTTTAGGGAGTGTGATCAGGTAGGGTGCCAAATGAAAAATGACATAAAGGGCTTGAGGGGAATCTGCACATTCTGAAGTTTGAGGTTTTTAAGTTCCTCCTGAGGGTGATTCTAAAGCAGAAGAAATAGTTAATTAAAACAAAAAGGACCTTGAATTTTGTGAAGATGCTTTGGGTTGGAAGGGTGGAGATTTTCGGAGTCAGTGTCTCCGTCTCCGTCTCCGTCTCCGTCTCCGTCTCTGTCTGGGTCTCTGTCTCTCTCTCTCTCTCTCTCTCCCTCCCTCCCTCTCCAGTTTGAGTGCATATATTCTGATTCCCTACGTGTGTGTATGGGATAGCAGAGGCAGAGGAACAGCAATCAGTCTCAAAATGACCATAGTCCAGTTTCTTATGAATATGCAACATTGAGGCTGCTGCCTCTGAGTCCTTCTACCAGTGAGACACCTAAAAGAGAAAGAAGTTTGTACCCCCAAATGGTTATTTATTGCTCTAGGTGGCTTTCCATTTTCTGTTCATTGTTGTACCCTCCTGCAGAATTCTGCAGCCAAAATGATCAGGTGAAAGCTTTCTGAATTCTTCAGGCGAGTAAGAAAGAAGTCCTTGGCTCTCCCTCCAGACACTGTCTCTAAAGTGAACCAGACAGCAGCTATTAGATCTAATACTATCACTTTTCAGAGTTTGCTCTCAGGTCTGTCTTAGGAGAATTTTCCTGGAGCTGTTAGGCTTTTGCTAAATTGCTACACATCTAAAAGTTCCATGTGGTCACCAAGCTTTTTTTCAAAATCTAGAATCATCCCTCAGCCAGGTTCAAAATGGAATTAATATCTGGAAAAAAAAATCCATAAAAAAGGAAGTCTTAGAACTGTGACAGAGGGAGGAGTGTAAAGGCTTTGTGAGTGAAAGCCAGTGATTCATTCCTTCAAAAATATTTATTGAATAGAGATTAAAGATAAATACCATGAGAAACACTAAAAGCTGTGCCTTTGAAAGAAGAACAATTTCAGATGATGTTGTCTGGCTCTTCATTAGCAAGAGGAATATAGACTGATTGTACATGCGTGTAGCTGTAGTGAGGCTAAAACTACAAGCCCAAACTGGGAACCAAGTATATGGGCATGTTTGGCAGACTGCTGGCTTTTGGGGCTCAGAAACCAATACCCCAAATACAGTGCTTTGATGACACCTTGAACTGCAGAAGTCTCAAGGTTTCTCTGACTTATTATGCCTTTCCCTCCCCCACCCAAAGCACGGGATGAAGTTGTCCTCTGAAATTCTTTTATCTGCCTGAGGTCTGGACCTGCCAAAGAAAAAAACCAATTACCTCTTGTCCCTTCTTTGAGTTTTCATTAACTGAACTCATATTGCAGGAAGAGAGACTGAATTCTGTCAACACACCTGGACAGACTTTTGTCAGAAACCACTGCCTGCTCTGCTGGCCCAGCATACTGTGTCCCAGGCGATTGTATGTTCTTCAAGTCCACTGAATTTGCCTAAAAATCATTTACTACTTGCCTAAAATCATCCACATTTTCCCATCTCATTTTTCCCTAAGAAGAAGGGTATATAATCATCTGTATACCATTTCATGGTGGGGCAGTCACTCTGTGATTTTCCCTGTGTGCACGTTAATACATTTGTATGCCGTTTCTCCATTTTTTTTTTTTTTTTTTTTTTGTACAGAGTCTCACTTCTTTGCCCAGGCTGGAGTACAGTGGTGTGATCTCAGCTCACTGCAACCTCTACCTCCCGGATTCAAGTGATTCTCCTGCCTCAGCCTCCCAAGTAGCTGGGATTACAGGACACACCACCATGCCAGGTTAATTTTTGTATTTTTCGTAGAGACGAGGTTTCACCATGTTGGCCAGGCTGGTCTCGAACTCCTGACCTCAAGTGATCCACCCGCCTCTGCCTCCCAAAGTGCTAGGATTACAAGTGTGAGCCACTGCACCCAGCCACCTTTTCTCCTATTAATCTGCCTTTTGTCATTTGATTTTCAGTGAACCTGCAGATGGCGAAGGGGAAGACTTTTCTTGGCCCCTACATGGCCAAAGCCTGAAGTCAATTTAAAGAGGGACTGAGGGCATTCTGACAGAAAAGTCCTGCTAAATTCCTGCTATGTCTAGACACTTCATGCATTCTCTCGTATTTATTTGTCATAAGAACACTATGCAGTGAATTTTATTTCCTTCTTTGTTTTAATTACAAGGAGAGTGAGAGCCATAGAGGTTAAGTGATTTTCATTAATTTGATTCAGCAATATGGATGGAACACCTACCATGTTCCATCCTTTTCCTTTGTTCTAGGAATGCAGCCATGAGCAACAGAGACCAGGTCTCTGTCTTCTTAGAGCGCACATTCTAAGTGTGGGTGGGGAGCAGGCAGTAAACATGAAGAAAACTCAACAAATGAGAGCCCTCTGCATTTGCATGCTTCCATGGACTGGGGCATAATTTTACAACAGATTTCCCATGTCAGTTTTCCACACTGCCAGAAACTTCTCAGACTCTAAAGCCAGACTCATTTTGGAATACCAGAAGAGTTTACCAAAGGAATTTAGAAGAGTTGATTGGTGGCTTGCATCTTCACTTTTCTTATATTTTCTGGTGGCGCTTGACATTGCTTTCAATGTCATTTCATCCACAGCACAGTGCTGGAAAAACTAGATAGTAGAAGTCACGTGTGACTTGCCCTGGATAAGGCTTGATATTGGGTTTCTGGAACTTTCACCCTTTATTACTTTCATAACACTCTTTGAAATCCTCAGCTTGCCTTATCTTTAATTTTATTCAGCACAATTTTCTTGATTTTGCATACCCTTGAAAATGCATATGCACATAATAGTCCAGGGATGAGGAAGTGCGAAGAGAGTTTCAAAACCCTTCCCTGGGAGTGCAGTAGTGATTTGATTGGATTTGAAAACAGAGTTATAAAAGCATGCTAATAATAAAAGAAGGCTTTCACTCTAAAGTACTCATGAATGATAGTGAATATATGCACTGGTACATGTGGTGGAAAGGGAGTCCATCATGTACTGTCGAAATATCAGCCCAGTTAGGATATTTTAAATATAGCTGTATGGGTCTGTTTTGAGAAGTCATAAGTCATCACTTAAGAAGTGTTAAAGAATAATTTTTTTAAGAAGAGGTTGTTGTAACTGAATTATGTCCCCTCAAAATTCATACATTGAAATCCTAACCCTCAGTACCTTAGAATGTGTCTGTATTTGGAGACAGGGCTCTCAAAGAGATGACCAAGGTAAAATGAGCTCATATACTCATAATGGGCCCTATTCCACGTGACTGGTGTCTTTATAAGAAGGGGAGATTAGGATACAGTTATGCACAAAGGGAAGACCATGTGAAGGCAAAGAGGAGAAGACAGCTATCTACAAGCCAAACAGAGAGGCCTCAGAAGAAACCAACCCTGTCAACACCTTGTTCTAGGAGTTCCAGTTTTCAGAATCATAGGAAAGTGAATTTTTTTTGCTTAAATCATCCAGTCTGTGACTTTATTTTGGCAGCCCTGGCAAACTAATACAGATGAATAATCATGACTTCCATAGAAATGTAAAATGAAGACATGTTATAGCCGGTTGTATGGAGAATTTAAAAAGACAGAAACACTTCTAGGCAAGCAAGAATGCTGAAGTAAATTTACAAATGTATATCAAATTGATCAGTATTCATGGGGCAATAGGCAACTCATCTGACTGGATACAATTGCCGTTTCTGTTTCTACGGATAAGAATTACTTGCCTTACTACCAGTATCCTGCAACTCGTAGAGCTATGAAATAGCTCAAAGACAATGAAAGCCAGAGATAGTCCAGAAAGATTTGCAAGACAGGATACCTGGTTATCTTGCATTGCCCATTCAAAATATTTCCCATTTTTACTAATAGAACAAAGCTCCAGGCCCAGAGGGGCCTTGAGATCCTACTGTTTTTCCTTAAAATGATGAAGGGGAGCCTACTCTCTTCTGCTTTGAATTGTCTCAGATTCATCTGGGGTTTCCATAGCTCTTCCAGTCTTAGGATTTGCCTCCCCTGGAATGGGGGGATGCTGAGGACAGAGGATAGGACCCCTTCTTAGGGACTGTTCTCCAGAATCTGACATCTAAGCTCTTTCTCCTGTCTTAGCCAAGGGGTGGGAGAAAGTGAGGCGACTCCTTCTGACCCTTTATCTCAGCTTCCAGAGCCTGGCCTCAGGGCAGAGCCTTTTGAAACACGAATTCCCTAAGCTTTTAAAGCTCAAGTCAAGAATTGTTTTCTATTTTCTCCACATTTCTCCTCTGACGCCTGCTCTGGAGATACAGAAGACAAAATGCAATCGGGTAAAGAAGAAATATAGGGAATGGGGAACAACTGGCAGTATTTCTAAATACTGTCTTGGCACCTCATTGTGTAACTTGCATATGTGAATCTCGGTGCTAAGTAATTTCATACTCTCATTTAATGCTCATAATGCCTTCCCTATGTGGGGACTATTATTAGTGCTGTATTTTTGGTAAGAAAGCCTTGTCTTAGGGAAGGAAATATTTAAGTGATGGAACCCAGCTAGAAGCCCAGTTTTGTGTGACTTCTAAACTCAACATTTTAGCCCAATGTTATACTACCCACTTCCTTCCTGATGAGAGGAGGAAATTGAGCATATAAGTAAGTCCCAACCTTTTCACCCAGGCCACGTTCTCATTATCTCAGGCTAACTTTCCCAAAATATCATTCTAATTGACTTCCGTGCCTGCAGCTCATTGAATCTCCCCTGAGTTTGATGGTGAGAAAAACACTTTGCCAGATGCTATTTTGGTTTTTTATTGCTATATAATAAACTCCCTCTAAATATAATGGCTCAAAACAGCAAAGATGTATCATTTCTCAAGATTCTGTGGGTAGACTGAGGGATTCATCCTCTGGTACTCTGGGGCCACTTGTGCAGCTGTGTTCACCTAGCAAGAGGGCTCAGATGAGGGGCCAAAGAGTGCTTTTGTCACATATCTTGAGCCTTGCATTGCTGTGGTGTGGGGCACCTCAATTCTACCCTGTGTGTCAGTGTACTCCTCAGCCTTTCTCTCCACGGGGGCCTCCTTCATGGTAAAGGATAGTATGTACATGGCAGCTGGGCTCTATCAGAGAAAACTTACAGGCTTCTCAAATAGCAGCACTTCTGCTATATCCTACTGTATCCTACTGGTCTTAGAAACTCACACTGCCAACCCAGAGTCAAGGGGAGAGAAAATTGACTCCACTTCTTGCTGGAAGGAATTTCTGGAGGTCATATTTGCACTGCCAAAGGAAACGCATATCCTTTTACAGACCTATCTTGCTGACTCTGGTTGGATAAATCATTCTGAAAAGTCAATTTCATTAAGTTATTTCTATGATTAAAAATCTACAGGGGTTGTTCATTGCATACAGATGAAGTTCTAACTCCACTCTCTGACATTTAGGGTTTTTTTTTTAAATCTGTCTCTACCTTGTCACTGCTACTTCACCATCTCTCTTCTTTCTAGGTGTTTGATAAGGTTTCAATGTTTGTCCACACCAAATCTCATGTTGAAATATGATCCTCAGTGTTGCAAGTGGAGCCTAGTGAGAGATGTTTGGGTCATGGGGGTGGATCCCTCATGAACGGCTTGTTTTCCTTCCCTACGTAATGAGTGAATTCTTGCTTGCTCTATTAGTTCATGTGAAAGCTGGTTATTTAAAAAGAGTCTGGCACCTCTCTTTTCCCCTCAATCACCATGTGAAATGAGTAAAAGCTTCTGCCATGAGTGAAAGCTTCCTGAAACCTCACCAGAAGCCAAGATGATGCTGGTGCCATGCTTGTACAGCCTGTAGAACCATAAGCCAAACAAACCTCTTTTCTTTAGAAATTACCCAGCCTCAGGTACTCCTTTATAGCAACACAAAATGGACTAATACAGTCCTCCTCCACCTCCCTAAACATACCAAAATTATTCCTGATTCTACAAACTGGAGACAACACTTAGGATAACCTTCCAAAATTCAACACAGAGGAAGACACTTTTCCTTGTCACAGCCATAATGATTGAAACTTTACAAAACTAAACTAGCCACTGCAGTGGGAAAATCAAACCAATTATCTGGAGCCATGCAGACTAAAGAGGTTTGTCTGAACTTGTTCTTTTTCAATCTGTTGTGAGCTGACCGATGTATCAATATATTCTACACTAGGTCTATGCAGATTCTGCTTATTTTAGAATTATGCTCTATACTAGAAACAAACAGGTAACCATCAGGCAAATACCCATGAGTGGTCACAACACAACATTTTCAAGCAGGCTTTCCTTTTTGTTAAAGAATATAAAATTGTATAAAAGCTGATATAAATATTTATTCATGTGTCAGGTCATTTCAGTCCAAGTTATGAGGTGAAGCAAACAGAGACATGTATTACATCTAAAATTATGTTTTTAATGTTTTGATTCACATAATGAACTTTTCAGAATTCACTAGTCATGAACACAGCACCTGAAAACCCATATAGTGATCATAAGTCTCATTTAATAAATAAGTCAGGTTTGTCAAAATGGTGTATGTTAAACAGTATCCTTAAGAACAGACAAAAAAAGGATGAAGACTATATTTCACTTTTTTCATTCTTGTCTCTGCTACCTGAGTATTTTAAGCAAGTTTTCCCAAAACAGCCATAGAACTTCCAGAAAGGACACTTGAAATTGGGCCATTTTTCTTTTAAATTGTAAATGTTATCATTCATCATCTTTTTGGGGTATTGAATACACTATCATATATCTGCTTCCATTGTTCTCACACAATAGTTATCAAACACTGGTGAAAAATGATGAGGGAAAGGGTTTACATTTTTTTTAGTTATTATCAAGGGCTCAAAATTACCTATCTTATCCATTTCAGGCAGTGTTTACTTAATGTAAAGTTCAAGAAGAATAAAACCACTCTTAATTCAGTATTCTTCATCTCAAAAAAGTTTAACTCTATGAACCTTTGCATGATTTCATGAAACTTTCATTTTCCTACCTGAAAAGAACAAAACTCAAACAGCAGGTAGGTTTCTCTAGATGAATGCTTTAGGATTGAAATGTGTAAGTAGTGAGATTTTAGAAAACACTGATCTAAGGAATCAAAACATTTTGAAAGAAGCTAATCATGAATTTATGATAGGTCTACTCAATATTTTTATTAACACCATATTAAACCAGTGTTTAGACTTAATTAAAACTGCAATAGACCAGATCTTAATTCCTCTACTTTTTGGGGGGTCACGGACTACTGTGAAAATGCACAGACATACAAACATAGACAATTTTACTCCAAATATTAAGAGTTTTGTGGATCTTTGGAATCTTTAGACCTTTAGTACCTGGAATAAAGAACTCTTGATAGAACTACACCCTCACCTGATCTAGTCCCTTCCCATGTCTCCACCTTCATTTTGTACCAAATTTTACAATGCTGTCTCTACTTCAGCTACCTTGCAATTCCTTGGTTCTTTAACATGCCGAACTCATTTTTGTTCCAGACCTTGTTACTTGTTTCTCCTCCAAATTGGAACAATCTTTCCTCAGATCTATGCACAGCAGGCTCCTTATTATTTAAGTCTCAGTTCTAATGTCACACTCTCAGAAGCTTGACATTAGAAATTCATTGTGACTTCATTGCGCCCCCAAAACACACATATGTATGAGCACTCACGTGTGCATGCATGCGCACGTGCACGCGCGTGCACACACACGCACACTCGCAGAGGCACATAGTCTATTGTATTAACCTGTGCTAATTTCTTCATTACCTTATCTCCTTGACAGCATACACCATGCCTATCTTCCTCACTACTTGATTGGTAATATCTGGTACCTAACATGTACTGACTATGTTTATAGAGTAAATGTATGGATGAAAGAATGAATGGATGCATAAACAAAGATTTTTTGAATTTAAACCGTACTCTCCATTAAATTAATTGAAACCAATTGTTACTAAACATGGCATAGTATATTAAAAAAACTTCTGTTTAGTGAATCTTCACATGCAATTTTAATATCTTGCCTAGCTTGTGACAAGCTGAAGTAAAAATATGACATGAAAAATATTCCCAAACAGGTGTAATCAACAAAAAGATCAGTTGGTTGGGAAGGTTTTAAATAGCTCCCTTTGTTCTTACCTGGAGCAATCGTTCAGGTTTTGCCGGTGATCAAAGGTGTCGTGTTCATAAGGAGGTAATTCTTAAGAGGGAAGTGTTTTGACAAAGACCATACCAAAAGAGAAACAAAGTGAATAGTAAATGAGTTGCTTGGATTAAGGGATAGGGAAGACATATTTTTGTTGAGGAAATTGGTCCATGGTGATGAAATGAATCATTAGAGACTTGCAGCAAGCAAAGCATATAAATCACAAGATTTATCATTTCATAACCTGCTGTTCTCCACATGTCCATTTTTTGGCGCCAGAGTTGGCATCTGGGAATTTTACATGTTGGATCCAAAATAAATGATTAACATCCCATTATTAAAATTCAATGCTCTAAACTCAACTGTTGTTTTACCAAATTGTTGTCTGTGGATGCCGATACCTTGTATGCTTGTTGAGAGCCTTTGTTTTGATAAGAACGCTGACAAAATCTTACAACTTGGTCCCAGTCTTCAGGAACTGATTTTTCTCTCCAGGGATTAACACTCTCTAACGGTAGCATACTCTAGGCAGCATACACAGCTGTTTTCAGAGCCTTTGCTTGTATTTTCTCAAAGTTAACTGGTAACTTTTGAAGCGCCCACTCGCTCAGTGCCTATGGTAATGCTTTGCAACTACTAAATGGGGAACTGAATTGGGTCCTTCAATTATTTTGAGCTTTGTGCTGATAAGCCCACATTTATTTATACGTCCATTCTCTGCTGGGCTAACAGTTGCTCTCTTATGTTCACAAATTAAATTCCTTGACCTAACTCATCATTTTGAAACTGAATTTATTTAATAAGAATAACAATCTTTTTTTTATTTCCAGCCATTTTCACAATAACTGATTCTGCATTTATTCACATGTCCTTTTATTTAATATCTGATACCCTGACTAGAATGTTAGCTCCACAAGGGCTGTGGTCATGGTTGTTTTGTTTCCTTTTACATACATTGGATACAGTACTTGGCACATAGAAGGTCATATATATAAATGTGTACAACAACTGAATGAATAAATGAATGAAAAATAGACACATGCAATTTTCGTTATTTTTATCTTTCATACCTTCCACTATTCCACCATTGTGGGTAGAGCCAGATCTTACCCACAAGTAGTTCATTGCCCAAGGGGAGAGATAAACCTGCCTGGTGGCAATTATGACATAATCTGGTAGGAGCTACATTGAAAGTATAAGCAGAATAATGAGGGGGCAAAAAGCTAGGAAAATATAAAGCTGGATAAACAACTTAGGCCTAGACAGGAAAGACAACCCAAGGAGTTTGGATGTGATCATCTTGTAATAGGAGTCAACAGAGCTTTCAAACAGAGAAGTAGTCAATAAACCTGGTGTGTTAGAAACAGAATATGCTCAGCACTGCAGAATGTGGCAGAGGGGTAAGAGTTAGTGCCCAGAAGCTGTTAAGAAATATGGTGCTTGTCATGGTCTTAGACTATGGGAAGTCCAGATGAGGAGATGAACAGGTCCAAATTTATTGTTGTTCTTCAGAAAGTGGCTCCAAGTGAAAGTCAAACTGTTTTTTAGAGTTAGCATTGTTATTATTATTATTTTGGGACAGGATCTTGCTCCATCACCCAGGCTGGAGTGTAGTGTGTAGTGGCATGATCATGGCTCACCTCAGCCTTGACTTCCAGGTCTCAAGTGATCCTCTTGCCTCAGCCTCCTGAATATCTGGAGCTACAGGAGTGCACCACCATGTCAGGCTGTTTTATTTTATTTTTATTTTTATAGAAACTGGGGTTTTCCATATTGCCCAGGCTGGTCTTGAACTCCTGGGCTCAAGCATTCCACCTGCCTCAGCCTGCCAAAATTTTGGGATTACAGGCATGAGCCACCACAACTGGCCTAGAATCATTATTTCAAACTATAAAGGAACTAGCCAATACTGAGCACATAAGGTGTGTATCTCTGATTGCATTGGCTTTGTACTGTATCAAGTAAGCTAATCTAGAATGAATTTCCTAGAATTTCCTTTCCTATATTGTGAACCTCAGTGTTAGCTGCAAAAGAAATCTTACCCAATATTCAGAACACAGAAGTGAAGGAGCAGCTACGTCTTTACACTTTGAAAGTTGGAGCTGCGTACCAGATGTGGTGGAGGTGGTGTGCATTGTTACCGGGTCCACTGTTGGCCCGAGGCAGCACCCACACCAGAGCTCCTCCTGCCGATTCTCTGAGTCCTAGACCAAGTGTGGATGCAGCCACATGTGGAGGCAGCCAGCTTCCTCTGCAGGCCAACCACTGAAAGGAGGTTGGAGGCACTAAGAGGTGATCATGAGTTCTACTTGTCTGCCTGGATTCAGCATCATCTTCTTGCTCATCCACAGCCAGCTCTCCTTCCTGAGTACCAGTCCACCTTCCCTCTAGGGATGCTGTGCTCAACACTACACACAGAGACAGCAGCCTGCATGGATATCCCCATTAGTGCCCATGATTCTACAAGAGCTAACTCCGTAATAAATCCCTTATTCCATAGCTCTCCCAGCAGTTGTGTTTCCTGGACCACATCATGACTGACACATGACCTCTTTGCTCTTCATATTGTTCATATCATCAGGGATTTACTGAGCATGTCCTATTTAGGAGTCTGTTCCAAATAGCATTTTACATGGAAGATCTTACTTTATCTTTCTAACTATGCTGTAAGCTGTGTTATTATTCCCAATTTATAGATGAGAAAATTGAGGTTGAGCAAGGTCAATAAGTGACTAAAGTCACGTAATTAATTAGTGGCAAATCTGGGATTTGAACCCAGGAACATCTAAGTATTCTCAGTCACTGCCTAAGCAATTTCTTCCCTGAGAAGCAGTGGATCAGGGCGTGAAATGTGGAACCAGACTCTTGGAGTGGAATCCCAGTGGTGCCGCTTTTTGGAGATGACTTTGGGCAACCTTCAGTGCCCTCATAGGTAAAATGGGATAAGATCTCCTACAGCATAGGTTTGTTTGAGAGACTCAGTGAGTTGGTATATCAAGAAAAATGTGTGGCAAATAGTGCCATTACTGCTGCTGCTCTTCCTCACCCCTGATCCTCTCTCTGGCTTTCAGCACCTCAGGGCCTTCAGATTCCTCTCTGTTTGTGCCTGTTTATCCACTGCCAGGTATCATACATTTGAGCTAACTCAATCCATTCTTTTGTTCTAACCCAACAATACTGCCATATTCCACATCTCATTTCCTTGGATACCTGTCGTCTGCTAGATATCTGAAAGTGCTGAAGCCATTTCAGTAAACTTGCCTTTGCTATTCTATTGTCTAGTTAAATTGGGTGGTTGTCAAGAAAATTAACACCTTAATCCTTAACCAGATTAAAAAGTAAATGACATCAAAACGTCCACCTGAAGAGCAATGCGAATTGTTAGAAATAAAGCTCGAGTTCACAAATGAAATGAACACTACGATAGTTGATTTTTCAGCAAGGCAAAGTTTACTTTTGCAGAAGCATGCTGCTCATTAGTTTGGTCACCACGAGAGCACACTGAACAAAGGAAAGCAGCGGCTTTATCCTAACGCATTGGCTCCTACTGCTGTGTCCAGTCTCCGTTGGCTAGAGTTGGACCACACAATCTAAGCTGAACCTGGTTAGCTAATTTGAAAAGTGCAGGGATGCAGTTACACTGGCGAGAAAACGGTTTTGGCTGGCAGTGGGTGGCGGGGTTGGTGATTTACAGAGTGAGTAGCAGATGTGGAATGTGGACTCTATAGATAAAGACTGGGAGGAAGGTTGTTTCTCAGGGCAAGGGCATACAGAGAGTAAGGGAGTCTGGCCTTGAAAGCAGAGAACAAAGGACAAGGAAACTTAAAGAAGAATGTCTTACTGCATTTAACACTAATGATGAGAATTTCAAATAGGAATACAGATTGGGGTTGTTGACTTTATTGGATATGTGTGCGTTAAGTGAGCCGTTTGACTGCTCTGTGTTTCCCAGCTACTTGAACTGGCTTATGAAGAGTAGCTAAGTAACATACAAGTAGCATGATCATTTTAATTTCCACCCTTCCTTCGTAGTTCTACTGAAGTTATTCCATCTCTTCAGTAAAGCTTTCCTTGCTGTATTTATCAAAAAGTCCCACATATAAAAAGCAATTCTCTTCTCCTTTCTCTTTGCCTGCCAGGAGGTGTGCTTTTGGTCCTTTCTATTGTTATAATTACATTTTATGGCTTTTTTTAAAATTCTTGCCCTTTTAATATCAATTTACACTTTATACTGCTTATTATTATGCGAGAGCTATTAATCATGAACCAATGGACTGTGTGTGTGTGAGTGTGTGTGTGTGTGTGTGTGTGTGTTTTAATGTAGGATAAAGATCCATAGTCATTATTCTTGGGTCTTAGACATAAGAAATCTGGAAAGATGTAATCTGTCAAAATTCCAGTTTATTTAATTCTAAATTAGCACTGACATAAATCAATTGATATAAATGAGGAAATGTATGTGCATGTATGTGTGTATATACCTCTATTTTGCACATAAGTGACCTTGTATAATAATTCTCTTTCATAAGCTTGACCTTGTGCTGTAATTCTGAAAATCTCATAAAATTGAAAGGCAATATGTAATTCACAAGAAAGAGAAATATGGAAGAGATTTTAAAATACGGAAAATTAGTGAGCAAATGCAATTGTTTCACTTTCTTCCAAAGTACAAAGGTTACAAATGAGAATTTGAATTGTCCCTCCATTTATACATACACAGATACTCCGCTGTTTCTCTTGACCCTCCTAAGAATGATTGAGAAGGATTGTAATGCTGAGTTTCTCTGTGATCCTCATTATCCACCTCACTTTAAAGTTACACTTTTGAAAATGTAATCACTTCCTCTCTCTTCAAAGGCCTATTTCCTCAAACCCAGTGCAAATGTATTTAAGAGGAAAGTAGGGAAATGCATCTTAATTTTTATCAATGTGAAACTTGTCAAGCTGCTCAACTGCTGAAATTTTGCCTTCTAAGGAATCAAGTTAAATGACTGCAGGGGCAATCATGGGTAATATGGACCTTTTTTTGGCATAAGTGTCCCCACAATTTCAAAAAAGGCAGTTAAATGCATCACTGTGTCCATTGAACAATACAAAATTTTAAGAACAATCATTGGATGAAATTGTCTGAAAATATCGTAAAACATGTTGACCTAATATGCTTTTGAAATTCAGGATTAATTTCTGTTGTTATTTCCTTCAAGAAGCTTTTCTTGCCTACAGCCTGTAGAAGCCAGTCCTCCCTATTCCAGCGTCACCTGTGGTTCCTCATGACGCAGAGCTATGCACCTATCCTGTGGAGGTTGTCATGTTCTCCTACCAGAGCCCTCCTGAGGGCAGAAACCAAATCTGTTTCTCGATCCTACAGCCCACCCTGTGTAGGGCACATGGCTAGAACCTACCAAACATGAATGAAGTGAATGCAACACAGACTTGACACTTCAAAAAATACAAACGTACTTTGCTTTATATGGGGAGGAGTGCCATCATATAGGCTATACAAAATCTGTTTACCCCATTGGAGGGTGAGCTTCTGAAATCCATATCAATGTTCTAATTTTACTTTATTTCTGTGTTAGTTTGCTATTGCTGCATAACAAATTACAACTTGTCAGTTTAAAACAACACCCAGTTATGATTTCACAGTTCTGTAGGTCAGCAACCCTGGTAAGCTAGACTGGAATCTCTGCTTAGGCTCTCATAAGACCAAAATCCAAGTGGTGTCTAGGTCATGCTCTTATCTGGAAGCTCTGGGGAAAGATCTGCATCCAAGTTCATTCAAGTTATGGTAGAATTTGGTTCTTGGAGTGATGTCTCATCAGATTAGAATCTTATCAGATTCACAGGTTCCAACCCACTCAACAGGGAGGCAATTATACAGCCACAAAGGTCATCAGGGTTTTGTCGTAGTCCATTTTCTTATAACAGAACACCTGAAATGGAGTAATTTATAAAGCAAATACATTTATTTCTTACACTTATGGAGGCTGAAGAGTCTAAGGGCATAGACTGGCATCTAGTGAGGGCCTTCTTCCTGGTGGGGACTTTGCAGAGTCCCAATGTGGTACAGGGTATCCTCACATGATGAGGAGGCTGAGTATGCTAACATGCTTGCTCCGGACCACAGAGCCCTCTTTCTCTTCTTATAAAGCCACCAGTTCATCTCCCATGATAACCTATTACTCTGTTAACTCATTAATCCATTAATTCATTAATGGATTAATCCATTCATAAGAGCAGATCCCTCATGCTCCAATCCACTCTTAAAGGCCCACCTCTCAATACTGCCATATTAGGGATTATTTTTCCACATGAGATTTGGAGAAGATGAATATGCAGTCCATATCAGAGTTTACCCATCCACAACTTTTTTTTTTTTTTGCAATAAATGCTGTGCACATAGTAAATACTTGGTAAATGCTGAGGAATAAATGAGTGAAATGAATAATAGTAGAAGCCCTTGCCTCCAATAAAATTAGATAAAGGAGACTATGGTTAGAGTGAAGATGGGGCCACCTGACCCTTAGGTCTGACTTCTCACTTCCTCCTACCCACCTGCAAGTCCTCAGCTGCTGCCTCTTCCCATGTCTTTGAAACACTGATAGTCTTGACTAGAGAATGTCAAGAAAGAAGAGCAGCAATTAATAGATTTTATTCTAGAACATTTTGGTTATAATGTTGCATAGACACCAATTAGCCTCTTTTTTTTTTTTCCATTTTGGAAAGTTAGCGTTTAGAATATTGCCCAGTTCTTAAAAATGCTTAAGAAGTATTTTAAAAAGTGATGGTATTCAGATGCTGAAAACATACATAAAACTGCATTACATCCAATATCATGTGCCTTCCAGTGTGTGGCACTGATAATACAAGCAAATAGGGTCCCCGTTCCTGACGGAGGTAGCTGTGGAAGTTCAGGCAGGCACTGAGTTTTAATTTCATCTACAAAAGCCACCTTTAGCCTTGAAACTTGTCCATTCCGAAGATGCTTAAGTTAGATTTGAGTGAGAGATTTCAAATTAGGATAATAGCTACACCAAAAGATTCAGAAAACTAGTTTTATTGACTCTAAAGAGCAGAATCAATAATTCAGTCAAGATTCCTTACAAGCTTTATTCCCCCAGCACCAAACTAGGTGCTGTCAGAGCAGCTATTATTTTTCAAAAATGATATATATGCTTGCACCAAGCATGGGCCTCCTTATGGATGTGGATGGAAGGCTAATTTGTGATATGTAATTTGTCCCTGGCCACAGGAAAGGCTGTAACTGTCCATGGGCTGTGCAATTGTTTTTAAATATCATCTTCTCCTCTCAGCAGCTCAGCCTAGAGTCATCCCATCCCCAGTAGCCACATGACTCCACAGCTCACCTGGAATTGTCACTCTTCTCATGACTGTGTTGCTCAGCTGGGTGCTAAGTTTCATTATCTTTGCCCTTTTCACCCATTTTCTGCTTCTGTTTGACACACCATGTGGAGAGCTGATAAGCGACATCTATAAAGAGCAGGTAATTCTATTTCAAGCATAATATTATGTGGCTTGGCCTTCTGCGATCAAAAGAAATCAGATAACTGGACTAGAGGAATTCAAGCATAAGTGTAAAATCTGTTGGGTCTTTTTTTTTTTTTTTTTTCATTTCTTCTTCATGTCACGGGAATACCCAGCCATGGTCAGAAATTGGAGGGCTTTGTGGCAGTCACTATATGAGATGCTGAGGTTATAGTTGTGAATTAAATAAAGTCCCTACTTCCAGGAGCTTATATTCTAGTGAAGAAAATAGATATTACATTAAAATGTTGCACATGTTATCATTGCATGGGTGCAAAGTGCTTTGAAGGAGAGGTACAGGATGCTGTGAAAATGTATAATGGGGGCTCACTCATCTAGAAAGAATGTGGAACAATGACAAGGTTGGAATAGCTAGAGAAGGGGAAATGAGTTAGAAATGGCACAAAAGAGGGCTGGAGAGAGAGACATTAAATCCCACAGATCCTATTGCATCATGGAGTTTGGGCTTTAATCTCAGAGCAAAAGAAAAGAAAGAGTCAGAATAGGTGAGGTTATGCTGCAGTAGCCAACTACCATCTCTTAAATCTTTGTAATTAGACAGAAGAAAATATTGCATTCATTACTCACACTGTATGCATGATCCATATGCAGGGAGTATCAACTACACAGTTTTTCAAAGACCCAGGCAGTGAAGGCTCTGTCATTTTGCAGCTACACCTTATCTGGACCACTAATTATCCTTAGCCACCAAGGCAGGGGAAAAGGGAGAGTGCAGGATTATATATGAGATTTTCACCATTTCAGCCAGAGAGTGACACATGCCACTTCCATGCATATTCTTTGCCAGATTTAGGTACATGGCCCTGTCTAACTGCAAGAGGTCCCCAAAATGCAGGGGAAGAAATGAAATGTTTGATGGGCATTACTGTCTCAGCCAGAGAAAGCAATGACTGGTTATAAGCAAGGGACAGACATCACCTGAGTTTCTAAATGATTGCTAGGTAAACAACAAGCCTGATCAGTACAATGTTATTTTCCTTTCAGACCAGGTTAATATCTGGCTAATAAATCATAAAATGCTACAGATAGTGCGCATCTGGAGTAGAGTGAAGAATTGGAAAAGATTCCTAAAAATACACTCCTGATCAGAAGGACAAATAAAGATACTATGTAACCTGTGTGAGATAAAATTGGTTCCGTTATCTTACCAATGGGATCTTATTAAATCTTGGGGAGCTGTCTAAGGGTGCAACACAAGGCTTTGTCTTTAGTCATGAGATGCTCAGTATTTTAAATCAATAACTTGATTAAGGACCTAGAAACTGTGCCATTGAAATTGTCATGTGGATCTAAGGTAACAGCAATAATGAAAGATCATGAGTTGAAGAAAGATAAAGCTGATGTGGTAAATTTTAGCAGAGGAGACAATAAGAAGGTCTAGTATTGAAATCACAAGACAAGCTCATACAAAGGCAAAATCTGGCACATGTAACTTAGTAGCTTTATGTGTGAAGCAAATTGTTGGAAAAAATGTTAACCTTCAATTCAATGTGAGTTAAGAGTATGGACAAAAACTGAGCTATTAACTTGTGAAGATCAAAAGAGGGGAATCCTGAATCCCATCCACAACCCTCACAATGGTCAAACCAGAGTGCAGGTATAGTGGGAAAAAAAAAAAAAGGAAAAAAGCATTAAGGCTAACCAACTGTAGAAATTACCATTGCTGGATGGAATGCACAACTTATAAACTTGGACATGTAGAAAAAACAATGTAATTAATTAAACTGGAAGGTGGACAAGGAGAGTGATGTTGGGAAGAAGCGTAAACATAATTTAAGATAGACGTAAGGTGATATGGAGCAAGGTCAAAGGAGAAACCTAGTGTGGTGAGAGAAAGGAAAATAGAGTGAAATGAGGCATGGCTGAGGAAACAGACAGACTAGACAGGGATATAGTGATTACCTCTAATCATTGAAGGGCTTTCAGGTGGGAGATGGATGAAATCTATTTGACTTAAGGTGTAAAACCAGTGCCAGTAAATGCAAATTACAGGGAGGGGGATTTGGGCTCAATACTTAACAGCCAGACCTGCCCAAAGAAGCAAGGAGCTGCCTCAGAAGAGAATAAATCCCCATCACTGGGAATGTGAAAAAAATTCTTGTTTTCAAGTAGAAAACAAGCAAAATATGGAATAATAGGAGCTAACATGTAAAGAAATGCTTACAAACATTGTGCTCGGTGCTACCTCACATTATGTCATGCAGTGTTCCCAAAAACCCTGTGATGGTCACTGTTATTCTGTCCATTTCATTGATAAGGAAACTGAGGCTCGGAAAGGTTCAATGATTTGGGGGAACCAGGATTTAGCCTCACGAAGTTTGACTGCAGAGCCCATTTCTACTCCTCACGACGGAGGTTTTCTTCTCCAGCAGAAAGCCTCTTGAGCAAAGTTAAGGATCAGAGACATAGGAAGTCAAATGATCAAAAGTGTTTCCAATTCTGAGATTTCAAATAAATGAGGTAAGGACTGGGATTTGAAAATGTGAAAAGAGCAATCAAATTAATTTGGGCCAATAAAATGTAATCAATTTAACAATATTCTACAGTATCTTATTTGTCAAAATTAAATGCCCCAAGGGAGTTTCTCTAATATCTGTTAAATTGTATTTCCCTCCCAATTAGAGTTTCTGATTAAAACAGAACACTCTCAGTGTGAATGCCCCACCCATTAATTCCATCCTCTTCATTCACAGGGCCTTCCTGGCTGTTCCTCAAAACCAGCTAACTATACACTTCTGCTCTGGGCTTTTTGCACTGGCTATTCCATTTGCCTTGAATATTCTTCCCAAGTGATCGCCAAGGCCCCTTAATCATCCTTTCAAGTATTTGCTTAAAGTTATCCTTTCAATGTGTCCTACGTGCTATACAATATTATATACCCCTTTTTCCTCCCAACATTCTTGGAACATACCCCTTATTTTCCTCCCTTTTTCTTCTTCTGTAGCACTTCTATGGAAATTACTTCATATTTTCATTGGTTATTGTCTCTGTTGCTAGAATGTATATTTTCGAGAGGAAAGAACTTTTGTTTTTGTCCAATCATATATCAGTGGGCCTTTGAATGCAGCTGGCACATAGTAGGTACTCAAAAAATATTTGTGGAATAAATGCAGAATTTGCTCAGAACTTTGCATCCTGAGGCTCTGTAAAGGAATGGGGAGTTGACTCTGAGCGGGAATTCATTGTACCGTCCACCCACCTCTTTGGCAGATCATCTTGGACAATTATAGTAAGAGAGCTATGTCCACCATTGATAACTTTCATCCCTGTTAATGTTCTAGAGCAGAAGTCAGCAAACCTTTTTAATAAAGGGTCAGATGGGAAATGTTTTAGGTTTCACAGGCTGTATGGTCTTTGTTGCAACTACTTGGCTCTACCATTGTAACATGAAAACAGCTATGGACAATTCATAAGCAACTGGGAATGAATGTGTTCCAATAAAAGTTTATTTACATAAACAAGCTTTGGGCTGGAAGTGGTCCACAGTCTGTAATTTCCAAGCCCTACTCAATAGTGTCAGAAATGTTAAGCTAGATTGATTCAAATGTGAATATCACTTCAAATTACTAAAGTCAACAAATATTTATTGCTGTTTTCCTATGCAGCAGAGACTGTTCTATGGCTAAGAAACAAAAGATGAACAAAGAACATGCTCAACTTATAATCTAGCAGTGAAAGAGAAAAGCAAGTACATAATTTATTGCAAAGGTATAGTACACTCTGTATCAGATGGTATGTTATATAAATATAGCCGTAAACGATTTGTAATGGTCAGGTGCTACCTGCTATGAAGAAACAAGGCAGGGTCAGGGAATACAGAGAGACAGGATGAAATGTGCTGTTTCAAATAGGCCATGAGAGAGGATTGCTCTGATAAGGGGATATACAAGCATGAACACATGAAAGAAGTAAAGGAGTGGGCCATAAAGAAAGAATTCTCCAGGCAGAAGTTCTAATTCAGGAGGCTGAGGCATTCCAGGGTGTTCAAGGGGCATCAAGGGAGGACAAGAAACATAGCAAATAATATATAGACATAGGCTGATTTTAAAAATGATACCAAATAATATAGCAACCCCCAACCCTCCTCCTCCCAAAGCTGTCCATTTCTCTACTGCCCTTCTATATGCTACTGGAGGTAAAATTGTTAAGTCACAAAGGTAAACCCTCCTTACCCTCTTCCAGACCTTCTCCTAATAGCTAGAGATAGATTGCCAGCTTTTGCTTTCAATCTCTTTTATGCAGTTATAGCAAATTATCTAAGAGAGTAGTATAAAAATATAAAGAAAGTGTGAAGTGTTCCTTCCCTCAAAATATATACTTTTGACAAAAGTTATACATCAAAATAAGAAATATCTAATGCTGGACAAGCTGAAATTAGCAAAGATGGGAGATTGGAATTGGTTAATCAAAAATACCCTTAGGTTCATCCTATCCTAAGTGCTTGGTTGGTGTAAAGAACTCAATCCACACTTAAGATTTATCTCCCATTCTCCTATTAAGTCCTGGAGTGACCTCGATTAAGTCATTTCACCTTGCTGGGAGTTAGTTTTGTCCTCTGTAAATGAGTGGGTTGGGCTAGAACCAGAATGGCAACTATCTGCAGGAGTGTAGTTCTACTCGACATCTGCACTGATGGCAGAGAGAGTAGAAATTCACCATGGCTCATTTTGCTATGGAACCTAGGCTGAGCCTCAGTATCCTACTCAACACAAAATTTCAGGTAACAAGGCCCAATCAACGACAGCTGGCCCTTAAAATGAAACATATTTGACCCTTATGGACAAGATCATCGCTAAGATTCATTTTATTTCCAAAACTAAATATCTAAGTTAGACTCTTGAAGATAACCAATTAGCAACTGGTGAGTAATTCTCCATTTTAGATGAGCCAGAAATTTTACAAATGCATTCCCAGAGAACTTTTGATTTTTGTAAACCTTCTAACCTAGGCAAGCTGGCTCTAGAGTTAATAGAGTAAAACTACTATAATTGTTTTTGTCAGATCATGAAGCCATATATATGAAACTGGGAGTAGACTGGGGCTTAAAAATCAAAATGTCTCTGCATGGTGGTAAAAGAAATTGCATATAATGTTGTTAAAAAGTAGTGACCACTAAAGAAAGAGTCATCAAAAGATCAGAAATAATACAGCCTTTTAATGAAATGATTGATACACAAATGTAATTCAGCATCTGACATTTTCCTTATTGTCTTTCCAGAGTGGCTGTGGGCAGCTTATCATTCTTTCTTGCTGGTGTGAATCCCCAGCCCCCAGGGCCCATTTTGACCAGCCACACAGTACTCAGGGAGGAAAGCAGGCTGTCAGAGGCTCTGCTTACCAACTGTTATGTTCCCAGAGAAAGTTAATAGATCAAGTTTAAGGGCTCTCTGTAAGTTGGTGGCCTTTTGAAGTAATTAAAATGAGCAAGAGAGAGAGAGAAAAAAAACATTTTTGTTGTACCTTAACAAGGTGTAGAATTCGTTTTATTGGGAGTTTCCAAAGGCAGAGAGAAACTTTCTGTTTTTGAACTCTGTGTCCCTTTGAACCAGCGATGCTATTCTCTAGAATGAACATTCATTGATTCCTGGAATCTTAAATACTCTTTATCCTCCCACAGTGTTGCAAGGGGCAAGTCCATGTCAGGATACTCAAGGATACTGAGTATCGTCATTTTAGAAAGAAGCAAATGAGTCATGCTTCTTTATCAGCTGACCATTGCTCTCTATATATTATTAAAGTGATAATTGAATGATAGAATCACTTATCATATGAGATACTATAGATGCTAAAAGTAAGGTGTGATTCCTCCTTATAGCACTGTAGATCAAAAGTCCAGTCTCAAGGTGTCCTCAGGGCTTCATTCCTTTCTAGGAAAATTGTTTCCTTGCTCATTGAGGTTATTAGAATTCATTTCCCTGTAGTTATAGAATTGAGGCCCACGTTTTTTGGCTGCCTGTCAGCTGAGAGCAGTTCCCAGCTTCCAGAAGCCACCCAACCCAATAGCTCTTGGGCTTCTTCCTCCATATTCAGAGCCAGTAGTGGCCATCTTAACTCCTAAGCAGGCACAGAGTCCAGAAGATGAGACAAATATTGATTTCCTTTCCCTTTAGGTCATATTTGGTCACTTCAATGTCCATTATAGGTAGCTATCTATGGGCCCCTTATCTCTTCATCCTGTCCTCTACCACTTCCTGGTGATGGTATAGATTCTCAATGTCTGTCACTCAGCAGAGTTAGGTCTTTTACGATACTTTGGCATGAAGCATCTACAACACTAATGCACTTCTACAAATATTGACCATATTTCATAGCATAACTTTGGTTTGTTTGACTGCTAACAAAGTCACTCTTTTTTTCTTGTTTTGCCAAAGAATCTCCCAGATCAGGGAGGAATAAGGAAGTGAGAAGATGCTGGAGGAAGGAGGATCCAAGCCTTACAAATAGGAGCATTGATTTGGGGGCTTTCCTTTTGCCTGAAGGGCGAGCAGATCTACCTTGATCCTGGTTTACAAGCAATTATGTAATATCACCCAAGGATAATGTTGTGCTCCTATCACTCAGACCCTGAGGCCGGTAGTATAATAAGGCTCAGAGTGAATCCCTTCTTTCGATGCAATGGCTTTTACATGCTGAGGGTCATATGCTTCTTTCAGAGTCTGATGAAAATTATAGAATCTTTCTCTAGAAAAATACACAATTTCCTGGATTCATGTAACTCCCTTGAGTATGCTTGTAGAGAGCAATGAACTCAAGTTCGTGATGGAAGTTTAAGAGCTGCTTTCATTTGTTAAATCTTCATGTAAGTCACCAAAAAAGTTATCTTTACATTTTATCTTCTTTCATGTTTCCTTTACCTACTTCTTTATCAGACTTGAGGTAACATGACAAGGAGGCTGAAAACATTGAAGACAGAAATTCCTAGACTTAAATCCTGATCCTGTCCTTACTTACCCAGTGACACTGGGCACATGACTTAACTTCTCTGGCCTGTTTTTCTCCAGTAAAATGGGGTAACAATGTCATCTTATGATGTCAATATTAAGAGTGGCACTGAGCCTGGTAGAGCCAAGCATTCAGTATATGGGAACTCATTTCATTATTTCCAAAGAGTAAAATGGACTTGATTACTATTTCCTTTACTTGCAAAGTTGAATCCTTTCTTTTCATTTTTATGAATTTTAATTAAAATAATGAGAGAGCTTTATTACTTTGAGTTCCTAAAATGCCCTACTTGTATTAATAAATGAGTCTCAGACTCATACGTGGTTCTAATCTCTTGTAACCTTCAGGGTTAGAGATTATCGTTGACTCTTTTATAGATGAGTTCAAAATGGAAGCACAAACCGAATTCTATGAAGGCAGAAAGAGCACTAATTTGTTTCAAAAGGGCTGGTGTTGTCATCTTGACCCTTTACTTCATGACCTGGGGGAAGTCATATTACCTCTCAGAGCCTCCATTTCCTTGGGATAAATTAGATATCATTGTGAGAATCCAAGGAGATAAAATATTACATGTTGATATATTGATGTTGTTATTATTGCTCCTCCATCCCCACTCCCACCAGGTTTATGGCTTTCTTGGAAAGAGTGGGAGCTAGACCATAGCAATAGCTTCCAACCTGATCATGTCTTCCAGAATGATATTTCTAAATTTACATCTCATCATGTCCTTCACCTGAACAAAGCCCATAGATCCTTTCAGGAAAAGTCCCTCTTCCCCAAGAATGACACCCAGGATCACCATGACCCAGACCTCACTGCCTATTCCAGTCTCTTTTTCCTACACTAACTTGGGCCAGGCACAACCACAGGCCTCTCCTCAACACACTTGGCATTTTCTTCACTTTGAAAACTTTAAAGTACTCTTACCTATGGCATGAAGATTATTTTATAATTAGGTAAAGACAGTATTTTGACAGAAAGGGATACCCAGTCAAGAAAAATTTGAAATTGAGCAACTTGGCCTTAAGACCCTTGGTGCAGATAAGGTATCCCTTATCCAAAATGTTTGGGACCAGAGAAGTTTCAGATTTTGAACTTATTTTTGGATTTGGAAATATTTGCATATACATAATGCCATATATTGGGAAGAGACCCAAGTGTAAACAGGAAACTTATTTATGTTTTATACACACTTTATACACATAGAATTAGCCTGAAGGCAATTTTATATAACATTTTAAATAACTTTGTACATGAAACAAAGTTTGGATTGCGTTTGGACTGCAATCTGTGACATGAGGTCAGGTGTGGAATTTTCTATTTGTGGTATCATGTCAGTGCTCAAAAAGTTTTGGATTTCTAATTTTCAGATTAGGGATGCTCAACCTGCAGTAGAACAATGAGCCCTAGAAAACGGAACCTATCTTCCTCTCTTTCAAAGCTTGTTTGTTGCTGCAAATAGTCACCTTTTGTTGTCTGTAGGAGCATCTACTCTGTAACTTTAAAGATTCCTCTTTTTTTGGCATGTAAGGAACTAAGTGACTATTTCTCAAGGATACTGAGTATCGTCATTTTAGAAAGAAGAAAATGAGTCATGCTTCTTCATCAGCTGACCATTTGCTCTCTATATATTATTAAAGTGATAATTGGATAATAGAATCACTTATCATATGAGATACCATAGATGCTAAAAGTAAGGTGTGATTTCTCCTTATAGCACTGTAGATCAAAAGTCCAGTCTCAAGGTGTCCGCAGGGCTTCATTCCTTTCTGGGAAAATTATTTCCTTGCTCATTGAGGTGATTAGAATTCATTTCCCTGTAGTTATAGAATTGAGGCCCATGTTTTTTGGCTGCCGGTCAGCTGAGAGCCATTCCCAGCTTCCAGAAGCCACCCAACCCAATAGCTCTTGGGCTTCTTCCTCCATATTCAGAGCCAGTAGTGGCAGTTCAGAGTACCTCTTGGGCTTCAAATTCCTCCAGCCTCTTCTTACATATTTCCTCTCTTTGACTAACTCTTCAGCCTCACTCTTCTACTCTAAGGATGCTTGTGATAATTTTGGGCCTGCCTGTGTAATCCAGGATCATATTTATATTTTAAGGTCAGCTGATTGATTAATAACCTTAATTCTATCTGTAAGCTTAATTCCTTTTTCCATAGAAAGTAACATATTTCCAGTTTTGGGGATTAGGACATGGACATCTTAAGGGGGGCATTATTTTTCTTACCACATCTCCCAATGACTTTATTTTATCAAACAAATTTAAAAAAACCTGTTTGAAGATTCACTTTCTCTAGAAATGACCTCAACTGATGCTAGTTGGAAATGCGCACAGAGGTCATAAGATGGAATTGTTAACAAGGGACATTTAACACGGGTTTAGTAATTTTTCCTGCAGGTGTGACCTCGCAATGGCAAGCATTGGATGCCTGTTGTAAACAAGGTTTTTAAGATCACTTAAAAGGCCACAGTAATTGGAAAGCATGACTTTACACCTACAGGATGAATAAAATAAACTACTTTCCTCAGGTTACATGAATGAGTATTTGGGATAAATGTGCCTTGGGATAAAATTTCCAGAGATGGCCTCATACTCAAATTTTAAAAGTCTTGAACAACTTTGAGAAATAAAGAGGTCAGAAGCCTGCTTCAGGTGACTCACAAAGTAGCTCTAGTGATGACAAAGGCATTGGTGTCAAAGATCAGTAGGAAGAGATTGAGTAAACTTGTTTTAGAAAACATGAGAGTATAATCGCAATAATTTAAAATTAAAACATAATATCTAAGTAATTCAAATATGTATATATTTAAATTTAATATACTTATAATGTAATTTAAAAATCATAGGTAGACAAATAGTTCAGATATAATGTAATTTAAAATTTAAAAAAAGCATATCGTTAGAAAAATATTTCAGAACTTTAAAAAAATAAGCATATCATTAGAAAAAGTGATCTTACTTTTTGCTGAGGATGGCCTTATCTGTGATATCTAGCTATAACAGAGTCAACTTTATTTTCTAAATTACCTTTGTAGTTTATATTTGGGCTAAAAGCAGGTGAGCATAGTAAAAAATACATTTTATTTCCTTCAGATTTAAGAATTGGTGGTGTTGAATTAATCTTCTGAACTTCCATTGGAAGTCTTAATTTCTTTCCACATGGGATATGATATCGTAAGAAAAATATCACAAACAGGACAATCCAAACCAGACTTTCTTGTTCTTTTTTCCTGGGGCTTCCTTAAAGTTCTACAATTTTTGATATTCAAAATAAAAAATACCCTGGCTACCAGCATCTAAAATTACCATCTTGCTCACTAAACTCCAAGCCTCCGTCTCTCCAAATAGTTCATTACTTCAAACGCTTTTCCAAGCCAAAATTCAGAAGAAAAGTACTTTGTAGAAGTTAGGTGATATGTATATTACCAGATTATTTCTCAGGGCATAACTATCTGTGTTTAGAGGGAAAAATTTGTGGTATTGGAGGTGGTGGGATAGAGAGACCCAAAAGGGCTTGCTGCGGTAACAAGGGGTAGTTACTAAACTTATAATTCAGTAAAACAGAAATACACCTAATTGAATGCTGCAATTTGTAAGGGTTCAGATCTCAATTGTTTTAACAAAGAAGCCAGACTGAATAATGTAGAATAAAAGGGGAGAGGAAAAACCACTTGTACTTTGGAGAAATGCAAATTCCTGAGAATTTAGGGAGTTGCATGAGAGTAGAGTTTCATTTGGGAGAATCCCTCCATCTTCCCTGCTAAATTTTTGGTAAGGGCAACAAGCTGTTCATGATATTTTTAATGTTATCAAGTTTATTAAGAAAAATATGGAGAGAACTAACATCTGCCTGCTATTGAGCATGGGGCAGAGTCAACCCATGTAGATGAGGGAACAGTGGATTCATTTGGTTATATACAGAATTAAACAATTATAAACATACAACTGCTGACCCTTATAGTAAATCGTGGCTGTTCTGTGAACAAACAACACCTCCTCTTTGATTATTTGCAGCTTCTTGGCACTTTATTTGAAATGCTAGAATTTCAAGAGGCAGAGAAGGCACACGGAGATGTTTTATTCCACTTACCAGGATTGGGTTAATTCTCAACAAATTCCAGTATTTATAAAACTTAATTTCATGTGCACCCATTTAAAAGAAATTCAATCTGCACCTACTGCAAAGGAGATTTAGATGTCAAGTACCATATTACCACTTTCTTGCTGGAAATGACAAGGCTGCTGGAAGACTGATAATAGGTCTGGTAGTTATATTTTATTATGCCTGATGCAAAAAAAAAAATTAAATAGACCAATTGAAAAATGAAGCTGTTGCAAGTTGATCTCTATGGAATCACTAGAATGCAGGAGAAAAAAATACCAAAAGCACAAATTAAATTTAAGATAATCAGCCCTGTGGCTTATTCTCTGTGGATTCTCTAGTCTAGCTCTGCCTAATTACATTCTTTGTAGGGCATATTATTTTTGTTTTCCCACTGGTGTTTTTTTTTTTTTAATTTTTAAGTTTGGGGAGTACATAATATAATCACTACCTCTTTATGTTAAGAAATGTCATGATTTTGAATAGGAAAGTTTCATAGGCTATGTAATGTCAATCATCTGTCTTTATGAGAGTGTGTGCCATTCAGTTTGTTTAAAACGGGCTTAGGGAAAATATCCTTTATTCTGAGAGCAGTTGGTTTTTAAGCCATGTATCTACCTAATTTGCATGAGAGTGTAGTTAAAGGACGTTGACACATTTGGGAGTGGAATTGTGCTCTGTCCAAATGTGGCTATTTTATATTCCAATTATATCCTTCCAAATATCTAAACAGAATTATATAGGAGCCACTCCCCCGCTTTCACACTCATAGAAACTCTCACACATGTTCACATTTTAACATTTGTAGATAAGTTTAGACTTCAGATATGGGCATGGCCTCTCAACTTCTTCCATTCCTTTAAAGCCCAAGTATTGCAATAATTAACACTCCACAGAAGCTTCCTTAGGCCTCAGAGCCATGTAAGTTATATGTATTTCATGAAATGACCTAGTCTGGCAGGTCTGATGACCTCAACTAAAACACAGTAGAGGAAAAGCAAAGAGGCTGAAAGGAATATGTTCTCCTAGAGTCAGAATCAAAAAACAATTTACTCAGCTCTTCCACAGACAAGACTGTATGCTAGTTTTTGTATAACAATGGGCTCCAAATTTACAGTGTAGCAATGACAAAGTACAGGGAAATAATAATATGTGAGCCATTCTGTGTAAGCCCCAAATTGAAGATCCAAATCTTGCAAACCTAAGAAATCAGTACACTTTTATTTCATTTCCATCTCACTTATGATAGGAAAGGGATGCATATATCCAGTAAAATTTACCTTTCCTGTTAGCTGCTACAAATCTTGTTCACCTGAATTTCCACATGCTTCTAAACACCCTGATATGAGCCTGGGTCTCCTTTTCTCCTGAATCCTGATGTCCTTTAGTAATATAGATCTGTCTGTGTCTTATTTCAGAGATTCTTCTTAGCTATCTGTGGACACTGCATACTAGCCAACTGAAAAACCCAAGTTAAGGTAGGTTGTTAATGGAAAGGCTTCATGTTTTTCTTCTCCAATCCTATTTGTGTTTTAAGAGGAAATCTTAGAGGTGTGGAAGAGCAGAATATGCTGCCCCCAAATATAAAGAATCATTGAGTTGAAGGCAGTTAAGAAGAAGCCTGTGCAGGAAAGCTCTCTGCCCTCTCTGTATTTGCCTAAAAGAAGGACACAGATTTACAAAGACAAAAGGTATTCCACCTCCCACCCCCTACCAGGGAGAACAGTGGTTAGCCACTAAGACAACTTTAGACCCCTGTTACCCTGGAGATGGTACCAGAGGAATCTACATTAATGAGCTTTACTAACCCATCTTTATCTGCCATGTATTTGCCTTCTCGCAAGTTGCTGCCCTAGAGACTTAAAGTTCTTTTCCTTTGTCTTGTCACTGCTATAAAAATGTACTGTTTTCTTTGTTGAAGATGCCACATAAGCTAGAATTCAAAGCCATCTCTTTGAGAACTACTCATTCCCTGGATGTCTTTCATATATATGAAATATACATGTGAATACATTTCTGTTTGTTTTTCTCTTGTCAATCTATCTTTTGTTGCAGGGGTTTATTCCAACTAGGAACCTATGGGGGTTAAATAAAAAAATCCTCTTCCCCTACAGAGTAAAGAAATTACTTTTTAATGCAAATTAGTCTGTCTGCATTTGATACTCAGCAACTATTCAGTGCTACTTCTGATACCAGTGGGCTAGGGGAGGTCCCCAAATTCCCGTGGGACCCTGCCTCTGGCCAGCATCCAGGTTCTTGACACCTTCACGGGAAGGAAGTCAATAGTGAGTCAGAAAAAACTGGGAAAGTACAGAGATTTATTGCAAAGTGAAAAGTGCACACTCATGAAACAGAAGTGCAGGTGTACTCAAGAGAGTGAGTCACGCCATTGGGTTTGGGAGTTTGGGGTACTATGGGTTTCTTTAGCCAAGGGATGGAATATTTATGAAGATTCTTAGAAAAAGATAAAGATTTCTCAGAACTGCAGTGTCACCCATTTTTCCACCAAATAGAGGTGTTCCTGGAACTCTCAAGGTGCTGGGGCGTGTGTGATTGAGCGTGTTGATGAGTGTATAATGAGATCCTAGGTGAAACTTAGGTCAAAGCCAGTGCCATGTTTGGTCCAGTCAGTCTTCGCCAGTTTGGCCCACATCCTGGTTTTCAGGGTCTTATGGGTCCCTAGCTTATGCAGCTACTTCAACAGTTTCCATTTGCTAACCACGTAAAACTGATGCCTGGAATTTTCTATTCTCCTGTGACCACCCTCTGTTCTCCTGTGACCACCCTCTATTATTCCTGTCTCATTTTTTACCATCTTCATGAGTAGAGAGAGCTTTCACACTTTGACTTTGGACTTGGCCATTTGGCATACTTTAGTCAATGAAATATTAGCAGACAAGATGGAAGCAGTGGTTTAAAATGTGCTTGCATGATTAAGCTTGACCTGCTGAGTTTCTTTTGCAATGACAAGAACATACAACTGGTCCAGGGAGGATGAGAGACACATGGAACTGCCCTGGAACCAAGTTATAGCTTGAGGCTGAGTGCCCCTACATCAGGTGACCCTTAGCAGAATTGCAAATTTGTGAATGGGAATTAAATACGTTCCATATGCCACTGAGTTTTGGAGTGGTTTGTTTTGCGGCAGTTTTGTGGCAATAGCTGACTACTGTGCGTTGGAGTTTTTGTACAAAAAAACTGACTCTGAATAAGCTAATTTTTAAAAAAATTATAAGAGAAAGATAAAGAATAGCCCCCAGAATAAAAGGCAAAGTGAAAGAACCTAGCTTCAGAAAGAATAAAGACAAAGCATCCCCAAAGATCTAGGCAGCAGCAACTAATGGTAAGCCTCTACAAAGCACCAAGGTCAGGACAAATAAAGGCCAATAGATTTCATTATTTGGGTTATTTGCAAGATTCAGGGAGATAGAGATTGGTTCAATTCAGTCACATGTCACCCTTTTATTCCTTGGCTACTGAATGGGTGTATACTTTAATGGTAATCTCCAGGGGAGACCTAGATCCCCAAAGAAAAAAGGAGCTGGAACTTTCTGAAGAGAAAGCAGACCTTGAGCACACACAGATAACAACTACAGTGACCTCACAATATTTTGCAAGGAAATCTTCCACTAGCAGGATTCTCTAGGGAAACAACACCAATAGGATATGTGTTGTATATATACATACATACATATATTTTTCAGAAGACAGTTTTCATGGGAATTGTCTCACGTGATTATGGAAACCAAGAAGTCCTCACTATGCTGTCTGTAAGCTGGAGAATCAGGAAGGCCAGTGGTATAATTCTGTCCAATTCCAAAACCCTGAGAACCCAGGGAGCCAATGGTTTAACTCCGACTCCCAGGTCAAAGGCCTGAGAACTGGAGGTGAGGAAAGTGGGAGAGGTGGGGTGTTGATGTAAGCCCCTGAGTCTGAAGGTTCAAAAACCAGGAGCTCTAATGTTCAAGGGCAGAAGAAGATGGATGTTCCAGCTCAACAAAAAGAGAGATTTGCCCCTTCTCTGATTTTTTGTTTTATTTGGACCCTCAGTAGACTGGGTCTACTCAGTAGGCTTGAGTAACTCACTGAGACCATCTGGTCATTAATGCTCCTACTTTTGAAATGGAGGTAATTTTTGCATTTTACTTCAAGGTGGTTAAGCCCCTACCCCCATCCCCACTACTACCTAAAATATCTGAATACTTAGTATGAACTAAATACTGAGCTAAAAACTTTCTGTATTATGTTATTTAATCTTCACAACAACCATTTTAGGTACTAAATTATTAGCTCGATTTTACAAGTAAAGAAGCTGAAGTGGAGAAAACTTAAGTAACTTCCCCAGAGCCAGACTATAGTAAATGATGTTCCTAGATTTAATCTCCAAGTCTGCCTGAACCCTGAGGCTGAGGTTCTAACCTCAATTATTACACCCAAACAGATTAATACATGTGAGTGTGCTTTGAAAATTATACAATACCATACAAAGATAAGAGATTATTATTTTACATAAACTAGATTGGATTTTTACCAAACAGTAGAAGACCCACTTCATTCTGGTTTTCCTAAATTGAAAAAGTACACAAAAATATATCTATTTGTTTAGCATGAGCATATTGCCTCAAATTCCATTACCCAGGAAGAAAAATTAAAAAAAAAGAGAACCTAGAGAATAGGCAGAAAGGAAACTTAAGAAATTAACAATGTGCATTTCAAATAAGCAAAAACCACCCATACAATTGAAGTACCTGAAATTGATTGGATCAAGGTTTTATTAGAGTTTCATAATATTAAGCTTCTCTGTGCATAGTAACATCTGGGGCTCGGCATTAATTAAAATGTGTTAGACATAGCAGGTCTTATTTAGTAGGAAAATGAAATATAGAAGTTATGTCAGCAGTTATTTTGAGCACTGAGACCTTTCCTCTTAACACCCAACCAAGATGTGGTATGTTTTTAAAGGCTTGAAAGATAAAATTTATTGATTTGTATATAAGACCAAAAATGCTCAGATTAATACATGATTACTTGTAATGTGTTGCTACTTTACAAGAGAATGGTCAGATTTTTGCCTTCAGCTATTCAATGCTAACAAACAAACCAAATACCGTTCTGTGATAAGGCTTGTGTAATGAGAAGAACTTGGGAAAGTTTACAAGAGCCATGACAACATGTAAGGGCTAAACCATGCGAAATATTAATATAAAGATGCTCCACAAGCAAAGGAATCCTTTGGTATCACGTAAACATCTCCATTCTCAAGAATTCACTATGTATATTAGCATATTAGACTCTGAGATGTCCTGCAATTACACTTATACTTGTTTAACTGTGGGATGCTCTGTATAAGTGAGTAGATAAAATCACATGCAGCAAAAATAACAAAACACATTTCATGGGAACTTTGTATTAGGAAATAATACTTAAATAAAAAAAGAAACATGTTTTCTGAAATTAAGAAAATCATGACCAATTTAACAGAGTTATAATGTATCTGAAGGGCTTATAAAGTGGAAGCATCTGCAGGGCTTATAACATAGAATACACTGATTTGATTTCTGCTGAGGAGAGAACAACATAAATAAGTTTGAGGACAAACAAAATAGAAATTGTTATAGAAAAAAAGAGGATATCAGCAGAGTGAAATGCTGAAAAGGTTAATGTGCTTAAGCACAGCTCAGATTTTTACAGTATGTCAGAGATGGTTTAAGTGTGATGGTATGGTAGAAAACTACCCAAGAGACACTCAAAAGATTCCATCTAGTCCAATAATTGCTTAGTTATCTAGACTTAATGTTCTATTTCGATCCAGAAAAATCCAATCTTCCAAATCAGCACTTCATGGAGCAAAGATGAAGTTAAAAAATATTCACGGTGGTCCATAAACCCAGACTGGGTCATTATCAAATATTTTAAACATGACGTCTGTGGAAATAAGTGAAGGCCACCCAAATGAGAGCAAGCAAAGGCCATTTAGTCAGTTTGCTATAGTGAGAGACTTAGCCACTACCTTCACTTGTGTTTGATAGAGACTCAAAGGAGGGTAGAGGAGAGAGAAGACTTTATAGTGGAAAAAAAAAGAAGGCTTCGGGTGAGCCCTGACTGGAGACTCTTGGCGTGGGGACATGTAGGCAGGCTGAAAAGATCACTCTGCTATTGTTAAAGTAGACCAGACAGAGGGGTGGATGCTAGCAGGGCAATTCACTGGGAGGCTCCTGAAGAAACCCAGCTCAGAGATGTTGGGGATATGACTAGCATGATACTAGCAGAGATGATGAGATGTCACTGGGGTCTGAATACGCCCATAAGGTAGGGCCAACAGGATTTCCTGACATATTGGATTTGGGTTTTGACAGAAGGACTGAAGCCAAAGATGTCTGTGAGGTTTTTGGTGTAAGAAACTGGAAGGTTGGAGGTAAAATCGGTGGAGATGGGAAAGGCTGTGGGTGAAACAGGATTGGTGGGATGAAGAGGAAGAACTCAGTTTTGGATATATTTAGATTTGAGACATGTTTAGATTTAAGGCCATGGATTATAGAAGTGAAGGTTTCTGAGAGATTTAAGTCTGTTGAAGTCTGAAAGAACAGGAACTCTTCCCTCCTGTTAGGAGGTCATGTAAGGAACAGAACCTGAGAGATACTTCACTCTTGACCTTGACTGTCTTGCTTCCCTCTGGTACATGAGGATACTGAGGTCAGTTCCTTGCAAGATCACAAGCCTGCCGAGACATCAGAGTTGTCTTAGTCGGCTTGGGCTGCCATGAAAAATACTACAGACTAGGTTGCTTAAACAACATTTATTTTCGCCCAGTTGTGGAGGCTGGAAGTTCAAGATGCAGATGTCAGCAGTCCTGGTTTCTCCTGAGGCCGCTTCTTGCCTTGCAGATGGCCACCTTCTTGCTGTGTCCTCACATGGCCTTTTCTCTGTGCACCCGCATTCCTGAAGCCTCTTATTATTTTTGTCATTCTTCCCATATGTTACCAATCATATTGGATTAGGGACCGACCCTGAGGGCCCTAACAAGATAATTTACCTTAATTATCTCTTTAAAGCCCCTGCCTCCAAATACAGTCACATATCAAGGTACTGGGGGTTAAGGCTACAAAATATGAATTCTAGGGGGTTGGAGGTCATAATTCAGTCCATAACAAGAGTTGAATCCAGATTTTCCAATTCCAAGTTCATTACTACTTCCATAGCACCATAGGGATAGCAAGTCAAAATATTACCTAATCAGTAAGGTCTTCCCTGACCACCTTGCTTAAAATCACAAATTACACACTTCCTTAGGGGTACTTGCCATTCCCCTTTTCTGCATTATATTTTCTCATAGCCATTATTTAAATATCTATATATTTTCATTTATTTTGCGTATTGTCCCCACGTCTTCCATCAATGTGTAATTCATGAGGATGGGGATTTTTCTGTTTTATTTACTGCTCTATCTTTGGCACATAGAGCCTCACACATTGCAGGTGTTCAATAAATATTTTTGACTGCATGTATGGATGTGTAAATGCATAAATAAATCTAAGTAAAATATCTTAACCCACTTGCATGCTGGGACTAGATAAGCATTCTCTTAGCAAACCAAGAGTGGAGTTACACACATTCTGAAAACAGGGTCTCCATCTGCCCTGTCATATAAATTATCCACACATGAGAACAGGCCATGGCAACAGCCCAGAGCCATGGTGCTTTTGTTCCATTGCTATGTTTTCTGTGCAGTACTCACACTTTCCAGACTGGAGCCTTCCAGTACAGAATTTATGCTTGTGTATCTCTATGGGACAGTCATCAAGTGTGCCTGTCACCAAAGCAGAAATCATCAAGAAACAGTTGCTAAATTAGCAGGAGTTGAACAAATTCTGGAACCCTGCTCCAAGGCCAAACTGAAAAATAGACCTTGAGGATGAGGCAACTCTGGTTGTGTCGGGGAATGTGCACATTTATAGACGCAGTTCTCTAGTGAGATTGTCTTGTGCCGAGGAGAAAAGTTTAAAAAGAAACAAAACACTGAAATGGCTTCTTCTGTCTTCTGGCAATCCATCTTGTAGTGTGGGCTGGAAAAAAATCAGGAAGAAAGAAAAGTGATGAAGTAAATATAGCAAAAGCAAAAAAGGAGTGAGGGGCATGTTGGAACACTTCCTATCCACTCAGGAACAGAGAACAAAGCTATTATATCTGCAAGTTACTATTTTCTGTTTTCCTTCTGTATTGATTTGCTAGGGCTGCCATAACAAAGGACCACAAATTAGGTGGCTTAAACAACAGACATGCATTGTTTCACAGTTCTGGAGGGGAGAAGTCTGCAATTAAGGTGTCAGCAGGGCCATACTCCCTTTGAAACCTATAGGGGAATCCTTTTGCCTTTTCTTAGCTTCTCGGAGTTGGCTGAATGTTTTTGGTGTTCCTTGGCTTACAGCTGCACAACTCTAATCTCTGCCTGTGTCATCACACTGCATTCTCCCCATGTGTCTGTCTTCACGTGGCCATCTTTTTATAAGGACACCAGGTGTATTGGATTAAGGGCCGGTCATACTCCAATATGACCTCATCTTACGTAATTATGTCTGCAATGGCCCTAATTTCAAAGAAATTTGTGTTTAGAAGTACTGGTGTTTAGGACTTCCAACGTGTCTTTTTTTTTTTTTTTTTGAGACAGAGTCTCTCTGTCGCCCAGGCGGGAGTGCAATGGCGTGATCTTGGCTCACTGCAAGCTCCACCTCCCGGGTTCAAGCGATTCTCCTGCCTCAGCCTCCTGAGTAGCTGGGACTACAGGCGCCCACCACCATCCCTGGCTAATTTTTTGTATTTTTAGTAGAGACGGGGTTTCACCCTGTTAGCCAGGATGGTCTCGATCTCCTGACCTCGTGATCTGCCCGCCTCAGCCTCCCAAAGTGCTGGGATTACAGGCGTGAGCCACCACACCCAGTCAACGTGTCTTTTTTGTGGGAAAGGGGGCATAATTCACCCTGTAACACCTTCCTAGCATATAGAAAGTAAAGAGGACCTTAGAAGTTATTAACTAACCAAGCAGTTTGTAAACTTCTTTATATAGAACCAGAGTTAATCTTTTTTTTTAACCTTTCATAAATACTCAATGTAAATGTACTAAAAGTGGGGACATCTGGAGGTACGTGAGATTGTTAGTATTACTATCAAGAATAGGAGTGGAGACTAGTGATAAAAAGAAAAAGTGGGCCGGGCATGGTGGCTCACTGTAATGCCAGTACTTTGGGAGGCCGAGGAGGGCGGATCACGAGGTCAGGAGTTCATGACTTGTCTGCTAAAAATACAAAAAAACAAAAAAACAAAAAAAAAAATTAGCTGGGTGTGGTGGCGGGTGCCTGTAGTCCCAGCTACTTGGGAGACTGAGGCAGGAGAATTGCGTGAACCAGGGAGGTGGAGGTTGCAGTAAGCCAAGGTTGCGCCACTGCACTCCAGCCCAGGTGACAGTGCAAGGCTCTATCTCAAAAAAAAAAAAAGAAAAAAAGAAAAAGCGAAATAAGAAAATGTCAGGAATGATCCCGTGGTGAAAATATGCCATGAAATGAGGAGAATGATAAATGCTGCTCTCAATACTTCAGTTGCAATAGATAAAGAAAAAAGTAAATATAACCTAATCAGACTCAAACAGAGCTGCTCCATTTGAAAGTTGGGGCAGGGGAATCTTGAGGGAGGTCACACAAACTGGCTTCCCTTATTCTTCTGGTTGGCCCCTGAAGTGATTCCACACCATTGTTTTCAGCCCAATTCTCTCATTCAACAGGTATAAGCACTGGAACTTAGAAAGGTAACATGACTTGCCCAAAGGCTCACAGGGGTTAAATTCCTTTCCCATGTGGCGTCTGAGCACTGAGACAATGTGGGAAACCAGGAATAGGTACAGGTGTGCAGAATTTAGGTGTGCAGAAATCCACCTTTCCTTATTGTACAACTCAGTTCAATTGCTGTTTCGAAATTCCACTCTTCTAGGAAGCAGAGAATTAATTTCAATCAACTGAGGGTCATTTCAATCAGTTTGTTGCCTAAGCCCCAGCCTGTGAGTTGTGTCTCTATGTCAGGGAGGGATGGAGTAGAACGTTCAGGTAATTGAGCAAAGTGTTGGTGCCACCCACCTGCACTGGCATGTGCAGAGTGTCTGCTTTACTGGGAGTTGTCAGTTCATGGCTGCTCTTCCTTTTCTATCCTAACCCTGGTCCTTTCAGCTATTTCCATGACTACTCAGAGATAAGAAAAATGTTTGATGTTTCTCTTACGACGATGCCTCAGGCCCATCTGCCTGGATAATCCCTGCAGCAAACTCTATATTCTTTGAAACTCCCAAAAGATGCTGAATGTGAGGATGCTGTGTGTGACCTGCCATTCCCCCAGGGTCAATTAGGGAAAGAAGCACAGGTCTTCTAAGTTCTTAGATCCCTCCAAACCCATTTGAGGTTTCTATTGCAATCTACGCAGGGATTAAGTCCAGGGCCACATCTCAGGGTCACAAAGAGAGAAGCTTCCAGCCTGGAGGTGGAGTAGGTTCCTCTCACCATTATTATCTCTCACGTCTACTATTTCTGTTATCAGCTCCGCAGGGCTTTTGAAGCTCAGAAACTTATTTTTCTGCTTTTCTGTTGTACTAACTATTCTCTGAGGCAATGGATAATCCCCAGTCTTGCCTGTAGAAGGAACAGTCAGAGGACAGAAAGGAGCTCCTAGGAATGAAAAACACATGGGCTGATACATTAAAATATAACTCCACAATATGCACATCACAATAATAGCTAACATCTGTGAGCCATAAAATAATTTCCAAATTGCATCCTCTTTGGAAAGCCATTTTAATTTAATGGAATCCTTTTCAAGCAGACCACCATGTTTCTTATCCAAATTAAATGATATTATTAATATAAAACTCGAAACACAGTGCCTGGAACAGAGTAATATTTAACAAATATTAGTAGTATTCACAAAATTATTATTGTTTTCCCATGTGCTCTGCATTAGTGACTGTTAGAAGCACTGTACTAACCCCTCTTTGAACTTCTCCTCCTTCTCTATATGAAAGGTGACATTTCTTGGATCCTAAAATCTTTTGAAGTCATCCTTTTTATCTTAGTCAAGGGAGAAGCCCCCAAGATATCTGAAAACCATAGACAGAACCCATACAGAATGCTTGATTTACTACTGGCCAAAAAAAAAAAAAAAAGAGGTTGAGTTGAATTGTGGCTGTGTTAAACCACTTGAAGGAAAATTGCAATAATGAGCTAAAAATCAACTCTAAATATATTACTTGAGGAAAACCTTGGGATAGCACAAGCAGGCTACATTCTCCCCCTTCAAATATATTGAGAGGTAAAAATGTCTTTGATTTATTTTGTCATTTAATTTCCCTTCCATCTCTTGGCCTTAAGTCTCAGAGGGTTCAAGTTTCTTGATTGGGCAATCAGAATTTTCATTCTTTGCCCATTATTTTCCCCATTGGCAGCATTCCTATAATAACAGCCTGATGAAAATATGCTTCCTCCAGTGGCTCCTCACTGCCTCCGAAAAATTTCCAAAGGGGTTTGGGCAGTTTCTATCAAAGGAGAGAACTAGGGGAAAGTTCAGATGGGTTTTAGAAATCAGAGTGGCATGGTTTTCTTCCTAATTATGTATGCATGCACACAATAATGGTAGGAAGGCACTCTTCAAAGTTGGGTCTCTTCAAAGATTTCGTGGTGCTGGAGGGTGTTCGCCAAGACTCGGGATTCCTGCTGGGATTCTTCTTCTGAAAGGTCATAGAACTGGAAAGCTTGTTTCTTTTTAAGATGCCACCCCAGAGAGAGGTTATTATCACATTAGACTAGTTCCTACTGCTAAGGGGAGGCTTGGGAGTATCAGCTTGAAAAAGATGCTTCTCTTTTGCATGGGTTTTGGGAAGTTCCCCTTTTCTCCCAATGGGCTCTCACTCGACCAATTTATGCCAGTAATGCAGTCCAAATTTCTTCTTTGATATTAACCTGTAAAAATGTCTGCTATGACTTGCAATAATTAACAAGATCCATATTGTCAGGAAGAACAAACTATCACTGATTGCCTTGTATCTTTAGTATTATGCTTGCTTTGTGTCTCTACCTATCCACTTAATTCCCATTCCTGGTGACATTGGAATGCTTCCAATCATTCCCCAACATTCACTCATTCACTCAAACATTCAAGAAGTATTACTAAACATCTTCCATGTGGCACGCACTGTGCTGGGTCTTGTGGAAGACCAGGTAGCATGAATTCAATAAAGACCAAATTTGAATAACAGATTATGGAAGGGTAGAAGGATTCAATTCACCATTTGCCAACCTCGAAGCGCTGACTCTTGAATTAGGTCTTTGTTAGTAGCATACTTTACTGGTACTAACTCCTATAAGTAATGATACCCTTGTATGAATTAGGTATTCTTATTTTCTTCCAAGCTAGAATTTATTTTACTCAATGTTTCACATAATCGCAGTGTTTATCAAAACACTTACCATTACCATGACATAGAAGTAGGTATTCTTAACCACAGAAACAGAAGAGGAGCCTGATTCATCCATTTGGTTTAAGCTTTGCTTAGAATGTGTCTCTGAGCTTAGTGTGGATGGAGATGTGTGAGTGAGGCAGTGCAGTTTTCCCAGCTTTTCTTTTTGTCAGCCAAGAAATAAGTGAAGTCAAGTGGAAGCCTAAAGGATGAAGCAGAGCTGCTCTGTTTGAAGCTGCCAGGTCTTTCAGCATGCCCAAAGGCAAGCCTGAGAAACCAGGGCTCTGCCAAGGACCATGGGAAAATCATCGGTGCACTAGAAACACACTAGACAATACTAAAGGTCTGACTGCTAACCTGTTTTCATTTACTAATATATGCTAGTGCAGCTTTCTTGTACCTGTTTCCTGTTTGGACTTTGTGATAGATTTGTGTTTGAGTAAGGATAAGAAAATATGGGATTGCTGGGTGACAATATTGTCTGGAAGTCAAAAACATGGGCTTTGGTGTTCATGTCTGGATTCAAATTCCAACAATTAGCTATTTTACTAAGCCTGGGAAAGTTATTTTACTCCTATGCCTCAATTTTCTATTTGTAAAATATTGAGTTTGATGATAATAATGGCATCAACCTCAAAATACTTTTTTCTGAGTATTAAGTGAGATAATACATACAAGGGTTTAGAACAGCTCCTGAAACATAGTCAACACGTAATGAATATTAGCTATATGGCAGATATTAGGGCTGTTCCTGAAATATTTCTAGATCTCTGCCTCCTCAACAAAGTCCAGTTGAATTCTTTGGTCCCTGTGGTTGGGAGAGGTCATGTGATTATTCTAGGCCAATGAGCTGGGAACAGAAGAGACTAGCCAAACTTTCATGTAAAGCCTTGAGTTGCTACAGTGAACCATTCAGACTTCAATTTTCTTTTTCCTTCTGGACAGGTAATGTTCCATTTTAGTGGCAGCTATAGCAGCATGGATCCTGTAGTGAGGCTGACAGAGCCAAGTGAGGTCCCAACCACCAAATGACGAATATGTGAGCAAAAAAAAAAACCTTTATAAGCCATTTGAGATGTGAGAGTTGTTTGTTACCAGCATAAACTAGCACATCCTGGCTGATGAAACTATAGTTATGATCATCTATTAGACAGTGAGAGAGAAAGAGACAGAACCAAACTTTATCACAAATATGTCGGCATACAAGTCTACCTATTTTTTTAAAATATGCCGTCATTGAGATGTAACTCATGTATTATACAATTCATCCATTTAAAGTGTACAATTCAGTGTCTCATGTGTGCAATACACAATCAATTTTAGACCATTTTCATCACCTTGAAGGACACCCTTCAGTTATCACCGCCCAATCCCCCCAACACCCCGACATTCCCACCGAGCACTAAGTGACCATGAGTCTGCTTGCTGTATCTACAGATTTCCATGTTCTGGGTATTTTTTATTAATGGACTCATATAATATCTGGTAATTTGTGACTGGCTTTTTTCATTTAGCATGTTTTCAAGATTCATTCATATTGTACCATGTGTCAATACATCATTACTTGTTATGGCTGAATAACGTCACATAACATGGTTTACCCCATTTTTTTCCATTAATCTACTGATGGACATTTGTGCTGTTTCCACATTTTGGCTATTATATATAATGATGATATACACATTCATGTAAAAGTTTTCATGTGAACGTAGGTTTTTATTTTTCTGGATGTATGTTTTTAATTTTTCTTGAGTGTATACCTGGGAGTGAAATTGGCTGGGTCATACGGTAGCTCTGTTTATTCATTTTCAAAACTGTCAGTATGCTTTCTGAAGTAGCTGCACCATTTAACATTCCCACCACTTTAGATTTACAGCACCATTTTACATGTGCACCAGGCGTGTATGAGAGTCCTGACTTCATATTCTTATCAGCACTTCTCTGACTTTTTGATTCTAGCCATCCTAGTAGGTACGAGGTGGTATCTCATTGTAGTTTTGATTTGCATTTTTCTGATGACTAATGATGTCCAGCATCTTATTGGTCATTTGTCTATCTTCCTAGAGAAACACCTATTCAAGTCCTTTGTCTATTTTAAAAGTGGGCTTGTTGGCTTTTTGTTGTTGAGTTGTAAAACTTCTTTGTTTATTTTGAAATTACTTCTTCATCAGATATAGGATTTGCAAACATTTTCTCTCATTCAGTGGGGTTTTTGGACTTGATAGGGTCTTTTGATACACAGCATTTTTATTCCGATGAAGTTCCATTTGTCAATTTTTTTGTTTTGTTGCCTATGATTTTGGTGTCATATATAGGAAATCACTGTCAAATTGAATATCATGAAGCTTTTCTCCTATGTTTTCTTCTAAGAGTTGAATAGTTGTAGCTATTACATTTATTTAGATCTTTGATCCATTTTGATTCAGTTTATATGGTTTAAGATAATTTATTCTTTTGCTTGTGGGTATCATTTTCCCAATACTCTTTGTTGAAAAGAGTATGTGTCCTTTTATTTGTCTTTCATTCAGCATAATTATTTGAGATTCACCCATACTATTGTGTTTATTACTAGTTCATTTCCTGTTATTGCTGAGTTATATTTTATTATATGAACATATAACAATTTATTTATTTATTCTCCTGTTGATGGACATTTGTACTGTTCTAGTCTTGGGCTATTACAAAGAAAGTTGCTGGGAATATTATGTATGAACATATGCTTTTATGTCTCTTGAGTAAATACATAAGAGTGAAATAGTTGGATCATCTGGTAGGTGTGCTTTTAACTTTTTAAGACACTGCCAAACCATTTCCAATGAGGTTGCCTGGTTTTACATTCTCACCAGCAGTGGATGAGAATTCCAGTTGTTTTATATCCACTTGGTATTGTAAAACTTTTAATTTTAGCCCTACTAAAAGGTGTGTATTAGTATATCACTATGGTTTTAGTTTGCATTGCTCTAATGACTAACGATGTTGAATATAACCATATGTTCTTCTTTGGCATCTGTATATTTTCTTTTGTAATGAGTCTGTTCATAATTTTTTGCACATATTTCTTTATTATTATTATTATTATACTTTAAGTTTTAGGGTACATGTGCACAACGTGCAGGTTTGTTACATATGTATACATGTGCCGTGTTGGTGTGCTGCACCCATTAACTCGTCATTTAGCATTAGGTATGTCTCCTAATGCTATCCCTCCCCCCTCCCCCCACCCCACAACAGTCCCCGGTGTGTGATGTTCCCCTTCCTGTGTCCATGTGTTCTCATTCTTCAATTCCCACCTATGAGTGAGAACATGCGGTGTTTAGTTTTCCGTCCTTGGATGGTTTCCAACTTCATCCATGTCCCTACAAAGGACATGAACTCATCCTTTTTTATGGCTGCATAGTATTCCATGGTGTATATGTGCCACATTTTCTTAATCCAGTCTATCCTTGTTGGACATTTGGGGTGGTTCCAAGTCTTTGCTCTTGTGAATAGTGCCGCAATAAACATGTGTGCATGTGTCTTTATAGCAGCATGATTTATAGTCCTCTGGGTATATACCCAGTAATGGGATGGCTGGGTCAAATGCTATGTCTAGTTCTAGATCCCTGAGGAATCACCACACCGACTTCCACAATGGTTGAACTAGTTTACAGTCCCACCAACAGTGTCAAAGTGTTCCCATTTCTCCACATCCTCTCCAGGACCTGTTGTTTCCTGACTTTTTAATGATCGCCATTCTAACTGGTGTGAGATGGTATCTCATTGTGGTTTTGATTTGCATTTCTCTGATGGCCAGTGATGGTGAGCATTTTTTCATGTGTTTTTTGGCTGCGTAAATGTCTTCTTTTGAGAAGTGTCTGTTCATATCCTTTGCCCACTTTTTGATGGGGTCATTTGTTTTTTTCTTGTAAATTTCTTTGAGTTCATTGTAGATTCTGGATATTAGCCCTTTGTCCAATGAGTAGGTTGCAAAAATTTTCTCCCATTCTGTAGGTTGCCTATTCACTCTGATCGTGGTTTCTTTTGCTGTGCAGAAGCTCTTTAGTTTAATTAGATCCCATTTGTCAATTTTGGTTTTTGTTGCCATTGCTTTTGGTGTTTTAGACATGAGGTCCTTGCCCATGCCTATGTCCTGAATGGTATTGCCTAGGTTTTCTTCTAGGGTTTTTATGGTTTTAGGTCTAACATGTAAGTCTTTAATCCATCTTGAATTAATTTTTATATAAGGTGTAAGGAAAGGATCCAGTTTCAGCTTTCTACATATGGCTAGCCAGTTTTCCTAGCACCATTTATTAAATAGGGAATCCTTTCCCCATTGCTTGTTTTTCTCAGGTTTGTCAAAGATCAGATAGTTGTAGATACGTGGCATTATTTCTGAGGGCTCTGTTCTGTTCCCTTGGTCTATATCTCTGTTTTGGTACCAGTATCATGCTATTTTGGTTACTGTAGCCTTGTAGTATAGTTTGAAGTCAGGTAGCGTGATGCCTCCAGCTTTGTTCTTTGGCTTAGGATTGACTTGGCAATGTGGGCTCTTTTTTGGTTCCATATGAACTTCAAAGTAGTTTTTTCCAATTCTGTGAAGAAAGTCATTGGTAGCTTGATGGGGATGGCATTGAATCTATAAATTACCTTGGGCAGTATGGCCATTTTCACGATATTGATTCTTCCTGCCCATGAGCATGAAATGTTCTTCCATTTGTTTGTATCCTCTTTTATTTCATTGAGCAGTGGTTTGTAGTTCTCCTTGAAGAGGTCCTTCACATCACTTGTAAGTTGGATTCCTAGGCATTTTATTCTCTTTGATGCAATTGTGAATGGGAGTTCACTCATGATTTGGCTCTCTGATTGTCTGTTAATGGTGTATAAGAATGCTTGTGATTTTTGCACACTGATTTTGTATCCTGAGACTTTGCTGAAGTTTCTTATCAGCTTAAGGAGATTTTGGGCTGAGACGATGGGCTTTTCTAGATATACAATCATGTCATCTGCTAACAGGGACAATTTGACTTCCTCTTTTCCTAATTGAATGCCCTTTATTTCCTTCTCCTACCTGATTGCCCTGGCCAGAACTTCCAACACTATGTTGAATAGGAGTGGTGAGAGAGGGCATCCCTGTCTTGTGCCAGTTTTCAAAGGGAATGCTTCCAGTTTTTGCCCATTCAGTATGATATTGGCTGTAGGTTTGTCATAGATAGCTCTTATTATTTTGAGATACATCCCATCAATACCTTATTTATTGAGAGTTTTTAGCATGAAGGGTTGTTGAGTTTTGTCAAAGGCCTTTTCTGCATCTATTGAGATAATCATGTGGTTTTTGTCGTTGGTTCTGTTTATATGATGGATTGCGTTTATTGATTTTCATATGTTGAACCAGCCTTGCATCCCAGGGGTGAAGCCCACTTGATCATGGTGGATAAGCTTTCTGATGTGTTGCCGGATTCGGTTTGCCAGTATTTTATTGAGGATTTTTGCATCAATATTCATCAAGGATATTGGTACAAAATTCTCTTTTTTTGTCGTGTCTCTGCCTGGCTTTGGTATCAGGATGATGCTGGCCTCATAAAATGAGTTAGGGAGGATTCCCTCTTTTTCTATTGATTGGAATAGTTTCAGAAGCAATGGTACCAGCACCTCCTTTTACCTCCAGTAGAATTCGGCTGTGAATCCATCTGGTCCTGGACTTTTTTTGGTTGGTAAGCTATTAATTATTGCCTCAATTTCAGAGCCTGTTATTGGTCTATTGAGAGATTCAACTTCTTCCTGGTTTAATCTTGGGAGACTGTATGTGTCGAGGAATTTATCCATTTCTTCTAGATTTTCTAGTTTATTTGCATAGAGGGGTTTATAGTATTCTCTGATGGTAGTTTGTATTTCTGTGGGATCAGTGGTGATATCCCCTTTGTCTTTTTTATTGCGTCTATTTGATTCTTCTCTCTTTTCTTCTTTATTAGTCTTGCTAGCGGTCTATCAATTTTGTTGATCCTTTCAAAAAACCAACTCCTGGATTCCTTGATTTTTTGAAGGGTTTTTTCTGTCTCTATTTCCTTCAGTTCTGCTCTGATCTTAGTTATTTCTTGCCTTCTGCTAGCTTTTGAATGTGTTTGCTCTTGCTTCCCTAGTTCTTTTCATTGTGATGTAGGGTGTCAGTTTTAGAACTTTCCTGCTTTCTCTTGTGGGCATTTAGTTCTATAAATTTCCCTCTACACACTGCTTTGAATGTGTCCCAGAGATTCTGGTATGTTATGTCTTTGTTCTCATAGGTTTCAAAGAACATCTTTATTTCTGCCTTCATTTAGTTATGTACCCAGTAGTCATTCAGGAGCAGGTTGTTCAGTTTCCATGTAGTTGAGCAGTTTTGAGTGAGTTTCTGAATCCTGAGTTCTAGTTTGATTGCACTGTGGTCTGAGAGACAGTTTGTTATACTTTCTGTTCTTTTACATTTGCTGAGGAGGGCTTGACTTCCAACTATGCAGTCAATTTTGGAGTAGGTGTGGTGTGGTGCTGCAAAGAATGTATATTCTGTTGATTTGGTGTGTAGAGTTCTGTAGATGTCTATTAGGTCCGCTTGGTTCAGAGCTGAGTTCAATTCCTGGGTATCCTTGTTAACTTTATGTCTCGTTGATCTGTCTAATGTTGACAGTGGGGTGTTAAAGTCTCCCATTATTACTGTGTGGAAGTCTAAGTCTCTTTGTAGGTCACTAAGGACTTGCTTTATGAATCTGGGTGCTCCTGTATTGGGTGCATATATATTTAGGATAATTAGCTCTTCTTGTTGAATTGATCCCTTTACCATTTTGTAATGGCCTTCTTTGTCTCTTTTGTTCTTTGTTTGTTTAAAGTCTGTTTAATCCGAGACTAGGATTGCAACCCTTGCCTTTTTTTTTTTTTTTCCATTTGCTTGGTAGATCTTCCTCCATCCCTTTATTTTGAGACTATGTGTGTCTCTGCATGTGAGATGGGTTTCCTGAATACAGCACAATGATGGGTCTTGACTCTTTATCCAATGTGCCAGTCTATGCCTTTTAATTGGAGCATTTAGCCCATTTACATTTAAGGTTAATATAGCTATGTGTGAACTTGATCCTGTCATTATGATGTTAGCTGGTTATTTTGCTCGTTAGTTGATGCAGTTTCTTCCTAGCCTTGATGGTCTTTACAATTTGGCATGTTTTTCAGTGGCTGGTACCGGTTGTTCCTTTCCATGTTTAGTGCTTCCTTCAGGAGCTCTTTTAGGGCAGGCCTGGTGGTGACAAAATCTCTCAGCATTTGCTTGTCTGTAAAGTATTTTATTTCTTCTTTGCTTATGAAGCTTAGTTTGGTTGGATATGAAATTCTGGGTTGAAAATTCTTTTCTTTAAGAATGTTGAATATCGGCCCCCACTCTCTTCTGGATTGTAGAGTTTCTGCCAAGAGATCAGCTGTTAGTCTGATTGGCTTCCCTTTGTGGGTAACCCGACCTTTCTCTCTGGCTGCCCTTAACATTTTTTCCTTCATTTCAACTTTGGTGAATCTGACAATTATGTGTCTTGGAGTTGCTCTTCTTGAAGAGTATCTTTGTGGTGTTCTCTGTATTTCCTGAATTTGAATGTTGGCTTGCATTGCTAGATTGGGGAAGTTCTCTTGGATAATATCCTGCAGAGTGTTTTCCACCTTGATTCCATTCTCTCCGTCACTTTCAGGTACACCAATTAGACGTAGATTTGATCTTTTCACATAGTCCCATATTTCTTAGAGGTTTTGTTCGTTTCTTTTTATTCTTTTTTCTCTAAACTTCTCTTCATGCTTCATTTCATTCATTTCATCTTCCGTCGCTGATTCCCTTTCTTCCAGTTGATTGCATCGGTTACTGAGGCTTGTGCATTCATCACATAGTTCTCATGCCGTGGTTTTCAGCTCCATCAGGTCCTTTAAGGACTTCTCTGCATTGGTTGTTCTAGTTATCCATTCATCTAATTTTTTTTTCAAAGTTTTTAACTTCTTTGCCGTTGGTTCGAACTTCCTCTTTTAGCTCGGAGTAGTTTGATCTTCTGAAGCCTTCCTCTCTCAACTTGTCAAAGTCATTCTCCGTCCAGCTTTGTTCCGTTGCTGTTGAGGAGCTGCGTTCCTTTGGAGGAGAAGAGGTGCTCTGATTTTTAGAGTTTCCAGTTTTTCTGCTCTGTTTTTTCCCCATCTTTGTGGTTTTATCTACCTTTGGTCTTTGATGATGGTGATGTACAGATGGGTTTTTGGTGTGGATGTCCTGTCTGTTTGTCAGTTTTCTTTCTAACAGACAGGACCCTCAGCTGCAGGTCTGTTGGAGTTTACTGGAGGTCCAGTCCAGACCCTGTTTGCCTGGGTATCAGCAGCAGTGGCTGCAGAACAGCGGATGTTGGTGAACTGCAAATGCTGCTGCCTGATCGTTCCTCTGGAAGTTTTGTCTCAGAGGAATACCCTGCCGTGTGAGGTGTCAGTCCGCCTCTACTGGGGGGTGCCCCCCAGTTAGGCTACTCGGGGGTCAGGGACCCACTTGAGGAGGCAGTCTGTCTGTTCTCAGAGCTCAAGCTGCATGCTGGGAGAACCACTACTCTCTTCAAAGCTGTCAGACAGGGACATTTAATTCTGCAGGGTCATTGCTATCTTTTGTTTGTCTGTACCCTGCCCCCAGAGGTGGAGCCTACAGAGGCAGGCAGGCCTCCTTGAGCTGTGGTGGGCTCCACCCAGTTCGAGCTTCCTGGCCGCTTCGTTTACCTACTCAAGCCTGGGCAATGGCGGGTGTCCCTCCCCTAGCCTCGCTGCCACCTTGCAGTTTGATCTCAGACTGCTGTGCTAGCAGTGAGCAAGGCTCCGTGGGCGTAGGACCCTCCGAGCCATGTGCGGGATATAATCTCCTGGTGTGCCGTTTGTTAAGCCCATTGGAAAAGTGCAGTATTAGGGTGGGAGTGACTGGATTTTCCAGGTGCCGTCTGTCACCCCTTTCTTTGACTAGCAAAGGGAATTCCCTGACCCCTTGCACTTCCCGGGTGGGGCGACGCCTCGCCCTGCTTCGGCTCACGCACGGTGCGCTGCACCCACTGTCCTGCACCCACTTTCCGGCACTCCCCAGTGAGATGAACCCAGTACCTCTGTTGGAAATGCAGAAATCACCCATCTTCTGCGTCGCTCACACTGGGAGCTGTGGACCGGAGCTATTCCTATTCGGCCATCTTGGCTGCACCACATATTTCAAATCAGGTTGTTTGTTTTCTTATTTGGTGTTTTTGAAAATTTTTTATATATTCTGGATGGAAGTCCTTTATCAGATATGTGCTATGCAAATATTTTCTCCCAGTCTGTGGTTTGTCATTGCATTGTCTTTTGAAAATATTTTTTAATTTTGATGATATCACTTGATCAGTTTGTTCTTAGTGAATCATGCTCTTGGTTTTATATCAAAGAAATGTTTGCCTCATGCAGGTACACAAAGATTTTCTTTTATGTTTTCTTCCAGAAGTTTTAGGTTTAGCATTTATTTCTATGATTCATTTTGAGTTAATATGTATGTATGGTACAAAACTTTTAAAAATTTGTATATGAATATCAAGTGTTCCAGCATTATTTTTTGGAAAAAAAAACTATTCTTCCTCCACTGAGTTGCATTGCACTTTTGGAAAAAATCAGTTGTCCTTATATGCATGATGGATGTATTTTTGAAATATCTATTCTGTTCCATTGATCTATTTATTTACCTAATTAATGCTAATGCCCCAATACCTCAATTATTGTAGCTTTTAAATCAGTTACTTTTAAATAAAAAATAAGTTACTTTAAAATAAATTACTGTAACTTTTAAATAGATCAGGCAGTGTTAGTCCTTTAACTTTGTTTTCTTTTTCAAAGTTGTTTTGGCTATTCTAGGTTATTTGCATACCCATATATATTTTAGAATAATTTTGTCAATTTGGAATAAAACAGCCTGCTTGAATTTTGATTGGATTTTCAATTATTGAGAGAATGGTATTGAAATCTGCTACTATAGACCTACTTAACTTTTTGAATTTATGAAATACAGTTGTGAATGTTTTAATGTCCTTGTCTGCTAATTCCAATACCAATGTCAATTCTGGTTCAGCTTTGATCATTTTATTTTTTTCACCCTCATTATGGTCCTTTTTTTCCTGCATCTTTGCACGCCTGGTAATTTTTGATCAGATGCCAGGCGTTGTAAATTTTATCTTGTTGGGTGCTGGATATTTTTATATTTCTATAAAAATTCTTTATCCTTGTTTTGGTATGTAGTTCAATTACTTGGAAATAGTTTTTTTTTATTTTTTTCACTTTTCTCTTTTTAAGATTTGTTAGGCAGGACGAGAGCAGTGTTTAGTAAGGGCTAATTATTATCCACTATTAAGGCAAGACCTTTCTGAGTACTCTACCCCATGCTCTGTGGATTATTAGTTTTTTTTTTTTTTTTTTTCCAATCTGGCTAGAGAGAACAGAGTATTCTCAGTCCTGTCTGGGGCTATTCTTGGCTCTGTCTGGGTGCTGCATACTGTTTTTTTCTACTTCTTTCAGATTGTTCTTTCCTGGGTTTCTGTTAGGTTCCTCACATACATGCATACCTCAATCCTCTACTGAAAATCTGAGAGAGATTCTATAGTTCTCTGGAACACTCTGTGTGCAGCTCTCTCCTTGGTACTCTGTTAACTCTAATAGCTTTGGTCTCCCCAAACTTTCAGTTCTCTTTCTTCAACTCAAGGAGCTGCCTCTTCCTTATATTGTGGCTTAAAAACTCTCTCATCACTTAGCTGATTCAGTTGTAGGGCTCATCGCATAGTTTTTTCTTGTCTTTTAGGCATCATTATCTTTCATTGCTTGATGTTCAGTGTCTTAAAAGCCATTGTTTCATGTATTTTGTCTGGTGAAATGTGACAAATTTCTCTTGCTTCAGGTGAAAAGATAAATCCAGTCTCTGTTATGTCACATTGACTAGAAGAAGTCTTTCCTTCTCTTAATGCATTTTTTGATTAACTAAAACATGCATTGATTTCTAGTGGCAGACCATAGAAACATTTGTGCACTCTTCATAGACAGAATGATTTGCCAAAAGCAGCCAACAGAACTTTCCCTTAATACACAAAATAGCAATGTAATATCTCATTTACAAAGATACCTGTGTTTTTAATATTTAATATGCATTGAAAAGGAAACAAATTATCAAAAAGTTAAAAAAGCACAAACATTCTTGTTCATCCTCTACAATATAATTTAAAATTTCTTTCTCTTCTATGCACACCCAACCTCCTGATCTGCCCACATAGATCTCCAAATAGGCCACTACCCTTGAAATATTTATAAGCAAGTTTGTTGTCAGACAGCCACTACCCCACTCTACCCAGATGGTAGTGTTAGTTTGAGGACCATTGGATACTGGGAATTTCTCCAATTTATTACAATTAAACACCTGTGCTAAATAAGTGGTGCAGCTCCACTGCGAATTTAAAGCCATGAAACGGTAACAGTCACAGTCCTTTTTTTTACTGAATGGGTTGAATGGTGTGAGGGCCCTCCAGATGTTGGTTAAGTATAATGTATGATATTGAGAGCAGTGAGATCCTCCGGAGGCTTCTCAGATGTTGGTGAATCCTCCTGCTTGCATCCTCCATGCTGTGACTCTGATAGCGGTGACGCTGTGTTTAAAGATGAACATTGAGATTCTGCATACCAACTGATCATATCCTTATTTTCATATCATGGCAAACCCACCGTATGTTATTCTGGAAAAGGCATAGAAATTGTGCACAGGCTTGCATAAGGATTAAGAACATGGGCTTGAACATCAAACAGGACCGATTTAAATCCAAGCTTGGTCATTTACCAGCTGTGTGACCCTGGACATGTTACTTAAGCTCTCTGGCCCTCAATTTCCAGCTGCTCCCCCGTTAAAAAGAAAATAATGCAAGGCTTTTGTGAGGATCAGATATGATGATGGATTTAAAAAGGGTCAAACACAACACCTGGCAACAGGAAATATTCAGTAAAGGTAACAGTCTCATACTCAATAAATCTGTAATTATGATAATAAGTCCTGCCTCATTTTTTACCACTCTTCATAATGATTTCCAATGTAACGGTTATTTTCAGAGTTTGATGAGCCATCCATTTTAAGCAGCTGATATATTGTCCTACTTTTCTCAAACAGATGTCTCACATTGCTGGTCCACAGGCAAATTGCAAATGGTTTTAAAACATTAGAACCAACATTAAAAAAAAAGAGATTTCCCATAAATTCCAAATTTCAGTAAAAATTCAGATTTCTGGCTTCTCTAAATGTTTGAAATATCTTTGAACAGAAGATTCACAACTCCACATGTTACAATAACTGGAAACTGAGAACCAGTTGTCAGTTTGAGCAGGGCAGTGTTTGTCAACTCACCACAGGCCCCAACTGTTCCACTTGCCTTCCCTACACTGAATTCAGAGTCATCCAGCACAGTAACTCTTAATTTTTCCACCTGTTTGCCATTCTGTTTGTGACTCTGCTTTAGGCTACTCATTCTCCCTAAGTGAGATGCAATAATGTACATGAAGCATTTAGAATATAGAGAGCTGTCTGATATAGAGAGCAGAAAGCCTGTAAATATCCTTTGCCCAAGAAAATAATGAAGTTTTTTGTGGAGCAGTACCAGGCATTCTGCCTTTCAGTTGTTTGGGCAGTGACCAAATGAATTCTTCCCTTGTTTCTTTGGAATAAAACCCCTAATGTGAGGTAGACTCCTTGCAGAACCAAATATTGACTCCAAGTATCCCTTTCAGTTTGGTATGGTGGTGTGATTAAGTGGAAGAGGTATGTGTAGATCTTGGATCATTAAAGAAGGAAGCATATCCTTCTCTTGACCTTTTTTTCTTTCCTTGGGGTCAAAATCTGTGTATGACGGCTGGATGGGGACCAGCCATCTTTTACCATGAGGTGGGAAATAAGACTTAAGGATGGCAGAACTAATTAAAAGGGATCTGGATTCCTGTTGCTCTTTGTACCACCTTACCTTTCCTGGACTACCTACATTCACATCAGAGAGTTATATGTTTCAATAATATTTAAGCTACTATTTGTAGATTTCAATCACTTGTGGATGAACTTAAATGGATACTATTATGTTGCTAATCAATGTAGTAGTAATTGTGTCACCTGGAGAGTATGGAATGAATATCCCAGAAATGCTGTAATTCATGAGCATTAATTATATCCTCCCTGAGGCCTCTCTACATTGAAATATTTGGGCCTAAAATACATGTTGCTTCTTCCACTCACATTCTACTGGCTCAAGCAAGTCACAGAGCCTTGGATAGACAAGACTTCTATAGGGAGGGGTCTCATATTGAAAGGCAAATATTTTGAAGAATAATACAATTCAATTACATATTATTGCCCACACTAAATGTGCGTCTGGGGCCATGGCAATAGAATGTATGTAGTAGAAGCGGGGAGATTTGAATAGGTTCTACTACAAATTTCTGGGGTGAATTTGCTGATACAAGGAAATAGCATTAAGAAAAACATTCATTGTAAGTTAATGTATACAGAAAGAAAATTAACAAATCAGGTTGGATAAAAAATAAAGTGCTTTTATTAAGAGAGGGAAATAATTTTTTTACTTGGGAGTGGTAAGTTAGAGTGTAGTTAATGTGAGATGAAGTATATTGGAGAATTGTGAATGACAAGCTAAAGTTGATTTTGAAAATCAATTAAAAGACACTGATTAAAATATGAAAATGACATTAATAGCTGATATGGTTTGGCTCTGTGTCCCCACCCAAATCTCATCTTGACTTGTACTCCTATAAATCCCATGTGTTCTGAGAGGGACCCAGTGGAGATAACTGAATCATGGGGGAAGTTTCCACCATACTGTTTTCATGGTAGTGAATAAGTCTCATGAGATCTGATGGTTTTATCAGGGATTTCTGCTTTTGTGTCTTCCTCATTCTCGTTTTGCCTGCTGCCATCCATGTAAGACATGACTTGCTCCTCTTTGCCTCCTTCCCTGATTGTGAGGCTTCCCTAGCCACATGGAACTGTAAGTCCAGTTAAATCTCTTTCTTTTGTAAATTGCCCAGTCTCGGGTATGTCTTTATCAGCAGCATGAAAACAGACTAATACAACAGCAAACATGTATTAAGCTCTTTCTCTACAATAGGCACTGTGCTATGTATTTTATCACATATCTCCTTTAATCATCAAAACCATTGCAGTAAGTCCTGATATTATCTCCATTTTGCAGTTCACTAAAGTGAAATTCAAAGAGTTAAAGTTACACGCCAAATGTCACACAGTACAACAGTTTCCACTGCTTCTAACCAAGAACGATAATTAATATTGAATAGGAAAAAAATCTAAAATAACATACATCAAACTGGTAACAGTGAAACTATGTGATAGGTGAAGTTTCCATTTATTTATACCTTCTTTAATTTCTTTCAGCAATGCTATGCAGTTTTCAGTGTACAAGTCTCACACCACCTTGGTTAAATTTATTCCTAAGCATTTTATTGTTTTTGATATTATTGTAATGGAATTATGTTCTTAATTTCCTTTTCATATTTTTATTGCTAGTGTATAGAAATACAACTAATTTTTATGTATTGACCCTGTACCTTGCAACTGTGCTGAATTCATTTACCATCTCTAATAGTGTTATTTTCTGTGTGTGAATTCTTTAGGATTTTCTCTACATAGAATCATGTAATCTGTGAGTAGAGAGAGTTTTTCTTGCCAATTTGGATGCCTTTGTCTCCTTTTTTTTTTTTTAACTACCTCATTGCTTTAACTAGAACTTCTGCTAAAGAGTTGAATAGCTGTGACAAAGTAGGCTTTCTTGCCTTGTTCTTGATCACAGGGGAAAAACTTTCCATCTTTATCATTGCATCAGCATTTTATTTTAAACACAAGAAACCACATAATTTTTTAGACATCTAATAAAATGAGGGCAAAACCCATTTAAGAAGTTTTTCTTGAAATACAAAGCCACTATGTCTGGGCGCGGTGGCTCTCTCCTGTAATCCCAGCACTTTGGAAGGCCGAGGCAGGCAGATCACGAGGTCAGGAGATCGAGACCATCCTGGCTAACATGGTGAAACCCCAACTCCACTAAAAAATACAAAAAAATTAGCTGGGCGTGGTGGTGGATACCTGTAGTCCCAGCTACTCTGGAGGCTGAAGCAGGAGAATGGCGTGAAACCTGGAGGCAGAGCTTGCAGTGAGCTGAGATTGCGCCACTGGAGTCCAGCCTGGGTGACAGAGCGAGACTGTCTCAAAAAACAATAATAATAATAATAAAATACAAAGCCAACATTGGCCTCTATTATGAAAGAGGACAGATGAATACTGAAAGGAAAGCTCAAGAAATTAGAGAGGAAGGCACACATGGTCATAAAGGGATAACTAGACACATCTTTCTAAAGGGGAAAGAAAGACTAAGAGTAAACAATCACTTGGATAGAATGAGGCCCGCGACCTTTGATTACTTAAAGTTAGATAACCACCTAGAGATATGATAAGAGAATAGGTTTGCCTGCTGCCTCCACAAAGAGAACCAGAAACTTGTTTGGGAAAGTCCAGATTGAGATAAAATAATAGTATAGTTCCTAGTTGCCACTAAATATAGTTAGCAAATTTTAAAACTAACATGACAAAACAAATAAGGGCCTACCAGAGGCCCTCATAATTGAAGACTTTAGAGTTTTAGAAGGAAGCAAAATTGGGGAAGACAGCAGAGAACATGACTTGCTGATCAGATCTATTTTAGTGATGGTCAATATCTCATTACAGTTGAAACTGTGGATTCTATATTTATAGCTTCCATTTAATACATTCTTAATAAATTGCAAGCACCAGGCAAAGTTTTCTATTAATTCTTATAACAATTATATGAGAGATGTATTACTAGCTTCATTATATAGAAGTGGATATTGAGACTCAGAAAGGTTCTATGTTTTACTCAATACAGTGGGTAGATATCAGAAATAGAATTTAGATCTGGAATTTTTATTAAAGTTATAATTTTGGTAGGTGATATAGAGGGATTTTTAAATGTAGGTAACTATATTTATACTGTATGGTCAGGATAGGTAAGACCATGCTGCAGTAGCAAATAGCCCCTGAATTTCAATAGCTTAAAATAACTTTTCACATCTTCACTATGCAACTCAGGATGAGGAATTATCTAACTTCTATGCTCAAACTTCAGTAATCCACGATGCTGCCATCTCTCTTTTTGTGTGGTGTGACAAATTAATACTTTTTTGTGTGAGCAATCTAAACATTTTTTGAGCATGGAAGAATGTAATATAGAAATCAACATCTACCTATTTCACTGATATTTTGAAGAATAAAAGACTATATATGAAAGCATTTAAGATCCTTAAAGAAAAGAATTTTATCAGATTTCAGATACTACAATAACAGTGGTTCCTGTTCTTTTCAAATTGTCTAGTTTCAATATAAAGCATCCAAATCAAAACTGAAAATAAGACTTGACCACATGAAATTTTCCAGGAGGGTTTTTATTAAAGTTTTTATTAAAGGGCAGAAGTTCAGCTTAATCTTCAGCAGAATGAAGGATTGCAACCCATTACAATGTCCAAAAAAGATATTGAATTTGATTTTTACACATGGGTAAAGTAAATTTTGGCTTTATGTGTCTGTGTATGTAGAAGAAGCCTCTGAAAGGAGAGAATTAAAAAGACTGTCATTAGTTGTCATACTGTGTGCATAATAACCCACCATGTCCCTGACCCATCACTATGATAAATTTGTAGTTTTTTTCCTCTGCCAGGACTAGTCATGTGCAATGCATTTAACAACTACATTTGCATATAGAAAGTAACATTGACCTTTGAATTTCAAAGGACAAAGATTTACAAGGATACTCATTCCAACATAACCATTTAATTTGTGTCTCTGTGTTCTCTTGAAGTGGCAACAGAAGTGCAACACTCTGCCAGTTCACAATAAGAAAAATGAGAGGAAATATCTTCCCAACTGGGAGATACAGCAATACAATTTGGAAGCCAGTAGAATTAAATCCAGTTTCTTTTGAGTCTTACTTTAAGCCATTTGTTTTGGCTCTATAATTACAAGTGTTAAAACAGCATATAATCACAGTAAGATGGTTCTTCAAAATAAAATAATTTTAGGAGCATGAATTTTTTTTTCTTTAAGCCATATATTCAGGTAGGATAGAAAGAATTCATACTTTTTTTTCCACTCTTCAATGTTGACCATCTAGAAAGAAAAATCTGTGTCTTCTCTCTTTCATAGCTGGCTGCCCCTTGTTTCTTAGCCATTTGTTATCTGAGTTTACCTTAGAGTTAGAGTTATATAATTGTATTTATTTGTTCATTCCTTCCTTATGGTTCATTCATGCATTCATTGATTACTGTTGAGCACATTCTCATGTGTATCAGACAGCATCCTAGTTCCTGGGAATGTAAGTATAAATGGATCCCGGTGAACCTGCCCTCTCAGACCTTACAGCTGTTGGAGGATGAGAGGCAAGAAGACACAACAACAACAACAACAAAATGAACAAATAAGTAAAGAGGATAATTCCAGGGACTATAAGTGCTATAAAGAATATGAAACACAGTGATGTGATAAATGGGCTGGGGAGCAATGGGTAAGTGCCATCAATTAGGAACTTAAGCTGCTCTGAAAATGTAGTATCATGTTTGCAATTTCAGGCAAATTGAAGAGTAAAACCAATACCCAGGAATGAGCATAAGCTTGCCTTGTTCATGAAACTGAAAAGTTCCAATCTACAATGGCCAGTCTGGCTCTCTGTACATCCTGATATTAACCTTCCTTCCATAACACAAGGAGGCAATGTTACAGAGTGGATAAGATCTTGGGATCTGGAATCTGATGAATTGGGATTGAGTGTGAATTCTGCTACTTCCTGTTCTGTGAGCCTCAGTTTCCTTAACTGTAAATCAGGATTGTATTAATCAGAGTTTCAACAAGAAACATATGGTATATCTAAATTAGGTTAATTTGAGGAGGCTTATTTGCAAAGGAGATCATTACAAAGGTGTGAATAGGGTGTAGAGGAAGCATGAGGAGTTGTACCAGAACTCAGGGTAAGTAGCAGCAGAGCTGTCATTACCTTTAGGTTCTAAACGACAAGGTAGAGAGATGTGAATGGAACCCAAAAAAGAGAAAGAACAGGAGCTATTTTGAGAGAAGCAGTGAAGTAGCTATGAATACCATCATGGGTATGTGACATGGGGCTGGTGACTACCATTGTGAATACATGATATATGTCTGTGGACACCATCGTGAGTACATGGCAGATGGCTGTGGATGCCATATTGATCTCAGAGTGAGAGAAACAGACTCTGACTTAGCTCTCCTTTCTGCTTCCAATTTCCTACAGATGCCGGAACTCAGCTAGGGGATAGAAGACAAGAGAAACCTCAGTGTGGTCCATACAGGTGGATATTTTGGGACCCAGAGCAGGAAGCAGAATGCCCCTGGAAGGTCAAACTGTTTATAGGAGATAACACATACACCTACCACATTGAATGGTCTAGAGGAACATATGAAACAATGCATGTAAAATGCTTACTCTGAACTCTCTTATTTAAAGTAATTTGAAACAGCCATGGCAAAACATAAATATTTGCTAAATTCATATTGGATTGGTGGTGTATTTTCTGTAGTTTCTGGACGTTTGAAATATTTTCTAACATTAAAACATGCTTGGCATTGTGTCTGTGACGTAGTAACATAGTAAGTGTGCATTAATGTTAGTTACAAGGATAACAAGTACTTCGCCAGCATCTGCCTCTAGATATTTTTTCTTCTCTTTTCACAATCATCTGCTTTGAAAACTCTCATCAAAAGTGATAGTTAACCCTACCTCTCAAAATATGCATGATTTTCTGAGAATTATTTCTAGCTCCCTCTATATCCCATGCTCCAAATTTTTTTAAACCTCACATGAACCCATCTCTAAAACTATTTTATAGGCACTCAAAACTCAGGTCATCTTCTCCCTTAACCTGCTTTTTCTTCTGTGTCCCTTTTGCTTTTAATCAGAATAACTGTTGAATCCACCTACTTATTGCCATTGGCCCTGACACCTTTCTAGTACAAACTCATGTCACGGATTTCTTGAATATCACCATCTTACAGGTCTCCCTGCATCTAAATTGGCTCCTTCACACAGCTGCCAGAGTGATCTTTTTTTAAAAAAGTGTATCAAATAAGGCCATTTCCTGCTTAAAACCCTTTCTTGGGTATAGTTTGAGGGTCTGCATTTTAAGTAAACTACACAAATGACTCTGCCTCTGCACAATTTCTATACCCTTTTGCTTCCAAATTAATTCTTTTCTTTTCTTCATTTCCTTTTCTTTCCTTTTATCCTCTTTTCTTTCTTTCCTCTCTCCCCTCCCTTTTTCCTTCCTTCCTTCCTTCCATACCACTTATGGTGTCTAACACACTTAAATTTAAACCCCATCTTTGTGTCTTACTGATATGGAGTAATATACTTAATCTCTCTTTACTAAAAAATAAGGACAAAACATCTACATCATAGGGTTGAGGTAAGTATTGAAGTGGAAAATATCAATGCAATAACTTGCATAGTGCCTGGCACACATTAAAGACTTAACAAGTACTTGCTGTTGGTGCTAAATTATGGCTGTTTTTGTTCTTGTTATTTACCTCTTTAAAGTCAATTGTCATTAACTTAATTCACATATGAAATCCTTAGCCTGGCATTAAGGACCACATTCCCATTATTTCTACCTTCCCAATCTTATTTCCCACTTTACACTTTAGGCTACCTGTTTCCTATATGCGCTGGCATGTTTTCTTGGCCACTACTTCACTCCCTATGTATTCTCCCTGCTCTTGCCAGAACCCCACCCATTCTACAGCCAGCTCAAAGGCTAATTTCTCCACACAGTCTTTTTAGATGCCTCAGCAGGATAAAATTACTCCTTTCTTTCATTTTCTATAAAATACCATTCTCTCTTATCTATGATATTATATACTTTATAAGTCTTATTTCTCCTATTGGACTATATATTATTTAAGGATACAATTTATATCTCAATTATCATATAGTCCCCAAATTTATATCCCAGATGTATACCACTCAGTAAATACTTATTGATTTGTTAAGTACAGGGTTTTTAAAAAACCTGAGTGCAGAGGTAGGCAAAGTGGGTTGGATTTTGGTAGGTAGACAAAACCAGGAATGTAGGCCTAGTGAGAGAGAAGTCCCTGGGCTTAAGCATGAGAGCAAGGAAGGATGTGGTGCTTTTGGGCAAAGAGGTCAGTCCATGTGGGAGATAGGGTTAGAAAAGCAGATAAAGGCCAGATTGGCCAAGGATCTGAATGCCCTGTTTTTGTAGGCAATGGTGAATCATTGAAGATTATGGAGCAAGAAAGGAAAATGAGTTTTTATTTGTATTCTCACAAAGCAGTAAGCATGTAGGCCAATGACACAGCTTTTAGAACTCAAAAAACCTGGGTTTGGGCTCAATCCTGACACTTACTAGCAAGTGATTATGGGGGCAAGTTATTAAAACATTCTAAACCTCAGTTTTCTTATCTCTAAAATGGGCTTAATACAAACTTAAGGTTACTATGAATAACATATACTTTTATATACATTCAGAATGAAGCATCCAGTGAATATGCAATAAATGATGCTTTAGAGAACTTCTTGTTAGAATGGTGAAACACAGGTAAAGATGAAAAGATTGGAATCAGAGAGAGCAAAAGAATAGAGCCTGCAATCACCTTGCAGATTTGATATGCTCATTCCCTCATATATTCATCTTATATTCCCTCAAAGATGGCAAGACTCTTAGGGTGAGAACAGGTCTGTGGAATGAACTTATCGTTGCTTAGCAATAGTGTTTCTCAAAGTAGAGTTCTCCACTAGGTTCTGATCTAGTGGTCTTTGTGTAACTCCTATTGCAGATGGTTCAGAGATTTTTGGGAGAGGTAAACAAATTTATTTTTATGTACATTTCACAGATACAGGATGTAAGCCTTATTGTATTAGTCCCAGACTTCCCATTATATTGTAGGGTTTTGTATGTTTCACCAAGATTGATGATCAGTTCATCTCAGCTAACATGCGGCTAACTGTTAAGTTTGCATTTTATTCCTATTGTATATGTTATATTCTTATTCCACAAATATTTTCAAGTCAAAAAAAGGGTTCATTGATATATAACAGTAATACTGAAATTGGAACATGAATACTACAACTCACAAAGCATTACCAATATAAACAGTAACTGGTGCTACAGTGCAAATCTATAATATGAATGGATATTGTGCTGGAAAAAAGATGAATCTTAAGCAATAATTTTATCTACACTGAAAAAATTAAAATGTAGATAGCAAGTGTAAAGATAAATATCTTTAAAATTGCATGTAATAACACCAGGAAACAGTATAAAACTTTGTTATAAAACTTTATCCAGTGTTGAAGCAAAGCCATAGAACTGTTCACATTATCTTCAAAGCTGAGTAACCTCTCTGTTTTTCCTGAATAAGCTCAAATTCATGCTTTCTGATGCAAAATTGGTGACTTTTGTTGTCAGTGCTGGAAAAAAGACCAGAACTGCAGAGACATCTTTCAAGGCTGCATTCATCTTGGCAAAACACAGGTACAAGTCACACTAGTGCCAAGAAGCTAATGAAAGAAGCTGCCATGTTAATGACAAATAGTATGATCACAAGGAAAGCAGAATGAGCTATTGGCAAAATTCCCTTATCAAATAATACTGATGGATGTTCCAAAATGTCAATGGCATACATTGTGGAAGAGCAATTACACTCTGGTGCATCTGCTTGTAGATATTTCACTTTAGACTTAGGTGATGCTGCTGATGGAGAGGGTATGAATTAGTTGCTCTTGGCATAAATGTAGTACATAAATGAGGGAGAAGTGCTTGACAATTTTTATTCTGTTTATCCAAGCTATAGGAGAAGAGATGTGTCTATTGGTTCACAATTCTTTTTTGTCATCTATGAGCAACATCCAGAAAATATGCATTCAGATCTGTCCTGATGGAGTCCAACCATCTATGTGCAGCAAGGATGAGTTTTGATTTACAAAGAAAAGGATTTGTGCCATGTCAATTCATGCTTTATTTACCAATTTTTTTGGTGAATAAAAAGTAATTTTACTGACTTCAAATTTTTAAAAAATTACACAAATGATGATATGAGGTTGGAAGAATGAACATAAGATTCTCATCTTCTACTCTGAAGTATGATGGCTTTCAAGAGAAAGTTGTTCAGAAAGCAATTTTGAAATGAGAGATGATATAAAAACATGCTTTTGTGGTACTAATAAGAATGGGATCTGTCTATGATTTTAAGTCACTTGCTCTAGTGGCATATGTCAGAAATATATTCAATATTATGAATACATTGAACCTATTACTTTAGGGCCAAAACTAGCATCTCTGGGTTTTGTGTTGCTGTTGTTGTTATTGTCTTGCTTTTTCTTTATGTAGGAACTTAAATATATTAAGAGGACAAAACCGTAGTGTAAACAGCTCAACTACAAAGAGTTTGACTCTTCCCAACTTAGGTTATTTTCTTCACAGATCACGAAAATAAGTTAATAGTATATTTTAAAAAATATTTTTAAATGATATTCAAATGGAAAGCATAACTGAATTATTTTAATATGTAAGTATAATTTAGTGGTGAATTAAGAATCCGTCTTCTGCTAACTCTGAAGGTAAATAATCAGCTATGCAGCTTTTTGAGGAAATAGGCTCATCAACTTTGAGTTGCATGGCATTCCAAAAGTAGTCTTCATTGAGAACTGCTTTCATTCTGTGTTTATATTTCACATGATTATCTGGAACTATCAACCAGATGCACAAAATGTTGGTATCATTTGTAACAGAACTAATTGTGATTTGGAATTTTCTAATATGGCAGTAATAAAGAATAATAAAAGCTACTAACTGAAAGTAAAACCTGGCCAGGTGCAGTGGCTCATGCCTGTAATCCCAGCACTTTGGGCGGCCAAGGTTGACGGATCACGAGGTCAGGAGTTCAAGACCAGCCTGGCCAACATGGTGAAACCCCAACTCTACTAAAAATACAAAAATTAGCCAGGCATGGTGGCGTGTGCCTGTAATCCCAGCTATTCAGGAGGCTGAGGCAGGAGAATCACTTGAACCTGGGAGGCAGAGGTTGCAGTGAGCTGAGATCATGCCATCGCACTCCAGCTTGGATGACAGAGTGAGACTCCATCTCAAAAAAAAAAAAAAAAGTAAAACCTGACCAGTAGCTATGTCTTGAGCTAAATACAATTTGCTGAGAGATTACAAATGATATCATCACTCACAGATTTTTTTAAAAAAATATTATCTTTAGCGGTAGTAGGTTCTGATATTTTTTGTTTTCTATTTGAGTGCCAAATATTCAATAAGAATTAAAGATCTAAGTGCTATGTCAATCATATCATTGATTAGCAAGTGAAGTGGCCCCTCTGGGCTCCAATTGTTCAACCTATAAAATAGAGGCAATTATGTTTCTCCTTCTTTGAAGTGCTCTAAAACTTTATCTTGTCTGTTTTAAAGTATCTCCAGAATTTGTAGTCCCTAAACAAAAGAAACGGAAATGAAATGTGTTCCATGTTGGAAAATTTTTAGGAAAACATTGGGAAGGCTTTCTACTGACACCAAGCTAAAGGGCTGAGATGAAGTAGCTGGCAGTATGTATAAAAAAGAGGTAAATCTGTAGCTGATTATTCACCTTGGGAGACAGCAGAAGCCTATAGCCAAACATATAATCAGCTACTCAACTTTTTGAAGGAGATAGACTCCTAAGCTTAGAACCTCATGGCATTCCAAAAGTAGTCTTGAGTAAGAACTCCTTTCCTTCTTGTTCATATTTCATGTTTTATTAACCTTGGAAATACCACTAAATGCTATATCTAAAAGCCTTAATAACTAACTGACTCAGCAACTAAGAACCTCAAAAATGGATTGCTAAGAAAAAGTAAGAAGGCAATAATTAAGATCATTCCCTGAAGTCCTGTCATCAGGCTGGTCATTCTTATACCGATTAGACTTTAGAAGGAATATAAAACCTGTGACCTGGAATGACAGTTTTTCTCCCTGAAATTGTTGTCTAATTGACTTGAGTATATCTATATGTCTCAAAATTAGCAAGATACAAACACAGGGATTTCAGTGTGCACATTTTACAGAGATTTTAATATGATATTTGCTATGAAAATAAAACCAAATGAAAGGGAATGTGAAAAACAAAAAAACAAAACTAAATTACAAAGAAGAACTTCATAATCTATTGAGAGTAAGAATTCAAAGACAAATTATTGTAATAAGGTAGATTATATAATGAAACTTTTGTAACAACTGTCCATACGGATCTAAAGAAAGATCAAAATTAGTATGATAAATGCCAAATATAATTCAGAAAGAAAAATGGCAGTGAAAATAGGAGCAATCACTAATGATGTATCTAAATTTCAGTTCAAAGTTTAAAAGTCAACATAAATCCAAGTATTTGAATAGGTCAAAAAACATTTATCTTAGATTTGATGTGAAAGAAGACGTCAAAATCAAACCAAAGTAGTAACAAAACTTGAAAAAAGTAGAAGCCCATGTGATAAAATATAAAGATGTTAAAAATTTTTAATTTTGTATAGTTCATTTTAAACTGACTATGCTTACTTATGCAATACGTTAGATTTTATACCAGTTCATATGATCTATCTATTAGAGAATGAAAGAATACTCCAATTAGGCTAGACTTCTTTTTTTTAGAAAGGGTATGCAGTAGAATACATGCAGACGTCATCCAATTTACCCACCAAGAAAGTCAACCCCGCCCTTGGGTGAGTCCATAAGACATGAATATAATGACTTATGAACCACCAGTGACAAATTTACCTTTTTATAAGCTCATGATTGCTATTAATTTATTAATTGACATTATGTTACAAATTACATTTGCATGAATATTTTAATACAGTGTTAAATATTTAGAATTCTTTAGAAATAAAAAAGATGAGGCAAGTTAAATGTCATATTATTTTTACTAAAGTTTTGTTAAGTCAAATAACAATATAGTACAATTAAAGTGCAAAGTTGAATGATCAGGAGATGGTCACACATGCATGCACATGCACACACATACACACACACATACACACTTACTATAACCATAATATCTCATTTGTTTTGGTTTTAGTCAAATGGCTAAACAGAAATAATGTTCAATACCAACACACACAGACACACACACACACACCCCCTACAAAAGTAGGTAAACTTATGTTTGAAGAAGTCGGCATTCATAAAAAATATGAAGAGGTAAAATTCACAATAAATATTTTACATTTATAAAGGTCTATGTACCAAGTAGCATGCAGTCAACATTTATAAAGCAAAACAATAGGAGAAATAAGTAGACAATGTTATTCACTTACCTAAGTCTACAACAGGAGAAGTAAAGAAAGACACATGTAACAATGACAGAAATAGATTCTATAGGTGTCTGATATAAATAAAGATAGTTATGTATATATAGATAGATATGTACATAATTCTGTATGATGTAAAAGGAGAGCATATTTGCTTTAAAAGTTTCCATAGAACAGTCATGTAAATGTTCTTAGAATAGCTCACAATCTCAATACTTTCCAAAATGTATAATTAGAGTTGTTTCTGGTTACAATGAATGTAAGTAGAATTTAAGTATAGAATCACAAAAATATTTCTACAACATGGACATTAAAAAAAAACTTTATGTCAAGCAACTATAGGTTCAAAAGGATGCAAGGTAGGGATGTTGTGTGTCTGAATTTCAAGGGAAGGAGTTTTTCTTTGCAAATAGGAGGAGCTTCACTTCCCAAGAATCTGAAAAGGAGCAAATAAAGAATACATTGAGATGAAGTTAAGGAAACATAAAATTGGTGCCTGAATTTTATATGACATTAAAATGTTACTTTATATAACATTTAAATTAAAATTTCAGATATTTTCTCTGTATATACAGAAAATTAAGAATTTCAGCATGACAAAGATACCCAACATAACTTAAAAGACAAACAATGGACAGTGAGTAACCATCTAAATGCAAAAAAGGAATAATATTGCTCATGTAAAACATGCACATATAAATTGAAAAAAAGCAATTCAACATTAAGTAGACAAAAGTAATCAAAAGAAAAATTATGGAATAGGAAATGTAAATGACTAATTAAAGATGACTTTAGGGAAAAATGAGAACATCTTTTCACTCATCCAGTTAGAAAAATCAAAGATTGATAACCGTCAGTGATGATAAGTCTTTATAAAAATGGGCATTCTCATTCCTTGCTAACCCATTAACCTACGAATAACATGGGTATTACAAAGGGATAAAATTGGAGGAGGGGGCAGTCAATATATTTCTATATAATTTTTACTTCTAAAATGAGTATGTGTTCATTTGTAGTTTCAAAATCCAAGAACAAAAATCTGATTTTAAAATTGTTGACTATAAGTTGATGCTACCTTACATCAGAAAGGAAAAATTGGTAAAAAGAATGAAGTACTCATGACATGGAAAGACATACATTGTAGAGTTCGATGAAACAAGATATTTTCAGAATATGATGCATAATATATGCCCCTCTGCGTAAAAATATTTGTGTGTGTGTGTATATAAAATAATTTGAATGAAACATATGAAACACTTCAAGGTTTCTACTTTTCTGGAGAATGAAACTGAAGTGAGTTGGAAGGAGATGGAGAGTTGAGGTTGGGGGTCATATGGTATTTGTTCATTGCCTATTTCATGAAAAAACCGTATATCAGTGCTCCATCACATAATGTAATAAGAGAAAACTCGCTATTAAAATGGAATGGCAGTTAAGCAAACACTCTGAAGAACAAAAACTAGTGCAGAAGAAACAGGCAACCACGAAAATAAATGTGCAAGGAGAGGAAGATGAAATCAAAAAAGAAGTAAGGATTGTTATCATCATCATTAATAATCATTGTGATTAATAATAACTATAAGGATGATGATTGCAGTGGTAGTCATAGTAGTAGTAATAAAATAATTCTGGAGATTAGAATGCTAACAGACTGCAAACAAGAGTATTGAACATTGACCACCTTCACATAGTTTGCCACTGAATTATCTTAATTATCTCAAATGGCTGCATGGAGTTACGACATAGAAAAATAAAAACAATAATTACAAATAAAAAGCAACCAAATACATACATATATATATATATATACATAATGTGTATGTGTATTGTATGTATGTGTGTGTGTGTGTGTGTGTGTGTGTGTGTATATAAACTTTACATGAAGTTATTTAAAAATTTTTTAACTGTTTTTTGGGAGGTGAGGTGAGGCTGGGTGAGAATAAGACTAACAACTGGTGCTCTTGTAATGGAGGCACATAAATCATGATGTCCTAATGAGATCACAGGGAAGCAACCAAACTAAAATTCCAATGAAAATTAGTCAAGTCAGAGGTAAAGACATTAGTGGGCTCTAGGAAGTGCATGTCTAGAGATTTCTTGTTTCCAGCCAGAGATAACAATCCTTCTTTTTTTTTCTTCCCATCTTCTTCTCTCCTCTTTTCTTCTTTCTTTTAAATCAGAATTCTACTTGAAGAGACTAGAGACAGCATTCAACTTATATAAAAGGAGGAAAAAAAAGCTGGCAGAATATTCACTTATCATGTCGCTGCTACTCTAATAAGTCTCCTCTATATTTCACTTGAGAAATGAACCCATCTTTATGAGCAAGCTGGACCTGTAGCAGGATCCGTGTGGAAACTCCAGCAGTTCATGTTGCCTGATGCACAGGTGTTTGATTTTATTTTTATTTAAAAGTCACCAGTCAGCATACTGATCTCCTGGAGCTTGATTCTAGGTATTGTGTGGACCGGGGAAGCCAGAGGAGATGGCTGCTAGGGATCTTCTCCCATGTGTTCAGATTTTTCTTCTACTTAATTTCCAAAGCCTGCATAGTCTCCCAAAGCAGCGCCTTCTTTTCACAGCTGGAGAGATGCTTGTTTGGAGCCCATCTGAATGGCCCTTATTTGTACCTCACTGTATGTGATAGCAAAATGCTGCACATTCTTCTGCTATCTTGCCATGCAGTCAATTTCCAAACTTCCTCGGAAATTTTCTAAAAAGTTTATTCTGCTGATAAAAAAAAAAGCTGTTTGTTTGTGAGTTCTTCCACATTAACATTTCCACATGACACACTTTTGGACTGCATTTGAATTGTACATTTTGCCTTATTTTCTTAAACCTAAATAAAGGAGAGATTTTATTTTTCATTCCACTATACTGCCTTGACCATTCATTCATTCATTCATTTACTCCCTTGTATAGTTATTTATATATTCATATGCTCGCTCATTCAGTGTTTCATCATAAAAAAGAAGATGCCTTTTAGCCTCTTCTTTAAGCATTGGCCAATTGCTTAACCTTTCTGCACCATTGTAAAGTGGAAAACTTCCTACCTTCCTTGTAGGATGGTTGTAAGAAGTGAAGGGGATCTCATATGCAAAGCACCAAGAAGGGCTCCCAGCACATTTCAAGCTTTGCATAAGATGTTCTGATTCATTCATTCATTCATCCATCCATTCAACAGATTTTAACTTAGCAAATTGTCTGTGCCAGGCATTGCCGTACATGTTAAGGATGCAGCAGCCGACAAGATAGACAAGATCTGCTTTAATGAAATTTATGTTTTATGAAGTATGGCTTGAAAACATATAAGTAAAGAAGTCAGATGTTTCTGATTATAGAAGTGACAGATTAGATTGGTCATCATATCATAGCCTCCCTAACTTTCTTCCTTCCTCTGTGCTTCAGAAGACCTTGCTCTTACCATCCTCTGCTCACACCTCTTTCCCAGATTAAGGACTCTGTGGGCCAAGAGAATGTGTCACCAAGAGCTAATGCTCCAGGGACACAGAGCCCCAAAATTCCATGTCCAAATATTGATCCCTAGCCACTTAGAAAACAAACCAGGGCCTTTTTCTCACCCTGTGGGACAGTGTAGGTATGTAGGAACCCCCTAGATTTGAGGGATATCCAAGGAGCAGTTGTTGTTTTAAATTGAGGTCTTAGATACATGCGGGTTGGGTGAATTGTCCATTTGCACATGCTTGAGGGTCTATCAGTTGGAAAGAGGCAGAACCAGTATTGAGTAGAGAAGCAAGGGTCCTCCATTTGAACTCTTTCCCCAGCCCTATGAATTACAGGACCAAACCTGAGGGAGATAGTGCAAAGAGGTCTGGAGTAAGGGAACTGGAGGAGGGGTCAGAGAAGGCCCCTGGAAAGAGATGACATTGTAGTAAGTCCTGTGTGATAAGGAGCCAGCCTTGTACAGAGGTCAGAGCAGTGAGTGCCCAGGCCCTAGGAACAGATTAAGTCAGGCCTGTTGGGGCAATGAAAGAAGCCAAAGATGTCAAAGTTGAGTAAACTTGAGGAGAGAGACAAGAGGTAAACTCAAGAAATATGTGGAGGCCAGATTAGTGTAGGCCCTCTGTCGGTGGGTTAAGAATGTAGGTTTCTAGGTCCTAAAAACATAGATTCCTAAATTAAGCATCCAAATCTTTTAAAAGGGAAACTGAAAATCCCAAGGAAATTTGGGGACACACTGAAATTTGAGAACTCCTATGTACCTTCTTATCAGTAATAGATAAAGCTATATCAATATCCAGATTTAATAAGCAGCAACATTTAAAACATTTTGTATTGAAGTATAATGTGTTTTTTGTTCTTTTTTTTAAGAGTTGGAAAAACTCTTAACATCCACCTTAAATAATCTGCTCTCCAATTGGACTCTTTAACGTGTTAAGGATTTGGAAAGGCAATAATAAAGGAGCAGCTAGGAGTAAAGGGGGGGCCATCTATTTTTAATATTTCAGAATATAGCCAAGTAAATCTTATATTACAAAATAACAATCTACTTTGTAGATTGACCAAAACTTTATTTTGTTTTTACCTAGAATTTTATCAACACTGTGTGCCAAAGTTGGTTATTACATATGTCCTTGTTTTAAAATATTGAAAATCATTAGATACTAGCGATGATTCACAGAGTGGTTAAGGGGAACTGACTTTCACTTTAGATAAGTGAGTTTGCATTATGGCTATGCCTCTTACTATATTGCTTCCTGAAGCCTCAGTTTCTTCATTTGTAAAAGTGAATTCTAATAAATCCTATTCTCAGATTGTTTTGAGGACTAAATGAGAAAACTATGTGAAAGACTTAGAAGGTATCTAGCACATAATAACATGCTCAGTAATGAAAAAAGTCATTAATGTTATTTAGTAAAGTCATTTTCTTTGGTAGGCAAAATTCTTTCAAACTGTGGGATGTCCAATATTCTCAGTTTTCAGCTGGAAAATGGAAGTCCAGAGAGGTTGCTGGCCATACCAGGGTGACATCTTACCTTAGGCATGAAATTCAGGTTCCATGACTCTTCTGTCCCAATAGAAATTGCTACCTTGGAATTGTGATTTCTTTCTGATGCTTCTTGGAGAAAACTCTACATTGAGCAGCAATTTCCATGCCTTTCTTTAGTTCAGTTCCTCAACTTTATGTGACGACAGACACCTTAGAAATTTTACTTTCTTGCTAAGTGTGACAGATGTTCCAGAACCTAGTAGTCTATTGGGAACTAAATTTGTAGTCAAGTAATGACCAGAAGGGCCATTAACTTTCTCTTCGGTTACCTCTTCTTTTTGACTATGCTTGATTTGGCTTGTTAGTTGCGCATTTGAAACTGAGACATAAACCCTTGGAAGAACTGCATGAGATTTCAGCTAAGCTCTTTCGTCTGTGGAAGTACTTCTATTAGAAACATATTCTGGGCCTGTTGAGTATTTGAACATATTCAGAGTGGTCACACTGGCACACAGGTAGCCTTTGGAAAAAGCACCTAAGGACTTCCAAGAGGTCTAATTAGTAAAGAAGTATATTGAGGTATAACATGTTTTTATACTTTTATTTCACTAAAGAGTTAGTGAAAAGTTTTCCAAAGCATATCTCAATATACGCACAGATTTATATAACACAGAACTCTCACTCCTCTCCAAGGCATTTCAGCTGCTCAAAATATGTTCCTTAATTTTGAGTCATCAGAGGCTGTAAAGCATTGAGGTGTATATAAGGAGGGCCTGTACTATGCATGTTAAAACTACACTTGTAAGAATGTTCTGAGCCAATGCTTTTACTTTTTTATGAACAGCAATGACATATATAAATAATTCATTCATGATACCAAAAGTGTAACCACAGAGGCTTCCTCCCCAGGGTGTCTTGGCATACCTATTGACAGTTCTAAAATAAGTATTAACAGAAGAACATCACCAGAGAAGGATAGAAGGAAATCATCAGCAACCCACCGCTTGAGATTGTCTGACAGCTTTTACATATGAGGCTCTGTGTAAATTCAGGTTTGGTGCTATAAAGCTCAAAAAGCCAATGTAGATTAAAATGCTTCCAAGGTATGTTTGCAGGGAACTATATATGGCTAAAGATTATCTTGTATATTTTGGGGGGTTATGGGTAAGAAATAGGAAGTAAAATATCCCCTGCCTTGGCGGTTTCTCTTGGGAGTCTAGAATTCGGAATTCAGACTCAGGAAAAAAAATTCATAGAATTCAGGGGAAAAAATGCCTTGAAATGAGATTCAGACATCAAATGGTGCAGGAATTTTCCTATCACAGTGGCACAGTGGGTCTTATGCTTCAAACATTGCTTTGGGCAGACTGAAGACTGTGAAATAATCCATTTGCTGCCATACCTGTGGTTCCAGTTATAATAGCTGATATATTGATCTCTTCATGTGCCCTATCTCATTTAATCCACACAACCATCCTATGAAGTAGGTTTGGTTATAATTACTACCCTATTTTAGAGATTATTCAACTGAGGCTGGAGTAAGGAGAGTACTTGCTCAGAATCACCCAGTAAGTAAAGGTGTGTGTCTGGATTTGAACATGTGTCTGTCTGACCAGAGTTTTAGTTCCCTGGAATATAGTACAACGAGGAAGGTTACAAAGAAGACAGGATGCACAGGTTTTTGTCTTTTTTTTTTTTTCTTTTTTTTGGCTATCCTGAATGGCAATAGAGGTTACACAGTTGTAATGAATTCTGCAAGTTAACTCCACTGATGAAAGTAGTACCTTAGCCAAGCCAGTCTTCTGAACCCCCATTTTATCATTTATAAAGTGAACCTGCTGGGTTTTCTGTGAAGAATAAGTCAGTTATCATGTTCAAGAGTGCTCTGAAATGCAAAAAGGTACAACACAGACGTGAGGTCCTCTTACATCTGTAAGTGGCTCCTCTTAAAGGAAGAAACTTAGAGGCAGAGACCTTGCCCTCAGGACACTGGATCCACTTACCACAATGTAAGAAGGATTCACTTCAAGAGATATACAACAGGTTGGGCATGATGGCTCACGCCTATCATCCCAGTGCTGTGGGAGGCCAAGGTGGGAGAATAGCTTGAGGCCAGGGGTTCAAGATCTATTTGGGCAACATAGTGAAAATTAAAAAAAAAAGAAAATAGCCAGGCGTGGTGGTGCACACCTGTAGTCCCAGCTACTCAGGAGGCTGAGGTGGGAGGATTGCTTAAGCCCAGGAGTTTGAGAGATATATAACAAACTTCACTTAAATGATTATGCCCAAAGAAAATGTCCCTTAAGGGGACTGAAGGCTCACTGATGAGTGCCTGTGTCAAATTATCTGATATGCAAATCATCTGGCATGGTTTTGCCTCACCTGTGGGTCAGTCTTATATTCTGGGGAGAGAAGCCTTTTTTGAAAAGGAGAAAGGAAGTCTTATGAGCCAAGGAAAAACGAGGTTTAGAGAAGGATAGTTTAATCAGTTCCACTGTCAGAATAGATGAAAGCAGGAGGGAGCTGTGGTTTCTCACCCATAACCACGATGGAGAGAGTTATGTTTGTTAAATTTTGCAACATCCCCATGCCTTTTGGCAAGGTTTTTGCAATATCTCCACGCCTTTTGGCAGCCGTTTTTGTTTTTCCTTAGGAATTTGTAGCAAATACTTTAAACCAAAAACACTTGTCATTAATGAGAAGTCATATATACTATATTCATCAGCCAGTTCTAGAAACTGGGTTGTGGAATAACCTGGAATAGATGTTCTTAGCTTTAAAACAAAATTGAGGAGTGGAGCAAGGCTAAATCCCTGATGAAGATGTGTATGTCGATTCAGTATGAGAGAGCTGAGTGAGTTGTGAAGCTAAGAATCAGAATATATCACCATCACCATTAATATCATCATCTTCACCTCATCGTCATCATCACCTTCAAGCTGCTGAATGTTTACTATAAGGCATCCACCAAGCTGTCATTTCACTTGATATTCACAGCAACCCCATATTATACAAAAGGCAACTTTAGTAAAGGAGATTGAATAACTTACCCGAAAACACATGAAAAGTCAATCTCTGTATTAAACTTAGACCTGTCTAATTTCCCGATCTAAGGCAAAACTTCTGTCCTATGCTGAAAATGCATCTTTTCCCAACACTGACAAAGTCTGAAACAAGGTCAGTGTAAACTGTTTTAAAGGACTTCCCTAGAAAAGGAAACCCTGATAGATTTAATGCTATAAATATTAAAGCTACTGTAGTTCCCTCAAAGCATCATAAATAAAATTCAAAGGCAAGTAACAAGTAAGAAAAACATCAAAAATATGTATGATGAAAGATTAACTTTAGCATGTAAAGAACTCTTCACATCTTAATAAGAAAGGCATTTAACATATAAGTAAAGAAAAACTAATAGATAATAAAAAGAAGAAATAAAATGACCCATAAAATTATATTTTTAAAATTTATCCCTTTTCTCTAGTAATCAAGTAAATCACATTAAATCAATGATACAATATGGATAAGCTGATCATCAACTTCTACAATATTGAAAATAGCACTTGTACACAGTCTTAGCAAAACTATAAGATAAGCACTTTCATAATAAGGTTCTAAAGAGCAAGATAATTTGCCAATTTATGGTTAAACTCTGAAAACATTCAAATTATTTAGCACAATAATTTCACTTATGGGAATATATACTAAGGAAATTTCAAGGCTGGGTGCTGTGATTTAGCAAACAGCATTTTCAATGCAATGTTATGTATAAGGATGCACAATAATTTTTACTAGAAAAAAAGCAGGTTAGCTCTAGAATACAGAGTTTTTAAAAAATCTATGCATCAATAAAAGAACAGTAAGGATAAACAAAAAGCGGTATTAGGTGCATTATGCATAATACTTTCTTCTTTTCTGAACTGAGCTCATTTAACTTTAGAAATAAGAAATTACATACTTCTTTTAAAAGGAGGCAGTGTGATACGAAAGTGTTCTTAAAAGAGGCAGAACAAATTCCTTCCTTAACTACAAAAATCTATAAAATAGGAATTCTTTTTAAAATCATGACAACTCATTGTAACAACATTATAAATTTATAAGAGAAAAAATGAGAAATGAATCATATTTTATGCACGAAATTTGCAGTAGTCCAAGCAATTAGAGATAATTAGCCCAATGGCTCCAGACGGAAAGGGAAGACTTTGTTTACTCTTGCTGTAGCAGGGACTCAGAGCTGAAGGTTGCAGCCAGATTTGTAAAGCAGCTTGTCGTAGAATAGAGTAAGAATTCTGTAACTTTCTAGCAACAATATAGTTGACAGTAGTTATGATATTACTGATAAACTTGGTTGATCTACTAAAACATTCACAGACTCAATTTTTATTATCTTTAATTGTAGTAAAAAAAGACATAGAACAAAATTTACCATCTTAATCATTTGTAATTGTACTGTTCAGTAGTGTTAAGTATATTTAGATTGTTGCGCAACTGATCTACAGAATTTTTTATCTTGCAAAGCTAAACTTTATATCCTTTTAAAAACTCCCCATTTTCCCTCCTCCCAGTCCCTGGCTACCACCATTCTACTTTTTGTCTCTATGAATTTGACTAGGTCTCTAATATAAGTGGAATCACACAGCATTTGTCCAATTCTGTGTTGCTTGTTTCATTAGCATAATGTCTTCAAGCTCCATCCATTCCTTCCTCTTTAAGGCTTGCCAAGGCATTCTTACAATTTAATTACTTTCCATTTATAAGAACTTGTAAAATGCTTACTTTAAAATTTTTATTTTAATTAAAATTGGAGAAAATAAAATTTTTATTCTTTATCTCATGGTTTGTGCTCAAATCAGAAATATAGTTAGATATTTACACTGTAAACTCTACCTATAAAATCTTGACATCAATGATGGTTATTTTACAAAATTTCATTAATTCATCATGCATTCATTCATTGTACTAGATATTGGGGGAATCAAAGTAAAGGGAGATGATCAGGTTAACTGCCCTTGTCTTATTTGTAATATTGTATGGTTTTGATTACTTGATAAAGTGGTAAGTTCAAAGATATCACAAATTCATCCAAGAAAAATTGAAGACAATATTGGGCAGAAATTTTAGGTGTAGATAGTAAGTTCATAAAATAATCAAATGTGTTTATCCCTGGTGTACTCATCTGATGAAGAAATTTTTAATGTTCATAAAATACTTTATACTTATTCTAAAATGTAGATTCAGTTTTTGGTAGATCTGGCTTGACACTGGTAACTTTAAACACCTTTGACTGTGAAAAACTATTTCCAAATGTCACATTTTAGTTGGAAGTTTCAAACTGTTTCCAAATTGAAGTTACCTATCCCAGTCAGACATACTCTCAACAAAGGACTGCTGCCAATAGAATCTTTAAATAAATTTTCCTTCTGTACTGAGTGCTTCTTCCTTTCTGCCAGCAAATAGGCTCAGGATTCATTTATCTTTAAAACTCCATCTTTCATCAGGCTCCTATGATACATCTTCTAGTCCTATCACTTATTAATTCCCTTCCTCGTTTTACTACGTTTGTCCTCTTTAATCCCCTGCAACGTCATTTTCTTCTGAAACCTTGTCACCAAAGATCACTAGAGATACCTAATTATCAAAACTCAGGAGCCTGTCTTCATTTCTCATCCTAATTAAATCATCTCCAGCCTGAGAGCAATTCCCATTTTGAAAGTCTTGTTCATCCCTTAGCACAGCTTTATTCTAGTTTTCATCTTCTCTTTCTGCCCACTCCTCTTCTATTTCCTTCACCAGATTATCTCCTCCTTCTCTCTCCCTATGAAAGCACACCTCTTCACTTCTTAAACATGCTTTTTTTTTCCCTCAACTATACTTCATTACTCAAAGATCTTCATCGCCTCCTTCAGCAAGTCACCAAGTGGGTGACTTCCCGGTTGATACCCCAGTTCCAACCACTGTCCAACTGCTTAATCAGCTTTCCAAGCTTCCCAGCAGATACATACACCTGAATGCCTGGGAAAATAACTGATTATTCCATCCATTCATTCACTCACTCAGTTTAAGAAATTGGATCCTTCTATGTGTTAGACATCGTGGACCGGCTTAAACAAGATTGTGACTATCTCTGCTTTCATGTGAAGCTTACCATTTGATAGGCAAAAAATAACATAATAGGAAGGTGGCCCTACTCAAGTGAAACCCAGACTTATACTCCCAGACAATGGTTTGTTTTTCTTGCTCTGCAATCACTCTACTTCTCTCTTCTCCACATTGTTAATGGAATCTCTACTCTCCATGAAATCTGAGAAAGAAAAATTAAAGACATATTTAACTCCTCTTTCTTATTCCTTCCTGGAATCAAATGATTTGCCATGTCCCTCAATAATGGCTCTCAGATGCATCTGACATTATCTCAGCTAGATCATTGTGATAATCTCTCCTTTCATTCTAGCCTCCAATTCCATCTAGGCAGTTTCTCCTTTCACTGCTGTCAATTTAAAACTCCTGAATTGCCACTTTAATCAAGCACCTTCCTGCTCATAAAACTCTCATGACTTTTCTATGAGCTACCAAATTTACTAGAGAGCCTCATTCCCACTGGTACCCACTTACCTTTGGAGCCCTACCTATTAATGTTCCCAGTCTACATGCTAAAAGGCAGTTCCCAAAATTGGCATGTATCAGAATCATCTGAGGGCTTCTGCACAGATTTCTCCTCCTTTCTAATCCCCACCGAGTTTCTGATTCTGTAGATCTGGATGAGGCTTGAGAACCTGGATTTCCAGGAAGTTCCCAGATGTTGTTGATGCTACTGCTGAGGGAACTGTACTTTGAGAGCTACTGCTTGATTATAAATCAGCTGCTTCCTCTTTCCTTCTATATGCCCTTTATTCTTCCAAGAAAAGTCTACTGCTCTGCTTTTTTTTCTTTTTCTCGCACTCTCTCTACCTGTTGACATTCTGCACATTCTTCAAGTTCCCTCCCTCCAGTTCATCTTTCTATAGGGTGTACAATTCATAAAGTATGTGCTGAATGCTTATAAAAACTCTCCTTCCTGCTACCACCTGATCCAAGCCACCATCTTCTCTTGCCCAGACTCCTGCTATAGCTTTCTAATTGGTCTACCGCTTTTTGTTTTTGTATCTTAGAGTTATGTATTTTAAGAGTGTCCTTCTATTCTTATCAAGAGTACAGTCAAAAGAGTAACTACTGCCAATTTCTCTTACACATTAAAAACATATAGAATAAATATGCCATTATATTAAGAAATTTGATCTTTGAGTCCAATGAAATAGAATAATGTGTTCCCTTGGGTTCATCTCTTTTTTTCTGGTTCATATTGCTAACCCAAATCTGCCTATAAAGTTTGTGGACTTTATAAAATAATAAAAGTATTTAATTTTTCCTACTTTTTAGGGATCAGATATAAAACCTTAAAATCAATTATCTAGTCATTAGTGAAATAAAGATCAAAACCACAATGGGATACCACTTCTCACTCACTAGGGTGGCTGTAATCTAAAAGACAATGACAAGTGTGAAGAAACGGGAATACTCACACATTGCTGGTAGGAATATCAAATAGTGTAGGAAGTCAGTCCAGCAGTTTCTCAAAGATTGCACATAGTTATTATGTGACCAGCCATTCCACTCCTAAGTATATGCCCAGGAGAACTTAAAACATATGTTTACATTAAAACTTGCACACAAGTGTTCATAGCATCATTATTCATAATACTCAAATGGTAGAAACCACTCAAATGTCCATTAACTGATTAATAGATACATATAATGTGGTATAGCCACGCAATGGAAAATTATTCAGCAATAATGATGAATGAAGTACTGATACATGCCACAATATGGACGAAACTTGAAAACATTATAATAAGTGAAAGAAGCCCGTCATAAAAGACCACATATTGTATGATGTGACTTGTATGAAATCCACAGAATAGGCAAATCTATAGAGACATCAAGTGGGTTATTGGTTGCTTAGGGCTGAGGGGAGGGGGTTGAAGAGAAATGCACAGTGATTGCTAATTATGGAGGGGGCTTCTTTTCTGGATGATAAAAATGTTCTAAAATTGTGATGGTCACACAACTCTGAATATGCTAAAAACCACTGAATTACACACTTAAAATAGATCAATTGTATGGTATATGAATTATACCCCCATAAAGCTGTTATAAAAATAAAAATCAAAACAGGCACAACCTTAAGGTTTAAGGACATCTCCTTGGCCAGGTAAAAGTGAAATGAAAAGAAAAAAAAAAAAAACACAGTGAAATAGAAGCCATGCTTTGAGCTTTGTTAGCACTGCGTCTGTATTGGTGCTTTAGTGCTTCGAGCAATTGTTGGTAGTGGGTCTGTATTATTCAATGTTTACATTGATCTCCATGACCTGAAAACACCTAGACTTGTTTTTAACCTGAGCACATGCATGCATTTCTGTAAGCTCTTTAATTCAAAGACTAGTTGACATGAAAGCATTTTCTTAGACATTTCCTCTTAAACTTCTTTTTACAATCTAGCCTATGATGGCCCAAGGGATTACACTTAATTACAGCCTCTGCCTGTTGCTGAGCATTTGGTTCTCTTAAATAATTCTAGATTATACTGAACTCAGGAAACTAAGAAAAGAATCTACCCAATGAAAAATACTCATTAAATAATTGTGAAAAATATGTAAAATTTTTTAGGTTATATATAAAATATATTAACAAATATCTATCCAGACCTGAATATTATGTTTGAATGGGTATTATACGATATTTATTTACTGAGTATATTTTATGAAGATTCTTCTTTGGACATATATTTCTATAGTTCTTCAGTTTATAAAACCTACCATCACAGGAATTCATACTATTTTCACAGTCAGAAGTGGTTTTCTATAAATAATAAAAGTACGTATGTAGCTTTTGAGGTAAAAAAGAAAAGAAATAAGAAAAAATTCTTAGAGTATTTGTCATTTCAAAACTTGGGATTGAACCCTAGCTATTCCATATAGAGAAGAAATGGGCCCCAGACAATACTACGAGACTGTCGGCTTCACGTGGTGGCTCATGTTTGTAATCCCAGCGCTTTGAGAGGCCAAGGCAGGCTGATACTCGAGGCCAGGAGTTCAAGACCAGCCTGGCCAACATGCTGAAACCCCACCTCTACTAAAAATACAAAAATTAGCTAGGCGTGGTGGTGCACGTCTGTAATCCCACCTAATCAGAAGGCTGAGGCACAAGAATTGCTTGAACCCATGAGGCAGAGGGTGCAGTGATCTGAGATCATGCCACTGCATTCCAACCTGGACTACAGAGCAAGACTCCATCTCAAAAAAAAACAAAAGACTGTCAGTGTCATAGTGTCATAGTTTGCCTGAAATTACTAGCAGAAAAACTATTAATGGACAACATAGGAGGTCTAATCACTTTAGACTAACTTAATTGCATATCTAATTTTATATGGCTGGATATACAAAACACAGTTTTGGAAAAACAGAAATTGCTAGAGAAAAATTTAAAAGTCAAAAGAATAATGGACCAATAGAAGTATTGCCTCAAAGTAATAATTATGGCCAGGCACGGTGGTGTGTGACTGTAGTCCCAGCTACTCAGGAGGCTAAGGAGGGAGGATAGCTTGAGCCAAGGAGTTCTGAATTATAGTGTGCTATGCTGACTGGAATTCTACACTAAATTCTGCATCAATATGATGACCTCCTGGGAGCCAGGGACCACTAGATTGCTTAAGAGGGTGTGAACTCACCCTGGGTGGAAATGGAGCAGGTCAAAACTCGCAGGTGGATCAAAATAATAATTATTCACATATATTATGATCCCCTAGAGTGTGAGGAGGAAATGTTGAAAAGGTCACCTTAATTTTATATCTAAATTATTAAAAGTTAACATTTAGTATTTGATTGATTAAAAATTAACATTTACTAATAATATATTTATATAATTTTAATAAATATAATGCATTTGTACTGGTACCATGTGCTCAAAAAATTACTAGTAGAGTAATAGATCTACCATGTATGTTACAAGCTGGTGACCAGCAAATGAAGCTGGGTAGCAGAAACGGGTCTGTTTTTATTTTCTTGGTGCTTAAAAAGTGAAATATTTTTCAACATCTCAGAAACAAAAGATCTACATGAGATCTAGATGTCTAATTGTTCTTGAGAAATAAGAAGACTTGGAAACACAATTCAGAATCCTGTGTGAAAGTAATTGGTTGAGTGATCAGTGACTCTCTCTTTTACTTAAAATGGGCTCTTTGGTTTGACCAAATCTCTGCCATTCTTTATTATCTTCTGGCTTGCTGGTTTTATGACTCTATATTATCTGCCTGGCTCTGATGCACATTTACATTTATAGCATAAGCTATTTCTGACCAAAACCCACAAGCCCAAACCATGGCACTACAGGTATGAGGAAGAGAACCGATCATTGTTCACCACATCAGTTGACTCTCTCCTTCTGAGCACACAGCTCAAGTACTTTTTCAGCTTCTTCTACAATTAGGTTTGACCATGCAATTGAATTCTATCTAATAGAAGATAAGTTTGATGTCCTTTTCTTTATCTTCCCATATCTAATGGCTAGATATCAACAACCTGGTGTGATCTTGGAAGCTACACATGCAAAATGCAATGATTCCATCAACCTGTGTTCTTGCATGACTGCCAGGAACAGACTTTTCCACACCCGTCTCTCCCACAGAAAATTGCATTCTAAATTAGCATGTGTTAAGTCTTCAATATTTGAAGAATTACCTTAATTGATCCAAGATGTAATTTTCTCTTCATTCATCTCTACACTATTTATCCCAGGAAATTCAACCATCAATCCTGGCAAAAGGAAAGGAGAGAGGAAGATAAGGGAATATCTGTCTCCTCTCTTCTCAAGTTGTTTTCTTTCTTTGACTTATTTGTATTTCTTTGATGGAGTCTTACCTGTCACTACATTCCTTACTCCATATTATGTTCGTGAGGCTATGTTTGAAGGGACTTCAAAAAGTTCACAGAAGAAATAAATTAAACTCCAGGTTGGACTTCAAGACCAGCCTAGGAAACATGGCAAACCATGTCTCTACAAAAAAAAAGAAAAAAGCAAAAATTAGCTGGGTGTGGTGGGATATGTCCGTAGTCCCAGCTACTCAGGAGGCTGAGGTGGGAGGATCACCTGAATCTAGGAGGCAAAGGTTGCACTGAGTCAAGATTGCACCAGTGCACTACATCCTGGACAACAAAGCAAGACTCTGTCTCAAAAATAAGATTAAAAATGTATATAAACTTTATTTCTCAACATAAGCTCTATCAGGTTCAACGTACTTTTGTAATTGAGTTCCTCCCTAAAGAAATGAGGGTCGTGGGAATGTAACTATGTCAATGCAGTATTTTTTTACATTATTAACTGAAGAAATATGGGTGCTCTTTAAAGATTTTTTTTAAATATTAAGAACAAAAGGAAGTCAGAAGGAGCAAAATCAGGATTGTAAAGTGGATCCCTAATGAGTTCCCATCAAAACTCTCACAAAATTGCCCTTGTTTAATGAAAGAAATGAGCAGGAGAATTGTCCTGGTAAAAGACTCTCTGGTGAAGCTTTTCTGGGCATTTTTCTGTTAAAGCTTTGGCTAACTTTCTCAAAACACTCTCTTAATAAGCAGATGTTATCATTCTTTGACCCTTCAGAAAGTCAGCAAACAAAATGCCTTGAGCATAACAACAACAAAAAAAAAAACTATTGCCGTAGACTTTTCTCTTGACCAGCTCACTTTTGCTTTGACTGGACCACTTCTACCCCTTGGTAGCCATTGCTTTGATTGTGCTTTGTCTTCAGGATTGTCCTGCTAAAGCCATGTTTCATTTCCTATTATGATTTATTTTATTAAACGCTTCAGGATCATGATCCGACTTGTTTAAAATTTCCATCAAAAGCTCTGCTCTCATTGCAGGTGATCTGGGCATGATGTTTTTGTGCATTTTACACATGAGGTGGAAAGTTTACTCAGTTTTAATTTTTCAGGCAGAATTGTGTAAGCTGAACCATTTGAGATGTCTTTGGTGTTGGCTATTGTTTGTGCTGTTATTTGTCAGTCCTCTTCAATTAGGGCATGAACAAGATTAACATTTCCTTGCAAATTGATGTGGATGGTCTGCTGCTGTGGGCTTCATCCTCAACATTGTCCATCCTTTCTTAAAATGAGTTATTCATTTGTAAACTGCTGATGTCTTTGGGGCATTGTCCCCCTAAACTTTTGGTAAAGCATCAGTGATTTTGCCATTCTTCCACCCAAGCTTCACCATTAATTTGATGTTCGTTCTTGCTTCAATTTTAGTAGAATTCATGTTGCTCTAATAGGGGCTCTTTTCAAACTGATGTCTTAGCCTTTTTTAGTGCCTCAAACTAGATCCTATTTCAGACATGTTACAAGTCAGTATGAGTTTATTTGGTGCAAAGAAAATGTTGACGTCCATGAATAGTTTTTTTATGATACACAATTTCCATGTATTTTTCAAAGACCCCTTATATAATTCAGGGTGATTTTACTTGAAACATCAAAAAGCTCAGTTCAAACAATAAAAGAAAGTTTTTGGCTCCCATGATTGAAATAGTCCAGAGGTAGGACAGGCTTTAGAAATAGTTGAATGAGGGCTTGCAGTCTACTTCCCTGCAACTCTAACTTTTGCCCTTCTCTGGCTGATTTCTCCTATGGTAGCACAACAGCTAGCACATCTGCACAACACATCCTCTAGAGCAGAAGTGCTATTCTCTTCCTTTCTCCCTTATACAAGAAGTTTTGTGCTCCACTCTCATTGGATCAGTTAAATCCTGGGCTCACTCCTGAACTAATCACTATTACTCAAGAGTACCTCGTGCTTGGGTATTCATCCCTGAACTAATACGGCAAGAGAGATGAGCTTGTGCTGATTGTTTTATTACAACTTGGAAACTGGTCAATCCCACCCAAATGGTGTGGCTGATGCTCAGTGGGATGAGGAAGAATGTCTTCTACAGGGTGAATGGGGTAGGAAGTGACATCCATGTCAGACTCCAGGGATAGATTAGACTAGTTTCTGGTCCCATGACAGCCTAGTTCTTAATAAGAATGCCTTATATTTTTTCAATGCTTTATAATGCCCTAAGATTTTATAACTATATAATTTATTATATAGGAGTCCACTAAAATTTTTTAGACTGTATGGTACTTATTTTATCAGACTTTACAGATAAATTTTAGGCCCAAAATGATTAAAAAAATTGCCTGAGATCACCGACCAGTTAGTGGCAGAACTAGAATTCAGCTCTTGTAATGTTTTGCTACGTGTTTATTCCACTATACAAGAATGCTTCCTGTCTTCTTTGGCTCTCTTTAAAAATGTGTTAGACGAAGATTGTGTTAAAATTGGGTTTCTGGTTCAGAAAATCTAAACTGCTACAAGGATAATTGCCCCCATAAAGTACCACTGTGGCTGCTTTTCATTCTAAATTGCTTAATCTTTGTGAGTTCAGGTGGCCAAATATACCCTCAATTAGGCTTCTTATCCATGAACACAAAGCTCCATTGATGGACAATGAGCAATTCAACCTTTGTTATGATCAAATCCTAGGGTTAAAGGTAAACACACAATTATAGTTAAGAAAGAAAACAGGCTTTCACTCTTTTATGCTCCTCTGAGAAGTCAGTGTACTGAAAATTAAAGGGAGTGATAGTCTGGCTGCATATAAGCATAAGGCATTGATTAGAGTATTATGCATTACAAGTTCATTGCTGTTGAACAGTGAAAGCATATAATTACTCTTCATAGAATGCAGTGCGCAGAAAGCAGAGAAGTACATTTCCAGGCCCATGTATTTAAATTACGAATGCAGAGCTCATTTTCACCTAAAGAGAAGGCATCATGATTCAGTTATTTAATCATTTTTAAACAGAGATAAGGATTCACTAGAATGAGAGAGAGAAATGCTTTCATTAAGAGTCACATTACCATATTCAATGTAGAAACTATTGAACCAGAGAGATATTTTTAGAAAATTCATTTGCCTACATTAAATCATACTGAACAAAAAAAAACTAAAGAAAAGGTACATACTCCAGGTAGTTGAAATAATAGTTTGAAGAAACACAAAATTAGATGGGAACTTGGAAGTAAAATGTTACAGTTAAGCAAAGCAATCACACACAAAATTGATAATAAATCACTCACAACTGACTTAATCTCAGAAGTCAAGTATTTTAAGGAAGATGCCTGAAAATGAAGTTAGGAAACCTAATTTCTCTTCCCACATCCACTGAAGATTTCTTTTGAAGGAAAGTCACTCAACTTCCTGTCTAACTCCCCTGTAAAACAGAACCATAGAACCATATCAATCCTGATCTTTTGTGGATTTTACAGTTGTTGCACTCTATTTTAAAGCAAATGGGAATTTCTTGCAAATGGCCAAACACATGACCACATGCAATGTATATAAGTGTACTTTGATTATTAGAAGAACAATTGTTCATTTTTTAAAAGATTTTTGATTCCTAAACATTTTTTAGGCTATAACATTTTCATTTTTCTTTTTACACTTAAAAAGGTCACTGTAATGTTGTCCTTATGAACCTTTCTGGCATGCAAAGAAAGAATTGAGGGGTCTAAACTTTATTTGTTGTTTTCCTTTAAGTTCTTACTCCCTCATTGACTCAATTAGTGTCCTTTGTTTGCAAGCAAAAGAAACTGGTTCTGGCAAACCTGGGCAGAGAAGGAATGTACTTGAAGTATGAGGCACAGCTTGCAGAATCCAAGGAAAGCTAGAAACCTTAGGTGAGGACAGGAGCCAGGGTGACCACAAGAATGACCCCAAGAATGCTTTGATAACATTTCAAAGCTTGAGCTCTGCAATGAAGGAACTTCCATGGATTGTTCGTCTTTGTGCAACTTCCCACAGATTTAAATACCAGAAAAGAAATTTCCTTTGGACTACCTTAGGTTGCCTTTTGGCAAAAGGAGGGCAGGGGCTCTTGAAGGGCTCCCCCTCAAGAAGACTACAATGGAGATATGTTAGAGGAGGGTTGTAATTCTCCAAAAGGAGTCATGCGTGTTGGACAGCCTCAAATATAAATGCCCATTCAATACATTTTATTATTTCATTTCATCCAGCTTATTTTATAGTGTGCAGGGGTGGTTGCTGGTTTATTAATGTATTGCCAAATAATCATTAATTTGGAGATAGAATTTATACCTAATTGGAGACTACTTGCTGAGAATTGCTAAGACAGTCTGAGCCATTGCCTTAAAAGGAACAAATATTCTGTAAGTTGTAGCCACACTGCCTTTAACACGAGGACATAATGGTTAAGGGATAGGAATTTGCACTGGTATTGTGGCCAACAGCAAGAACAAAATGCCCCTTTTGTTGTTCTATTAATAAACACCTTGCTGTGGAATATATTATGTCAAATGAATTTGGTAACAGGCTGATTGCATGCCATTTCTTTGGAGATGAACTGCAAAGGTGTGCTCCCTTGTAACTCCCACACAGGTAAATAGAGTTGACTCTTACCAGTTGTTTGGCCATCAATTCTCATCCAATCCCCATGGGAACACAGTAGCTTAAAACAATAGGCTTGCATTGGGCTGTCATTTAAAAATAGAAATTGGTAGCTGCCTCCTTATTTCTGCACAGTGGGTCAGAACCTCTGCTGGCAGTTTAAAATGTTTTAAAAACAGTAGGACAGCCCCCAGATCAATCCATCCATCAATCAATCTATCATGGAATTTACATAGCATCCCTAGGGAACAACTGTCTAGAGTGCTTTACAAAACACAATAAACTCTGTGAAGGCCAAACCCCAAATCAACCCTAGTATTAATACGAGTCTCTTCTGGTAAGGAATCAGTTTAATTTCAGGGGAAGAAATTATAAGACCTTCTCATCTAAAACATTCTCTCATTATAGTCAATAATGTATTAGAGATTAAAGTGATAAAAATAATACAGCTTAAAATCATCCCCCTGAATAATAAATTGGACCCTTCTGCTTTTACTTTTCCATTTTCTCCTCTTTTTCTTCCTTTTCATCATTTTCTCTTTTTCTTTCTACCCCTATCTCCTATTCATCTCCTCCATCATCAGTAGTATAAAGAACTATGTTTACCTCTATAACCCTCGGTATCTATGAAAAGGCTCTTCAAAGCAAAGCTGAAAATTAATATGAAAGGAAGATATCCATGACATCTTAACCTGACATTAATTTTGTCAATCTCATTACCTAGGTGGGTGTTTTCTGTCTCCCTCTTTCCAACATCTGCAACTCTGCTCCTAGAAAAATAGCTTTCTCGTATAAAAGTGAAGAGCTTATAAATCAATGATGTACTAAGCAGAAACAGTGGGCTGTCAATAGTTTTGTTGGAATCATTAGTCCAGCTGCAATTAGGCAATGAGTGCCTGTCCTTTTTGCCTAGAACAAACTACAGCCTGAAGTCCAAATCCAACTTGCCTCTTGTTTTTGTATACAATTTTATTGAAACACAGCCATACCTAGCTGTTTGCCTATTGTCAATGACTTCTCTTGCACTATATCAGCAGAGTTGAGTCATTTCAACAGGGACCACATGACCTATAAAACTGAAAATACTATCTGGCCTTTTGCAGATAAAGCTTGCCACCAGCTAGCCTAGGACTTCTCTAGGTGAGTACTACAGTAAAATAATGGGGAGAGTATTGTTTATTTCTCTTAAAAAGCATGTCATCTTATTGAATTGAGAGGCTGATCACAGAGGAGATTTTAGTTAATAAGATAGAATTTAAGAAATGTCAAATTCGTGCAGTATTGATTGCATTTATATAAATAATTCAGAGACGAGCGTCAGTTGGCAACATTGCAGAAAGTTCAGTGATGGAAATGAACTTTGTAGAGTGAACAGGATTTGAATCAAAAAATTTCAGAGCTGGAAAGCAACTTTGAAGACATCTGATCCAGAGGTTCCCAAAATCTAGGCCATAGGTTAGTGTTGGTCTGTGATGGGGTTTCCCCTAAATATTACCAACAAAAAGGAAATAATAATAATAATAATATGGCTGAAGACTTAAAGGCAGGGCTTTTTCTATATCTGCCCAATGTGGATTGTGTCTCCTTGTATGAGGAGACAAAATTTAAATTTATAAAGCTAAATTTACTCAACCTAAGAATTATCTCCTTCCTATGTTTGTATTGAGATTTCCTTTTTTTTTCCTTTTTTGAAATGACATTGAGAGTAGATAGTATGTGCTGTTTCTGCAATTATTTGTACCCTTACTTCGTAGAAAAAAATTTGGCCACTTTGTATTTTCTCCCTTAATATTTTTATTTTATTTTATTTTATTTTATTTTATTTTATTTTATTTTATTTTGAGACAGAGTCTCGCTCTATTTCCCAGGCTAGAGTGCAGTGGCGCGATCTCGGCTCGCTGCAAGCTCTGCCTCCCGGGTTCACACCATTCTCCTGCCTCAGCCTCCCAAGTAGCTGGGACTACAGGCACCCGCCACCACACCAGGCTAATTTCTTTTTGTATTTTTAGTAGAGACGGGGTTTCACCATGTTAGCCAGGATGGTCTCAATCTCCTAACCTTGTGATTTGCCCACCTCAGACTCCCAAAGTGCTGGGATTACAGGCGTGAACCACCGTGCCTGGCCCTCCCTCAATATTTTTTAATGATCATTGTGCTATGAAATTGAAGAGACTAGGAATGACAGACCTAAACAGATTACAGCAATATTTCAATGTCTTCTAAGTCAGTTGCACCAAATGGCTGATGGAATCAATGAGAAAAGAAGGCTGTGAAGACACCAGGAAGAGGAAGTAAGTTTTAGGTGGTGACTGATTTTGTTACTTTCCTCTTAACTCGGGGCCATCACACTGTATTCGGCTTTTGCACCAAAACCTCTCAATGCTCTAAGGCTCCCACTTGCACTATGCATTGCTCTGTAGAGCCTGCCAGGGGTTTTCTTAGGTTCGAGCACACATTCAGACTCAAAAATCCATCATAGGTCACATGTGACTTCAGTCTGCTAAAAAGGTTGAGATTCAGAATGTACAGTTCCCAGGAGGGCAGCAGCAGGCATTCTGTGGAAATCCTTGCAGCAGCCCCTGGAACAAGTATAATGGTCATCAGAGCATCTCCCTCGAGGTGACAGTTCAAGTGCTAGGGGAACCAGATCCATATCAGGCAGGTGTATGAGCAGCCCTGGCCCCACAGGAGCAAATAGCTCTTGTAACAACAACATAGGCAGAGTTCTTAGGGTGCATGCAAGGCATATGCCCGGTTACAAGAGCACTCACTGCACTCAGGGAAGCCCATAGCTATGGCTTCCTATTAGATATATGTAGTTCTCCCTGTCTAAATGTAATCTTCCAATGTGAAGTCATTTTATCCTTAGCAATGTTGCCTAGCAACAGTTGACATATTATCCTTATCAGGTTACCAGGGGAACAGAGCTCCAGAATTAACCAAAAGGTTAAATTCTTATGCAGAGTAGGAAAGGGTTTTATTAACCCTTTGCCCATGATTGCCTTCCAATCCCTTAGAATGGCCGGTGACAGGGAACATCTGGTCCTCTAAAGTTACCAAGGAAACTGAACAGCAGCATGTCCCATTTAGACAAGGGAGAATATTGACCCTCTCAAGTAAGTCCTGGAGGTTCTGAGTTGTTATGCAACTATGAATAAAAAGCAATTTGAATGATCACCACCCTCTCATTCTTAAGACCTCTTCTCAAATACCTCTTGTTCCCAGAAGCCCTCTCTGACCGCTGTGATTAAAGTGCATCCATCTTGGCTATTCTCCATCAAGACACTGTCTTCATTTCCTTCCATATCTCTTCCATGAAATGCTAATTTTAAAGTGTTCTGCTTATTTCCATTTTGGGCATCTCCCTCAGTAGTATATTAGCCATGTTCTCCTGGGCACCTAGGTCCATACCTGAAACATTGTATGTATCAAAGCAAGTATTCATTTAATGAAGGAATCGAGGAATAAAGCAAAGTGCTCAAAGCCATGAATGCTCATTGATCTAAGGTCCATGTTGCAGTTACATGCTGACCATTTCTCTCTTCCAGGCAAATGTTGAGGTTCATGTGGTTTGATCTCTTTTCCCCTGAAACTTCAATCTGGACCTCACATTTTAAGTGTCTCAGAGGTCTGAAAAAAATGTCTGTAGGAAATCTTCCTAGTCAAATTTTAAACAGCTGCAAGTTTTATTTAAATGTCATTTTAAATGCAGAAGGAACATAGTTCAGCAATGGTGTGGCATTCCTTTGGGACCTGTGATTCTCATGAGCTTTGACCGCGGTGAAGCACAATGGGTTTGGCACAGAGAACAGAGACACTTCTCTGTTTCTATGCAGATCGCTTTGATGAGACCCAAACTCAAAATTTAGCTAATCTAGAAATTGAAAGAAGAGATTTTATCCCTTTGCCTCAAGTGAGAACCAGTACTTCAACAAATATCTGAAAATTAAAAGGGTCTATTTTAAAATTAATTAAGGGTCTATTTTTAAAGCTCACAACATAAGGAAGGTAAAATAAGTTTCTTTAAAAGAAAACTTTTGAATTTAGCATACCTTTTCGGGCAAATTCATAAAGGGGAGAAATTCTGAGAAAACATTAAAGAAAAATTTCTCTCTTACACATTCCTTAAGCTAGTAGATATCATAGCAGTAGTGCCTTTGATGATATTCTTTTGCTAATAAATTTTTAAACTGGAAAGAGAAATTTGGTTTCCCAAAATGAGTATCAGCCCTGGGTTTCTGCAGCCAGAATTCTGATGTGATTCATTGAAAACACACACTGGGGCCAATGAGGGCTGTGTTAGGCATGAATAGCATGTCGGGGGATCCACTATCTAGTCATAATGCCTGGAGGTATTGATTCTTATAGAATGAGATTGGTCTATGTGGTGGGCTTGAATTTCAAAACCCCAAGCTGATGTCTTAGCTATCCATGTACACTCAATTTGAGTCAAAGTTTACAAAAAGCATAGAGACTTCTTTAAAGTTGGTTTAACAATTCTCATTTTGTCTGCCTGTATTTACTTTGGATTCAAAAAAGAGTAGAAAGGAAGACGAGAAAAGCATATAATGCCTTGGAATGCTGATCTCTTTGTTTGCTTGTTAATATTGAATGATGGAGCATTTCACAGGTAACAAGGGTTCTAAGCAGCTTTCTGAGATAAAAAGCAGATGACCCAATACTGGGGGTGCTGAAAAACTCTAACCAGGTCCAAAGTAGAAACTTCCTCTGGAACTGCTCCATCTTCGGGTAGCTTGCTAAAAGATTTTTACATTCAGTTGGGTATGTAACCAAGACGGGATGCTGCCCTTTGCAAACATGACATTAGCAATCATCAATGCACACCATCATCTCCCAGTAGGACAGTTTGCTATAGTCATATTTTGATTACAACTGATTAGAGACCAAAAGAGGACCAAATTCAGTCAGTGTGGCTCTTTTAGTAATCACTTCTTCCCATCCATGTTAGAGAACTATATAAAATAGTCCTACAGCAAACATTTTCCAAAAAGCAATGGGACTTGCAAAAATATGCAAATTAAAAGTACAGTAAGATACCACTTTTTTAACCTATCAGATAGGCAAGAAGAATGATTATATCCAATGTCAGAAGGGGTGTGAAGAAGCAAATATTGCAAATATTGTCTGGCATATATTGATGTGGAATTGTAAATTGGTTTTAACACAGCAATTTCACTTCTGGGAATTGATCACAAGGAAGTAATTTAAAATGTGGGCAAAATCTTATGTTCACAGAGGTTCACTGAAGTTTTATTTATTTTAAGTATACATATATGTACGTATGTCTGTGTCTGTGTGATATCTATACATATATATATATGATATATATATATAACCTCATGATTATGGCTTTGCCATCTTCCAGGTGAAAGATGATGGTGCTTTAAATCAATACGATAGCAGTGGGGTTGGTGACAAGCCATTAAAAACCATGTTGTAGAATTCTTATGATAATTTAAATGCAAGCAAAACAAACAAACAAATACCTTATGACTACTTGTCATGATTTTGTAAACCTGGGAAAAATTAGTTTAAGAACATATTCCCAAATAATCACACCGGTTATCTTGGCTGGTTGGTGCTGGCTTAAACTTTTTGAGTTTTCTTTTTCTTTTTAGACCAAGTCTTGCTCTGTTGCCCAGGCTGGAGTGCAGTGATATGATCTCAGCTCACTGCAACTTCTGCCTCCCAGGTTCAAGTGATTTTCGTGCCTCAGCCTCCTGAGTAGCTGGGATTACAGGGGCCTGCCACCATGCCCAGCTAATTTTTGTATTTTTAGTAGAGACAGGGTTTCTCCCTGTTGGCCAAGGCTGGTTTCAAACTCCTGACCTCAGGTGATCCGTCTGCCTCGGCCTCCCAAACTGCTGGGATTACTGGCGTGCAGCTGTGCCTGTGCAACTTTTTGAGTTTTCCAATCAAGGGTAGAGGAAACTTCTGCATTATTTTTCAATCAAGGGTAGAGGAAATATCATAATTTCGAGTCTCAGAAACCAAAGGACCAAGCCACTGAATTCTCATTACCAGAACATTACCATCTTGGATATGTCTCTGGGGTTTTGCATTACTCCAGATCTGGGCTCCATTTCCTTTCAGAGAATAGTTTTCTCTTCTTTCCCTTCAGAATACAGAGGAAAACACATTACAGTTGGTTTTTCCAAAGACACTTTCATTGGTTAAGAACTAAGACTCTTCCTGCCAAGGTCATATTGTAAGAGCTGGCTAAACTAATAGTAAGTGAACATTGCGTGGTGTGTTGGGATACTCTCTCGAGGACACAAGTAAAGACATTATCTATTGTTCTTACGCTGAAGAGAATGTCCTATTTGCTAACTCATTCTTCCTACCTGAGTCAAGAGGGACTATTCTGATGCTTTATAGTGTCTAACAGCCAAGAATATTGCACTTGACCTGTTGACTGAATGCATTCTACCTATTTGAATTAAGTTGTACAATCCTCTTGTTTTTCAAAAATAACTGAGTGTTTTTATCACCAGAAGTGTTTTGCATTGATACTTGGGACTCTGCATTGATTGCATTGATACTGGGACTCTGAGGTTTTTTAGACACGTACTTCTTTCAAGCTCATTAGGAAATGATTTCAGTTTTATTTATTTTCTTTGCTTAGTGACTAGAAACTGTATAAGAAAATATTTTTATTAAAAAAAGTCAATAGAATAAACTTTTTGAATGGTAAAGATACAGAAATTCTGTGCAAATCCCAATTTTTTTTTCATGCAACTCTAAGAAAAGGGGGTTAGATTAGCGTAGTAAGTTAATTCACACAGGTGGTTAAATCAAGCTTCCTGACTAACGAAACGATACAATTCAACAAATGTTTTGAGCATCTTTACATTTACTTAAGGGCATTCTGATCAGGAGTTTAACTAGCTGAACTGACTTGAAGCAAAAACATATTTTAGTTATTTTAAAGTAAAGAATATGTATCCAAGCATTATTGTGTATTTAAGGGCATTTCTTAAATTTGGTTGCAGTGTAATAACAGCATCAGAAATAGTAGTAATATTGGTGATCATTGTATTGAAGTGCTGATTTTGTATAAGATCTGTGCTAAGCAGCTGACTTGTATTAACTCATTGTTTTCAAAACAGTCCGAGGAGAAATGTACTATTATGCTAATTCACAAATAAAAAAACTAAATCTTAAATAAATTAAAATAAGCATATTGCTATTATGATTTAATATTTAGAGACTGAAGAGTTAAGATCAGCATTCGTGGTAAGATATTCACTTGAAATTATTTAGAGTTATTTTTGACATTTTGAACTTCTCTTGCCCGTTGAAATCAGCACTAACACTTGATGAGTACAGAAAAGTGGCAAAGCTGACTTACGAACAAACTGATCCTGGAATCCTATGAACTGCTTATCAGGATGTGCTTTACTGATTAGGCAGCCAAAGGACCAAGTTCTAGTCCAGACCTTGGTCCTTTCTAGTTGTGTGTTCCTGAGGAAGTCCCTTAATGTTTTTGGGTTTAAGATTCCCTAAATTAAAGTCTGAGAACAAGGATTTGGTGATCCCTTAGGTTCTTTCTAGTGGTCACATTTAAAAGTGACAACTGGGTTATTGTCACCAGGATATGAAGCTTGGCATATCAATGGGGGGCCTTCGGTTTCTACATGGAGAAGCTTGATTCATCACAGAAACTAAGACAAGAATGGGCTAAGCATCTAGCTACGTCAATAATTATATTTTCACAGGGAAGTGACTGAGAAAAAGAATATCTAGGAGGGAACTCTGCCTTCAACTGTGTTCAGCTTCATTTCCAAATACATCAAACTAAGCATTCCCTTGGCATACTTGTACTGAATGGATTTCTACTAAACTTTTGAACATCAAATATATTGCTTAGTTTGATGCGTTCTATATACATCATCCAAGATTCTTTCTGATGCAATAATTTGAAAATTGACCCAACTTGGTTTAAACCCAAAGGGAATTTGTTGGTTCATATAACCAGAAAGTTCTAGGGTAGAACTCACTCCACACATGTGGAATCAGAGCCCCAAACAAGTCATCTCTCCATGTTCTATTCTCATTTTCTATATGAAGGCCCATGCAGCTCTAGGATCTTTCCTTATAATGAAAAGGGAAGCTATGTTATGGCTCCTAAAAGCACTACCTGTGAATTTTCTATGCTTCTTATTCACTGTGATTAGATCACGTGACCTTTTCTGAACCAATTACCGTAGGGAGAAACCTGTGATGTTCTGACTGGTTGTACTGAGCTACATCTCACTCCAGGCCATAGCGGAGGTCCAGGAAGATCCACCAGAAGCAGCTTGAATGTGAATTACAACGGGATGGTCCCCTACAGTGTAAAAGGGTATGGTTCAAAGAAGAAGGTTTAGTAGATGATCAGCAGCAAAATTAACACATGTTCCCTATGTTATGTTTCAGAGCAAAGGATAGCAACCATGTTTGGATCTAATGATGGCTTCCAGAATGCCATTTTCTCTAATAACTGAGTAAAATCATAGTATTTCAGAGAAAAAAGGCTTGGAAAGTCAATCTGTCTTCCATCTTTCACAGATGAGGAAATTGACTCCCTGAAGAGGTAAAATATTGGGAGCCACATTGCCTTTACCTGATTTAATTCAATATATTTTTAACATTTTCTATCTTGGAATTTATAGAACAGACTAAAAGAAAGAGAATGTTCCGCTGTCTCTTCTTTGTTCCTTCAAAACCACCATCTGGAGAACTTAAGTAGAATTTAAATCTTAGTATGTACCATCAGAGTTTTGATTTTTTTCCCCAAGAGGGCCTTAGTGGATATTGGCTTTGTTTTTAATCAACTAAACCTGCAGATCAGTAACCATTTCCATCTGCATTTAGTCACTTCATCATTTCTTCATTTCCTCTTAAGTTAATGTATTGTATTTTGTGGCTAATTTTAAGAACTAGCTTGAAAACGATTAAAATAAATATAGGAAAAATAATGAATACAGATATGTCATTCCTAGAGGCCATAGAGCAAGAAAAAATAATTACCACTCCAATCATCACCCTAATTTTATTCTGTCAGATTATCTCCCAGTTATAAGTTTGTATTGATACGACTTATGAAGTACAAAATAAATCCAACCAAAAATAAAAAATAAAAAAGGTGACACAAGATTCTTTAGTGTGCAAGTAAGGCCCTTGTATTACTAAAATTAACACACCATAAAAGCAGACTGTGGGTCTGTTCCCCCTCAGGGACAGCTCAGAATTTAGAGGATATAAGAGGCAAGTCAACTGCACCTGGAAATGGAATGAGGGCTGATGCTGTCAAGGAGGTAGCCTTTGGAGGCCGGTACCCTTTTGGGCCCTCACATCTGTCAAGGATTGCCCTCAGGAATCAGCGAAAGTCGATGCAAATCCAGGCAGTTTCCCTGGCAACCAAAAATGAACTGTGGGGTCTTTTCAGGCCTAGGGACATTTTTAGAGAGCTGAAATAAAAACATCCCTATGACAAAACTCTAGATGGAAACTAATAAGGCACACCAAGTCAAGATAATTTAAAATCAGGAATTTGCTCACTTTCTGCCTTCTCTCCCCCTCTTTTTTTTCCTTTCTCTTCTCCTGCCTCTTTCCTTTACTTTTGCTAGTTACTATGGATTTGTGGTTTCTGGGTTTTTTTTTAACTTGGGGGCTATCTCTACCCTTGGGTGCATTCTACCTACTTTTTCTGGTTGAACAGATTCTTTTCCCCCACATTTTCAAAATGATCTTTTGAAAATCTTTATGAAAAATATATAGAATTTTAGCAAAATTTGGTGTGTTAATAAGAAATGAAAATTTCCTATTGGACTCCTGGCTGACTTTCTCCACAATCCTGCCCACCTTGTTAACAAATGGAAAGTTTAGTATGCACATTACTCTCTGCTCTGGATTTGCATTCTGCAAAAGAGTGTTGTCCAACTTGCAATCCATGTGGGATGCCTATGGCCTTTCAGAATGTGACTATCTGCATTGTACTTGGTGGCCAGTGATATATGGTGGCCCTTTCATAGGCTGGTGGGCTTTCCTGCTGCTCTGTTTTTCTCCTGGCCTTTTAAGGCTGCTCCCAAACCCAGTGAGAGATGAATATACTCCAGGCTTCTGTGGGTATGGAAAGGAGTTTTGGGGACCATGTAACAAACTGCTGAAGAGCAGGGGCTCTGGGATCGAACAGCCAAGGATGTGAGGCCTTCCAACTATTAGCAATGTGACTGTGGATAAATTTGTTGATAACACACTTCTTTCACACCCAAATTCTTCTCCTATAAAATATGTCATTCTCTATCTTCCTGTATTTTTTAAAAAGGCTTCTTTCACTAAAAAAAACAACAACAACAATAACCAAATAAAAAACTGCCCTGCACCACAAGTTCAGCCTGGCCCATGGCTGTTGAGAGAGTGATTATATTCTGTGGCCTTTCTAGCAATTACCTGTGGCCATGAGATTTAGTTGTGGCCAGTGAGATGTGAGCTGAAGTAATCAGTCCAATTCTTACCCTTGAATTAGAAATACTGGGTGTGCACATCTCATACTCTTTCTTCTCCTTTGCCATGGCTTGGAAGTGGCAATGCCTGGAAAATCCAATTTGGAACAGGGGGTATGGCAGCAGAACCATTCTAGTAGCTCCTTAGCATTCACCTTTGTAAAATTATATGAGAAAAAAAAATCCTCTTGTGTAATCCCACGAACTTTCTTTGTATTAGTGTTTTCATGGTATGCTTTTTTGCATTTATTTGTAACTTTTTGGTGTCTTTATATTTAAGATTTTCTGTTATAAGCATATATACCTGAGTTCCCATTTCAGTAAGTTGGACAATCTATCTTTTAACTGTAATATTTTATCTATTTATGTTTAACTGTTGGCATATTTGGGCTATCTACAATGTTGATATTACTTCCTAATTAACTCAACTTTTCTAATGTTCCTAATGTCTATTATATTTTAATGTCAATATTAATTTACATGTTCTCTCTTTCCTACTTAATATTTTTGATATGGTTTGGCTCTGTGTCCCCAACCAAATCTCAAGTTGTAATCCCCAGTGTTGAGAGAGGGATCTGGTAGGAGGTGATTGGATCATGGGGGTGTATTTCCCCTTGCTGCTCTCATGATAGTGAGCAAGTTCTCATGAGATCTGATGGATTAAAAGTGTGTGGCACTTCCCCCGTCTCTCTCTCTCTCCTACCACCATTTGGAAAAGGTCCTTGATTCCCTTTCACCTTCTGCCATGATTGTAAGTTTCCTGAGGCCTCCCAGTCATGCTTCCTGTTAAACCTGTGCGACTGTCAGTCAATTAAACCTCTTTTCTTCATGAATTACCCAGTCTCAGTTAGTTCTTTACAGCAGTGTTAAAATGGACGAATGCAATCCCTAGGGACAGATAAAATATCTTGGTTAATCTTAATAATAAAATTTGTCAAGCATTTACTCATTTAAAACACTTTGCTAAGCATTTCATATGCATTAATTTATTTAATTTATTTATCAATTAAGTAGGTAGTATTTTATCACCATTTCACAGAAAGGCAATTAGATACCCAATAATAGGTTAACTTGTTCAAGATTAATCTGTAAAATGCTGGATAATTTGGAAACTCAGAATTGGTAGTTAGAAGATCACAGAAATAAGAATCAGAGGCCAAAAAGAAAGTGAGCCAAACTACCCTACCTTCAACCCTGCACGAGAAAGTCTATTTAGTAAGGGATTCATTTTACTTGTAGGAACTGGAATATTACTCTTAGAAAATCTGAGAAGTAGGTCCATCAATATGGATGTTGATGTCTTGGAGTAAATACTTCTGCTTTCTGGTATTTAGGAATTGCACAGCAGGAGTTTGGCTCTTTACTCAGTTCATACGAAAGTCTGCCAATCAGCGAGTGTGCTATCCCATTGGCTGTTTAACTGCCTCATCTTTAAGTAGAAATAAACAATGAAACTTTAGACATTAGATGAAAACTTGCAACCTGAAAGGAAAAACCAAGATAAATAGAGGAAACTGGGATAATACAAAAACAAAAAAAGAAGAAGCTTAGACAATCTCCATTATTGCTATCAAGGAGATCCATGAGGCTATTGCAATCACAAAACAAGAACAGAGTATGACTGAGAAGGAACAGTCAGGGAATAAGAAGGAAATCTTGCAAATTAAAAATAATTGCCAAAGCTTAAGATAATTCACCAGAGGACTGGAAAATGTGAAGATAAAAAAAAAAGAGCTCACAAATGCCCACCACAATGAACAAAAAGGAGCCTAACTAGACACATGGCTGTGAAACGTAAGAATAGCACAGGTAAGAGGAAAATCTCAATAGTGTGAAGGAATAAAAAATACATTGCTTTTAAGGAGCATGTTTCATTCTGTCATGACAGTCCTTATCAACATTACTGGAAGACATAAACAGTGCCTTCAATATTCAACTGGAAAATTATTTTAAATCTGAAATTCTGTACCCTGGCCAGGTGCAGTGGCTTATGCCTGTAATCCCAGCACTTTGGGAGGCTAAGGCAAGCAGATCACTTGAGGCCAGGTGTTCAAGACCAGCCAAGGTCACCATGACAAAACCCCGTCTCTACTAAAAATACAAAAAATTAGCTAGGCTTGGTGGCACGCACCTGTACTCTCAGCTACTCAGAAGGCTGAGGTATGAGAATCACTTGAACCCAGGAGGTGGATGTTGAAGTGAGCCAAGATAGCGCCACTGTACTCCAGCCTAGGCAACAGAGCAAGACTCTGTCTCAAAATAATAATAATAATAATAATAATAATAATAATAGTAATAATAATAATAATAAATAAAATCTGTACCTTGAAAAACTATCCAACAAAAGTAGAAAAAAATATTTTTAGGCATATAGGATCCCATTTCCTTCCTCAATAGGTTGCATGGTCAACCTCAGAAAGATATATCCATGTCCTAACCCCATAAATTGTGAATGTGATCTTATTTGAAAAAATATATCTCTGCAGATGTAATTAAGTTAAAGATTCTGAGATGAGATCATCCTCAATTATCTGAGTGGGCCCTACATCCAATGACAAGTGTCCTTAGAAGACACAGGGAGAAGGCCGGGCGCGGTGGCTCACGCCTGTAATCCCAGCACTTTGGGAGGCCGAGGCGGGCGGATCACGAGGTCAGGAGATCGAGACCATCCCGGCTAAAACGGTGAAACCCCGTCTCTACTAAAAATACAAAAAATTAGCCGGGCGTAGTGGCGGGCGCCTGTAGTCCCAGCTACTTGGGAGGCTGAGGCAGGAGAATGGCGTGAACCCGGGAGGCGGAGCTTGCAGTGAGCCGAGATCCCGCCACTGCATTCCAGCCTGGGCGACAGAGCGAGACTCCGTCTCAAAAAAAAAAAAAAAAAAAAAAAAAAAAAAGAAGACACAGGGAGAAAAAGACATAAATGGCAAAGGCAGATTGGAGTGATACAGCCAAGGAAGCCAAGGACCACCTGAAGCCATCAGAAGCTGGCAGAGGCAGTAAAGGATTCTCCTGTCAGCTCTCCAGAAGGAGCACAGCCCTGCTAACACTTGGATTTTGGACCTCTGGCCTTGAGAACTGTGAGAGAGTAAATGTGTGCTGTTTTAAACCACCAGTTTGTGCTGATTTTTTTTTTGCATCAGCCACAGGAAACTAATATTCCTCAACCCAAACACTTGGGGTATTATTTGAGTATGTGTTCTAGCAAAATGGGAGAATAAATCATGAAAGAGGAAAAGGTAGAATCCAGGCAAGATTGGTTTCAACCCAGAAGAGTAAAAATGGAAATTCAGGATGACAATGAGCAACAGGCCTAGAAATCAAGCAGTAAAGCAAAAGAATCAATAACTCCAGGAGAAAGGCATTCATTAACTTGACATTACCCATGAGACATTGCAAAACCATAAGAATACATTAAAGGCAGTTGATAGAAGAAAAAAAATTGAAGAAAAATATAAAACAGAAAATACCAAAACCTGTAAAAGAAATAAAATATAATCATAGTATACTACTAGGCTATGTAGTGAATATTTATAGCATTGTAACAATGCAATTACTGTTTATTGGCTTACATTTTAAATCTAGATTTACAATATGCAATGATTAGATTCAAGCTATCAGTAAAGCAAGGAAGTATTAATTAACTTTCTGAACACAAACTACAAGTTGGGGCAGGGACACGTAATAAATTAAGCAAATAGAAGGGATTGGAGGAAAGTAGAAAGAAATAATGGAAGTGATCATGACTATCTTAATACATTTTGTATTGCTATAAAGGAATATCTGAGGCTGGGTAATTTATAAAGAAAAGAGGTTTATTTGGCTCACAGTTCTGCAGGCTATCCAGGAAGCATGGTGCCAGCATCTGCTTCTGGTGAGGATCTCAGGCTGCTTCCACTCATGGCAGAAGGTGAAGGGAAGCCTACGTGTACACAGATCACATGGTGAGAGGGGAAGCAAGAGACGGGGAGTAGGTTCCAGGCTCATTTTAACAACCAGCTTTCCAGGGAACTAATAGAGCAAGAACACACACACTCCCTTCTCCAGAGAAGGCATTAATCTATTAGTGAGGGATCCATTCCTATGACCCAACACCTCCCACTTGTGGGTAAAATTTCAAGAGGAGATTTGGAGGGATCAAATATCGAAACCATAGCAATGACCTTTTATGTAAACAGGGAAATCAAATGCAATTTGTGGTAAACAGAATGATAAATAATGGAGAGGTGAGAATATAATTGTTAAGCTTACATATTCTACAAATGTAGAAACTAAAAATAAAAATGTAATTATATTCTAGAGAAGGGAGATAGAACATTGTATCATAATACAGTCATATAATGTATTTTAGAGCTAAGTCCTCTTCTTCTTATCAGGGAATCAATGAATAGTGTCTAAAATTGGTCAATCAATAAATAGCTCTCATGCTATCTCTCATATATATATATACACACACATATTCAGCAATAAAACTAATTAAGCTTCCAGTAGACTGGGTGAAGTAGATAGATAGATAGATAGATAGATAGATAGATAGATAGATAGATAAAACTGATTAAGCAATAAAAGAAATAAAACTAGATAAAATAAATACCAATCATTCCCTGTGAGTTATAGCATGTGAATGACAAGGGGTGGCCCAATGGATGGTTTCCTTTTGTTCTAAATTCTTAGGCACTAGTTTGTGCTCTATATCATGTACTTGTATTACTATGAAATATTTGTTTTTATAAAGCAATTTTGAGCTTCCATTTAAGTTGTAAAAAACTAAAAAGAATGTCCCTTCCGCATTTACTACAACAAAAACACTAGACAATCTACCAATTCGTAACCTTTCTTGAACGTATCAGAAAGCTGCAACTAATCTGAAATCTAAAGAAAGGCAGGCATATTCAAGAAGTGATTGGATCTGAGTACTTACTTAGCTACGGCAGATGCTGGAAGCCAAATAAGACATTAAGAATTCAACAAGCAGTTGTGCACCTGTAGTCCCAGCTACTCAGGAGGCAGAGGTAGGAGGATCACTTGAACCCAGGAGTTTGAGGCCAGCCTGGGCAGCATAGTGAGACCCCCTTCATCTCTAAAAAAAGAAAAAAAAAAGAAATCAACAAAGGCCAACCGTGGGATGGCAAGAAATTACAGAAACCCTGGAAGCCACATGAGAATTCACAGCCCCCTTGAATGGATATGTCACAATTTGTTCATAAGAAAGATTGAAGTCAGGGAAAGAGCCTGAAATAAGCCTCCCTCCTGGTGCAGGCATGGGATAGGGGAACCCAGCCTGTGTAGGAAGCATGAGGCCCCACCCAGGTCCTTCTTCCCTGTCTCCCTATGGAACAAAAGTCTTAAGCCACTGAGGGAACGGCAACAAAACTTGTCAACAAATAGGTGAAGTCCTACTGAATCCCAGGGGAGGAGGCAGGAGTACATTTGAAGCCCAGATGATTAGATCTCCCTGAATATGGGAAAGGTGGGCAGCATTACTAACAAAGCCCCACATCATGGTCCAGAGACACAACATTCACTTACATCTGAGGCTGAACCAGGAAGACAGGATACAGCCCCCTACCTCTACCATCAGGCTAGCAACTGTCCAGTAACAGGTGGTTGTCCACAGCTGGAACAAGATCAAGAGCCTGGGAGAAAGCCGTCTTCTCTGAGACACAAGGGCATAGGAAACATCTAAAGCTGAGGGCAGAGCAGGTATTAAGAAAGCCTTGTGTCAAACTAACTGCCCCCTAAACACAAAGCAATACTTAGAGGAGTTTGGACACTTGGGTGTTAGAGAATAACCATAACAAAAGCAAAACCCAAATCCAGTTCCACTCCAGGCTAACTTGATTCAATCCTGCAAACTAAAGTCCTAGGAATAAAAAAAAGTATACCCATTTCCAGGCTTAAATATTATATACCTCATTTGCTACACCTTATACTCAAAACTCAAACTTGTCTCTTTTCCTATGTTCCCTTTTTCATCATAGACTAGCACTGCTGATGGTCAGCATTGTCCTCTTGTTCTGGGAGGCAACAGGGTGCAGTGGAAAAGTTACGCTTTGACATCAGACACCCCTAGGTTTATACATTGACCATGCACCACTCGGTGACCTTGGACAAGCTACTTAACCCTAAACATCAGTGTTTTCATCGGTAAAGTGGGGGCTTTATACCTATTCCAAAGAGTTTTTGACAATGAAATTATCTACCGGATATGAAGAACTTACCACACACATCACTGGTGGTCCCTCAGAAAGTGAGCTGAGACTGTTCATTATGGTTTGATAATCTAACAGGTCTTCATCAGGTTCTGCTCTCAGATGTCTCTCACAGGTTCTTAACTCTCTAGTTTAACAGTTCTAAATGGCAGCAGAGTAGAAATTGGGGGAACTAAGGTTCTTTTAGTTGCCAAGGCAATTGGTGTATGAAGGGAATACTACTCACATTTAGTAGAAGGGAATTGGGAGGTTGGATTTCCTGCATAGGAGAAAGCACACAATGAATTGTTCTGCATCCTGCTTTTGGCATGAGGTTTGAATGTCTTCCTGGGCATTTTTGCAGCTGAAAACCTGATTGTAATTATTTGAGTTAAGAAGCTAACTCCATCTTATCTATAAAGACAAAGTATTTTTAACACTCCTTTTATATGTGATTGATTTTGTATGTAATTGATGAGTTGATTTTTATAGGTAATTGCCAATAATGCAATCACAATACAATGTCAAGGAAGATTGTCTTTTGTTCAAAACTTTACTGAGCACCTTTAACATTTGGGAAAATTATGTTGCTAATAGCATTGGTGCCTCACTTTTGAATTGCCAACATAAAACACCTGGACTTATCCTTTTTACAGCTATTGCATTCATGGTGATATCACATCTCAGTGCACAAGTGAACTGCTTCTCTGTATGCCGGTTTAGTTGTAGCTGAACATTTACATATCAAAATGCATATTTATTATACATTACTTTTGTTTTATGTTTCTTTTTTATTACATTAAGGAATGCATATTGATTTTTTAGCACTATGTGCATAGGTAGGTTACATTATCTAGAAATTATCTAAGATATTTGAGGAAGTGTTACAAAATACTACATATAAAAAAAAAGAGTCAGACGGCTAAGATTGGGCTTCTAAAATCTTTCTTACAAATTGATTTCCCAGTTCTGTAGAAATTGTTGCCTTAGATGTTCTCTATCATTTAATAATATACGTGTGAACTAAAAGATATAAGTGCTGTGTAAAAGCAGCCAATTATGTTTAACTAGCATATTTGCCGTTATTGTGTTTATCATTATCCTGAATAGAAAGTCCTTTAAAATTAATATTTTAGAAACCATTTGAATGCATTTCGTTTGTTATTCTATTTATTCTATAAATAATTTTTTTTTGAGACAGAGTCTCACTCTGTCCCCCGGGCTGGAGTGCAGTGACACAATCTTGGCTCACTGCAACCTCCGCCTCCCAAGTTCAAGCGATTCTCCTGCCTCAGCCTCCTAAGTAGCTCGGAGTACAGGTGCACTCCACCACATCCAGCTAATTTTTGTATTTTCAAAGAGATGGGGTCTCACCGTGTTGGCCAGGCTGGTCTTAAACTCCTGACCTCAAGTGATCCACCTGCCTCAGCCTCCCAAAGTGCTGGGATTACAGGTGTGAGCCACCATGCCTGGCCAATTCCATGAAGAATTTAATTAGTGCTAAGCATAAATTGGACCCTGTTACTGTGTCCCCTCAAACAATCATATGCTAGATAGGGTTAAATCTCCACTACATTGCCATTTTGTAAATGTCTTAATAAAGTTTAAATGTTCAATAAATTGTATATTCACTTTTAAAAAAAAAAGGAATTGGGGTGGTCCTTGGGTCTAATGACTGTATCCAACAAGTCTCATTGTTCGTCTAGGTTGGTCCTGGGTTTGTGTGCTTTAGTGCCAAGAATTTCCACATGGATGCCTGTTTGTAGATTTTTGTCTTCTATCCTAAAACTTCTGTTTTGTGGCCCAGGGATCTGCAGTTTTCATAAATACTTCAGGTGGGGACACTTTCTAATATACTTTAAAAAATTGTGCCCTAGTATCTTAAACCTTACCCAATGCTATTGCACCTCTCCAGAGAATACCAAACTGCCTCTCAACTTGTCTCTCTTTGCTCCCATCCATTCCCAATCCTCCTCACTTCTGTCAACCCTAGTCTTGGCCTCAATTCACTTCTAGCCACCAGTAGTTAAATGAAGGCTCCTACTTTAGTATAGAGTCCTCTCTTTGTGAGCTGAAAGCAGTACTTAAAACACAGAAGATGATCAGACAATTTTGCTATGGTTTGGATATTTGTTCCTCCAAACCTCATGTTGAAATTTGATCCCAAGGTTGGAAATGGGACCTTATGGTAGGTGCTTAGTTGATGCTTAGATGCTTAGTAGGTGCTTAGATGATGATTCCTCATGAATAGATTAATGGTCTCCCAGCAAGGAGGGAGGGAATGAGTTTTCACAAAAGGTGGTTGTTATTATAAAAAGAGCCTGGCACCTCCTCCATCTCTCTCTTGCTCCCTCCCTTGATATGGGATCTCTGCACACTCTGGGTACGCTTCCCTTTCCACCATGAGTGGAAGCAGCCTGAGGCCCTCACAAAAAACCGAACAGATGCTGGTGCCAGGCTTCTTGCACAGCCTGCTGAACCATGAGCCAAATAAGCCTCTTTTCTTTATAAATTATTCAGCCTCAGGTATTCCTTTATAGCAAAACAGACTAAGACACATATGAAAACATTGTAAAGACACAAAATAGCTAATAAACAGGGGGAAACATCCCTTTAATTCTAACAAAGTTTAACAAGCCTTATATAAGTAAGGTAAATGGAAGCTAAATGAAATAATATTAGGAAGCTTGGCCAAAATTAGAGTAAGAAAATTATTGAAGAAATTCTTAAAGCCCCCCATCATTTTAGCTGTTAAAACCCAATGAAAGAGGTGGCTTGGCTTGTTAAGCTTTGCAAGGTGAAAAGTGTCAGCATGCATTTTTTCCAATTAAAATACAAATATACCTTTTTCATAATTTTTTTACTTAACTGCTGACATTGAACATAATGATTGCATTCAACAAGTATTTAGAATTTGTCACTGAAATGTTCACTGACTTGAAAATGTTTAAAAGAATAAAGCTCCAGGTAACAGAAGGTAAGCACTGTCAATCATCTGACCTGTTTAGTCTTTATGAGACCCATTTGAAGACATGTAGGGAAAATTATAATAATAGCACTATTATTTATTGTGCTTTATTAGACTGGCAACTATAGTAAGAACTTTATCATCGTTTATTTATTCACAATTATTTATTGAGCACTAACTATGTGCCAATGCCCTAAGCTAGGAACCAGGATATTTCAGTGAACAAAATTGATATTTCCTGATGTTATGGGGCTTACATTCTGCACAACATCATGAGGGACGGGCTTTAATCTTGGCAAAACAGATGAAGACACTGAGAGTAGAGTCATCTGGGGCTTTGCCCAGGGTCATGTAGCTTGTTACCCTGCTGCACTAAGTGTGTACCTTCTAGTCACACACCCAGCCTCGGGTAGCTAGAGTGAGGCTGCCTAGGGCACACAGGACCCTTTCCAGTTCCCAGAAAGATCTTCCTCTATCCCATCAAGTGAACATAAACAGGCCCAAGAACACAGCTGTGATACCTCCCTGAGGACTAAGGTTATTTTTGGTTCCAAACTTTCTGCTCACTTGTTTTCACATCACTCCAGGCTAAACTGTTCGAGAAATCAGGGATGGGTGAGTTGTTTTTGTGTCCCAAGGATCTCATGAGAATGAGGAGAAGTCCACAAAAAGCCGAGAACCTAGATCACAGAATGTTACTTTATACTTTCTTTTCTTTCAAAACCCTTGAGAAATTGAGAAGCACACAAAATGGGTTAGGCTGTCAATTGCTTTTCATTTTTTTGAACACATTTGTTATTTGTTTTAATTAAAGTGACAAGAGAGAATGACATTGAAAAACAATGCCATTTATTTCACAGGTACCCAACACCAGGTTTTATAAACGATTCTCACAGCATCACAAAAACAACTTGCCTTAAAATCAGGGGAAATTTTATATCTAAAGCCCTACCCTCAACTTCAAACCACGTGTATTGCCAAAAAGGATGTGAAATGCTCTCCCTGACAAGATTTGTATAGATTTTTTCTTTCCAGGAGTGACAGATGAGAGAGAAATACTTCCCCCAAAAGCCTGCCAACCACAAGAAAAGAAAGCATTTTCTCACCCTCCTCTTCCTCTAGAAATAAGGATTGTCATGATTTAACTTCTATTCTGATGCCAGTTAAGATGTGATGGATAAAATCCCGCTAAAATTAGATACCTTTAAAAAGTGATGATTACTCTGGCTTTTCAAAGATCCCTTAATAAACAGCACAATCAAAATGTTGTCATTTCTCTGTTGTTTTGCTAGATGGACATTGTTAATAAACTCAAGGCCTTGCTAAAGGAGACTTGGAGGCTACGGTGCAGGAGTTGTCTCCAACCCATCCATGTGGTGGTCAGTGTCCAGGAACTGGGACAATGAGATAAAAGTCAAGAGACCCAGCCCGGGGACAAACTTAGAAGGTATGCATTCATGAGTTGCTTTAGCCACACTTTACTCAGGATAACATGAGTAATCATGTATGGTATGGCAACTCAAGTCAGTTGCTGATCATGAACATCTACAGCTTTTGGTTCCGTTTCTTATTTGTGTTAATCCTGTGCCCAGTCTGGCCTGAGGAGCGTGATGGGATCATAGAGGAACCCATGTGTGGTAGATTAAAGTTCACAAAGCCAGGTTAGGATTCAAATTCTTTTGCTTGCAAGTTGTATAACCTTGGGCAAGTCACTTGATCTTTCTGAATTCATTTTCCTCATCTAATTTACAACTTATCCAGATTTTTTGTAAACAACAACAAACTCTAAAATTGCTTACACATGGAAGCCATTACCAAATGTGCTCTCCCTTCCCATTGGAAAGCTATAGACTGTTGATGAAGACCTAATAAATCATTCATTCGTCATGTAATAGGTGATTAATTCATGACTCAAAGAAGTTGTATACTTGCCCAGTGGCATGTGAGGAGACATACCCAACTTCTCTCTGAAGTTGGAGAGAGCTAGATGACAGTCCTCTTTCTGCTACTTGCAACGTGTATTTTTTGAGCAAATTAGATAGTCTCTTAAGTCTCAGTTTTCTCCTCTGGAAAATGAATATAGTCATAATCCGACTTCATAGGTTTGTTAGGAGGATTCAATGAGATATTATAGCCTTATATAATGTTAGCATAATATTTGGCAAATAGTAAGCAATGAATTTTGGCAAAATAAAAAATACAGCATTATTCTGATGAGAAGCAAGATGTGGCTTAGGACTAAATATTAAGTGTAATCAGACTAGAGGGTCAGGGAAAAGAAGATAATCATGACGTTAGATGAGGAAATAGGGATGAGGTCATGAACACAGGATGAGCAGGGCTCAGAAAAGCAACATGCTCTGCTCTGCTGTGTTATAAGATGGCTCAGTCGCCCTGTGCTTTGCTGGGCTTTCATCTGTGCATCCCAAGTAATGCTGAGTTCCAGAACTCTGCTGCATATTGTAGGCTCAGCTGAAAACAAGACAGACCCGTTTTTGCCTTAGTCCTTGGAGCTGATGATCCAGCTGGGAAAAGTTGAATAAGCAATGATGGAAAAAGAGAAGACTGGCTTAGCTGAGAGAATTTTGTATATGACAGAAAGGGGGTAGCTTAAGGGCACGTTGGGCTACTTGAATGGAAAATGCGGTAGCTTGGTGGCCCTCCTGGCTGGACCCATGTCCTTTTGGGAGCCCTGTACTAGAAACTAGTATTGGCAACACAAGTGTGTCCAATAAACTTTCTTACACAGCTTGAGCTCATGCTCCATTTATTTATTATGAGACCTTTGCTTAGAGGATGGAGTTCAGTTTACTCTGTGACAGAGGCCAGGCTATTCACAGTAATCTGGAAATACTAGTTTAGGTCAGAAATTTCTTAAAATTTTCTGTGCCATGGGTGCTTTGCAGCATGGTGAGGCCTATGAATCCCCATTAGTATACTGTTTCAAAATGAATAAGATAGCAGAGGAAGCCAATTATAGTAAAATACAGTTATCAAAATATCAAAGATGTTTGTGATATAATATATCCTTCCTTATAATGAATAATAAGAACTAGCTATGAATCCAATAATTCTAATTTCAAAATAGTAAGCGTAAATGATTGAGATATCTGCAACAATTGTAATATGATTTGGCAATATTGCAATTTTCATTAGTGACAAAGTCACAGTTACTGTTTATCCTACTGTGGCTTGTTTCCAACAACTACAAAAAAATGCTGCATTTCAGTTAGAAGTTAGTGCAAAGAGCAATACCGAGTTTGCCCATCCAAGTTCATGGGCACTGGATTATATCCATGAAATTGGAAAGGTGTGAACCCCAGGTTAAGAATCCCTGTTTGGACACAGACAGCAATAAAGCCATGACAAAGTCTCTCATAGCCAATGTTTCAGATATAGATAATTTATGACAGAATATCCATCTATTCAGATATTCACTCCAAAGAAGAAGAAAAAAAAAAAGACAAAGGACCTTTATTAGTCTCCTCAAGCTGCTATAACTGAATACCACAGACTAGGCAGCTGAAACTACAGAAAATTATTTTCGCACAGTTCTGGAGGCTGGAAAGTCAAGGTGCCATCAAGGTTGATGTCTGGTGGGGACTCTCTTCCTGGCTTACAGACGGCTACTTTCTTGCTGTGTGCTCACATGCTTTTCCTCTATGTGCATACTCTCTTCCTTTTTTTTAATTTTTTTATTTTTTTTTGAGACTGAGTCTCGCTCTATTGCTCAGGCTGGAGTGCAGTGGCGCAACCTCGGCTCACTTCAATCTCCGCCTCCTGGGTTCAACCGATTCTCCTGCCTCAGCCTTCCAACTAGCTGGGACTACAGTCATGCACCACCATGCCCACCACCACGCCCAGCTAATTTTTGCATTTTTACTAGAGTAGGGGTTTCACCATGTTGTCCAGGCTAGTCTCGATCTCCTGACCTCAAATGATCCGCCTGCCTCGGCCTCCCAAAGTTCTGGGATTACAGGCATGAGCCACCACACCCGGCCTCTTCCTCTTCTCATAAGGACACCAATCCTATAGGGTTAGGGCTGCACCCTGGACCTCATTTAACCTTAGTCATCTCCTTAAAGGCTCTACCTGCAGATACAATCACATTGGGGGTTGTGGCTTCAAAATAAGAATTTAGGGGAAACAAAATTCAGCCCATAAGAAGACCACTCAGCAGAGATGGTTCACAAGGAGCCCACAGTCAGATCCAAGTCAAAAATGAGATTTGTATGTCTGCATAATGTTGGCCCACGCATAGAGTTTTGAACTCTGTAAATTAATTTTGAACATTAAGACATCAGTATCTTTCAGCCAAACAGATTTGATTTCCAATTTCTCTAGATTTGGAAACCTCGGGCCCAAATTCTCACATCTTATTTGGTTATAGTCACTAAAGCATGGTAACGACTACCCCATTTATAACACCAGGCCAGCCTTGCTCTTGTAGATACCCACCTGGACCCTGTTAGTATTTGAGAATGCAGCCTCTTGTAGAGATAGTATTACAGGGAACCCTAAGAGGCTACAATGATGCCCAGAACAGCCTCTGATTGGCAGGTAAAAAAGAGCGAACAGCTAGAACTTCACACAGTTTGATTTAATAGACCATTTAAAGGTGTTTCCTTTGTGCTTCATTATTAGTGGGAAAGGGGAAGCGAGGTCAAATTACATGTCTAGACTCTTATCTCATTACTGAATTATTCTAACGTCACCACATCTGTCAATTTTCTCTACTACTGTCCTGAATTGAACTAGGGTCTGCATATATAAATATTCTTCCAAAACAACATAATTTGCACAGAAAGGATGAGGCTGCACAAGATACAAAAAATAATTTTTAGAAGAAAAGAGAACATAACAAGGTTGATTTTTGTGAAGGTGGATGCAGAAGGTAGATTCTCTTCTTAATTTGCTTGTTATAAATTTTACACACACTGAAAGGGGAAGTAAAAGGCAACACATTGTGTTCAGCCAAAAAAAAATATAGATTTTACCCAGACATTAGGATCAGCTCCTGTTGGGGCCTTGACAGTATCATTCCAGGAAACATAAAATTTACCAGACTCACTATTATATCTCAACTTAGCCTGAAAACAGGTGTTTGACCTCCCCCGTCTTCCTGGTAAAATTTGATAACAATCATCCTAGCACAACACACCTGTTCATCAACCTAAGCTTGGTAAACATGGCCTTTCATACTTGATTTTTCTTATAGCATGGATCTATGGTACAACACTTACATGCTCCATACTTCATTTTTTATTTTTATTTTAAGTTCAGGGGTTCACGTGCAGGCTTGTGACATAGGTAAACTTGTGTCATGTGGGTGTGTTGTACAGATTATTTCATCACCCAGGTATTAAGCCTAGTACCCATTAGTTATTTTTCCTGATCCTCTCCCTCCTCCCACCCTCCATCCTATGAAAGGCCCCAGTGTGTGTTGTTTCCCTCTATGTGTCCGTATGTTTCCATCATTTAGCTCCCACTTATAAGTGAGAACATGCGGTATTTGGTTTTCTGTTCCTGCATTAGTTTGCTAAGGATAATGGCCTCCAGCTTCATACGTGTCCCTGCAAAGGACATGGTCTCATTCTTTTTTATAGCTGCATAGTATTCCATCGTGTATATGTGCCACGTATTCTTTAATAATCCATGCTTTTTAAAAATTTGTTTACTTCGAACATTTTTCAAGCTTGTAGAATATTTGCAAGCATAGTATAAAGAACTACTCTATACCCTTCACTGAGATTCATCAACTTTAATAATTTGATACATCATTTATTCTCTCTCTCTGTCTCTTCTCTGCCTCTCTCTCTTTATATATATACACACACAAACACATATATACATACACATATAAATAAACCTATGTGTATATATACGCACACAAACATGTCTTTATTGTAATTGTTATTTTCTAAAACATGTGAGAGTAAGTTTCAGTGAATTATTTTGCCCTGAGAATATTTCTATTTTTCCAGAGTGTTAACAATGGTTAAGCTCATAAAACTACCTAAAAGTCCATTTTAACCTATGCTGTTTGTCAAATTGCAATACCAGTAGTAACACCGAATACTAAGAACACTGTAGAAAAAAGAGGAATGAAAGAGACCTTGTGCACCTTTGGTATGGCCCTAATTAAATTTTCGAGTAGGAATTTTCTTACATATGGCATCGCCCTTTATATCCTAGGAATATACTGTGAATCAAAATGCACTCCTTTCCCCCTCAGATTTCTCTTGGACCACCCACCCCTTGGCTTTCCTAAAGGTACTGCACGTTATGTGGTACCTACCCATCTCCAGGTACCCAATCCCTCACTGTAATTGACTTTACCTAAAAGTGTTAAGAGGGGGTAAGCTGATTGACCCAGTTTATACTAACGTGTGAAGGATGCTATTTACATTCTCAAAGGCATTTACATTTCCACAACGACTTCACTGATACAAATTAATTTCCTCAGTGGTGAAAATAAAGGTGATAAATTAAAATCAAATGGAGAAATAAAGATAGGAGAATAAGAAGAGTCAGAAACTGCCACCTAAACAGGAAAAGCCTGCCTCTGTAATCAACTATCTGAAACTATTTCTGCTGTACACATTTTCTTTTTCTTTCCCTGGCTGTAAATCTAAGATGTCACCAAAATATATGGACACTGAAAATTGGCTAATATTTCTGGCATTTAAATAAATCAATAGCTTCCAAATATTTGTCTGACATTCATTTAAAGTAGGGGTTAAAACACTGCATGAGGGAAGAATTGGGAAATAAAATCACTTCTCTTAAAGTATTGCCATCCCAAGCAATTCAACCCTGACCCCAACTTTGCATTCTCCTTTCAGCCTAACAAATGGACCAACCTTCTTAGAAGGTGAATTATTGAGATAAGTGTTTGCCAGTTATGGTGACTCGACTGTCCCCTTGGCTGTATTTGACCGTTCTTATTACCATCGCACCGCCCAAAGCACATGCACACAATTACACAAGGCTAGCTGATCAAATTTGCCCTGCCAATCACATTCAGCAGAATTTTGAAGCTTGTGACCTGGGTGCAATATGTTTTGCCTGATCACTGGTTAAAAAGAAAATTTGAGTTAGATGCCTGCTTTAAAAAATCATGAGATTTTAACATAAGAAGAATCTGCATTTCCTTCTTCTTTTAAAAACCAAACGATGTCTTCACCCTGCACCCAAATTCCTGCACAACAACAACGGACTAGAGCCCAGCAGCAACATCACCTGGAGACCCTGTAACCAGGCAGGGTATGCTCCCCATTTGCCACCTGCTGAGCCCTTCTTCCCTGCCCTAACTGTGACCATAGTTAGTTACATCTGCAATCCTGACATCTGAAACTTCCCCTGAGAGAAATCCTAGTAGAGATTATTTTTCCATGCCTTTACTTTTACAATGATATCTTATCTTTTCCAATGATATTCTTTGACACTGGCACCTTGGCAAACTGCCCAGATTGGCCATTAATTGGGATCAGAAAAAAAAATCTCTAAAACACAGATTTTTAACAAGAGTTTTTGTGGCACAGCAGCTGTTGGGGTAGAGGGATGAGGAAGGAAGGCAGAGAAGGGGCTGAAAAAGGTGGCCTTTGTATCCTTGACAAAATTATGTCAAGGACAGGCTATAAAAACGGAGCTTGGTGATTTTACAGGCCAGTTAAATAGAAGCGAGCATGCTGGCTTATTCCCTTTTCTTGAACGTCTAAGTGGAGTTCTTCTATTCACATTGTGCTTCCTCTTAGAGCAATTCAAACAATTGATGGAGTAAGAGCAGTGGGAATCAAAGTCCAAATTCCAGATTCCTCTCAAACAGAAATTCTCTCAATGATCAATTTCTATCATTTAATCAAATCATTTTTTAACTAAGCAGGAATCTGTCAACTGGTGTTCATTTCATGCCCCATAGCTCTGGTAGAAAGATTTTTTTTCCCCTTTCCTGTTGCTTCCTATGGTGTTAAATTGGCAATTTTCAGAGAGGCGCCTCCTGCCAATTATTAATGAGAATCAGTCTTGACTTTTACAGATTCCATTTTATAAATTGGTTTTATTGAAAGTGAGAAATAGCATAAAGAACTACAGAAAGGAGAAAAATTAAGAGTGTACCCAAAGAACAGAGGCCTTGTTATAATCTGTCTTTAGAAAAGTGATTGTGTGCTTTGGGTCTGGACCTAGCACGAGATGGCTTACGATTCTCTTCCAGATTCAGACACTCTCCTTTCCCACCCTGATCTATACACACAGGGCAGTAAATTAACATCACTACATAACACTGAGGTATTGCAAGGATTAATGACTTACAGAGCAACCTGCATGCTAGGATGTAAAGGGTCTCATTGCAGAGAAAATTATTGTCATAATTCTTTGAACATTACATTGTTCACCCAAAGAGGTAATACTACAGAACTCTACCCAAAACTGAACCCAACAGAAACATTTTCTCAACTTTCATTATTTACTGTGTCAAGATTATAAAGAAGCCAACTTTCTTTGTTTTTCTAATGTATACATATTTTTCATATTCTCTTTTAAAAAGTCAATTTTTAGGGTTGATGCTTTATACACAGAAATTTAAATTGGTCTAGCATATCTGACTTGTATCTAGTATTTCTTATTTCTCTTCAAAGAAGAAAAGATGATTTATGGGGCGAAATTTGACATAGAATATCAAATCCCGCTGATCTACTTTGACAAGAATGCTTCATCTCATCCAAATACATAAATATACTTTATTTTAGCATGATGTGATTTTCAACATAATGTTTTCATGAAATGTAAAAGAATAGCAAATACGTATCGAAAACTTTAGTGTACCATGAACTGCACTAAGCAGGCACTTTAACTGCATTAAGTAGCTTTATACAACCCAATAAGGTAAAGATTAATATTCTCCTTTTTAAAAAAAAGAATAAAGAAACTGAGGCTTGGGGAGATTATATAATTTGCCCAATTTCACACAGTTATTTAGTAAAGGAGCTGAGAGTCAAACCAGCTGGTCTACCTCCAGCACTGTATTGCAAAATAAGGCTAGTGAACCTCGCATCCCATGTGCCCTCCTCTTGGGGAGGATATGAGCAATGCCCTGTAGTGTAGAAGCCTATCTAATTTCCCTTTACCTAGCATTTCTAGAAGTTACTTCACTGCAGAACCTCTTCTCCCCCAGAGTGCTGACTAATATTAAGAATCTTCAGAACGTAGTCAGGAAAGCTCTGCCTTAACCATCTGAGTACAGATTATCACACTACACATGCTCGCTCACACAACTCTCTCTGCCTGGGACGCCCCATCTCCATCTACTCAAACACCAGTCATTTAAAGCCTGGCATATCTTTTTTAACTTCCTTTGGGATATCTTTCCCAAGGATTCAGAATGTTCTTTCCCTTTGCTTAACAAAAACCTAATAAGCAATAGCACTTTTCTAGCACTAGAACATTCTCTTGTTACTGCCTCGTTCTATGATTGTCTCCACTATTTGACTGTGAGCTCCTTAAGGGTCTGCCTGAATTGTTGTATGACTAGTGGCAACCACAGACCTTGACACAAAATAGATATTCAATGAACACTGATGGAATAACTTATTGGTCCTCTTGTAAGGAAACAAAGTATTTCACAGTTATCCATTGTTCAAGAAAACAGAGGCAATAGAAAATGGTGAGAAGTTAAGAGGAGAAAAGAGGTAAAAAAAAATCAAGTTAACATATGAAATACTAGTATAATCTTTACTTTTGAGATTTGTAATTTTATTTTTGCAAGTCTATAAATGTGGATATGCTGTAACTCACAACAAATGACAGGAATAGCATTTTTTGAGGGTTTACTGTGTGCCAGTCACCACCGTCCTCTTCACACGTAGGAACTTATGGAAGACCAACCTCAACGAAGTAATTGCAATTCGCACACACAGTCTCCACCAACAAGGAAGAAAAAAGTGGAAATTTAATTCCCAGTTTATAGACTGCTCCGGTGAGTTCTGAAACAGCAGGCAAAACAGATGTTGCCCTGACTTCCACTCCCTGGAATGTGACAGCCACCTTGATTGCCCTTTTCCAGCCATTTAATTTGGTTATTTAGTGAGGCAGTGACATTGATGCATCTGTAAGAGGTAGGCTGACATAAATCAGATCCTCTTACATTTTCTAAGGAAAAACCTCCACCCTTTCCTTCAGACTATTGCATTATTTCTATAGTGATGCTGAAAAGGGAGAGAGGTGATTCGTATTCGTCAGGATTCTAAAATAAATGAAAAATCTGCTGGCCTGGCAAATAGGTAATGCTGCTATTCAGAAGACTTGCACGTATGACTGGATTACCAACAGATGCCCATAAAATGTTCCTTCTCGCCTCCTGTCACCTAAGAATGAATTCTGTATGTTTCTTTTTCCTTTACTAATTTCCAGAACATTCAACTCCATCTGGTGTTGGTGGGCCCTGAATAAAGGCCCTTGTCATCAAATCGCTCACTATTGATTAGGAAAAGCAGATACACAAATAGCTAACTACCTTCCATACATATAACGGTAAAACTTCAAATGGCTCCCAGCCAATGAGGACCAACACTTTGCTAGGCTCAATAATGTATTAACCATCTCATAATGAGGATGCCAGCTGTCAGCCACAGGAAATATTAAAACAGGGAAGAGAATATTTTCAACAATTTAGTTAATGATTTCCATAATGTGCTTGCCAAAGCCCATGCAGCATCTTTGGATCACATTAAGGTCCCTGCTTTAAAATCTTCTCTGGCTCCTAATTGCACATGGGATAAAATTCTCACTCCTGTTTTACATCCCATGGTGGTATGGTACTGTAATTAAGAGTTTAGCTTCTGGAGTCAGGCATGCTCTAACTTACCTGCTATGTGGTGTGTCAATTATTTATATTTGGCCTTCTCACCCGTAAAATGAGGACAATAGTAGTACCTACTTAAAGGGTTTGGAGAAATTTAAATGAGATAGTCTATGTGGAATGCTTAGTACGTAATAAATGTAGAAATAATGGTGGTAGAGTAAGTTGTGGTGGTGGTAGTGGTAAAATAGTAGACAGGTAGTAATTCTAGTTTTTAGTTTTCCACAGTATAATACAATGTTATATTAATATATTTGTGTGCATGTATGTGTATGTCATATATTTATATATTCATTCATATGCACATATGTATGTGCATATATGTATAATTTTAATTAGGCTATCTTAGTTTAAAATAACATTTCTTCCATTTATTTAATATTGAACATTTTATTTAACCTTAACTTTGCTTTGATTTATTATCTATAAACTGGAAGTCATAATAATACCTACCTCAGGCTTATCTTAAGGTTTAAACGACATGAAACATGTAAAGTAACTGACACATAGTAAGTGCCCAGTAAGTGTTTATTTTCAAAAATACCCTTTGCAAAATATCTTTTGAAAGATAAAGCATCTTTATTTCTATAGTAGGAAATATTATTCTTATTACTTCCAATTCATAAAAATTATTTATTTCCTGACTCTCCCCTTGAGTTTGCTAAATTCTAATAAATTTAACAGGCATACATGAAACAACATACCAACAGCTGTACTCCTAGGACACATACACAATTTCTGTAGTATGAGAAACTTCCAGTTTAAAGCCTAGAAACTCTGAGTTATTGAAGTTGAAAGTATAGAAATCTACTCTGTCACAGTCACTTTCGATGAAAACTACAATTTTTGATAAGTTCCATAAAACCTGCTTAATTCAACATTTATGAGAGACACTAAAGATAAATGAAAGGTATAGAAATGGAAACCTTTCTAATCAGTCATTTGTCAAGAATAAAGGACAAGAATGATAGTCATGAAAACAGACTAGATGTGCATATAAATAACCTGCTGGAAATAAATGATTAAATATTTTTATAAATTTAGCCAAAATAGACTTTGGTCCATAACATAAAGCTTAATTCATGTGCCAGTGAAAGATCAGGTGCACTGGTTCATTCAGCACACCTAGGCAAGCCCAGGTTGGGGTTTGGGAAAGCATGTACATTTCACATATTTCAACAGGAGTGAAAGAAAAGACAAGAAAGCTGATTTCACAAGACTAGAGAAAATCTCCTCTCTCCTTTAATTGCCATGGTGGGTGAGCTGCAGTATATAATTAATCCCCTGGAGGAAGTTTTGTAGCCACGTCATATTGTTGGAAATGAGTTAACACTGAAGCACAAAAACAACACTATTAAAGGAAGTGGATAGTTCTATAGAGTGAAGAGGATGTCACAGGTAGACCACTTTTTGAATGTCCCTTTCTTTAACCCAGTAGAAGGGGCAGGTGCAGGAAGCTGGCAAGGCCAGATGACCGGATCTCAGTGGGGAATGGGAATATGGTTTACCCTATACTGTGGGTCTTGGCCCCACAGGAAAGCTTTTGTGAAGCACCAGAGATTGGGCTTTCTCTATATGTTCAGTATCCATTTTCTCAGGACCTTAGGGAATGATAAATTGCTTGAGGAGTGATTTGATAAGTCTCCCAAGTCATGTTATTTTCCACCATTAGAACATCTGGTTTCTCTTTGCTATTGTGAATAATGCCGCAATAAACATATGTGTGCATGTGTCTTTATAGCAGCATGATTTATAGTCCTTTGGGTATATACCCAGTAATGGGATGGCTGGGTCAAACGGTATTTCTAGTTTGAGATCCCTGAGGAATTGCCACACTGACTTCCACAATGGTTGAACTACTTTACAGTCCCACCAACAGTGTAAAAGTGTTCCTATTTCTCCACATCCTCTCTAGCACCTGTTGTTTCCTGACTTTTTAATGACTGCCATTCTAACTGGTGTGAGATGGTATCTCATTGTGGTTTTGATTTGCATTTCTCTGATGGCCAGTGATGGTGAGCATTTTTTCATGTGTTTTTTGGCTGCATAAATGTCTTCTTTTGAGAAGTGTCTGTTCATGTCCTTCGCCCACTCTTTGATAGGGTTGTTTGTTTTTTTCTTGTAAATTTGTTTGAGTTCATTGTAGATTCTGGATATTAGCCCTTTGTCAGATGAGTAGGTTGCGAAAATTTTCTCCCATTTTGTAGGTTGCCTGTTCACTCTGATGGTAGTTTCTTTTGCTGTGCAGAAGCTCTTTAGTTTAATTAGATCTCATTTGTCAATTTTGGCTTTTATTGCCATTGCTTTTGGTGTTTTAGACATGAAGTCCTTGCCCATGCCTATGTCCTGAATGGTAATGCCTAGGTTTTCTTCTAGGGTTTTTATGGTTTTGGGTCTAACTTTTAAGTCTTTAATCCATCTTGAATTGATTTTTGTATAAGGTGTGAGGAAGGGATCCAGTTTCAGCTTTCTACATATGGCTAGCCAGTTTTCCCAGCACCATTCATTAAACAGGGAATCCTTTCCCCAGTGCTTGTTTTTCTCAGGTTTGTCAAAGATCAGATGGTTGTAGATATGCAGCATTATTTCTGAGGGCTCTGTTCTGTTCCATTGATCTATATCTCTGTTTTGGTACCAGTACCATGCTGTTTTGGTTACTGTAGCCTTGTAGTATAGTTTGAAGTCAGGTAGTGTGATGCCTCCAGCTTTGTTCTTTTGGCTTAGGATTGACTTGGCGATGTGGGCTCTTTTTTGGTTCCATATGAACTTTAAAGTAGTTTTTTCCAATTCTGTGAAGAAAGTCATTGGTAGCTTGATGGGGATGGCATTGAATCTATAAATTACCTTGGGCAGTATAGCCGTTTTCACGATATTGATTCTTCCTACCCATGAGCATGGACTGTTCTTCCATTTGTTTGTATCCTCTTTTATTTTGTTGAGCAGTGCTTTGTAGTTCTCCTTGAAGAGGTCCTTCACATCCCTTGTAAGTTGGATTCCTAGGTATTTTATTCTCTTTGAAGCAATTGTGAATAGGAGTTCACTCATGATTTGGCTCTCTGTTTGTCTGTTGTTGGTGTATAAGAATGCTTGTGATTTTTGTACATTGATTTTGTATCCTGAGACTTTGCTGAAGTTGCTTATCAGCTTAAATGTGGCACATATACACCATGGAATAGTACGCAGCCATAAAAAATGATGAGTTCATGTCCTTTGTAGGGACATGGATGAAATTGGAAATCATCATTCTCAGTAAACTATCGCAAGAACAAAAAACCAAACACCGCATATTCTCACTCATAGGTGGGAATTGAACAGTGAGAACACATGGACACAGGAAAGGGAACATCGCACTCTGGGGACTGTTGTGGGGTGGGGGGAGGGGAGAGGGATAGCATTGGGAGATATACCTAATGCTAGATGATGAGTTAGTGTGCAGCGCACCAGCATGGCACATGTATACATATGTAACTAACTTGAACATTGTGCACATGTACCCTAAAACTTAAAGTATAATAATAATAATAATAAAAGAAGAGATTTTTAAAATTACCATAATAATTGACCTATTATCCTCTATGAGTCTCATCATCTGATAAAGATTTATTCTCAATTATATAAAAATCATCAGTTATTGTTAAATAAGAAACTCAGTATATGTAGACTCCTCCAGTCTCTTGGATTTACATATATAGTTTTAATTGTACAATATTATTGTAAAAGTTAATATCCTTTCAATGTATCTGATTTAAAATTACCACAGAGCATTGTGGGATTAAAGGAGTACTGTGTCAAGGGAAAAAAAAACAAAGAACAAAAAAAAAAGAACTTCTGGTTTCTCACACTCTCTACCCCTTGAGTGAGTCCAATGAGTGCGGTTGTGCTCAGTGTGAGGAGAGGCACGAAACCACCCAGCTCAACCCAGCCAGGATTCTCCTAGCCCGGAGGTGCTTGAACACATTCCCCTAATGACTGTATGTAATGTACACCCAGGTGGAGCAACACCGCCCAGCCCTTTCTTGACGGAAGGCTTCAGGCTCAGGCTGCCTCCGTATCACTTAGCTCCATTCTCCCTAAGAACTGATTGTCCCTAACACCTGTATCTTCGGATCCACCAGTAAATTTAGAAAGTCTTCCTACTATTCTAGTCGCTTTGGCCAAAATGAGCCTGACCTGCCTGTCTCATGGGCAAGCACTCATTTGGCCCAAGGTAGCTATCTTAATTTTAATTATTTTAATTTACTTTTGGGCTGCAGGCTAAATACAAATAAAACTGATACTTGCTTTTAGGTTTGTCTAGATTCTCAAAATGTTCTCCCCAAATTAGCAGCATCAGCATCAGCTGGAAATTCATTAGAAATGCAAATCTCAGGTCCCACCCAGGACCCAATGAATCAGAAACCATGGAGGTAGGACCTAGAAATCTGTGTGTTAACAAGCCCTCCAGGTGATGCTGATGCACAATCAAGTGTGAGAACCATGGTTTAGCCACCCGATGGTTCTCAGATTATAGCTGGGTGGGGCTCAAGAAGGAAAGTTTGGCATGTGCCAGCTTCTTTGGAGTTTTACAATGCCTACGAGAAACCTGAACTTCAGTGGGTGACCTTCTTTTATTTAAATTTTTAGACTATCAGTCACAAACTCAAATGTTTATAGAGACCAAGAAAGTAAATAAGTAGATTGAGAATGGGCACGTCACTTAGGGAGGCAGTGGGATCCTGGTGAATTACAGAGCACTTGCCCCACTTGAGATATTGACAAAAGAATATTCAAAAACCACTATGCAGACAAAGCAAACCATTTCCTTGGGGTCCCAATTTGTCCTGCAGGTAGCCTGTTTGTGGTCTTGATTATGTCATATCTCCTGCTATAAAACAGGAAATAAGGGTGGCTGTTCGCTGGACCAAGTTTTTTGGTTCATACAAAAGGGAATGGTTATTTTAAAACAGGTTTAGTCCTCTAATAAGTTGAAGAATTTTGCCTCAATATTTATAAATCCTGTGACCAAGGTGCATGCTGTCCTGATGAGTGAGGTCCTACAGCCCTAAGAGGAGACTTAAGGGAGAACGTTCTGCAGGAACAGTACATGGACTACCTTAGCTGTTGCTTGGGCATCAAAAGATGTTTCATTTTGCTTCATCTTCCTCTCAACAAAACTTACTTGCAGTATGTGAGCCTCCAAAAAAATTATAGTTAACTCACATGAAGGGGTAATATTTAGTGACAATATGTTACCCACAGAAGGGCCATTTGCATTTAGAAAGGATGGAATCCTGGAGAAGGAATTAAGCATTCTCTAATTCCAAGTGTTGGCAGCAGCTTATAGTGAAGTTGTAATCAGGTCTATTAACTATATATTCATGTAGTGTCAGAATTTCTGATATTACTAACTTTGTTATGATTTTTTGTGTACAATTAAATGTTTTAGTGTATTCACAGAGTTGTATAACTATCATCACAATTTCAGAACATTTTCATCACTCCAAAAAGAAACCACATACCTACCAATAGTTACCCCTCAACACCTCTCCCCAACCCCAAAGCCCTAGGCTACCATTAATCTACTTTGTCTCTCTATAGTTTGGCTCATTCTGGACATTTAATATAAAAGGAATTACGCAACATTCAGTCTTTGTGACTGGCTTATTTCACGTGTAGTGTTTTCAATGTTCATTTGTATTGTAGCATATATTATGACATTATTTCATTTTTATTGATGAATAATATTCCATTGTATGAATATAACACATTTTGTTTATCATTCATCAGCTGATGAAAATTTGTTTACACTTTGTTTATTATGAATAATGTTGCTACAAACATTTGTGTACAAGTTTTGTGTGAACATATGTTTTCTCTTCTTTTGGGTACATACCTGGGATTGAAATTGCTAGGTCATATGGAAACTATGCTTAACCTTTTGAGAAACCGACACTGTTTTCCAAAGTAGCTGCACCATTTACACTTCCATCAGTAGTACATAAGGGTTCCAATATCTCCACATTATTTGTCTTTTTGATTAAGGCCGTCTTAGCATCCTAGTAGATGTGAAGTGGTATCTGGTAATCTTGGTTTGCTTTTACCTGACGAGTAGTGTAACTTTGCTGGTATTAAATACAAATTGTTGTAGAGGATTTATGGTGTACTAAACACTGGGAATACTAGAGTGCACAAAGCTTGAATGGATTGTGTACATGTCACATTCTATTGCCTTATAAACCATGTATATCTGAAAAATAGTAAAGATTTTGGTGGTTTAATGGAGCAAGTTATATTCATTGGGTGCTTACTATATGTCATGGAGTATGTTTTAATGTCTTATAGGTATGATCACAATTATCTCCCATAATAATTCTGTTTTTAAGTAGTATTTTAATTCCCACCGAACATGTAAATAATCCAAGGGATACAGAGTTTATGTGATTGTTCCAGATGACAGAGTCAAGTGTTGATATTGCACCTACACAAGCTCAAATCTTCTTGCCTCCAAATTCCATGCACTTTACTTCTAAACTGCTCATCTCATATTTTCAAGTGAAATTTTACATGTAGAAAAAATAAAGCAAGTAAAATTTGCTGCTTGACATTGTATTTGCTCATTCGTTTCATGAGAACCAAACAAAGAGTTGAAGCTATGAGTTTGCTTACTTGGGTAAGACCTGAACCAAAAATTCAAGAATGTGGTCTTAATCTCATTCCTGGGTTTAATTGGAAATGAGCAAGTTTACTTTTCTGTCCCCCTTTCCACACAAGTGAGTATGATTAAGTCCAAATATCCAAGTCTGAAATAGAAAATATTTTGATATTGCTCAATGAATTACCCATGCTAACTTGTTGGATTTAAAATGGGTTTTCTTGTGTTTGTTTGCTATAATTTAAATTTAAATGATTTCTGTGACAGTAACCAAAGCACCATGAAATTTCATTTCATATCAGTTTTATTATTAAACTGACAATGTTACATATGTATTTATATGCTCATCTTCTGACAACATTCTCTTTACCTGCCCACAATTTGCAACCAGTTTACTGACTCAGAATGAATGACAGATTAATTCTAATTATAAATATGAACACCCTTTCTGAAGTTTCCATTGATTTGTTTTTGTCAGCTAAGATACTGTAAATGTCAATGCTCCTTTTGATTCTCACAAAAATCTATGTGGATAAAAGGCAACAATTTCTTGAACATGCTGATTATTCCCCATTGACCAATAACAAAAGGATTTATGATGTCAAAATAACATGAGCAAAAGTACTGATGACAATACATTGCTTCTCTATTTTTACATTGACTAAATTAAGCTCTCAGAAAAATTTTCTCTTGGTGCTTATTGCATTGATAATTTCTCCTTCTAACAGGCTAGGAATTTTTGTTTGCCATATTTTCGTTAGCGGTTTTCATTGTTCTGTGTGCCATTTAAATTCCCAGACTCCCTCATCTAATTTCTTCATGAGTGTCAGTTTGGTATCTCTGCTTGTTCAGTGAGTTCACAGCTTAGTTAGGCTTACTTCTTTCAGTCACTGTGTGATATACTTTAAAGATTTTTAAAAGGCCAATTGCTAAAAATAACCTGAATAAACCCTTTGAACAGACCAAGCATATTTTGTGATTTAAAAAAAACTTCTGGCATTAGACTAGCTAGTTGTAACTACAAAGTTTATATATTATTTCTATATTATGTTTCTATTCAACATTTTATTCAATGTCACCTTCCTACTGAGATATCTCAATTCCCATGGTACGTGTTCTTCTTCTCTGCAATGACTAATAATCTCCATTTGTTAATCACAGATGTGTTCCTGGTGGTCTTTGGCTAGAGGTCATTGCCAAGGGAAAGTTGTGGACTCTGCCAGAGATGTCCTTAAAGTACAGGGAAGATGTGACAGGACACAGTCGAAGGCAGTTATTGGAAAAAAAAACAAAACGAAACCGTGGACCATTTCATGCTGGTGTCCTGCCCTATTCACACTGTTCAATCAACTGGTTATGCTTATTTTACTCTTTGATCGCTAAAACTGAAAATACAAGAGTAAACTCCAGTCTAGTTCCAACCTACAAATCTCAAATTGGTCATGTCAAAATTAATTGGTTGTGGATGTCTGTTGCTCATTAATGCACTTCAACTGTTAAGAAATATTTTTTGAAAATAAAATGTAGCATTAGGAAAATTTAAAAGCATGAACACATCTAATCCTCACCAGCAGGAGTAATGGCTTTTATTTCTTCTACTTTCAATTCAAATCTGCCTTTGTCCCCATTTACATAATCACACGTAATAATTGTTACTTGACTTGCATTGGCATGTATAAATATGTGAAACGTACTTAAAAATCAAGTTTGCAATAATAATATCAATGAAATGAAAAAATTGGAAGAGCCAGGCCAGCTTGAAAGTGTGACCAATGTGATCCAACTTAATCCTTATTTGCATGCAAGTAACCTTAACATTTCTCGCCAGAGCTCATTCCACCTTTCTCTTTTCCTCCCTTCCTAATAAATGGGCGGGTAAATAAAAATTAAGGTAAGCTTATTGTTAAGCTAGAATATTTCCCCTCTTTTCTCTTTTTTTAAAAAATGTTAGTATAGTACTTTCTCTCCCTGCTCTCAGTTGCATCTCTGTGTCCCCAGTTTAAAATATTTTGGAGTTCTATTAAGATATAGACCTCTCAATACCATCATTTCCAAATAGGCTATTTATCCCCCTCTTCCACACCCCCCACCCATAGCACCACTTTCTATTGTTTTTAAAAATGTATACACATCATATATAATTCTGGCTCTAAGTTATAAATAGACACAACCAAGTTATTCATTCAAATGGCATTCTCTTAAATTTTTTAAGACTAGAGATGGTGAAATCTGATGAACTTCAACTTGTTACTCTCCATATTCCTTTCCATATAGCAGAATACTGGGGAGATGATGAGTTTATGTCAAGAATATATTTTTTTATTCAATAAAGCTAAATTTAATTCTCAATATAACTGTCTGCATTAACACTGCCAGGCCATTTGAAACCAATCTCAAACCCTTTTTGAAATAACACTAAATATAAATAAAATAACAAAGATTTTTAATAAATAAATGACTGGAATGGATTTCAAGGAGCAAGCTTGCTATTAAATCAACACTTCTTGACCTTAGAAACCAGTAAATTCTGTAATTTTTTATCCTTCATTAAAAATATTGCTTTTTTTTTTTGAAGGACCATTTAATCCTAGAGAGTAAATATGAATTTTAAAGAAGTTATTTTTATCTCCCTCCAGATTTCTGGAAAAACTAAAATCCTCAAGGGGGAAAAGTAATTATTGCCCATTGAAGCTCTTATTCAGATAGGAATAGCACTGGGTAGTTGCAGGTGGATGGAAAAACCCAAAAACCAGCTAAAACAAGAACTAGGCAAAGAAACCATAGGATAATAGAAAACCCAAAATAAGGAAGAGAAAACATTCAAAATCCCAATCAGGGTGACATGCCATGACTCTTCCAGGCAAACCCAAACAAGGGAGAAAGGGGGTGGCAACTGGAGGGGAGGGTCCCTGAAATCCCCTCCTTTTCCAGAATACCTAGTAATTGATCTCACACCCTAATTAAAGAAACACCATAAAATTAGAAACCCAGACTCATTGTGAGTGACCCCTCAGTACTACCCCTGCACTTCTCTGTTAAGTGTGTACTTTTGCTTTGCAATGAAAGCTTCTTCTGACTTGTCCCTGAATTCTTTCTCAAGATGGTGTCAAGAATCTGAAAAACTGGCTGGGGCTGGAGTTCCACCAGCATCCAGAGGCCCTCCTGAGCCTTCCAGCAACATTATAATCATACTACTTTATGCATCAGGGTCTATCCAAGTATGATATGGCAGGATGTATTGCTAATGGGCAAAACCGTATGTTTGATTTGTCTCAATGAAATATACAGTGTTTAGATTATTATGAGCTGATATCAATGTGGGCAGGCTGTCAAGATGGCCTTCCCTCTCTGTTTTGGCTCTGGTCTTGAAGCTGAGAACACCACAAAAACTGCCAGGCCACCATAGCAGCATACGATAAAAAGTTCGTAGAACTAGTTTTGTAAACTTTTAGCTTATCAGCCACTAACTAAAAGGTATAAAAAAGAAGTATTTGCAGACACAAAAAAGAGGACATACGTTGTTTGACTCCACTCATCTGAGGCACCTAGAACCAGCAAATTCAGAGACAAAGTAGAATAGAGCTTACCAGGAGCTGTGGGGAGTGGAGAATGAGGAATACAGAGTTTGTTTGGGATGATGAAAAAGTTCTGAAAATAGATAGTGATATGGTTGCACGACATCGTAAGTGCACTTAATGCCATTGAATTGCACACTTAAGAATGGTTGGAATGGTACATTTTATATTACATATACTTTATCACAAGATAGATAGATATATAGACAAATAGATAAATGAATACATTAACAACATGGAAATTTAAAAATAAAAAGTGCCTGGAAATAGAAGAAACAGGCAGCTTTTTCCTCCTCTCAGGAAACGACAACAGATACTATCTGTGGACATGCTCCTTCTGAGTACGCACTACCCAACAGATCCCAAATACAAGCATGTGTAACTCTTTGACTGCAGGCTTTCTCTAGCTGACTTGTCCTGTACACAAGGTGGGCAGAAGTGAAGGGGATATAACACCCTCAGTGAAAGGCAGGGGATCTCTCAGTGAAAGGCAGAAAGGAATTGGTGGATAAATGTCCCAGCTCATCTTTCCCCAATGGGGATGACTCCAAGCATGTGCAACACTGTCTCCCAAAACTCCCCAATGAGAATGAGTCCCAGTTGCTTTCAGTGGCATAAACTGCTTGATAATTTGCCCCTTATTGGCTTCCTGCCCTTCCCTGTCTCAATCCCCTAATAGTTCTTCCTGGGATCACCTCTCACACAAATAACTTGTACTTAAATCTTGGTCTCGGAGTCTGCTTCTTGGAGAATCACCCTGAAACTTGAAATGTTGAACTAGTATTTGAGGATGCAGGGTTGGTTCCTGGCACACACCAGAGAGACTTGCCTGGCAGGTAAGGAGAATCTGAGTTTACCGAAGAACAGCTTGCCTTCCCGAAGCATGGAAGTAGCAAATGTGCTTACCAATGTGGACCAGGGAGAAAGAATTATCATAAGAACCATCCTTCCAAGAGGACTCCCTGGAGCCCAAAAGAAGGACGGTCTGGCAGAAACTGGATTCTGAGGGGCTGATCATATCTACAGTGGGCTATGCTTTTATTAGGAACATTTGCAAGGTTTCTGAAGAACTCACAAAATTACCCAGAAAATACAGAATTAGTTTTGGACATTTGAATACCAAGAGGTCACCAAAGCAAATGGTAGTTATACCAGCCTGATAAGGTATTTTTTGATACTGACTTCTCTCTCTCCTCTTCTGCTCCTGCCCTGGAGAAACTAGAGGCAGCCCAGAAAGTCAGACAGTGGATATAAAACATAAGGTGAAGAAATTACAAAATAGCCAGTGAGACTTCCCCCAACTCCCTACTCCAACCTCACATCAGATTTATAAGCCCAAAGCAGGTCTGAATTGAAGGAGGGAAGTTGTAAGCTGGGTGAGAGTCTGGGATATTTATATGAGATGCAGAAAATTAGTGAGACTAACCTGAGATTTCAACTAAGAGGTGGAAAAGCACATGTTCATCAGAATTAGTGAGCAGATGCCATTGTAAGAATGAATAAGCTTATTTTCTGCTTGATTTCTATAGATTATGGTTTGCTCAACAAGCTACTACATAAATATTTTTTCCATTTTGATTCTTTAAAATAATAGAAAAATTATGTCTATAAAATATCTAACAGAAATGTTAAAAAGTGTTATCAAAGTTGATTAACACCCACATTATGCACAGAGAAAAACTGTGATGCTCTAAAATCTCATAATATTCACACTGTGCTTTTTGCCATAGTTGTACTAATAGAAAATGACCTGATTTTCCTTTGTTCCTTTGGAACATTTAATCTGTCTTCTACAGTATCTTCAATGAGCGTGTGTTGCTTATATAAATAGAAAATAAAATAATATTAAAAAAGAATATCACCCGATAACAAAGAAGATGAAATTGAGAAAGTTAAATTAATAGAGGCAACATTGATATCCATCATGTTATTAACCAGAACAACAAAGACCAACAGATTGTATTCCATCATTGGAAGAAATAATTCCTGTTCATACTTTAAAAAAACCCTGAGGCCACTGGAAGATCTTGAAGCACCTTCCAATCTTTGAATGTAGATTGATTTCCAAAGCTAATTCTTTGAAAACTAGTCTAGTTTTCATACCCAAGGTAAAAAAAAAATACAAGTCTACTCGATTTACTAGAAGACCCCATAGTCTACCCTGCCAAATCACAGAATATAATATGTCTTCTTTTAAGTCCTAGTATGCACAAAAAACATTTTATGATGAGAAAACAGGCTTGTATTATTCAGAGTTCTCTACAGTTCTCCATTCTCAGAAATTCTACATATCATTTTGGCTACCAAACCTTCTTATTTGGACATCCCTTTTGTACAGACATCTCTAAATGTTCAGCTGGGAATTTCTGCTAATTAATTTTCTTCTTCCACAATAATTAAAGACCTTTAAAAGTCATGATCTTCTCTTTTTTTAATTAGATGCAATGATTAGAAAATATTTTATATTACACAGCACTTTGCCTCTAATTGATTACATTTTCCCTTCCTTTAATTAATTTTTGTACAATGATAAAGTATTTTTGCCTTTGGGCCCTTGTAAATGTTTGTGTGCACATAAAAACACACATGTGTATATATATAAGTGCTGCTATTTCACTGACTTTGCCCCAAGAACAGTCTTGAGAAGAGAAGCAAATAAAATACATGTTGTATGTGATATGAATATTGTCACCATATCTTATTGTTTGTTTGTTTGTTTTGGTCTGGTTAGGTGTGTCTTTAGCACGTTTTCATTAATTTTCTTGAAGCCCTAAGCATTTGAGGAGTAAGTGTTTATATGGCATTATCTAACTTTTTCCACCTTGTTTTCATCCCCAAACTATTAAGAACAGCTCATCATTTTGTGCTTGGATGGGCTTGCAATCTGGGGCTTTGAAATACCATAGAACACAGTTCATACTTTGATGAACCCTTGTAGCTCTTCCTTGCCCTAGTGAGAAATGCTGAGTGTGGGGTGCCTAAACTACCACCTACAGCAATATTTCCCCCTCTCTGCATCTTCTCATCTTCACCAGAGATCTTGGTGACTTCACCTATAGAATTTCAGATTGCATGTCTCAGAGCTCTCCTAATCCCACGATTATTAGGAAGAGCTGTTTGTTTTGGCTTCTTGGGATGGGTCATTATATGTATAGTGGCCTATATGTGAGAAGAAAACAAATGCCTATGCAATAATCACCATAGTCAACGGAAAGACAGCAGCTTCCCTCCCCTTTCTGTCCTATAGAAGCACCGATTTCTCATTCTGTACACTTTTGCACTTTATTTTATTCACCCTTGTATTGCCACATATACGCCTTACTTACATGTGCTTTGTCATTCTATATAAATTGTAAATTTCTCAGAGGAAAGACCTACATTGCATAGCTGTTGACTAATGTGGAGGTCAGGAAGTACTTGCTCAACAAACCTGACTGAATCAAGTTTAATAGTCCAATGGTCAAAGCACAGGATTGGAAAACAAAAATTATTTCCAAAGAATACAATTACTGCAAAAGTTGCTATACTCTCTTTATTCTCTTCATTTGAGAAATGATCCGAATATTTTTTAGTATTATTTTTTAGTTTTTTTTATTCGCAAAACTCGAGACCGTCAATCATACAGTCTGTGGTCTTCAAACCAAGTGTGTTCTTCAAACCAGCAGCATCAGCATCACCTGGGAGTTTGTTAGAGATAAAAAATGTGGGACCCCACTCCAGACCTACTGAAGTGCAATGTGTATTTTAACAAGATATCCAGGTGGCTTTCACATACATTAGTTTGTGAAGACCTGTTGTAAAATACATGACCAATGTTTTCCACCACCACCATCACCATCACCATCTCTACTAGTAGCATTACTAGCACCACCACCATCACCAACACCACCATGACCAGCAACACCATCACCCCCACCACCATCTCCTATTATACATTGAGTATAAACACATGCCAGAAACTGCACTAAGCCCTTCATATATGTAGTAGCATGTGCTCACACTGCTAATAAAGACTTACCAGAGACTGGGTAATTTATAAAGGAAAGAGATTTAATGGACTCACGGTTCCACATGGCTGGGGAGGCCTCACAATCCTGGTGGAAGACAAAGGAAGTGCAAAGGGCTCATGGTGGCAGGCAAGAGAGAACGTATGTAGGGGAACTTCCTTTTATAAAGCCATCAGACTCGTGAAACTTATTCACTATCACAAAAACAGCATGGGAAAGACCTGTCCCCATGATTCAATTACCTCCTACTGGGTCCCTCCCCCAACACATGGGGATTATGACAATTTAAGATAAGATTTGGGTGGGGACACAGAAGGAAACCATATCAATATGCATTATTCTATTTGGCACACAAGTACTCTATTTGACAAATAATACTTTATACTCATTTCACATAACAAGATATGACAGCTTATAAATGGAGGATCTGAGTCTCAAATACAGTTCCGTTTGGGCCTGAAAATCTGCTCTGCATTCCAGTGCCTTTCATTTTCAAGTGAGAGTTTATATCAATTACAAAGATGGATCATTTTGAGTGGAAAAACCATCTAATTGACAGAAAAAAAAGCTGTACTTGAATAAAAAAGCTTTTCCTGCTGTATAAGTGTCTGATTAATTTCTGTTGAAATGTAACTTAAAATTTTTTAAATTATTTTTTCTCTTTGAGTTTTTATCCCCACGACCCCTTCTGTAATTAGCCTTCAGTTGTTATTTTGAGAAAAGGAAACACTAAAGAGTTTATAAATTATAAATTATCACAATCTTTAATCTTATTGAACCTCTTAGCTTTCATTTCTTCCTTTTACAGGTTGGTGCAAAAGTAATTGCGGTTTTGGCCATTATTTTTAATTACTCTTAATGGCAAAAACCACAGCTACTTTTGCACCAACCTAATACTTAGGAAATTTATCTTTTAAAAAGGGAGGGAACAAATGCTGTGTCCTCACATGGCAGAAGGCAGAAGGGTAAAAAGGGGTAAAGGGGGCCTAGCTAGTTATCGCCTACTCTTTTATAAGGCATTAATTTCACCTATGACAGTGGAGCCTGCATGGCCTGATTGATTACCTCCTAAAGACCCTTCCTCTTTATGTACTGTTACACAGGGAATTAAATTTGAACATGAATTTTTGAGGGCACACAAACACAAAAACCATAGTAGTAACTATGTACCATTTTAATTGCAATATTCGGTAATAGGATCACTATTTTCTTGGTTGATATCGTTTTGCATTCCCTAACTATCAAGAGCTAAAAACTTTCCAGTTCATCTCAAATCTAGTCAAATTCATAATCCTCTTCCATACATTGTCTCCAGCAACTAATCTTGTGTCCCATTACTCTAGATTTTCATAATCTCTTGTAGTAATCTCAAAAATGATCTCTCTGACCTTCCATACACCCAATCCATACTTCCCAACGCCTTCAACTCTGTCCTTATCCAACACATATGACATCATCTTCCAATTTACAATTTTTTTATGGTTCCACATTGCCTGTATTAGTAATAGCTAATGCTTTCCTCATACTAATTTAGTACTGCACAGGGCTAAATGTCTTGTGTGCATTAGGTCATTTACCCCATCAGCATTCAAGTAAGGTAAGAATTGCTATCATACCCACATTACCAATGAATCTCTGAGAAACCCGGTAGTTTGCCTAAGACCACATAGCTATTAAATGTTGGCTCTGGGTCTCAAACTCAATTTTGCCAGATTTCAGACTCCCACACCTGTAGCTCCCATGCCTTATTGTCTGCAGAATAGATGGCAGCCCACATAATCTGTTATCCAGTACTCTCCATGCTATGACTTGATGCCATCCTCCCAGCTGTGCCTTCTACAATATAGAGCTCAACATTTCACTGTCTTTGAACATCCCTTGGACTTTACAATGTCTATGATTTATTTATGCTATTCCTTCACCTCTATTGGCATTCCCCCTTTTATGGCTGTTCAAATTGCCCTCAGTTCTTGGATGCCAACACCTGTATTATATTTTCTGTAATTTTTTTTTTTTTTTTTTTTTTGAGATGGAGTCTCTCTCTGTTGCCCAGGCTGGAGTGCAGTGGCGCAATCTCGGCTCACCATAAGCTCCGCCTCCCGGGTACATGCCAGCCATTCTCCTGCCTCAGTCTCCCAAGTTGCTGGGACTACAGGCGCCCACCATCACGTCTGGATAATTTATTTTTTTTATTATTATTATACTTTAAGTTTTAGGGTACATGTGCACAATTTATTTTCTGTAATGTTTAAGTTAAAATTAAGTTCCCCCTCTTCCATATACTAATAGCACTTTTTTCTTGCAACACATGTAGTTTTAATTACAGGTGGATTTGCCATGTAAGGTTCTTGAAAGCACAGTGCCCAGTAAATACCTCTTGAGTAAAATTGAATAAAAATTTATTCTCATTCCACCTCTAATTTCTTACCTTAAAATGGATATGGTTTAATAGTTAAAAAAATAATTTTTGTTGGATGCAGTGGTTCATGCCTGTAATCCCAGCCCTTTGGGAGGCCAAAGTGGGAGGATTGCTTGAGCCCAGGAATTTGAGACCAGCCTGGGAAAAATAGACCCTTGTCTCTACAAAAATTAAAAAATAAAAAATTAGCCAGGCATGGTGGTGCATGCCTGTGGTCCCAGGTACTTGGGAGGCTGAGGTGGGATGATCATTTGTGTCTAGGAGGTCAAGTCTCAGTGAGTCATGACTGTGCCACTGCACTCCAGCATGGGTGAAAGAGTGAGACCCTATCTCAAAAAATAAGTAATTTTTAATATGCTGTTCACCTGGATTGTGTAAATTAGCAAATGGAAATCAAATCTCGTATTTTTACCTTCTCTTTTGGGATCTTCCTTACATTAAACTAAAAATTGACTTTTGATTGAGCTGTTATTATTACTTTTTGTTTTTGTTTTTACAGTCATGAAATTTTACTAAAAGAATTGTCCCCTCAATGTGTAGAAATATATTTAGTAGGTTCCCTCTTCTTAACCAGGAGGCTAAAAAGAAAATGTCAACACATAGAAATTAAAGAATGTACCTGTGAAGTCTCCCCAGATGTGGTATGTGGTGGTGGACAAGGGTCACGGGGATACTTTTCTGTTCTTTGTAACTTTATGAAAGCAAAAAACCTTAGTTACTTTTGATTTATAATAGTGGCAAGGTCATCTTTATCATGAAAAAAAAAAAAAGAAAAACAAGGTCTATATTTTCAGACCCTGAGATTCAATTTATCATGAAGATCAATGACAGTTTTATTCTCTAGAGAGATAAACTATTCCTTTTGCTATAAAATTATCACCTTTGTTCAGACCTTGTGCTGTTGCTAAAGTACTGTGAAGCTGGAGTTGTAATAGAATAGTTTAACAATAGAAAAACATTACATTTGAACATTCGTTTGTATAGCTGTCTTCTCTTTCCAAACAAAAGATAGTATATGAATCCACTGCTTGAGTTGTGAGGACTGAGTGAGAAGCAGCCTAACTCATTAAACTGGTAATGTAACTAGAAGGTTAAGTGTTTTCTGAGAGCCATCTAGAGGATGAGAAGGCAAGAGATAAGGCCAGAAGTATTTGGAGGAGAGTTCAGGGGGGCAAAAAAGGATAAAAAGTAGAAGAGAAATCCTTGCTGACCTAAAAACATTATAGAGCAAAAGGGAGAAAGAAAATAAATTAAACTCTAAATAGGAAGTATACTCAGTATTAGACATTGTTTCTGAATTTAAGAATTCACAGACTAATCGAGGAATCATGTATACAGCCATTCTGTCATTTATTCATTCATTAAAAATTTACTCAATGTCTGTGTACTATCTACCAGGAACCAGGATGGGTGCTAGGGAATAAGATAGACACAAGCCCTACCCTCACATCACTGTCAGTCTAAGGAGATGCACAGGAACTATAAATGTCATCTCAATAAAAAACATCACCAGCAGGGCCGATTCTAGCAGTTTGTCCCACATTTATATTGCCCAGAATGTACATGATCAGAAGAGCGGGACTCCACTTTTTTCCTCCAGTGATTTTCTTTCCCAGGAGTCATGCCAAAGAATATAAGTGTAGGTTAGTCCTAGCTGCCATGTACTCTTGCCAAGTAGATCTGAAATTAAGACATGACCACTGGATGCTGAAAGAGTCACAGTTGATGTCAATGCTTGTAGCCTCAAGCATTGAATGTTGTTGCTACTGCTTCTCTACCTCTTGATGTCACACATTGGTGAAATTACTGGTGATGGATACTCACTGCTAAATGTTATAACTCCGAATTAAAACTTTTAAAATCACTCACACAGACTTTCCTGTAGGATGACAGGGTTGGGAAACAATCTCTCTGACAAAACCCCAACATTACTCTTCCATATAAAACAGTTTTCAGAGAGATTAGTCCACTAGTCCCAGTTCCTTCTACCTTGATTATGAATTATTTTAAGGGCCTCTGTGTACTTTCCTACTAGTAGGTCATGGTCAGATCCATCCCTGTTGATCTGATCCTACAGTAATAAGGTCTCAAAAGTTACTTGATCATTCTCCAATCCCAGAAGACCTCTCTGCTCCTCTGTAATTTTATGTAATCTCCACTCAACCCTAGGCAGCAATATCCACACTCCATACTCCCAATGAATCTGTTAAAAGTGTGGTAACGTATCTCTGTCTGCTTACAGATTCTGCATCCTGATACTGGCTCACTCTGAATGTCCTGTCAAAAAGTGATTAGGGTTACTTTTTGTATAAGGTGGAAGGAAGGGGTCCAGTTTCTGTTTTCCTCATATGGCTAGCCAGTTTTCCCAGCACCATTTATTAAATAGGGAATCCTTTCCCCCTTGCTTGTTTTTGTCAGGTTTGTCAAAGATCAGATGGTTGTAGATGCGTGGTGTTATTTCTGAGGTCTCTGTTCTGTTCCATTGGTCTATATATCTGTTTTGGTACCAGTACCATGCTGTTTTGGTTACTGTAGCCTTGTAGTATAGTTTGAAGTCAGGTAGCATGATGCCTCCAGCTTTGTTCTTTTTGCTTAGGATTGTCTTGGCCATACAGTCTCTCTTTTGGTTCCTATGAAATGTAAAGTAGTTTTTTTTCCAATTCTGTAAAGAAAGTCAACGGTAGCTTGATGGGAATAGCATTGAATCTATAAATTTCTTTGGGGAGTATGGACATTTTCATGATATTGATTCTTCCTATCCATGAGCATGAAATTTAGGCTGTGGAGAAATAGGAACACTTTTACACTATTGGTGGGACTGTAAACTACTTTGACCATTGTGGAAGACAGTGTGGCAATTCCTCAAGGATCTAGAACCAGAAATACCATTTGATCCAGCAATCCCATTACCGGATATATACCCAAAGGATTATAAATCATTCTACTATAAAGACACATGCACACATATGTTTATTGCAGCACTATTTACAATAGCAAAGACTTGGAACCAACCCAAATGCCCATCAATAATAGACTGGATAAAGAAAATGTGGCATATATACACCATGGAATACTATGCAGCCATAAAAAGAATGAGTTCATGTCCTTTGCAGGGACATGGACAAAGCTGGAAGCCATTATTCTCAGCAAACTAACACAGGAAGAGAAAAACAAACACCACATGTTCTCACTCATAAGTGGGAGTTGAACAATGAGAACACATGGACACAGGGAGGGGAACATCATATAGCGGGGCCTGTTGGTGGGTGGAGGGCAAGGGGAGGGAGAGCATTAGGACAAACACCTAATGCATGTGGGGCTTAAAACCTAGATGACAGGTTGATAGGTGCAGCAAACCACCATGATACATGTATACCTATGTAATAAATCTGCGTGTTCTGCACATGTATCCCAGAATTTAAAATAAAATAAAAAATAACTAAATAAAAATGATTAGGGTGGGTATCTGTAGTACAACAGTAAAAATATGCACATGATGGAATATAATCAAGTATAAAATGTGCAGGGCTGACTGTACATCTCCTTGGTCCTCTTCTACACCTTCACCATAAGGAGCTGTACTTTTACTCACTCCACAAGTCACTATCACTATCCTTCAAATAAAGCATCACTCTCTTATTTAAAGGACAGAAGAGTCATGTATGAGTCAGAGGAAGAAAGATGAGAACTGGTAGCTGATTCAGGACTTTCCCATGAGTCTTTCCTGATTGGTCCTAAGATTTTACATAAATGTTGTATACTTGCAAACATAAAATAAGCCTCTAATAAATGTTTATTGAACTGAATAGAACATCACTAAAACTACTATGAGTATATAGATATACATTGAAGTTGCACCATCACATTAAATTTTATTAAATATCGTCACTTCTCCTATAAAAGAAAAATAAAGCAAAGAGACAACCAATTTAAATAATGCAAAAGAGGTAAATAATTAAACAATGCTGACAATGCCACCCAACAAACACATGCCCTAAAGTGAATGGGCATGAGAAAGATGTAAAACTGCTCTGCCTAAGCATGATTTAGTCCCTATGGAAATACATACTGTCGTAATCACATCATGCTGAGTGTGAATGCGAGGGCTCACTGTATGCACTGTTTATGCAATATGGCACCTCCACACGAGCTGGGTCCATAATCTTTAGTTGTTGCTCAACTGAAGAAAGCAAGGTCTGTTTCAGTGTTGGAGGAAAACTGACTCTGTTGGACTCGTTGAGAAATTCAATATCAGTTTCCAATGTGGTAGCCAATTTTGCATCTACATTACCAAAAATATAGAGAACAGAAATTCATTAAGCCGTGGTGCCAAGCACTCTAATGACTACAATGTTGAGAAATGAAGTGAAAGACAATAGTAATTTGACCATATGTGATTTTCACCTACCTGATATCTTTAGACTAACGCCGCAGGGAGATGCAACTCCATCATATTTATGAAATTGTTCTAAATCTAAGCTTTGGAAATATGCTTTTCACCTACCTGATATCTTTAGACTAACAACCAGAAAGATGCAACTCCATCATATTTATGAAGTTATTCTAAATCTAAGCTTTGGAAATATGTACTTATTAACACATGCCTTATTTTCATTATAATTTAAAATACATATAGCATAGCTGTGTAACCTTGAACTAGTCACATAAATTCTGTTTCCTCATCTGTAAAACAAAAGGGCCAGACTTTGAACACTCATATCCCTTCCAGTAGTATCATTCTCATTCGGAATACATTAAATTCCATTCTATATGCAGAATAATCTAATTGGGAGATGACTGGTTGAAGCTTCATTATGAAAATCAGAGCTAGGAAGCCATTTCTGTGACATGGAGAATAGTCAGACAGAATTACATGTATGAGCTTTGTGAGTGAACTATTAAGATTAATACTAATGAGATTCTATTTTTATAAGTTGTCCCTTGACAGCAGTTCTTAAATAAAAAGATAGGACTAATGTCTCAGGCACAATTCAGTACACAGTCAGCAAATGAAGAAATACCTTTGTTAAATTACCTTCGAGTCAAAAGCCTGTTGTCTGTGAGATTAGTTCTTATAATCATTTTTTTATTAAAAAACCAGCTGCCATTTATGGACAGGTGTTTAATTTGAGGTCATGTTAGAAAAATAACAATTTAAAACAGTTTTATATACTTGAAGAATTTATTGGACACGTTTGAAATTCCATTCACAACAAATGCAAGAGGAAAATAAAACAAACATATGATTTCTCATTATTCTCTAGAAGCACTGGGAACTTAACCCTACCAGTCCCACAGTGAAATGATGAAGCCATTCTTTAGTTATGCATATTCTGCTACTCTTTTAAGACATTTGCTAAAAAGTCAATTTTTCTTGAGCACATTAATATATATACGAATTGAGGTGTTTCAAATTATATTTTTATTACAAAAGTTTAAATTTTAATCCAGATTTCAGCATTGCCTATACTTAGAAGGAAAGACTGTCAGTCATGGAGGGAAAATACCATACCCTGTTAAACTCCTTGCAGGAAATTTCTTTTCTAGTAGTTATTTGCTTTGCTCTCAGAAAGCATAATTAGTCACATTTTAATAGTCCCTATGACCTCTTTCTATATAGACAGCTGTGGAAGAAAATATTGAAACTCAGGAATTTGTTAAAGTTAATTGAAAGCAACAGAACCAAAATTTCAAACTTAAGTTATTTGAAATTAGAGTTCAGATTATTCATACGTAATCAGATAATGCTTTGATGTCTTGACCTATGTGTTTTTGTTTCTAATATTTATTGCTATTTCATGGCTCTTCCCCATTTAGGCCCTAGCTTAAGTGTTTTATGTTCAAGATCTCAGGAAAGAATAAAAAGGATGACTCAGAAGAACACAAAATGATCAATTTTTGGCTTTTGGCTTTTAAGATAGCATAATCGTGTAATGACAAAAGATGAGTGCTTTATGAAAGAATACTTTCTGACCTTTGGTCCTTCTCCCTAAACCCCACCACATTCATAACCAAGGGCTGCTAAAACAGGAGAATTAGTGGGGAAAAAGAATGTGGATATGGGTGGGCTTCAAGAAGGACCCCTGAACCCTTGGCTGAGCCCCAAGGTGGGGACAATGGAAAACCTAGAACAGCATGTTCTCCACTCATAAGTGGGAGCTGAACAATGAGAACCCATGGACACCGGGAGGGGAACAACACACACCAGGGCCTGTCAGGTCCCCTCGGGGTGAGGGGAGAGAGAGCGTCAGGATAAATAGCTAATGCATGTGGGGCTCAATATGTAGGTGACAGATTGATAGATGCAGCAAACCACCATGGTACACTTTTGCCTATGTAACAAACCTGCACATCCTACACATGTATTCCAGAACTTAAAATAAAATTTAAAAAAAAAAAAGAAAAGAAAAAAGAAAACCTAGAACAGGAAGGAAGGACCTTGTCCCAGGTGTAGCAGATTCTCCTTGGTTACCCTCAATACGTACACCATATCTATCTTCTCTCTCTCTCTCTCTTCGTTAGTAATAGAGATTGCGCATTATAATCACCACAAAGCCTTTCAGTCAAAGGACTGTATTTCCTGGCATTCTATGCAGCTGGCTTTGATCATGTGACTAAGTATGGCCTATCTTCCCTCTCCCTCATGACTTAAACGAAAAAGAATAGTGAAAACTGGTCTATGAGATAAAGCCACAGCATGAGGATAGCAGAGCAACAAGGTAATGAAGCCTTGATAATGACATATTTAAAGGATTGTATCAGCCTTGGAACACCATATTAGCACAGAACCACCTTCCAGTATTTTCACATGAAGGAGAGATGAACATCTACCATATTCAAGTGACATTATTTTCATGTCTCATAAAACAGCTCAACTACTATCATAATACACTAGCTGAAGCCCAAAAGATGGCCAGATATTGTTTATTTTTTCCACCCAGCACAGTGTGAATGCAGAAAATTTTTCTCTAGGCAGATGGGACTGAGACCTCCTTAGAGAGTTTCAGTGACCACCACAGAGTCTGGAAGGGCCAGGGAGCATAGGAGCAGAGATCCCCAGTACTCAGAGTAGTGCAGGAATGGGGGATGGTCTACCACGTGCCCCCAGATGACAGAGAGAAGAAGGATTGGAAAATGTCTGGCAGTTAGAAACAAGGAGGAATCACAGTAGCCACATGGACTAATGGCCAAAGTCCATATAGGAATGGCAACTTACCAGCAAATGCCAGTGCTAAGAGCTAATAATGACCCAAACAAGCTTGTGCCCACTCACGCTCTAAGTTAATATGTTGTGACATTACAGACACCCACTGGAATTTAGATACAACCCCAGAAAGGGAGGAAATAGGGAAGCCCTGAATTCATTGAAATTAATTTTTTTTTACCACTTAGAAAAATAGAATCTTGTCATAGACATTAAGTTCTAAAACACTCAAGTTCTAAAAACTAAAATTGTTACCAGTTCTTACATTTCTTGGTTTGTGGTCTGTGACTTGTACTCGACACCAAAACAATTGTTAGGTGGTAGAGGACAGTGGAGTTAAAAGTTATTAAATAATAACCAGTTTGTGGATTATTCATTGCATTCATTCATTTACCAGCCCTTACATAATGTATGAGCACTCAAATATTTCTAAATATCTGTTGAATTATTCCATTTCACTGACTGTGATATTATATGAATAAACTTTCCTGAATAAATTATTACAAGTAAAACTTAAAATTGTCCTCCTCCTCTTTTAAATGTGGAGAAACTGCCTAAAGTTCCTCTAAACACTCTCTAATCTATACACCAACTAATTCCTTGAATATACATGTCCAATAGTAGAATCTTTTTTGTAATAGCCTAGTGAATTTAGTGCCAATATTGGGTAACATTTTTCTTTTCAAAGCTATTTGAGTGGTATTTTGCAGGTGATGAAACATTTGATATGGCATTATCCACAGGTAACCTTCCAATTTCCCTTTTTGACCTAATAACCTATTACATATTGTATTAGTTATTTATTTAACACATTTTTTAGCATTCATTGTATACCAGGGGCTGGGTTATCACTGCAAAGACAGCAAAGAACAAACCCATTGAGGCTCTTACAGATTCAATAACAAAGGAAAGTATTAAACAGAAGGAATAACTGTTTAAGATGAGGCCTGATAGTTGAATTACATTTACCAGGCCAATGGGGTAAAAGATGAGACGAGGGGAAGGGAATATTTTCCAAAAAGGAGAACACATTTTGAAGTCTTAGGTAGAGGAAACTGTGTCTGAGGAATTCCAGTTTCAGTGTGACTGTATCATAGAAGGAGAAATAAAGAGCAAATGAAAAATGAAACTGTACACACAAATGCAGATTTGAGGAGCCATAAATCCCTAGAAGGAACCTATGGGAAAAGTCCATGTTTCTAAAAACTATTCTAGAAAAGTAGAGTCCTGCAATCACAAGTCAAATGCTTGCAAATTTGAAGCCCCCTTGAGGTGCCTGAGCTGAAGTCAATCGTTTTCCTTTCCACCTCTCAGGAGAAAGTATCAAGAGATCCAGAGGGAAGAGTGACCAGCAGATTTGACCACTTTTACGACAGTATATTATAGCAATTATTTAGAACCTTGACATATACTTTAGATTAATTTTATTGATTTTCACAAAATTTACAGTTTATAGATTTTTTTTTAAGAAAGTTTTCCCTATTCCCATTGCCAGTCCTCAATATGAGCCTGGAAATCTTTTCAGAAAGGAGACCATCAGTTGAGACAAACAGAAACGAAAACTGATTTGCCTTCCATCCCTCACACTATTTTACTCCAGAAACAGGAAAAGGGAATGCCTGAATAAGGAATGATTGTTGGGGACAAAATTCTTAAATTAGAAAAGCTAGTTCAGTTCATTAATAGATCTTCCCAAACCAACAGAATTTAAGATCATTCAAATATATCAAGAGATAGAAAACTTATGAGTGTTCAAGGAAATAAGAGTATACTTTAGGGAAAAAGTCATATTCCTCACACATTCTAAACACTAACTCATTGTGGCAGGATTGCAACCAGATTCCCCTGATGACTTTTGGAAAAGAAACACCAATTAAACAGACGATGACAGAAGGAATCTGAACTTATAAAACAATCACATTGCACAATATTCCCTTAAAATTGCTAAACCAGAAGGCAGATCTATACAGGATGAATTTAAACTCCAGTTCAAGCAGAATTAAGGGGTGTAATGACTACTCCTCAAGGAAGACAGACCAGAAAAATTAGTATGGAATTCCAGAGTTTGTAAGATATTTACTATCCTAGACTACTATATCTGAACCAACTAGTTCACTGAATTGTAAGCATTCAAGGCTTAGAAAATAATTGAAAATAGTGAGAGAGGAAAGAACAGAATAATATTTAAATTCCCCAACTGTGCACAATTCAAAAACTGGCCATACATAAGAAAAATATAAAATACACTACATGACATCCAAAAGCCTTTCCCTTAAAAGAAGATTGTTCAAAGATTCAAAATTATAAACAAAAATAAAGTTTGAGTAACTGGGAGACTTTAAAAATAGACTTCAGGTAACTTTCAAGCAATATTCTGGGAGTAGACTCAACAGTGGAAGTCAATAGAACCTATCCTGTCTTTTGTAATGGACTCAAATCTGAAATGGGGACTTGGTCAGAAAAATAATTGGAGTGAGATATCTCCAGTTTAGAAGATCTGCAACATGTAGCTGAGTATTGTCAAGAAGTTCTAGAAAGTAAATAAGCTAGAAATAAAAACAAATATCTGATTCTCAGATAAAACAACTAACCACCCAAAGAGCCAAGGATACTCTGTTCTCTAAGAATCAAGAACCTGTAAATGAGGACACTTACAGATATTGCAAACAAAAGTGTTATTGGAAGACCCATGTCACTTATTGGTTGAGAAACAAAAAGACAACTGTACAAATCTGTTGAAAGATACCGCTCCAAGAAAACTATTGGAAGCTGCCAATTCCTGTCCTTTCACTAAACTCCAGAGGGGAATTGTTTACAAATATAAATGAACAACAATACACTTTTCTTGTTGATCAGTGCCACTCTGTACACCATCAATCCCACTAAAGAAGCAGATCTCATCCTTTAGAGCACTAAAACTACTAAAATGGTGGGATTTTCTAGTGATTCTAAAGCTTTTCCAGTGTTCCAACATAAAATTGTTACTTTGAGACCAATATTGGAAAAACCCTCCTTTCTTTCCTGACACAACTTTTGCAAATTTAATAGGTAAAGATCTACTTTGCCAGTGGAACTGCCAGATTAAACATACTACAGAAGTATTATTTTTAGATGTTTCAGGAAATTCTCCTGCACACAATGAAATTATGGCTGATATGGATATTAATACATCCTCATTATGTATGATTCAAAAAAATCTTAGAATTTAGCTGTGGTTCCAGAAACACTATGGACAAAAGATTCTTCATACGTAGGCAAAAATAACTAGAGAAGACTCTAGTTTTTTTTTCTAGACTCTAGATTGATTTTTCTAAAACTTTACCTAAATTTTCTCAATGGCTTCTTAAAGCTGAAGCCAGTGAAGACCTTAAACTAATTGTGACCCCTACCTGGGACACTCCAATTTACCTATGAAATGATTGAAAAAGACATTTTACTGGTGCAGTTATTTGTAAATTATGTAAGGTCTTGCCCCTTACTCAAAGTCTTCACTGTTTTTGTTATTCTCAATAATCTGAAAAAGTAGAAAAACACAAGTAAAACATTAAAACTGAAATTACCTAACCAATCAGTGCCTTTCAGCTCCCATAGTCACACATCCTGCTCTAAGTTCTTTTCGTCCTATCTCCTTTTCCCTTCAGGATCTCAAACATTCTCTTATTGCGAACCATGAACTAGTCACTGCCAGAAACGTGTGCTAAGGGATAATGTCACCTATACTTGACTCAAATCTTTTACAAGTTCAATATTATAAAAAACTAACCCAATATACTCGGTCCTATCATTAACAGGCACAGGCTATCTTTCCTCACCAATCACCTAATCTGTGTTTCACGACCTAAAAGCAAGTGAGCTAGTGTACTGGGAAAGGGTGATGTACATTCATGATCTCATACAAATCTTATAGCAACTCTTTGAACTAGGTTTTATTATTATCTCTTTTGGACAAAAGAGAAAATTCTTGGTTAATTCATTTGCCCAAGCTCCGATGTCTGGTATTTGAACCCAGGTTGTACAAAAAAAACCTTAACCACTTAGAAAAATGAAGCATGCAAGGATTTGGGCGTTAATTGAAATCCAATTTCATTAACACTGGTTATCTCTTAAAAAATGAAATTAAATTATGTTTGATGTTATATTCCATAGAACTATGGCCAAATTTATTAATGCTTGCCAAAACTCTTCAGTGTTTGGGGTAGTTCTTTCTTCTCTCCTTCATAGAGTTGGTCACATTCGTTCACTGGAAATTGTTATTAAAAATGTTGTTTATCATGTGTGCAAAGAACAGGGATAAGTCTTAAAGCTAATGATAAGAGAATGCACGATCCAGCTGTCATACAAGGACCTAACCAAAAACAATGTTGATTTTTGAGAATGGAGTGATTAGTAAAAGAAGAATGATCAGGTTTTCAGAGTCCCAGACAGTTCCATCATTTTGTGGTAGTAGTTATGAAACATGACCTGACTTCTTGAGTACACACTGGGTGACTGTGATTGGGTGAAATTTCCTCCTCCAGCACTTTCTTCTAGATCTTCAAATATGTGACACCGACAGAAATGAAGCTGGCAAATCAATGCATAGAGAATTGTCTCACATATGTAGCTCTACCCAGGTCATACATATGCATATTGTTTTCTCATTAGCATGTACTGAAAGGAAAAGAGCATACAATAATAGAGGCACATTGGCAATCTGCAAAGAAATGGAAATAATGAGGGTCTTATCGCTTTTAAATTTCTTTAAATATATTTTTAGAAGGCAATTTTTGATGATCTGTATATTCACTGGTGTTTGTGAAATAGCTCTCCTGGATTTGTTTTTGTTTTGCCATAGACATGACATACATTTTCCTTAAGTCTGAGAAATTAGATGCAGGCCCCACATGATTTTCTCATCCTGAAACTTACAAGCCCTTGATTTATGGGTCTTTTAAAAGTGCAGAACACCCACAGATCTGCCAACTGACTTTTATTTATTATCAATTTTCTCTAGTGTGGATTGAAGTAACTCCATCAGTTATTCTCCACCATTACCATATTCACTATCATCTACATATATTCTTTTTCATTATGCAAAGTATTAATGTTCCTTTCAAATCCCTTTCCGCTCAGTGCTTCTCTTCATTTTCTTTCCCCATCTTTGCCTTTCATTTCCTACGCTAAATTTGTACTTACCTGGTGATTGCTTTCAAACCCTTTTGTATTAACCTTAGATTTTGAACTTTGTCGTAAATGTTTTATAGACCCATTTTCATTACCCAAAAAAAGCATACTTGGGTTTCCAGATCCATTTGATTATTGAACCCAGCCATTTGACTTCAATGGGGATATGCATAACAAAGGATATATTTCAAATGTACAATATGTCACACAAAATATCTGGATTTTGGCGGGATCAGTTTTCTCATTATCCCATAGGCTCTAACAACTGAGTCAATTTTAACTGAATTCATCAAAGAAATATTCCTGGATTACTAATGCAATGTGCATCCTTTGCAAGAAGGACCTGTACTTTGTCATGAATTTATGCAGCCCATGAATAAGCAAAATCATGTTCATTTAAAAGACTTGTTAATCCCGAGTGAATTATTTAGATTCTGCCACCAGCCATTTTGTAAATCTAAGGTGTCACACTGATTTAATAAATGAATGAACAAATGAAAGGGCTGATAGAGCTGTGACAAAAATTTAAAAACCACAGACACTAAAGAAATAGCATATTTTAAAGCCTTTTTACAAAAACAAAGGAAAAACACTTTTCTAGGCATCTCCAAATTGTGATCCCAGCATTTCCCCTACTTAGCTAATAAGTCTTTCTAACTTCTGCTCATTATAAAGTTAATCATTGTGTTGTAGCATATTGTTTCTTTTCAATTCTGATATCAAAATTACCCTTGATAGCTGCTATATTTGAAGATGATTGAATTGAATTTTTAATCTGATTAATCAAAGAGCTCAAAATATAATCATAGTAATTTTATATAGGAATATATTTTGCTAGAAATCACAGAAAAGCCTACCACAGTGGCTATAAACATATTTTGGTATGGTGGTCCAAGAGTGCCATGGCGGTTCAGTGGTATCAACAGGGATACAGGCTCTTCTATCTTTCCATCCTCAACCTGTAGGCCTTAACCTTCATTTTGTTTGCCTCATGATCACAAGATGGTTGCTCTGCTACTAAACCTCACATCTGTAGTACCAGCAGGAAGGAAGAGAGAACACAAAGAGGCATAGGTTATTCTTTTTTTCCTTGAAGAGATTTTGCTTTATTTCAATAAAGAGAATTCTGCCTAAGAACGCTGACGTCATTAGCAAAAAATGGTATCCCTTGACCAACTCAAAACTCTTCCAAAACCAAGAATATGAGTACTTTGGTTTTCTTGTCTGTCTACTTGAGGAAAACAAAGGTGAATAGGACTGTGAATGACCATGGTGTAATCTATCTGCTGTATTTCCAGTTTGTTCCTATTGTAGAATCTAAAAGGAGAGCATGAGAGACTACTGAAGATATTTGATAAGAAAGATAAGGGGATCATAAAGACAATAATAATTGAGCATAAGATATGTGGGTTAAGATTGGTGGAATATGGTGGGTGATGCAGCTAGGTAAGTTTGAACCAGACGTTGAAAACTGATGAAACCAAGCCAAAGTTATTAGCTGTGATACTATGGACCACTATTCTCCACTGGGCTATACGTTAGAATCACTTAGGAGGCTTTCCAAAAATGTTAACGCCAGCTAAATCTGAAATTCTTAGGATAAGGCTTAAATACCTATATTTAACATTTTCTTCATGTTATTCTTAAGTACATTCAGGGTTAAAAGAGTGACTCTGAAATTTATTTTGAGAACTGAAGCTTTTAGAGTAAGCCACCAATAGAGCAAACTATTTACAGATTCATTCAAAATATAAATATGGAGAAAAATTAGCTTGTCAATATAAGTGTCCTTTACAGAAAACTCAAATAAATATGTCCTTAATGGATAGAACTTGAATATGGATATACATTTAGATCTTGAATATCTCTTTAGAAATTACTTGAAAAAAAATTGTAATAGTATGTCATTATTTGTAGTTTTAATGCCATTAATCATGAAGACCTGGAAAGCCCAAAATTTATCAATGTCAATTCTGAATTACATATTTTAAGGAAATAGCTCCTTCAAAACACTTGAGATATTTTGATTTGTGCAGTAGTCATGAGTATAATGTTTCAAACTTTATGGATTATCTATTTACATTTACTCGGCAGATATTATTTTAAATTGGTCAGGATAGGCTAACTTCTGTAACAAAAAACCCATATCTCAGGAAATAAATATTTATTGTTCTAAAATAAGTGAAAACAGTGAACATGGAGAAGAGAGTGGGAAGTTTTAAAGAACTGGGCATGAACTTTGCCCACTATCTATTGTCCAGAGCTAAGTCAAATGGCCCCACCTAAATGAAAAGGAGACTGAGAAATACAGTCTTCTGTGCCCAGGAGGAAATGGAAACGGAATGTAGGAAACACATGGCATTGCATCTGCCCCAACTACTTAAACACTTTTGAAAGTGACCTTTTCAATAATCTAGAAAAAGCCATAGAACTTCTCCCTAGGAAAATGCATGCATTCACATCATTTTATATATAATTTCGCAGGTTGTATGGATCCAGCTTAAAAAACCCCACTCTCCAACTCTGAGAGTTGACTATGTAGATTTGCCATGAGTACTCTCCATAACAGAAAAAAAAAATCATTGGACAATTTCAATGATTATAAAACATGTATACTCTAGTCTGTCTTCCATATCTCCCAATCATTCTCATAGGAGTGCAAACCCTATTGTGAACTGCACATATAAGAGATCTAGGTTGGATACTCTTTATGAGAATCTAATCCCTGGTGATCTTTCACTGTCTCCCATCACCTCCAGATGGAACCATCTAGTTGCAGGAAAACAAGCTCAGGGCTCCCACTGATTCTAGATTACTGTGAGTTGTAGAATTATTTCATTATACCTTACAATGTAATAATAATAGAAATAAAGTGCACAATAAATGTAATGCACCTGAATCATCCTGAAACCATCCCCTCCCACCACCCCAACCCTCAGTTCATGGAAAAATTGTCTTCCACAAAATTGGTCCCTGGTGCCAAAAAGATTGAGAACTGCTGTGTTCAGCCTTTCAAATATTTGAAGAATTTTTTCTTTCGGTTGCCTAGGTCAGAGGTTACAAACCATCTAAGGACTGGAATGGGCTTGCAGACAGGTGTTATTTAGACTGAACTCCTTTTTTAGGCATTGAGCATGAATGCCTTCACACCAAGCATTTTCTACTCCAGTTTCCACCACACCTTAGTTTATACCCAATGAGTTTCTTCATTAAGTTCATGCCTGGTGCCTGAAGGCATGTGAGTTTGCAACCCTCTGCTTTAAGCTACTTCCTTTCTAGGTAAATCAGGAGTGGTAAATAAGTTTATCTCATATGCCAATTTCGTGAAAAATGTCAAAAGTGCATCCAGATACAGGGGCAAAGAATCTTGTGATTGAAGGATCGTGTCTGCTGTGCAGACAGGAGATGGGAGGAATGGCTTATGTACCATTGTTTGTAATTCCTGTGCTAATCATTTACTGTCCCCTCAAGCATCTTTTAATAACTTCATTTCTAGACTTGACTTTTCTCTAGTGCCCTAGTTTATCAGTGAACCTTTTTAAAAATGGTTCGAAGAATGTGGATACTACATGTGGTACAAACAGCAAATGAGATGAAATGGACTGTGACTTCTGCAGACCTGAAGGTATTATGCTAACTCAACCCAGGTTGCATATTTGGTATGAATGACATATAAGTAATTTGTGTCAAACAGATAGTGCCACAATATCCCGGAGTATTCTTCACACAAACTGCAATAGCATCTGACTTTTCTTTATGCCATTTTGGGGATATGATTTTAAATATTATACATATATATATAGTGTAGCCCAATAAACTCTCTTTGAATCCTATCATTTTTATCTAAGTTATTTGCTATCTTTTCTAATTTTACAATTTTAAATTATCTGTTAATGTGATGACCAGGCATTATCATTTAAGATGTTTTAGCTGCAAGAAAAAGAAGGGCAAGTCAAATTTGTTTAAACGGAAAAGGAGACTATCAGCTTATTACCAGAAGTGCTGGGGTAGACCTTGCTTTGGAGATGGATGTTTGATCTGTGTTATAATATGTTATCCAGGACTCAGGGGTTTTCTACTCTTCCTTCAGCAACAGTGTCAGCGGCATCCTACGGCTGTTCTTCCTTATAGTCATGGGTGCCTGCTATAGCAATTGGGGCTATACACTTCCATGCTTATGTATAAGAGATGATGTACCTTCTATTCTAGTGACAATTTCCCAGAAGCTCCAAGAAAATATCTCATTGTTTCCCATGGGGCCACCTCCTCTCAAACCCTGATGTCAGGGAAGTGCTATGAACTGAATGACATAAGCCTGGATTCCAAACCAATCATTGGCAAGGATTATAGGATGGTTATGATGGTTTTAACTAATCAAGTCCAATGCCTGGGAATGGTATCAGCATCTAGACCACTTAATCTTTCACAACGAAGTTGGTATGCAATGAATATCAGCAAGGCAACATCAGTGTCCAGTATACTGGTCGCTTCCATCTCGATCCAAATCATTGATGTATTTTTTTCTCCCAGGAGTCACATTCTTCCACAGTCACCCTTGCAGTTTACCTGGTTCTGTTTTAGTTACCTTTTCTCTCTCATTCAAGACAGCATTTTCTCCATACAGCTTCCTTAAGCTTCTATTACTTTCTCTCTCTCTTTGGTGACCCTACACACCCTATAGAACACTAATCCTGTCATAGTATGCACGCTATAGTATAGTATGTATCCCTTCCTATCGTTAGCATGTTCTACTTTCTTTGGTTTCTCACAATGAACTGCAAGTATCTTGAAGGTGAGACCATGTCTTAATACCTATGGCATCCCCAATGCCTACCCTAAGCACCTGACACATGGTAGGACATCTATAAATATTCATTGAAATCAAAAAATTTTGAACAAAAAGAAACTACCTTCAGATTGTGTGATCACACCACCTAGAATGTTTCTAAATTAACATTAGTTAATTAATTACTTAAATTCAGTAATTTAATTTAAATAATAATAGTTGAAGTCTGGTTGGCCAAAGAAGTGGCAGTATATCTAACTATACTACCACCCTATCCAAATTTCTTCAAATGGATATCTTGAAAACCTAGAACTAAGCCTTCACTGAAATAGACTATAATTGGCCCACATTTCAAACTTAGCAAATGTCAGAAAATGAAATTCATTTGTGGGACTGGTTCTTAGTAAACCTATTCTGGTTTTCTCTTTTTTTTTTTTTTTTTTTTTTTTCCGAGATGGCATCTCGCTCTGCCACCCAGCCTGGAGTGCAGTGGCACGATCTTGGCTCACTGCAACCTCTGCCTCCCAAGTTCAAGTGATTCTCCTGCCTCAGCCTCCTGAGTAGCTGGGACTACAGGTTCGTGCCACCATGCCTAGCTAATTTTTATATTTTTAGTAGAGACAGGGTTTCACCATATTAGACAGGCTGGTCTTGAACTCCTGACCTCGTGATCCGCCCGCCTCAGCCTCCCAAAGTGCTGGGATTACGGCATAAGCCACCGTGCCCAGCACCTATTCTGGTTTTCTAAGATTATTGATGGTTTCTTTTCTTTTATTCCTACATGTCCACAATTAATCTATTCATTAACAACATAAATAGAAATATTCAGTATGGTATCACAGATCTAAGTCGAATGTTTCTGGCCATTGTAATGTAAGGCCAGACTTAAGCACAGACAAATAGTGGATGCAGCAGTTTGTCATGTTGCTAACTGGGTCTGAAGCATGGTTTTTACTTTCTATTAGTGTTATTTTCTAAGTATTGATTATCACCCCTCTCCCCTCAGATTGTCAGCATTCCTGCCTGTTGTTACATGGGGGAAATTCAAAGTGTATGAATAATGTATGCTTTTCTTTGGTTATAAAATTTTTCCTGGATTTTTCTCAGGGAGACTAATTTCACATAGTATAAACTGAAATTACATATTTCTATAAGACAATCCAGAGCGAAAGAAAAACCAAGGAAAGCAATGTTTTACACGAAACCAATAAAAAGCAGGCAGATTAGCTCTAAATCAACTTGCAGTGTGTCAGAGAAGTAAATTTAACTGCTCAGAGTCACAGAGGGAGAATCCATCTTTGTCTCTGTGGTTTAAGTAAGATTTTGACAAGAAATTTAATAACATGAAAGAATAAATGTGATACTATACACAGTGGTTTGTTTCATGAAAGAAAAGAATGAAAAAGTCACTAGATGTAAGTCATTGTTCTCAATTCATTGTTTCTAATTCATTGCATCTATTCATGAAAACAATCCTCACTCAGCCTCTATGACTTTGGCATTTGGAAATAAAAATGGAAGGAGAGAAGGAGTTCCCCAGAGCTTTTGACTATCTGAGTGTTTGAGGCCATAAACAACAAAGCAATACATTAAAAAATACTGCACCATGAAATGCAATACATTCTTATAGACTGAAATTAAAAATAGATTAATTCTAGATTTTCTGATGGTAAAATTTTGGATAAGTACATCAAAACTAAATGTTTATCTTTTCTCTGGTATTCAAGTTTTACAAGTCTAATAAACATATGCCTGCCAGTTTTGCCAATTGTGTAATCCCACACTGGAATTTCTATTTGTTCCAATGGGTTTCTACTGTTTCTAACCATTTCTTAGCAATGGGAAAGATACCTAAAACATCAAACATCTTGTCACACCTAAAATGCCCTGTGTGGTTTACATGCATGCTTTATGACTATATGCTTTATGGAAGAATTGCATTATTTCTAGAGCTTTCCTGGAGTAAGATGTTTCCTAATGAGAATGTGCAGTTTTCAAAGATAAGGTGAAGGATTTTCTTGATCTCTGAATTTCTTAATACCTAATGTAATGTCTGATACTCTGTGGTGCTCAATAAACATTGCTTGAATAATAACAGAGTGGAAAGACCATGGTTTCAAAACCATTAAGACCTGAGTTCAGATTCTAACTCTTCTACTTATTAGCTCAGTGACTTGGAGCAATTTCCTTTTGTTCTCTGAGCCTTAAATGAAAACAATGACATCAGCTTTGCAGATTGTTCTGAACACTTGAGACCACATGTGAAGGGAAAAAGAACAGTAAGTGTGTTAATTGTGGCTGTCAGTTGCATTGTGTCCCCCCACATTCATATGGTGAAGTTCTAACCCCCAGTACCTCAGAATGTGTGATCTTATTTGCAGATAGAATCTTTATAGATGTAATCAAATTGAAATGAAGTGATTGGTGGAGGGAACCTAAGCCAATATGACTGGTGTCCTTATAAAGAAAGGAAGTCTAGACACAGAGATTTGCATAAAGGGAAAATGATATTAAGAGATATAGGGAGAAGACAGCCATCTACAAGCCAGAAGAGGGGCCTGAAATGGGTCCTTCTTTCATAGCCCTGAGAAAGAACCAACCCTGCCAACACCCTGATCTTGGACTTCCAGCCTCCGGAACTCTGAGACAATAACTCTCAGTTGTTTAAATCACCCAGTTGAAGCCAGTTTGCTATAGCAGCCCTAGCAGACAAATGCACTAGTTCAGTGAAACTGGTTTATTCCACACACATGACTCTTTGGTTTCATTCTTTTATTGAATTTCTCATTCTTTTATTGAATTTCCCTTCCTTGAACTCCCAGCATTTTCTCTTTGCTGTGTCTGTGGATGTCGTCTAGGAAATGGCCCAGAGTCACCAAATATTGCTCCGGTCCACACTGAATCTTGTGGCCAACAGAACTTAATCACAATCATCATTTTTTGTGTCCAGGCCATATCTGTTTCAAGCCAATTAAGTGGCTCCAATTTAGGCAAGAAGGTCAATAAATGGAATACCAATCAATGGTTCTTGTGTCTAGAAATAAGTAAAAGGTTTAATATAATTTTATCAAGACATAATTAATAACTCCACTGCGGTAGAGTGCTACATTTTCTAAAATTCATGTCTAAGAATTAAAAATAAGAATTAAAGAAGAGTTTAGAATCTCCTGGATTTAGCTAGCTTGATTCAAGAGCCCAGATGATAAACCACTCTCTCATCCATTTTCTTGAGTTCAAATTTCTTTCCTGTATACTTTTTAGTACACAGATAAAAATTGTAACCCTGTCTAGTGCCTTCCTTGGGTAGAAGTAAGAGACGAATCACAGCTTAAAGATTCTGACCCTGCACTAAAATTGCATTTTGTCCACAGCAAATGGACTGAGGATTTAGTAGTCCTGAATTCAGAATCTTTTAGCTGTTCCAACTTGACACAAATGTGCATTTAACTAGCATCCTGGCAAAGAAGCAATTCCCTACTAGGAATTAACTAAATGATATCTGTTTCCATTATTTGTACTTGCCTCCTTCGGCTAAATGCATTTTCATTTCCCCTTGGGTTTCACTTCTTTCAATATTTCTTGGCTGTGATTGGTTTGATTTCTGACATTTTGGCAGCCTCAGTTCAAGAGATGAATGCAACTAATTTGGTAGATAAAATTCTAATCTCCTCTGTCTTGAGTGTCAATTTTTGAAAGGTAATCTAAGATGATATCTCTATCCTGTAATTTATTTTGTCTAGATTTGACTAAAGCCAGGTTTGAGCAGTTGATTACATTCTCTGATCCAATCACCTGAAGGCTAAGACCAATGACACAGGCTCTAATTGAAGAGGGGGAGAAAAAGCACAGCTCTAAAATCTTTTGTGACAAAACATTAGCCCTAAATTTGCCAGTTGAAAAAAAGTGTTGATGAAGTTGCTAATGAGTGAACTTGGCTTTCTTCCTTGAGGTCTGCCTTCCTCTGCTCTCCTTGGTCCAGCAGAAAACTCTGTTGGCATATTTATGAAGAACTAAGAAAGATTTTCTTTCAGAGAGAATTCCCTTGGCTCCAAAGAAAACTCCATTCCACAAAGTAAACTTGATTTCAGCCTCAACAGGTGCCAGATGCTGGTATCTGGCACTAAGAAATATATTTATTAAGTTACACATTTAGTTCAGAAGCCATTGAAAAAGGTTTCTACAATTTTAAGTCATCAAAACTGCTTGCATAGCTCTCACTTTTTATTTTAAAATTATGTGTGTGTATATATACAGATACATGTACGTATATATATATGTGTGTGTATAATATATACGCACACACACTCCTTTGGAACTCACTATCCCTTAAATCCTTTAATCTCTTCATCTTGGAAGATTGTTTACACAAATGACTTTGAATGTTTTCACTCAAATTCTGTGCTTTTCTATTTAATCCAATAATGAGCTTACCCATCCTTCTGCATTGCTAAATGGAAAAGCACCCCCGGTGTCTACTGACATGGTCACCCCATGCTAGGCCAAGGCAACATCGCCTCAACTTTCTCGGGTTTAACCTTTAATGTAGTATGCAGCATCCTGAGACCTGCATGCATGATGAATGGAATCCCTGGCCCGTCTGAAAACGAGTTTGTGTCGGCAAGAAGATTTAGTATCCCCTGTGCACCCTTGAGATAAAAAATCATCTGGGCTTGTGGGAGCAATTTGTCTAAGAAGAGTAATTTTAGATATTCTTGCAATGACTTTAGAGGGGCTGAATTCATAGTGGTTTTCCCCTTGATTTTATTTCAAACACCTGTTCATCATGAACAGGCATAATTCGAAGCCAAGGTAATGGGGACCCACAGATGCACAGAACACGCAGAACTGATTCGTGCCCTTTGTGAGGTTTCTCTCTACAGATCACATGTGAGCCCGTGTGTGCTTGAAGAACATTTGCTAACACTGGTCCTTGCATTTTCAAAACTAGAGTCTATTATGAGGCACTCTCAGTGTGATAAGTCTAACTGATAAATTATGGAAACAAAAATAGAAAATTGATAGCTGCGATAAGTTTCCTTAGTGCACAGCTGGTGCAAGCATCTTGCTCTCCCATCTGTGTGTCAGCGTCTGCATCCCTTTTCCACCACCACAGGCACTTCTTTTCTTCTCTGAAGTAAATCTCTTTGCCAAAAGTCTGTTTGTTTGTTCTGCTCAACAAACGGCACATGTTCTTAGTATGAGCCCTCTCCCAGTTTTTCACAAGAACACTTTCAAACATTTTTTCCCCTTTTACTTAGACTCTTGACCATGTACAGAAAACTATGTCTTCTCCAGGTAAGGCAATACTGTAAATAAAGTGTGTCTCTGGCCTCCTTGGCATTTCTCTCAAAAGCCAAACACTGCGACAGTTAGCCCATGCAGTTTGTCCTACTGCCCTTTGTGAGTCGGCCAGTCTTAGAGACCATGAGCACAGGGCTCTAAATCTGGAGACATGCAGTCTCTTATGTTTGCTAAGTGTGTGATCTCAGAAGAATGACTCCATCTGTCTTTGGGCCAGGTTTCCTCATCTGTCATTGTTCACAACATCACAACAATGACACTTGTTATATATGAAATATAGGCAGGAGATTAATTTAGGCTAAAGATAGGCTTTATAATACGAAGACCTCATGACATTTACCCAGTGGCTTAACTAACAGAGAAATTTGTATTTTCCACATCTAAGTGTCTGAAGGGAACATTGCAGATTAGTGGGTGGCTCTATTCAATGCAATCACTCGGAGATCCTTCATTCCACGATATTACTCTGCTATCCCCTTGAAATTCATTTTTATCTTCTAGGTTCAAACAGGCTGGATTTCCATGGGTTCTAGCTTGCTGAAAGGGGGACAGAACATCAAAGAGACCTGCCTATAGTCTTATGGCATCAACCTTGGCACCAAACATATCACTTCCATTCATTTTCTATTAGAATGAACATAGTCACATGACTATACAACTGCAAGGGAGGCTGGGAAATGTAGTTTTGCCCAGGAATATGGAAGACAGGTTAAGCATATAGACACAGTTAAGACACAGTTATTGTATCTCTATCACCATAGGAATAGATTCTATCTTAAAATCCCAGAAGATTAAATGAAATAACATATATTTGACCTTGACATATAGTCAGTGGTCAATAAATGTAAACACACATTACTACTAGTGGTAGTATTTGACAAACTCAAGTGTTAGAGTGAAAACAGACTACTAGATGACTTAATTTCACTTAGTACTAGCACTAATACAACCCACATCTGACAGGCTATTAGGGATTTCTGCCCCATCCAAAAAGGGATCTGGAATGAGTCTACATCTCAATGCTCACTGATTTGGAACACATAACTTATCTGCCTAAGCTTCCAATATGGCTCAGAGTCCCTCTTCAATTCTTTGCTAGGCTAAGACACTTCCCACTCCACCTAGTTCCTGCCAGTTTTTTTTTTTTTTCTTCATGATATGGATCCAGCTTTCTCTAACCCCAAGCATCTAATTGGGCTCCCCTGCCTATTTGGCCACCAAGTATAGATTAGGATGGAGACCAGCAGACTAGTTTCTGTGCTCTCTGGTGCTATCATGTCACATGGTTCATCTTATTGTAACTGCTTGCTCACTTGACTGTCTTCTGCCCAAAACAATGAATTAGCTGAGGACTAGGACTGGGTATGCCTTATTTACTACATATTCCCAATGCTCATCAAAGGACCTAGCATATAATAAATGCTCAAAAACTATCTGAAAGAATAACAAAACAAAAAAGCAGAAAAATATCCCTAGAAACTCAATATATCAGTTAGCATTCTTAGAGATACTAGCTGCTGAAGTAGACAGTGTAAAGATTAAGGCAGATAGAGAATTTATTTGAAAAGGCTAACACGTGGGAAGTCACGGAATTATTGAAATAGGCCAAGTGACCAACATAGCACCCAGATCCACACTAGAACCTTGGTCAGAGGAGAGAACTGGCATCACCACTGATTATGATGACATTTGTGCTGCTGCTCTTTTTGCTCTCAGAACTTGATTGTGAAACAACAACCAAACCATGCATGGTAGCTTCTGATTGTTTGAGGCTATGTCACATGCCAGGCCCCTATGAGTGCTCAGCATTTGTGGTGTAATTTTATATCTGCTTTACCCCCAGTAAACTCAGAAAGGGTTAACTGGCCAAAAAAAAAAAGATAATTATTTATTACACTCAAACATACCTCTTGTTATTTTCATGCTCCAATCCAGTCCGAAAAAAGCTGACCTAAGACTCAAGAAAAGTTCCAAGGTCCTATTTCACTTTGTCTTACTTTCTCAGCTCTACATGCATGAATATTTCTGAAAGATTTCTTAATTTATTCATTATGGTACCAAGCCATACTTCAACTCTCTCTGGACATAGAGAAGAATTGCACAAAGATTTATCAAAATCCACTACTTTACAAAGACAAGTGCTTATCCATATGCACAAAATTAAGGAGGAGGCAAAGTCTTGGCATGGTGGTATGTGTCCTCCATGAGAGGACACAAGACATATTTTGTATTTGTATATTTATGCGTTTGTTTATTGCCTTGTCCCTTAAAGAATACAGTCTTTATAAGGGCAGGGACAAAGGCATTTGTTTTTGTTTGTTTGTCTTACTGCTGTATCCCCAGAACCTAGAACAATTTATGATATGGGGTTGGCACTCAGTAAATGAATGGTGAATGAATAAACAGATGGGTATCTGTTACAGGAGTGGAGTGGTTAGCACACAGGTGAACATTCTGACCGGATTTGTTTCTTCTTCACAAAGAGTTGGTCTTTACACGTTATCTTTCCATTAAGTCAGATAGGGGATTATGGGAACCCATGAAGAACTTAAGTCCTGTGCTCTCTACCTCTGACATAGTACCTAAACCCCAAAGTCTGCAGTTCTGAAATTTCCTTCTCTGCATAAAGGCCACCTACTCCCACTTTTCTCTCCCAACCTCCAACCCTCCTTTGGCTCTCTAAGGCCTCTAGGTTTTTACTATTCATCATCACCCTTGTCCCTTCTTGACTGCCCTGGCAGCACTCTACACTCATCATGTCAAAGGTGCTCTTACCAGCAGCACTAGGTTGAGTAGTGATCTCAAAACCTCATGTTAACCCAGAACCTCAGAATGTGACCTTATTTTCAAATAGAGCTTTGCAGTTACGATCGAGTTAAAATGAGGTTATATTGGATTAGGGTGGGCCCTAAATCCAATGACCCACGTTCTTATAAGGAAAAAGAGAGATCCAGAGCCACAAACTGACATACAGGGAAGAACACCATGTGTAAACAGAGAGAGACTGGAGTTATGCTGCCATAAACTGAGGAATGCTAAAGATCTCCAGCAACTACCGGAAGCTTGAAAAAGGCAAGAAACGATCCTCCCCTAGAATCTTCAAAGGGAGCATGGGCCTTTTGACAAACTGATTTCAGACTTCTGGCCCCCAAAATGTGAAAGAATGAATTTCTGTTGAAGCCACCCCATTTGCGGCACTTTGTTAAGGCAGCCACTAGGAAAGTAGTATGCTAGCCCTGGAGTCTTCACCACTCTTTCCTCCAGCCACTGTCATGATTCCCATCCCCAGCCCTGAATCCTTCCTGTTTCTACTGCTGCTTCCCTTTAGCTGAGGAGCCTGCTGGTAAAGCCACCCATAAGCATATTTTGTTTTTGTATAAATACAAAATCCCTCCCTCCCACATCCCTGCCCCCATTTCCCTCCACCTACCCCAGCATCTTATTCCAGCAAAATACCCACCTCCCACAATCCTGCTTCATCTAGAATGCCTCTCTCTCACTGGCCCATTTGTAAGCTTGCTTACCCTGAAAAAAGACCTCCCTATGTCCCTCTGACCTCTACAGGACTGCCCTTCTTCTCTCTCCCTTTTACCATGCTTCTTAAAAGAATAAACGTATACCGGGTGCGGTGGCTTACGCCTTAATCCCAGCACTTTGGGAGGCTGAGGTGGGCAGATCATGAGGTCAGGAGTTCAAGACTAGCCTGGCCAATATGGTGAAACCCCATCTCTACTAAAAATACAAAAATTAGCCAGGCGTGGTGGTGCATGCCTGTAGTCCCAGCTACTCCAGAGGCTGAGGCAGGAGAATCACTTGAACCCAGGAGGAGGAGTTTGCAGCAAGCAGAGATTGCACCACTGCACTCCAGCCTGGGTGACAGAGCAAGACTCCATTTCAAAAAAAAAAAAAAAAAGTGCCATCTACCTCAACCTTTAAAACATCAAAACAGCCCCAAAAATGTTCTTTACCATCCTTGAGAGCTCTGGTCTTGGGCACTACTGAACCCTCTCTTCTTCCTAAAATCTCTCTCATACACCCAATTCTGAGACTGTTTTGTCCTGCTCTCTTCCCACCTTGACAACTTCTTTTCAAATTATTTTTTCTCCCTCCCATATCCCTTAATAAAGGCATTCCCTTAAGTTTGGCCTTTTACCTTACATTTTTTATTGTTTTCCTTGATGATCATACCTATTTTCATGAATTTCTCTGTCCTTTCTGCTTAATTTATCACATACTTTGGAAAGACCTCAACACATGTTTGAATAAATAAATGAATGAAACCCAAAATCTTGATCTTTCAGATCCACATTTCTAAATGTGTACAGAAATAGGTTTTGTTATGTGTTTCCAATGCCTAGCTGTGTTCTTTACATGCTAAATGAATGAGAATAAATGAATAGCTCTTTTTACACAAATACCCCGCTGGCAAAGAAAGGTTCAATAAATCCGGATTTCTCCATCTGTACCCACAAGCCAGCTCTTCCTTTTGACTTTTTCCCCCAGCTATGAGTGTTTCACCAATACTAAGGGTTTGCAATCTTGGGATCATTTTTCATTTTCTCTCTTTCTCTTATACTTTATCTGTTTCATAATCTTTTAAATTCCATATCTTTAAAATATTTCAAATATCTTTTTTTCACAATCCCAATGCTTATGCTCTAGTTTAGCATTCATTTCTCTAGTGTTTTCCATGTTCATTTTCCTCCATCTTAAACATCATAATTATAACTCAATGTATTTGACTGGTTTTTATTGCTTATAATAGAACTCCCAAAACTGGGTAATTTATAAAGAAAAAATTATTTATGACAGTTGTAGAAGCTAAGAAGGCCAAGGTCAAGGGACTGCATCTGGTGAGGACCTTCTTGCTGGTAGAGAGACTCTGCAGAGTCCCAAGGCAGTACAGAGCATCACATGGCAAGGGCGCTGAGTGTTCTACCTCAGGTCTCTCTTCCTCTTCTTATAAAGCCACTGTTCCACTCCCATGATGATCTATTAATCCATTAATCATGAGTGGAATAATTCATTTATCAGGGCAGAGCCCTCACGATCCAATTCTGGGACTCCATGTTAAAGACCCCACCTATCAGTACTGTTACTTTGGGGATTAAGTTTCAACATGAGCTTTGGAAGGAAAATTCAAATCATAGCACCAAAATTCTCATATCTTATCCTTTTCTATCCAGCCCGATTGTCAAGAATATCAGTTATGGTGTAAGCTGGACTCAGACAGAATCTCATCTCTGCCACTTACTAGCTATCTGATCTTGGGCAAGTAACATAATCTCTCTGAGCCTCAGCTCCTCTTTTATAAAATAGGGGAAATAACAGTCCTTATTTCACAAGTGCAGGGCATGTTACCTGGCATATAGAGAATGTTCAGTAAATAGGGGGTTCATAAGGGTGAAGGTGGTATCTGTAGTGGTGGCAGCAACAGTAGCCAGAGGTCTGGTCTCCATCTTCCCTTATTTATGCAGTAATCTTTCAGGAGCTCCTGAAAAACTTGCAAGTAGTGACCAACCAACCATTCATTCACAGGTAGCCTCGCAGATCCTGTGAAGAAGAACACAAATGTCAGGAGTTGACCAGCTAAAACCAATTGCTAAAACCAATATCAGAGAATTTTTATAGGAATTCAAAGAGAAATTTTATATTAAAAAGGTCAGCCCAGTGCCTGGCCTAAATTAAACAGTCAAGAAATGAAATTATTCTTGGAGACATTTTAGAGGGGTTTGAATTGTAGTACTAAAATGAGGATGTATACTTATGGTAACCAGCTGAGGAGACTGTAGCAGACGTGAAAAGATTTGTATCTCCTTGCCCTCTTGAATTTAGTCATGCCCAAGTAATTTGCTTTGGTCCATGAAATGCTAGCTAAGGTGACCTTTATTAATTCCAAATAGAAACATTTAAATGCTAACACTCAGTTCTCCAAACTTCCCCTGCCAGGCAGAAACTCTCTCTTCACCTTCAATGGAACATTTAGTGTGAGTAAAAAATAATTCTTTGTTTTTCTACGCCACTGCAATTTTGGGGGTGTTTATTACTGCAGCATAACCCAGCCAATCCTGACTGTTAGGGTTGATAACCAGTGTCAGGGAGAAATCCTATGGCCTCAGAGAGCCACTTAAATATTCTTCTCACCCTTGATCTATTCTTATTAATAAAGTGGGCTACACAGTTTTCAAAGTTGAATTAGTTAATAAGATCCTTGGGGCTTTGTCTTTAATGAGAAATAACACTGACATGAGAACTGGAACTTGCTAGAAAACCAAACACTGCAGGAAGCTCATCTCTGCTCTTTAGCTTTTATAACTATTCCACTGCTACTCCAGAGTTTCCTTTTGGCTTATGTCTCCTGCTCCCCACTTCATGTCCACCCATTCTGCCACAGCTCCTCAAGTTACACTAGATGAATATTATCCTAGTAACTCCATATTTCCTTCCTTCCCACATGCACACTCACTTTTCCCTCTACGTGGAAGGCCTTAAAAAAAAAATCATTCCTTTATCTGCATGACTAAATCTTACCAATCGTTCAAGGTCCATCCTAAGTCCTCTCTCTCTAGAAGACTTCTTGCCCTTCCCAGCAGGGAGTTATAATCCCTTTGTGATATCCCTATGGCATTATATGTATATTTTCTTTGACTTACTATTTTTAAATCTTGTATTATTTTTTATCAACTTATATATTTTAAACGTCTTAATAGATTGAAGCTGTTCAAAGGCTTGATCCATGACTTACATATCTTATCCTGGGCAATTTAATAGATTTCTTTGGCCTTAGGATGTCCTCATAGATAATTGTAATGAATGATGATAAATGGAGTATTGATATTTAGCTGTATGACAAGACTTGGCAATATGTAACACAAGAAATAAACTGTACTAAATTTTTTTAATGTCACAATTTGTAGAAAACCTAACCACTCATCATTACCTCTTCCAAATTCTGACTCAGTTTTGAAATTGGCCCAGAAACTTTGAGTGATCATCTTTATTAGTGGTGAAACTGAATTGGAAAAGGTAATTTGGATTGAAGGCCAAAATGGGGCTTCCTACAACAGGCCTCTGGAACTGATTGTGTCCAACCAGTCGCAGATACAGCAGCTAGAGGTGTGCAGGCCTCCCTGGCAGATTGGACCAGGAGGGCCTGGTCCTGGTGAGATTATGACTTAATGGCCAGAGTTACAGGGAGAGCATGCAACACTTGCTGCAGGCTTAAGAGAGAACCAGGCTCTAGGCAAGGCATGAGCAATGACCTTCATCCAGACTCACCAATGAAATAAGAAAGGAATAAGGTTTAGAGAGAAGTATTTCCTGCTTGAGATGATCAGGAAGAAACTCAGGAAGAAAAAGAGCAGGGTTATCTAACAAAAGACACGCTCATAAACTTAGGTCATAAGAACTAAACTAAATCACTTAATCACAAGATATAAGAATACAGAAGGAAGGACACACAATTTTTCAAATTTCCTGTGGGTTTGATGTCAGATTTTTAAGACATAATACATATGCTAAGAAAAATAGGCTTTAGATTATGTTTGGAGAATCGTATATGCTTCCATTCTCCGAAGTAAATTATTTAAAAATATCAGTTTTGTTCTGTTTAGTTACTCACTCACATACAAGTTTTGCACTTTAATTAAAGGATTATATTGTTAGAGGTCAGAAGATGATACCCCAAAATGAAGGCCTCAGAAGCAAAAGATTCTTTCCAACCTTCCCCTGCCTTCCTGTCTCTCAGTCGGATTCTCCCTCAAGGCTAGCCATAGAAACTAGAATCCCTCTTCTGCAAGGTGGTCATAGACTCCAGAACCCCTTTTTCCCAAAGCCAGCCGTAAAATCTAAAATATTACTTTAACTTTTGTGCTTTCCTTTCTGTGCAAAAACTGGCCATAAAGAAATTATCTGGCCTATCTTGTTTAATTATAGGTCATAAGACCTTCCACCCCACACCCAGAAGGATGACATGTTGCATAGAGAGGCCAAGAAGAATCTAGACAGACAGACCATGCTGGGATCTCCACTCAACCCGTTAGCACTAAATCATTTTTTTTTTATCCAATCATATTTCTACACAGCTGCTGCAACTTTGTTGATTCTAAGCATAAAAATGGACAGCTTCCCCTGCACGTTTTGGTCTTCATTCTGAAGGCTCCTATGCCATGTAAAAGTTTGATTGAATAAATTTGTATGCCTTTTCTCCTATTAGTCTACCTTTTGTCAGTGATTTTCAGTGAATTTTCAGAGGGCAAAGGGGAAATGTTCCCTTGGCTTCTACAATATTAACTGGGCTGTATTATATTGACCAAAAGTCTTAAGAAAAACAACAGCTTTGAATAGGCACCGCTGTCTACTGACTGCCCAGTTGGGCCCAGGAAGACCATGGTGGCATGTATACACAAATGAGGTCACATGTTCATACTTGAAATCTGCAACATTTTCTATTCTGACACTACAGTCTTCCCACCTGACCCAGAAATGCAAACATCCCATGTTTTTCAGGAAGAATGTCAACTCCAGAGATGTGGCAATTCAGCAAGTAGATGGCTTCTCTGGTGAAAAACTACATTAGATCTCAATAAAATACATTCCATTAAAACTTAGCAGCAGGACAAAAGTGTGTTACTGCTTTTATTGTCTGAATTGTGTCTCCTATGTGGGTTTGTAATGCAATATTACATGTTGTTAGGGCATTTACAAAGAGTTTTCAAATCATTAAAAGGCTATTGTCAATAGAATGATGGAAAAAGGATGAGAAAGTATCCCCTCCCCCTCTGCAATCCTCAGCCCTCCCCAAATGCCAGCACCTGGAACAAGCCATGCTGTGCCTTCATAAAAAGCTGTTGGAAGCCTGAAAAAAACAGGCAAGATAGAATTAAGAAAAATGGGCATATCCCACTGACCCTGAGTATAGAAGAGAAACGTAGAGAATGTATGAGTTATTAGCACAGTAGAAAAATATTTTATTTAAGAACCACATCTTCACAGCTCTGTCTGAAAGGTTTCACTCAAACTGCAAAAAAATAAGCATAAAGATTGAAAGCTCAGGATACTCAAGGATCTATCATGTTGTGTGTAAAAGAATCATAAAATCATCAGCAAAAAGAAGGACACAGTAGGAGTCCCAAATTGTAAACCATTAAGCTCTTAGGCATGTGTCATACTTCATCCTAAGGGATAAAAAGAGGAGTTTCAAGTGAATTCCCCAGCTTTGTTTATGGCACAGCTCTTTCTGACAATAAGGTTTACCTTTCAAAAAATCAAAGTCAAGGTTTGGCTTGGTTTTGTTTGGCATTCATCTTCAGCAACAAGTGAAATACATTTGCATTTTAGGTCCTCAAAATAAAAGATTTCAGAGAACCCATTGCCAATTGTTATCAAAGAATGAAAGAGAGAGGAAAGAAAGCAAACAAAAATGCTGTATCTTGGCCATTAACATAGTGAGTCCTTGAATGACAATTCATGAGTAACCAGGACAAGGGCTATGTCTAAGAAGTATACACAGCTGCCCAAAACACTGAGAACCTGATCTTCGTCTATGTTAAATGGTCTGTCTGTGTTTGCTCACTTCATCTGCACAACAATCCTGTAAGCTGGTGTTTACAGAGAGATAAAACCGTCTTGCTCAAGGTCACACTGTTTGTAGATGGCAGAGCTGGAGTTCGATTCCCATCTCTGACTCTAAAGATATGCTTTAAAAGAGGGTTTCTCGACCTCATCAGTATTGTCATTTGGGTGGAATATTCCGTTGTTGTGAAGGACACTACAATGTAGGTCATCCTTGGCTTCTATCCACTGGATGCCACAGCACCTCCCACTCAGTTGTGACAATAAGAAATGTCTCCGGACACTGCCAGATGACCTCTGGGGGGCAAAACGGCCTCTGGTTGAGAACCACTGCTCTAAACTACTTTCACTCAAAAACGTAGACTATGCTCTAGTTAACAGACTATGAACATAAGGAGCTTGTGCCAGCATGCAAATCAACTATGTCACTAAGCATACTGTTTACTTCAAATGACATTTTTTTTTTCAATAGCAAGACTTTTTTAGTAAGGAAGCAATGTGTGGATTTTCATTTTGGAGCGAGCTGTTTATCTCATCAAAGACCAGCACTATGGATAGTGCTGCTATAAATTATTGTGGTATATTGCCTCCCTGAAATGGTAATATTCAATAAGGATTTGATAAATTACTTTTCAAGTTATTTTCCCCCTTAAGCCTGTATTAGATAGTCTTTATTCTGGCAATACACTTCTCATCAATAATCAAAAATTATTATAAAGCTGAGTTTAATAAATGGCTCTTAGGTTTGGTTTGAGTGTTTGATTGTATTGCTCTCTCCCTGACCTTCAGGTTACTAGGTGACATTCCTGATTGGAAAAGCTCAGTGCCCAGCTAGACAGCTTGCCCCACACTAGGCTATTATAAGGTTTGACAACTTGGTCCAGAATAGTCATTGCAATCTACAAGTAACTGGAGGCTGTGTGGTTCCCATCCTCTCCCACTCCCCTTAGGGACACTGCAGTTGGGGAAGATGGGAACTACAGAGTCTCCAGTTACCTGTAGATTGCAATAATTATACTAGCTGTTTTCCCAATAAAAATTCTATTGTCTTATCCTCCTTTACCATCTCAGCAACTAATATTCATAAATAGCAACACCTTCTGAGAGTTAAAGTACTAACAGCAGCAGCAGCAACACTATTTAAGAATAATTGAATGCTTCATTATGTACTAAGCATTAAGAGCTGCATATACATTAGCTCAGATAGTTTTCACAATAACCATATGAAGTAGGCACTATTATAATATCCATTTTACAGATAAGGAAACTGAGATCAGAAAAATCCAGTGCCATGACAGAGGTATTTTGGCTGGAATCAGCCCAGATAGAACTCTGAAATTTGTTCATTTTTTTCTTGAACTTTTTATTACATAGAATTTCAAACATAGAAGAAATAATAGACAGAAGAATATAATAAACTTCATAAATAAGTCACCAGTTACAAAAATTAGCAACTCATGGACAATCTTGCTTTAATCCAAAACCAAATCTGCTTTCTTTCCCTTATTACTGGAAAGCAAATCCCACACAGCATCATCCATAAATATTTCAGTACGTTTATCTAAAAGATAAGGACTATTTTTAATAAACATAAATTTCAAGCCATTATCAGACATAAAATATCATTGATTATATCAATATTATTAAATATCATCAATTGTATCATAAATGTTATGAATGTTTCTTTTTCTATTTTATGGTTCTTTAGTTTGCATCAGAATCTAAGTAAAATCAATTCATTGCAACCAGTTGATCTATGACTTCAGTCTCTTTTAATCTCTCCTTTCATTTGCAATTTATTTGTCATAAAAGTTGGGTTGTTGGACGGGTACGGTGGCTCACGCCTGTAATCCCAGCACTTTGGGAGGCTGAGGCAGGCAGATGACTTGATGTCAGGAGTTCAAGACCAGCCTGGCCAACATGGTAAAACCCTATCTCTACTAAAAATACAAAAATTAGCCAGGTGTGGTAGTGTGTGCCTGTAGTCCCAGCTACTTGGAAGCTGCTGCAGGATAATCGCTCGAACCCAAGAGACAGAGGCTGCAGTGAGCCAAGATCACACCACTGCACTCCAGGCTGAACCACAGAGCAAGACTCTGTCTCAAAAAAAAAAAAAAAAAGTTGGAATGTTAATCCTATAGAGCAAGCATCTGTGTCATCTATTGTTTATTTTTTCAAACTTTTAAAAATTTAAATACATACATACATACATACATAAAATAGAGCAATAAAATTTAAAACCATCTTTTAACCATTTTTAGCTTGAGGGTGTACAAAAACAGTCAAGGGACAGTTTAACCACTATAGTGGAATGTTCCACAGTCTGAATTTTGAGGATTGCAACCTCTTGTTGTCATTAATATGTGTATTAGTCCATTTTCACACTGCTATAAAGATACTACCTGAAACTGGGTAACTTATAAACAAAAGAGGTTGAATTGACTCATAGCTTCACATGGCTGGAGAGGCCTCAGGAAAGTTCTAATCATGGCAGAAGGTGAAGGGGAAGCAAGGCACATCTTACATGGCAGCAGGAGAGAGAGTGCAGGGCAAACTGCCACTTTTAAACCATCAGATCTTGTAAGAACTCCCTCACTGTCATAAAAACAGCATGGGAAAAACTGCCGCCATGATCTAATCACCTCCCACCAGATCCTTCCCTCAACACTTGGGGATTACAATTCAAGATGAGATTTGGGTGGGGACACAGAGCCAATATCAACCATATCAACGTGTTTCTCTATTCTTTGTATTTTCTATAAATTGTGGCTGGATCTAAAGCTTGATGAGATTCAGGATCAATCCTTTTGACAAGCTACATCATAGGTAGTGTATTCTTCCACCAAAAAGGACATAATGTCTGGCTTTTATTCTTCCCAAATTTCGTTTTTAACATTAATGTTCTGTGTAAGTACTTGACTTCAAAGAACTTCAAAGTATCTTATGGGCACATAAAATACATACATATATATATATATAACAATATCAAATAAGTGGTTTCCTTATTCTTACAGTGTTTTTTGAGTGACTTCTCTGCTAGGCATTGAATTAGGTATGTGGTATATCGAGATGAAAAAGCCAGAGGCTCTACCGTCAAGGAGTTGTCTTGTGGTAAGTGTTTCACTGATGCCATGTAGCACAGCCAGTCAAATAACGAACCTGGCTTGTAGTGAACCAGGGAAGCTGCACCCGGCAAGAAGGAAATAGAATGATAAACATTCATAGGAAATAGAGATCAGGTTCTCTTGCTCTGGGACAAGGATGCTTTGTAGAATTATGATGTCAGTTGGACTCAAGACAATGGGAAAGACTTAGAGAGATGAGGTCAATCATCTCTGTAGATTCCAATGAGGAGGAATCCTATGAGCTGCAGTACCAGTGCAGAGGGGCATAAGATGTGTGCATGGCCAGGAAGATGAGCAGCTGGGTGAAGCAGAGGGGCTGTTTAAGGGTTATCATGGGCAGACCTATCATTTTAGGCAATCCCATTTATAAAATCTCCAGAGTCAGACAATCCTTTGGTAACCATCTAGTTGAGTAACAACAACAACAACAAAAACAATGATATCAAGCACATTTTTATTATTTTATTGAGTCTTCATAGGAATATCATTGGGTAAGCGTTATTAGTCTCCATTGTACAGCTGAGAGAAAGGAGTTCCAAAACTCTTCATTCTCCCTCTACTCAAGTTTACCCAAGTTGTAAATGCCAAGGCAAGGATCTGAACTCAGGTCTGTGCTACGATTCATTTATATGGGCACAGATTTCCCCTGAAAGAATACCATGTTGACCCAATCTCTCATGAAGGATCTCTCATGTTGGGGGTTGTTCAGGATTCCACATCCCAGGAGGGGCTACCACATTTCTTCTTCAGATACTTATTTCTGCCCCTAATCATTTAGACGACTTTAAAAAAATGTTTTTTCAAGAGAAGAACAATATGGTAAAATAGCAAGCTTGAGAAAAGAGGAGTAAAGCAAATGAATTGTCATTCTGGTCAATACAGTTGCTCTGATATAAAATCTGTCTCTAGGCACCAAGAAAAAAAGGAAATAGAAATAAGAAGTAGAGAAGAAACTCATATTTATTGAGACTGTCTGCACCTGGCACTGTCCTGGCACTAATTAACATAATTCATATAATGTCAAAACATCCCTGTGAGGTAGCTGAGAGATGATAGTTTTTTTTAACTTTTAAGTCCAGGATACATGTACAGGCTTGTTATATAGGTAAGCTTGTGTCACAGCAGTTTGTTGTACAGGTTATTTTATCACCCACCCAGGCATTAAGCCTAGTACCCATTAGTTATTTTTCCTGATGCTTTCCCTCCTCCCACCTTCCACCCTCTGATAGGACCCAGTGTGTGCTGTTCCCCTCTATACGTCCATGTGTTTTCAGAGAGATAATAGATTTTTTAAAGACAAAGTTCCTACATGTAGACCAAAAGAAATTTCTCACGTAGGAGGATATTGAGTTATATAAGAGCCAATGCTACAGTATCAGCAAAAACTTTGAAAATAGCACACACAGGGACACCGCTACCAGTTAATACCCAAATCGCCATCCTCAGCCACCTTTGCCTGTTAATACCCACATATTGGCAAACTCATGTGAATGAAATGATCCCACTGTGCAATTTTAGTCTGTCCAAGATTTATATGGGTTCAGACTGAGGTGAGTAGCAAAAACTAGAAAGAGCCAAGAAAACTGGTAAGCAGAAATAATAAGCAGAACAACAATAATTATAATACATGAAGACAAGCAGGTAGTCATCTGAAAAATAGAGTGGAGAGTGTAGAGTAAAATAAGGAAAAAATGCAAACCTGTATAACTTGAACTTCAAAGGCAGATTGGTAAGGCCAACTTCTCCACAGCAGACAGCTTCAAGAGAATGGATTTCTCTGGTTCAAAGTTGGATTCTGAAAGAAAGTTTTCCCCACAGATATTTTTCCTCAGTCCAGTCAGTTTAGCCTCAGTAGCATCTGGTGGTAGGAGAACCATGGGGTATCCTATAGAGACAGAGAGGATGATTTGATTATTCCCATAATAATATTCATACACAAGAATGATATGGCTAGATGTTAAATTGAGGGGGGAGGCCGGGCGCAGCGGCTCACACCTGTAATCCCAGCACTTTGGGAGGCCGAGGCCGGCGGATCACGAGGTCAAGGGATAGAGACCACCACCCTGGCTAACACGGTGAAACCCGGTCTCTGCTAAAAATACAAAAAATTAGCCAGGCATGGTGACACACGCCTGTTGTCCCAGCAACTTTGGAGGCTGAGGCAGGAGAATCGTGTGAACCTGGGAGGTGGAAGTTGCAGCGAGCCAAGATTGCACCACTGCACTCCAGCCTGGGCAACAGAGCCAGATTCCATCTCAAAAAGAAAAAAAAAAAAAGTTGAAGTGGAGGGGAATGTCCATTAAAATATCTAGTTCAAAGTGTCTCAAATTAAAGTATTTCCCAAACAAGCTGAAAATAACATTTGTTAAATGAAATTAAATATTTGTATTGAATTTGACCATTCCTTAAACGCTACTAAACTCAACATTTCCTGTGGTCAGACCATGCAGATCTCCTCTTATGATAAACGGTAATTGCCAAACGATTATAGGTAAATATTCCCCTGTCATTTCTTTTGAGAGGGAACCTACTAGGTTAATGTGAACTGGGCTAAAAATATTGATTCCAGAAATGAGTATGAAATGTTGTGATTTCCAATTATTCTAAGAAATTGGTCTTTGAAATCCTGAATTATGAAAGGATAAAGTGGCTCCACTTTAATCTGTGAAACAGGACTCTATTTAGACTCCATAGTCAAGTTCCTAGGAAAAAACTTTAGACAGGAATAATGGTTGGCATCTAATGTTGTTGACTGGTGCCCTCCAGTGGCAAAACTTCATGGAGTGTTCAATCCAGTAAAATTCAAAGTGTCTTCTGTTTCAATTCTCAGGCCTTTTGAACATATGAGCCCAAACTTTTTAAGAGCCCAATAGTTGGGAATAAAACCACAAAGGCTTTAGACTGTACTTGGTTTTACACTGTATGGTCATAAAATGCTAGAGAAAAAGGTTGTTTGCCTTTAAAGTAAGGCTGGAAAAAGACCGAGAGCCACAGGAGATTATAATGACTTGGCAGGAAGATATTGGGCAGGCATTTTAGAATCTTCAGGCTGTATCCTCACCCTTTCCCTGTTGTATCAAACTCCTTTATGGTATTATTTCCTGTTTAGCTGGAAGGAATGACATATCCCCAAATGCGCAGGTCCTGGGCATTGAGGAGATGCCAGTTATCCTGCCTGTTAATATGAATGTGCCCTGAGGATACTGATGTTTTTCACATGACAAATGTCTAGCTTTGGATGTCCTAGTCATACTGTGGGTCATTTATTTTCTTTCTTATTTTAAAGTCTTTTCTTTGGAAGGCCAAGGCAGGTGGATGACTTGAGGCCAGGAGTTCAAGACCAGCCTGGGTAACATGGTGGCCCAGCTATTTAGGAGGCTGAAGCAGGAGAATGGCCTGTACCCAGGAGGTGGAGGTTGCAATGAGCTGAGATCACGCCACTGCACTCCAGCCTGGGCAACAGAGTGACACGCTGCCTCAAATAATAATAATAATAATAATAATAATAATAAAAGTCTTATCTTGACCTCCTCAGGATGCTGTGTCCCTGGGCCCTCTCTGTTTCCTTTCTGATCTCCTACATTGCTTTCCCCCACCTCCCACCGGGGTCTTCCTTTTAGCATCCATCCATGTCCTCACTTCCCTTTGGGTCTGAAGGGGAAGACAAACCTGTCAGCCATCAAGAGAGGACCAGACTCCCTCTAAATTCTTGAGGATCTTGATATATTAAAATATAAAGAAATGCCAAGTTATATTTAGTGGTATATTTTGTTTCTGAAATTGGAGTCTGTTTTCCTGTTAATAATTTTGACACAAATGCAATATAATTGTCTTATTTGTAAGATGATTACAGAGACTATTTTTAAAAATCTAGCTCTAAGTGTACTAAGAGAAGGGTGCTCCAGAACTAGGTCACAGGTATGAAAGTATATGATGACGTCATTCTTCTTCAATCCTGTCAATACATCTCTCTGACAATAAGTATGAATTTGTAGAGAAAATATGATAGCATTAAAATGCAGTTGCGGCTAGGCACGGTGGCTCACACCTGCAGTCCCAGCCCTTTGTGAGGTGCAGTGGGCAGATCACTTGATCTCAGGAGTTTGAGACCAGCTTGGGCAACATGGCAAAACCCCATCTCTACCAAAAATACAAAAAATTAGCTGGCATGGTGGCACATATCTGTGGTCCCAGCTACTCAGGAGGCTAAGGTGGGAGGATCACTTGAGCTGGGAAGGCAGAGGTTGCAGTGAGCCGAGATCACACCATTGCACTCCAGCCTGGGCAACAGAGTAAGACTCCATCGCAAAGAAAAAAAAATGTAATCGCCTACTGGGTTCATCTTCCTGCCCACTGCATGGACAAATTGATTAACTGAGACTGCAAGCATTGCAGTAAAGAGTTTAATTGACACGAGGCTGGCCACATGGACATAGTTACCACTCAAATCAGTCTCCCGGAAGGCTTGGAGATTAGGGTTTTTGCAAGCATAATGTGGTAGGCAGGGGGCTAGGGAATGGGGAATGTTGATTGGTTGGGATGAAATCACAGGGATGTGGAAAATGTTCCCTGTGCACTGAGTCAGCCTGTGTGGGGATCACAGGACCAGTTGGGTCATGAGTTGCCAGTCTTGGTGAAGTCAGCTGCTTGTCAGAAATGCAAAAGTCTGAAAAGAAATCTCAAAAGGCAAATCATGGGTTCTACAATAGTGATGTAACCTACAGGAGAAATTAGGGAAGTCACAAATCTCATGACTTCCAAACGGTAGCTCATTATCACTTAACTATACCAACATCTTAACAGAACTCAGGTCCCTCTCATAATTCTAACCTTGTGAATTTTCATTGGTTTTACAAAGGCAGTTTAGTTTGGGGAAGAGCTATTATCATTCTTGCTTTAAGGATAAACTATAAATTAAATTCATCCCAAAGTTAGCTTGGCATATACCCAGGAATGACTAAAGGACAGCTTAAAGTTCAGAAGCAAGATGCAGTCAACTATGTCAGATTTCTCTTACTGTCATAATTTTGCAAAGGCGCTTTCAAAAAGTCTAAAATTATATATCAATAGTCTAAGCCCTTCCTGAATGTGAACTGTGGCCCAAAGGGTGGCTCAACTTGCTCTGGGAGAGTGAGTAAGAAGTAGGTATATCTATGTGACTAAACAAGGAAGCCAGTTTGGGCACAGAAATGTGTTGGTATTGAGGAAAGTATTTCAATTAGGACAGATAGTTAGAAGTCTCTTAGTAATATCCAACCACAGAACCCACAGTTAATTCAGATTCAAAGTGCACAAATTTTAACTGCACAAAAAGAATGTGAGTCTCCTCATCCCTGCATCACAGATTTGGGGAGAGCATGTATCATTACAGTGAAAATAATCACCTGGGACTGGAGCCGATGGTTAAGGACCTTTGTTTTCAGATGCTCACATCCACTAGAGATAGTTTATATTCTAATGATTTTATCAACTCTTCCTAATATTTTATACCATCTAGAGGAAATAGGAAAAGCTAATTATAGCTTACCTTCATTATCCTTGTCATCATAGTTAAACTACTCCAGTCTGTGTTTGCAGATTGACATAGGCAAGCAGACTTTTGAGTGTGAATCAGAACAACTATTTTAGGAAATAACGTTACTATTCTCTGTACCAGTTATCTCCCTTCCTTCTCAGAGCCCTCTGAGAAAGGATGGGGGTCATTCTCACTCAGCCTAGGTCACACAGCTGCCTAGAAGATGTGAGTTTCTTGACTCCCAATCTCATTATCTTTCCATTTTGCCAACTTAAGAGTTAAATAATAACGACTCTCCTGTTGCTAAAATGTTACACATAATCCCTCTCCATTACTGCAATATTTTAACTAGAATCTACCCCTTCATGGATTTTCTTGCTAAGTAATGCTTGAAGAGAAATGTTCAAAGTCAGTACTCCAACACTAAGGAATCAAGACAGAAAAGCAATGGTACAGTTCAGAAAGATCAAAGTTTGGGGAGGTCATTATGGGAATTTATTTCATTTTGAAAGAATACAGGCAAATGCTTGTATTTAGGGTGTGAACTAATTGGCGATATGCATATAGTGGCATAATTTAACATCTCTTTCTATTCAGTCAGTGATTCTTAGCCTGTTTTGGATCACAGACACCTTTGAGGAGTTATAGAAAGCCATAGACCCTTTCCTCCCCACTTCACCCCTGACCCAAATCACATAGGCACTAAAGGTTGTATTCAGTTCCAGGGGATTCACTGACCTAGTTTTAGAATCCTTATTCTAGATACATGGCTCCCGACTGTACAATGTTTCCCTTGGGGGACATTTAGAATGTCTGAAATATTTTTGGTCTTCACAACTGGGAAGGCACTACTCACATCAAATAGACAGTTGTCAAAGACATCTGCTAAATAGCCTATCATGAGTTGTGCTGCCCCCTTAACCAAATACGTTTTTGTTCAAAGTCTCTGAAGTGCCAAGGTTGAAAACACCTGCTACGAATCTGCACTGTCCAATACAGTAGCCAGGAGCTACACAGAGCTCTTGAAATTGTGGCTAGACTGAATTGAGATGTACTAGAAGTACAAAATACACACCAGATTTCAAAAACTTCATACATAGCTGTAAGATATTGCGTTAATGATGTTTTGTATTGACTACATGTTGAAATAATATTTCAAATTTACTTGGCTAAAGAAAATGTATTAACATAAAGTTCATCTGTTTCTTTATACTTTTTGTAATGTGGCTACCAGAAAATTTAAAATTACATATTTGTCCATAGCTGTGGATACATTTCATTGGATAGACATGCTCTCGATGCTTTATAAAATTGAACTATTGAAAACTAATTAAGATTCTGATTCTAAAGCAAGGGTGAGCAAACTAAAGCTAAAACTCATCCACTAGGTGTTTTTGTAAGTAAAGTTTTATTGGAACACAGTCACACACATTTGTTTGCCTATTGTTAATGGCTGCTCTCACAAAAGCAGAGCTGAGTAGTTGTGACAAATACTGTATGGCCAGAAAACTCTAAAATATTTATGATCTGGCTTTTTACAGAAAACATTTGCCAATCCCAGATCCAAGGTCATGTCCACTACAGGGGCGGGATAAAAACTTTGCCATCCTGACAGTAGTAATATTTCCATATTTAAAGTAAGTAAATTTGGGACATTTGAAGAAGAGCTGGCTGAAAGGATGGAAGGCAGGTGTAACAGAACACACTAATTGGCTATGCTGTCCTCATATGACTGTATTTTATGTTGCTATTCAACTGGAATATGGCTCTCTATGACGGAGAATAGGAAAGATAATATCTCCTGTTAAAAATGGGTCATTGAGGCCGGGCACGGTGGCTCACGCCTGTAATCCCAGCACTCTGGAAGGCCAAGGTGGGCAGATCATCTGAGGTCAGAAGTTCGAGACCAGCCTGGCCAACATGGTGAAAACCCACCTTTACTAAAAATACACAAATTAGCTGGGCATGGTAGTCCCAGCTACTCGGGAGGCTGAGGCAGTAGAATCGCTTGAACTCGGGAGACAGAGGTTGCAGTGAGCCAAGATCATGCCACTGCACTGTAGCCTGGGTGACAAAGCGAGATTCCGTCTCAAAAAAAAAAAAAACAAAAAAAAAAAGGAAAGAAAGAAAGAAATGAGTCCTTGATTCAGCCAACAAGTATTTATTGAGGATCTAATATATGCTAGGCACTGTTCTTAGAGTTGGAAATACAACAGTGAACAGAAATAAAGTCCCAGCACTCCTGGGGCTTATAGGCTACTGTGACAGAACACCTCTCTGAGATAAGTGAAATATCAAGAATGTCAAGTATATCAAGAAGAATACTCGAGTATGTCAAGTGGCGATAAGTGCAAAGAAATACAGAACAAGTTAATAGAATAAAGAGCCTTGGGGTAGAGGTGATACAATTTGATTCGGAATGCTATTGTCATGGAAGGCTTCTCTGAGTAAGCACATTGGAGGGTGTGGAAAACACAATTGTAAGCCTTCCCTAAGGACAATCTGATACTATGTGTCTAAATCTTAAGGGTGACCCAGTAATTCTACCTAGTTATTTAACACAAGCAATTATGGAAACTAGTGTTCCAGAATGTTCCCTGGAGCATTTTCACCATAATAAAAAAAAAAAAAGGAAACTACTTAAGTATTCAACTAAGTTTATTAATATAAACAATGTACATGGCATAGTAAGCTTTTTAAGAAAAAAGTATTATATTAATACTTATATAATTCCAGTTTCATAAAAATATAAAAGCATTGTGTTTGCAGAGAAAAAATTCTTAAAGTCTTAACCCAAATGTTAGGATCTGTAAAAGGTCAAATTTTAGGTGTCTCTTACATGCATCTGTATATCTCTCTGTAGCATCATCTTTTAAAAATAACTCATAAACAAATAGTTATAAAAAAAAGAAAGGAGACAAGGCCTGGTGGCTCACGCCTGTAATCCCAACATTTTGGGAGGCCAAGGAGGGCAGATGGCTTGAGCTCAAAAGTTTGAGACCAGCCTGGGCAACATGGCAAAACCCCATCTCTAGAAAAAATACATAAATTAGCTGAGAGTGATGGTGCATGCCAGTAGTTCCAGCTACTTGGGAGGCAGAAGTGGGAGGATCAACTAAGCCCTGGAGGTCAAGGCTGAAGTAAGCCTTGACCACACCATTGTACTCCAGCCTGGGTGACAGAACAAGACTGTTGAAACTGCCTTTGCAAAATTATGACTGAGACAGTGAAAGAGATCTAACTGACTCCACCTTGCTTCTAACCTCCAAGCTGTCTATTCACTCCTGGGCACAGGCTGAGCTAACTTTGGGAGAAACTTAGTTTGTAGTTTATAGTTTAAACAAGGACGGTAACAGCCCTTTCCCAAAGCATATCTCCTTCTTGCCTGGGGACTAGACTAACATTATCCACAGGATTAGAAATTATGGTTTAGGAGTGACGCAGCTGGAGGCTGCAAGATTCTGACCCTCCCTAAACTGCTGCTGAGATCAGTGCTTGAGATATTTTGCAGACCCTGTACTTGATTGATCAGCTGGTACCACCAAGATCGGTAAACTGGCTCATCTGATCTTGTGGCCCCCACCCAGGAACTGACTCGGCGCAAGAAGACAGCTTCTACTCTGATTTCACCGCTGACCAATCAGCACTCCTGGCTCACTGGCTTCCCGCTACCCACCAAGTTGTCCTTAAAAACTCTGCTCCCCAATGCTCCGGAGGCTGATTTGAGTAACAATAAAACTCCAGTCTCCCACACAGCCGGCTCTGCGTGAATTACTTTCTCTATTGCAATGCTCCTGTCCTGATGAATCAGTTCTGTCTAGGCGGTGGGCAAGGTAAACCCCTTGGGTGGTTGCACTGTCTAAAAAATAAATAAATAAATAAATAAATAAAAATACAAATAAAAGAGAAGACTGAATTTGTCAAATATGCACATTAAAAAAATTCCCTTTAATGTGAATCCTAAGTATGATAATCTTCCACTGAACCATCAGGAGCTAACAATGAGGAGTAAGAGAATTAACTTAATGAACACAATGAATTGTCTTTTTAAGCAAATCTAGTAGATTCTAGGACACTGTTCTCTTATATTATCTACCAGAGAATAAAGGTCAATCCAATTAATTCCTTATAACACAGCCATGTTAAAAGGCCCAGGACATCAATGAACCAATGGGAAACTCCAGAGAAAGCAGACAACACCCACCAATTGCAACTGGCAGTTATAGATACTACAATAACCAAGACAACTCAAAGTTACTAGAGCTTCTCAAAGTTCAGTCATGAGACCTCTACAGGAGTATCATTTGATAATGGTGATGGTTAGGGAGAGGGAGGAGAAGATGTGTGTTTAAAATGTGGAGTCGGCCAGGCGCGGTGGCTCACGCCTGTAATCCCAGCACTTTGGGAGGCCAAGGCGGGAGGATCACCTGAGATCGGGAGTTCAAGACCAGCCTGACCAACATGGAGAAACCTCGTCTCTACTAAAAATACAAAATTAGCCAGGCGTGGTGGTGCACGCCTGTAATCCCAGCTACTCTGGAGGCTGAGGAAGGAGAATCACTTGAAGTCGGGAGTCAGAGGTTGCAGTGAGCTGAGATCACACCATTGCTCTCCAGCCCGGGCAACAAGAGCAAAACTCCATGTTAAAAAAAAAAAAGTGGAGTCTTGGGTCCTACCCACAACATTACCCAGGTGGGGTCCATATTTTGCATGTTTCAAAGGTTCCTTGACTAATTCTTATGCGACCAATCTCTTTAAGCTTACAGCTGCTTACACTGGGCAGAGAAAAAGGAAAACCTCTTCTGACTATCTAGAGAGATGTTATTTCTGATCAGAGTCCTTGAGAAAAGAAAAGATAAATTGGGACTTGCCTAATTATCAGTTAATTATTGAAGGAAGCCCTCTTGCTTATGTATGTATAAGTCTCAGTTCTCCCTACAGGGCCATTGTAAGCAAGAGTCCTTTGGCCTACTTTTGAATATTGCTGATACATTTTGTCTGAGAACTGACACCAACCTAATTTCCTGCCCCTGGTGAAACAATTCTGGGACCAGGCATATTTTCTCATGTGTGTATTAAACAATATTGAGAACAAGCAAAATAAATAGCTGCCTGTTTCTGGAAGGAAATACTTATTCCTGGAAGCTAGGACTGCCTACAAATTAAAATAGCTTACTTATCAAGATGCATGACTTGCTCATTAAGACTTATTCAAAGCCAGGTGCTGTGGCTTACACCTGTAGTCCCAGCTACTCGGGAGGCTGAGGCAGGAGGATCGATTCAGCCTGAGAGTTTGAGGCCAGCCTGGGCAACAAAGTGAGACCCTATCTATTAAATAAATAAGTAAATTTTTAAAAAAGACTCAATATAAAACCTTCTTCTTTCTGAGTCCTCCAATGAAAGCTAATATGTCAAAAAATATGCCCAATCCCAACCATTCTCTACCTTGCAAGACTCAGCTTAAAAGCATTCAAACCCTCCATCTCTTCCCTGTCTTTCCTGTTTTAAAACACTACAAAGACTCTGCCATGTTGGGGGTTTCCCTTATTGGCAACAGGCCTACTACACATGGTTTGGCTTAATCAGCAGCCTATTCTGATGGCCCTTGAGATTTTGAAGGTCCAGATGTTATCATTTCAGTTGATGTAGGTTGGCATACTTCAGTCTCCCTGAGGTGCCTGCTGGATATAATTCTTTTTTTTTTTTTTTTTTTTTTTTTTTTGAGACAGAGTTTCACTCTTGTTGCCCAGGCTGGAGTGCAATGGTGTGATCCTGGCTCTCCACAACCTCCACCTCCTGGGTTCTAGTGATTCTCCTGCCTCAGCCTCCCGAGTAGCTGGGATTACAGGCATATGCCACCACGCCTGGCTAATTTTCTGTATTTTTAGTAGAGACAGGGTTTCTCCATGTTGGTCAGGCTGGTCTCAAACTCCCAACCTCAGGTGATCCGCCCACCTCAGCCTCCCAAAGTGCTGGGATTACAGGCATCAGCCACCACGCCTGGCTATAATTCTTAAAATTCGGTTTTCAAGCTTCACTGTGTCCCTTTCAGGAAGACTTTTAACTTCTCTTATTCCCAGCTAAGGCTCTTGGCAAACATCCCCAGCTAAGCTTGTATATCAAAGTATCCAAATAAGGCCAGGCACAGTGGCTCACACCTGTAATCCCAGCACTTTGGGAGGCCGAGGTGGGCAGATCATCTGAGGTCAGGAGTTCAAGACCAGCCTGGCCAACATGGTGAAACCTCATCTCTACTAAAAATACAAAAAGTAGCTGGGCGTGGTGGTGCGCGACTGTAATCCCAGCTACTTGGGAGGCTGAGGCAGGAGAATTGCTTGAACCTGGGGGGCAGAGGTTACAATGAGCGAGATCGCACCACTGCACTCCAGCCTGGGTGACAGAGCGAGACTCTGCCTCAAAAAAAAAAAAAAATCCAAATAAAAAGCTGAAAAAAAAGGAAAGAAAGAAAGAAACCAGATCTGTTGAAGTTCCTCTAAGAGTCTCTTCTAGTTTAACTTCTAAAGATGCTTGTGAGCAGGGGCAGCTGAGTTCTACCTTCTGTTAACTTTCATAGTTCCACAGCTGTGTTACTGATGCTTAGGAATTAGAGTATAAGCCCCAAGCTTAGTGGAGAAGACAGACGAACATAAGAGAAGTAATCCCAGCCCTATGGGAGGCCGAGGTGGGTGAATGGCTTGAGCTCAGGATTTCGAGACCAGCCTGGGCAACATAGCAAGACCCTGTCTCTACAAAAAACACAAAAATTAGCCAGGCATGGTGGTGCAAGCCTGTAGTACCAGCTACTCTGGAGGCTGAGGTGGGAGGATCACTTGAACCCAGAAGGTTGAGGTTGCAGAGAGCTGAGATTGCACCATGGCACTCCAGCCTGGGTGCCAGAGTAAGACCCTGTCTCAAAATAAATAAAATAAAAGCAACAAAAAAAAAAAAATGCGCAAATGAAGAGCTTGGGCTTTAAGTCAGACATATCATAATAAATATTTGTCTCTCCTCTTTGCTGCCTATGAGATCTTTGGCATCTCAATGTTCCCAAACATCAATGTATTCAACTTTAAAATGGGAAAAAAAAATTGTACAGTAAGGATTACATGATAAAGCTTAAACACAAGCTCTAGAAATGGTAGCTATTATTTTATTTTTATAAATCATACCTGAAAGCTCTCAGATGAAATTTGAATGCTATAACTTCAGATTTACATTTTAAATATTGGTTCTGTCTCTTACTAGCCTTGTGTCCTTGAGTAATTAATCTCTTTAAGTCTTAGTTTTCTCATCGACAAATCTGAAAACACTACTATCCCCTTGCTATGGTCTGAAAGTTTGTGTCCCCACCCCCATCAAATTCACATGTTGATACCTAATCATTATTCAGAAGGAGGGACATCTGTTTTTTGTTTTTTAGGGAAAAGAAAAGAAACCTAATCATTGATGTGATGGTATTAGGAGGTGGGCCTGTGGGATGCAATTAGATCAGGAAAGGGATTAGCACCCTTTAAAGGAGGCCCCAAAGAGCTGCCTGACACTTTCTCCTATATGAGGACACAGTAAGAGAGTGCCCTCTATAAGGCAGGAAGTGGGCCCCCACCAGACACCAAATCTGCTGATGCCTTGATCTAGGACTTCCCAGACACCAGAATGGTTGGAAATAGGTTTCTCTTGTTTATAAGCCATCTAGTTTATAGTAATTTGTCAGAGCAGTCCAAATGGACTAAGACGTCTCTCAATAATAAATAAAATAATGTATTTAAAACACTTAGCACATTGATCCATTCAATCAATTTATATTGAAAACACAGACTCTAGAGTCAGACTACTTATATATTAAATTCCTGTTCACGTACCTTGTTCAAGGTACTTGAACTTTCTGTGCTTAATTCATAGATTATCCTGTGTACTGAATTTCCCTCAGAAACAGAGATTTTTGAGATCACTGCAGTGAAACCCACCATTGTAGTAAGGCAAGGTTCATCTCCTTCTCCCTTCCACAACGTCTCTGATGTACATCAGTTTGAACTCTAGGCCAACTTTCAAAAAACAAAGAAACTCCTACAGTTCTAAGTCTTTGGCTTTTCTCTGTGAATCACAGCTACCTTATTAGGTTTCTCCCCCTTTGTCCTCCTTCTTTTTCCTTTTTGTTCTATGCTTCTGCATGCATGTTTTAATCAGAGATTTTTAAGAGACTTATCCACAAAGTAGTCAAGAAAGAGAATTTTAGGACCAGTGATCTGATACCTCTTCCGTGACTGAAAATTATAAAATCGGAAGTATGTTAGGAAGAAAATATTTCCATGGTCTGTTAAGATATTCAGAAGCTTTTCACTAGAACAAGTTTGCATTATTTAACTTCTCCAGGAGCAGGCAAGAAAAATATCAAGAGTCTGCCTTTGGGGAGATGCCATTTCATGAGCGATGAAGCAGTAATGAATGGTAAAGATGGAATATCAAGGAATCATTTTTAAGGGAGAAATGCAGCTCTAAAGCTATTCGGTTCAAGAGACTGACATAGGATGTCCTTACTTTCAACTCTATTTTTTCCAACCACCTATCTGTCCATGCATATTCATTTAGTGACTACAGCAGGCAGTGTAGTATTGAAAAGAAATTACAGGCCATTCACGGTGGTTCATGCCTGTAATCCTAGCATTTTGGGAGGCCGAGGCGGGTGGATCACCTGAGGTCAGGAGTTCAAGACCAGCCTGGCCAACATGACAAAACCCTGTCTCTACTAAAAATACAAAAATTAGCCAGGCATGGTGGCCGGCGCCTATAATCCCAGCTACTCAGGAGGCTGAAGCAGGAGAATCGCTTGAACCCAGGGGGGTGGAGGTTGTAGTGAGCCAAGATCATGCCACTTCACTCCAGCCTGGGTGAAAATGAGAAACTCCATCAAGAAAGAAAGAAAGGAAGGAAGGAAGGAAGGAAGGAAGGAAGGAAGGAAGGAAGGAAGGAAGGAAGGAGAAAGGAGGGAGGGAGGAAGAGAGAGAGAGAGAAAGAAAGAAAGAAGGAAAGAAAGAAAGAAAGAAAGAAAGAAAGAAAGAAAGAAAGAAAAGAGAGAAAGAAAGAAAGAAAGAAAGAAAGAAAGAAAGAAAGAAAGAAAGAAAGAAAGAAAGAAAAGAAAGAAAGAAAGATAGATTACAGCAAGTGCATTGAAGTTGTGTCCAGAGCAAGCACAATGAGACAGCCCAGGAACCTGAAGCTAGAGTCAATATTGAGTATGCTGGGACAATGACAGTAAAAAGGAACTGAAGGGAAATTATACACAGAGCATACTTCAGACCACCTCAGTCTGATGGAGGACAAGGATAATGTCCTATTACAAATTTGCAAAATAAACTTAGAGGCATGATTCAGTAAAGATGTGAGATTTCACCTATTCAAGCACATGATCTGAATTTGCATCTGATCCTGAAGTCCTTGCTTCTAACCACTACACTAGTGTCCCTTTAAAATATTTTGTATGTCTGAACAAAAAAATCATTGATAAAATCCCTTTTAATCACACTTTGGTATCTTTTCTTCTCCCATGAAGGCTTCCCAGATTCGTAAGTCTGTTTTAGCTTCCTGCCTTTGTTCTCCCATAGCAGCCAGTTCCTCTTCTAAAATGACTCCAATCATTTCATATCATTGCTGCCTTGTCTCTCTCTCATAGTGGGATACAGGCTTCTTAAGACCAAGGACCACCTCTTGTTCTCTGTAATCTCCCCAGTGCCTGCCATATTATGAATGCTCAGTAAGTGACTGTTGAACATGGTGATGGATGGGCGAATGGGTGGATACATCTGTAAATGATCAACACACTGAAGGAAGTCACCACATAACTGTTTACCTAAGAAATGTCTATGATAATTAACATAAAGGTAAATAGTAGTCAGATTGGCTACTGTTTGTCAACTTAGATGTCAGTTATTGATTGAATTGGAATTTGTATTCCAAGGTATAATGGTAAGTTTAGTCCAAGCAAGGAGGCGGTAATTTGATGGTTACTGCTCCATTCTGTCATCTCCAGGGCCAGGCTCCCTGCCCCATAACCACAGCTCTACTTTCATCCCCATGCACATGTGTACTTTGAATACATACAACTCTAACCCAAAGTGGCTACTGCTCAGCTTTCTCCCTGTGATCTAGCCTCAGGCAAGGAAGCAGCTGGAGCTCCTCTGCTGCTCCTTTACAATTCTTTACACCATGCTAATGGGAAAACAAGGCAAGTTATAAAACACCATTCACTGTAGGACCCCACTTGGGTTAAAAAAAGAAAGAAAGTCTCTTACATGTGTGTAAAAAAGATAGAAAGGGCATGCCCAAATGATAATGGTAGGTATTTCTGGAAGTAGACAGACGACAGATGGAGAATTTTCTGGCTTTTTATCCCTATTTCCTAATCTTTTCTATAACTATACTAGATTTCTGATAAAATAAAAACAACACTTAAACAATAGCAATTCTGAATTCACAGCAACAATTGTGATGACTATTGCTTTATCATTCAATATATACTGCCTTTCCAATTCACAGTAAGTTCCTTGGGATCCGGTCACGTGATGCCCTGAAGTGTCAACTTCTTAGCCCTTAGCAAAGTGCTCTGCAGAGCAGGGTCTAGATAGCAAACAAATGAACTCTCAGTTTCTGTTTATAATTCGAACACTCATGCTTAGGAATTTTTCAGATTCTCCTCCCAAATTTTGTGAAAATCTAAAGGATATTTGTACATTTGGGGATTGTCAGTCCTTGGAATAATGTTGGCTTGAGGTCAGAAAGAAGAGAAAGTAAATGCCCAGTCAGTTATGCAAAAATATGCATTGATTCTGATGAGCTTTTAATGGTAATCCTTTTTCATCTTTTTTCCTCATTTTTCGTAAACACATTATTTTCCATTGCAAAGCAGACCTGTCTTCATGGTGTGTTTGTGCACAGGCTGAGAATCCAGGGAGAGACAAGGAAGCCAATGTTTACTTTTAAATTAATCCATCTCTTCTGAAAATGCCAAATGTGCATGGCCATAGCAAGACTGTCAGGGTCTTACTCAGAATGCATTTCATTAGGACTGTCATTTCTCCTGGGCTTCCAGCAGACCTGGTGAAGAGCTGACCTCAGGCCTCAAGCAGGGTCAACTTCAATCATAAATACCACAGATGAGTACAGTACAGGAGGACTATCATGTGGCTGGATCTTGAGTTGTGCCTCAAAAATTAGGGCTATGTATATATCTTCCAAATGGAATCAAGAGAGACTCCTCACACAATATGGAAAGAAACTTCCAGGAGAACAGGGAACAAAGAGTTAACAGCACAAGCTTTGCCATCTGGTAAACTTTAATTCAGTGCTGTGCTCCACTGGACCACTGTGGGTCAATGTCTCTTAACCTCATTTTCCTCATTTGTAAAATGTGGATATTGGTGGCTAGTCCACAAATTCCCTGAGAGGTTTAAAACAGATGACATGTGTGTTTCACTTAGCAAACTGGCAGTGCCCAAAAGACATTTTTATTAACATGAACAGTTGTAGCACAGCAACGTGCGATAGTTGAAGAAAAAAGCCAAAACACCATAATGAGAGAGAGGCTGTGGGTCCAATCTCTATTTTGCCACTAAGTACATCATCATGGACAGTTGTGTAATTTCTGGTTCTCAGTTCCTTCATTGGTGAAATAAATAAGTTGGCCTGACTTTAGGATTGCAAACTGGCCGACTACCGATGTGGTTTATTTGGAAATTGGAGAAATTCCCCCAAAATTGAGAAATTTCTCTAAAATACCTATATGCCTGGTTTCTAACAAAACTCAGGAGAGCATTTCCATATGGCTATAACTGAGCAGCAGAAAGCTTTTAAACAGGGCATCTACTCTCCAGTTCACCACAGTCTCCAAAAGTTCTTATACAAAGATCACCTAATTAATTTGCATTAATTTCCTGCTCCCTGTAACCATTTAGGTTTGCAACCCATGGATGAGACCAGTGGTTCTTAACTTGGGTGCATGTTAGCATCACCTGACAACTATTTAAAAAATAATAGTGCTGCAGCCTCCCCGAGACCAGTTAAATCAGAATTGTCAGTAGAGTCTGGACATCTGTATTTTTCAAACCTGTATCATTAAAAAGCTCTTCAGGCATTTGAAATCCACAACCAGGGTTAAGAACTGCTAGACAAGGTGTTTTCTATGATTGTGTCAATGAGGTAGTATCTTGATTTCATAATCATTCATTTTAATACCACTCTAGCCTACATGTATAGACAACTATTATATAAAAATTATAATATATGTTCAAAATACAACTACTATTCATTAAAACATGATGAAACACAGCAAATGAGAACCTAAGTTAATTCCGTCTGTGTCTTCCCTTTAATAGCCACAAGAATTTGGAGATTAATTTTTTGCTTATCCCCAAAATTATTTTATTTTTAAAAAAATATACAATCTTTTGTCACTTTTATGTTTTCTTTTTTGCATCTTATTAGTTACCAGTTCCTACATGAAGCTTTGAAACTTTTTCTAGATTTAATGTTTCGATGTTCTCCTGTAATTACTCTAGGCAAGGAAGAAAATGCATGCTATTACTCACATGCCCCATATTGCAAAGTAACATTTAAAAAAGCCATTAATTTCTTTAGAGAGGGACACCATTTCCAAATTCCAAAATATTCTCTTTACCCTCCCTTTTTCCTTTTGGTTCCTCTGAATATTTAGAGAACCTTCTAATAAATTTTCTCATCTACTTACAACTTTTAAAGTTTATTTTAATGCTCTTAAACTTTTAATTAAGAAAAGGAACATGTCTGATTTTATTACTTTAATTCACTTACAGTTGAATTTTTCATTTCTATCCACTGTGCTGTCTACAGAGTTTGGAGCAAAAAGTTCAAAAGCAAAATTAAGGTTGATATAAAGCAGTGATTTTCAATCCAGGGAGATGTTGCCCCCCAGGGGGCATTAGGCAATGACTAGAGATATTTTTGGTTGTCATGACTGGGTGTTGATCCTGCTGGCAACTAATGGATAGAAAATAGAAATGGGGTTAAACATCCTACAATGCACAGGACCTCACAACAAAGGGTAGGCTGACCCAAAATAATAACGGTGCCTAAACTGAGAAACCTGATATAAAACTTTTTTTTTTTTCACTTTGCTCCACATGGGTAACTAAGTTGTGGGCTTTCAATCCCTGACCATGGAAAAATCATTAAGAATATGCCTTCAGTTTAAAAACGTGAACTATTATTCTGCCCCCCTTCAAAGAACTTTGTGCTCTGAAATGAAGGGATATGTACAAATTCTGGCCAATTAGTCTGTGGCTTATTTAAGAACAGGAAGAGGACAAGGTGTGGCAAGGACTCAGGAAAGGAGGCAACCAAAAGAAAAAGTATTTCATTATATTTATGCTAATTCTTCATGCTTTACGTCTTCATAAACATGGGAAATTTGTGTGGAGAATGATAGCTCTTTCATGGGAAATGAGAACTTGCTGGTATTAACTGGCATAATTACAAACTGGCATGGGGAATCTGTGCATTATACTGTTTAAAAAAATGCATTATCCACAAAGAATGACCAGAGGTCTGTTCAAAAGACATATGGTCAATTTCTAAGACTTGAATCCTCTGGCTTTTAAGATGATGCTGGGTTGAAATGCACGTTCTTGAATTAGGAGTTCTCATGGACCACAGTTATACAGGATTCATGATTTTTTTTTTTAAAGATGGCTTTTGAAATGTGACTGGGATCAGATGAAAAACACCCTATAACAGCTTTTTCTTTTTCTTTTTTCTTTCTTTCTTTTTTTTTTTTTAGAGACATGGTCTCACTCTGTCACCCAGGCTGGAGTCCAGTGGCATGATCTTGGTGCTCACTGCAGCCTTAAGCCTCCTAGGCTCAAGTGATTCTCCCATCTCAGCCTCTAGAATAGTTGGGAGTACAGGCATTCGCCACCATTCCCGAATAATTTTTGTCTCACTTTGTTGCCCAGGCTGGCCTTGAACTCCTGGGCTCAAGCAATCCTCCCACCTTGGCCTCCAAAAGTGCCTGCAGGTGTGAGCCACCACACATGGCCCCAAAACACCCAATAACCGGTTTCCTTTGGTCAGAACTGCTAAATTTATTTGGTAAAGGGTTCTTCTTGTCTCTAGCTCTACCTGGCCATTTCACGAAGCTCAATGAATACATCAGGAGTACAAACTACAAATTAGGTAGTGCATGTTTCAGATAAAGGTTGAAAGAGATAAGAACAGATAAGACACATCATGGGACCAAACCAAAGAAAACACACCTTTGGGCTGGGTCTAGCCCACAGGCCACTAGCTTGAAACTGATAGACAAATAAGCTCTAAAGTCCTTTTCAGTCCAAAAATTGTATGGTTTTATTTTTAGCAAGAAAACTCATTGCTGCTAGGCATATTTTTAAAATGCGGTTATTTCCCTTATTGTGTCATTTCCCTGCTCAAAAGTCTACAGTCTACAGTTGTTCCCTACTGTCCCTCAAATTAAATCCAAGCTTCTAAAAATGCAGAGCTCTACAATCTGGTCCAAGCCTCCCTTTCCCCCCTAATTTCACAGCATCTTCTGACATTCATTCTAGCTTTCAGCCCCAGAGGATTTCACGTTGCCTCAACCAAAACATCACCTTCCTATCATACTTCCCTTCCCTATCATACTTCCCCTCCTGGAGTCTTTCTTTGCCCAATCACTATCTCAAAGCAGACTGCTCTCTCCTACCCTGTCTTGTCCAAAGCCCATCATGCTCCATTCTCAAATGTCTTCCTTTTCAAGTCCTTCCTAATTCCCCCAGAGAGATGACTATTATCCTTAACACTTGAATACACCTCTGGCCACAATCTACCTGACAGGGTGAAATAGATAAGATTTTAGTCCTGGGCATCAGCTTTACCATTAGCTAGCTCTTAACTCAGGGCAATTTATTTAACCTGTTAAACCTCAGCTCCCTCACCTCGTTAATGAGCATGTCACCCAGGTTTGAGCTGTAACCCTTGTTCTCAGCAGGTGACTGCTTAATCTCTCCATCAGTTGTGCTTAGTTCACAAGTTGGTTTCTATAAGAAATCTAGTTATACCATGCAGTGTAGAAGCTCATGCTTTTAAGTAAACACCTCTTTTACTTAAACAAGTATTTATATCATCTTCAAATTCTTCCCTCTACCTCTCCCACCCCACCTCCTCAGCACTTTAACCACTCCCCCAGTTCTGATTTTTTTCTCTCTTGGTCTCTTCAGACATCGTAGATGTATCCACTTTGATTATGCAGAAAATTTCACTCTGTCTGTGATCCTACATTCATGCTTACAATCCTGAAGTCATCTTCCATTTTCATAAAACAAGGAAATTCTTGGCTTCTTAGAAAGTGCCGGAATTGCAGTGCTATTTACAATAGCAAAGGCATGCAATCAACCTAAATGTCCATCAATGATGTACTGAATAAAGAAAATGTGGTACATATATACCATGGAATACCATGCAGCCATAAAAAAAGAATAAGGTCATGTCCTTTGCAGGGACATAGATGGAGCTGGAGGTCAATATCCTCAGAAGACTAACACAGGAAAAGAAAACCAAATACCACATGTTCTCACTTATAAGTGGAAGCTAAATGATGAGAACTCACGAACACACTGAGGGTAACAACACACACTGGGGCCTTTTGGAGGGTGAAGGGTGGGAGGAGGGAGAGGATCAGGAAAAATAACTAGACTTAATACCTGGGTGGTGAAATAATCTGTACAACAAACCCCCATGACACAAGTTTACCTATGTAACAAACCTGCACGTGAACCCCCAAACTTAAAAGTTAAAAAAAAAAGTAATGGAGATATTAACAATTTTTTGCTACTAACAATAGTAGTACCCATCTTATGGTATTGTCATACAGAGATGTAATCCATATTTATGTGTTTAGCATAGATCCAGCGCATAGTTAAGTGCTCAAATCTTAGGATACTGTGATTACAGTTCATCTTGTTTTGTCTTATAAGATTATAGACACGTTAAGGGGAAGACCCTTATTTTATTCATCTTTCAATAAATAGCACAAAATTCTGTTCTCTGCCTTGGCTCCACATCAGTCACCTAGAGACTTTGAGCAAACGCTCAGGTCCCCATTCCACATCAGGCACATCAGAATGCCTCAAGTGGGGGCCTGCGTATCAGTGTTTTCCAGGTAACTTTACTGTGCACCCTGGCTTGCAACAACCATTTAACCTATTACCTTACATGCAGCAATAATAACTGCTACTGCAGGTCTCACTCTTCTTACAGGATAAGCATTATCCTAAGCGCTTTTTTGCCTGGATTACCTCATGACAGTAGTTGCTAAAGATCCCCAGGTAATTCCAATATACAGCCGAGTTTGAGAACCGGTTCCTTATTAAACTCTCACTACCGCCTCTTGCAGTAGAGTGTGTTGTTATCCACGTCTTACAGTGAAAACTGAGGTTTAGGGAGCTTAAGCAATGTGCTGGAGTCCTTCAGACAGCAAGTCAAGGGTGAAGATGAAATTCTGACTTCATTCACAGGTCTCCAGGCTTTCTTAGGAGGAAACAAGTAAGTGTTGCTAGGTTGAGTTCTCTTGCCCTTAGCCTCACAGCAGTTGTTGCTAAGTGGGAGAAATGTTCTTGTGATGCTCCATTTTCTTTTCCCTGTCACAACCCAGGTCATGTTTTTCACTAGCTGTTCATATTGGTACTGCATTTCTACCCTCTCCATGATGCTTCTTAGCCAAAGAGATTTAAAAGCCCTGATATGTTATTTTGTACCATAAAACAAATCCTGAGATCTTGGCATACTTAAAGGAGGACATGCCTTGATTTCAAATCCATATTTGCAAATAAGAATATTCTCCCATCCTGTGCATTAAGATATTTGGTAATAATAATGACCTACTTTTGTTATACTGCTTTATAGATTTTAAATGAGGTAAGGTGGAATAATGTCTCTTGAACTCTAAAAGGTTTGCAGTTTGGGTTCTAGCTATGCGTGTGAGTAAAATTTTAGTTACCTAAGAGATTTAGCTTAATCTCATAAATGATTTTAATGTAAGAGAAAGTAGAAAACAATCTAAGCCAACATTTCCCTTAAAGTCTTGATAGAAAAAAACCATAATTCTCTAGCTGGAAGAAAGAAGTAGCCAAGTCATAGTGTTGCCAACACATAAAGTATATGTTTACCCAAATGAAATATTTTTGATTTGCTAATTTATGAAGCTGTGCAGTTGGGCTAGGCTTTTCTCACTGGTTCCTCCTTCTCCCTACACTACTGTAAGCATGCAGGATTCACCTTATCCCCCATTCACCTGCTCTATAGAAGCCCCCACTTCCAACATCCAGATCAATGGTTCTCAAGCTTTAGGATACATCAGAACCACCTGGCCAGCCTATTAAACCACAGCGTTCTGGACCCCACCCCCAGAGCTTTTGATTTGCAATTCTAGGAGGTCCAACTATTTGCATTTCTAAAAAGGTCCCAGGCATTGCTACTGATCCAGGAATAACACTTTGAAAACCATTAAGTTATATGATCAAATGATCTATTAAAAGCTGAAAAATTTGTGCTTTTTCTGAAATTTCAATAATCAGGAGCATGAGGGTAAAGCATGAATATCTTTTCATGTCTAAAGAAGCACTTTGACTAACAGGTGCTGACAATAATATATTAACAAAGCAACAAGTATTTATTGAGCCCTGCTACAGTCTAAGTAGATGCCCCTGCGTCTACTTAACATTGGCAAAAGCAACGAGGTATTGTGAGAATTGTAGCAGCCCTGGTTACCTGTAGGTGGCAGAATATTCTAGCATAAATGACTTTTTAAATTTTTCTCGTAAAATGATTGATAACTTTCAGAAAGATTTACCAAAATCACTGTTATTTTTAAAAAGAGAAGGAAACATTTTAAAGTATAATGGATATAATATTCTATACAAGAAAAGGAATGTTATAATTTGCATCATGTATTTGGTAGGTATTGAAAAAGCAATATTTAATAGTGCTTATGAAAAATAAGTATTAAACACTATATGCAAAGCTATGTATTAAGTGTTTTACATGAGTTCTGTGGCTTAATGCTCGTGGCAAGCCTATAATGTTAATATTCCGGTTAAATAAAAAAGAAATCTAAGGCTCAAAATTCTACTCATTCTTCAAGTCCTGTTACATGTAGGCTTTTAGTTGTTTCATAAAGCTTTTGCTTAACATCCCTTTATAGGAAGCAATCTCGTGCCTTCTTCCTCCTCTCCATCTCTCATAGTAGTTTTCATATTGTTTGTTGGATTACTGGTGTTCGTGTAATCATCATATTCCTCCTTTGCAAGAATGTTGTAAGAATTAAAATTTTAAATGAGGCAATGTATATAAAAGTAATTTGTAAACACACACACATACAAATTATTATAAACATATTCTGTTTAGTGAGTTGAATGGTGGACCTTGTAAAAGAAAATCTCAGAACCCCAAAAGGAAAAAAAAAACTAAGCTGAAAGCTGAGTCCTGCAAGAAACTGCCTTTCCTTTTGTTCCTAAGCAGATAGTTACAGACGAAAGGTAAGATATCTCCACAGCGAGCTGCTCTAGGTTCACTTTATCTTTATGTAAAGTGATGATTTACTGAACATGAGTCAAATACACGATTGACTATTCTGCTCCTTTTCTCTTACAACATGTAGATTCAGTAATATGACCATACCCTCCCCCTTTCCCCTCCAGCCTGCTTTTCCCCTTTAAATATTGAAGCCCTCAAAATCATCTTTGGAAAAAGGAACGGACCACAGACTGCTTCTGTGATTGTGTATTTCTTTTTTTTTCTGGGCATGTTCTTAACCTTGGCAAAATAAACCTCTAAATGATTGAGATCTGACTCAGATACTTTTGGGTTTAAACCCCAAAAATGGTATGTTCACATCCTAATCTCCAGAACCTGTTAATGCAACCTTATTTGGAAAATGAATCTTTGCAGACGTAATTAAATTAAGGATCTCAAGATTAGATCATCCTGGATTATCCCAGCAGGTGCTAAATCCAATGACAAGTGTCATTAAGAAGACATACAGAGAAGACAATCACAGAGAGAAGAGAAGGCAATTTTAAAACACAGGCAGAGACTGGAGTTAGGCAGCCAAACACTGAGGAAAGTCTGGAGCTATCGAAAACTGGAAGTGGCCAGGCACAGCGGCTCATGTCTGTAATCCCAGCACTTTGGGAGGCCGACGTGGGAGGATCACTTGAGATCAGGAGTTCAAGACCAGACTGGCCAACATGGCGAAACCCCAACTCTACTAAAATTACAAAAATTAGCCTGGTGTGGTGGTACTCACATGTAGTCCCAGCTACTCGGGAGGCTGAAGCAGGAGAATAGCTTAAACCTGGGAGGTGGAGGCTGCAGTAAGCCAAGATCATATCACTGTACTCCAGCCTGGGTGACAGAGCAAGACTCCATTTCAAAAAAAAAAAAGAAAAGAAAAAGAAACTGGAAGAGGCAAGGAATGATTCTCCTCTAAAGCCTTGAGAGAGAGTATGGCCCTGCTGACACCTTGACTTTTGGACTTCTGGCCACAAAACTTTGAGATAATTAATTTCTGTTCTTGTAAGTCACACAGTTCATGGCAATTTGTTACAGCAGCCCTAGGGAATCAATCCACACTGTAATAATAAAAGCTAAGATTTATGGAGCTCTCAGTACATGCGTGCCAACCCAACACATAAGTTTGTTCAATCCACATAACCAATCTATTAGTTGAGTCCTCTTAGAATCCATATTCTATAAACCAAGAAACTGAGGTCTAGAAAGGTTAGGTAACTTGCCCCAGGTCACACAACTACTAAAGGGCAGTTAAGAGACTCCAACTGCAATTGCCCTGACTCTAAACATCCGTCCAGCCACTACCTTTAAAACCTTTTGGTGTACTATAGGAAATAAAAGGTGAAGAGACATTCCTCCTTTGTTTAATGAGTAGGTTCATAACTTTTTAATGAAGGAGGATTTAACAAATTCAGAAGGAATGTTTTCTTAGTAACATTGTCTTAATGGCACAGTCATTAAGATTGTTAGGAAGAAATTTTGTTTTAGGTCTATTAGCAAGATAACATTGGAGCACAGAAATTGTCAAACCGAACACAGTCCCCACGATGTGGAGAAGAAAAATCAGAATCTCCATGGGGAGGTGATGCAATTATAGTTTGAAGGAGCATATTCAAAGTTACAATTTTATATTTCTTAGGTGAAAAGAGTTACTTTTCTTTTTAATATTTGTTTATTAGATAGGGTCTTGCTATGTTGACCAGGCTGGTCTCAAACTCCTGACCTCAAGCAAAACTTTCATCTCAGCCTCCCAAAGTTCTAGGATTACAGGTGTGAGCCACCTTGCCCTGCCAATTTTTTTAACTTAAGGAATTTTCTTCTGGAGTCTTCCTTTAATTTCATGTTCCTCAAAGTGTAGCCATTACTTGTTTGTTTGTTTTTTCAATTTAAGAGATAAGGTCTTGCTATGTTGTCCAGACTGGTCTCGAACTCCTGGCCTCAAGCAATCCTCTAGCTTCAGCTTCCCAAAGTGCTAGGATTGCAGGCGAGAGCCACCATGCCAAGCTAGTGAAGCCATTTTACTCCAAGTGCCTACTTCACCTAAGTGCTTGGTTTGTTGTTCTTGTTGTTTTTAAAAAAGAAAACTCAGGCCCAGACCTACTGAATCAGAATCTCTGCATGTGAACCTGGGTATAAGCCTTTTAACAAGCTCTGAGGTTGAGCAATAAGTTGGAGAACTCCTGCCTTCACATTGTCCACAACTATGGTGCCACCAAAGGAAGATTTCATATTACAGCAGCCCTAGGGAATCAATCCACACTGTAACAATAATAAAAGCTAAGATTTATAGAGTTCTCAGTACATGTGCACCAACCCTACACATAAGTTCATTCAATCCATATAACCAGCCTGTTAGTTGAGTCCTCTTAGAATGGAATTGGTTTTACGTCAGTCGGTGGATTTCAGATAGGGTCTTAATGCCACTAGTCACTTTCTAATCTTGGGCATCAAAACCCTGAAACTCAGTACAGTGAGTGGTGTACCATCTTTATGCTAGGAGAGTAAGGGTGGTGGATGGTAAATTTTAATGTAAAAACATAAAGCAAAAATCAGTGATACTTAAAATTACTCTTGAAAAAGGAAAATAATTTCGGTTGCCCAGCATTGAGAAATTTCTGCTTCTTCCATTGTAAATGAAGACTTCTTGCTTTTAAGGAGTGTGTGTGTGTGTGTGTGTGTGTGTGTGTGTGTGTGTGTGTTGGGAGGGAAGATAAATGCATCTTTGAATACTTAACTTGTTCTCACCCCAGTGTGATTTGTTTTTCACCCAGTGAGAGGAACAAAGTGGTGGCGATTAGGGGCAGAATAAATAACAGGTCTACCTCTTCTTCACACCAACTCCTGGACACAAGATCTTTATGTAGAACATAGAACAAATTTGGAACATCATTTTTTTTCTCCCTTATTCCTTCAGCTTCTTTCTCCCTTTCTCTTTTTGCCAAAGGACTGTCATCAAATTCACATCAGTGAAATAGATTAATGATGGGATTCCAATACATTCTCCTCCGAAAAATGGATATCTCACCTTGAGAGTGTTTTAAATTACATCCTTAGTGCAGTGTCTGGCATGTCATAAACATTCAGTAAAAGGGAGTGATCTTTTTCAAAGCTGCTCCTGCTACTGTCATTAGTGTCAGGGATGTTTGAGAATTAAACAAAATATATATCTAAGAAACCTAGACTACAGTAGATGCTTTCAAAAATAGCTAGTATAATTATTTTCATAGCATGGCCAAATACCTAGGCCTTGAAGATGCTGAAGACATCCCTGCAGATTGCCATCCTGTATATGAGAGGAACATGTCATACTGGCTACATGAAGGAATTATGAGTTTCTGTTTACATGGAGGGTTTTTTTCATCTCATATTAGAATTTCTATCAACAAAGAAGTCTTTCCTTTGAGAATAAAATACCTAGGAATGCAACTTACAAGGGATGTGAAGGACCTCTTCAAGGAGAACTACAAACCATTGCTCAATGAAATAAAAGAGGACACAAACAAATGGAAGAACATTCCATGCTCACGGATAGGAAGAATCAATATCATGAAAATGGCCATACTGCCCAAGGTAATTTATAGATTCAGTGCCATCCCCATCAAGCTACCAATGACTTACTTCACAGAACTGGAAAAAACTACTTTAAAGTTCATATGGCACCAAAAAAGAGCCCCCATTGCCAAGACAATCCTAAGCAAAAAGAACAAAGCTGGAGGCATCACGCTACCTGACTTCAAACTATATTACAAGGCTACAGTAACCAAAACAGCATGGTACTGGTACCAAAACAGAGATATAGACCAATGGAACAGAACAGAGGCCTCAGAAATAACACCGCACATCTACAACCATCTGATCTTTGACAAATCTGACAAAAACAAGCAATGGGGAAAGGATTCCCTATTTAATAAATGGTACTGGGAAAACTGGCTAGCCATATGTAGAAAGCTGAAACTGGATCCCTTCCTTACACCTTATACAAAAATTAATTCAAGATGGATTAAAGACTTAAATGTTAGACCTAAAACCATAAAAACCCTAGAAGAAAACCTAGGCAATACCATTCCGGACATAGGCATGGGCAAGGACTTCATGTCTAAAACACCAAAAGCAATGGCAACAAAAGCCAAAATAGACTAATGGGATCTAATTAAACTAAAGAGCTTCTGCACAACAAAAGAAACTACCATCAGAGTGAACAGGCAACTTACAGAATGGGAGAAAATTTTTGCAATCTACTCATCTGACAAAGCGCTAATATCCAGAATCTACAAAGAACTTAAACAAATTTACAAGAAAAAACCGCATCAAAAAGTGGGCAAAGGATATGAACAGACACTTCTCAAAAGAAGACATTTATGCAGCCAACAGACACATGAAAATAATGCTCATCATCACTGGTCATCAGAGAAATGCAAATCAAAACCACAATGAGATACCATCTCACACCAGTTAGAATGGCAATCATTAAAAAGTCAGGAAACAACAGGTGCTGGAGAGGATGTGGAGAAATAGGAACACTTTGACACTGTTGGTGGGACTGTAAACTAGTTCAACCACTGTGGAAGACAGTGTGGCAATTCCTCAAGGATCTAGAACTAGAAATACCATTTGACCCAGCGATCCCATTACTGGGTATATACCCAAAGGATTATAAATCATGCTACTATAAAGGCACATGCACATGTGTGTTTATTGCGGTGCTATTCACAATAGCAAAGACTGGGAACCAACCCAAATGTCCATCAATGATACACTGGATTAAGAAAATGTGGCACATATACACCATGGAATACTATGCAGCCATAAAAAAAGGATGAGTTCATGTCCTTTGCAGGGTCATGGATGAAGCTGGACACCGTCATTCTGAGCAAATTATCACAAGGACAGAAAACCAAACACTGCATGTTTTCACTCATAGATTGGCATTGAACATTGAGAACACTTGGACACAGGGCAGGGAACATCAAACACGGGGGACTGTCATGGGGTTGGGGGCAGGGAGAGGGATAGCATTAGGAGAAATACCTAATGTAAATGACGAGTTAATGGGTGCAGCAAACCAACATGGCACATGTATACATATGTAACAAAACTGCACGTTGTGCACAGGTATCCTAGAACTTAAAGTATAATTAGAAAAAAAAAAAAAAAAAGAAGTCTTTGCTTTAAATGTTTGCCAGACCAGCAGTCTCCTGAAATACTGATCTACTCCTTACAGGCCATTAACCCAAACCCAGCTAGATATTTTCTTCTTCTTCTTCTTCTTCTTCTTCTTCTTTTTTTTTTTTTAGAGAGAGGGTTGCCCAGGCTGGTGTGCAGTGGCACAATTATAACGATCCTTCTTCCTTAGCCTCCCCCAGCTGAACAGTTCTAATTGGCTAGAGAAGAAAAAGCTAGTTTGAATGACCAACCTCTTTCCTAATTTCTCATTCCTAAAGATATTGAGGAAAGAAGAAGAGATGTCTTGACATGTCTGTACATTACCGTGATCAGTTTCTCCACGGAGCTAAATTTGACCGGTCATTTTTGGAAACATAATATTATTTATTCATTTACAAAAACACAGATCCCTGTCTGCAGTTCTGTTCTTGTATCATTAGCCCTCTCCACTGGATGGAATTATTTGCTACATAATTGCATTCTCAGACTCCTCCATGCTTGGATCCCTGATGTGATTGACAATAATGACTCCTCTGGTGCCCACTGGTATATTTACACAAGCCAATAAGAAATGCAGCAAATCACTCAATATGATATCTGGTTTTAGGCACTGCATCTGGGATATAGCACATCATCCTTAAAAACTGTAAAGAAACCTAGAAATGTAAGAAATCCAGGATGAGGTGAGATCCATCAGTCTATTTCAGTTTAATCTTATGGAAAAGAAAATAAGAAGGAAAACTGAAAAACATTCAAATGAGCTTCCAATTGACAAAAGGCAACAATGAGAACAGATATTTAGACCTCACTGTAGACAAACTACTGAGAAGGAAGAATTTAGAACAGTTAAGACACATTGCTGTTTTTTAAAGAGCTTCATTTGCTTTCCTTGACTTAATTTATTTTAACATGTAAGCTGTATCATCTATTTCGGGACTAACAATTCTTTAGTTTGTGGAAGCAGTATTTCATCACAGCATTTCAAGGCTTTACACACATACACTCTAAGGACATACCATACATACCAGATAAGTGCAAAATGGAACAAGGTAGGGCTCAATTTTCTTTGACAAAGTAGATATAACCATTTAAGTAGCAATTAGATCAAGAAATAAGACATTACTAGCACCCTAGAAGGCCCACTCAAGCCAAGGAGCTACTGTCCCCCAAAAGGTAACCAGTGACATCTAACACCAGAGATTTACTTCACCTGTTTCTGAACTCTTAGACTCATCAATTTGTGTTCTTTTGTGCATGACGTCTTTGCTTGACTTATATTTCTTTGATTTTCCCATGCCATTACATTTGCTTGTTCTCATTGCTTTAAAGGGTTCCATTGTGCAAGCTATAGTACTTTTTATGCATTTTATTATGGATGGACATTTGGATTGCTTCCAGCTTGGGGCTACTGTGGATAGTATTGTTATGGACACTCTAGTACAAGTCTTTTATGCACAGCCTGGCCAATTATTTTGGTTATATAGATAGGAGCCAGTTTGCTTACATATGTTTAGCTTTACTAAATATTGTCAAAGAGTTTTCAAAGTGGTTATATTTATTTGCACTTTTACCAGCAGTACGTGAAACTTCCAGTTGTTCCATATCCTTACCAATACTTCGTGTTATCTCCCTTTTAACATAGACTTTCTGGTGGTCTGAAATAATCTCTTAGGTTTAATGGCATTTTCTTGACGACTGTTGAAACTGAAAACCTTTCCTTGTGTTTTTGAATTTTAATTGACACAAATAATTGTACCTATTTATGGAGTACAAAGTGATATTTCAATACATATACATAACCTGTAATGATCAAACCAGAGTAACTGACATCATCCATCACCTCAAACATTTATTATTTATTTGTGTTCAGAACATTCAAAATCCTCTGTTCTAGCTATTTGGAAATGTACAATAAATTATTAATGATAGTCACCTTACAGTGCTAATGAACAGTAGAACTTATTCCTCCTATCTAGCTGTAATTTCGTGTCTATTAACCAATCTCTCCTTATCGCTCTCATCACCCTTCTCAGCCTTTGGTAATTACTACTCTACCTCTCCAAGCTCAACTTTTTTAGTTCTCATATGTGGATAAGAACATGTGGTCTTTCTTTCTGTGCCTGACTTCTTCCATTTCATGTTATGTTTTCTAGGCTCATCCATGTTTCCACAAATGACATAATGTCATTTTTTTCTATGGCTGAATAGTATTCCACTGTGTATATATACCACATTTTCTTTAGTTGTTCACCTATTGGTAGATTTAGGTTGATTTCATACCCTGGCTACTGTAAACAGTGCTGCAATAAACATAGCTGCAGAGAGATCTCTAATATACTGATTTCCTTTCCATTGGATAGACACCTAGCTGTATGATTGCTGGATCATATGGTAGTTTTATTTTTAGTTTTTTGAGAAACCTCCATACTGTTTTCCATAATGGCTTTACTACTTTACATTTCCACCAACCATGTAAAAGATTTCTCTTTTCTCCACATCCTTGCTGGCATTTGTTATTTTTTGTCTTTTTGATATAGCCATTTTAACTGGGGTGAGATGATATCTCACTGTGGATTTGACTTGCATTCCCCTGGTAATTAGTGATGTTCAGCATTTTTTCATATATTTGTTGGCCATTTGTATGTCTTCTTTTGAGAAATGTCTATTGAGATCCTTTGCCCATTTTTTAAAAATAGGATTGTTTGGTTTTTTGCTATTAAGTTGTTTGAGTTCCCTGTATATTCTAAATATTAATCTCTTGTCAAAGGAAGAGTTTGCAAATATTTCCTCCCATCCTGAAGGTTGTCTCTTAGCTCTGTTGAATGTTTGCTGTGCAAAAGGCTTTAATTTGATATAATTCCATTTGTCCATGTTTGCTTTTGTTGCCCATGCTTTTGAAGTATTAACTATGAAACCTTTGCCCAGGTCAATGTCCTAAAACATATTCTCTGTTTTCTTCTGGTAGTTTTATAGTGTTTGAAATTAAAGTATTTAATCCATTTTAAGTTGATTTTTTATATAGTGAAAGACAGAGGTCTAGTTTCATTATTCTGCATGTGGATATTCAGTTTTCCCAGCATCATATGTTAAAGAGGGTATCCTTTCCCCAGTTTATGTTCTTCGTATCAGTTGACCGTAAATACATGAATTTATTTCTGGGTTCTCTATTCTGTTCCATTGGTCTATATGTGTGTTTTTATACCAGTACCATGCTTTTCTGATAAATATGGCTTTAGAGTATATTTTGAATTCAACCAGTGTAATGTCTCCAGCATTGTTTTTGTTTATTTATTGTTTGGGGTTTTTGTTTTGTTTGCTTAGAATTGCTTCAATTATTCGGCATCTTTCATGGTTCCTTACAAATTCTAGAATTGTTTTTCTGTTTGTGTGAAGAATATAGTTGGAATTTTGATAGATATTCCGTTGAATCTGTAGATCGCTTTGGGTAATATGGTTATTTTGACAATATTGTTCTTCCAATCTATGAACATGAAATGTCTTTTATCTTTTTCATGTGTCTTCTTTGATTTCTTTCATCAATGTATTATAGTTTTTATTGGTAGAGATATTTCACCTCCTTGGTGAAATTTATTTCTACGTATTCTTTTTTGTAGTCATTTTAAATAAAATTGCTTTCACAATTTTTTGCAGCCAGTTTGTTATTACCATATAGAAATACTACTGATTCTGATTTTTGTGTATTGATTTTTGTATCCTGTGATTTTACTCAATTTATTTATCAGTTCTAAGGGTTTTCTGGTAAAGTCTTCTAGTTTTTCTCTGTATAAAATCACCTCTTCTGCTAACAAGGACAACCTGACTTTCTTTCCCAATTTGGATATCCTTTATCTCTTCTTTTGCCTAATTGCCCTGGCTATGACTTACAGTAATATGTTAAATAAGGTGGAAGTGGGCATCCTTGTCTTATTCCAGTCCTTAGAGGTAAAGCTTTCAACTTTCCCCTTTCCGTAGGATGTTAGCTGTGGTTTTGTGATATATGGTCTTTATTTTATTGAGGTACGTTCCTACCATATCTAATTTTTTGAAAGTTTTTATCATAAAGGGATGTCAAATTTTATGAAATGTTTTTTCTGTATTCATTGAGATGATTATATGATTTTTGTCCTTCATTCTGTTGATGTGACTTATGACATTTTTTGATTTATGTATGTTGAACCATTTTTGCAGCCCTAGGTTAAATCCCATTTGATCATGATGTATAATCTTTTTATTGTACTATTGGATTTGGTTTGCCAGCATTTTGTTGAGGATTTTTATACCTATGCTTATCAGGAATAATGTTCTGTAGTTTTATGTTTCTGTTGTGCCTCTTTCTGGTTTCGATCTTAGGATAATGCTGGCCTCATAAAATTAGCTTGGAAGACTTTCCTTTCTTCATTATTTTAGAATACTTTGAATAGAATTGGTTTTAGTTCTTCTTTAAAAGCTTGGTAGAATTCTACCAAGCTTTGGTAGAAAAGCTTGGCAGTAAAGTAAAAGATTGGCAGTAAAGCTATCCAATCCTGAGCTTTTCTTTGTTGGAAGACTTTTTGTTACTGATTCAATCTCATTAGTTTTTATTTGTCTGTTTATGTTTTCTATTTCTTCTTGGTTCATTCTTGGTAGGTTATATGTTTGCAGAAATTTATCTGTTTCTGCTAGGTTTTCCAATTCGTTAGTATATAGTTGTTTATAATAGTCTCTAACGATCCTTCTTCGTTCTGTGGTATCAATTGTAATGTCTCCTTTTTCATTTCTGATTTTGTTTATTTGGCTCTTCTGTCTTTTATTAGTCTAATGGTTTTTTGATTTTATCTTTGAAAAAAACCAACTTTTTGTTTCATTGATCTTTTGCATTTTTTTAAAGTATCTATTTCATTTACTTCTGTTCTGATCTTAATTATTTCTTTTCTTCTACTAATTTGGGGTTTGGTTTGTTCTTGCTTTTCCAAGTCTTTGAGATGTATTGTTAGGCTCTTTATTTGAAATCTTTCTACTTTTTTGATTTATGTTTTTATTGCTATAAAATTCCCTCTTAGTACTGGTTTTGTTGTATCCTGTAGGTTTTGGTATTTTGTGTTTTTAAAACTTCCTTCTTAATTTTTGTACTGACATATTGGTAATTCAGAGGCATGTTGTGTAATTTCCATGTATTTGTACAGTTTTCAAATTTCCTCATTGATTTCTAGTTTTATTGTAATCTGAAAGGGTATTTGATACAATTTTGATTTAAAAAAATATTGAGACTTGTTTATTGGCCTAACATATTGTCTGTCCTAGAGAATGTTCCATGTGCTGATGAGAAGAATATGTATTCAGCAGCTGTTGGATAAAATATTCTGTAAATATCAGTTAGATTTATTTGATCTATAGTGTAGTCTAAGTCTGATGTTTCTTTATTTTCTGTCTAGATCACTTGTCCATTGCTGAGAATAGGGTGTTGAAGTCTTCAACTATTATTATATTGTGGTATATCTCTGCCTTTAGCACTAATAATATTTGCTTTATATGTATATATGGGTGCTCCAGTGTTGGGTGCATATATATTTACAGTTATTGTATTTTCTTCCTGAACTGATTGCTTTTTCATTATATAGTGACATTTCATTATATGAATGACACTCTTTGTCTCTTTTTATATTTTTTGACTTAAAGTCTATTGTATCTGAAATAAGGATAGCTTCTCCTCACTTTTAGTTTTGATTTGCATGGAGTATCTTTTTCCAGCTCTTTACTTTTAGCCTATGAGTGTCTTTACAGGTGAAATGAGTTTCTTATAGGCAGTATATACTGGAGTATTGTTGCTATTGTTTTTAATCCTTTCAGCTAGTCTATATCATTTAATAGGGAATTTAAACTACTTAAATTCAAGGTTGTTATTGACAGGTGTAGACTTACTCCTGTCATTTTATTAACTGTTTTCTGGTTGTTTCTGGTTGTTTAAAATATCCTATTTTCCTTTCTCCCTTTCTTTCTGTTTACCTTTAGGGTTTGATGGCTTTTTGCAGTGATAAGGTTTGATTCCTCTCTCTTTCTCAGTTGTATATCTGTTTTACCAGTGAGTTTTATTCTTTTGCATGTTTTCATGATGGTAGTTATCATCCTTTTGCTTTCAGATGTAGGACTCCCCTAAGCATTTCTTGTAGGGCTGGTCTAATGGTGATGAATTCCCTCAGTTTTTGCCTATCTGGAAATGCTATTTCTATTTCAGTTTTAAAGAATAGCTTTGTTGGGTATAGTATTCTTGGCTGCCAGGGTTTTCTTTCTTGGCCTTTAAAGTTTCTGCTGAGACATCTGCTGTTAGTCAGATGGGGATTCCCTTATATATGATTTAATGCTTTTCTCTTGCTGTTTTTAAAATTCTCTTTGTCTTTGACTTTTGACAGTTTGACTCTAATGTGCCTCAAAGAGGATTCAAAGGGATTTTTGAGCTTCATAGATCTAGATGTTCAAACCTCTCCCAATACAAGAGAAGTTTTCTGCTACTATTTCATTATATAAGTTTTCTATGCATTTTCCTATCTCTTCTGCAATTCAAATGCAAATGTGAATATTTGTTCTCTTAACGCTCTCCCATAAGTCCTGTTGGCTTTCTTCAATTTTCTCTTCTTCCTCTTCTTCTTTTTCCTCTGCTTCTTCCTCTTTCTCTTCTTCTACCTCTTCCTCTTCTTCATCTGTGTTATTTCAAAAGATCCATCTTCAAGTTTAGAAATCCTTACTTCTGCCTAGTCTATTGTCAAAGCTCTATTCCATTTTAAAATATTATTAATTGAAATCTTCAGTTCCAATATTTCTGTTTAATTCTTTTTTTATAATAGGTATCTCTTTGTTGAATTTCTCATTCAGATCCTGAATGGTTTTTCTGATTTCATTGAATTGTCCATCTATATTTCACTGAGTTTCCTTAAGATCATTTTCAATTCTTTTTCCGGAATTTCATAAATTTTATTTTCTTTGGGGTTTCTTGCTAGAGAATTATTGTGTTCCCTTGGAGATGTCATGTTTCCTTGTTTTGTCATCTTTCTTGTGTGGTGTAATAGTCACTTCTTTTAATTTTATGAAGTAGCTTTCATAGGGAAATACCTTTTCCTGTATATGTGCCCTATAGCATTTGTTGGGTAGTATGCTTTGACTTTGGTTCTGGCTGGGCACAGGCGTGTAGTTTCCAACAGTATCAGACTCCAGACAAGTGGACTTCTGACCCTTTTCATATGGGTGAGATGCACAGAAGCTCTGATGCTGGGTGGGGTTGCTGGCAGCAGCAGGCCCAGGTGGGTCACTTCTTAGGCTCCTGGGTGGGGGGACATGGGCACTCAGCAGCTCCACTACTGAAGTGAGCAAGATTGTTGGTTGTGGGCCCCAGGCAAGCTGGCCCCTGGGCCCCTGGGGGTGGTATCTGGATGCTTAGTGGCAGAGTGTGTGAGGTTGTCAGTGAAGACAGGCCCCAGGCTCTTAGCTCTCAGGCCCTGGAGAGTGCATATATTGGCTCCCTCTGTCTTTGAGGTTGCCTCCCTGCTGTGCTGGACAACCCCAAGGTGCCAGGTGCTATGTGGGCTCAGGTGCCAGGTTTATGGCTGCATTGCTGAGTCCAACAGAGGTTGTGCCCCTGCAGCCTTTTGTGGGTGTAGTAGGATAATGTCAGTACTCCAGAGATGTGGAGACACAGGGGCTATTGGGCCACTGGGCAGAATGCCTTACATATATTAACCTTTTGGGTAACTCTTTTTGGTCAGCTGCCTGTTCAAGTCTTTTGCCCATTTTTCTATTAGGTCATGTAAATTTTCTCTTATTAATTTGTTGAAGTTATTATATATCTGGTTCCTAATCTTTTCTCTTAATTATGTTCTATAAATATCTTCTACTTTTTCACCCTTAAGTGGTATTTTTGGATAGACATTATTTAAATATGATTCAAATTACAATTTTTGTTTTTATAAGAACACTTTTTGTGTTCTAGACCTACTCTAGGTCAAGGAATATCGTTTTATTTTTCTAAAATTTTTATCTTTTTCTTTTTAAGTTTTATCTTTCACATTTGGACCCATAATCAATCTAGAATTGAGGCTCTTTGTATGTTTGTGTGTGCTTGGAGTGAAGTGCTGCTCAAGATTCACTATATGCTATATAGATGTCTAATTCCACACAAATTTTGTTCTAGTTACTTAGACCATTTCTCCACTGAACTATATAAATTATAACTCATTTTTCCTATCATTTTGCACAAAGGATATTTTCAAAAATTGAATCACATTTTACTTATTTTTATACTTTATATTTTGTAACCTAGATTTTATATCAGTTTGTCATAAACCTCATTAGAATATAGATCTGCATTACTACTTTTTATAACCATATAATATTCTATTGGATGGCTGTACAATAATTTATTTAATCCATCTTCTATCAATTGATATTTAAATTGGTCCAAATCATTCAGTAAAATAATCAGTGCTATCAAGGTGATCTGTGACTATATAGTTTTGCATATTTATTAAAACACTTATTTTTAATACAACCAAGAATTAGGATATCCACATTTTCAGGCTTTTAATCAGAAGCAGCTATATATACTGTGAATCTAATGAAGCTTAACCTTCAGGGTCCTTCATTTACTCAGGCTCTTTTCTCATTCCTGTGCCAAATTTCTTGTTTATAATTTTGTGTCCTTTAGCAGTGATTAAGAGTGGTCATTTTCCTCCATCTTTGCCCCATGTGGCATCATCAACTGAAGGTATCATTTACAGGGTCCATTGTGGCTTTGGGTGTGGGCTACCTTGGGCTTGTTAAGTCCACTGCTTACTTTTCCCTGCCCTTATTGTCCAAATACTAATTTGTTAATGGGAAGAAGAATTTAGCTTGCCCAGTTATACAGTGTGCCTCTCTAAAGGACTTCTGGTGACATTTTGTACTGATCTTTTCATAATAACAAAGAATGTCATCCATTTCAATCCCATTAAGAAGGAAATAGTGAGTACATGCTTGTCACTGTGTTGCAAGGAAATAACAGTATTCAGAGGTGTATGTGTGACAGTGTAAATAGCAAAACTTTAAAAAACACAATTTATTTTTCGGAATTCAAGTGATCTGAGCTTGATTTAAAATGAAAGTTAAAAGTCAAACTACCATACCATCTGCTTATGTTGCAGCTTTATGTCTTTATCCATAAATTTTCACTATAAATTTTTTCTTCTCAGGCAGATAAAAATATGAGAAAAGGAGAAATAAGGATATTGAGCCTGTTTTTGCTGAAAGGTGTGATAAATACAGTATAATCTGATCTGCTTTTCTGTTTAAATCATTAAAATTTTTATCTAATCTCAGTCACTGAGTAATCATAAGAAATGAGTGATAGAACTGCTCTCTGCCCCATTTAAAACATACACTCTAACTACCCTTCACTTAAAACTTAGGGAAAAAATAATATAAATGTTGGAAGCCCTATTAATAAAAAGGACATTGTGGGAGTCATTCACATGGAACATTAATACAAAACCTACTTGATTTATAAAGCATTCCAATTCGTGGTCTCCCTCATACTTATCAAAACTTTTATTTCCAGTTGATGGCTTTTTTTTCCTTTTAAATGCCCTTTTCCTCTTTGAGTTTATACACACCACTCTTTAACAGAACAGCTTGTTGGCCATTTGTGCAAGAAGTAAAAATGCTTTCATGAATACAAGTTACTCATTTTTTGATGTAGGGTTTGGCTTTGACCATAACTTTAGGTAATCGTTGCAGTCAACAGATGTTAGAGGGTGCCGTCCATCAGGATGAACAAACCCACGCAGTCAGATTAAGTAAAGGCATCTGGAAACAGCACAACTGAGAATAGGTTTTATGACACCTGGCAAGCAGCCTTCTTTTCTTGTAATACCTAAAAGTTTCTGAGTAAAGAGGGCATTGGCTGATAAGCTTTGTAGAAATGTCACCCAATATTAGGAGAAATGATTTCCTTTCAGAACAAAGACCAAAATGATAAAACAACTCAAATGGGGAATGATATAAATAAATAAATAAAACCCTAAGTTTTTAGGGGACCTCTTTTGAAGGTGGATTTTTTTTCTTGTCAGCTGAATATTTCCTAAATTCTGTTTTCCATTTTCATAGCCAAATCTACTTATATGGATAGCTTCACTGAACAGGCACTTTTCTGGGCTGGGGATGACATAGAAAAGAACTAGAAAGGCCCTAAATTACATCATTTCCTTCCACCATAAGAATTTTTAAAAAATATTCCTGAAAACACTGCATGTTCAATTCCATCCAAGTCCTGAGGGTTCTTGATTATTTTTAAAAGGTGTTACTGTGAGATATTTCAAACATGCTGGTAAGAACGAATAAAATTATAAGGAATACCCATGCATTCTCCAGTCAACACTGTTATTTCATTTCTTCATTAAAGAATTAGACAAAATATAACTGAGCTCCTCTTGTGAATTCCTCTCTGATTCATGTATGTTTTTACAATTTTATCATTTTATATTCATAAACATTAACTATTGTTCTGATATTTTAAAACATTATGTATAGTGTATGTTGTACTTCTATTTTGTAACTTGGTCAGATTTTTCAATGTTGAATGATTATGTAATAATCTATACTATTTATTCATCTATTAACAGACATTTAGGCTTCCAATATTTTGTTCTCACAGGTGTGTATAAGAGAGGAGATGGAATTGCTCAGATGATAGGTATGAGCATCTAAACTTCAGAAATGTTGCCAAATTGGAAATATAGCTGAGCAATAGGTTTATACCAATTTTCCTCCTTATTTCTTAGATAGTTTCTACTGTTTCTATTTGAAAGTCAGCTATTATTAGTCTTCTTATTTATCCTTTGGAAGCACCATGTCTTTTTTTCTCTGGGTGCTTTTAAGATTTTCTCTTGTCCTTTTGTTTTCAACAATTTGATGATACTAAGTCCTAGAGTGGTGGTTTTTATTTATCCGGTATAGGATTCACTGAGCTTATGAAATCTTTGAGTTGAGGTCTTTCACCAGTTTTGAAGCATTCTTTGTCATTATCTCTTTAGCCTTTTGTCTAGTCACCCAGCATCCCATGTATACTCCAGAACAAACTGTCTCATGGGGAAAACCAGCCAGATCTCCACAAATTTCCAATCCATCCGCCAGGATCAAGCACTCATAAAAGTCCTCAAATTTGTTCTTTCCTCTAGTAGAGTCACTGTGTTTGGATTAAGCCTTACCCTGTCTGCAGCCCAAATCAGCAAATATCCCAGGAGAATAAATGACTGGTCAGCTCAGGTCTGAAAGTTTTCCCTACCCCCGAATTCCAAGTTATCTGGTCTTTGTTACTTCTATAGCTCCCCAGTATCTTTAACTATACAACTTTGGTAACTTATCTAGCTTTTTCTAGTTTTTGCACTGGGAGTGTTGATCTGCTACAAGTTACATCATGCTACCTGGAAGCAAAAGCATTCACTGCATTGCCTAAAATTTGAGAGATCCAAAAGTTGGCATAAACACTTTACAACTGCCTTTGAGCTAGCTCCTGCCATCAAAACCATAAACTAATCCCGACAATTGAATATTATGAAAAAAATTAACAAACTGGGCTTTAATCAAAATTTTAAACTTTATTTTTTTAGAAGCCTCCTTAAGAAACAAGGAAAAGGTAAGCCACAGACTGGGGTAAAATATTTCCAATAACTACATCTAACAAAAGGTCCATATCTAAGATTTATATTTAATCTATAAAGAAAACTAAGAGGACAAACTCCATTTTTTTAAATGGGGAAAGGTTTTGAACAGATATACAAATGATCAATACGCATTTGAATAAGTGCTCAACGTTATTATTCATCAAGTAAAACCACAATGAGTAGCACTACAAGCTCACCAGAATGGCTAAAATTTAAAAACTGACACCTCCAAATGTTGGCCATGATATGCAGCCACTTGAACTCTTTATTATAGCTCATGGGAGTGTAAAACCATGCAAATACTTTGGAAAAAGACTGAGATGTTTCTCTCAAAAGTAAACACAAGACTGACCTAGAACCAAGCAATTCTACTCCTAAGGCATTTACCCAAGAGAAACAAAAGCCTATGTCTACACAAAACTTGTACATGAATGTTCATAAAGCTTTATCCTAATAGCCTCAAACTAGAAACGACACAAACATCATCAATAGGTGAATAAATAAATGAGATATAATCCCCTTTAAAAGAATTACATGGGCCGGGCATGGTAGCTCATGCCTGTAATCCCAGCACTTTGGGAGGCCGAGGCAGGCAGATCACGAGGTCAGGAGTTCAAGACCAGCCTGGCCAACATGGTGAAACCCCATCTCTACTAAAATACAAAAATTAGCTCAGTGTGGTGGTGCGTGCCTGTAATCCCAGCTTCTCAGGAGGCTGAGGCAGGAGAATTGCTTGAACCCGGGAGGCAGAGGTTGCAGTGAGCCAAGATTGTGCCATTGCACTGCAGCCTGGGCAACAGAATAAGACTCCGTTTCATAATAATAATAATAATAATAATTACATGTTATATTTTTGAAACATCATTAATCAAATGACATCATCACGATTTTTTCCTTTGGAGGAGTAAGGAAGAATCATTATTCATGCACTGAAATATTTTTGTTGTCGCAAATATCCATTATTCCAGATACCGTACTTGGTAATGGTTTAGATATACAATGATGAGCAGATTGGGTATGGCTACTGCCTTCACTCACAATCACATGACAAAATTTCTGAGTTTACAAAGACAAAAGTGTTTATGGACTGTTTATATTTGTGTGTTTGTTAAACAGCAGAGGGGATAGTGATTATTGATCTTGATGTAGCATCTGGAAATAAGTTTCTATTTAAGAATTTGCACTCCACTTAAGTTTGCCTAGGTGAACGTTTTATAGTTTGGGTAGAGAGATGATGGCCACTGAGAAGCTTGGAGCTTTGATGCTAATCTCTGCAGCTTCCTTTAACAAAACTTAGGGTCATTTGATCTTTTTGCGTTTTCATCCCTCCTTCTTTAAAAATAATCCCGATTTTAGGTGTGGGGTGTTAAAGGACCTTTAGCCTGATATAACCACCCACCTTGTATTTCTGACTTTAATAGCACTAGATTGCTTATAATCTGGGCAATTTCTCTGCTTATTTGGCTGCTCACTTCAGCTCACTTCAATTCCTTCTCTTCCTTAAACTGTACATATGTTTTTTTTCCTCCCCCCAGGCTTCCTTTGCTGTTTAACTGTACTTCATACATGCAGGTATCATGTCTTTATGAAGGTTTTCAAATTAAGGAGGGTACCACTCCCCTCTGCCCACCTCTACATACCTCTGTGTGCCTAACTTCATTATATCAATGGATGAAAATCCCACAGCTGAAAATAGGCACTAAAGTACGTCACAATCTGAAGCTGGTCCAACAACATGCTCTAAAGGCTTATAAGTAGTTGCCCAAAAAGTCCCTATCACAATGAAAAACTCCACCTGCTATTTCTAATTCACAAAAACTGACTACTTGAGAGGAGAAGGGAGTCAAAGTCAGATGCCAAATACTTTCCTCAGCAGTACAATCCCTTCCCATGTCCCCTTCCCAAGGACTTCATCACACTCCACCATCCAAGTGAGAAAGGTTTTGAGACATCCATGCACAGAAAGAAGGCATGTATGAAATGAGGGAGATACTGGCAATTCTTGCCCTGGTTGGATGTCTGCTTAGGCAATGGACATGGTTTCTTTCTACTCAAGGGAAAAGAAATCTGGAGAAAGAAGGCACAATCACTTAATTATCACAGTTTAAGCCACTTTACTATTAAATCGCCCAAGAGAGCTGCCTCCCAGCCAAGAGAGACACAGCTGGTGGTTGTGGGGTGGGCCACCAAGAATAGAAGCTGAGGGGGTGGAGGAGGGGGCCGAATGCAAATCTGACTCTGGGGTCAGCTGCTGCTCCCAAGTACCAGTTCTGTATCTCACGAGCTATGTGAGCTTGGGCAAAACACTTAATTTTTCTGAGTCTTAATTTTCTCATCTGTAAAAAGGGATAGTCTAAGTATTGATGTTATAGGATTTTAATGAAGCTTACACAAAATACTAGAAAAAAATATGCTTCACACAGCACTTAGCATGAAATGAAAGCATATTTAATGGTACTAAATATAATAATTGTGTTCTCTGCTTCTAAAACAGACTTTATCCCAGATCTTTATTGGAGTTGGAGTCCTGAACCTTCTTTCCCTCTCCCCTCACCCCTGGCATGCCTCATCCAACCAGTGCCCAGCTTAGTTTCAAGGTCTCGGTCCTTCTTATCCTATTGCTGCATATCTTACTGTAGTTTAATTAGCTATGTCTGCCTGTGTCCACATATCATTAAAGAGCTGAGTTTGGTAGTGCAAACATTCTTATCCTGCTTTCTAGAATACTCTGAATTGTGTGATAAGAAGGTACTCTGGAGACTTGCAACAGCCAGACATTTAGCAAATCCCAGTGCCCATATTTTGTGAAGAAAACACACACCCTGAGTGTAGCGGTGCTGCAAAACTCATAAGACAGAGCACAGTAAAAATACTAAGAGGCTGAACATACCAATGGAAAATGACTAGGCCATGTATAATAATAGAACTTTGACCTGCAATCTGCAGCAGCAGTCCAGGAAGCCAGGCTGTTCTAAGTCAGACTTGAAGGAAGCCAAATTGCTGTCTCGTTACAATCCAGGAAGCCAAACAACAACCCCTGTAGCATTTGGCCCCAAACAACAACCCCTGTAGCATTTGGCCCCAAACAACAACCCCTGTAGCATTTGGCCCCAAACAACCAGGGCTTGATTAGTACCTGACAGCTTCCCTAATTGTCGTCCCTGCTTACAACAAACCAAAGAAATCCAAATGTGCACCCCTAACCAAATAGGTAGGATGCACTACCTCTTAGCTCACCTACAGCTTCCCTGTGTCAACAGCTTCCAATCAGGGCATACTTGAAGCCTGCCCTTGCTGCCTACTATAAAGTTTTCCCACTCTTCTGCCAACCTTTCAGCCTCTGCCAAATGCGAGTGACAGTGGCTGACTCCTATACTACAGCAAGCTTTGAATAGTCTGCTTGTCCTGATTTGGTCTCTGTTTATTTCCACAATATTTAAGTACAAAATCTTATTTCAGTTTTATCTTAATGAAATTTGGCCACATATTAAGCTTTGGCTATGTGGTATCATGCATAATGGCTGGTCTCACTGTGGGGTACCACAGAGGCTTAAGCTTAACCTTTGGCATCTCGAAGGCACCCAAAAGTGAAACACAGCTGAATAAGAAATATCAAGACCCCAGAGTACCTGCCGGGAAGGAATCAAATATTTAACAAGCTCTAAAAGTGAATGAGGACTTTGCCCTATTCTAACTAGGTTAACTCTAGGAGAAGATGACCTGGCTGATCTGTAAGGTAATTAGCAAATGTCACATTAAAATTAGTTACACAGTCTGATGAACCATTGAGTCCCACTAACATCATCATAAATAGTCAACTCTTTTTCTCTATTTTTATGTTACCAATAAATCCCAAATGTATTGGGAATTACCAAACTTTCTGCAACAATTTTTATTGGCTATTTTTCCCTAATCTCTATATAACATCATTTTAAAAATAATGGAAAGTTAGGCCAATCTATTATTTAATAAATAGAGTATTTGGGCCTATTAAGAAATGTTCAACTTTGTTCAAATGATTACCTCTATTTCTTTTATTTTAAGGCCAAAAGAACTAAGCTGTTTCAGAGGGTTAATTGGTATGAGCGAGGCGGGGAGACGGGAGACCAATCGTACCATCCCATGGAACTTGGAAGAGAATTACTCTTAAACTTTTTTTCAAAGTATATTTTGACAATAATATCCCCAGGCTATAGAGCTAAATTGCTTTGTTCATTTATGAGGATCTGTGTCTCCTCAGTGTCTTTAACTCCCACAGGGGAACAATAAAGCCAGAAATAGTGGTCATTATTAATCCCCACTACAGTGGGGAGTTCAAAATAAGGCCTGCTTGTCTTAGACAATAGTTTCATATATTAAGTTATTTTATATATGTATGTAAAGAGAGAACGAGATTTAAATTTGTTCCATCTGCAGCCTCTTGTGCCTACACAGGGAGCATCAGTGAGTGTAGGTGGCAGCTAACAGCACCTCCCTCTTATTCTTTAGGTCTCAAACTCTGCATGACCATCATTTCCTCCCAGAAGCTAATCTGCCTCCCCCCATCCTCCATCCCCTAACCCCACAAAGTTCTACCTCTCTTTGCCCCTTCCCCTACACATTACATTGTTTCACTTTGGCATTTGTTTAGTATGACTGTCTCTTTAACATTTGTTTCCCTAATAAAACTGTAAGCTCCATCATGGTAAAGACCTAGCACAGTTTTGCTCACTTTTCCACAGTGCCAGGTTCTTAGAAGGGACTCAAATATTTTTTGAGTGAATAAACATATTAGTGCCTGTGGGGTGTGGTTGGAGTGGTAGAAGACTGAGAGAAAGAAAACTAAACTTTTCTACTTCAAAAAGCAAGAACTGAGGAGTTAATACAAGCCAAACAGCAAGGAGGCCCTGGTGCCCAGGTAATGGATTAAAAAAATGGTGGGTGGGCAACATGGCAGTTGGCATGGGGGTGTAATGGAAGCCATGGTGTTAGTTGAAGCCACTTATATGAAATAAATAGCTAATGTTCAATTTGTTGGTTATTTGCTAGCTATGAATGATGGGAAGCCATTTCATATCATGGAAGGACCAGTAACATCCACTATCAACACAGTCTTGAGTGAGTAGAACCCAGTGAGAAAAAAGAACACAGAGACCCAAACAGAACGGAGAGGAAACCTTAGGAATAAACTTGGGACAAGTGTTCTTTCCTCACATCTCCAAATATACTAGAGAGAGGTGGCCAGGGTCGATGCCAAGGCAAGTATGGTACAGAGGTACCACTTGTTAAAGTACAAAATCACTTTCATACTGGCTAGTAGAATCACTGATGTTGACCTTTTTCTCAGGATTTCTTGGAGGACTTGAGCCCCTTCCTGACTCACAGGGTGGACTCACAGCAATTACAGGGTTAACACCTACCATAGAAGAGGGGGTCCAGGCCAGCTATCTATCTTTATTATTGCTCCAAGGGGCACCCATGAAGGGAAGACAGAGGCTAATATCTAGGTTTTACTCCAAAGCTGCCTCAGACCTCAGACCATAAAGAACAGAATACCAGTGAGTTTCGGTGGTATCTCCACAATGCTTTCACTTGTTCCACTTTTAGAAATATTGCCAATTGATCATCAATATGATTGTGCAAGTTATCCTCCCACCTACAGTGTATGAGTTTTTCTCCACATGCTCATTGTATGTCCATACAAAACAAAAATGAATGTCCATCACAGCTTGAAACATAAAGGCCCCAAACCACAAACAACCCAAACATCCATGCACAGATGAATGAATAAATGAGATACATGACCTATATAAGGATTACATGTTGGATTTGTATTATACTTTAATGATTATTCACATCCATCCTCGAGTATTTTAAGTTTATATCTAGAAGAAACTATCAAAACTTTTTCTAAAGTGGTAGTACTACTTTGTACTCTAATTATGTATGAGAATTCAAGTAACTCAAAATAATTACCAAATTTTGTAGTGTTAAACTTTAATTTTTGTCATTCGGGTGGACATGTAGACATATCTAATTGCAGTTTTAACTTGCATTTTTGATAATAAATTAGGATACTGATAACTTTTCCATGTTCTCCCCTTTCCTTGTTTCTGTAAGTTGGGTTATTTGTCTTCTTAACATTTAGTTGTAATTCTTTATATACATTGGACAAAAATCTTTTGCCAGATGTATTTTATATATGTAGTGTGTGTATACACACACACACATATACACACACACATGAAAAATAGAAAGCAAAAGAAATTAGAAAATCTTAAAGGCATCCAGAGAAAAAAGACTGTATTTTCAAAGGAGAAATAATAAGTCTAAGAGCTGAATTTTCAGCAGAAACTATAAAAATATGTATGTTACACACACACACACATATATGTAGTAACATATTTTATATATATATATTACTATATATACTCTATCTGAGTTTGGGGCTTCTCTTTTTATTTTGTCAGGGTGTCCTTTAAAGAGCAAAATTTTAAATGTTTTATTAAAGTTCCATTTATCATTTTGTTTTATAACTCTCAAATTTTGAGACTGATGTATTATTTGCATGGGGACTTTAATCTCAGAGACAGTTGCAAAATGTTTATACTGTCCTTATACTAAAGATATCAACTCACAGATTCTGTGAGCTCAATGATATCCATGTAGGATAAATAAGGAAAACCATGGCTGGATACACTATTTTCAAACTCTTGAAAAGCAAAAGAAAATGGAAAATCTTAAAAGCATCCAGAGAAAAAAGACTCACTATTTTAAAAGGAGAAGCAATAAGTCTGAGAGCTGAATTTTTAACAGAAACTATGAAATCTAGAAGAAAACAGAATGGTAGCTTCTAAGTACTGAAGGGAAAAAATCATGCTAGAATTCTGTCTCCAAGAAAAGTATCCTTCAGATATTGGTATAAAATTGAGACAAAAGCACTGAGAATTCATTACCAGCAGACTTCTATTTCCAGATATTATAAATGGAAGTTCTTTGGCTAAAGGAAATAATTCCAGATGGAAGCATGAAATGGTAGTGAGGAAGGAAGAGCAACATACAGATAAAAAATTAGAAAAAGAGTCAAAGAATATTTACTGTTATAATATTAATCCTACTAGTGTCTTGTGTAGATTATAAAGTCTGATAAAATAAGTGGCATTCATAACTCAGTGGGCAGAAGGAGGATAGAGTTAAGTTCTCTTAAATTTTTTGCTTCGTTTGGGAAGTGATAAAAGTACTAATCTAAGATAAACTGTCACAAATCAAGGATACACATTGAAATCCAGGGTAACCATAGAAAGGATTACAAACAAATGTACAATTCAAGGCCAATAGGAGAGAAAAAAAATAGAATAGTCCTTTCAAAAAAGAAAGCCAACAGAAATAGCAGAATCAAACTGTAAACAGACCACAGAGGTCACCATAGCTAATAAAATATTGTATTTCTTTCTGCCAAAGTATGTAGTCACAGTTCCTAATCCATTACCCACCTCATGGCCTGCATTCATCCCAGCCTGGTAGATGAGTATTTTTATGCTGAACATGAAAAAGAGCATTCCTCTTTTCCAGACACTCAGCTATAAACTTCATGGTCAGAGGCATCGATACTATGATAATCTTCTGGCCAAACTTTCCTCTCAGTATCCATTTTTAAGTGTTGATTATAGATGAAACAGGAAAGAGGAAAACAGAATAAAATAAACACACTGTATTAGTTAGGTCTCTTTTGTTTATGCTGCAATAACAACCCTGAAATCTTAGTGGTTCAAAAAAATAAAGGCTTATTTCTCGCTCGTGTAACATGACAATGGAAGTCAACATTAGCTCTCCTTCAAGTTGTCTTCATTTCTGATCCTAGCAGAAGGAGTAGCAAAAGGGTAAGAGAGATTACCGAACAAGGCCATAACTTAAAGTTTCTGCTCCAAAATGCACAGGTCACTTCTACTCACCTTTCATTGCAGAAGCAACTCCCATGGCCAAGACTGATATCCAAAATGTTAAGTATTGTTCTCCAGCAGGGTCAAGCCATATGGGGTGGTGTATTAGTTCGTTTTCACACTGCTATAAAGAACTACACAAGACTGGGTAATTTATAAAGGAAAGAGGTTTAAGTGATTCACACAGTTCCTTGTGGCTAGGGAGGCCTCAGGAAACTTACAATCATGGCAGAATGTGAGGGGGAAGCAAGGCATGTCTTACATGGTGGCAGGAGACAGAGAGAGTGAGGTGAAAAGTGCCACACTTTTAAACAATCAGATCTTGTGAGAACTCACTCACTATCATGAGAACAGCTTGGGGGAAACTGCCCTCATGATCCAATCACTTCCCACCAGGTCCCTCCCTCAATATGTGGGGATTACAATCTGAGATGAGATTTGGGTGAGGACACAGCGCCAAACCATATCATTCCACCACTGGCCCCTCCCAAATCTCATGTCCTTCTCGCATTCCAAAACACAGTCATGCCTTCCTAACCGTTCCTCAAAGTCTTAACTCATTCCATCATTAACCCAAAAGTCTAAGTCCAAAGTCTCATCTGTGACAAGGCAAGTCCCTTCTGCATATGATCCTGGAAAATAAAGAACCAGTTAGTTACTTCCAAGATAAGATGGGGGTACAGGCATTGGGTAAATGTTCCCATTCCAAATGGGAGAAATTTGCTAAAACAAAGGTGCTAAAGGCCCCATGCAAGTCCAAAACCCAGCAGGGCAGTCATTACATCTTAAAGCTTCAAAATGATCTCCTTTGACACCATATCTCACATCCAGGTCATGCTGATGCAAGAGGTGGGCTCCCAAGACCTTGGGCAAATCTGCCCCTGTGGCTCTGCAGCGTACAGCTCCCATGACTGCTTTCATGGGTTGGCTTTCATTGATTGCCTGTGGCTTTTCCAAGCACACGACACAAGCTGCCAGTGAATCTACCATTCCGGGGTCTAGAGGATGGTGGCCCTCTTCTCATAGCTCCACAAGGCAGTGCCCCAGTGGGGACTCTGTGTGGGTTCTCCAACCCCACACAGTTGGGAATCTCTGCATTGCCCTAGTAGAGGTTTTCCATGAGGGCTTTGCCCCTGCAGTAGACTTCTACCTGGACATCCAGGAATTTCCACACATTCTCTGAAATCTAGGCAGAGGCTCCCAAAGCTCAACTCTTGCCTTCTGCACACCCACAGGCCCAATACCACGTGAAAGCCTTGAAGGCTTGGGGCTTACACCCTCTGAAGCAATGGCTCAACAGCTACCTTGGCCCCTTTTAGCCATGGCTGGAACTAGAGCAGCTGGGACACAGGATGCCATGTCCTGAGGCTGCACAGAGCAGCAGGGCCCACAAAACCCTTTTCCCTCCTAGGCTTTAAGCCTGTGATAGGGAGAGCTCCCTTGAAAATCTCTGACATATCCTGGAGACATTTTCCCTGTTGTCTTGGCCATTAACATTTGTCTTCTCTTTACTTATGCAAATTTCTGCAGCTGGCTTGAATTTCTCCTCAGAAAATGGGAGAAATGGGTTTTTCTTTTCTACCACATGGTCAGGCTGCAAATTTTCCATACTTTTATGTTCTGTTTCCCTTTTAAACAGAAGTTCCCATTTCAGACCATCTTTTTGTAAACACATATGACTATATGCTTTTGGAAACAGAGAGGTCACAGATCAAATGCTTTGCTGCTTAGAAATTTCTTCTACCAGATACCCTGAATCATCTCTCTCAAGTTCAAAGTTCCACAGATCTCTAGGGATCTGTGGGGAAGAAGCAAAATGCCACCAGTCTTTTTGCTAAAGCATAGCAAGAGTGACCTTTACTACAGCTCCCAGTAAGTTCCTCATTTTGATCTGAGACCACCTCTGCCTGGATTTCATTGTCCATATCACTATCAGGATTTTGGTCAAAACTATTCAACAGGTCTCTAGGGAGTTCCAAACTTTCCCACATCCTCCTTTCTTCTTCTGAGCCCTCCAAAGCATTCTAACCTCTTCCTGTTATCCAAAGTTGCTTCCACATGTTCAGGTATCTTATAGAAGTGCCCCACATCTCTTGGTACCATTGTTGGTGGCCTGAGAGGAATGGGTCTGGAAGAGAGAAGCAGTGACTATTTTGAACAAATACTATGACCTACCACATATGCGATATTTCCTAACCATTATATTTTTGTTATGTCATCATTCAACTGTTATTTAGAAATTATTTCAGTTCATGTGAGATTGTGTGATTAAAATGCTTCTTCTCTAAGGCTGAGGCCAACATGACATTGTTTCCCATTGTCTTTTTTCCTTATAGATTCTTCTGCTCATTTCTAAACTTGATGTTTCTATATAACATGTATGTGTGTGTGTGTATATATATATACACGTGTGTGTGTGTATATATATATACACGTGTGTGTGTGTATATATACATGTGTGTATATATATATACAGGTGTATACATATATATAAAAAACTGTGTGTGTGTGTGTGTATATACATATATATGTGTATATATATGTATATATACACACAGACACAGTTTTTCATGTATATATTTTTTCCTAAGAGATATATTTGAACTAAATGTGTTTTATCAATCAATATCATTTTAAAGTACCCATTTTAGGCCAGGTGTGGTGGCTCACACCTGTAAACCCAACACTTTGAGAGGCAGAGGTGGTAGGATCACTTGAGAGCAGTAGTTTGAGACCAGTCTGGGCAACATAGTGAAATCTTGTTACTAAAAAAAAAAATAACTTAAATAAAATATCCATTTTATGTACCAATTCTACCCATGTAAACATGAAGCAGACATATTTTCTCATTTTCACAAGAGCTATTTATCATGACTGTTTATTTATTATGACTGTGTGAGAGCAGAGTTCTCACCTGAAATCATGTAACTTATTTTCTACATAGTTGATGAATAGAGTAGACAAAACATGGACTATATCATAAAGAAAAAATTTTATAGCTGATATTTACCAAAAGTGTTGGACACAGATGCATCTCTTTTAGTAATCAACAATCATGAGCTTAAAACTGACTTCCAGAGTCAAGACATCAATCACCTCTGTAATTCTCTGCCCCATGTTTCCCATAAAATTGCTACCCATGGCATCAGGAGCTAGCCAAAACAGAAGAGGAAGAAGGGACAAGCTGTATGAAAATAATAATAATGGTATCTTACACATACACCATGCTTTGTAGTTCACAAAGCAGTTACATGTGTATTTATTACCTCATTTCAACTTGAACACAACTTCGTTGTGAGCAAGACTGGTGGTGTTATCTTCATTTTATTCAAGAATGAAACAAAACTGAAATATTAAGTGACTTGTCCAAGGCCATCCAGCTTTTTAGATATAATATTACCATCCAGTAAAACTCATATGGCAGAAATGCCCTGTGCCCTGTCATTCCTTGGAGACAGCTCTAAAAAGGTCAAACGCCAGGCCTTGATAGGATGCCAATTCACTGATGGACATTACCAACTAATACTCCCCTTATCTAAAAATCCACATTATAGACAATTAAGCACTTCTATTTGCTTGACTGAGTTTTCCTTTCCCCTTAGTTCTTTTAAAATGACTTTGAACATCAGGATTTGCAAACCAGAGTTTTGTAGGACTAATACATGTTTAACGAGAGAAGTCAAGAATAATGTTTTAAAAAGATGTTTTTTTTACTTATCAGGCAGGTCAATATCAAAGAAAAGTCTCTTTGTGAACAATGACCTGGTGATTTTTCAAAAATGGAACAAGAAACTTTCATGTCACCATGAATTTAATACTGTCTCTTGTGTTTTCCTTTGCAATCTCTTTGATTGGATTATGTTCAAGGATACACGGGGCTCTTGTCTTTTGAGTGCATTTAAGAGTTCATTTTCCAGCTTTGACATTCAGCTCAGGAGTTTCAACAGCAATTAATCAGAACTATCCATATCAGAAACATTGTTAATCTTTACCAGACAGAAGTCGTTATGTTTGCAACTAAACTTCAATAGACTCTTTGGACATAGGATTTATTATTTTGCAAATGTTTTGAAAGGGAAGACATAGCTTTGAAGCAGAGTCGGAGAAACAGTTTTAAAGAGTTAGAACCAAAATCCAAGAGTCACTCAACCAGACCTGGAAGGAAACATTTGTTTCTGCTGCAGGTTATAAGAATAGTCACTTCAAGGTTGAACATCATCCAAGCGTGCATTAGGGTATATGGTTATTCATCCTCCAAATTTCAGTCCTCAACCCTTCTCTGCCCTCTCCCCTGCATGAGCTCATTTCTTCCTGATTTCAATTATCACCTCAGTGCCTCAGTGTAGATGATTCACAGATTCACTGGTTACCCAGCAGGTATTGAATTTTCACTGCAATAATACATGGCATCACAATAGTTTCCATTTGTTGAGTTCTCACTATTGTCAGATGCTGGGCTAACCCTCTCTGTGCACTGACAGGATTAAAGTAGGGTGGTTGGGATGGTGCATGGTCTGGAGGCCAACTGCCTGGGTTCAAATCCTAACACTGCCACTCGCAAATTTTCTTACTTTGGGAAAGGTATTCAGTTCTCTGGCTCTGCTTTCTTATCTCTAAAATGAATATGAAGAGTACCTACCCATAGGGTCTTGTTTGTTTTGTGCTTAGAATTAAATAAAAGATTCCACGTAAGATACCTTACTCATAGTAAATTTTCAAACATTGGTTATAATAATTGTTACTAATTATCACTCTTATTTTTTATACAATGACACAATATTCCTAAGATGAAGGCACTATTTTATCCAATTTAAAAATATGCCTGTCTTCTTAATCAGCATGATAAGGGCCTCTCTAAATTATGGCCCATGGGAATAACGCGTTGTTAGAAAAGATATCAGTCCTAGACTGCAATTTGCAAGAATATGCAAATAAGAGGATTGAGATAACCATAACAATCTCACAAAGTGCTATGAGAGCTCAAGATCCTAAATGTCTATCTGTAGCTTTGTTCCCCTAAGGTGCTCAGAGTCACAGAATGTCAGAGCTGAAAGCACAGTAAACACAAAAACATAGAACTGTAATCACAATAAAATGCTCCATTTAAAACAAATGGTATTCATCTCAGAGGGTCGAGGGATGTGATGAGAGTCACACAGTTAGCCACACAGGCAGAGCTGCAGACCCTGGCCTCTACTTACTATGTGGATGCCCCACCATCAACACTTTCCAACATGTCGAAATGTAAACGTATCATTAAACACATTCATTACCTATTTGCTACTGTTTGGAAAGTCCCATGTTTAGCAAAATGCTCTCTTTCTTACATACACCACATTGCAATTCACCAAAACTATCCACATTGGAAATATTTTTACAGAAGCAGCTATGTATGCAACTAAATTTTAATGGGGTTCATCATTTTGCCAATGCTTTGAAAAGTGAGGTGATATGGTTTTGCTGTGTCCCCACTCAAATCTCATCTTGAATTCCCACGTGTCATGGGAGGAACCTGGTGGGAAGTAGTTAAATTATGGGGGCAGGTCTTTCCTGTGCTGATCTCATGATAGTGAATGAGTCTCACAAGACCTGATGGTTTTAAAAATGGGAGTTGCCCTGCATAAGCTCTCTTGTCTGTCGCCACGTGAGATGTGCCTTTCACCTTCGCCAAGTGGAAATGTAAATCCAATGAACTTCTTTCTTTTGTAAATTGCCGAGTCTTGGGTATGTCTTTATCAGCGGCATGAAAACAGACTAATACAGGAGGCATGGCTTTGAAGCAAGGTGAGAGAAGTGCTGCTTTTTGAAGTGCTCAGTTAAAACAAAACACCAAATTGTTTGTTGAACTAGTCCTGGAATGAATCTTTTGTTACTGCTGCAAGATATGAGGAGCTCATCCCCTCATATCCTGTCCAGCAGGAAATTCTGTTGGCTGGTAACATGTCCAGAATCTGACTGCTTCTCACCTCTTCCAGTGCCACCACCCTGTTCCAAGCCATGAGCATCTCTTGCTTAGTGTACTGTGGGGCCTCCTACTTATAAAATCTGCCTTGACTTTTACACCTTAAAGTGTATACTTCACAAAGAATAGACTCCACAAAGTGATACTTTTAAAACAAAGTCAGATTATGTACTTGCCATATAGAAACCCCCAATGCCTTCCCATCAGACTCGGAGAAAAACTCAACTCCCTTCTGATGACCTAAGGTTCTACACTCTCTGCTCCCTACCCCTACCTTCCCTGACCTCATCTCCTACAGCTTGCCCCTCATTAATTCACTCTAGCTGCATGAACCCCCAACTACACACCCCCAGCCCCGCATTCCTTAAAACTTTAGAACCTTGCCCTAATTGTTCCTCTGCTTCTCCGACTGGAGCAATCTTCACTGAGATACCTGTGTGGCTCACTCTCTCACTTTCTTCAAGTCTTTGCTCAAGTCCCTCCTCAGTGAGACTTAGCTGGATCAGCATGTTCAATTATTGTATGGGGCCCGGAATGTGCACACATACACACCTGATTCCCATTAACTGCAGTTATGAATTTATATAGCATCTAAAGTAAACCAGGATGTGTTTTAGAGCTAAAGGGGATGCTGCTAATAGTTATGCTGGCACCACAGAAATAAACTAAGCCTGCCTTGGGCAAGCTGGGACATATATCCACCCACATATAGCATGCTCAATTTTTTTCCCTTGGCATTTATTGCCTTTTGACAAACTGTAATATTCACATATTTCTGATGTGTTTCAGTTATTGTCTGTCTCTCCCTCTTAAAGCATAAGCTCCAAGAGAGCAAGGACATCAGTTTCTTTCTTGATGTATTCTAAGTGTCTAAAATAGTGCCCAACAGCCCGGAACAGAGTAGATTCTCAATAATATTTTTCAAAGTAAATGAATAAATGATATAAGGAAGTCAAAGATTATCTCAAAAGTTCTTTCAAACTTTTAGCATCGGATGCATTTTTCAGTTCAATTCTATCAAAAATGGCGAAATGAACAAGATGAATATGCAAAACCAAAATTGGCATCAGAGCCATGAAATTCTAGATTCTTAATACTGGATCTGGAAGAGAAATGAATGGATGATCTGGCTCTATTTTCATTCCTTGAAGAAAGCAAATGTTTAAATCAGTATTCTCCAGTTATTTTCCTGCTGTCCATCTGTGTTAGTCCATTCTCACATTGCTAATAAAGACATACCTGAGACTGGGTAATTTATAAAGAAAAGAGATTTAATGGACTCACAGTTCCGCATGGCTGGGGAACCCTCACGATCATGGTGGAGGGCAAAGGAGGAACATAGGCACATCTTACATGGCAGCAAGCAAGAGAGCTTGTGCAGGGGGAACTCCTCTTTATAAAACCATCAGATCCCATGAGACTTATTCACAATCATAAGAACAGCACAGGAAAGACCCGCCTCCATTATTCAATTACCTGCCACTGGGTCCCTCCCATGACATGTGGGAATTATTGGAGCTACAATTCAACATGAGATTTGGGTAGGGACACAGCCAAACCATATCACCATCCTTGAATGTCTCTGACTTGCTCCTTTTCATGTTTAAAAAGCTCAGGTGGAAATTCTTTCCTAAAATTTCCCATTTTCTTCACTCCCTCAACCTAAGAAAAGTCATACTCACAAGACAATGTTACTGTTCTCTTATGATGTTATTTCTGTACCTCGTACATGTTCTACAAATGTATATGTCTCCTTACATACATTCTGCCCTGTCACTTTCCACAGTTTACTATTTATAACATCTTCCATGTCTTCCCTGTGCCTTCAGTGGACTCTAAGTTTCTTAGAAACAGGTGCTCTAACATTCAGTTTTGACTTCACAACAACTAGCACAGTACGTGGTACACAGTAAGCATCATACTTGTATTCATCAATCTGAATTGGACTTCATTTGATGACTATTAGATTGGATTCAATGGCAACTGCACTAACCAAACTACCCACTCAGACTTGGCTGTGTGACTGCTACATTCCAGTTTAACTCTTCAGACTTTACATCATTGTAATATCAAAGGCCCTTTCTAGCACAATATTTTCAATTACTTATCATTTCTTTCCCTACAACTGACCCCACCCCCAGCTATACACGATCTTTAAACACTTGTTGCCATATTAGAGAGGGCTACTGTTTTCCCTGTAATACTAAAAATAAGGAGTCTAAATTGGGTCCTTCTATTTATTAATGAATAAAACAATTATTAAAAATGAATTTGAAGCTATCAAATCTAATCTATCTTTACATGAAAACTCCTGCAGTTGTATTGTCAGTCATAATTTCCCACATGCGTAATGGAATACATACACACCCATGTATCTATCCCTAAAATATATGGAATAGATATTACCAAAACACATATTCTAATTCCTTAAGATTATTTTTTGACCCTCTAATATTTTGATGCCTGTTGGCCAAGTCCTTATTGACTGTGTTACTGAATAATTTGTCCATCTCTGCTCATATTCTCTGCTTCTGAGTGATTCATCATATTTCATCCTGAGATGCTTTTATCATATGTTTAGTACCACTCATCTCTGTTTCACCTTAATTATATTCAACGTCTACTGTATTCTTAGCTGGAAACCATCTCCTTTTCATCCCTCAAAGCCTACTTTAGATCTGACTCTCCCAACAATGAAATGCCCAGAAATACCTGAAATACAGCATATCATCTAGGCAAGACTATTCAGACTTGCCATTAGCTGTCAAGTTTCATGTATTTCGCCTTCTACAAATCCATCCCTGGAGCCTTCTGCCATGAAAGTATCCAATGTGAATAGGTGTTAATCTCCATCCTTTTAAAATCTCCCCCCATTTGCTCCATCAGAGAATATAAAATGTAGCATATTTTCCCCCAGACTTTCCCAGCATGTTTCCTTTGTTCAATCTAGAATCAAGCAATTTAAATGACAGGTACACTTGATTTAAAGTCTGCTAACTCCCCTCCCCACCAGTAATTCCAGATTCTATCTCCCTTAAATCATCATTCCAACGAGGAGTCGGGAGAAATAGACAAACATTACTGAAAATCACAAAGGCAAGTTTCTCACCAGGTTGTGTATATCATCAGATGATCTTGACAAAGTCCAAAAGCCACCAGGGGTATATTGGAAATAGTTGCAAGGGTCAAGCCCTCACAATTACCAGAAATTCAAGCTGCCTTATGTATGTGTGGAAAAGATGTGTAAACTACTGGCTCTCCAAAGCACCTTCAGGAAAACATCCTGTTCACTCAGATGATATCTGTATTTCAGCAAATGTCAGCAAGTCCACATACTTTGGCAGAACAAATGTTATTTTTCCTTTCATTACTGTCCTAAGAGGAACTGTGCAATCCTATAGATTATCGCATGGAGCTCTCATTGGCATGTGGCCAAGGCTGAATACTCTTCTCCAGAGGAGGCAAATTGTGAATTAAATTCACCGCTGGCAAATTGCTTTTTGTGTTCGATTTAATTTCGTTTTCATGATTTTTCCTGAGGGCTCTTCCGGCCTTGCTCAACTAACTGGTTTAACAGATCAGTTTAAGTTCAGAAAAACCTCAGTATTTCCAAGATTTCAGAATGCCTTTTTATTGAATTCCTGATTAGGACAAGTGAGAATAACAAATGTTTTACAGGTGTTCAATTCTCTAACACAGATATTGTTTAGAAGAAGGGGGAAAATCACAATAAATTACACTGGGCATAATTTTACTCAAATTTGGGAGCTGGGGAGACAGGGGGAGGAAGAGGAAGGAAGAGAATGAGTGAGCAGCTTTTCACTTAAAGTGAAAGTTACATTATCTGGACGGTAACTTCTTTAAAAGTACATTGTGGGGTGGGGGGAGGGGGGAGGGATAGCATTAGGAGATATACCTAATGCTAAATGACGAGTTAGTGGGTGCAGCACACCAGCATGGCACATGTATACATATGTAACTAACCTGCACATTGTGCACATGTACCCTAAAACTTAAAGTATAATAATAATTTTAAAAAAGTACGTTGAACAGTCCATGAGTAGCAATAATAAGACAACAAAGAAAATGAAGGATACATGTTCAAAAGAAGAGACGTGGAGCCGTGACTCAAAATGTACAGAAACTTCTTTTCCATTCACACGAACCAGGCAGAACAGTTAGCTGTGAATAAACTCAAGATACCAGACTGGCTCCATTAATGAAACATTATCACTGGAATAATATAGTTCATAGATTTTAATGATAAACTTGGGGGATGTGTTAATTGCCATTAGATTCAGGTGCATAGAACACATACATGGAAATAAAAATTGAAGTAGTTGAAATGAGGCAGAAATGTATATCTTCTTTACATCAAAGAATTCTGGACATAGATAGTCCAATATGGAGGGAATAATTCCCTACTCACCAAGGACCCAAACTCTCCCTATCTTTACACTCTACAATACTATTATGTGTCTTCAATTCTTAACGTTGCTTCATGTTCCAAAATGGCTGCTGAAGCTACAGCCTTTATGTCTGCTTTCCGGGCAGGAACAAGAGGGAAAAACAAAAGGCAAACACCTCTTAGCTGAGTCAGCATTATTTGTAGAACCTTCCTAAAAGAAACACCCTACTAGCTATATACATGGAGAGTGGAAAATGTAGTATTTTAGCTAGACATCCTAGCCAAAATATTGGTGGGAATTACATCCTAACCAAAATGTTGGTTCAGGAATATGGCTATTGATTAGGCAGCTTCAGTCTCTGTCACACGAGTAAAGTAATATTTTTATGAAACCAGAGAGGAGACACTTTGAAGTCTGTTGGCCTCTTTCGATCATTGTCCTTATCTTACATAAATAGTTGCTTAATGCAAATGCTTATTTGGTTCTTTTTATTTTATGGCAAAACCATCCTATGAACAAGTAAAATGTCATGCAAGAGGACACATTGCTGGCTTCTCACAAAATGGTAGTGCTACCCTCAACATGTCACCGGGAAGCCTCATCAGACCAAAACTACCCATAATATATTGCCTAAAGCATCCATCATAAAAGTTATTGCTTCTGCATCAAGATGATGTGCTTTTAGGAAATCTCACTTACAGTGAGTATGTGTTAACCGTTATGCCATTCAGTTCCATTAATCCATTTCTCTGTATTAGTTTATCAAATTAAATATCGTCATGGAAAATATAGAGCAGGGCTCTGAAGGAATAGAAACAAGTTAGGTACATTTCCAAGAGGTAGGCGGGAGAGAAGTTGAAGGCAGGGTGTGAAAATGAGGGTGAATTTGGGAGAATCCACCTAGCAAGGCAGAGTATGTAATAAGAATTTCATTTCTGATTAAATGAATGAATGAAATAAAAATACATGCACAGAATAACTTCTCAATAAACCTTTCTGGTTGACTATCAGATAAATGCATGAAGAGATAGATTAATGTATGAATAAATCCTCAAAGGTGAATTTTATCAGTGATGATTCTTTTATTTCTTCATGCCACTATCCTTGCTGTATGTGTGCTCCCTATAGCCATCATTGGGAGTTGTTGATTATGCTAAATATTAGAGTAACAAATACAAAAAGGACACTCAGAACCATAGATCACATCCCAAGCTAAGCGCTGAAGCACCAATGAGGCTGGCCAGAGAAGTAACCATTGGGTTATTACTATCAGCTTTAACATGTAATTATTTCATCCAGCACTGAAACAGAGAGGCACTCAAAATATAGACACTCAGCATAAGACTAACAGACAAAGACTTTCTATGCACTTAACTATGCACTATATCATAACTTTGAGTAGGACTTCCTTTTCTGGTTTGGAGGCTGTGTGGTATAATAGTTAAACACATCAGTTATGGTTTCAGGAAAATTTGAATTCAAATGCTGCATCTCCACTTGTTTCACAGCATTGAGCAAGTTACTTAACTGTTTCACATCTAAGTTCCCCCATCTTTAAAATGGAAGGAATGCTATTGCCTACCTTGTAAGTAATTGTGAGGAGTAAATGAGGACTCAATGATATCAGCCACGGTTATTAGTCATTATGTGCTGGGATCATGAGGGACTGTATAAGCCAGAGTTCTTCTGAGAAACAGAACCATTAGGAGACATATATGAGAGAGAGACTTAGTTCAAGGAATTAGTTTATGCAACTGTGGGGGCTAACCAGTCTACATCCGTAGGGCAAGCTAGCAGGCTGGAAATTCAGTTGTGTTGGTGTTGCAGTCTTGAGTCTGTAGGCTGGCAACTCGGGCAGGGTTTGTATGTTGCAGTCTTGAGTCAGAATTGCTGCTTTCTTGGGAAATCTCAGTCTTTGCTCTGAAAGCTTTCAACTGATTGAATGAGGCCCACCCACATTGTGGACACAAATATGCTCTACTTAAAGTCAACTGATTTAAATGTTAATCACATCTAAAATATTTTCATAGCAACATGTAGACTGGCATTTGATGAAACAACTAGGTGCCATACCCTCACCAAGTTGACACATAAAATTATCACAGGGACACAATAAATATGCCCATCCACACCCGCATTCTTCACAGAGAAACAAGACATAAGAGTTGCAGATTGGAAAGTGCAACTCTAACCTGTATGACAGATAAAGACTAGGATGGAAGCTGTGGTTTGTATTTGCAGGATTCAATGGCTTCAGATACTCCCACCCGCCACCCTCTGGCAGGTAGGTTAACACAACCAACCCAGGCAGTGGTGCCACATAAGACTTACAGCACGGAGAAGCTGGGAAGAACTCACATTTCTGCTGATGAGTTCATATCTGAGAGGACAAAAAGGAGGAGCTAGTTTTTCTTCTGAAATTTTCCAACCAGATAAGTCCCTCCTCCTTGCTAGGGTAGAGACAGTGATGCCACAGGTGAAGCCCCCACTGTTTCTGTCAATTGCACCCTTTCACAGAAAGGAACTATCATGAGCCAAGAAGAAACATTTCCCTCAATATCCTCCTCTCCTCACTACCGCCATTGTTTTTATCACCAGCAGACCGTACTGTTTATATTTCTTGTTGGGACCCTCTAAGTCTTAGCCTCTGAAATTGAAACTCTGGAGGGTTCTGAGGCTTCCAAAACCTAAGGAAATTTTCCAAGACATATCCAGAGAAGTACAATCCTATATTCAACCAACAGCATATTTCCTCTATCCTAGAAATCACCCTTCTTCCCCATCCCCCAAAAACTTCAGTTGAGAACCAGCTAGAGTTTACAGCACCAGGTTTAGTGTGGATCTCTTGACACCTCTGAAACAAGTTCCCCATCACATGGGAAAACTGCTCTGTCCTTCCACACCAGTCCTGGGAGCCTCTTCCAGCTTGATGCTGAAGAAGCCTGACATCCCCCAGGTAGGGGACAGCCGAGATCTCTTGGGCTCTGTTGGGGCCCGCTTAACTGTCCTTTTAAAGCACGCACCTTTCCCTCATCTGTAAAGAAGTCTGAGGGCAGAAACCAGATGTGCTGACCTCACCTCTCACCTCTCTCCCCCTGGCCTGGAATCCAGGGTTGTTCACTTCCTATTCACAAGAAGCAGCTTGCCTGGGCAAGACTGGTGTCATACTTCGTTTCAGTCAGCACAGGAGAGTGGAAAGTTGCCCGCAAAAGGCAGATGAAAAATTAAAGTGATCTTTGGCCAGCAGATTCGTTCAAAATGCAAATCCACTCGGTGCGTAGGAACAGTATGGCACAGCCCCCATGTGGGAGATTAGAATGCAGCCTTTCACCACAGCTCTTTATTCCAAAGCCGGCAGAAACTGGCTAGGCTTGGCGTTTATCTTTTTGCTCTAAAGCACGTTGGGGAAATTCCTGAATGAGTCCCTAAAATTCCCAGTGATTGGGGAAACCTGAAGGAGTCTAAGGAGCCACTGTATGCACCCAGCCCAACCTGATTTGAACAGCTGTATGGAACCAGGAACCAGGAAGAGAATGTGGGCTTTTGAGCTAGTACGCCAACTTACCAGCCCTGAAATCTTCAGCTGATTATTTTATCTCTCTGAGAAATGTATTAACCTCTCTAGGCCACATTTTGAGGGGACTCTAAAGCTGACATTTTTGGAGCTAACATTTCCCCTGCCAGGAGAAATTACACGTGTATTAGTCCATTTTCATGTTGCTGATAAAGATATACCTGAAACTGGGAAGAAAAAGAGGTTTAATTGGACTTACAGTTCCACATGGCTGGGGGGACTTCAGAATCATGGCAGGAAGTGAAAGGCACTTCTTACATGGTGGCACCAAGAGAGAATGAGGAAGAAGCAAAAGTGGAAACTCCTGATAAACCCATCAGATCTCGTGAGACTTATTCACTATCATGAGAATAGCATAGGAAAGACTGGCCCTCATGATTCACTTACGTCCCCCTGGGTCCCTCCCACAACATGTGAGAATTCTGGGAGATACAATTCAAGTTGAGATTTGAATGGGGACACAGCCAAACCATATCACTCTGCCCCGGCCCCTCCAAATCTCATGTCCTCACATTTCAAAACCAATCATGCCTTCCCAACAGTCCCCCAAAGTCTTAACTCATTTCAGCATTAACCCAAAAGTCCGCAGTCCAAAGTCTCATCTGAGACAATGCAAGTCTCTTCTGCCTATGAGCCTGTAAAATCAAAAGCAAGCTACTTACTTCCTAGATATAATGGGGGTACAAGTATTGGGTAAATATAACCATTCCAAATGGGAGAAAATTGCCAAAACAGGGGTTACAGGGCCCATGCAAGTCCAAAATCCAGTGAGGTGGCCAAATTTTAAAGCTCCAAAATGATCTTTGACTCCAGGTCTCACATCCAGGACATGCTGATGCAAGAGGTGGGTTCCCATATTCTTGAGCAGCTCTGCCCCTGTGGCTTCGCAGGATACAGCCTCCCTACCAGCTGCTTTCACAGTCTGGCCTTGAGCGTCTGAGGCTTTTCCAGGCGCACATTGCAAGCTGTTAGTGGATCTACCATTCTGGTGTCTGGAGGACGGTGGCCCTCTTCTCACAGCTCCACTAGGCAGTGCCCCAGTAGAGACTCTGTGTGGGGGCTCCAACCCCACATTTCCCTTCCACACTGCCCTAGCAGAGGTTCTCCATGAGGGCCCTGCCCCTACAGAAAACTTTGGCCTGGGCATCCAGGCATTTCCATACATCTTCTGAAATCTAGGTGGAGGTTCCTAAACCTCAATTCTTGACTTCTGTGCACCCACAGGCTCAACACCATATGGAAGCTGCCAAGGCTTGGGGTTTCCACCCTCTGAAGCCACAGCCCGAGCTGTACATTGGCCCCTTTCAGCCATGGCTGGAGGAACTGAGACACAGGGCACCAACTCCCTAGGCTACACACAGCACTGGGCCCTGGGCCCAGCCCACGAAGCCAGTTTTTCCTCCTGGGCCTCTGGACCTGTGATGGGAGCTGCTGCCATGAAGGTCTCTGATGTGTCCTGGAGACATTTTCCCCATGGTCTTGGGGATTAACATTAGGCTCCAGGCTACTTATGCACATTTCTGCAATTGGCTTGAATTTCTCCCCAGAAAAAAATGGGTTTTTCTTTTCTATCATATAGTCAGGCTGCAAATTTTTCAAACTTTTATGCTCTGCTTCCCTTATAAAACTGAATGCCTTTAAAAGAACCCAAGTTACCTCTTGAATGCTTTGCTGTTTAGAAATTTCTTCTGCCAGATACCCTAAATCATCTTTCTCAAGTTCAAAGTTCCACAAATCCCTAGGGCAGGAGCAAAATGTCTCCAGTCTCTTTGCTGAAACATAAGAAGAGTCACCTTTACTCCAGTTCCCAATAAGTTCCTCATCTCCATCTGAGGTCACCTCAGCCTGGACCTTATTGTCCATACCACTATCAGCATTTTGGGTAAAGCCATTCAACAAGTCTCTAGGAAGCTCCAAACTTTCCCACATTTTCCTGTCTTCTCCTGAGCCCTCCAAACTGTTCCAGCCTCTGCCTGTTACCCAGTTCTGAAGTCACTTCTACATTTTCGGGTATCTTTTCAGCAATGCCCCACTCTACTGGTACCAATTTACTGTACTAGTTCATTTTCATGCTGCTAATAAAAACATACCCAAGACTGGGAAGAAAAAGAAGTTTAATTGGACTTACAGTTCCGCATGGCTGGGGAGGCCTCAGAATCATGGCGAGAGGTGAAAGACACTTCTTATATGGTGGCAGCAAGAGAGAATGAGGAAGAAGCAAAGGCAGAAACTCCTGATAAACCCATCGGATCTCGTGAGACGTATTCACTATTACAAGAATAGCACAGGAAAGGCAGCCCCCATGATTCAATTACCTCCTCCTAGGTCCCTGCCACAACACATGAAAATTCTGGGAGATACATTTCAAGTTGAAATTTCAATGGGAACACAGCCAAACCATGTCAACATGGTATAGTGGAAAGAGCTAGTTAGCTCTGGTTTAAATTTAAGATTCACCATGTGTCCCATGCGACCTTAGACAATTGCTTGACCTCTCTGGGCCTCACTTTCCCCATCTATAAAAGGGGAACAAGTGGCCAGGTGTGGTGGCTCACACCTGTAATCCCAGCACTTTGGGATGCCGAGGCGGGCAGATCACTTGAGGTCAGGAGTTCGAGACCAGCCTGGCTAACATGATGAAACCCTGTCTCTCCTAAAAATACAAAAAATCAGCCAGGCATGGTGGCACACACCTGTAGTCCCAGCTACTTGGGAGGCTGAGGCAGGAGAATCGCTTGAACCCGGGAGGCAGAGGTTGCAGTGAGCCGAGATCACACCACTGCACTCCAACCTAGGCAACAAGTGAGACTCCGTCTCAAAAATAAAAAAAAGGGGGGGCGGGGGGAAAAAATAAAACTATCTCGCAGAGTAGCGTCAGGAGAATTAAAATAATAAAGCTCTTGGTAGTCTTCCAAAAAGTGTGCTTGCTTGCCCTTTGGTGTCTTTCTTAAAGACTTTGATATTTGGAGAACTGAGATTCAAGTATCAGGTACAGACAACCACCCTTTTCTGTATTTCTTGATTTTTTTTTTCTTTTGGCCTCTAATACCTTCTATTTCTCTTATGCTTGTCTGGGATACTCACAAGAGGATCTGTGGCAATAGTAGTCTGCTTGATTGCTTGATTCCCTAGGGTCAATTTGTTCATTGGGTTCTTAGGGAAGGAGTTGAGTAGATAAGACAAAATGTTCCCCACGTTTTTGCCTAAGCAGCTTGGCACTGATGAGTACTGGCAGCAGCTCCCTGAATTGTGTTATAAATTTCTGACTGCTGCACAAATGTACCACGTGGGTCAAAGACCAGCAGAGCTGCCCAATTCTCAGAATAGAGTTTGTCCTCATCAGAAAACACCCAGAAGGCCTGTAGTCCCGACAACAGAGTCTTATACCTAAGAAGGTTATAAAGTAAAAACATTTTAAGACAGAAACAGGCTCCAATAAAATTATAGTAATATTGGTTAGCAGAGTTGATGAGACTAATGAGATCAATGGGATTAGTATCTTTATAAAAGGGACCCCAGAGAGCTTTTTAGACTTCTTTGGGCTAGAATTGTTAGTGGTATTTTTTAAATTTTTTTAAAAGAAATGAAAGAATTTGTGTATCTGCATACTAATCCACATCATATTTTTAAAATACTAGTATGCCATATTTATCAAGTGCTTGATTTTTGTGGGGTGCTTTTCATACAAAACCTCATTGAATCATCATAATGATTTTAAGGCACAGGCATAGTGACTGTTCATTTTTAAGATCAGTAAGTTAAGGCACAGAGAAGTTTGATGACTTTCCCAAAGTCTTATAGCTACATGTAAACCCATTTTATAGCCACTACAATGTAGCACCCTCAAAAATAGCAACTACCACTGCTAGAGATACAATATTGGGCTTTATACCTACTCTCTGAATTCATTTAATGTAATTATCTCTAAAAACTCAGAAGATGGTGTAATTTACTGAATGTCTGTGTCTCCTCCAAATTCATATGTTGAGACTCTAGTCTCCACGAGATGGTATTAGGAGATGGAGCCTTTGGGAGATAATGAGGTCACGAGGGTGGGGCCTTCATGACTGAGATTAGTTCCCTTGTAAGAGAGACCCCAGGGAGCTTTTTGACCCTCTTTCTGAAATAGAGGAATACAATGAGAAGTTGGCAGTCTGTAACCCGGAAGAGGGCCCTCACTAGAACTCAATCATGCTGGCACTCTGATCACAGGCTTCCAACCTCCACAGCTGTGAGAGGTTTCTGTCATCTATAGCTTATAGTACTTAGTCAGTTTAGGCTGCTATGCTAACAATGACAGATGATATTAGTACTCTAAGTTATAGATGAGAAAACTGATACTCAAATATACAGAGCATTTTCCCAGTACCACACAGTGAGAAATCTGGGATGCGAATCCAGGCCAGATGGCAGGCTTCTATCTCCACAGAACATCTTGAACTTCACACAGACTTCGCTCCATGTTCCTCACACACAGAGTGCTTTATTATTGTAGATAAGGTGTTCACAGGTGACCCAAGGCAATCTCACACGTGCAGGAATTACGTTCCACCACTCAGTTTCCACAAGGCTCGCAAAAGGAATCAGTAGTTCTCACTAAGTATTCCTCAGCCTCCGCCTTCTGCACACACAATAGGATCACACCTCCAAGCCCTTAAGGTTGGATGAGGCCATGTGACTGGTAGTGACCAATGAGCTATGAGCACATGCAACATGTGTCACTTTTGGGCTGAAGCATTTAATTGTCAATTTGACACCATCCAGAGCTCTTACCAGCAGCATTTGAGATGGCAGCTGCTCCATCAGTCTGGATCCCTAAATGACTATCATAGCAATCCTGATGGCATGTTTCATGAGCAAGAATTAAATGTCTGTTATTTTAAGCCATTGTGATTTGGGGGTTGTATCGGTCTGTTCTCACACTGCTATAAAGAAACACCTCAGACTGGGTAATTTATAAAGAAAAGAGGTTTAATTGACTCAGAGTTCCACATGGCTGGGGAGGCCTCAGGAAACTACCAGTCATGGCGGAAGGTGAAGGGGAAGCAAGGACCTTCTTCACATGGCAGCAGGAGAGAGAAGAGCCAGCAAGAGCAGGGAAAATTGCCTTATAAAATTATCAGATCTCATGAGAACTCATTATCAGGAGAACAGCATGGCGGAAACTGCCCCCATGATCTAATCAACTCCCTCCAACGACGTGGGGATTACGGTTCCCTCCCTTGGCACGTGGGGATCACAATTCAAGATGAGATTTGGGTGGAAACACAAAGCCAGACAATATCAAGGGTATTTTTAATATAAACTACAAACAAAACTAGTCTACCCTGACTGACACAGAACCAGACCCAAAGGAGCTTTTTAAACCCCCCAAGAGACCCAGCAGGTATTAGAATTCTCTACACCCAGAATCATAAACTCAAGTGCTACAGGGATCGGGTAGGGCAGGTAACTAAGGAAAGCAGCTGAGCACATGATAATAGAAAGGGGAAGGGACTGGGTCAAACTGGTGAGCACATGCCAAGGAAATGTGGGCTCCCTGTTGCTAAATCTTGCAATTTTTCAGAAGAATTTGGATATTTGTGTGACTTTTCCCAATGGATAAAAAATTGTACAAATAAAACAAAACTGAACTGCAGGTTAATTTCACTTCAGGGTTTTCAATTTATAGCCCCTGACCCTCTGCCTCAAGTTCACAAGCAGGCTCCCATTTATCAGCCATAATTGAAAGATTTAGAGCCAGTCCTGTCAGTTACTTGCTGTGGGACATTGGAGATGTCAGCCTGGTCCTTAGTACTTCCGTCTGTAAAATGAGTCCATGGGAGAAAACTGATCGTTCTTTGTCTTTCTCGGGTACATCTGCACAATAAAATTTCATATACACACCAGCATGCAATCTTATTTACATATTTTATGGTTTCCAATGAAGCTATAAACCTCAACCCCTGACTACCCCTCCCCACAATAGATCCATGAAATCAACGCTAAGAAATCTGGGCTATATAAAGCCAAAGTTTTCGTCCATCTGAAAATGTCATTTTATCAATGTCAGTGTATCAAGAGGAATGGGATATTTTTCTTCCTGCTGGAGATTCTTAGCATGTCTTCTACTAGAAGAATCCATGGCTCTGATGTTATGGTTGCCTGTGTTCCACATAAAAAGATGGGTCTACAGGTTTTATCATGATGTTTAGTTATCCTTGGCCTCCTTCAGCTTTGTAATTCAAACCACCAAATGTATCGCTGCTTTTAAAAACAATCTTTCCAAACTCACATCCAAACTGCCTCCCTCTCAGTGCAGATGATGAGTGGTTTCCACAGAAAGTCTTTAGAATAAATATTCTGTGGTCACGTTCTCAGCTTCAGTCAATAACCTTTAAAAATACATCCAGATAGGCCTTCAGAGGGAGCAATTGTAATATTTGTGGGGCCAAGAGCATGAAATCACCCAAGTGAGCATCAAATAAATGAAGCAAAGTTCTATTCCAAGTGGACTCTGATTTTTGTCCCATTTTGATAGCATATGCTGTTAATACTTTCATCAATAGCACCTTTTACAGCCTGTCTTTAATAAAGAGGATTCCCACTCCATTTATCAGGATCCTGAGTATATGAAACTGGTCCCTGGGAACCCCTTGATGTGGTTGGAATGAGACTGAAATTTTTATTAAACAATCATTCAGTGGGAATAAAATTTATCATAAAGGGCAACCCTAACATGAAATCTTTATATGTAGCAAAGAGGTCTTAATTTGAAACAAACAATAAAGTGCAGAATTCAATTATGTCAGGAAACAGGTCCAGGCTCATAGGATGAACGAGTCATAACAAAAACTTTAAAGCTAGAAAGAGAAAACTAAATGGCATTTAAAACTTGTACTACATTAATTCAAGGTAGCTACTGCAAGATGCAATCATACCCAAAGGTACGTAGAAATTTCTGGAGATAATCTGATTCTTTTTGGCTGTCCTGCCAACTTCATGTAATCCTCCTGTCAAGAATAATTATTGTGTAGTTCCAAATAGCTAAAAAATAATAATAATAATTTTGAATGTTCTCAACAAAGAAAAAATAAATATTTGAGGTGATGAATATGCTAATTAGGCTACTTTGGTCATTCCACAATGAATACACGTATCGAAACATCACATTGTAACCCATAAAGTTATACAACTGTTATTTGTCTATTAAAAATAAACTTTGAAAGGAAAAGGAATTTGGGCAGTCTCATTGCTCATATTCTTGAAATGTGTGTTCAATTCAACAAATATGTAATAGGCTAATGGTCCTTTTATTTACAAGGTACCTTACAAAGTCCTGAAGGGACTGCCAAATAAAAAGACTCCTAATTTAAGGCAATAGTTTCCTAAAGTGGATGTGTAGGCTGGTGACATCTGAGGCATCTTGAGTACCCTAAAAATACATATTCCTGGGCCCCATTCCAAGCCAACAAAACCAGAATCTCTAATGGTAGGATCAAGAATCTGCATTTAAAACATATTCATCAGATGAAACTGACACAGAGTAGGTTTGGTCCTACATATGCCAGAACTTCTCCGTTATAATTGACAGACATCTAACCCCAGCTGGCTTAAACCAAAAAAGGAATCCATCAACCCTAGTAACTGAGAAGTTCAGCGAGGAGAACAGGCTTCAGGCACAGCTGGATTCAAAGGCTCAAACAATGACATCAGAGATTGAGTAGCTTCCCTGTCAACTCTGCCTTCTTCTGCACTGGCTTTATTCTTATGCATCACAGAAAGTACAATCATAGCGATAATAGAATTCGTACTGTTTTAGGCACCACACTTTACCTGTATTGTCACATTTAGTTTTTATGAAAATAATATAAGGTAGGAAGTATTATTTCCATTTAACCAATGATGAAGCAAGCTCAGAGAGGCAACATGATTTATCCAAAGTCACACCGTGATCAAAAGAGATGGAAAGAATTGTATCCAAGGCAGTTTGGTTGTTGCTCCCGCTCTCTTGCCCATACTTATGTACTCAGAGGTAAAGTAGGCCAAGGATACATGAAATGCTAAAAGAAAAATGAATGTTAGAAGGCAAAAGAAGGGCAAGAGAGTATAATTCAGAGGGCAATCCTTATTTGTGCTTATAGAATGTCCCATATGACCTCTCTGTAAGGCTATAATAGGCCCAGGAATCTGTACTTTGAATGTTTCTCCAGTTGGTCTAATTCACACCTCCTACAACTACATGAATGGTGATTCATCACAGCTCAAGATTTGCTGAAGTGTTTGCATCCATCGACAGCATGCACAGGACTACTGCTGGACTTCGGTTTTAGTAAAGAAGGTATGGAGGGTCATCAGCAAAAAAGTAGAGAAAATTGTTTCAGGGCTGCTGGAGACAGAAGGCTAACAAAATCTTTGTAGCTTCTGGCTGATAGAGGCTGATAAGCCATAGACTGGTGGTCTCACTATGGAGGGGGTAAAGGGAAGAAGAATGTAACACAGAGAAGCAAGATTTAATAATTAAAAGCATATAAAGCATGAAGACAGCTGTTTATACAAAGCAAATATTAAAAATGGTTATGGGGTCTGGGTGCAGTGGCTCATGCCTGTAATCTCAGCACTTTGGGAGGCTGAGGCGGGTGGATCACCTGAGGTCAGGAGTTCGAGACCAGCCTGGCAAACATGGCGAAACCCCGTCTCTACTAAAAATACAAAAAGTAGCTGGGCATGGTGGCACATGACTGTAATCCTAGCTACTCAAGAGGCTGAGGCAGGAGAACTTCTTGAACCTGGGAGGCAGAGGTTGCAGTAAGCCGGGATCGCACCACTGCACTCCAGCCTGGGCAACAGAGCGAGACTCCAGCTCAAAAAAAAAAAAAAAAAAAAAAGTTATAGGGGCTAATGAGTTCCAGATTATTTCTAATTCGGCCTGTCCTAAGAAACTGTGGTAGACTGTGGACCGCATAAACCATGACTTCTGGCGTTCCAACTTTGGGTTACTCTGAAATTAGTCATATGATTTGATTTTATCATGAGACACATCACACGAGCAGAGACTCAATAAGCACTTGTATATTAAGGATTATCCTGTCGGAATTCTCCCTCTTGCAAGGCTAACTTGAGACTGCCATGCTACTAGGAAGTTCAAGTTCACCACATGGAGATGAAATAAAATATTGTGATAAACATCCCCTGCTGATCACAGCCTCCAGTGATCCGTCAACTACACATATGATCCCAAGTCACATGTGTGACCCCAAGCAAGATCAGCAGAACAATCATTCAGCCAACCCACAGAACCCTGAAAAAATATAAATCATTATAGTTTAAACCACAGGTTCTGGGGTAGCTTGTTATGCTGCTATTGATAATTAAAACAAACTGGAATATTTTCATCTAGATGACAATCTACTCAATTGTTGAATCCTTTGTGTTTCCCTCTTTGCCCTGGTTAGTAAGATTCTCAGAGCTAAGTTGTATGTTCATTACTGTGTCTTTCTTCAACCAGGAATTCTCATCAGAATTGGTCCATTTCTCTTTCAGATTTTTGTCTTTTATATTAGTTGGTTTGGGTCTTACTATACCTCTGGTTTTCCTTTAAACTGACTAAAATTATTTGGAAAGTAGTCAGCATACCGGTAAAATAATAAATAAAGGTTAGTGGTAGATGAGTAAAAGAATAATGATTGCTATAGGGAAAATAATAGTAATTATTAATATGTGAATACAACAAAATGTTAATATATTTTTAAGCCAGGCCCTATTCTAAAATATTTTCATGCCTCCTATTATTTAATTCACCCAGCGATTATGAACAAGTACTGCTATCTCCCATTTTACAGGTAAAGAAAGTGAGGTACAAACTTGTCGTGGCTTTCCCCAAAGTCTCATAGCTAGTAAGTGGCAGTGCCAGGGCACAATTCAGGCCTGCCCAATGTCAGAGCCCACACTAATGACCATTATGGAACATTTCTTCACATGCCTTTTCTATTGTGTTTAGCCTATTTTGCTGTTGTATCAAAATTTACAAGACAAGGAATTATCTCCTGAGAACTTTTAAGTGTAAAACTTGTCATCAGGTTATTTAGTTCTATAAAGAAAAGATTAGAAAGTTGGAAATGGAGCAGCTGTTCCTAAATCGGGCAAACATTGCATTCAAAGAAAATTAATTTTCTCCACTTTCAAAAAAGAAATTCAAGCCCTAGTTTCTGATGCCACAATCATTGCAGTTAACAAAGCCATTTTAATAACCTCATTTTGTCCTTTGATAGATGGCTGTTCTTTCAAATGTGTATTCTCAGAGAAACTAGTGCTTTTGCAAGACTATCTGAAATGCTCAGAGAAAAGTAAACTACTCTGTAAATAAAGGGCGTTATTGTCTGCAGGTGATCCTCAAACTGTACAACCAACATATTGAATTTAGCTTTTATGCTTTTATTTTTAAATGAGTACAAATTGGAAAGCAAGAGTACTGATTCTAATGATTGAGTGTGTTGAAAATTAATGAAAACCATAAGTTTGAAAGAAGTTATTAGGCATGCCAAATGTGAACTACTTCTAACCCCAGAAGGATTAATTTTACTCTTAGGTGGTCAATTAAGAAGGAAAGGAACAAAAGTTTAAAATGTGTGTTATGGAGCTAGGTCATTGAATTTTGTATCAAAAAGGTAAAATATAAATCAGAAATGTATAATTTTTAGTTTTTACATTATGAGCAGGAAGTCTGCAATTGCAGCATTCTTTTATGTCTAACTCAAAAATTGGACAGCCTTAATGAGAGATTCAAAATTACATTTGTCAATTTCAATGTAAGTTCAGCCCTGAACTGTTACTTCATTAAAGTTGAATATGCCTTTTTGAGGGATATCTGCCATAGGACGGTCACTTTTCTGGTGTCCTTTATGTATATCCTGCCCAAAAGCAGGATGCTGGCCAGGTTGACCTCATGAGACTCACTCTGCCTGAAAGATTCCACTCTCCAATCAGTGAGACTGGCGTTCCGCTCCCCAAAGGTAATTTGAACTTGAACAGCCCAGAAAAGTGACGAGCTTCTCTGTCCTGATATGTTCCTAACAACCAGGTTCTCACAGGGCTAGGGCCCCTGCCAATCAGAACCCCCCATTCTGCCCCACACAAGTGCAGATACGAATCCGGCCCTACCTCTCTGGCTTTGTCTAGGCTACAAGTGAGAGCTTTCACTGCATGAAGACAAAGCTTTCTGTTTCCTCTCAAATTCTCAATGACAAACACACTGACAAAAATATTTTGGTACAGTTCTTTTAAATGTTCACTCTTAATGTAGTGTGGGAAGCAAATGTTTGCTAAAATAAACAAAGTGCTAAGAAAATACTATCACTAGCAAAGCCATCACTCTATAGCTAATAATTCATGACCACCTCATAAATAATTGTCAGCCTTCTAATCTGAATGTGTGGATGGTGGGAAACAGGCCTTTCCCAAATCCCCCTTCGATATTTTGTCATCCCTCCTTGCCTGTTTTCTCCTCAGCATCATTAATTTTCAATCACCATGGATAGGGGGACAAAGTTCTGTTTAGAAGTTATTCCTTCTTCCCAAGGATAAGATAGTTCAAAGGAAGAGAAACATCACCCTGTCCTTATTTTTTTTAAGTAAGCTCCACTAGTCCCTATGCTGAAGAGAGCAATTTCTTATATTGGTGAAGAACAAATGCAGGAAAAGGTTACTAATTCTCCAAGGTTGTTGACAGTTTTTGCTCCCATCCTAGGATTCAAATCACAACAAAGAACCACTTCAAAGTTACCAAACTAAAGAGTTCTCAAATTTTAGTTAATAGTAAGGTTTCTGCCTATCCCAAGTCTACTGGGTACCAGAAAATCTTTCTGTAAGTGAAAAAAAAAATCACATGTTAAATATATGTTCTTCCCCATGCCCCCTAAAATATTATTTACTTTCAAATAGAAGAGAAGAGAAAACAAAGATAGACACCTCAAACTTAATTATTTTTCTACATGGTTTTGGGAACGGGTAGCTGAATACAGAACAAGATAATTTGTGAAAATTTTGCAAGTAAAGTTATTGACTAGTCAGGATCTTTTTCTTCTAAAATTATAGCTATTGTTTTCGGGGTAAAGTGTTCAGAAGCGGGTGATGAGCTTCTAAAACTCCTATTTGGTATGACTTGGCTAAACTTTAAAGCTGAGAAAAAGAATCCATACAAGCAGGTGCTACTGAAATAATGAATGCCATAAATGTGACAGCTTTAAATCATAATGGCAACAGTAATTAAACAGAAAGGTGACCAACAAACATAGAAAAGGGCCAGAGATAAGATATAAATAATTCGTTCCAGCTGCTGGCTTGCTCTTAGAAGTGATGCAGCGTGTGCTATTTTTATCTCCAAAGGGAGAGCTTTTTTTCATCCTGTAATTTTTTTTTTATCCTAAATTGAATATGAGAGCTTTGAGGTGAAAGGAAAAAAAAACTTACCAATGACTCTCACATCTCAATTTTCCTTGTACAGCCACTTCAAATTGGCAGTGTTTCATCTGACCCATCAGGGGCTGCGGGCAAATTTAGAAGTCTAAAACCCAACCATTTTTCTGGAACCAAAAAGCAAAGATACTATTGTTGAGCCACTCTTAGGGGAACAGACATTTTGAATTGGTTGGAGATACAACATAGACATATACTTATGTCTGTTGAATCCTCTTTCTTCTCCTCCCCCAATCCAGAATCCCCCAGAACCCTCCACACACCCCCACATTTCCACCCCCAAACCCCACCATCCCTGCTGCAGACCCAGAAAATTGCAGCTGCTACAATGTGGTCTCTAGTCACATAGAGAAAGTCATGAAGAAAAGTGAAAGGGTGTAGCTTTAAATGCCAGTTCTGCCTCCTCTTAGCTGTGTAACATTGGAAGAGTCACTTTCTGAGCCTTGGTTTGTTGTCTGGAAAATGAGGAAGCCATAATTTCTAACTTTTGGAGATGTTGTGAGGATTCAGTCACATGACCCACAGAAAGCTCCTGACATGGGCCTAGTAGGTATGAGGAATTTAAGGTTGACTACTGATCTTAGTCCCCATCTCCCCTCAGTTCCTAACTCCATTTTGACCAGCCCCAGCAATGCTGAAGTAGTGTTAAGGGAGAGTGTAGAAGAAAAGACAGGAAACAGGAGGGCAGAGCAAGGCCACAGGCCCTGGAGCAGTAACCATTCTTCTCCCTTCTTTTCACCCTCATGTTAACAATAGCAAACAGGAACCACAGCATTAATGGTAGTTAACACTTTTTGAGCACTTAGTGCATTCCTGACACCACATGTAGTATCTTATTTGATGCTCACAAGAAATACTATTGTTTGTTCACCACAGGTCACATTAGATTTTTTGCAGCCCTGTCTATTATTTATTCGCAGTGAGTCTCCTCTCAGTCTAAACCTTGAAGTCTCTTCACTTCTTATACTTGTACAGTTAGTGTTAAGCATGTCTTCTGTATTGTTATCCAAGTCGTTGATAAAACCCATCTCTTTCTAAAACACTTTCAGCTCGTCCTTATCCTAGTAGGTGAGTCCTTTTGGATCTCCAGTGGAGTTTGGGGGACAAATTCTATAATATATTCCCACTGTTTGTAGCAATTGTATGGGAACACCAGCTGGTCCACCTCAAGGTTCTGGAGACCTTGAGGCCAAACAGGACTTACAGCTACTCCTTGACAGAAGGGATACCCCAACCCCATTAGAAACCATGTGCAGGTGCATCCCCTCCCAATGAGGGTAGAGGAGTCCTCCTCGGGTCCACCTGGTCCTTGCCTGCTCAGCCCAGACTGAGCTCTCACAGCCACATTTAGACAATTATCTAATCTTAAATACTAAAAAAAGTTGAATTTCTCATGGGTTTCCTTGGCCCCTTAGAAAGAACTTATTTCTGCTTTCTTCCTTTCCTCCTACCCTCGCCTGCCTCTCTCTGTCTCTCTCTCTCTCTCTCTGTCTCTCTCTGTCTCCTCTCTCTCTCTGTCTTTCACACACACACACACACACACACACACACACACACACACACTTCCTATTCCTCCCTCACATCTCCCTAAAAGAGGGGCCTGCTCTGCCTGTCCTTTGGTTTTCCTTCATAAGGGTCTCTCTCTCTCTCTCTGCTTCTCAGGGATGACAGTGTAAGACCTGCTCTCCCTCTTAAGAAGACTCAGCCAGCTCTCCTTCTCCTTGTTTCCCTCCCTTGCTTTTTCTTTGAACACTCTCTCATCCCTGTGGCTGGTGTAGTTTCCAAACTCCAAACAGATACTAATGTTAGGGATTTAGAAATAAAATCAGAATTCTCCAGAATACCCCAAATCATAAATTGTGATTAAAATACTTCCCATATTCCTCATGTACTAGTTTATTAGGAAGATCAAAAAATTGTTCAATAAGTAAGATAGGCAGGTTTAGTAAGACTATTTACAAAGAACTGTAGCCTAGATTGAATATATAAGAACTAGAAAATGTGAACATTATTGGGTGGCTTTTAAATGATGTAACATTCTAATCTTTTAAGATTAACAGCTCTACACAGAACCATGCGTAAAGATCAATTGAAGAACTTATTTTGCTTTCAAAATTTTTTATTTCTTGGAACACCACCCATAGGTTTAGTAGAGAGGATAACATGTGAAGAACCTTAACATTCACTTTAATTGTAAGAATTTACCATTAGTGACAGACAGCGTCAGAACTTGTATTTATTACATGGCCATAGCTACAAGCAAAAGTGGTGAGACAGTGATTGTTTCTCCCCTTCTTTCCCCTGTCCCAGTTACTGGAAATGTTGACTTTGACCTTCAAATCTGCACACCAGCTTTTCCTGCTCTTGCTTTCTTCTTGACATTACTGCATTCCTTTGAGAAGTAACATCTCTAAGTTGAATGTTAATCTTTTATTCTCACAGGAGAATTGCAATACTTCCCCCTCCCCATTTTTCTGATTTCTAAAACCCATTTTTCTCAGGATGTGGGATTCAGAAAAAATATATAATTTTCCCAAGAAATGCCAGAAGGGAACCCCCACATGGAAACTGTTATAATGATGAATATCTATTGTTCTGGCCTAACCAAGAATAATTTCCCCTTCTTTTTGTTCATTTTGCTTGTTAGCAAGTTATTTTGCTTGGAACCAGGAAAACCTAACTGATTCCAATGGCAAGGAAAATAGGCTCCAGAACTACTGGCTTGGCCAAGAAAGATTTGATCAAATGGCCCATAATATGTCTGCTCAAGACATTAGGCTAATTTTCTCTCTCTCATTTGGACTTGCATCTTTTTGCTGCCTATATACATTTGGCCTAAAATAGATAATCTTACTAACAGATTAGATGTCCAGGATTTTGGTGTGGGACTTCACAGAGTGATTCAAAAAAGTCCACCAACCATATAGCTTTGGTAATAGATCCCAGATTAATTTTTAGCCCAAGCAACAGGAAATTCCTCTTAGGCCTTAGGGCCTTACCCTGCAGAAATATTTTTGTTGGTGCCTATGTTAGTCAGGATTGTCCAGAGAAACAGAATCAATAGGAGATAGATAGATAGATAGATAGATAGATAGATAGATAGATAGATAGATAGATGATAGATAGATGTTTGATAGAAAGACAGATAAAAGAGATTACTATAAATTATTGGCTCCTGCAGTTATGGAGGCAGAGAAGTCCCACATTCTGCCACCTGAAAGCTGGAGACCCAGGTAAGCTCTTGATGTAGTTCCAAGGCCTGAGAGCAAGAGAGCCAATGGAGAGCCAATCATAATCCAGAAAGGTACAAGCCCTATCACTAGAATCCTGAATGTTGAAATCCCAAGAGATCAAAATCCCCAAAATGTAATTCTAGAAAAAATAATTTTAAAATTATCTAAAATATTTATTTACATTTTTAAAGGAGGATTTATCTAAGAAACATAAAAACATGAATGAATACTTCATAGGCCACTTTATACGATAAAATAAGCAATAATATACATATGTTTGTGAGTATAAACACTCAGATATTCTAACAACAGTCACATGGGTATAACAGTTATGAGCAGATATACTGTGTTCATAAAGAGGTCAAAAAGGGAAATGTATAAACACATATCACTGTGGTTGGTAATTGTGTGCACCTAGCTTTATAACTGAGGTCATCTGAAACACCATGACAAACCACCTAAGTCTTTTGATGGGACCAATCAAAACCACCATTTACACCATCCCCCAAAGAGCTAAGATCTTGAGAAATTCTATCTTTCACAATGTAGATGTACAGAAAGGATATCTCTTTATTTATTGAGGAAGTTTCAGCATTTTTATGTATATGCATAATGTTTAAATACAGTCCACATTGTGATAATGTACTTCATGGAATCAAATTTGAAAATGCATAAAAAGTATTAGAACTCTCCAAAAGTTCCTACGCCATTTACACCTCCAGTATTGAAAATGATACAAAGATGAAATGCATAGTAAGTTGTAAAAAATAATACAATTTAAAATAGTAAAAAATAAAACTAAGAAACAAAACCAAAAATAAAATTTGACATATGAAAAAGTATATTATTACAAGGATAGATTGTGGGCAATTGCACAGAGATAATCCCTAAGAACTGGCAGACTTTCACGGTCATTAACTATATTTTGAAGTCTTTCATCACAATGAATAGTTGCGTTTTTCTTTTAGGGCATGACTCTCTTCAGATAATATGTTTAGATTCATTTCCAATGTGGCACTGCTCTTTATGAAATTCTTCTATGATTCTATGTATACTGATATGAGCATTTCCTATTAAAGCTTTCTACCTTCTGTGCCATGCTTCTGTGTTGTTTAGGGTTTACAGAAATCCATTTCACATGCCCTCATATACAGAACACAAGTTTGGCAGAAACAATGCTGGTGATCGAACAGCAATGCCATTGTGAACATTACATCTTCTTATCCTACTGTGCACATAGTAATTTTTGAAACAGTCAGTAAGCTTTACTGGCTTCTTCAGGCAAATTCAGCTTTAATTCATTAAAACCTCCTGAAATGTCATAAGTAGGAAGGTATATGATGCATTTTTAAACTGAAGTTTTCTTTGTTGCTGTATGCAGTGGCTAATCCACTCATTTGACTTTTCCACCAAATGCAAATAAAGACAATAACAAGATAATAGTTTTGCCTAACATGACGTAACTATCCTGCATACAACTGAAAATGCACTAATCCCTTCCCCAGACTTTGGCTTTCCGGATTTCAACATTCGGGATTTTAATCTTTTGGGGTTGTGAATTTCACAATTTTAGACATTAGGAATTTTGATCTTTCAGGATTTAAACTTTTGGAATTTCATCATTCAGGATTATGGCATTTGAAATTGTGTCTTCCAGGATTATGATCCAAAGGCAAGGCACTGATGTAAATTCCTGTCTAGAGCTGAAGGGCTGAGAACTAGGAGCATCAAAGGCAGGAGAAGATAAATGTCGCAACTCAAGAAGTTAGGCAAAGTTAATTCAAACTTCTTCCACCTTCTTGCTCTATTCAGGCCTTCAAAGGGTTAGATGATGCCCACTCAACATCGGAGAGGGCCGTCTGCTTTATTAGTCCACCAATTCAAATGTTTATCTCTTCTAGAAACACCATCACAGACACACCCAGATATTTTAACCTGGTATTTGGCCCCCTGGGGCCCAGACAATTTGGCATATAAAATTAAGTATCACAGTGCGGATAGTATATTTACTTAAAAATGTTGTGAATATTAGCTTGTTAATTAAAAATCTATGGATTTTACTTTTTAAAAATCTGGATTTCCATTTTCTTTTATACAGGTAAAAATATCAAGAAATACTGAAGCCCATGTCCCAAAACAACAGTCCTTTAGGTGGATCACACATTCTCCACTACGCCAAGCTCTACTCAGTAAGTTTTGCTTCTTTGTACTTAACTGCCCAGCCCCTGTTGGTGACCAAGTTTGCAACATCTGCTCTGCATGATCCAGTGGAGCAGAGAACTAGAGTTTGAAACTAAATCCTCATTTACATATGCAATTTCCTTGTGCACCTAAAAGGATAGTAGATGGCTAGTTAAGAATGGGATTAGGCCGGGAGCGGTGGCTCACGCCTGTAATCCCAGCACTTTGGGAGGCCGAGGCGGGCGGATCATGAGGTCAAGAGACCATCCTGGCTAATATGGTGAAACCCCGTCTCTAATAAAAATACAAAAAAATTAGCCGGGCGTGGTGGCGGGCGTCTGTAGTCCCAGCTACTCACGTGGCTGAGGCAGGAGAATGGCGTGAATCCGGGAGGCAGAGGTTGCAGTGAGCCGTGATAGCGCCACTGCACTCCAGCCCAGACGACAGAGTGAGAATCCGTATCAAAAAAAAAAAAAAAAAGAATGGGATTCAAAAATTCAGTATTCTGGGTCCAGGTCAACTTTTAATTTTTCCTCATATCCAATAAGTTATTGATTTGAGTATAAGCTGCTAAGACAAAGAAAAAACACAATAGCAACAACAAAAATACAGTAGCCCAAACAAACCAGAGATTCATTTCTCTTTCCTGAAATATTTCAGAAGTAGGCATGCGATGCAGGCTGTAGGTAGCTCCTCTCCACTAAATTACCCGAGCATCCATGGGTGGATGCTTCTTTCTTCTTCCTTCTCCCATAGTGCTCTGTCACCCTCTAGTGTGTTTCTCACCAACCTGGGTAAGAAGGGTTCACACTACACATCCAAGTTCCTATTCATGGGGAGGGGGAAAGAGAGAAAGTAGAGAGGAAACAAATTGCATTTAAGGAGGTGGCTCAGCAGGTCTGCCTGTCACTTCCACTCTTGCTCCATTGGTGATAGCTTAGTCACAAAGCATTACTTAGCTGCTGGGAAGCATTTCTAATATTTCTAATTGGCAGCCATGTGACCTGCCAAAAAGCAGTGAGGGGCTGTCACTCAAAGGAGAAAAGAGCAAATGCAAATCGGAGAACAATTGCTGTTCCCTGCTTTAATGATCCTTTAGGGAAAAAAAAAAAGGAGACAGAAAGGCCTTTTTTTCTCAGTAACCCCACAAACACACACACACACACACACACACACACACACACACACCCATAACCACCACAGCCAACATCTATCTATATGCCCTGAATATTCACCATTTTTTTAAACCAAACTGCAACAAACAGTGAAATTATGAGGAAATGATTTCTTATTAACTTCATTGGACAACAAACTCCGGCTTTCAACGCCTCTTTACAGTTCTTCCTTTTATTTATTCACCTAATGGGTAAGACTTCTAATTTAATCAGTATGAAAATTAGACATTTCCTGAAATGTTTGGAGTGGAAAAAGTCCCTCCTCATTCAATGTTTATATTAAAAAAAAAAAAAAAACGACCTTAAAAAAAACTGTAAACCTCTAGGCTATAGATAAGTACCTGTGTTTGTGTATTTAAATAGAGTGTGTCATATCCATTACATCCATCAGAAAAGATAAGAGAGAAAAGCATAGTCAGGCATTGATCTTTCATTGTTTCTTCAAATCTTTGATTAGAATTGCCTAAAATCCTTTCTCACCCAGTACCATACCCGCACTCATTTATTTTTCAAAACATACAAGCTACCATCTATGATTTTTATTCCACTGGAAACTTTTAAGGAAATTTTGCATTTAAAGCCAGTTTTTTAAAGATGACTCAAAGAACATCTTTATTTACTCTTCACAAGGAGCCATAGCATGCACACTATTTTCAACCTTTGTGCAGGTCCCAGAAATCTCATTTTCAGAGCCACAGTGTATAATACAGAGTCACTGATGCTGTGGTTAAAGCCGGGGTTGTCAGCCTGGAGCTCTGACCACTGAACATCACTGTCATCTGACAAAGAAGTCCCTGCAGCCTCTTTGAGGAGTCTCCTGACCCTCTGTGAGCATGTCTGAAACCATGCTGCATTGACTCTTTGTTCCTGGATTGAGTAAGAAAAGGGGAGAAAACAATCAGGAAAACATATCTTTTCTATGTAACACCAGTGCAACTTGCCATTCTGTTAATTCAGTGTAATAGGAAGAAATTAACAAGATCAAGCTTTACACAGACAAAGCAATGGTGTTAGGAGACTTGTGGAGTTGCGTGTTTCAACCGGACTTGCTAATCTCGTATAGTCACAGCCCTCTTCTGACCTGTATCTGGATATATGTGAAGCAGAGGCTGTGTTGAGATGTAGTGAGATCGTCATCTTTTATTAAATAAGAGCCTTTGGGAGCTTGGTTTCCCCATCTGCAGACAGGGCAATCCCAGTGCTTTCTTGGCCTGGGCATAGGACTCATTCCCTTGTTTCTATGACCTTACCAGAGAGACCTCCCTGTCCACCCTATTTAAATTGCACCCACCTTTCCTTCTGGCATTCTCTCTCTTTTTTATATAGTTATATATATCATATTTTTAATGTTTTTTGTATATAAACGTTTTTGAGACAGGTCTTGCTCTGCCACACAGGCTGGAGTCCAGTGGTGTGATCACAGTTCACTACAGCCACAACCTCCCTGGCTCAAGCAATCTTTCCAAGGCAGCCTCCTAAGTAGGAGGGACTATAGGTGTATCCTACCATGTCCAGCTAATTTTTTTAAATTTTTTGTAGAGATGGGGTCTTGCTGTGTTGCCCAGGCTGGTTTCGAACTCCTGGGTTCAAGCGATCCTCCTGCTTCAACCTCCCAAAGTGCTGGGATTATAGATGTGAGCCTCCCTCTGGCCTTCTCTATCCTTATCCTGCTTCATTTTTTCTCCATAGGGCTTATCATCACTTACATTGTATATACTTAGTTGTTTATCATCTCTCTCTCATCAGAATTTGACATCATAAGTACAGAAACTTTATTTTGTTTTGTTTGCTGCTATCTCCCTGGAGGCCAGGAGAGTTTCTGTCATGTAGTAGGTAGGCAATAAAGTAAGTTAGTTGTTGAGTGAACCATGAGATTGTTGTGGAAAAGATGAGAATATGTGTAAAATGTTCCACATGGTACATGGCACAAAGGCCCTTGGCACAAATTAGTTATTTTTGTTATTGTCATCACTTTTCCACAGAGACTCTTAAGAATGATGACTATGATCTCATCCAGTTCTTCATGGCTTAGTGGATCTCTTTAATCCACTCCCTAAGTTACAACAGAGATTCCCACAACAGCAAAAGGAAGTAGGTGTAGCATTCTACAACTCTGGAGTCAGCACATGGGATAAGAAAAAAATCACATATATTATGAATTGTCATTGAAGATTATTTAGGAAGACATTACATCAAAGATCAATGTGCCATTTTTCTCTAAACCTAACCCAAACAGGTTTTCTTCCTGCTTCACAATAGATTTAGTGATTATTTGGTTGAATACCCAATGGAGTATTTGACTTGTGTTCGAGACTATGCTGTACCAAAAATAGTAATAAATAATTAAAGCACTATAATACTAATAGTAATATGTTTAAACACCAGAGTGTTTTTCAAGGGGGTGAGATGCTCATACAGTAGGTGCCAAGACCAAATGTGAGGGGTGAAGAATCATGTGTCTTCTAAGTCACTCTGGCTAAGTCACTCCATAGATGTGAAGATGGGCCAGAATTATCATCACTGCTTCATTTATGTGTTTATTCTGTCTTGGTCTTGGGCTCTCTCTCTTCCCCTTTCCACTCCACCTACTCCTCCTCTTTCTGCCAGGCATTCAGTTGAAATAGTCTGAGTTAAATATGTGCATTTATAGACTCAGAAGCAGTGTCATATAAGACTGTTATGCTCAGATCATTTTCTAGTTGGAAGGAGCTTTAGAAGACATCAGACCATTTTATTTTACACAAGATCCACAAGAAAAGTAGAAATAATTTGTCTGAGTCACACAATGAGATGTCCAGTGCTAGAAGTCAGCTCCGTGGCTCCCTAATCTCAGGAATTTTCTCCACCTTTCTCAGCTGCCTTCTAATGTGTCCCATGTAACACTGTCATTCCCCTTTCACTCTTTCCCCTTTCCAAACCATTCACCAAAAGGAGTGCTATGGCCTTTAGTTCCTCTCCTCCTTTGCTCAGGACCCAAGCATCCTCCAATGAAGGCAGCATCCTCTGCTTCTCCCTGTAACTTCTTCAGGCTCTTCCCCCTTCCTCACTGCCTCAGGAATCAGTTGGATTTCTACACAGCCTCCTGAAACTGACTCACTGCTCTGTAATTGGGCCAGTGCCTGCCTTCTGCATCCTTTGGCAGCTGCTGTCATTCTTAGTGGGAGACATCATTCATGATGCCCCTGGCACATCATGACAAAACTCCAATGAGTCTACTATTTTCTTTTTGAGTCATGTTGAGCAGGGGCAACTTCCTCACACAAAGATCAGGAAACACATCCAGACAGACAGCACAAATGGATAGTGCAGAGGACTTAGAGACTCCAACCATATAAACAAATCTGCATTTCTAAAATAATAAGCATTCACATATAATGCCAGATTATTGTTGTAGATTAGATTGTGGCGAGGGATGAACTCACATTACATGTATGGCCTGAGGGGGGTTTTGATGAGGTGAGACATTTCACAGAACAATAGTTTGTTGCTAGAGAGCCAACAGAGTTCTAGAAAATGTTTGACCACTTATGAATTGGATCCTTCTTTAGTGTTTTGATTGGAGCCATTAGGCTGGTTTCTCAATGATTCAAGCACAAATCCACCACCACCACCCTCAGTCTACCTCACCCCCATCTCTCCTCTTATTCATTCCCCCTACAGATCCCCAGCACACACACACTTCTTTTTCAAAATTTTGCCAACAAATATATGCATCTAATTTCCTCCCACTCCAGATGTGGGCTTTTACATATTCTCAAGGGCTACAACCATGGAGAAAATTATAGAAACTAAAGACAGGGTACCTTGAAGGAAAAGCTAAATTGGAACAATGCTGTCCATGGACCTCCCCATGGTCATTTGATGGTCTGAGCTTTAATTACCAGTGTCCTCTGTCCTAGAGTTCTCTTTCCTTTTGATTCCTATTAGTGATCATAAGCCTCTCCACATGTTGTTCCATTAGATGCTTTCCCTGCCATTCACCATAATATTAATTCAGGTAGGGAGAGGGGAGAGAAGGAAAGGAAAAATCTGTATAAAATTTCTATCTGCTTTGGGAGGCCGAGGCGGGTGGATCATGAGGTCAGGAGATCAAGACCATCCTGGCTAACAAGGTGAAACCCCGTCTCTACTAAAATTACAAAAAATTAGCCGGGCGCGGTGGCGGGCGCCTGTAGTCCCAGCTACTCGGGAGGCTGAGGCAGGAGAATGGCGTGAACCCGGGAAGCGGAGCTTGCAGTGAGCCGAGATCGCGCCACTGCAGTCCGCAGTCCGGCCTGGGCGACAGAGCGAGACTCCGTCTCAAAAAAAAAAAAAAAAAAAAAATTTCTATCTGCACAACTCTTCCTTCAACCTTTTGGCTGCTGCCTGAGGTAACAACTCTAATAGGCTTTGAAGTTGAAAGTGGATTTGAGTATATTTTAGTAGGTGGCTTCACAGTCTGACTGATGACATTTCTTGTTTTAAAATCGTTTCGCTCCAGTGATTCCTTCTCCTGGTGTTAGGATGGGAAAGCTCCAGTGCAAGAGGATATTGTAGGATGAGTGGATAATAATCAACGGAGACACAGAAGGGTGCATAAATCCACCATGTGTATTATTTTTAGAGCGTTCATGTGATATGATTCATCTTAAAAGCATTTCTAAATGCGAGGATCTGAAACTATCACCATGATTTACTGAAGTCGTGGAGAACACATGTGACTTTCTTGTTTTGAAAATGACATTACGTGGACACCATTGCTTTCTTCTTCCCCTTTAGTTTCTTACAGACTCATTAGGCTAAACCAAAAGACCAGCATAAATTCTCTCTGGTACCCTGCTGTCCCTGTTCAAAGCCTTGGAGTATTTGGTGTACATGATCTATGTACCAAGGTGATATTCTAACAGAGACAAATTATGTTCGAACATCTGAAAGTCATCATTTCTATGCATATGCAGGCATTTTGAGAAAAATCTACCAGAGGATCAAAAACAAGATTAAACCACATCTGTTTGGGTTTAAATGACATTGTCTATGTAGTTCAAAGTTGTTTCCTTTTGTATAGAAAAAACCTGCCCAGCTGTTTTTTATCTTAAATTCTTAGCTTTTATCAAAGAAGTGTTTTCATTGGCTATCCAGTGTTATTTCTAAAAGTTAAAGTATTTAAGAAAGGAGGCTAAAAAAATGCTTTATTCATTTAAGGTCTATCTCCAGAGCCTTCCCTTGGTACTCACAAAATACTAACACAGGGGTTTTGTTCAATTCTAAATAGAAAGACTGTATCTACTGTGTGTCATCATATAATACATTAGAACTTCCATCTTTTTCTACAGGTAATTGATTACAATTGACACTGATAAGAAACATGAAACAAAAAAAATGAATCCTAACAGGCATTTATTATTATATAAGAAAGAAATATTTGACTTCCTGAATGTTATGCACTGTTAAATGGGAAAGGGAATGTTTTTGAAATCCACTATCTATCAGTAAATAGTCTTATTTAACAGAGAAGTGGGTGTAGAGCAATTTTACCCTGGGAGTGTGTTTCTTCCGGACATCTGACACATTTATATATTAAAAAATCATATGTGATTACAATGTCCTGCTATCTCATGCGGAATAAATAAACTCTACTCTGCAGCTCCACTAAATGGTTTGTTAGAATGAAACTTGAAAGCAAAAATAAAAATGAATCAAAGGAGTATGATATAACAACCAAACCATTGTAAGCAATTGCTTAGCTGCTTTCTGGTTAGATGATTCTTTGTGTAATTTTTAGCTGAGTTTAGCATAACAACATAATACAAACAGGTTCACACACACACATACACATAGACATTGACTCTGTTATTCTTACCATGTGCCAACAATCAGCAGGTAATTTAAAGAGGACATTATTACTGAAAAGACTTCATTGTAACATTTACAATCAGTTCTCTGTTAGACATAAACAGAATTCTTTTTTCTGATCAAACAAAGGCATCTTTACAGCTTTTTGTCCCTAATTTGTGACAAAGAAGTGGTTTCAGTTTTCCTCAATTTTAATTGACATTAGAACATATTTTCAAAAATTAATATAAGTAAGCCCTGGGTATGAATGCAAAATCCAAAAGACATTCATTAGGTCTTTTCCATTTCTTGTTTCCTTAATATATTCAAAATGCTCAGTTTAGCATAGGGCTTGGGCTCTAGAGTCATACTGCCTGCCTTTAAATCTACTCCTAAGTCATTTGGGGCCACTTGCCCTCAGTTTCCTCATCTACAAAATGGAGATAATATGACTAACTTCGTAAGGTTACAGTAAGAATTAAACAAGAAAAGCATGCAAAGCCTCTGACAGAGGACCTAGCACATAATAATTGTACAATAAATATGTCATTATTTTATGGAAAGCAGTCTAAATCTTCCCTCTGCTCCTCATCCCCTGCTGCCTCATTGCTATTTTGTGCACTAAAATCATAAACCAGATTCCTATACTGAAGAGGCAGTTGAATTATCTGGTAATTTTCATCTTGAGATTCCAATGCTAGATTCACCCTCCCTCTCTTCCTTAGCTCCTCCTCCTGGAAAAGTCATGCTCCTCCCTTTGAAGATGAGCTCCTCCATCTCTAAAGAGAGCACATGGGTTGTGCCAAGCTGAAGCCAATGGCAATAATGCCTACAGAGCTTGCTCAGGGGGAAAGACTGCCATGACCAAATGGTGCCATGGGCCCTAGTCCACAGAAAGGAGATGGGCAGAATGAGCGATGGATACATGCCACCAAGTCCCATATTCTTAATCCTGGTCCCTCTTGCCTCCTCTGAGCCTTTACTCATTCATTTATCATCTTCCTCAATCATATTTTCTAGGCCTGCCTCTAGATTATTAAAATATCATCTTAATAGGCCTCCTAACTACTGCCTGACCTTCTTTCATTCCCTCCCAAAACTGCTGCCAGGTTAATTTTGCACAGTTACTCCTGTTCAGAAACCTTCCTGGATTCTATTACAGACATGAAAAAAAGTTCCCTCTTCTTAAAGCTGATAGAAAAGAATATCAGAACTTGACTGCCTTTATTGAGGAAAAGAAATTTAAATTGCCTTTTTAAAAGCAGATAAATTTATGGAGTTTCCTGTGTGCCAGACACTATGCTCAATGCTCTGCCCCTCCTATCTCTTCTAATGCCTACAAGAATTCTATGAGGTGGGCCTTGTTATTGTCACCCATTTTATTACTAAGGAAACTCAGCTTAGAGAAGTTAACCTTGCTCGAGGACACTTGGTTCTGTGTACTGCTGTGTAGTCATTTTTATTTCTGTGTTTCTCATCTCCCCACCACCCCTACCCCAACCACACCCCTACAAGTTCTTTGGCACCAGGGAAAGCATGCTAAATGAAGAGGAGGTGTCTGGTAAATCCCTTTTAAATCGAACTGAGCCACAGGCTTCACACAAATCCCTCATCAGTCCCAAAGTGCAGCTGCATCGCTCTTAGAGTCTTCATTTTTTAAAAAAAGCTTATATTACATTGGGTCTTTTAGCTCTCAAGGCATCTTCCCATGCCTCTTATTTGGCCCTCACAACAAACCTATGATCCAAATCTGAATATCCCCATTTTGCAGATGTGGAAAATAAAGTGCAGGGTGGTCAAGTGCTTTTTCCAAGGTCATACAGCACATGAATTGCCTAAAAAGAAAATGGACCCAAGATTCTCCCATCATAGCTAAAGGTTTCTTAAGCTAAGACTTTAAGAACACCTCTCCAGATGCCCGGAACAGGAGCTCAGAGGCTGCAAAAAGTTGGTAACTTAGATTATTTTTAAGTACAAATAGCCGTTGAAGATCCTAAAAGCTAAGCCAGAGTTCAAGAGTGTGGGCTCCCAGCATGTGGCTTCTTTGCCCACTTCTTGTCTGGGAGGTGAGTTGAGGACAGAGTCTCGGCTTAACAGTGAATGTCTTGGTTTTCCTGAATTTATTTAACAACCACCCTGGATGTTATTTCAACACAGTTTATCTTCCTACGCAGTCATATGTCCCTTTATAACTTAAAGGCAGATCGACATAGACTGGGGCTTTTGAGGTTTTTGGACAAAGGTGGCACTGAGGCTTATTCAAGGGATTTGAATTTCAAATGGGCAGAGGAGGGCTTGGCGAAATGCCTGCCTGGAGACATTGGGCTGAAATGCCAGCAAGGAACATTAATGCTGCCGCTGTGTTCAGCTGATCTTCATCCAGGAAAGGAACAAGCAAGCACAGAGATACTTCTTACAGTGGGATGAAGTAATCCAACGGTTTTTAGGAGTATTTTCATCTCTTGGTTCCAGAACGGTTTGGTTAAGTGGATTTTCAAAAAACAAATAATGAAATAGCCAGGCAGCGGGATCTATAGTCCAGCCAGCTATGGAACCTCACTCAACAGGCACTGGGGGTGTAGCGATTCTACCGAGAAGAGTCTGCGGCTTGAGGCTAGCCCTGCCCTAATGCTACAGGAAAGGGGTCCCGATCCAGACCCTAAGAGAGGGTTCTTGGGCCTGGCAAAAGAAAGAATTCAGGGCGAGCCCATAAAGTGAAAGCAAGTTTATTAGGAAAGTGGCGGAATAAAAGAATGGCTGCTCCATAGACAGAGCAGCCCTGAGAGCTGCTGGTTACCCATTTTTATGGTTATTTCTTGATGATATGCTAAACAAGGGATGGATTATTCATGCCTCCCCTTTTTAGACCATATAGGGTAACTTCCTGACATTGCCATGGCATCTGTAAACTCTCATGGTGCTGTTGGGAGTGTAGCAGTGAGGAGGACCAGAGGTCACTCTTATCACCATCTTGGTGTTGGTGGGATTTAGCCAGCTTCTTTACTGCAAACTGTTTTATCAGCAGGGTCTTTATGACCTGTATCTTGTGCCGACCTCCTATCTTATCCTGTGACTTGGAATGCCTTAACCATCTGGGAATGCAGACCAGTAGGTCTCAGCCTCATTTTACCCAGCTACTAATTAAGATGGAGTTGCTCTGGTTCACATGCCTCTGACACTAGCATTGACTGAGTCTTCTGTTGGTGACTTCTGTATTTATTTATCCTGCACATTTGGGACAAGTACACATCTTCTTAGATTCAGCTACATCCATCTGTCATCTGAAATAGAAGGAAAAAATTCAACTTACTTTGGACCAAAAGCATAGATTATCTGTTCCTTAGAAACAAATTTTCTGTAAGCTTACTATTTTACAGGGAACAACCAGAATTGTTTTTGACAAACCCAGCTGTTTTTCCTTATAGCTAAAAAACTGAAATTTTGGTGGTGTCCAAATTAAAATTTGGTGCTATCCGCTTGTGTTATCATGGCTGGCTGTTTTTAAAACTCAGCTATCATCAAAACATAACCTCTTCCAACAGGCCTTTCCTCAAACCCCAAATCTAAAATAATACCATGAATTATTAACTTGTCTTTAGATGTGATCATGGTGGTGTGGTTTTGTATAAAAGGAAAAAAAATAGTTAGTTATCTTTTGCAAATACTTAATGAAAGATTTACAACTGAAATCATCAGAGTTGGTGGGAAGATAGAATAAGAATGGCTATGAGATGACATTGTTGCAGGAGGCTGTCGTTACATGGGGGTTCATTTTGCTGTTCTCTCTACTTTGTATATTTGAATTTTCCCGTAACAAAGAAAATTTTGAATACTTTTTATACTTAATATAAAATGGTTCCCCTTCACTCTACAGTCTTCTTCTCTTTGTCCCATTTTATATTTCTCCCAGTACCTATCTCCATGGAATCATCTTGTCAATGTGTTTACCACTGCATCTCCCACCATAATTTAAACTCCTTGACGGAAGACACCTGGTCAGAATCATTCATGTCTTAATAAGAGCACAAATGATGAAACAGTCAGATCTAGGTTTAGTCTCAGTCTCACCGTTTTCTATTTATAAAGACCTGGAGAAAGTTGCCTAATTGCCGAGCCTATTTTCTTACCTTCTACATGGAGATGGTCTCTGTTCCTCAGGAATGTTGAGAGTATGAATAAAGACATCTGTAAAGGGCCAACTGGAGGGCTTGTCACTTACTAGTCTTTTAACAAATTAACTTCTTTAAGCTCTTTCTTTGTTATGAGTATGGGAAATTAGTTAATATTTACATTTTAATTGTGTCCATAATTTGGGGAGATTTGGTAACTAAAAATCTCTCTATTTTATAAACAGACTTAGAGAGCAATGTGTGTTCCTGGCTCTACCAGCTCTGACTTGATCTGTAAATGTTTTCGCTGATTTCTCCTGCAAAATGGAAAACCAGAGTACACAAGTTGGGGTGATTATTAAGATGAGAGAGCTAAAAACTATTTGGAACCCCATATAAATGTCAAGCCAAATTTTATAGAAATCCAAAACGCACTTGAGATATTCAGCAGTTCTCCTGAGGCCTTATTACAGGCTTGATGGCCTTAATTTTTCTCTAATATATAATTCTCTGTTATAGTACTCTACAAAATGCTGTAGCATATCATTAATGCTTACAAAATGTCATAAAAGTACACAGAGCAGAAAACCTCCCAGCTAGAGGAATTTTACAATCTGAAGATAGGGGCAGTTAGCTTTAATCTAGGAAGCTGAAAAACTAACCAGAATGGGTGAGTATCTTGTAGAGAATGCCTCTACTCGCTCTTTTGAAGTAGGGAACAGTATTTGGGAGTGGACGGTGTTTTGACCGTAGAGGAAAATCCAAAATAAGATCCAAGAATACTCAAGGTGAAGGGAAAGAGAAATAGGTAGAAGGGCAAGAAATTCTGAACATAACAGAATCCTGTATTGAAATAGATTAAGGAACAAAAGAGGGAAATAATTTGTCAGCAGACAGATTTGCTTAAAAGGCAAATCTACGTTTCAATTTGTTGGAGATAAGAGACAAAAACAGCATTATAGAAATTTGGGAAGCTGTATTACATTGGCCACCAAATGCACTGGAATACAAATAAACTCAGTACATGATTTTGCAGTTGCAAATAATTGAACTGTTAAAAGCCTATGATGATTCTTCTTAGAGTGAAAGAATCAATGTATCCCAACTGTTGAAATCAATCCATGAAAGCAACAGTATTTATTGAATACTTGCTGTTGTATACCAGGCAGTAGGGTAAGCACTGGAGATATATAAAGAAGAATTGGGCAGACATAATCCCTGTCTTCATAGCATTTATAGTCAACTAGAGAAGATAAATAAATAACTATAGATAATTAAATTAAGAAAAATTAGCAAAATAACCATTCAAGAATCCTCAGTATCATGTAATAAGGAGGTCTATGAAAGTTTAGGTGTATGCAAAACTGGGTAGGGGAGACACAGAAAAGTATCCTTGAGGAAATACCATTTATTCAAGCTTAGTCATAAACCACTGGTTATCAAGGGGAAAGGCTTTCTACGAATAGCGAATAGCTTGTTAAGAAAAAAGAAAGCCCTGTGGCAGGAGAAAGCAAACTGAGTGGGTAAAACTGAGAGAACTTCAGTAGAGCTAACATGGAAAGGGAATCAGGACAAGTAGCCAAGATGAGACCAGAGGAGAAGGTGGGGGCTAGAAACTGTAGGGCCTTGTTAAGGATTTAGGACATTATTTTAGGTGCAACAAGAAATAATAGGAGTTAAGGTCAAAGGAAGCATAACGATTCTTCTTGTTAAAGTAATTCCATAGTGAGGTTAATTATCATTGAAAAGTGCTGGAAGACAGGTCAGTTGTACACATTGGCCAAGACACCCAGACACCTCCAGAACTATAGGATTCTGAGAGCTCATTGTGTCCTGCGACTGAAGAATCATAATGCACCCTGCCAAAAGGAAGATAACCACACATACACACACACACACACACACACACACCCTGGAGGTCATCACTGGAAAATAGACAAAATAATTCTGAACCACATCTGAAGTACAAGTGCTTATGAAGAGATGTGAAGTGGGTGGAGTTGACCCACCCCAGAGCCCTGTTGGGAAATCGCAATAAATTGCTTGGGGTAGAGGGATAATCCGAACCATTGGCATCTTCAGAAAGTGCCACTTGCCACAAATGGGAGTGGTGGACTACCATCCCTAATTCTGGTTTGCGGTCTGTTGCACAGGAATCTGCTCAGCATATCTTGGGAAGGTTCCGCCCATTTGCTTAAGACAAAAACCTGGAAATCAACCCTGGTTCCTCCTCATTCTTTATTCCACATTCTGAAACCACCAGCAAAGTACTTGCTTTTCTTACTTTCAAAATTAATCTTGAATCCATTTCTACTGCTACTACACTGGACCAAGTTACCAGTGTTTCTGGCCGTGACTACTGATAGAGCATCCTAGTTCTCTGCAGTCCATTTTCCATGTAGTAGAGAGTGATCCTTTAAAATGTAAATCAGATCTTGTCACTTCCCTGCTCAATGGTTTCCCACCACACTTAGAGGAGAAAACCATTCCTTTATCGGGCCTACAGGGCCCTTCACAATCTGGCCCCCAACCACCTTGCCATTCTTATCCCATGCTACTCACTGTTCTTTAAAACTAGCCTTAGTTCCATTCTTCAAATGTGCCCAACTCTTCTTCCTCAAACCCCTAAACTGGTGCTTCTCAAAATGTGATCCAACCACCTTCTGCATAATCTGAAAGGTAATAGCAAATGCAGATTCTGAGGTTCTACCCTGACCTACAACATCAGAATTTTTGGGATGGGATCCAGAAGTCTGTGTTTTAACCAGCTCACCTGATTTTTTTTTTTTTTTTTTTTTTTTTTTGAGTGCTAACCTTTGAGAGTCACTACCCTACAAAATTTTGTTCCCTGGACCTGGAAGCCTCTAGGATTTCAGCAGTTTACCCAAAAGCAAAATAATAGGAGATGAAAAATGAAGAAATATATTTCTTTTCCTTGAAAAAGTATATATAGGTAATCTGGGGATTTTACTTTGATTCCTACTATCTTTTTGCCTCATCATTCATTGCTGCTGTCCTCAAATTCACATCATGATCCAAGATATCTACTCCAGTTCACATTATGATCCAAGATAACTATTCCAGCTCTAGCTGTCATGGCTTCATTCTAGGCAACTGGAAGGAGAAAAAGGTTATGGCCTTCCCACTGAAGACACCTCCCAGATGTTGCATACACCACATCCATTTATATCCCATTGACCAGGGTCTAGTCATGGTCATACCCAGCTGAAAGAAAGATGATCAGATATAAATGCTTATTCTGAGTTGTCTCTATGCCCAGATAAATTTTGTGACTATGTTGCTAATATGGTTTGGCTCTGTGTCTGCACCCAAATCTCATCTTGAATTGTAGTCTCCATGTGTCAAGGGAGGTAGGTGATTGGATCATGGGGGCAGTTTCCCCCATGCTGTTCTCATGACAATGAGTGAGTTCTCATGAGATCTAATGATTTTATAAGTATTTGACTGTTCCTCCTTCACACACTCACTCTATTCTGCTGCCTTGTGAAAAAGGTGCCTGCTTCCCCTTCTGCCATGATTGTAAGTTTCCTGAGGCCTCCCCAGCCATGCAGAACTGTGAGTCAATCAAACCTCCTTTGTTTATAAATTACCCAGTCTCAGGTAGTATCTTTATAGCAGTGTGAAAGTGGACTAATACAGTTGCTAAGGAAGAAGGAAATAATATACAGAAGGGGACATCCCCTACCCCACATGTGCTTATTTATTTATATGTACTTTAGAAATGGAGTCTTGCTATGTTGCCCATGCTGGCCTCAAACTCCTAAACTTAAGCAGTCCTCCTGCCTCAGCCTCTCCAGTGGCTCCATAACACCCAGAAATATGCTTTAATTTAAATTTATCTTTCTGGAAAAGCCAAGCCACCAGGTCAGTAAACCCCATTCCATTGTTTTCTTTCACTCCACTCAAATTATTTACTTTATAACTCATAAAAAAGTGTAATATTGTACATATATATGCACTGTCTTCCCTCCTAAACTATAAGCTATGTAAGGACAGAAGCCACATCTATTTTATTCCATACTGATCATCTAGCCCCGGTACAGAGTTGGCCTTTAGTCAACATTAGGAAAATGTATAAATGAATGAATAAAGAAATAGCTAAACAAAATAACTCTGCTGTGGCAGATTGAAAAGGTCGTGCAGAGAAATATGAGTGTCATTGGGGAGGAGCCACTTATCCTGCCCCTGCTATATGGATTGACATGTACTTCACTTAGGGGACCTCTTTTCCCAGCAACATGAAGAACTGAGCACAAGTCCTACTTCTGTTCTAAGCCTACATACTCTTAATCTATGTAGTAGAAGCCAGGGGGAAAAAAAAGAATAAAAAATCAAAGAAAACTTCAAATAAAGGTCACAGAAATAAATCCAAATATATTGGTAATCACGATAGTATATACAAATAAAATTTGCCAGTTAAAACGCAGAGGTTCTCAGGTTTAGATTTAGAAAAATAAAATAAAATTCACAGTTTACAAGAGACACATGTAGAACATAATGACATAGAAAAGTCTAAACTAAAGCAGTGTAAAAATATATACAAGGCCAACACAAATCTAAAGAAAGCTCTTGTAAAAAAAAATGTGAATGTCACACAATATAGACAAGGCTAAAAGAATCATTAAGAATACACATGGATGTTATGCAATGAAAAAAATAAGATGTAACTATTCTGAACCTATATGAACCTGACAGAATTTCCAAATGTATAAGTCAAAAACTGATAGAACTAAAACGAAGAATTAGTCAATCTACAATTGTTGAGGGGGATGTAACACACCTGCCTCAGAAAGTGCTTATCCAAAGCTAAATATTAATAAGAACTAAAATGCTATGAACACAGTTAAAAAGTTTGAACTAGTACCTGTTTAGAACCCTTCACCCAACAATATAGTACTTTTAATCTTCTTCAAAAGGATATGCAACATAGACTTTTTTTTAAATTCAGCATACTTGAAGTAACAAAGCAGTGTCAACAAATATCAAAGAATTTAGATCATGCCGAATGTGTTCTCTGCCAAGGATACAATAAAATTAGAACTCAATAAAAACAAATAGTCATCCCTCCAAATACACTCTGCTATTAGTCATTATTAAAAGAAGAAAGAAAATTAAAATATTTAAAAGTAAGTGACCAAAAAATCCCTCATGTGTATAATAGCATAAAAGCTCTACTTGGAGAGCAATGTATCACCTTAAAAACATGTATCAAACAAAAGGAAAATTGAAAGCCAACGAGCTAAGTGAGCACCTCAAGAAGCTGAAAAAAAGAACAACAGAGTAAATGCAAGCAAGCCACAGAAAGGAAATAATAAAGATAAGAGCAAAATTTAAGACAATTTTAAAGAAACAAATAGTAATGAGGATCAGCCTAACCTAACTCCAGCCCTTTGAGAAGCTAATAAAATAGACAAACTTATGGAATAATTTATGAAAAAGCAGAGGAGAAACACTTGGTAAGTGGAATGAATGAATAATTAGCCCACAGGTAACTTGACTTCCGTGATTATAAGGAAACAATGGAATTACATAGGTGAAAAGTATGGTCCAGTGCCTGCAACTCAGTAGGAACCCAGTAAGTATCAGTTTCTCTTCTCTAAACTAAATGAATTAAAATGAAGTATTAATGGACAATTATGGTTTAGCATAGTGATTTTGAAATCACTATTTGAAGGACAAATTTTAAATGGAATCTCAGAATATAAAACAAAGACTAGCAGAATGGCTCAGAATAAAGGTGGTGGCAGAGGAGAGAAACCCTTTCTTCACTGTTTCCCAGTAATCCCTTACATATCTCCTGGGAATGCCTAGGACTGTAAGACACCAGTTTCAAAACCAAGCATTTAATGTATTGCCTAACTCAACAAATATCTTTTGAGGACCCACCATGCCCAGAGTACTCTGCTCTCCATTGTCTTCATGTGTGACTGCAAGGAATGAATGATATGACGGAGATAGAAAACAGGCCAATTGCAGGACCTCTTTTTGGACTGCATGAGTCTTCTGGCTTTACTAAGGGTAAGGGTGTTTTCTCTCCCATTCTTTCTATGGCAGAACACAAGCCTAAACCACATCTACCATCATTAGTGTCTCTGTTAGAGTTCTTGGATTGTAAGGAAGAGAAAACTCTGGCCAACAGCCATCGAAATCATTTATTAGAAGAATACTGGGTGGCTCACTGAATCCATGGAAGATATGAATAGCAATGTACAGGGAAGGATAAGAAGCAGGACAGCTTCAGCCTTTGGACAGTAGGAGTCAAGGAGAGTTTATTCACACAGGTGCTGCTATGAGATGAATTGAATCCAACATTGACCCAGCTCCCTGTACTTCTGTACAAGATATACTTTCCCAAGAGAGAGATTTCAATGGGGCCAGCATCATGACAGGCTGGACTTCCTGCCATGTGACCATGGTCAAGGTCCTTGATGTCCAGCCCTCTGGATATCCGGAGAGCTGGATGGAGCTCTCTGGATTCTGGCCCATTTTCCAAGTCTGGTCCTCCAGCTTCCCTCTGAGTCAGTAAGCCATTGATATTCCCTAGACAAATCTCTTCTCTAGGATAACTATCATCACTGCCTGCTGCTTGCAACCAAAATCTTGGCTAATACAAAAGGGCATTGTTCAAAAGGTTGGGGATAATTGATACCCATATCGGGACTATGGACATTCTAATATTTGTATAATAGTCTAGAGTCTTATCAGTCTGTTATGACTTAAAGCTAAAAATAGTTGGGGTAATAGACATAACTTGACTGAAAACTTTTAGTAAAACCTAAAAGCAAGACAACAATTTCTGTTATTGGTTGCTATTATATATTTGTACCTTAGTCTGTATTCTGAGTGAATAGTTTTCATTGATTGCAGTTGTCTCCTTGCTTCTGACCATAAAATCTTGAAATTAAAGCAGAAAGGCCTGCAATACACCCTTGTCCCTGCCAAAGTGAGTTTGTCAAAACAACAGACAAAACAGAATTCAATTTGATCATCTCAAGAGAATGGAACTTAGAAATCCTTTGCCAAGAATATTTTCAGAGCAGGCCTTCAATCAGAAGGTGCCTTTTATCTTCAGAGACATCAGTAAGCTGACCTTAAGAAAATGTAGTTATATGCTCTCTAGCCTCAAATGTGTGGGAACCAGACATACGTCTCCATATGCCAGAATTTTTATTACAGAACTAACCCAAACCCCTCAAAGAGTATCGTAAATTCACAGTAACATGTCCATTGAGACTTTTACCCAGTAAATGTGTGGGAAAATACAAATACTGTCTAGGCCAATGTTCACCACACAACATCCAAGAGACCATTAGTGACCCAGCCAAGAGTCTTCAATTGGCTTTCCCTGTAGTCTTTCCTTGACTTTTTACATTTATTAAACCAACTCCACATATAGAAAGTTTGCACGAAGAGAGCAACTTTGTGAGAAAGAACAGAACCCCACAAATCTACAGGGTGTCTATGTTAAAGAAATAATAAAATCCATGAACTCAGACAGCTGAAAAAAATGACTGCACTAATTTTGGAAACCATATCTATTCATCCTTAAGGCACTTAACCCTGAAATATATGCCAAGAAGTGGCCATCTGATAAATAGTACCATGGAAATGGCCAGTAAACATATGGAAAGTTTCTTAACATCACTAGTCATCAGGGAAATGCAAATTAAAATCACAACAGGATAGCCCTGTACCCTCCAGAATGGCTAAAGTTAAAAAGATTCACCATACCAAATGTTGTGCAGGATGTGGAGAAACTGAAACTTTCAAAAGCTGTAGGTGGAAACTTAAATTGGTATAATAATTTTGGAAAACTACTGGGCATTATCTACTAAAGTTGAACAGTGTATGCACTATGACCTAGCAATTCCACTCCTAGGTATATGTTCAACAAGTTTTATCACACATACACCAAGAAACATGTATGAGAATGTCCTTAGCAATAAATTTATAATTTCCATAAGCTAAAAGTAATCAAACATCCATTAACTATAAAAGAGATTATTCCTTTTATACAAAGGTCGAAACCAGGTACAAACAAAACTATGCTGTTAGAAGTCAAGGTGGTGGTGGCCGGGCCCGGTGGCTCATGCCTGTAATCCCAGCACTTTGGGAGGCCGAGGCGAGTGGATCACGAGGTCAGTTCAAGACCAGCCTGGCCAACATGGTAAAACCCCGTCTCTACTAAAAATACAAAAATTAGCTGGGTATGGTGGCACATGCCTGTAATCCCAGCTACTTGGAGGCTGAGGCAGGAGAATTGCTTGAACCGGGACCCGGGAGGCGGAGGTAGCAGTGAGAGAGATAGCACCACTGCACTCCAGCCTGGGCTAGAGAGCAAGACTCCCATCTCAAAAAAAAAAAAAAAAAGGTCAGGATTGTGGTTACCCCTGAGGAGGAAGGAAGGGTATTGATTGGAAGGGGGCCATAGAGAATCTTCTGCAGTGCCCAGAGCATTCTACATCTTTAATCTCAGTGGCAGTTATAAGGTATTCTTTTTAAGATAAAATTATTGTGCTTTACATTTATGTATTAGACACTTTTTTGTATATGTCCGCTTCAAAATAAAGAGTTTTTCAAAAATCGTACTGCAAGCCATTGGCATAAATATATTTCTAGGCCTCAATTGGAAGAGAACCATAGTGGGTAAATTCAGGGACTCTACAGTCAGTCCAGGATTTGTTACTCCTTGGCCTCAGTTTCCTCATATGTAAAATAGACCTAAGAATTCCCACCTCAGAGGATTACCCTGGGCTTTCCTTTTGTCAGCCCTCTTCTTCCAGTACCTTTAACCTGGATAATTCCTACTAGTCTTTATGATGCAAGTGTAGATGTCACTTGGTGTAGGAAGGCAGTAATTCCTGCACACTGATGAGATCACACCCAGTCTTTTCCATGTCACAGTGGGCATCATCAGGGTACCTACTTTTAACAACAGAAAGTGACTCAGATCCAAAAGAAAAGGAGTTATGAAATGAGTAATGAGGGCCCTAGCATCTCTGGAAAGGCTGAAGAAATCACCAGAAAAAAAAAAACATCTAAAACCATGCTTCTGAGAGATTCTGATGAGGAAATTGCCTCACCCGTCACAGTCACCATCAGAAAAATTAAATGCCTGCTCCATTCCTTGAGGTACCAGGCCCCTACTCAAAGTCTAGCAAGATGCCGTCTGATTGGCAAAACCTGTGTCACATGCCTGTGACATAGCTGCAAGGGATGCTAGGAGAAAATACTCAGTATTTTTAGCTTTTATAGTTGGAGGAGGTCTTTGCCCCCACCTCAGAATGATAAGAAAAGGGATTTCTCAGTATAGAAAGGTAATCAAATGCTGAGTGGCCAAGATGAATTGCAAAAGTTAAACAAACCATGTTGTAATCTCTAGTTTACTTGTCTGCTTTCCTCAGTAGACAGCAATTATTCATGAGACAAGGAACCATATCTAATTTGGTACCATTTCGTCTTTGCACTCAGCACAATGACTGACACAGATCAGGCCCTGAGTAAATATTGTTAAACAAATGAATCACTAATATAATAGTTATAAAATATTCAGCATAGTACCTGGCATACAAAAAAGGTTCATTAATGATATACAGTATATATAAGATGAAGCAATGCATTCTCTGTAGTCAGGGAACATTTCTCCTTCTATTTTGTGTCCCTAGCACCATATCAGACAGTATGTATTCAACAATGTTTGTTGAATGAATAGTTGAATCAAAGAATGAGTGAGTATGCATCATTGTAATTAATCCCTAGTAGGGTATATCCAAAGAACTGCTTAGATCGAAGACTGATGAATGCTTGAAGGTTGAGCAATGACCCATTGAGGCAGCTGGATCCTGCAGGAAGGGGAACCCTGGGAGTGGAGAAGTTTGATGATGGGATGGGCTTCCTACCAACTGTCACTACAAGTCCACTGAAGCCCATATCTGCATATATAATCTATATATGAACCAGACATAATACAAATGCTTCTTTTCTCTTGTTCATCTACTTCTGAAGGTTCATATTGCTTCTCTTACTCCCAGTACCCTACCCATGTAGAAACAGAGGAATATTCAATGTGATTCTTACTATAAAATCACTAGACGAAGTGTAGCTCCTTCTGAAGAAAGCCCAACTAATAGTATGTCAAAATCCCATGTCCCATTTTGCTTTTTGAAAACTCATGGCTGAGCAAGATGGGAGCATGACTTCTAATTTCTGACAGATACTATTAATGTATCCCAGTTTGTTGTAACTGTAGCTCTCTTAAAAATTTCTTTGGAAGCCATCATTCTCAGCAAACTAACACAGGAACAGAAAACCAAACACCACATGTTCTCACTTATAAGTGAGAGCTGAACAATGAAAACACATGGACACACTGAGGGGAACAACACATACCGGGACCTGTAGGCAGCGGGGTGAGGGAAGGGAGAGCATCAGGACAAATAGCTAATGCATGTGGGGCTTAATACCTAGGTGACGGGTTGATAGGTGCAGCAAACCACCATGGCACATGTTTACCTACGTAACAAACCGCCACGTTCTGCACATGTATCCCAGAACTTAAAGTAAAATTTAAAAATTAAAAAGACTTCTTTAAATGAGGAGTATCTGACTCAGTGCAATCACAAAATCCCAAAGTTTGGCCCAACTGCGTGTCTTCAGGTGCACCCTTCAACACAAATCTAAAAATAGATTTGATCCAGACAGGAAGGAACTCTACAGATTGTATCAGGCTCCATGATTATATGTAGTCCCATCAGAATACAGCATAATGCAATCATTTGTCAGGAGATAGAACGTGAATCAGAGGAAAGCCAACTAAAAATGTTATCAGATTGTTTCAGCAGGCAAGCTAGGCTAAATGAGGAGAAGGAGTTGAAAAACTCCAGATGGTTGGATTTCAAAAATTTCAAAAAAGCAAATTTTGAAGCATGATAATGTTTTCTTTTTCAAATTTAAAATAATTTTGGAACTATTTTTAATGCGTAAGTTTAAGTAATGGTAAATTAAAAGGCTCGGTTAACTATGATTGCCCAGTTTCTGGAATTTTTAACATTCTGAAATACCAGTTAACTGTGACTGATCACCAGAAGATGTCAGCATTACCTCCACCATTTTAATCATCTGCCAACTCAGAGGCTATCAACATTTGAAAGTTAACAATCACAAATTGCATAGCAGCTGCCCAATTTGTTGGCTGTTGTAACCTTTCTTTTATGATGCAGTTCTTCTCTTTTAGAAGAGATCCATTTAGCCAATATACCCTTTAAGTCTTTGCACAATACTAAAGCTGTATTAGCAGTGTGCCAGCTTCCCTCTTTTTATTTCTTTCTATTGGCTTTTATACGAGCAAATCTTTGCATGTCTAATTGTATGGAGACAATTAGCTGTTCTATGAAATGTTGTCTCCTCCTATCTTGCATGTGCAACCACTTACATACAAATGTACTCACAGGTACCAAAGCACTGCCCATGGGAACAGAAAGGTCAGAGGATTTATTTTAAACAGATTGTCATTCACATCCCAATTCTATTACTGAACTTCACTGAGCCACGTTCGGTTGTTATTCCATTTCATTTTGGTTTGGCTTGTTTTGGTATACAAAGATGAAATTACTAGAGTTAGTAATATCTGCCCAGCAGGATTATTGCCGTAAGTATATACACTAGTTGGATTCAGTAAATATTTCCTGAGCCCCTACTATGTGCCAAGCATTGTGTCAAGCACAGAGAATCAGTGCCTGAAGAAGGACACAGTCTAGAGCTGTGCTTTCCAATAGAGTATTTACTAGCCACATGCAGCCATTTGAATTTAAATTAATTAAAATTTAAATTAAAAATTCAGTTCCTCAGGTGCACTGTCACATTTCAAGTGCTTGATAGCCATAGGTGAGTAGTGGCTATGACTGTACAGATTTGGAACATTTGGATATGTAGATACAGAACATTTCCATTATTGCAGAAAGTCCTATTGGATAGCACTGATCTAAAAGCGAAATGGACTCAGGAGTTTACCACCCATTTGAAAAGTGCTATCAGAGACGAATATATAAACAGATCAAACAAACTGGGGAGGATAAACTCTTTCCAGTGGTGTCAAAGAAAGTCTACACTAAATACAGATATATATAAGAGTTTAATGGAAGCCTTTACACAAAAGATGATAAAAAGTAGTCTGAGGAGTGTCAAGATGTTTTCAGGAAGACTTAAGGGGAGGAAGAAAGGGTCCACTTTTGATCATGTGTAAACATATTAAGAAAGACAAAAAAAACAACAAGGTATTTAGGAAATGTGAGCTGTTTTACGTTGTGGAAGGATAAAGACTGAGGATTGAGGAAGGTTACATGGAAGGAGATGAAACTAAGAAGAGAGAATCACAAACTAGATTTTGAGTGTATACAGCAGACAGTCAATATGGGTCAGCTCTTCTTTTCCTAGTGTAAGAGAAAAGTGACCCTTCTTATGCCTAAACACAGGGAGAGGGAGCAGAGAGAATGATTCTTTTCACAACTTTCCATAACTGTATCTGAGTGGAAAATGAAACTAAGTACCTTCCAGAACAAGGCTACTTTCCTCACACAGACCTCAGACTGTGAGAACAACCCACCAGCCATGTCCCCAGTAACACAGCTTCCCCCTCCAGCCCCCCGTGGACACGTTACCCCCAAATGAGTGAGGAACGCCTTCTGCCAAGGTTAGAACATATTCAAGCCTCATGAATCCTGTGCTTTGAACCAATCTCCAACTTTTTGTGGTTAGTTAGTTCATAGTCGGCTGGCAAAATGTGACTTCCTGGTTCTAAGATAAAAGACTTGGCGAAGGAGGGTGGAGGGGACTAAAAAAACTTACTTGACATCAAATGGCTCTTGCAAAATAAAACTTTGATGAGCAAAGCACAAATGAATCCTAATCATCCCGATTACATTTCTGAAAATGTCCACACTTTCAAAATTTCAGAAGGAGGAGGTTTGGTGGAAATGTGTTTGGGATTTCTCTAGCCTGAAAACATTTGGGAAAGAGTTGGAGGCATACGCTGACTTGCAGCCACAGCTGGGATTACAAGGGCCTTTTTCAGAGGAGAAAAAAGAGAAAGGAGAAAAAAAAAAAAAAGCCCTGTTGTAATAGATGTTCCAAGAATTGCTGGTCTTTCATAAGAGGTGAGGTGGGGATGGTGGGGGAGGAATCCAGCTGAGCTCTTCATATGGTTTTATTTAAGCTTGAATAGAGATAATCAGCTCTGCTGTTTATTTCCATACCAAATGCTCTGGGGCCAGAATTCTGTCACATTCTTAACCCAGATAATTTTAGCAGCCATCTTTCTGAAATAGAAAACGTACTCAAGACTCTTCCTGGTAAAGAGTTACCAAGAGAATCTAGAAGAGTCCATCCAGGACTCTGACAAGCAAAAGAGTTCTCCTACTCCCTCCCTCCTGGGTGGCCAATTATTTGTGTGACAACACTTCATACTTTCCATGTGATGCCATTTGACAAAGGAGAACCCTCATTAGTCACAATGCACACCCACTTGATACTCAATCTCTATCTCTTTATCAGCCCTCTTAGAAAGGGAAGCTGGCACCAAGGGTCAAGTCCAAATCCTCGTTTTAATGGTGATGCAATAGGGCGTGGTTTTTAAAAATCAAGTTTCGGCATTAAACAACTCTCTTTAGAAATGCTAGCTTGGCAACTTAGATACATTGCTTGACTCCTTTTAGCTTCCATTTCCTCATCTGAAAAAAACAGGAAATTTCAGGTCTACCCCACCGGGTCATTTTGAAATTATGTGAGCTACGTCACCTGGGTGCCTAGCACAGAGCTTGGCACACACAGGAAGTGTTCCATTGTGGTGCTAGGTATGGATTTTGTCATTACAGTGTCACACAAGGTGATGACTATATTGCCAAGCCAGAAGGGATGATTATTCTACTCTCACATTTTCAGTTTCCTTAAGTACAAATGGTATATCCAGGCTTTCTCTTGCCTGATTGCTCTGGCTGAGACTTCCAGTCCCATGTTGAATAGGTTTGGTTGCATGTAGATGTTCATTGCAGCACTATTCACAAATAGCAAAGACATGGAATCCACCTGAATGCCCATTAATGGCAGCCTGGATAAAGAAAACCTGTTACATATACACCATGGAAAGCTATGCAGCCATAAAAAAGAACATGTCCTTTGCAGCAACAAGGATGGAGCTAGAGGCTATAATGCTAAGCAAACTTTTGTTTTCATTGTGGTCAGAACATTTAACATGAGATCTACACTTTTAACACATTTTTTAGTGTAGAATATTGTTAACTACAGGCACAATGTTGTATGGCAGATCTCTAGAACTTATTCATCATGCATAACTGAAATTTTATGCCCACTGAATAGCAAACACCCCCCATTTCCCAATTTCTCCAACCACTGGCAACCACCATTCTACACTTGGCTTCTGTGTTTGACTATTTTAAATACCTCATGTAAGTGGTATCATGCAGTATTTGTCCTCCTGTGACTAACTTTTTAAACGTAGCATAATGTCCTCAAGCTTCATCCATATTGTCACATATGGCAGAATTTCCTTCTTTTCTAAGGATGAATTATATTCCATTGTGCGTGTATACCACATTTTCTTTATGTATCCATCCATAGATGAACATTGAAATTGTTTCTTCATCTTGGTGACTGTGAATAGTGCTGCAATGAATATAAGAGTGCTAATATCTCTTTGAGATACTAATTGAACATTTTTGGATAAATATATGGAAGTGGGATACTGGACCACATGGTATTTCTATTTTTAATTTTTTGAAGAACCTCCATACCATTTTCCATAGTTGCTGCCCCATTTTACATTCTCACCAACAAATTTCTCCACGTGCTTGCCAAAACTTATTATCTTGTTTTTTCAAATAGTCATCCTAATAGGTATAAAGTGATATCTCTGTTGGTTTGATTTGTATTTTCCTGATGATTAGTGGTGTTGAGCATCTTTTCATACACCTGTTAGCCATTTGTATGTCTTTTTTTGGAGAAATGTCTACTCAAGTCCTTTGCCCATTTATTAAATTGCACCATTTTTTTCTGCTATTGAGTTAAAGGAGTTGCTCATATATTTTGGATAGAAGCCCCTTATCAGATATATAACTTACAAATATCTTCTCTCATTCTATTGTTTGCCTTCTCACTCTGATGTTTCCTTTGCTGTGCAGAAGCTTTTCAGCTTGATTTTATCTCACTTGTCAATTTTGCTTTCATTGCCTGTGTTTTTGGTGTCATAGCCAAGAAATCATTGCCAAAACTAATGTCAAGAAGTTTCTCCCTTACGTTTTCCCTTAGGTTTTACAGTTTTCTCTTAGGTTGTACAGTTTCAGGTCTTACATTTAAGCTTTAATCTATTTTGAGTTGATGTTTATGTATAGTATAAGATAAGGCTTCAATTTCACTCTTTTGCATGTGGATATAGAGTTCCCCCAATACTATTTGTTGAAGTTATGCAGCCCAAATTTAACTGCTCCGTACCTGGAAACCTTTTAAATGGACAATTCTGTCCTCATTGACAAAATTTGACCTGTACCTTCCTCATATTAGCCTAGAATCATTAATCAAAACCTTAAACTTAGTTCAACCTATATCACCTCAAGGGATCATTTCATACCTGTGCTATCCATCAGGGAATGGAATACTTCCTTTCCTTGAAATCAAAGTGGTTCTCTTAAGTGTGATGGGGTTTCCCTTGACAGAGGAGGTAGGGCCTTAAGAAAGGGTCGCACTTTCCTTCTAGCTTTGCCTTTGCCATCATCCTTAGACTCCCCACCCTTCCAAATGGGAAATAATCCAATTTCTGTTGTCATTGTTTTTATCTTTTCCTCCTATGGAATGCTCCTGCCCAATTCCTGGTTTATTTTCTTTACTCTTGGAATTCTCCAGAGCAACACCTATTCAATGAAAATATTTTCTCTCCAATTTACAATTTGCAGTTAAATTAAACAAGCAGAGACATCTATTTTAGCAGAGCAAAGTGTAGCTGCCAGAACTTAGGTCTGGATGTGGTCATTTTGGTGTACCTGCCTAGGCTGTATCCTCAAGCTTTCTCCCTGTGTTTGCTTGTACCACTCCCAAACTCCCTACAAAAACACCTAGCTATGAGTACTAGCTATTCACGGTTTGACTGTGTCCCCTAAAAAGCATGTGTTGGAAATGTAATCCCCAATGCAACACTGTTGGGGGATGGGGTCTAATAAGAGGTGATGAGGTCATGAGGGCTCTGCCCGCATGAATGGATTAATGTTGTTATGGCGGGAGTGGATTTGCTATGGGGGGAATGGGTTCCTTATAAAGAATGACTTTGGCTCCCTTCTCTTTCTCTCTCTCTCTTTGCCCTTCCACTATGGAATGACATAGAAAGAAGGCTGTTGCCAGATGTCCACCCCTTAGTCTTAGACTTCCCAGCCTCCAGAACTTTAAGAAGCAACTTTCTGTTCATCATAAATTACCCGGTCTCAGGAATTCTGTTATAATAGCACAAAATAGACTAAAACACTGAGGAAAAGAAAAAAGCCTATTAAGAAGTTGAATCTACTTCTCTTTGAATTAACTTTAGCAAGTATGTATAACCACTTACTTAGCATCCGAAAAGCCAAATTATGAGGGTAAGGATCATTATAACTTCTGTTCTTAAGAAATATTTGAGATACTATACTATGGCATAATAAGAAATACATTAGGTCTTTGTCCCCTACTCTTTGTCCTGGTGCAGAATACCTAAAACCATTGGAATTTCCCCAGTGATTGGAATGTCTTTTGTTATTCATAACCAGGCCCTTTCCTTCCACACCTGAGTTTATGCTAATGAGGTGTCTTAGGGGAGGGCCCCTAGAGAGACTCAGGATAGGGCTGCTCATCAGAAAGCCTAAGTTATTAGAAGGCTCGAACATTCCGCCCAACCCACTCACCTCTGAGAAGGACAGGGCTGGAGGTATAGCTGCATAAACATTCTTGAACAATGAAATTTCGCGAGCTCTCAGGATGCTGAACACATGGAGGCGCTAGGAGAAGGATGTACACAGAGAGGGCATGGAAAGTCCATGCCCCTTGCCCCATACTTTGCCCTACACATCTCTTCCATCTGATCATTCCTGAGTTGTATCCTTTATAATAAAACAGTAAACGTAAATGTTTTCCTGAGTTGTATGAGCCATTCTAGCAAATGATCGAACCCAAGGAAGGAGTTGTAGGAGCCTCCAATTTATAGGTGTTCGATCAGCAACATAGGTGACAACCTGGGGCTTTTGACTGGTGTTTGAAGTTGGGGCAATTTTGTGAGGCTGAGTCCTCAACCCGTGAAATCTGATGCTATCTCCAAGTAGATAGTGTCAGAATTGAATTGAATTATAGGATAGTCCCCAGCTGGTGTCTGCAAAGAACTGGAGAATGGTTAGTGTGGGAAAAACACACACATCTGGTGTCAAAAGTGTTGTGTGAGAGTATTCTGTCATATATTTTATCAGAGATACTTTCTGAGGTTGATAATTATATGGAGAATCCTCAGGCCTGGAGATGGGATCTCAAACTCAAATGTACATGAAGGGCAGGCATATAATGTAAAAGAGTGAAGCACGCAAGTATAAGAAATGTTTTACTTAAGTCTTAATTCATTTTAATTATTCTATTAACTGGAAGTGCATTGATTAAAGATAGTTGTCACTAAGCCTGAGGGTTGGGTGTAACAGGGAGTGGTGGGGACTGTGGCAAACTAGAAAGGGTATGCCTAGTTAAAGAGGGCAGTCCCTCCTTATCTCCAGCTGATTGGTACCCTGTGAGAACAAGAGCCCAATGTGACTAGATGCTTCCATTTTTCAAGAGAAACTAGAAATTTCAGGTTTTTTTTAAATTAAACCTTCTGGTTTTTAAATGTTGGCAAGTAATCTAGTCAGTGCAATTAGAAGTAAAAATATTGATTACTCATACATAAAAAGTATAAATAGAACTTTGGGGTGCTAGTAATGGGTTTTGATCTTTGTGCTAATTACACAGATGTATTAACTTTGTGAAAACTCATTGAACGGGGCACTTATGTATGCACATTTCTGTATGCATATTACACTTTCATGAAAAGCTTTAAAATGTGTTGGCAAGTAATTAAAATTGTAGGGAAATTTTAAAACATTTTCTGAGCCAACATCGTGTAGATCAAATAATGCCCAGCTAGGGGCTGAATTAAGCATTCAAGGTTATTCTTTTTTTTTTTTTTTTTTTTTTTTTGAGATGGAGTCTCGTTCTGTTGCCCAGGCTGGAGTGCAGTGATGTGATCTCGGCTCACTGCAAGCTCCGCATCCTGGGATCACGCCATTCTCCTGCCTTAGCCTCCCCAGTAGCTGGCACTATAGACACCCGCCACCACGCCCGGCTAATTTTTTTGTATTTTTAGTAGAGATGGGATTTCACCGTGTTAGCCAGGATGGTCTCAATCTCCTGACCTCGTGATCCACCCTCCTCGGCCTCCCAAAGTGCTGGGATTACAGGCGTGAGCCACCATGCCCAGACGCATTCAAGGTTATTCTTTATAAGCTTTAATTTAGAGGATTTAGAAGGGCAAGAAAACACCAATTTTTCTACCATTTATGTCAAAGACAGGAGAGGAAAGAAAGAGCCAAACATAGCTATTGTTCCAGCATGTGCAGATGTATTTTCAGGGCACACTACCACGGCCCAATGAAGCATCAGGGAAAAATGAAGGTAGTGTGATAGAGAAGAAAATAGACAAGATTTAAAATCGGATGCCAAATGGTTCAAATACCAACCTTGCACTAACTAGCTGAGAAGTTGGCCAAGTTACTCACCACCCTGAGCTTTTGTTTTCTCATTTAAGACATGAATACTGTTCACTAAGGGTATTAAATGCCTAAATAAAATGCCTAGCAGGCTAGTCACAGTGGCTCATGCCTGTAATCCCAGCACTTTGGGAGGCCAAGGCAGGAGGATCACTTGAGCCCAAGAGTTCAAGACCATCCTGGGCAACATGGCAAAACCCTGTCTCTACAAAAAAATAGCCATGCATGGTGGTGCACACCTGTACTCTCAGCTACTCAGGAGACTGAAGTGGGAAGATTAACTGAGCCCAGGAGTTCGAGGCTGCAGTGAGCCAAGATCATGCCACTGCACTCTAGCCTGGGCAATAGAGTGAGACACTGTCTCAAATAATAATAATGCCTTGCAGAGCAGTTGTATTAGTCCATCCTCACACTGCTATAAAGAACTGCCCAAGACTAGGTAATTTATATAGAAAAGAGGTTTAATTGACTCACAGTTCTGCATGGCTGGGGAGGCCTCAGAAAACTTACAATCATGGTGAAAGGGGACGCAGGCACCTCCAAACACTTATAAAACCATCAGATCTCATAGGAACTCACTATCACAAGAAAAGCATGAGGAAAACCACCCCCATGATCCAAAAACCTCCCACCAGGTCCCTCCCTTGACATGTGGAGATTATGGGGATTGCAATTCAACCTGAAATGGAGATTTCAGGTTGCTGAACCCATGGAGGTATAGGGACTCAGAGCCAAACCATATCAACAGTGCTTCTCAAACATTCATATACATGAGAATTTTCCTGGGAGTCTTGTGAACCTACAGATTCTAATTCAGTAGGGTTTGGGTGGGATCTGAAAGTGTGCATTTCTAACAGGCTTGCAAATGTGCCAATAATGCTGGTTTCTGGACCATGCTTTGAGTAGCAACACTGTAGAGTGCTTGATCACAGTACCTAATATATATTAGTTCCCCACCCCTACCTCCCATAACAGCTTATACTCCCAACAAGAAGTCTGAAATGGAAAGTTGGAGGCAGGTAGCTGTAGGCACCGATTTTGTTCATTTTGCACGTGATTCCAGTAAGCTCTG